>NC_000003.12:18760000-20010000 GCF_000001405.40 Homo sapiens
GGGAGCTAGTCGATATGCAGAGGAAGGAAATTTCAAACAGATGATACTGTAGATCCCTGACTCAGGGGATCCCTGACTCAGGGGGATGGCTGGCATATTAGAGAAACAGCAAAAAGCCCAATGTGTCTGGAGTGGGATGAGCTGCTGCTGGTGGGGGCATTAATAGAAGATGAGAACAGTGAGATAATAGGGAAGGCAGCTTTTATGCTGTTTGTAGACCATTGTGAGAACTTTCAGCTTTTTTTAAAAGTGAGGCTAGAAGCATTGGAGGGTTTTGAGAAGAGGACTGACATGCACAGATTTACTTTCTGTGGTATCACCCTGGTTGCTGAATTGAGAATAGAATGTAAGGGACAAGTGTGGACGTAGGCAGACTAATTAGGAGACCATTGCGATCATCACAGTGAAAGACAACTGAATCAGACTGGTAGCAGTAGAACTGATAAAAAGTGATTGGATTGTAGATATATTCTGAAAGTGGGGTCAACAAGATTTGTTGATTGAGTGTATGTATGGTGTAGAGAAGAAGAATCAAGTATAACTCCAAAACATTGTGCTTTAGCAAACAGATGGATAGAAGAGTGTGGGAGGGGCAGATTTTTTAAGAGAAAATAATGATCTGACCAGGAAGTAAGTTTTTAACATGTTAAAGTTGAGAAGATTATTAGTTATTCCAGTAGAAATGCTGAGATGACCCTGAAAATAGTGTCTCTGGATTTCAGTGGAGCGGTCTGGCTGGAGAGAGAAATTTGTTAGTTATCAGATTCTAGTCAGATGAGATCATGAAGGCAATGAGAGAAGAGCTCAGCAGAGCTGAACTTTGAGGCACTGAACATTTCAAGGTTGGGTACATGAGGAGGACCCACCAAAGGATAGGAAAACTTTGTGGCTAGTGAGGTAGAACGAAAATCAGTTGGAAGCTAAGGGAAGAAAATGCTTCAAGAAGAATAGAGAGATCAAATGTAACAAATGTTGCTGATAGATCAAGTGAGAGATAAGAAATGAGATGAGACCATTGGATTTAGAACATGGAGGTCATTTATATTCCTGACAAGAGCTTTGTTTCTATCAGGTGGTGAGAATGAACTTGGCTAGAGTGTGTTCCAAGAGAATGTGAGAAGATGAATTGGGGATTATGAGTGTAGATAATGTTTGTTTTGCTGTAAAGAGAAGGAGAGAAATGAGGTACTGGATGGAGTAGAAAGTGGGTTTGAAGAAGGTTTGTATCTATCTATCTATTTATCTAAAGACAGGGGACACAGGACACACAATAAAATTTAAACTTCAGATAAACATATATTATATATATATAATATATATATGATGATTCTGTAGACAGGAGTTGTTATTGGACAAAGATGATAAATTTCTAGAACAATTTTCTTGAGTTGACAAAGGCAGATGGGATTAAGTGCACAAGGAAAGGGAGGCTTTTCCTGGCTAAGGGGACATCACATCAGTAACAGGGAAGAAGGCAGTGACTTGACCTAGATAGAGGTAGGTGGTGGGGGTGGGAGTGGGAGTGGGAACTTGTGGAACTTCTCATCTGATTGCCTCTGTTTTCTTGACAAAATGGAAGGGAGAACAAAGGAGGAACTGTTAGATATTTGAAGAGAGCAAAGGTACAAAATCGTGACCTAGGAAAGCAGGAGGGTGACTGGGCTGGGGAAATGCAGTGTGATTGTCTGTCCACACGAAGGGCTCTCTTGTGGAGAGTGAAAAGGAATTGAAAGTGAGGCGAGTCAGCAGTCCTGTGTTTATTTCCAGCTTCATTAGTTTCATAGGTGCAGGTGAGGAACAGAGGAGAGTTGGATTTGACCAGAGTTGCATTTTTCACGTGAGTAGGCCAACGAGAGAACAGAGAAGATGAGAGCATTTGCAAAGAACTGATGCAAATGATTGGCTTCAAAACTTCAGCAGGATAAATAGTGGAGTGAGGATGTAGGGTTAAGAGGCAGTTTCAAACATGGGGTCAATGCAGCGTAGATGCCAGTACTGAATCGGGGTACTAGGGGGTATCAGCAGGGAAGATTGAAAGCAGTGAACAGAGAGAGGTGAGTTTAGAAGATATTACAACTTTTGGTAACAACAAAGTCTAAGGCCTGACTACAAGAAGAGATGACTGAAATAGTGTGGAGAAGAGTTCAAGAAAGTTAGAAAGCAAGGACTTGAAATTATCATCTTCATGGACATTGAAATCACTAAGAATTATAATAGGGATCGTTTTGTGGAAAAATGACACTCTGTCAGGAAGTAACATCTTCAAAGAACCAAGAAGGGATGGACCTGAGCCCATAGATGAATAGGGAAAGAAGAGATGATCAATAACAATCTGCTGACAGTGGATTCAGGGCTGGGTAGTGTCGGGAAGTGGGAGGCAACAAGGATTAAAGAGGATGCCTGCTTCACAGCCAGCCTAGTGGTAATGCAGAGGATGGGAAAGAAATGCGCTCAGGGGGAACCGTGTTCTCAGGAGACAGACTGGTTTCAATTTGAAAAACAAGATAGGTGAGAAGAGGTTGAAGATGTTGGAGATTTTGATGATGTCCACCAGTGAGTTTCAAAGGGCCCTGTGAAAAGGATTCAGGTAATTAAGAGAAGTCGGAATTGTGTTCTCACAGAGCTGTATGCAGATTAGAGTAGGGGACATAGGACACAGAGTGAAATTTAAACTTCAGATAAACAGTGGGTACTTCTTTGCATTTGCACCCAAGCCTGGGTCACCACCACCCCTCCCTCACCCCATCCCTTTATATCCACTTGTCTTTTCTTCATCTCTATAGTTTTGTCATTTTTGAGAATGTTATATGGATGGAATCATACAATATGTAACCATCCGTGATTAACATTCCTCAAACAGAATACCTTGAAGTCCATCCCAGTTGTTGCATGGATTCATCATCCATTCCTTTTCATTGCTGAAGTATATTCCATTGTATAAAAAGCCAGAGTTTGCCCAACCATTTGCTCATCTAAGGACATATGTGTTGTTTTCAGTGTTTTGCTATTACTAATAAAAGCAACCATAAACACTTCATGTACAGGATTGCTACTGTCTTTGTAGGTATTTTTGTTTTAAGCTTCTTTGAAATCATAGGTTTTGTGTTCTTGTTGTGTTCTTTTGTCTAACTCAAAATAAATAAATCCTAATTGTAATTGTAAGACAAAAGTCCATCCATGGAAACAACATTGGGACATGGCCTGTAGAATGAAACGAACACAGAGAACAGTATGGATGACTTTTGCAAACAGTGCTGAGTGGTGGAAGCCAGTTACAAGCTTGATTTTATTTATATAAAACACATACAGCAAAATTAATTGATGCCATCGGAAATCTAGATACTGGTTATCCTTGAGAAGAGGTCATGACTGGCTTCTTAGGTTCTGGTAATGTTCTGTTACTTGATCTGGTTGACAGATTCATTGGTATGTTAAGTTGATGAAAATGCATAGACCTGTGTATGTATGAGAGGTGCACTTTTCTGAATATATACATATACACATTTAAGGTTTAAAAAAAGGAACTTTATCATATGTTTCGAGGGCTTCTCTAATGTGTTTTTTTGTAGGCTGGGATTCACCGTTCCATTTAAATTTCAATCATCAATAACATTGTATTTTGTAATACTCTCAGAGAAAAGGGGAGAGAAGTGTTTCAAGCTTGGTGGCTTGAACAAACTCTCACTAATTTACTCATAGTGGTAACATTGATTTCATCTGTACTCCTTTTTTTTTTTTCTTTCCTGTAATAGATCTCACTGTTAAAATCCAACCTGAGAACAATGGAATGGGTAAGTAGAATATTTATTTATTAAAAGGGCAACATCTCAGAAATGAAATTACAATTTAGTTGGGATAAATTGTCTTATAACTTCATTTTTTTACATTAAAGCTATAATTGAGGGGTATTATATGCTGTTTATCACTGCAATGAAAATGTAGTCAGAATGAACTTCTCGAGGCTGTTAAACTGCCTCTTATTAGCATTGAAACTATACTCACAGCCTATTATCTTAGGCTATATTTTTTGGTATAAGGGAATTGCTATCAAAGTGTACTTAATCTGAAAGGAATTGGATTATAATTGGAGTCTTTGTGAAAGGGGAGTTAAAATTATTTGGTATTGTCTTAAGGTAACAGCATACTGTTGGAATATTAAAACAGTATAGCAGTGGCACTGGAAAGGCACACTGATTATCATCATTTGGTGTCAAATGATTCTCTGCATTTTTACTCCTAATCAATCTGGGTACCAAAGGATAGAAAATGTTTATAAATTCGTCTCAAAAAAAAAGAAAATGTTTATAAATTCATTTGATAGTCCTGGTTTTTCAAAGAGGGTTGTCAAGTTTTTATCATGTTCTATTATCCATCCCAATTATCACTTGGCATTTCTTCACAAGGAGTATTAGAATCTAAGAGTAATAATTTCTGTATTTGAAACATAGTAGGTATCTCCTAAATGTCAATTAAATTAAATCACATTGCCAACAGGCCTGAGTAAAGGAGAACAGAATATTTCTTCCAGTGGATTATTTCAAAGGCAGCAAAATAACAAATGTGGGATGATTATTATAATTTTTATACTATGATATGCCAGTCTAATTGCTGCCAGCCATGCTTGTCATAAAGAAAAATTTTAAAAATTAAACACCGTCATACAATCTAGGACAGAGGTTGGCAACTTTCTCTGTAAGAAGCCAAATAATAAATATTTTTATCTTTGCAGACCATACTGTCTTTGTCACAACTCTGCCATTGCAGCGTGAAAGCATCCATAGACGGTACACAAATGCATGGATGTAGTTGTACTCCAGTACAACTGCAAAAAGCAGACAGCTGGCTGGGTTTAGCCTACGGGCCATAGTTTACACAACTCAATCTAGGTGATTGCCTGGTAACTTTGTGATTGTAAACAGGAAAGAAAACCCATGCACTGAAATCTTATGGCTATATTTGGTTGTAAGTTGGCCATCCGGATTCAAAATATGACATTAATTGTTATAGTGATAATTATCAGACTATAGTATTAAAATACAAGGTAATTATAATATAATAATTTAATTATGCAAATAACACCGTTGTCATCAAAAATAAATGGCATTTTATTCTTTTATCTTTGGAGACATTGAAATACAACATCTCCTACTCCTAAGTAGAAACATATAAATCAAGTCGGTATAATTTCTAAACAAAGAAAGAATTCGAAAGTCCATTTTTTAACTTGTACCTTCTCCTTCCTTGATATAACATGCAACCCTTCTGTGTGTGTGTGTGTGAAGCACTGATTGAAATGTATGGCTCCAACTGTGAGTGTTCCTCGACTCTCCATTGCTTTCCCAGCATCTTTAAATAAAACAGTCTGAGAGTGGGTTGGCCCCTCTCCTGATTTATGAGCAATTTGTTGCGCTACTGAAACAGCAGTCATGACAGAATCCTGCGTATGCTTTAAAGCATTGAAAGATACAGAAATAACTAGGGAGGACTTCTTCCACCAGGAAGAGACACTTGCAGTCTTTTTGCTGACCCCTGGGCTAGAGTTTATAGAGTTTAAAACTTACTCAGAAATAAGCCATGAGGGGGTGGGCTCCGTGGCTCATTCCTGTAATCCCAGTGTTTTGGGAGGCCAAGGCAGAAGGACTGCTTGAGGCCAGGAGTTTGAGATGAGCCTGGACAACATAGTGATTGCCTGTCTCTACCAAAAAAAAAAAAGTCCCAGAAATTTGCTTGTGTCACCAGTTTGAAAAGGGTGCAAGTCACCTTGTGGTCAATAACTTGACCTAAGTGCCAGTTTCCTCATTTGCAGAACTGAGATAATATCCACCGCCCTCCCACCACTACTTTTCAGGGCTGACATGAGCATTAAATGAGATGGAATACATAAAGGTGCTTGGTATACTCAACCAACAGCCATTTTATTACTCATGTGCTCTCTCAGTTGTTAGTGCTTCTTTTGTTTATGACTAGTACTGGGTGAATTGCAGGCACTGACAAACAATCACTGACTTATTTTCCTACCTCCCAATTTGTATTCCTGTTAGAAATCTGACAGACTGACACCAGAATGCCAAACCTGAACTGAAGTGCAGTGACATCTTCATATCCTTTAGCTGCACAAACAATCTAGGGCAGCAGTTGCAGTGCATTTCCCAATACTTATATTTCAAGTATTTTTTTGACATTTAACACCATTAGAACATATAGCAGAATCCAAGTACAGTTTCTTTGAGGTAAAAATGTGAGTGTTTTTTCATATCTCACTGTGTTGAATAACCTTTAGATGCAAAGTTAGCACAGCAAACATTGACACGATGCAGGCAGCTCAGTGCAGAGTGCCTAAAAATAAATATAAGAAGTTCATATGCTACCAAAAAAAAGAGTTAAGAATTTAAATGGAAAAACAGCTTTGAGTCTTATGATTCACGAGATCTCACTATTGTCTTTGATTCCATGGATGCAATTGATTGGATGACACTAAATATAGTTTTACCTATTAAATATACATAGTTTAGATAAACCTATCATTTTACTTTTTGGTCTATTGTCTTAAAAGTTTTCCGGCAGTTGTGAAGTGTGATTATTTCAACTGTGGTCTCAATTTGTGTGACTCTGCAAGACCATGTGATTTTGGAGTCAGAAGTTCTAGATTTGAGTCCTAAATTTATCGTTTTAGGTCAACTTGGATGACTTTTCAGCTCCTTGGTTTTCTTCTTCATATGACCATTAGGAAATCCTTTAAGGATATTTTAATTACACAATATTCTTGCAAGGTGACACTACTCTTTCTCTTCACCCTCACCTTCCAGTGGGTGTGGTTTTTGGATGAAGTACTAGAGACTGCATTCTCTCATCCTTGAAGATGAGGTATTTTCTCAGGATGCTTCCTGGTCCTTCAAGCACCGTTGTTTTCTGGCAAATATCTATTCTCTTTTTTAATGGCAATAACATTTCTAAGGTTTTTGGAAAACCTGCCTCCCTTCTTTTCAGCCCTGTAGTTTAATGAGGTTGACCTTAATTCTGGTTCAACTGGTAAATCCAGATTTGTTTAAGCAAATCAGTATATACTATGTTCCTGATCACAGTGATTGATTAAAAGACACTAAAACGTCCCAGTATCAGCTCTCATTTGGAGAGTTTGAGTCACATGTCCTTTCTTTGAGCCATCAGAGTACATGTGAGAACTTTGGCTTGAATGCTCAGATAAAGACTTCCTCTTTCCTGCTGAATAGAAAAGCAGATACAAAAATCCATGAGAGCTTCTGGAAGTCACTTTCAGAGTTACGTCTAAATGTAACTGGGCTTTTTGTGGCATTTTAGAACCAAAGGTTCAAGCTTTGCTTGAAGCCAATGTTACCTGACTAATGTAGTTTTATAAGTCAATAAATCCATTTTAGTGCTTAAGTCCTGTGAGTTGTACTTTTGTCACTTGCCAAAAGGTCCAAACTGAAATACATAGGCCCTCTAGATATACCTACACATATCTGAATCTGAAGGTGAACATGAAATAAACTCAAATAAAACCCTAGTTGCTTGTGAAAGCTTAGAATAATGTTAAAAACTGTACTGATACTGTTACGCCTCTATCCTTCCCTTACATCCAACTTCCTGGGTATTTTTTCTTCTTTCTTTTAAATTCTAATACTTTTGGTACTACCCATAAAGAGTGCTATTCAATCCCACTGGCTAACCAATTTTTGATAATAACAAGAATATTCCTTATATAGCACCTACTTTGCTAGATACTATACTGATTGATTTATATCGGTGCTTAATCTATAAGAAGTTTGTTAAGTAAGATTTATTATTCCCATTTTAAGATGAGAAACCTGATGCTTCGGAGGGCTAAGTGACTTGCACAAGGTTACATACTAGTAAGTGGTGCAAATAGGATTCAAGTCCAGGCATCCTGACAGAGTTTGTGCTCTGTCACTATGTTGAGCTGACAATTAGTTTATGGGTGTGTCCTCAGGACATGAAGTAAGTTGACATAGTCCTCCACCCTTCCATGTTTATTCAATTCAACAAATATTTATTGAATGTTTAGTAGGTGCCAAATACTTTGCTGGGTGATGAGTAGATAAACTGTAAGCAAGCCAAGCACAGACTCTGCTCTCCTGGAGCTTACAGTCTAGTGGGGTTCGCATGCCAGATAGACTGTATGTGGTAAGAAACACCGTAGGGGACGCTGCTAAGCAAGCACATGGCAGTGTCACCCAACCCATCTAATGGTATCAGGGGAAGCTTCCAGGGTCATGTGCAGCCTGCACCGTGACTCAATAGGAATTGGCCAGGTGACAGGTGCTTAAGCTGGGAGAGTGAGAAGTACTTCAGGGAGAGAAAATAATGTGAATAAAAGTCTGAAAAGAGCATGGTGGGCTCAGAGAGCCAAAAGAGTTTTGAATCTTATAATAGAAATTGGCCATAAAGAGAGGCTAGTAGGTAATCAGAAGCTAAACTACAGAATTCAATCTTCATCTTAAGAATGATAATGGGGCCGGGAGCAGTGGCTCACACCTGTGATCCCAACACTTTGGGAGGCCAAGGCAGATGGATCACCTGAGGTCAGGGGTTTGAGACCAGCCTGGCCCACATGACAAAACCCCGTCTCCACTAAAAATACAAAAGTTAGGTGGGTATGGTGGCACACACCTATAGTTTCAGCTGCTCAGGAGGCTGAGGCAGGAGAATTGCCTGAATCTGGTAGGCAGAGGTTGCAGTGAGCTGGGATTGTACCACTGCACTTCAGCCTGGGTGACAGAGGGAGACTCTGTCTCAATTAAAAAAAAAAAAAAAAAAGGAAAGAAAAGAATGATAATAGGAATTAAGCATTCATGTCTTGATCAGAAATATTGTATAGGAAAATCACTTTGGTCATTTGGGAAACAGATTAGAGAACATGGGGACTGGGAGACTATATGGGAGGCTATGCAATAACACAGATGAAAGGCGCAATGGTCTCAACTGGGGGTGGGAATGTGGGGAGAAAGAGAGAGAGGGAGAGAGGTGAGGAGGATGAATATGAGACCACTTTAGAAAATATAATTTGTCTGACTTGGTGACGTTTGAGGAAGAAGCAACATTAAGAATGATTCTGGGTTATATCTGGGATAACTGGGCAGTTAGTAACCAATTTCACTGAAGCGAGGAATTCAAGAAAAGCAGGGTTCAAAGTGAAGGGGAATTAAATCACCGCCCTTACCAAGTCAGTGGTTTCTGAACTTTTGTTTTAAGGAGACTTCCAAATTTAATTTTTGATTCTGCTCTCTTTCCCTATGCTGCACACAGTATTGCTACACTTGGTTAAAAATATTGTCTGACTTTCTCAGAAAACAAAAATTTGGAAAGCTGCTACATCCAACACACACGAAAGCCACTGCAGTGAGTAGAGTATAGGGAGGTACTCTAGACCAGAAGCCTGACACCCCCAATTATATTATACAAATTTTCTATGGGACAGATTTAAAACAACAGTAGCAAAACAAACAACTTGCTGGTGCTTGAAGGTTTAAGTGAATATTGGAAGTAAACAATAGATTTCATAGAGGAGTTCCAGTAGTGATGCGATAGGAAAAAAAGGTATAAGTCAACTGACTCTATGCCAGTCATTTTCTTGGACTTTTAAGCAAATTATTAACACACTTTAATAAGGGGCTTACAGAGGAGAAATCCTTTGATGAACCCAAATAATGGGAGAAAAACATGGACTTTTTGAAATCAATTTCAGAGACATCCTGCAAAATTAAGCTCCCCAAAGCACAATACACTCAATGCTCCCAACCCCACCACTGATTTGCCACCTTTATATCCTCCTTAATAGTCTCAGTTCTTAGATTAGGAAAACATAAGCATCTGGTTATAGCAAATACAGCCAGTGGTCTCCAAAACACAGCCTTTGGTAAAACAAACAACCAAACAAACAACAAATAAGAGGCATAGGGTACTAAATCTATGACAAAGTTACTGATCAGTGATGTTTCCTAAACTCTGGGATTGCTGACAAATATTTACTTTCTAGATTCCCCTGATCTGTTTTTAACTCTTTCTCTACAGTTTTTCATTATATATCCACAGACTATGATAGGAATGGGAAATTAGGGTGGCCCACTGTCTCAGTCAGTTCAGGCTGCTATAACAAAATACCTTACACTGGGTAGTTTATAAACTGCATAAATTTATTGCTCAAAGTTCTGAAGGCTAGGAATCCAAGAAATAGGCCTCAGAAAATTGTGTCTGGTGAGAGTTTGCTGTCTGCTTCAGAGATGATGCCTTTAAGCTGTGTCCTCACATGGCTGAGGGTGGCGGGCGGGGGGGTGGAACTCTCTCAGGCCTCTTTTTTAAGGGCACTGATCCTATTCATGAAAGTGGAGCCCCATAACCTAATCACCTCCTAAAGGCCCCTCCTCTTGATACCATCACCTTGGTGGTTAGGTTTCAACATATAAATTTTGGAGGGATAAAAACATTCAGGGCATAGCACCCAGTTTTCAATGAGCCCGGTCAAAACCCCAGAATCCTCAGAGCAATGTTCCAGGTGGGCACTGACGATTGGTAGAAATTGGCCAATGCAGTGTATTCAGTCATTAGTGCCAAGTGCTTCCATATATATATATACACATATCTTTTGTAAAGTAATTTTGCATTTCCTCCCACCTCCCCTTTTCTTGACTTTAGATTGACCGTGTAACTTTTTTGGCCAGTAAAACATTATTAACCCGATGTAAACAGAGGCCTGAAATGTACTTTTTTGATTATGCTTCTGTCTCATTTTGTTGGCCAAAGCAAATCACAAGGGTCAAGTGAAAAAAGACTAGAAAATTACACAGAAAAGAACATAGATATTGGCAGAGGGTAAAGAATTGGGGTGAATAATCAAATCTGCTATTAACCTAATCCCTGCTTTGTTTTGCTGCTACGTATTAAGTAGTGGATTGAGATATAGTATAATAGAAAGTGTGTGTGTTTGGGTTAGGAGCATGTTGCTTTCAATAAGATGGTCAAGGAGGGTTTCTCTGAAAGGTAAGATCTGAAAGTCGGAGAGAAACCACACTTCCTATAGGTTTGGTGGGGTGTTTCAGTCACAGAGGCCTCTTCCAGCCCACACAGAATCTCTGTATAAATTGCAAAAAGACTCCCTCTCCAAAGAGGTGAATTTCAGGAGAGCTACCTGGCTTGGCAAGCAAAGCTAGGGCTATATTTTCATCCCCTTTGGTTGAGCTGTCCTGGTTAAGGTCACAGACGGGGAAATCTCATGATTGTTGTGAGAACTATCAGAGGGCCATCATGGCTTGCAAGCATAATCACTAGGAGTGATTATTTATATCACAGAATCATCCATTATATCATAAAAATCAATCCTAAGGGCACATAAAGATTAATCCTAAGGGCACTATGAACATCTAAGTTTGTTAGACTAAGTATGTGTCACAGCCTGAGTAGGAGGCATTTACATTTAAAATGTTAAGAATCACTGCCCAGTAATCAATCAGCAGTAAAATCAAATAGTCTTTGAATTAAAATTGTACATTCATGAGAAAATACAATTTTTAAAGGTTTACATTTGTTGCTTTAAAACTGTATCTGTGAGGTAAGGTGAATCACGACTCAAGTCAAGGCAAGACAGAAAACTATTTTTGTGAATGAGGCACTCAAGAAAGCAAAATGAAATGGGAAGAAAATCAACTTTGTAATAGGGTTCGTAAGATGATGAGAGCCACCTCTGAATTCATCCTGCATCTGGAAAATGGAATAGGGTAAGTTCATGAGGTTGGGTCACAGCTCATCCATTCTGTGAAATGTCCAGAATCATCATTGTCCCTAAGCACTAAGCAGAACCTGCTGGTTCTCCCTTGTATTTTAGAAATGTTTGTCATTGCATCATACTAGCAGCTTAAGAAAAGGATTAAAGGGAAGGCTAAAATTTTATGATCTTTGTGGAAGAGCCCCAAATCTTGGTTCATGAGTTCATGGGGGATTCTGAGATTGTGTTAATGGCTCCTGTTTCATGAAAGAAACAGACAGGAGAGAAACCAAGAGAACAAACATTAAGAGAGATGAGGGAGTTGAAGTTGAGCATTCTGCAGTGACTAAGCAAGCAGCTGGTGTGTGGCTGGACAGCTTGAATTCTCTGCGGGTAGATTGGATATTTGGATGGAAGGGCATGAGTTGCTTGGCTTGGGCTTTCATTGTGAGCAGCAGGTGTTATAATGGGCAGCCTGGATACTTTTTTTGAGAGGCTGGAGAGGGAACCAGACTTTTGCCATTGCTACTTTTGTAGCAAAATATTTTTTGCTATTGTTTCTAGTACAACCATTCTGAATTTCATCTGATGGGGTTGGACAGAATTAAACCATTTGACAAAATTGGGCAGAATTGGGTATTTTAGGAGGGTCACGTTTGCATATTTGAACACTTGGACTCCATTTCATCTTATAGCCAGAGGCTTTAAAAAGAGCAGCATTCTTTTCAAAGTACTATCATATAAAAATGTCTTCATGGTTTTTGCTTTAAGAGAGGGAGAACCTATGCTTACCTGTATTGTTACCACTACTGTTGGCAGATTTTGCAGTAGAATCTATTGCTATTGTGGAAAGTGTTTTGCTACTGAGGGTATCTATTGCTTTATTATATTTACCTGTTTTCTTGCAATCCACACACACTAACACTAGCTCCAAATTGTATAAAACAAAAAATCCAACAGTTTCAAAGTGAAATTCAAAAAAGGAAAGATGGAAGTCTCTCCCACCACTCCTCTTTCCCCCAGGAGGCTAGTTGTCCACATGGTGACCTCTGCTGAGACACACATTAAGTACTTCAAAGTCCAGCTGGCTTTCTGTGGGATGCACAAGAAGGTTCTTGCACATCTCACTCTTGTTGTCTGTAAATGACTGTTTTACTGCACTGACATTTCCTCCCAGAATCAGGTGGAAGGGGTTTTCCTATTCTGCCTGCACCCTTTTGAAAAGAATCACTTTGCAATTATTGGTGCAGTTGCCCATCTACAGTGTGAGCCAGGCAAACCAGCAGAGCATTGCTTGAGCATGAGGATGGAATGTCTCACTGGTTGGGTAATGGTGACAATCTGGGAACAGACAGTGACTTATGTTGATCAGGATCTCTCCTGCCCAAACTGATGGCTGGGAAGCAGGCCCCTTGGCCCACAGAGAGGACAGCATGTTCTCTCTCTGGCTGGCTGCAAGGTGGGAAGCATTGCTAATCTGAGTAATGTGAGCCTGTTAATCTTGGAATTATCTAAGAAAAGGCAATTGCCTGGCACTTCCTCAGCACACAAAGCAGGAGCTGCTATCACTACTGCCATCAACAAGGTCTAATCGGACAGAGGCTTCAAAACAGCTGAATGATGTACACACAGATATCTGCTGGTCCCAGAGATGCCCACTCTCTGAGTTCCAGATGAAAGTGGAAATGCACAGAAACGCATGAAGGCTTCTGGGCTGATTAAAAACTCAACACAAGTTGTTCTCACACTTTTTGGAGAGATTGTTAAAAACACATATTCCCAGGTGCTTCTATATGAATTTTGAATTAGTAGGGTCTGGATCAGGGTCTGAGCCTTTGCTTTTCCAACAGACTCCCGGGAGAAGCTGATGCTGTAGGTCCAGGGACCACATGTTGAGTTATACTGCTCTATATTCTTAGAGGCAGAGGGCTTGGTTTTCTGGGAAATTTTTGCTCTGCATCTAATGGTTTGGAACCTCTGGAATTTATGACTATTGGTCTTTGAGTTCTGATTGACCTACAGCTTCACAAATGGCCCGAATATTATTAGATTCAAAGTCAAATGAATTTGATGAAAACACATCAATTAGGCACCTCTATTGTTCTTTCATGACAAGACTTGTCCAGCCTAGCAAGAGGAACCATTATTAGGGGTAGAGAAAGGAAAAGAGAGAGAGAAAAGGGTAAAAGTATGTAGCTGTATATGTATTTTGTTGTTGTTTTATACAAACAAAGTGGAGTTTTAAAAAGTTCTCTCTCAGCTTCTTGGAGGAGGATGTTGGTTTAAACAAAAGTAACGAGAGAACCCTATCCAGACCCCTGAGGTGCTAAAGAGAACCCACTTTGCTACACACTCTATGAATGTTGGTGATTTTGAGATGATCCCTTGATATTGAAAACAGAGGTGTGCATTGATTCCTGCTGTGACCAGGCTGCTGGAACATTTGACTGACTCAATAATAATTATCCCCGTAGTGTTCTCAGGTAACTATTGTGGAACTGCTGGCTCCACACTCAGTTCGCTCTCTCCCAATTAGTTTTACTCTCAACACTATTTAACTGATTTTTAAAGAAATACATTTGTAACCAAAATAAAATATTAATGACCAATGTTATATATGTAACTACTGTACAATCCAGACAAATAATCATCTCTAGTCAAGCAGGGTTTCTAAAGGTATGTAATAAGGTTGTTAGATGAGTAAATAAGTTTGATTGTGCTTTTAAGCTATGCAAGCAGAGAAAAAAATGTAACAGACTCTTATCTTGTCTGAATCTGCATCACTTAACACATTTCTTTGTCTACCTAAATTGTATGTGTGTGTTTTCAAATCTCACAACAAATCAAGGGAAGTTTGATTTGTTCAAATATTATTGTATTAGTCAGAATAGTTTCAATAATTTTGCAGCAACAAATGGCCATCAAATCTCTGTGACTCACACTATATGCCCAACATCAGTCAGCTCTGCTTGTTATAGTCATGCAGGGACCATGTTAATGGACAGTCCGTTTTGATGCATGCTGTTTGTCCTGATTGGAAAGGTAGAGAAAGGGCAAGGTGCACACTAGCAATTAAATGATTGAGCCCAAATGTGATACATGTCACTTCTGACCACAATCAACAAGCCCCCTGACTGTCGAGGAAGTAGTCATAACCTTGTCTGTCTTCAAAGAGATAGTGAAGCACAGCCTCTCATGAGGGAAACTGGATATTGGTGAACAGTGGGAGGGTCTGCCTTAGGTAGAGTCTGCACAACAGTTTGAATATGAAAGGAAAGAACTTAGGAAATTTTATTTGTCTGCAAACTACAAATGCATGTCAGTTTGTGGCATGAATCCAGGCTTGACTAGAGCCTTCTTAGAGAAGGTCAGATCTCCTTTTGAAAAATGGTGTAATTAACATTTATATCAATCACTTTAAGATAAAAGATTTAGACCACCAGGTTAAACTTCCTGTGCTATTAGTCTGCAAGATGTAGTGAAAAGTGCACGGCCTGGGAATGAGACCAGGATTCTAGCCTTGGATCTACTGCTCTTTAGAGAAATTGCCTTACCATCTCTGTAGATGAAGTGGTCAGACAGACAGAATGATCTGTTAGCTTCCTTTCAGTTCCAAGATTCTGTGATTCTATGAATTATAATCTTCACTTAGATTTATGTAATATTGACCAGAATGTGGTGTGGTGGAAAAAAAGATACTAGAAACTATTAATAATAGTGCTGGCCTTATAATGGAGCATACATAAGTCATGTAATGAGCTCCCTTTAATATCACACATATATTCGGTTGGTGCCAGAGTTGAGTTATCATTCTCAAACCATCTAAAATGCCAAGATTACAGTCTGGTTGGAAGTCTCTTCTGCCTGCTGGGAGGGAGCAGAGCAGTAATGATTAATTGTAAAGGACAGGGACTCTGGCTTTTCACCTGCCTGGTCTCTGTAGCTTTCAGGGTCCTGTCTGTTTGGATCGATGGTTTGCTAATTACAAACTGTCTTTGGAAGGCTCCACCATACTCTCTGGTGATTCATGTTTTTGCATTGATTTTCACATAAGCTAAGATGCAGTTGCACCATTTAAGCACTTGGAAATTGGTCATCAATGAACTATTTTGGACTTAATAGATTTGATAACACTCAAAGACTCTTTATGTTTTGATTTTTAGATTATACTACCTAATATATGTCCTATTTATCTGCTTTTTAGAAGGACTCTAGTAAGGATAGGCTCTGATTTATGGATCGGCCTCTGTAGGCAGCCTGAAATGGAATAAAGTCTAAAATTTACTTCAGTATTCCCCAGGCTACTTATTCAGTGAATGTGTACCTCATTTAGACCTGAAATTTTTCCTGCTACTGAGGTGATCTTCATTTTAAATGAGGAGTTATTTTCTTCTGCACCATGATTGGATCTCAATTACCAAATTCTAGGTTTAGAGCCACATCCAGTCCTTTGGATCATAAGTACTAATTCAAGAAAAATTATACTTATGAGATTGTCTGGCAGATACCTGGAATGAGTTAGCTAAACAGTGGTTTTATAATTTTTGAAATACTAGAAAACAATATGTACGTGATTAAAGTGGTCTGCGATTTAGCCAATGTGAGTTTCCTGCCTTCCTTTCCTTCAAGCTTCACAGCCTTCTTCTCATCTTCCCAGCCTGTCCCTAAGGCAACTCAGTGGCATGCTAAGGCACGAAAGAGCACATTTAGGGACATCTCCAGAAACAATGGGCTTGGAGCTTTGGAACCGCACTTTAGTGTATTGGTCAAAAGCATGGACTTTGGAGGCCCTATCTTGAGACCTAGATCCACTTTGAAGCCTTCCATTTTTTATTTCTGTTGTGCCTACCCTCTTTAATCCCGCTTCCTTATATGCAAAATCAAGATAATTATACCTAACTTAAAGAGCCCTCCTGAGGAGAAAATGAGAGTAAGGAAATTAGTAAGATGCTTTGGCATGTAGTAAACACACAGTAAATGTTAGCTTTTCCTCCTCCTCTTAATAAGCTACATGCCTTACTTAGGAGTGCAAATTATGATAAATTAATAGAAAAATTGATTCTGCCTTTGATCAGTCATTGATGTGATGGTATCTGGTTTTATATCCTAATTTTTAAAAATAATTCATATGCAAAAGAAAAGAATCAGAACAAAAAAAAACCAGATATAACAAATGGAAGAACATTATTTTATTCCTTCTGAATGTAACTTAAATGTCACTTACCTGGGAATTTCCAAATCTTCCAGTGTTGTTAGGTCACTCTTTCTTGGATGTTTAAGTAAAAATAAAAATGGTTTGAACTCATCCCATGAATATTCAAGCCCCCATAGGGATTCTCAGGCTCTGATCACGTTTCCTAAATAATTCCTATTTTCTGCTCCTACTGAATCTTCCAAAAACGTCGTGTCTCTCTTCCTGTGGTTCTCTCCTCTCTATTTAGAATTAACCCAAACTTCTTATCCTGGCTATCTCTAAGGCATTACTGTGAAAAGTGGATGTGTGAAGGGATGAAGATAGTGCAATATAGCAATCAACTTAAAACTATGTTCAACTCATCCTTATTCCTACATGTCATTACCTAGCCCCTATACTGGTTAGTTTAACATGTCAATTTGGCTAGGCTACAGTACCCAGGTATGCAGTCAAATACTAGATATTGCTGTTCAGATATTTTGTAGATGTGGTTAACTTCTATAATAATTGACTTTAAATAAAGGAGATTTTCCTCCATTACACGGATGGGCCTCAACCCCTCAGTAGAAAGGTGTTAATAGCAGAACTGAGGTTTCCCTGAGGAAGAAGAGATTCTGCCTCAAGACTGCAACATCAGCTCTTGCCTGGGAGTACAAATTTGCCCACCTGAGCCCTATCATGTAATTGTATAAGCCAGTTCCTTGAAATAAATCTGTCCATTATCTATCTATCTATTCTACTAGTTTTGTTTCTCAAAGAACCCTAACTCCTGATACAGACCTTTTCCACACTTGGAATTTCTCAACCATCTTATTTTCTCTAATAAAGTAGATTTAAAGGGTGAAAAACTGATAGCAATAATTCATTACACTTATTGTTATAAACAATACTGGCTGATATTTAATCAGCACTAATATGTGTCAGGCAGCCATTCCTATACTCTATTCAACCACCTCTCTGTAGGCTCCTAATACATCGAGCCCAGGTGAATTTTAACCATATCATATAATTTTGAAGGGACCTTCATCAGGATCCTCTACTCCTGACAAAAAATCCCTAAGTGGACTGCGCCAGCACCAGAAACTCTACACATTCCTTTGGGCTAAAGTTTTTGTTATAGAGAATTCTTTGCTTGAAAGAAATGTCCTAGGAGAAAAAGGTGATAATAATTTAGCTGCTAGGAGACCCAATAAAATATCAGCATTTTCCTGACAGATAAGCAAAAAACAACAATGGCCTAAATTTTTAATAAGTACAGTCTTGAGAATTATCCTCAGGGAGCAGACCTGGATGTAGTTCCTCAGTGGGGGGCCACTGGCACCTGCAGGATGTGGTAGAAAGAAGAGGGAGAAGAAAGGTGGGAGACTGCCAAAGGAAGTGTCTACTCCTTTACACTTCAATTGGTTCCAATCACACCTGCTCCCTTTAGGGGAAGCCTTTCCACTAAATGATGATTGTGATGACTTGGCAGGCAGACTGAATTTGGATGTAGGTAGATTATCAAAAAGATATTTTTTGCCTAATAACAAGACCCTTTTCTGAACTGCAAAATATGTTCTCTGCTCCTTTCTTTTCCAGGGTCTCATAGGAAGGAAAGGGTGATTATCTTGTAGTCTACTCTTGGTTTCTCCACTTGTTCCTTTAACTTCATCATGTTCTCTTGCTTTCTCAAGAACTTTGTTCCATCTGTATTTATTCTCTCTGTCTTTGTCCCAATCTTGAGTCTTTCTGCTCTAGTGTACCGAAGCCTCCTCCAACTTGAAAAAAAACTTTCCCACATCCTGTTACCTCCTCTCTTAGCTCACTATAAAGTGTCTATATTTCTGTCTTGATTTCTTCACTGTTCTTAACTCAAAGCGATGTGATTTCTGTACAATTCATTGTATTAGTACTCTACAACACTTTCAATCAGTTGTGAAAAGCAAGTCTTTTTTTTAGTTCTTGTCTTCCAGGACCTCTTTCTAGTACTCAGTACTACTGGCCAGAATACATGACACCATTTCTCATTTTGACTTTCTTAACACTTGCTGATTCTTAAAAATGTCCCCTTTACTGGTTGCATTTTCTCTTCCAATCCCCTAAATGTTGATTTACTCAAAAGTTTAGCTCTTACTTTTCTGTAATAGTATTCAGTCAAGATTTTTACCCTCCCACAAGATATTTTTCTGTTCCTTCTATATACATAAGACTCTTACTATTGATCCAAACCATTCTCCTGAATCTATTTCTACAAAAATCTCTGGCTACCTGCTAGTCATTTCCATCTGGAAGCTTTTGTATCCTCTCATTTTTAGAATATTTGCAAACAAAGGGCTTATCCACATTCAAAAACTAGCGCTTCTCTCTCAAATATCCTCATTTTTTTCCCCTAGTCACTGGGGTTACAAACTTTGGAGTCCCTTTATCTTTACTCACAAAATCTTATTGCACCTTCGTGAAGATGTTTGCAGTAGATTCTTTTAATTCACTTCCCTATTACCATCCTATCTCCAGGCTTCAGCATTCAGATCTGGATTATAGTCCTCCCCCCATCCTTCACCTCCACATTGCAATGATCTGTAATCTGGAATGTGACATTTTTTAGCTCCTTTGAAATGCTTTCCTCCTGTTCTCTTCTCCTACTCTTCCTTTGACACCCACCTCAAATTTCGACACCTATTTGTTTGTTTCAGTTGCCAGTAAATCCCATCTTTTCTGAATTTCTGAAACATTTTAAATCACAAATATATCTTTATTTAAATATGTTTATGTCAATGTCCTCCTGTCTTGACGAACAGACCTGAAACTATTTGGAAGTCAGGGACTAGTTATTCTAAATCTTATATCTCCAATATTTAAATGAAAGTTTGTTGTTGTTAATGCTAAGAGTCTTCAATAGTTTTATTTCTACCACAAAAATGAAGCAGTATTCCGTAGTATTAATAGTTAATGGCAGAAGCGTCAGCCTTGGTTTGCACTTCAACTCTGCCAAGTACTAGCTGTGTGACCTTGGCCACATTGTTTCAACTTGCTAAGCTGTACCTGAAAAAATGTAGATAATAATAGTACCTGCTTCAAATGTTTATAAGAATGAAAAATATTTTATATATATATATATGTAATATATATACATAAAGTATATATACATGTTTGGCATACTGCCTGACACATAGTAAGGAGAAAGGAAATGTCAGATATTACATAGTGGGTACTCAATACATATCTGATGAAGGACTGAGTTAATACCACACTGCTGAATTAGAAAATTTTATACTTTTATAATTTTAACACATTTTTCAAGTCCTATTTCTGTATTTGTTTATCAAAACCTGAAAGACTCAAATGAATTAAATGTTATTACTGAATTGTTTTTTACCAGGCTTGGGCTGGGAAAAGTTAGCAATATTTATTAAGTGACTGTTGAGTTTACAGAGCTGTAGGAAGCTGATAGTGCCTTTGGGTATAGATTAGACTGACTTCATATTTCAGTAGAAAAGGCAGATAGAAAAATTTCATTTTTGACTCATTAATAATTAGCTATCTGATTTAAAATATGTTGGTTTACCTCAGCTAGTTTTTTTAGCCTTTCTAAAAGGTAGTAAGAATTAAGTTAAAAATTAATATATTTAAGTATTATATTCTGTAAACAAAAATGCTATATAATAAATACCTTTACTTGAATATTTTAAATGATTTCTGTATAATTTTTAATTAACCTTAATTATTTTTACTAATTTCATTATTTGGAAAATATTTTTTCTTCTGTTTCCTAAAAATGCTGGTCTTTCATTTACTTGGAGCCTTTTTTTCTGGATAGTGAAATATGAATGTATTAATTACTTACTATGTGTCAGCAACTATGCAAGGCATACACAAATACATACGCACATAGGCAATGTAATAGTGTTTAATAAAGTATTACTAAAGTGCTAAGTGAACACAGAAAAAAGGAGTAATTAATTTTTCCCTTTGAGGGTGATGGCAAAACTATGAATGAAGATTGGACTTTTTTTTTTTTTTTTCTGAGCCTTGGAGGTAAAGTAAAAGTTTGCCAGTACACATGTGGGTGGGTATTCTTGGCAGTAGTAACAACATAAGCAAAAGCAGACTGGCTTGAGAGTGCTATTGTATTTATAAAATCATGGATACCCTGTTATGGTTATAACATTGATGTGTGTATGTGTGTCAGAGGCAGTGGTTTGCTAGTGTCAGTTCACTCGTGAGAACCAACTGTGCGTATCTCTTCCTGTCTGCATTCACTGGTATCTTATAGGTAGCTTGAAATCTGCCATTGTGGGGGTACTTGTACCCCCACAGTTGGCAAACACAACAAATCTGGGTGTTGATGGTGGTGGTGATGGTAGTTGGTTTCTTCCCCCCCCTTCAGAAAGCTGATCGCTAAAGATGCATGAGCACACCTCTTGTAGGAAGTAGCAGTTTGACAAGGTTAGTCTGAAAGGATAAATAACATGAGATTGTGAATGGCTTGGTAAGATAAACTAAGGAGTTTGCATGTTAAATAAGTTCCATTTATGACTTATACTGATATGTGACATTTTGTGGGCAAAATCTCCAAAGAAAATTGAAATTTTGCAAAGTGGTAACACAAATATATCTAAACAGAAACTTGATTTTGAGGACAAATAATTATAAACTGTGTGAGTAGATTAGCATTGGCAATGCTTAGAGTAAGGAGTAGAAACATTTGGAAAATACTTGGTGGTCCTGTCAGCCAAAATAAAATGTTCTCTGCAGTTGTAAGAATTCTAAGAGTCATTTCTGCTATGTAAACATTTGTTGGGAATGCTAACATTTCCTCTTGACTTCATCTTTTAGGAAATAACAAGCAAATACTAAACCTATACAATTATTTATTTAATACCCTTTCTCTTTGTGTTTCTTTTAAAGAAAAAAATGACCAGTGAAGACTTTAATGTGTAATAAGGAAGTAGACTAAAGGGTAGAAGTGGCAAATTAGGTAACTTCCTTTAAATAGATGATCAATCACAATTATGTGGGGCTTTGCTGTTTTTGAAATGAAATAGTCAATGAGAGCAAGCTAATTACTCAACTAATCTTAACTCTGTTTCAACTATATGACACAACCTGAAAGAAATCAAAGAAGTAAGCAGAAGAATCCTAAAATTCCTCTACAGGAGAGATTCAAGCCTGTACATGTTTATATTGATTTTTGTTAATAGATAATATCTTCCAAAGCCTAGGTTACAGTAAACAGTTTGTCAATAAGGACAACTGCACTAATTGAGTGCTTATTATATGCCAGAACTGTTCTACAAGCTTTACATGGGTTCTCTTGTTTGATATTCTCAACAACTCTCTACTGTAGGTTATTTGTATTATCTCTATTTTACCAAGGAAGTAGAAGCACAATGTCAAAGAAAGTAGTATGTGACAGAGCTAAGATTCACATCCAGGTGGTCTACAGCCACAGCAGCTGCCCTTGTAACTACCATCGTATAATACAGTGGTTTTTAAAATGTGGGCCTGGGAGCAGCAGCAGCAGCAGCACTGCCTGGGAACTTGTTAGAAAAGCAGGTTTCAAGGACCCTCTGCAGGACTGCTGAATCAGATAATATGGGATAAGGCCCACAGTCTGGGTTTGAATAAGCCTGCCCGGTGATTCTGATACATGCTAAAGTTTGAGAACTGCTAACCTGTACTACACGATCTTTACAGTCAGGTCTAAGAATATCCAATATCCTAATGAAAATGATCTTATAACATTGAACAACATGCAGATGCATGTTGCAACCAATAGAGTGAGCAGGAAAGCCTTCATGTATGTTGGAAAAGGAAGAACTGTCAGTTTATTCTGTTTCCAGTATGACTATGCACATCACCTTGCACAGTCAGAAAAAATAAATTGTATTCTGAAGCAAATTAAAACAGGGTCACACCGATGAGTAAAATCTCCAATATAATAAAACCTTTACATAAGCCTGGGATCCCTAAATAAATCATTTGATAACTTACCTGCTTTAGCTATGTTGATGTCTGAAGATACGTTATAACCTTCCCAAGTATGATAATCATCTGAGAAAGTTGTTGTCTTTTCCACCATGATTAGAATGAAATAAATTTGTTGCATTGGTAATTTTGTCCGCATGTGTGCTTTTAAAAATAGTTGTTGTGTATTTTATTTGATGACCCAGGCCTTCTGAAATCTGATTCTGATTCTGCTCCATTTATCTACTGCTTTATAATAAACGCCCCAAAACTTAGCAGTTTAAACAATGTATTATTGTCTTTCATCATACCACTGGTGGACCAGGATTAACTCGGAGACTCTCACTTGTGGTCTCTCATACAGCTGTACTCAGGTGATGGCTGGAAAGGAAGTCACTGGAAGGTGTGACAGGGCTGGAGGACCACAATGGCTCAATTACATGGATGATATTTGATCATGGATGTAACCTGAGAGCTCATTGGCAGCTGTTGACCAGAGCTCCTATACATGGTCTCTCTTTGTGGCTTAGATTTCTCCCATTATGGTATATGGCTGACAAGAGGGACGTGTCAAAAGCAAGTTTTTAAGGCACCTCCATGGAAGCAGAAAGGCTTCTAATAATCTACTTTCAGAAGCCCCAGAACACAATTTTTGCTACACTAAGGCCAGCTCAGACTCAAGGGGATAGGAACTAAACTCAATCTCTTGATGTGAGGAACAGCATTCATGTAAAGTAAGGAAAGGAATAAATGAGGCCTTCTTTGGAGACTACCATATGCTCTCTTGAACTCTTTAAAGTAAGCATTTTCTTATGCATCTTTTTCTCAGTTTTCTTTTGACAATATAATAATTTAGTTAAGTCTTAAAGTTAAGGAAGGGTTTGCCTTTATCACGGACTATGTAGAATCTAAGATTTTACCCTTTTGGCAAGCTAACAAGTTATTCTGCCACAGTCACATGGATGATGGTAGAAAATACAAGATTCCTGGATCAGAGACAAATTATACCTTATTACTCACAGTGATAGAAGTAACCAGCATATCAGTATATTTTTTGCCAAGGTTCCCTGAGCCTCAGTTCCCACAGGAAGACAAGAAGAGGGTGAGATGACTCTTGAACACACAGTAGGTTGTGTCACAGGAGAGAGATCCTGAGCTTAGGAAACTCAAGTCTATTTTATAATGAGCAGTAAGAAAACCTCTTCTTTGCTCCAAAGGGAGACACTGTCTCTATCTTCCAAGGCTATTCTCTGTATAAGTACCCTGAAGGGATAGCCCAGAACAAAGGCAGACAGTATCTCACTTTTAAGACATGCAGAAATGAAAGAGATCCATAGACAATTGTCCCCAAACAACCATGTGATGGTGGTCATGACAGGGGTGGAAATGAGGGGAAAAAGATGGATCATCTAGATAGGAAACAGAAGCAAGAGAAGTTTTATATTTTGAGAATTGTGAGGAGTTCCACTTAAAAAGGAGTAGAGAAGTAAATGAGGATACAAGAACCTCAAAGAACTGTCCGTAGCATGTTTAAGATTTTGAAATTCTTATGTAAGCAACACCAAACTGCTGAAAGGCTTTTATGAGGGAAAAGACATGATCACAGCTGGGGTATTGTAAGCTTACTCTAATAGGATCTGCAGAGTATTTAAATTCCTGGAGGAAGAGCACTTATTTAGAAGGAAAGTAGATGAAGAGAGCCTGAGATGAGAGTGTGGCATTCAGAGTGGAGAATCAGTAGTACCTACATATGACAGATGTTAAAGAGATAGACTCCATAGACATAGACTGGGCCACTGCTCTCACCTCTTAACACAGTCCATTGTCATTATTTGATTATTTGTTTCTCCCATTAGACTTCCCTTTTTCGGGGGAAGAACCACATTATATTTTTCTTTATACTCTCTACATCTTTCTCAATTTTGGTTTGGTAGATTGGTTGATGTAGGATAGGGTTTAAAGTGTATCAAAAAATGTACAAATTAGAGGCAAATAAATGAAGTTCCTAATCCTTATGGAACTTACATCCTAGTGGAAGAGATAAGTAATAAATGAATGAACAAGTAAGCACCTATTCTTATGCCAGGTGGTGATGAATGCTACGAAGAAAAATAAAGCAGAACAGAGGATGGTGGGGGCGGGGGCAGTATTTGAGATAGGGTAATCAGGAAAAGTGTCTTGGAGAGAATACTCTCAGAACTTTTGTCACCTCTTTGCTAAAACTGTTCAGCAGGGGCACGTGGGTATTTTGGATATGCAGAATTAGTCCTGAGTCCAGGCGGTAGTGTTTACTGAGAGTTGATGAAGCTGCATAAAAATGTCCAGGAGTGTTTTCCTGCGGATTCACCCAGAAGCTGACTCTGAGACAAATTTAACAAATAAATAACAGTATAAATACACATGTAATGAATTAACAAATTTATTCTTGAGGTGGTCTTAAGAAACACCGGTTGGCAAAGTGAGGAAATGAGACCAGCATATGAAGGTAACCATGAGTGTGGGTAACGAGCTGAATTGCACTAGGGAATTCTGGAAACCAGTACAGAACATGCACCTCAGCAGTCTCCGGGGGTGGACTGGTCAACATTTTACACTCTGGGGATAAAAAGAGTTCTGATTTGTAGTGTTTCCTGATTGCTTTGGTGTAAATACTCCCACCCTGGCCTATTTTAAACTGTCTATGTGATACAACTAAACATGGAGTTTGAAAGGATGCACAGTAGCAAGCCATTAGTTACACTGTATTTCCAAATAAATGTAGTAAAATCATTAGAAGATGACGCATTTGAGTATTTAGCACCCTTGTTTTTCATATTGTTTACTTAACTGAAATGTATACAATTAATTTTTAATTTTTAAATTTTAAATGATGACTTGCCAAATTCCTAAGTATTTATTATCAGCCCTTGGGAGCTGGTGTGTCCTGGCTGTAGCACATCACTGGAATATTTCACCTGAGAAGTGAGGAGCCTGGGGTATTTCTCTGTAATGGATAATGGCTTTTCCTAGAAGATGGGGAAGGGGGAAAAACTTGATTCTCCCACTCTTCAGGATTGTGCCTGGTGAGAGCAGAGCACTGAAACCCAGAGAAAACTCTCTGAAGGAGACACTGGTAAGACCTGAGGACTGAGTGAAGGACTGATGAGGTGATATAGTTTGGTTATTTGTCCCCACCTAAATCTCATATTGAAATGTAATCCCCAGTTTTGGAGGTGGGCCCTGGTGGGAGGTATTTAGATCATGGAGTGGATCCCGCATGAATGGCTTGGGCCATCCTGTCGGTGGTAAGTGATTTGTCACTCATTGTTTAAAAGTGTGTGCCCTCCACCCCCTGCACTCCCTTGCTTGCTCCTGCTTTTGCCATGTGATGTGCCTGCTCCCCCTTCACCTTCTGCCATGATTGAAAACTCCCGGAGGCTTCACCAGAAGCTGAGCTGATGCCAGCACCATGCTTCCTGTAAAACTTGCACAACCATGAGCCAATTAAACCTCTTTTCTTTATGAATTATACAGTCTTGGGTATTTCTTTATAGCAATGCAAGAACAGCCTAATACGCAACATCTTCTGCAATTAGGTAGAAATGATCCTGGGTCATGATAAAATGAAAGCAAGTGAGCTTAAGAAATGATACTTTCTGTGTTTGGGCTGGTAGTTTTGAAGAGTTTGGCGTTTACCTTTATATTGGACCTGGTTTGGTGCCACCATGTCTTATCTTTGTAGTAAAAGCCTAATATATACAGCAGCCTTGGTGTGTTTGAGGAAACAAAAGAGATAGTAGGCATTTGTTGGCAGACACCAAGACAGGGAAAGAATAGTAGCTGTAGGAATAAAGATTGAGATGTTAGTACCTAAAAGTGAGGAGCAGCAAAAAAAGATGCAAGAGAATGTGACTCAGAAGCAGCCATACCCAAATACCCCTTTACCCCAAAGACTCCAGAAAAGGGAAATGCTTGTAAAGCATTTTGGTGAAATCTTGCTGTTCTGTAGATGTAACTAAACTGGCAACATCCTGTATAATCTATGCATTTTTAAAAGATGTAGAATTGGTGACCTTAGGCATATTTAACAACTCCTTTGAGTTTAAGACTAGACTGGGCAACATAGGGACACCCCGTCTCTCATAACATAACAAACAAACAAACAAACAAACAAACAAACAATCAAAAAACAATTAGCCAGGCATAGTGTTACACACTTGAAGTTCCTGCTACTGAGATGGGAGGACTTCTTGAGCCCAGGAGGTTGAAGCTGCAGCAAGCTGTGATTGTGTTACTGTACTCCAGCCTGGGTGACAGAGTGAGAACTTGTCTCTTAAAATAAAAAGATAAAAAGAAAGAAAACAAAAGAAAGACAAGAAATGAAACTCCCTTGGTCAGCTTTTTTTCATTTTTAAATACTTACACATTCTAATTATTACTGATATTTTAAATATATTTATTAAACAGATATTTATTGAATCTTTCAATATACCACACAATAACCTGAAATTGTTGCTACATCAAGAAAGTCAGTCCAATCGCTGTGCTGATTAAAAATATTGCACCTTAGTCAAACTTGAATAACAGCAAGACCTTCATTGTCTCAAAGTCTGTTTCTGTCCTGTTTCCTTGTCATCCCCAGGAGATGCAGTAGACCCCTACAGAACTGATTGCTTGCCTAAAGATATCAGGATCTGCACTAAGGACAATTTCAGATTTGAAATGTGTCCCAACCCTAAGTCAAACCAAAGAATATAAATCATTGTTCTATTTAATGCAAGGCTACCCTAGCATCTCAGGAGCAAGTTCCCTTCTCCTCCTTACATTGTAAAATGGATCAGGAGCACACAGAATTTCAGAGCTGGGTAAATGAAATTTCAAAAACGACTAATTCTAAGCCTTACCTTCAGTTCTACACAAGAAAACCATGTCTTTGATTTCTATTTACGGGAAAGCTGAGAAACCACCATGGTGGAAAAAGTGTGGGATTTGCATATGAAAACCAAAGTTAATTACAGCAACACTTTTGTTAAATATATATATAAATATATATAATATAATATATTATCTTATATATGTATTTTATATATTATATATATTATATATAATATATAAAATATATATTATGTATTATATATAATAATTATATTATTATATATTATATATAATAATTATATTATTATATATTATATATAATAATTATATTATTATATATTATATATAATATATTATATAATATGTATTATATAATATATTATATATTGATAATATAGTATATAATATGTATTATATATAATATATATTTATAATATATTATATATTTATATTATATTATATATTTAATATATATTAAGTATATTCTATAAATAAATATATTTATTTACATATTATAAATATATTTATATATTAAATATATTTATATATTATATTATATATAAATATATATTATATTTTATATTATATTATAAATATTTATAGATATTTATATATATTATATAAATATTATATATAATATTTATATATTATATATATTTATATATATTTATATTTATATATAATATAAACATTGTATATAAAATATATAACATAAACATTGTATATAAAATATATAACATAAACATTGTATATAAAATATATAACATAAACATTGTATATAAAATATATTATATTATAATATATAATATATTATATAAAAATATATTATATTATAATATATAATATATTATATAAAAATATATTATAATATAATATATTATATAAAAATATATTATAATATAATATATTATATAAAAATATAATATATTATAATATATTATATAAAAATATATTATAATATAATATATAATATATTATATAAAAATATATTATATTATAATATATAATATATTATATAAAAATATATTATATTATAATATATAATATATTATGTAAAAATATATTATATTATAATATATAATATATTATGTAAAAATATATTATATAAGAGATATATTTATATATTATACATATTATCTATAATATATATAGAATATAGATGTATAGATTATATATAGAATATAGATATGTAGATAATATATATCTACATATATTATCAATATTAATATATATTCAGTATATATATCTATATTCTATATATTATTATATATAATATATAGATATATTTATATATGTATTCATTTTGAGACAGGGTCTTACTATATTGTCCAGACTGGCCTCAAAAAAAACATAATTTAAAAATAATATTTATTGATCATTTATTCTCCCAGGCCACATTATAAGAAATGAGGCTATAATGGTATCCATGGATAGAAAAAGTTTCTGGCATCATGGAACTCACTTTAATTTTTGATGGAGGATAAAATACTACTACTACCACTACTACTACTACTAGTACTACTAAGCAAACTGATAAATAACCAGGGTAATTTTAAATAGTGATTATGCTACTGTAGCAGAGATGGCTGCCCACTAAAATCTGTTCTTTTTATATATTGCTGGGAAGTGGCTAGACAGAGAAATACTGTAATGTCCTTGTAGTTAATTTGTGGTCATGGGACTCATTCTCCCCAGTGGAAAGTAAGAGAGAACATTGCGTGCCACTTCCAGGGAAAGTTTCTCTTTCTTTTCCCAGCAGTTGAATGGCAGCCTTAGAGAAGGACAGAGGCACCACATGGAAGTACCCTGGGTCTTTGCATTATTCCAAGTAGAAAATTCACCCTTCAGAAAGGAATACCCATCTTGGCTTCCGTTGTCTTGGAGTCATTCCACATTGCGGGGGTGGTGAGGGAATGTGAGCAAACCTTCCCTAACTATTACAATAATACAGCAATGAATAAAATATAACAGGAAGATATGATACGGCACAACAGGAGGTTGAGCTGAAGGCAATCTGAGAGTAGAGTGATAGTGGAATACCTCTCTGAGATGACATTTGTGCTAAGTCCAGCCATGTTAAGATCTGGGGGAAAAGCATTTCAGACAGTGGGAGCAGCAAGTGCGAAGTCCCTGAGGCAGGAAGGGATTTAACATGCTAGTGGGACAGAAGGTTCATGTGACTGGAGTAACATAAGCAAGAGAGAGACAGTTTTGAGAGGAGGTGAGAGAAGTAAGTAGGGATGAGAGCATGTAGAACCTGCTTGGCCATGGTAAGGAGCTTAGATTTTATCTCAAGTGTGAAGGAAAGCCATTGGTATTTTAAGATGGAATAGGGGGTCAATGATAAAAACAAAACAAAACAAAACAAAAAAATGCATTCTGAATACTGGGTGGAGAATGAGTTCTCTTGGGCCAGAACTAGAATGGAATTTACTCTTGGAAGAGTACAAACTCTTTAACATGTTTTGTAAGTCCCCCATAGTCTGGTTCTTGATTCCATATTCATTGCTCACCATTATCCCTCATACTTGACTAGTGATAGTCAACTTTCTCAGTTCCTGCTCTGCTTTACTGTTTTCCTAGAGCACCTTTTCTCACAGCTCTATTTCTTTCCCTACTCCTACATGGGGCTCTAATAAACATTTCCAGTCATATTTTGAGTCCTACTCATGTTGATCTACTTTTAGATCTGGTATTATGCCATAGCTTCTTTTACTCCTGGGCCTTTGCGCATGATATTTCACTTTATCCTGATCTTGTTAACTCCTGTTCATCATTCTAGTCTCAGCTTAGCTGGTAGTTCACTTTAAAAAGCCTTCTCTTCTTTTCTAAGCATGAGTAAGATACTCTACTCAATGCCCTCAGACTCCTGTGGAGCTTTGAGGTTTGCACTGCATTATAACTGCCTATCCATTGGAGTATAAACTCTGTACACCCACAATCTTCGTTTCTACAGTGACTGTCACATAAATCAGGCATTCAACAAATAAAGGTTGAATGAACAAATAAAATCAATACCAAGTCCAAAGGGCTTTTTCAAGGCTACAGATGAGAGATGAAGCCCTGACTTAGAAGTTAAAATGGGATAAGATCAGGGATAAATGGAGATTCATGAAAATGTTCTCATATCATGAGGCACCTCCTTGCTGGTTGTTGGCTTAAGGACATACTGGCTTCCTTCAAGGTATAGAGTCAAGCTCATCACTGCCTCAAAGAGAGGACAGCTCTTTGTAAATTAGAAAGCATTATATTAACATTAAATAATATTTTAAAAATATACAAACATATTATTATTATTATTATTTTTACAGGCACTTGTGATTGACTCATTTTTCTGTCCAACAGAGAAAAACAGCTTGTGAATTTTCTTAAACATGCAAACGTTCTTGTCTGGAAAATGTTTGGTAATAAAGGTCACTGTGAACTTCTCAAGGATCTCAGTGGGACAGAAGCAGCCTTTATTTATGTGTATTTATGTGTTATTCGCTGATGGCTTTGCTGAGGAAAGCTATATTGTCAAGTGCCCTAATTAAGAAATAATAATGTAATTGATTTTTTATGTATTATCTTCAATTGAGTCCCTTTACAACAGCAAACTCTCATTGACTACTCGGGATAATTGATGGCTTCTCAGCACAATGCCCTTGGCTGATTGCAGAGCCGTTGATGCAGCGTCTGATAATGATCATAAGCCAGCTCGGTTCTCAAAACGGAGACCCTTAGAAAAGCAGCAAGCTGAAGCGCAAAGGGTGTTAATTCACTGAGGGACACAGGTCAAGTCACTTTCATTTTTGCAAAATGAGGGGGTTGAACTAAATCAACGGCTTGAAAACCAAACATAAAAATTCAGCAGAACTCCTTTATCGCACACATTTTCTGTAGGAGCCATGTCTGTAAAACAGGTCCAAGTGGTGTTAACTTCGGTTGAAGAGAGGTTGGGAATGCAGAGCTGGATCTAGCTCCTCACTTCCTCCCACCAGAGCAGACGCTAAAGGATTCCAATATGCACAGTTTGAAAACTCCTGGACTAGATGATCTGTAAGCGTGACTCCAGTTCTAAAATTCTAGGATTCTGTGATATAACTTCAAGGACTCCAGGATAAACCAAAATAGCCATTAGTCTCAGCTTTGGAGTAGCTGCATCACGAAGCCTGTGCATCACAGTCAAGTCAGAATATCAAACTTGGCTCAGAACACCCAGGCTGTGCCGCAAGCAGAGTGGAGCAGTTTGTGCCTCTGATTTTAGTGATTTCATGCTGTTGTGCGTGTATATGCCTGTGTGCGTGCGCGCGCACACACACACACACACACACACACGTTGAGTTAGTCCACGATGTTATAGGAGCTCTGAGTTTTCTTATTTTAGCAGATTTTTGTGGGGTTGTGAGGGGGCTGTAGTTGTTGAGGAGAGGGAAGCAACAGCTGTCGGGGACCAGTGAGTATTGTGCTAGACATTTTATAAAAGGAGATGTATTACTCACATTCATTCATGAGAAAATTAAAGTTCTGAAATGTCAACCAAGGCTACAGTAAGTCTCTATGACTCCAAAGCTCACATTTTTTACTACATGTGATTTCTTCTTATACTGAGAGATCCAGTTAGATTGTTGTGGAAGGAGAGTGATTAATATACACAATCATTCTGAAAAACTCCTGTCAAATGTAAATAAAATGTTACACTTTTATTCTTTGAGGGCTTTAAGGAATGGGATACCTGAATCAGTGCCATTTCAACTAGAGTGTCCTAATATATGTAGAATAGTGTTTCTGGACAGAGGATGATTTTATCCCCTTTCCCAAAGGTACATTTGGAAATGTGTGGAGACATCTCTGATTGTCACAATTCTGGGGTGGGAGGTGTCTATTACTGGCATCTACTGGGTAGAGGCCAAGAATGGTGTTAAACATCCCAAATCTAGCCCCACAACAAAGAAGTATATGGCCCAAAATGTTAATAGTACCAACATTAAGAAACCTTGATCTAGAGGTATTAAAGGAGGTGTTACCAAATAAGTTGATGAAAGGCAAGTATGGGAATCCAGATATAATTTCTAACTTATTTGATTCATTTAGAATTTTCTTGAAAGTCCGCTGTAAAGATTCTTAGTAAGACAATGATACCTTGATTAATAAGTCTCCTGGGAATGAAGATTAAGCCCTGTGTAAAACACTTACACATACAAGACGCATTTTCATAAATCATCTGGAGCAGAAGTTACTATTATTAGGGTTCCAGAAACACCGACCTCCAAACTTATATTTTATCTGTACCATTCATAAGGTCCTCCTCACCTCATATGCCGAGGTGACACTTTTTGGTCATCAGATGCCAAGGCTCTTCTATTCCCTTGAAGATAATCTTCTTTAAATTTTCAATAATACATGCATTTATTTTAGGTTGATTAAATGAAGCTTTGTATATATGGTAGGCAGAATAATGTCCTTTCTGTCCCCCAAAGACATCTACATTCTGATCCTGAAAACCTGTAGTAAAAGGGACTTTGCAACTGTGATTTAAGTTAAAGATTTTGAGAAGGGGAGATTATCCTGGATTAAACATGTGGGTCCAATGTAATCAGAAGGGCCCTTAAAAGGTGAAGAGGCGAGGCAGCAGCAGCAGCTAGAGTGATATAATGTGAGAAGGACTCAATGTCTTTTTGCTGGCTTTGAAGATGGAGGAAGGGACTGTAAGCCAAGGAATTCAGGTTGCCTTTCGAAGTTGAAAGAGACAAGGAAAGGAATCTTACCCAGAGTCTACAGAAAGAAACACAGCTTTGATTTTAGTCTACTGAGACCTGTGTCAGCGTTCTGACCTCAGAACTGTAAGATAATAAACTATTTTTGTTCAAGCCACTAAGTTATTTATTAGAGCAGCTACAGAAAACTAATATAGTATGTTACTCCCACCAGGTCCGACAGGATGCTCTGCTTAAGCATTAATGAGCTCTGAAGGTATTAAGAGGTTGGTAAGGGACCCACTCCCAGACATGTTTTAATTCCTTGATAAACATGGAGAAATTAGATTCCTGCATGAAGTTGGAGCAGGAGGATGCTAGAACACCAGTGTTTGGGATAGAGACAAAAAGAAGAGAAAAAATTGAAAACGTATGTATTCAACCAGCCACTCCTAGGGTCTAGATCTGGTATTCTAAAGTAAGAATGTCCAACAGAATGTTAATGCAAGCCACACATGTAATTTAAAAGTGTTTAGTAGCCAATAAGAAACAGGTGAAATTAATTTTAATAATTTGTTTACCCCAATGTATCTAACATTATCATTTCAATAGGTAATCAATATAAAAATTACAGATGGAATATTTTACATAATTTTTCATGCTAAGCCTTTGAAATCTGGTGTGTATTTTACACTTGCAGTACATCTCAATTTGGACTAGCCACCTTTCAAGTGCTCAGTTGCCACATGCGACAGCTACCGTATTTGGCAGTGTGTCTCTACAGAGGTAAGAGATGCAGGCTACACCTGAAAAGATTATATTGATGGAAAAACTTGGGAAATTCAAGGCATTTGAAATCCTACCTTAGCAGCCAGGTGACAAAGGTGCCGTAAGTGGGATAGAGAGTACCTGTCCCCATTTTTGTGTAACTCATGGCAACAGAATCTGGAAGGAATTGTGAAGAGAATGATCTTGAGAAGATCACTGCAGCAGACACATGATCCAAAACCCCCCACCCCAACATGAACAAAGGACAGTCTATTTCACTGGGCCTTCAGAGCAGAATAACCATTCCAGAGCTTTGTCTGGATGCGTGCATTTCTTGTCTGTCATTTTAGCTCATAGATTTTAGCTGGAGAAGATCCCTGAATGAGCTTCTAAAACATTTTTCTCATGGTAGGTGGTCTACAAGTGTTTCTTCAATGACTGAATCATTAAACAAATGATTTATTTAAGCCGACTAGGAGGATTTAATCATTTTCTTAGCATAAAAACTAACAAACAGCCAGTCAAAGGAATGCTTTTGGAATTTTGTATTATATAACCTTGTATCACCAATGCCTGGCACGTAGTAGGTGATATTTGTTTTTAGAATGAAATACTTGGCTTCTATTTAGAGATCATCCTAGTGCTAAAACTAGCTAAGCAACTTGTTCCATGTTTGGCTAATGGGATATCAGCACAGCATATTTTTTTGTTGTTAATGAGAAAGGCAGTGGTTCTGTTACGCCCATGGAAAAACACACCAAAACAAAAATATCTAATACAACATAACTTTTTAGATTTTTTCTATTATTAGCCCCAGTGAGTGCCGACAAATGCTTGTAGTTTACCACAATGCCCAAATCAAAACCCTCAAATGGTATGACCACAAAGGCTGTGAACTCTCAAGCCAGTAAGCTAATGGACAAGATGCTAAATATCAACTGAGGATCAAGATATATTTTTAATTACAGTTGGCATTTTGCTTCTGCTTAATCCATTACATAGGAGCCAAGACCATGCCTTTTCTTCCAATTTCTGACTTCATCCATTGCTGGGGCTCAGCTTTGGTCCATAACATTAGGTAGGAGGCCAACCACTAAGGAGGGGTGAGTGATTGACCTGGATGACACATCTGTACCACAGAAAAAACCAAATGAACCCAAAGAAGCATACAGACAACGTCCTTAGATAATCACTGCTAATGTTTTGCAGCATTTTTTTGGTTCTTAGGCAAGATACTGTATTGAATTCCAGGTTAGCATAAGGCCTTTATTTTTGCTTTCGTTTTTTTTGTGATAAAGTGAGATAAAAAGCATTGTTATGGCAAGGTCCAGGCCTAGAAGATAAAAAACTTAGAGTCAAATCTTTGCATTAGATGATAATAGATGAGGTATTTCACCTTTCTGAGCTTTAGTTCACTGACTTGTAACATGAAGATAAAAAATATCCTTTCAGTTTCTTAAATTGTATTTTGTGAGAGTCAAATGACAAAAATTACTATATTTGAAAAGTATTATTTTTAGTAAAAGGAATATGATCAATATCATTATCAGTTGATAACACCAGTTATCATGAGTTAGAATGGGACTTTGTTTATTTGGTGATTTTCCTTTGGTTTGTTTTTCTGAACCCTCTTGTCCATCTCCCAACACTAGTCCCAGTCAGATTTTTTTTTCTGTCAGACGTTTAGATTAATTCCTCCCAGCATTTTCTTTCTGTTTAGTGTTTACTTAAATAAAACCAGAAACCAAAAGTGTAAATACAAAGTATTCAACTTATGCTCTTGAAAAATCCACTTGTCCCTTTTTCCTAACGTCTTCTAAGAAGTAGTATCAGTTAGACCTTGCTGTGTAACAGAAGTTCACATAATCACAGCAGAATACACCAGAAGTGCACATTTCTCACATGTTTGTGGGTCAGCTGGGATTGATATATCCAGGCTGGGCTCTGGTAGGTGGGTCCTGCAATAGGTCTCGCTAGTTTGGTGCTTTGCTATGAGCTAGTCTTAGACCTTCTCTACGTTGTATTTAGTCTACAGCTGGGGCTAAAGGGGCGGCACCTTGGTGAATTTCTTTCATGAATATAAAAGGGGCATAAGATGGCAAGCACAATCAAACAAGGCACCACAGTAGATTTGGCCTCAAAGGATGTTTGGCAAAATACTCTGAAACTAAATCTAACCTAATAATTCTCCCCCCAAGTAAAATGTTTATTTCAACAAAATTTAATCTTGTGTTGCCAGATGAAAGTTATGTTTACTTTCAAAAGTCAACGCTCGTAGTGACCACAATAGCAACTTTTTACATGGTTGAAGACACCATGCTATTAAAACTTTGGTGTCTGTGCACATGTGAGCATTAATTCTTTTGATTACTTCTTGTATCAGGTACATTTTCATCAAATGTCTTATTCTTAATTTTCAAAACTTTGAAACATTAGAATATTAAAATAATGTTTTAAAACACTAAGACAAAATACTGATGCCGTAGTATCTGTATATAGGAATAGTTTTTCTCTGTACATGAGTCAATGAGGATGAAAGTTTTGTGAAGGGAGGGTTTTACCTTCTTGAGTCATATTCAGATCCAAATTTGCAGTTCAGTACTAATGGAATACTACCATCAGTTTGTTTTGATGATTAGCATTGTAATGAAATTAGTTTATTCTACTGAGAAGCTGTTTTAGCCATTTCATTTTAAAATACTCATTAGTTGAATTGTATGTTTTACTATTGCGGTACTATGTTTTGTACATGGGCATAACAAAGATCCTAGGATAAAAACATGGGGTTCAATTTTCATGACAGAGGAGTTCAAAATGATTTCTGATAAGATCCACTTAAAAGCTATCTTTTTTCTTTGATGAAATGTTCAGTTAGCATTACAAAACTTACTAAAAAAATCGGACTCAGTGAAGATAACTGTAATCATCACACACACTTGCATGCATGCCCCTCATAAATGCCTACTTTGTAAATGAGGCTTTTTGTTTCGACTGTCTCCACATTAAATAAATAGCTGTGAACAGTTGATAAGTTTTAGGTGATTTATGTGGATCTTTATTAAAAATTAAAACATTGTTTGTAAAGTAAAACTAAGATTTTTTGAGCATAGATGTTCAGTTTAAACATTGTATGTAAGTGAATAGAGTTACTGTTCTTGGCTCTAGGGGGCTTCTTATGTCTCAAGAGTCAAGGGGTCCATCAGCGGGCCATATGTGAGATTGAATGCTTTCTCATGATCACATTTCCATTGGTGATTCTATCTGAAGTCTACCTTAGAGCTGGCATCCAGGCTGCTCAAAATATAATCCCTGGAAGCATTTCCAAAACCAAACACTCTCACCCTCTCCCTCCCTTTCTCTTCTTTTCTCCCTCTCTCCTTGAGTAAGTATGATCACGTGGTATAAAATCTTTTAAGAGATACATAGTAACAAGTATCTCTCTCATTTGAGTTTCCTATCCACCTTGTGCCATCTCCCAATATACCTGTGTTTACTGGTTTTTAAAATAAAAATGCAGTGCAATGTTTCATTAAATTTTTATTTTGCATCGCTTCTCTTAAAATTACAAACATATGTGTGTATTACATATACATATGCATATACATCCAGATAATCTGTGTAGATTATTTTTTGAACAGTACAAATCACCTAAAGACACAGTAGCTTAAGCAAAAACAATATATTATTTTAACTATCCGGTAGGTTAGAAATTTGGCAGGATTCTTCTGGGCAGTACTTCTGCTACATGGTGTAGCAAGGGTCATTCATTTAGCTGCATTCAGCTATTGACAGGGCTGAGCCAAAGTTTCTTAGGTCTCATCTTTAGGCCTTAGGCTGAGACCTAAGAAACTTTCATTTATATATTGGGCACCACAGCACTTTCCCAGGTAGCTTCTCTCTTCCTAAGTGACTTGGGCTTCCTTGCAACATGGTGGATGGTCTAAGGGCAGCTGGACTTCATATGTGGTGGCTGGCTTCCAAGGGGGAGTGTTCCAAGAGGTAAAGGTGAAAGCCTTAGGGTTCTAAATTCTTTTTTTTTTTTTTTTTTTTTTTTTTGAGACGGAGTTTCACTCTTGTTGCCCAGGCTGGAGTGCAATGGCGCGATCTCAGCTCACTGCAACTTCCAACTCCCGGGTTCAAGCGATTCTTCTGCCTCAGCCCCCTGAGTAGCTGGGATTGCAGGCATGTGCCATGACGCCTGTCTAATTTTGCGTTTTTTAGTAGAGACAGAGTTTCTGCATGTTAGTCAGGCTGGTCTTGAACTCCAGACCTCAGGTAATCCACCCGCCTCGGCCTTCCAAAGTTCTGGGATTGCAGGCATGTGCCATGACGCCCGTCTAATTTTGTGTTTTTTAGTAGAGACAGAGTTTCTGCATGTTAGTCAGGCTGGTCTTGAACTCCGGACCTCAGGTAATCCGCCCGCCTCGGCCTTCCAAAGTTCTGGGATTGCAGGCATGAGCCACCGCGCTCAGCCTCTAAATTCTTATGTGATTGTAATCAAATGACCCAGCAAATATCAATAGGCCATATTGGAGATTTAATAATTTCTCATGATCTTCTTTTAATTGATGAGTCTATTTTAAGACTCTTAGGACTAACATCTTAAGGCTCAACCAGGAAAATTAATCAGAATCACTCCTAGTACATTCCCTTGGACAGAACAAGTCACAAAGTCACCCAAAAGTCAGAGAGAAGGAAGAAATTCTGCCTCTCAACGGAATGAGTGGCAAATAATTTTCAGCCATATTTAATTCATGACAATATCTGTTTCATTTTATATGTTTTAAAGCCCACAGACACCAGCCAATCAGTGACTGAAAGATGTTTGCTAATATGCTATGGAAAATTTGATTCTGGTTCTGAAAAAATAATCGGGTTACTGGAGAAATATTGAAGTAAGAAGCAGTGCTTTTAGAAATAAAAGTAATTTTCTTTTTTTTTTAAAAAAAACTCTTTTTAAGGAGCTCATAGGTTTGTTTTAAAAGCCCACATTTTTGTAACACAATGTGTTGTTAATAAAAAAAAATACAATAAAACTCCCCAAAGTATTTTTGATCACTTGGACACATCTAGACTGCCAATTTGTGGACAGGCTAGTTCTTGATGCATGCTTTGACATATACATTAAACCTTCTTCTCATACTATTCCCTTGATGAATCTAATTCCCATCAAAACTGTGACATAACCTATAACTATCACCAGCTTCTTTGTGGGAGTTTACGATCTTCATGATATATGCCTTCTGAAATATATGTCTGTAGGCTTATGGTAAAATTAATAAAACCGAAATTAAAACTGACAACTCTGAAATGATATGCTACCCTTAGCATATGGAATAACTACCGTGAACACTTACGGGGTTTGTTGCAAGAGTATAGACAGTTACCCAATGGGGGATAACTTCTGAACTGTGTTGCTAAATCTCATTTGACAGGTTTTGAATTTGGTATAATTTTTCTATAGCATTTTAGTGTTGGGTGAGCAATATGTTAGCTATGATTCAGATGACATTTTATTTCTAAGCCCTTTAGTCTTTCCCCTCCAAGTCCTCCTTCACTTCCCTGTCACACCCTCCTTTTTCTCTCCTTCCCTCTATATATACTCTATCTTATCTAAATATTTTAGCAGCTAGTTCATGGCTAGAAGATTCTTTATGAAATACAATAATAAAAAATTCTTTTGTCTGGCTGCAAATCTGAATGTGCACATCTGCAAATCTGAGAGTACGTGTCAGAGTTTTACTTGTCTATCTATGGATTTATTATGTTTTTATTTCTTATATCCTAACATTTATACTGTTATTTTGTCTGATGGTAAAAATGTAAATTGCAAGGATTTAGTCCTGTACATTGTGTTGCATGATCCAGGCTTTTATAAAATCTGTCTTGGCCCCACTTCATGCATGCACATGTGTGTGTGCATACACATTTCTTTTTTTTTTTTTTAATCTTTTTTATCTGATGAGTGAAGCGCTGCTAGCCAGAAGTTGACTTTGTGAAGAACAGCAGTATCCCTATAAAAGAAAGCCTTTTGCAGTTTGGAGGGAAAATAGGTAAGAATAGGTTGTTATAATAACAAAGCAATACTCATATATTGTAATTATGCTGAAACTTCAGGATTCCATATGCTGGAAACTATGTAGGATTATTCAAAAGATGAAAATAGTCAGAAAATAGGGCCAGAAGGAATTTGAGGTGCTATTAGGTATATTCTTTTTCCTTCCCTTACCCTAGTTTTACCTTGAAAGCATAGAAATTCTACAAACATGCTCCAAACATGATACATAAAAATAAACATATATTAACAAGTGTATAGTGGTTTTGCGTAGGAATGACTCCCCAAATCATGTATGTGGGCCTTTCCAAAATTTGTTCAAAATAAAATAGACTTTTGTTTCTGAGACAGGTTCGCTTGTGGCTGCCTTTAACAACTTTTTAATAATTGCCCCTAAATGATTTTTATCCCTGCAGTCAGGATCATTCTTTGCTATGAAACTATTTTATAAATAAGAAGATGCTGTACCAGTGCTATAGACAGTCTTGGTTATCTACTCAAAATTCAATCCACTGTTCTTTCTTGGTAACAAGGATGCAATGAGCCCTATTAAATGTTCATGTTCTAAGCCTTTCTTTTAGCTAAGAGTGAACTTGGTTTTAAACAATGGGTTTTGTGAGCAGAAATCCACAGGTAGTTTCTTGGGAAGAATGTTCTTCTTTACAAATGGGATGATACCACTCTTCTACCAGCTTTCCCTTCCTCTTTCTTTCTTGAATAAGGATGTAATGGCCAGATTTGTAGCAGCCATATTGTGACCACATGGAGAAAGTTAATATATTTCAGAGTTCTTGACCCTGACAACGTATAGCTGCTGAATCTACACTAGCAACTGCAACTGTCTTCCTCCATGACTTCTTGTAAACTAAAAAAAAATTTTTCTCCCTGTGTCAACTATCATGTCAAGTATTTTGTTACTATTAGCTGATTCTAGCTACCTTAAATTGTAAATAGATATAAAAAGCTCATTTGTTTACCTTAAATTTATAATTTTGGTGTTTTCTGTTGCTGTTATTGTTGTTGCTGTTATTTTGCCTGTATCTTCTTTCTTTCTTTCTTTCTTTTTTGAGACAGAGTGTCGCTCTGTCACCAGTCTGGAGTGCTGTGGCACAACCTTGGCTCACTACAAACTCCACCTCCTGGGTTCATGCGATTCTCCTGCCTCAGCCTCCTGAGTAGCTGGGACTACAGGCACGCACCACCATGCCCAGCTAAATTTTGTATTTTTAGTAGAGATGAGGTTTCATCATGTTGACCAGGATGGTCTCAATCTCTTGACCTTGTGATCTGCCTGCCTGGACCTCCCAAAGTGCTGGGATTACAGGTGTGAGCCACCGTGCCTGGCCTTTTTTTCTATTCTTAAAACAGGTCCTGTGCTCTTTGCTTTGATGCCTGTTTGCAATATACTTCCTGGGTTTTTCATCAAAAGCTTATATTAATTGAGGAGTTTGGAGTTGAAGGTGGTAGTCTCCCTCAGTTAAAAATACATTCTCTGGATTGAGGGAGTCAAGAGAGCTCTGTGGGTCTAATGAACACTGAGGATCAATTGCTGTGAGGATGTGGCTTTGCAGAACATCAGGAGGCTACATCTGGCCCAGGAACTCTGAATTTCACTAAGGCTTTCTGTCTCCGAAGCATAGTGCAGCAGCAGCAGAGACAGGGCCTGTGCTAAACTGAATCCCTCTAAATCAAGGTCTCATTCATCCTCCTTCTACTGAGCTAAAGTCCCCCATCTGACCTTACCCTGAAGCTTTTCCCCATATCCTTACCACATGTTTTCTTGGTGTCCGCTGTCTCTTGGAATGACATCCTACCTCCATCTGGCTGCTTCCCCATGACCAGAGGTGTCACAAAAGTCCTCTTCAAAGGGCTGCTCTGGCCTCTCCACCTAGGCAAATGATGCAAATGCCCTTCTTTATGCTTCTGATCTATGAAAGGAAGAAGGCATTCTGATGAGACTTGATTTCACTTGGACGATTAAAGCAGAAGTAGGACCCAAGGTCCCTCTACTCTCAGATCTACAAAATTATGATTCTATTGTCCCTCCTCTTTGGAGATAACTCTGCAATGGAGGAAGGGTTCATAAGTTAAGAGCCTTTGTTAGAAATATTGGCTCATGTTATATTATAAACCATAATCTTCATCAGTAACATATGGGAATTTGGACAATAAGATCTGTAATATTCACCTCATATCAAATGCACAATTATTCTATCAAAAGTTTCTTACAACTTATAAGGTATACTTGGCTTTTCAGAGGATGCAGTGGGGATTCTGGTGCAAATTTATTCTAAAAAAATTGTAAAACCAAAATATTTCAGAACTCTTCTACTTCTTAGCAAATGGTGCATTCTCCATTAGAATATTTGTTGGAGCATAGCAGGCAGTCAATAAATATTTACCAAACGAAAGAATGAATGAATGACTATCAATTTGGGATGCTTTATACCCCAAGATCTAAAACAATGAGCACATGTTTTAATTATAGCAGTTCTCATTTGACCCTTACCATAAATCCCTGGTCTTTACAAAAGCCAAATGCAATCTTTCAAACATGTGAGTTTCTGCATCTGGGTGATTCAGAACAGAAGGGGTTAATAAAGGATTGGATGCATCCATAGGATTTCTGTGAAGCACAAAAAGTACAGTGCCAACAAAATCCCCTGAAGAGTAAACAAAACTTGGAACTGTTGCAAACAATAAATTGTCAATACCTTATAGAAGAAATGGATAATGAAAACTTATCATGCCTATAGTTAGTATCCTCTTTAAAAGAATTTACAGAGCCTATGAAATTAAATTCTGTGCACAGTTCTCTTAATTTGTCCTTAATTAAACAATACTCCATAAATGGTGCATTCAGTGACCAAATGTTCAGAGACAGCAAAATGGTGGGTCCCAAGCCATTAGGAATGAAATAAAGGCAGTCCCTGGAGAGTCTGCAAGAATCTGGTCTCTCTAAGTGACAACTGATGGTTTAGGAAAGATAATTAACTTTGCAATTACAAACTGCAGCTTTCACGACTGCTGTTTTTCCCCCAGCATAATCTTTTAAATGTTGGATTATTTCCTATAATATGAAATAGTTTGCTTAGAAAGGGGTAAAGCAAACAAATGCCCCACCTTGGGCTGCTGAGTTCATCAAGAATTAAGTCCTTATTGATTAATTTAATGGGTATTGTTTTTTATTTCTAATGTTAGATCAATATCCATTTAATGTGTGATGGCTATGCTGATTTTCAACACACTAATTTCATCAGAAAATTTATACAAATATCAAAACAATATATTGATTCTATACAAAACCAGAAAAATAGAACTTTTATTTTTATCAGAAAATAAATAAAATTTCTGTTCAGTAAGCTATGAGGTAAAACTTTTAAAGAATCCTTATACTCCTATAGATTTAGTAACTGTATGCCATTTTTTCCTGCTTAAGTGATTCTCTGAAAATCTCATTACTTTATTTATTATGGATTTTTAAATTACCTTAGTACCGGAATAATCCAGTTTTCTTTCTCCTTCCTCAAAGAATTCAGTCTACCCTAACTCTACCTGAACAACTTTCCTTAATGTCAACTGACACTATGCATTAGGCAAATGTTAATGACAAATAAGAATTGCTGTTTTTTCTTTGAAAATCTGATCGCAGGAAGGCCACTTCATTGTGTCTATGCAGACAGAAATTGTGAACTGTATAAATATCCTGAACTAATTTTAGACCCAAAATACCCATCTTCTCCTCAATATTATCTGGTTCATCCGATGGCCATGTCTTTCTCTTCTTTATCTGATTTTCTGATTATTTCTATTTCTACATAGATGTGCCTGTCTGTACATGTTCAGAGTGGTCCTATCACTCACAGCAAATACACTAGCAAATAGACTTTGAAAGTTGACTCAGTCGTGGAAATGCACAAATTGCCTTTTGTTTACAGTATGTAATAAAGATGAAGAATTAGGAAGCATCTGAAAGATAAACTGGTTTTTATTTGGTGCCTCAAAAACTCAGAGAAAATTTGTAAGACCATCCCTTTGTCATTAGGCTTTTACATAATGTACTTAGGTTTTATTAGAAACCCTCATGTTGTTAAGGAATCTTTATATGTTCTCTGAACTTGGGCAGGATCACCCTTTCTCTCTCTCTTCCTTCTTTTCTTTCTTCCTTCTTTTATTTGAGCATCAAATATTTATTGAACTCTTACTACATACTACTACTAAGCCTGAATCTATGGCTACAGAGATCTACACAAGGAAGTGGCCATTAACTGAAAGTTGAAGTTCTTTTGCTAGCAGATCTCATACAGATACAGCCACTGGGGACTTAGATAAATACAGAGAAGTGGGCTGCTTCTCTTCCTGGAGGCTAGCTTCTACACTGGGACAGAAAACCCAGGCAACTTTCCATGTCTAAGTCCATTTCCATGTCTGCTCAGCAAAATTCCCATCTCTTTCTAAGGAAAAGAGTAATGAATACAAATTATCCACCAAGCTTCTTGACAAAAGCCCATTTTCCTACAAGATTGTGTTTGTTTCCACCTTAGTCAGCCTCCAGATTATAAGGATGCTCCTCCTTAATGCCTTTAACCTCTGACTCCTGCATTTGTCCCTTTACATTAACCTGGCCTTGGGCACTACGTTAAGTTGTATCCTAATAGCATCTGTGTATCTCCTGGGCTCCCCAAGACTATCTCCCACTTGTCTAATCTGTGACTTCTCATTTCTCTTTTCCCTATTTCCTTCACCACTTTTTTGTTTTGCATCACACCTCATCCTCCACTTGAGTCTTCTCTTTTAGCTCTCTTATGTTATCACCTGGTTTAAATTCACTCTCCCAACTCTGACCTTCTAACACATGCCCTCATGTCTCAAGAACTGTTTAGAACTACTCAGGAGGCTGAGGTGGGATGGTGGCTTCAGCTGGGAAGTCAAGGCCGCAGTGAGATGAAATCACGCCACTATAATCCAGCCTGGGTGACAGAGCAGGACCCTCTCTAAAAAAAAAAAAAAGTTCAGAAAGTATAGCATCACCCTGCCTTCATGTTTCATGGAGTTTCTCAGCTGGCCTGGGCCAGATCATGAGTGGGGAAAGGGGATGAAGGAATGCATTATGCATTCAACTGTTAACCCATAATCCAAAGCTTCATTGTCTTCTTTTCAGACAAATACAGAAGTTCCAACACTCATATTTATTATCTGCCGTTTCAAGATGAATATTTCTATGGACTTATTTTGGAATACATTGTTTTCCAACTCTAAATCATGCTATAAACCTTGTGCTTTTTTCACTACATAAAGTAAAAGGGCTACATCCCAGATGATCAGGAATGTGTCATATTTGTTGTTGTATTTCCTTGACAACTACCGTAGGATGTTGGTGGAATGTTCTCAAACTTTATCCAACAAATGCTAATTCTGCTTGATATCACTGTGCATTTTGCATGGAAAACTTTCCATCAGCAAATATGGGAATCATGGGCTAAACAAAACTAAATAGGTTCCTTTACTTCAGGACTCCCTGAGTCTTAAATATGGTAATGTACTTACAGTATTCCAAGAGGAAGATAAAGGATATGATACTTGACCATGAATGCTTTTTTTTTTTCTGAAGCGTCTTGAATAGCTAGTGTTAGTGCTCTGTGGAGCACACATTTAGTGAAATACTGTTCCACAAAATGAAATTTTAAGTATTTAGAGAGTAATTAAAAGGCTTTCATAATTTGGTCCTCATTTTCCTTTCTATCTTAACTTATTTAACTTCCATAAATTTCTTGTTAAGAACTTTATATTCCAGGCAAAAAAAAAAAAAGGCCATTTGTTATTTCAACACAATCTATGCTTTGCTAAACACCTGCTTTGCTCCCCTTTTTTTCCACTCTTCCATCTAGCTTTCTCCAGTTAAAATTATTGCCCCTACAAAACGTCTCCTTATCCACAAAGCCTTGGTTTATTACTTAACTGCATGTGACTTTCCTGTATTCTCAAATTCTGTAGTACCATTTTTTATGGCATATATCACAATCTGTTGGATATTGTTGCTAATGGTGACCTCATTTCCACTATCAGTTTCCAATTTTTTTAAAAAAGAATACTATTGTATGTTGAGTTATCTCCATGAACTAGCCATTCTTTGAGGAATTTTATTCATTTATTAATTTAGTCATTAATTCATGTTAGGATGAGTTCAATCAGCCAAGCTAGATGGCTTCAATTTCAGCCAGCCATCATAGTTGATGAGTACCAAGGCATGTTCTAGAGGTAAGAACATGTGTTTTCTGATACTGCTGTAAACAAGGTAGACAAAACACTTTCCCTCATGAATTTTACATTCTAGTGGATGCAGATTATAAACATGTAAACAAAGGAATAAATAAATGATTTGGAGAGTGGTGCTATGTAGAAAACAAAACAGAATAAGAGTATAGAGAACAACAACAGAGATGGGATGATTACATTAAGTTAGAGTGGTCAGGGCATTTTATCTATGTTAGCAAATTGAAGTTCCATATGAGGCAAAGTTCCATAGATTGACCGAGATCATTTAGATCTTAAGTATTAGAGCAGGGCTAACATATATGATTGCATAGGTCGTGCATTGCAAAACTCTAAAGAACAGCATTCTTATCATTGTCCATGTGAGTAATGCCTCTGTCAGTCTGTTTTTTTTTTGTTTTTTTTTTTTTGAGTTGGAGTCTCGTTCTGTCACCCAGGCTGGAGTGCAGTGGCAAGATCTTGGCTCACTGCAACCTCTACCTCCCGGGTTCAAGCGATTCTCCTACCTCAGCCTTCCCAGTAGCTGGGATTACAGGAGCACACCAGCACACACAGCTAATTTTTGTATTTTTAGTAGAGATGGGGTTTTGCCATGTTGGCCAGGCTGGTCTCAAATTCCTGACCTCAAGTGACCCGCCCACCTCAGCCTCCCAAAGTGCTGGGATTACAGGAGTGAGCCAACATGCCAGGCCTCAGTCATGTTTTTATGGAGAAGCAGAACCACTAAGACTGATGTGAAATAAGGAATTTATGATAGAGATTATGCCTTAAGTACAGAGGAGAGCTTATAAAGAGTTCTACAGAAAGTCATTGCTTCTTTGGGTATGGGATGGAAATCACTGTAGGTAATAAGGGACAATGGTGCCTCAGAAAAGATTACATAAAGTGGGAGAAAATTAGGACAGATAGGAAGCCACAAACAAAACGGATCCCGTAAAGACAAATTAGAATTCATGTCTGTGTCTCACTGCCTCCAACCTGAATGAAGCGAGTAGTGTGCTGACAAAAAGACCTGGAGCTTTTCACCATGTGTCTGTACAAGCACCTGGGCCAGGTCTTGGAGAAGCTGAAGGAAGAGATTCCATGGGAATTGGAAGAGCTGCAAACTGGCTGCTGCATATTCCTATGAAGTGGGCCACAAGATGATTGACACGTGAACAAGCTGCAACAGTTGCCCTACAGCAAAATTTGAGTGTAATGGCTGCTGCTTCCACATCTTGCATTAATTTCTTTTGTGACTAACTCTAACCAGAATCAATGTCTTAGAGCAGAGGTGGGCTTTCATTTCGACTTTGGGACTTCCAGAGTTACATGCTTTTGACGACACAGTATTGCCTCTTTCATGGAGGATATGTGTCATATAAATACATCTCATAATACCTACTGCAGAAAGTAAGTGCTTACTAAATATTTATTGAATAAATAATTCTCTGACCTGAAAGTGACTCTAGAGAATAAAATTCTTAAATTTTCAGAGTAACTAGACTGTATCAAAGCACACAGGCTGGAAAAAATAGTCATTTACCAAAGAAAAAATAGAGTGATCTCTTTGTCACTGAAACACTTTGCTTTTAGGAGAGCAGGACTGAAGATCTCATTTCCAAACTTAAGCATTTGTGTGGCCACATTACTAGACCAGAATTACCTGGGGAAAGAAACTTCTGGGAATTTGTTAGAAATGAAAATTTTCCAGGTCTACTAAATCAGAAATTCTGGGGATGGGACCCAGCAGTCTGCATTTGAATAACCCTTCAGGTAATTCTGAGAGATGCTCAAATTTGAGAATCACTAATCTAGAGCCACTAAATTCCTGGGCAAGTGAATAAAAGGAGAAGTCGAAGTAGGCCCTATTTGGTGAATCTGCAAGTTTGGTGGGTAAGAGGAATGATAAGAGGAGCCACCAAATTGCAACTTTAGACAATTCAGGAGTCAGGCAAAAGTGGAAATGGTAGCAAGCAGCCTTTTGGAGCAAGCGCATCTTGAAGTTTCAAATAAGTAACAGAGTCACTCATTGGCAATGCTGGGGATTTCTCCAGTCGTATATGGCAGCACCTTTTCCACCCATGCTCATGGCAGGTGGGTTGCTGATTGCTTGTTACTTGGGCAATCTCTGGGTAAATTAATGAATCACATCATGGATTCCTATCCTTTTAGTCATGCAATTTGATATAAATGGTGACGCAACCACACTGCCCTCTCCAGCTACGTGTGTTCGTGTCTCTCCTTAAGAACAGTTTCTCCCCAGATCAATGTATGATGGTAGGATAATATTTTGAAATGCTAATCACCATAAGCGTTGTTTTTTACCCTTTATTTTCTACTTGCTTCTGTGTCACTATGCTCAAAGTTGAAGCCCTGATTCTCTGTGGCTTTTCTGTTCCATTATCCTAAGACTTTAGGACACCTTAGCAGATATGTTAAACAGTTGATAAAGATGACTGAGACATAGACAAGGTATCTTAGTAAAAAACACAAACAGGAAAGAGATATTCCTTTGACTGAAGGTTGGAGATTTAAAAGGGAAGAAAGAGGAAAGACTGGGATAGAACTTTCATGTAGCTTTGATGGTGAAGAAGAATCTCAGAAAGAAAATGGTTTGTGGCTATGGTTATGTCTATAAGTGCAGGGGAAGCCTTGCAGAAGTATTCCAGGCCCCAAACCTGAAATAAAAAGAGCAGAGAGGTTGGGCTGCGTAGCTTATGTCTGTAATCCCAGTACTTTGGGAGGCTGAAGTGGGGAATTGCTTCAGCTCAGGAGTTCAAGACCGGCCTGGGCAACATAGTGAGACCCTGTCTCTACAAAAAATTTAAAAATTAGCTGAGCGTGCTGGTGCATGCTTATAGTTCCAGCTACTTGGAAGGCTGAGGTGAGAGGATCACTTGAGCCTAGGAATGCGAGGCAATAGAGAATTATGATCACACCACTGCACTCTGGCTGGGATGACAGAGCTAGACTATGTCTCAAAAGAGAGAGAGAGAGCAAAGAAAGAATAGAGAACTTCTAGGACAGCAGAAGTGTGAGCAGTAACTCTCTAGACAAGTGACCCATAACTAGTTCCATAACACCCCCTCCAAATACCTTGCCACTATGCAAAACTCAACAAGTAGAACTCAGAAAATGGCTAAGTTTAATTTTTCCTCTAAGCCTAGGAAATGAGTTGATTTATGGCAAAGGCAGTACAATTTCTTTCAGATATAAGTATGTGAACTGAAGCTAATAATTCCTAAGACTGTGACTCTTTTGTCACTAAGATTATGTCTTCTCCATTACTTTATTTTGATAAACAATGTGCTGTGTAGGGAAGACCCATTATCCCGAAATGAACTTAAAACTGCTAGATCAGCTGTTTTTAGAGGTGAATTGCCAGAAACAGGGGAAAGAAGGAAGAGAAGAGGCAAATGTAATCAGATTTCAGACTTAGTGATAACTGGTATATAAATTCTTATTTGGAAGGGCTGGATATCACTGTTACTCGGTGGTGCTCCTGCAGTGGTTTCACTTGATATTTGTCTCCTCTTAACCTAGTAGGAAAGTCAGGCTGTGAATACCATTACATGTACATAGTGCAATAAAGTATGTTTGTTTAGATATTAACAACTTCCTCCTTAGATATTAACAACAATCCTCCACTGGTAGGATAGAGAAGAAAGTGATTAAATTTGGGGACTGGAGGATGTATGAGTCAGGGTCCCAGTACAAAACAGATGAGTCATTTAAAAGAGTAGCTCTGAAACGAAAAAAAAAGGATGGTTGTAAAGAAACACAGGGCAAAGAACCCACATCCATGGCTCAGTAGAACCTGAGCTATTACACCCAAGATCCAAACAGGAAAGAAAGGGACCAGAGAAAGGAAAGGGTCCAGAGCCTGAAGGGAAAGAGATGTAGAATCAGAGAACTCGAGAGGAACAGTATGCTTCATTTGAGACACAGCCAGAGATGAGTTCACAGGAAGGATGCTGGGTGTACATCCTTAGGCCTTACCCACCTACCTATTTCAGTCTTCTCTTAGGGGTCCCCATATGCTGAACCCAGCCTGAAGCTAAAGGACTTAAGAGCCCAGGTGATGTAGCCCATGAAGTAAGCCTTTTCAGGCTGAGGCCAGGCAGGGTTGAAAAAGGTGGATCTGGAGGAACAAACAGAGGTTACATGAATGAGAAATGGTGTCTCAGAGTAGATGATGCCTGAACAATTTGAAGGAGCCATAGGAGTCTGCCAGATATAGAATGGAAGAAATTACTTAGGTTTGCTTCCCAAGTTGGTTTTATGTTGCTACAATTCTGACATTTTCTAAACACATTTTCACTTATTAGAATAGGATGTAAGCAGTATGGTGGGTGGGTTTTACCCAGCCACATTTAATTTCTTAAGTTAGTTCATATATCAATATCTTGTCACCTGTTGTTATGAGTTGAATTGTGCCCTCCAAAATGATAGTGAAGTTCTAACCCCTAGTACCTGTGAATTTGACTTTACTTAGAAATAGGATCTCTGTAGATGATCAAGTTAAGATGAGGTCAGTAGGGTGGGTCCTAATCCAGTATGAACGGTATCCTTACAAAAAGGGGAAATTTAGGCATAGAGACAGAAATGCACACAGGGAACAGTAGATGAAGTTGAAGGCCGAGATTGGGGTGATATGTCTACAAGCAAAGCCAGAGATTGCCAGTAAACTACCAGAAGCTAAAGCAGAAGGAATGGAACATATTCTCCCTCACGGTCCTCAGAAGGAACCATCCCTGCTGACCCCTTGATCTTGCCTCCAGGCCTCCAGAACTATGAGACAGTATATTTCTTTTGTTTAAACCACTTAGTTTGTGGTACTTTTTTATAACAGCGCTAGCAAATTAACACACCTCTCAGTAACATATCCTCTTATCCCCTATAATTCTTCTTCTCTGCTACAAAACACATATGTCAATGATGGAAAAACTGCTCACCTTTATACAAAACAATATAAAGTATCAGAAGATATATTATATTTAACAAGGTTATATTTCCAACAGAGGTCAATTTATTGTGAAACCAATAAAACTTAAGCCTTGAGACCCTCAATTATCTCAACCCCTTCTAAGGCCCAGTATCTAATTTTTATATTCTTAATTTAAACTCTTTTTCTAAAAGAGAGTACCCTGGTTATTTGGACTCCACAGAACCTGTGTCTGCCCTTTATCTTAACCTCTGTTGTTGTAACCCCCAATCCCAGCTAGTAATGCAACACAGTTGTGTATGTGTTTGTATCCTAATTCAGTCCTAATATGCTTTCAAATTCATTGTTCTTATAATCAACAACCATTAAAAATAAACTCGAAGGAATAACAAACAAAAAGAACAAACAACTTTGAGAGTCCTTGAACACAGAGTGTTCTAGGCCCAGTGGGATTCCAAAATGAGGACAATAATCCTTCTCTAGTCTGCACCAAATGGTGGTTTACAGTTTTAATTTTTTTTTTTTTTTTTACCTGAGGGTTCTTGTTTCAGGTGAATTACCTCAGGGAGAAAGCCCATTTTTGATACTCCTAAATCTCCCACTATTTTTTCTAGGTTGTGAAACCTCAATTGCTTTGAAGAGAAGATGGATTAAAATTACAATTACATTCATTAGCATATCTAAATGGAAGCATCCTGCCTTACTGTATGTACTCATTAAGAGTGAGCATCAACAGCATTTCAGAACTGGCTGCATTAATTAGATGATGGAATCGTGCACATCCTTAGAACTTCTGCACAGGATGGAAAGAGCCTGAAGGTTATGACCTGACTTGGCCACGGCTCTGGGGGGTTTTCTGTCTCTGTAATTTATATACCCCTCCACAATATAGGCCCTACTCTCATCTGTCATTAAAATAACCATCTTCAGGTTTCATAAGTATGTACTCAAACTTAAATCCTATTTTAGAAGAAGAAGAACAGATATCTCTCAAGTAACTCCACATGGAGTTGAGCACATTGGCTGAGGTACTGGTGAGATCATCACAGAAAAAGAAACCCTATTCATTTTTTTTCCTTTTGCTCTGGACAGCAACATCCTGGCACTTTTCCAAGCCATGCTGACTAATGGGAAGTCGTAGAGTTCATGTACACCTTCTAATATTTGGCTTTGCAAATGTTCTGTGTGACTTCTGCTCAGCATCGTGGTGGACCACTTATTCGTCAGTCCTCATGCTTCCATATGAAGAGCACACTGCTTGAGAAACCCTCTAGTCCCCTTTCCACTCCCTTACTCCTTCCTACTCTGGGGAGGAGAACTCATTTGATTGGTGAACTTGGGAGAAGGAACGGAGAAGTCTTGGAGCAGTGCCTTCCTTCCTCTCTGTTTGGAATCCTCTTGTCTATAGAGGGTACTTGTTCTGTCTGTTCTCTGCCATGCCATCAGTATCCATGGGTTATAAAGACCTGATGTTTTCAGCTATATCTATGACTACATGTATAAGTCTGTTTGGGATCATCCCCCAAAATAGGCTGCCAACAATTCCTCCTCTTCCTGCACATGCTTACCTATTTTTCTGTCAAGAACTAAAATCTATTTCCCCGCTTCTTAAATCCAGGCTGGACTTCTGATTTATTTACACCAATAAAAGTACCATGGTACTGATGCTTTATGAGTTCTAGGTCTAGACCTTAAAAGGCCTGACAGCTTCCATTTTTCCCCTAGTGGAATCTAGTTGCCATGTTGTGTGGAAATCCAGCCTGTCTTGCCAAAGAGACAAGGAGTGTGAGAGGAAGTTCCACATGAAGGGACCACGTAGAGGACAACCAAATCATCATGGCCAAATCCAGCCCTAAGGCTCCAGACATGTAGGGCAGCCCTCTTCGGCCATACAGCCCAGCCTGCCTGCCACCTGGATGCAGCCAATATGAGTGACTCCATCAACACCACACGGAGTAGAACAGCCCAGTCAACCTATGGAGTCATTAGAAGTAATGAAACATTAACACTCTAAGCTTTCGAATTTGTTACATAGCAATAGATAACTCATCATTTTTGTAAATTCATGAAATTTTAGAGGTGATGACTCAGCAAGCCCAAGTGGGCACACACATAAATCATATTCTCCAAATAGCTTTATTAGTAATTAAGATGATAGTTTAATGTCCATCTTCTCCTCCTGGGCCTGCTTATCCATTGAGTCAGAACTCTGGAGAGGAGAACTGACTGGCTAAGACTCCTTAACTAGAAAATACTTTTTTTATCTACCTAAAAACCTATGTGTCCTGTAAGAGTCAGCCCAGCCCAAACGTCACCTCAAAAAGAACTTACCTGATGCAGATCCCTCCTGTCTGTATTTTCCCGGAGTATGAGTTCATCACAGCACATGCTTGCACTTTGTGTTTGACGTTACTCCATACTCATTGAAGTCAGGGGATAGGTTTTATCTGAATTTACCTCACCACCCTCACAAACATGCCTAATCCAACATTACAGTTAATAAGCACTTCTCTTATGTAATACCTGAGAAAATTTGTCTGGTTTGCTTCAGTTAAGAGTATGAAGCTTCTTCACTCTCCCAATCCTTGTTTTTCTAAAAAGTTTTTTTTTGATGTTTTGGTCTCTATATAAAACAATATAAATTATCAGAAGATGAATTATATATTTGGTGTACAGTTTGGCGAGGTGGAACAAGCACTAGCTTTTGGATGGAGTTAAGTCTCAAACTTATTTCTGGTAGCTTTTGCTTACGTGGAATTGGGTGACCACTTTCCGTTTCTGAGCTCTAATCTCCTCATTGTAACTTGGGAATAATTACTGGTAGACTTTCAGTAATAGAGTTTTTAAACAGTTTTATTGAGATATAGTTCAAATACAATACAATTTACCCATTTGGCATGCACAATCACCACAATCTCACAATCTGATTTTGAAATATTCCTGTAACCCTATACCCATTAGCAGCCACTCCCCATTTCCCCATTTCTCTTAACACTGAGCAACCACTAAACTACCTTCCTTCTCTATAGAATTGTCTATTCTGATAATTTATAAACATTCAATCCTACAATATATGATCTTTTGTGACCATATTTTTGGTTTTTTTTTCTTTCTTTTTTTTTTTTTTTGGATGGAGTCTCACTCTGTTGCCAGGCTGGAGTGCAGTGGCACGATCTCTGCTCACTGCATCCTCTGCCTCCTGGGTTGAAGAGATTCTCCTGTCTCAGTCTCCTGAGTAGCTTGGACTACAGGCATGTGCCACCATGCTCAGCTAATTTTAGTATTTTTAGTTGAGACAGGGTTTCACCATGTTGGTCAGGATGTCCTCGATCTCTTGACCTCATGATTCACCTGCCTCAACCTCCCAAAGTGCTGGGATTACAGGCGTGAGCCACCATGCCCAGCCCTGTGACCATATTTTTTCACTTAACAGAATGCTTTCGAGGTTCATCATATTGTAGCTTGTATTAGTACTTCATTCCATTTTACTGCTGAATAATATATTGTTGTGTGGCTATAGCACATTCTTGTTGTCCGTTTATCAGTTGACGGACATTTGGGTGGTTTCCACTTTTTGGCTGCTATAAACTGTGCTTCCATCAACATTTGTGTATAAGATTTTATGTGTACATACGTTTTCATTTCTTGTAGATATATACATAGGGTTATATAATAGGAGTGGAACTGTAGTATATGAGTGTTCCCATTTCTCCTCATCAACACTTATTATTGTCTGCCTTTTAGCTTTAGTCATTCTAGTGGATGTGAAGTGGTAGAGGCATACCATCAAGATAGCATGGGTTCAGTCCCAGACCACCATGATAAAGTGAATATTGCAATAAACTAAGTCACACAATTTTCTTGGTTTCCTGGTGCATGTAAAAGATATGTTTACACTATACTGTAGTCCATGAAGTGTATAATAGCATTATAGCTAACCCTTTTACTTGAATACTGAGAGGCCATTGTAGGGTTATTAATTGGCCTTGTTTCAATATTATTGTGTCCCAGGGAATAGGAGGCCTGAAAAGAAAGAGAGAAATGGAGAATGGCTTGTCAGTGGAGCAGTTGGAACACATAACAACATTTGTCAATTAAGTTTCCTGTCCTGTATGGGTGGTTCCTGGTATCCCCCAAACCATTACAATGGTAACATCAAACATGACTGATAACAGATAGAATAATAATTTAAAAGTTCAAAATATTGCAAGAAATACAAAAATGTGATACAGAGACATGAAGTGAGCTCGTGCTTTTGGAAAAATAGTGCCAATAAACTTGCTGGATGAAGGCTTGCCACAACTCTTTGAAGCAGCATGAAGCAAAACATAGTAAAATGAGTGAGGTATGCCCTCTATTTTATTGTGGTTTTGATTTGTATTTCCATAATGAATAATTATGTTGAGCATCTTTTCATGTGCCTATTATCATTCACAGATTTTTTTTCTGGAGAACATCTATTTGTATCTGTTGCCTATTTTAAAAATTGGGTTATTTGTTTTTTTATTGTTGAGTTGTAAGATTTCTTAATTTATTCTAGATATAATTCTCTTATTAGATACAAAATTTGCAAACATTTCTTCACACTCCATAAGGTATCTTTGCACTTTCTTGATGGTATCCTTTGGGGCACAAAAGTTTTTAATTTTGGCAAATTCCAATTTGTATATTTTTTCTTTTTTCACTATTGTTTTGGTGTTTTATTTTGCCTAACTCATGTTCATAAAAAATTATTTCTCTATTTTATTCTAAGAGTTGTATGGTTTTAGCTCTTAGAACCCATTCTGAGTTAATTTTTTGAGAAAAGGGTCCAACTTCATTCTTTTGAGTGTGACTATCCAGTTATCCAACACCATCTGTTGTAAAGATTATCATTTCCTCATTGAATTATCTTAGCACCCTTGTAAAAAATCAATTGACGGTAAATATTAGGGTTTATTTCTGGACTTTCAATTCTGCTCCATTACCTGACTCTATTTTAGATTTACACTGACATTGTTCCTGTGAAATTCTCTTTTCTTTTCTGTGCTATGATTGTTACACATATTATGTCCATATATGTTTTAAGCACAATACATTGTTATAATAGTGTTTTCTAAATAAATTCCAAAGAGAAATGAGAACAAGTATATATTAGAGGAGACTGTTATGTTAGCCTTCTTCTTTATCTTTTTCATCCCTTCATTTATTCCTGTGGATATTAGTTATAACCTGGTATTATTTTCTTACTCCAATATAACTATGCTCCTGCCCACCTCCTTTGTGCTGCTGTCATCAAGTATATTATACATGCTATGGGCCCAACAATACAATTATATACATATTGCTTTATGCTAGATCATTATCTTTACTACCATGCTTTGTTTTTTCATGTCTGAAGAAATTTCTTTAAAACTCCTTCTAAGACAGATTTGCTAGCAACAGATTCTCTCAGTTTTTGTTTATCTTGGAATGTATTTGTTTCACTTTCATTTTTTAAAGATAATTTTGCTGGAAATAAGATTCTTGGGGTTGGAAATTTTTTTAATTTTTAGTAAGTTTTTTCTTTTTTTGTTAAAGTTGTATTTTAGGTTCAGGGGTGCATGTGCAGACTTGTTATATAGGTAAACTCATCTCATGGGGGTTTGTTGTACAGATTATTTCATCACCCATGTACTACGGCTAGTATCCAATAATTAATTTTTCTGATCCTCTCCCTCCTCCCACCCTTCACTCTTATGTAAAACTCAGTGTCTGTTGTTGCCCTCTTTGTGTCCATGAGTTCTCATCATTTAGCTCCCACTTACAAGTAAGAACATGTGGTATCTGGTTTTATGTTCCTGCATTAGTTTCCTAAGGACAATGGCCTCCAGCTCCATCCATGTTCCCATGAAAGACATGATTTCACTCTTTTTTATGGCTGCACAGTATTCCATGGTGTAGACATGCCACATTTTCTTTATCCAATCTGCCATTGGTGGTCATTTAGGTTGATTTCATATCTTTGAACTTTTAGCATTTTAAATTGCCTTTTGACATCCATTGTTCCTGATGAGAAGTCAACTATTAATCTTCAGGTATCACTTTTACATGATGATCACTTTTATCTCTTACTCTTTTCAAAATTTTCTCCTTGTTTTTAATCTTTCAACATTTTAACTATGATGTATAGATACAGTTGTGGGTATACAGGTGTGGATTTCTTTACATTTTTCCTACTTAGAGTTTCTTGAACTTTGGGGTATGTGCAGATTAATGTTTTTCATCAAATTTAGGAAGATTTCAGCCTTTATTACTTCAAATTCTTTTGTTTGTACTTTCCCTCTCCCCTCTTGTAGTGGTATTCCCATTAAGCTTATGTTAGTGCACTTGAAAATGTCTGATATTTCTCTGGGACTCTGCTCATTTTTATTTATTCTTTTTTTCCTCTGTGTTCTTCAGATTGCATAATCTCTACTGATCTATCTTTAGGCTTTCTAATTCTCTTTTCTGCCAGCTCCAATCTATTGTCAATCCCCTCTAGTGATTTACAATTTTGCTTATTTTACTCTTCAACTACACAATTACCATTTGACTCATTTAAAAAATATAATAATTTTGTCTTTTTGTTGCTATGCTCTATTTGATACGACATTATGATCTCATCAAGATATGATGAGATATACCTTTCTTTTATGCTTTAAGCATAGTTTCCTTTAGTTCTTTAAACATGTTATAATGGCTACATTTTTGTCTTTTTAAAATCTGACATCTTGTTCCTTTCACAGGCAGCTTCTGTTTGCTGCTTTTTTTCTGTGTATGGGTCATGCTTTCCTATTTATTTGTATGTCTCATGAGTTTTTACTGGAAACTAGACATTTTAGATAATATATTGTAGATACTTTGGTTATTGACTTTCCTGCTCCAGGAGTTGTTACTGTGTTTGCTTGACCCTTTGTTTATTTGTTTAGTAACTTAGATGAACTAAATCTGTGAAGTCTATTTCCACAGTGTGCAGTCTTATTTACATGTTTCTCCTCAGAGGGTGCAGCCTTGGGCATGTGTATTGTCATGATCCTGTCCGCCACACCCGCACACCTTCAGTGGTGATCATGATTTTATCCTGGCTCTTTGATTGTCTCTTTGCCTGATTTTCCTGTTAAGCTTCTGGCTGGTCTGCCTGTATTGGTATCACACACAGCTCTTAGTGTCCATGAATTCCTAGCTTATTGCTCTATTGTTTTCAACAATGCCTGGGGCATAAGTTGCTCCATTGTCCAATCCAATTAACCATGGGTTTGCACAGATATTATTCGTGGCCTGTCTTTTAGACTTTCTCAGATCACTAGAGTGTTCTTCTTAGTTAACTATTTTCTTATTAAGCTTCTGGCTAGTCTCCACTTCACTTGTTGATATCATGAAGCTACTAGACTTCTTTTAATTTCTCATCACTAAAATCTCCACTGTTTTCAACAATGACCTAAGGTTTGAATTTCCCTATGCTCTAATCCAAATAAAGCTGGTCACTTTATGGAGAGCTATGGACCTCTCTGCTCTTACAGCCTGCCCTCCCCGTGGACAGAACGTCAGGATTATTGCTCCGGAGTTAAAAAATGGAAAGTGCCCAGCTTCTTTAAGGGTGACATCCCTACTCTATTAGGGGGTCATTGGTTCTAGGAGGTATCTCTGTTAGTGAGCTGAGGTAAGAGTAAAGAGGTCTCAGTACTCTTAAGTTGCACACATATTGGACAAAGCTCCACCATACAAGTGGGGACTGGGCAGAAAAAGGGAGCCCTAAAACTCCAGGCCACACTTGCCTTGAACACAGCTTCTGCCAGCTAAAGCTTGGAGAGAGGAAAAATACTGGTGTCCTGATGCTCCAGGGAAGAAGTCATGGCCCTAGACTGAGAGCTAAGAGGAGGCAGAGCCCTGTGATTTTGTTTAAAGCCACCAGGAGTAGAGCTTCCACCACACTCAACTGGAGTCAGGTGGGGCTGGGGCAGGGAGGAGATCTGGTCATGGTTCAGTGTCACAGACTTACTAGTTTTACCAAGATTTGGTAATTTTTTCTTGAATAAAATGTTTCTCCATTTTCTGCATGCCCTTAGCATAAAATTTCTAGAGACCTTAATTTTTTTCTTAAAAAACTTTGACCAGGTAGGTTGTTCCACTGAAGAGGGCATCTACACAGCTCCTCACATTGCCACTTCAATTTTGTAATAGATTTATGTTTAGCTTAGTATAAGTTCAATATTTTTCCAAAGTCTTGCTCAGAATGGAAATTTCGTATTCATTTAAATCTTAATGCAAATATGATGTATTCTTTTTCTTTCTATCTATACATGGTTAGAGTCAAGAATATGAAATCTTCAAAGATCATAAACAGATTGACCAATTAAAAATTGGGGGAATTTAGCCAGGTGTGGTGGTACATGCATGTAGACCCAATTACTCAGGGGGCTGAGGCAGGAGGATCACTTAAGCCCAAGAGTTTGAGGCTGTAGTGAGCTATGATATTGCCACTGCATTCCAGTCTGAGCAAGAGAATGAGACCACATCTCTGAAAAAAAAAAAACCTGGAAGGGAATATCCAGAGATATATAGAGGAAGAATATCATTATCCTCACAGAAATGATGTAATTTATAATGCCAAAGTAAACTACATAAAACTGAATTAATCTATGTTCCAGTCTAAAACTGAGATACACTTTAAAAATTAATCCCACATTTAATTTGAAATGCAATTTAAATTGGAAATGTGGAAAGAGGATATCGTTTGATATCATCATGTTTTTAAGTTCTTGTACCTTAATATCTATTTCTTTTATGTCGGTTAGGTTCTCAGTCTCTCTGGGACATTCTCTGAATGTCCTCCTTCTTACCCTTTATTTCTCCCCCACCACAAACACACACAACCCAATCGGCATTGGCTTTTGTCTTCTCCACTCTGGTTTTTTCCTATTTGTATCTGTTAATTTCTCTTCTGCCGCTAACCCTCTGTTTTCAATTTTCAGTGACTTACTGTTCTCTCTCTCAATTACTTTCATGATTCTCCACAAGAAACACTCAGAATCCAAGTTAGCAGACACAGATTTCTCGTTAACAGTGTTGTGGGAAAAAGATATTTTGAATACCTAGATGTTAAGTTTTTGTTTTCTATTCACTAGAAGAAAAGACTGCCAATACTAAAATCCTTCTGTATTAGTAAAAATGGCAATCATGGAATAATGAGCTGGTACCCTCCCACGGAATACTGCCAAAAAAATCTTTGCTTTAACCTTTCTCACTTATTCTCTTCTCAGCCATTTTGGAAAACTAAGACATCTTACCAGACACTTCAATAGTACATATTTTATAAAAATTAAATTAACTGACTAGCATATAAGTCACTTCTTTAGTAGCTGCTCAATAAATGTTAATTTTCTTTCTATTTTCTGCTTACTACTGGGCAATTCAGCCTGTGCATACAGAATGGGAAAGTGCCACACTCCCTTCTGTAGGCTTCTACTGGTTCCTTTTGATTTTCCTGAACATATGAAAATATGCCTAGAATGCTGGCAATGATTTTCTAGGATTAGCAGTTGAGAAAAGAATCTTCTGACAGTGGCTTAGGGTTATTCACTAACATATTTACTGTGCAGATGTACATTGGTAGATTTCAAGAAAGAACTGATGCAGTGTTCTACATTTGCATTAATTAACACAACACTGGCAAGTGGCACTGTGCAGCATGTAAAAAATATTTTAACTCACTATTGTTTACATTGACCTCTTAAAAATATAAAATGGAAATATTTTCCTTACCAAGATAGTTTTCCCTCTGCATTATGAGCATTCTGTTTTTTCATTGGAGGTTTTATCCTGCTTTCTGTCTCATAAAGTTAAAAATTAAACATAGAGAATGATAGATAATAGTTAGATCATAGGTAGATCATAGATAGATAGACAGACAAACTTATTTTGAAGTTCTGAAACACTATTTTTATATAAAATACTGGTATCTAAAATATAGTCTGGGCTGTAGAATTTCTGTTCCCCAAATGTACACAGAATAGTATCTATGAAGAAAGTTGGTCTAGACTCTACAGAGCTATAAAAACAACCCATTATATGCAGACCATCACCACTACCATTATCAATGCTACTGCCACTGGCATCACCACCACCACTACCCCGAACCCCTATCTCACACCAAGTAAGTTGCTGCATAAAGGTGACTCAAGGGAAGCCCTCTTGTCAAATGCATAGTCTGTATCTATCTAGCTCAGCTAAAATGGAGAAATGCCAATTATCTGGTTAAATTTGATCAGTGGAGGCAATCAAATATGTGTTATATACATGTCTGAAGGATCTTGCTTGGCTTTGATAGTTGACATATCTCTACTTCAATACAATATAATGTGCCATGAAATTTTCCCCTACATATCTTCCAAAATATTTCGAGAGAATACTGGAGAATTTATGAAAAGAAGTTTGGATTAAAATGGTATATTCTGTCCATATGTAGCTGGAAGGTGAAGGAGCTATCAGGGAAGAAAATTAGAATCTAGGATAGAAAGAATAAAAAAGGAAGGTGCTGTGAAAATCTTAAAAGATTGAGAAAACAAAGGATCATAAGAACAGAGTGGAAATCACAGAGGAAAAGGATCTGGCAGGTCATAGAAATAATCTCATCCATTGAGTCAAGCAACATCTTCAAATTTGCATATTACCTTAGAGTAGCAAAGAGGACCTGAAAGTGTGCAAGTAACTACCATGGAACAAAAATTCTTATTTTGTGATAACTTTGTGGGTTTGTGCTGTCTTGTCTTATGTCGACATGCATAGATACCCTATGTTGTAAAGGAACTTTCAAAGAACTGTTTGGCCAAATACTAATTTTGCTGAACATATATAGTTGTTTTACTAAAAGAGTGAAATCATCAGAAAAATTAGTGAAACGCTTAAACAAGTGTAATTTTCTGCAGAAAGTCTCAGGGCCTTGTGATTAGTGAATTTTCTAAAAAGAATTGGGAAGTAAGTACGTCAGGTATCTTTGACCAGGAACATTTTTTTCCTGGAGCTTCTCCTCATAGGATAAAAGAATGTTGTCTAAGTGGCAAAGCCTGAACAGGGAGTGTTTATTGAGGTACGGTATTCTAATATTTTAAATGAGTGAGAGCAGGATAGTACAGTAGGTTGCTCATCAGTAAGCAGGAGAAGGAAAAAATATGCATCATATATACATACAAATGTATGTGTGTATATATATATTTTTTTAATGTGGATGATCTAAAACAAAAATACTGTATTAGTCAGGGTTCTCTAGAGGGACAGAGATAATAGGATAGATGCATATGTAAAGGGGAGTTTGTTAAGGATATTAACTCACAGGATCACAAGGTCCCACAACAGGCTGTCTGGATGCTGAGGAACAAGGAAGCCAGTCTGAGTCCCAAAATTGTAAAGCTTGGAGTCTGATGTTCGAGGGCAGGAAGCATTCAGCACAGGAGAAAGATGTAGGCTGGGAGGCTAAGCCAGTCTAGCCTTTTCATGTTCTTCTGCTTGCTTTTATTCTGGCCATGCTGACAGCTGATTAGATTGTGCCCACCCAGATTGAGGGTGGGTCTGCTAGATTGTGCCCACCCAGATTGAGGGTGGGTCTGCCTTTCCCAGTCCACTGACTTAAATGTTAATCTTCTTTGCAATACCCTCATAGACACACCCAGGAACGAGATTTTGCATCCTTCAATCCAATCAAGTTGATTCTCAGTATTAACCATCACAGATACCTTAAACAATTTGGCAGTGATACATCATTGCTAAGGGCAATATACATGTGGGACCTTTTCTTTCAGACTTTGTCCTTTGAAGAAATAGCCTCATCTCACAGCAGGGGCAACTTTAAGAAATGATGGAATGCCTAAGTAATTTTCTTTAGTGGACATTTTCCTCATCCATTGTCACTCATTCATTCATTCCTTCATTCAAAAATTTGTTAGGCACTTCCTTTGTGCCTGACAGTTAGTATATATATTTTCACAAAGTCAATCTACAAATTTAGGAATGACAGATCCTTGTGATACATGAAGCCACATCTATCTAGACACTTGATTTCAGAGCAGTTTGGACTGACGATTACCAGCATCCCATTTAGAACCTGAGTTCTAGCGACAGAACCCTGGTTGCTTACAGTGGGAACCATACTATCAATGTACTTTTTTTGTTTTTCTTACTTTCTCCCTTTCCTGTCTCACTTTCTCAACTCCCTCACAGTGCTTCCTAAGATCACCTCTCAAATTAACTACTAGCAAGATGCACTTTTGAATGAACAGAATTAAGGCTTATGCCATGACTGAAGATGTTTTCAATGACCCTGTTTCTAAATAAGGTCACATTCTGAGGTACTGGGAATTAGGACTTCAACATATATATTTTAGGGCATACACATCAACCCATAACAGTCTACCTTGTGGCCCCTCAAAATTCCTGTTCTTCTCACACGCAAAATACATCCACTCCATCTCAGCATCCCGCAAAGTCTTTACCCATTCTAGGATCAACTCGAAGTCTAAAATCTCATCTACATAACATCTACATCAGTTATAGATGAGACTTGGGGTATGATTTATCCTGGGGCAAAATTCTCCCCCATCTGTGAACCTGTAAAACCAGGCAATATCTACTTCCAAAATTCAGTGTTGAGATAGACACAGAATTGCCATTTCCATTCTAAAAGGGAAAAATCAGAAGGGAAGAAGAGGTCTTGGATCCCAAGACCAATGAAGCTTAGTAAGGTTCATTCCATTAGATTTTAAGATTTGAGAACAATCTTCTTTGGCTCAATGCTTTATGATACAGGCCCATCAGAGTGGTGGCCCTACCCCACTCAGCCCTAGGTGGTAGCCCTGCTTCTCATATTTGGGCAGTGGCCCTGCCCTCTACAACTGAGGGTGACTCAGTCCTCTGAAACAGGAGGATCCAGCCCTTGAGCCACCTTTGGCATCATTATTTCTTCATTTTGTCCCATCTCTGTTCCATTCCATCCAAGCTGACAATGTTTCTGCTGGTATAAAATTCTCAAAAACTTTGTTGGCCTCCTGTGCAATTCATGGGGGTCCAAGCCATCAGAAAAAAAGAATCCTCCACAGATTATTCCTGGATAACTGCACCTCTATTTCTGGCTTCTGCTGAGATGGTTGATTGGATTCATGAGTCACAAGCCTAATTTCTTTAGCAAACGGTTGTCTAGCCACATCCTTGGCATTCTCTCCAAAGCAAGCTTTCTCATTTCTGCAATATGGATAGTCTGAGAATTTTCCAAATCTTCAAGTACTGGTTCCTGTTTTCTTAACAATACCTTCTTCAATTTATCTCTGTCCTCTCACATTTTACTATAAGCAACAAGAAGAAACCAGGCCACACCTTGAACAGTTTGCATAGAAATATCGTCAGTTAATATCCAAGTTTATTATGTTTAAGTTCTACTTTCCACAAACATAGAACACAGTTCAGCCAAGTTCTCTGCAACTTTATAACAAGGATCTCTTTTCATCTCGTCCCCAATAACATGTTATTCATTTCCATCTGAGACCTTACAAGAAGTACCTTTAAGGTTCATATTTGTACCAACAATCTAGAGCAGTCTGGGCTTATTCTATTGTGCATTTTTCTTCCAACCTCTACTCTTTACTAAATTCCAAAGCCATTTCTACATTTTTAAGTCCTTGTTACAGCAACACCCATTTCTTAGTACAGAAGTCTGTATTAGTTTGCTAGGGCTGCTGCATCAAAGTGCCACAAACTGGGTGGCTTCAACAACAGAAGTTTATTGTCTTATAGTACTGGAGGCTAGATGTCCAAAAGCAAGTTGTTGGCAGGGTTGGTTACTTCTGAGGGTTGCGAGAGAAGAATCTGTTCCAGGCCTCTCTGCTTGGCCTCTAGATAGCTACCTTCATGTTCACTTGGCATTCTGCTGGTATATGTGCTTGTGTCCAAATTTTCCTCTAAGGGGGTGACACCACTCATATTGGATGAGAAATCCATATATTCCAGTGTGACTCCATATTAACTAACTACATCTGCAATAATGTTATTTTCAAATAAGGTCACATTCTGAGGTACTGGTGGTGAGAGCAGCAATATATGAATTTTTCATAAGACAAAATTACACTCCTAATAATGTTGATGACTGAAACTGTTGTGAAGATCACCAAATAATTCCAGCTGTCCTTTTTCCTAGATACATGTCAGATTTATAATTCTAGCACCCTTTTGACTGGATAGGACTACATGACTTGTTCCAGCCTGTGACTTTTGAGCAGAAGCGATTTGTGTCACTCCTGGACTGAGCATGTAATTGTCAGTACAAAATACTCCAGAACTCTCTTTTCCTTTGGGTAGAGCAGCCAACAATGTTGCAGAGGATGGTTGCTTGGCTGCTTGGGTTCCTGAGTGAATATTATGACCAGAGGCTTTCTGCTCACATATGATTGATGTAGAGAGGGAGTGGAAAATAGACCTTGTTAGTTGTAAACCACTGATACTTCTCAGTTATGTGTTACTGCAACGTAACTTGGTCAATCCTGACTAATGCAAACTCTTTACATTCTATTATGCTCTAGTACAGTGCAGAGTAAGTGCCTAGTTAAATCAACAAACTTTTAGTTTGGAGTGTGTATTAGTCAGTGTTCTCTAGAGGGACAGAAATAATAGGATATGTATATATCCTAAAGAAGTGCTTGGCCAAATACTAATTCTGCTGGACATATATAGTTGTTTTACTAACAGAGTGAAATCATCAAAAAACTTATATATATAGGATTATATATTATATATAATTATATATAATATAAAATATAAATTTATGTACAGTATAGATAATATATAATACATACAATGTTTAATATAAATATATATTATATATAATTATATATAATACATATATATTTATATATTTTATATATTTGTATAATACATATAATATATATTTTATATATCATATATTGTATTTAATATATAATACATAAAATATATTATTTTTAATTGTATATATAAAGATATAAAATATAAAATATATTATACATTATATATAGATTTTTACATATAATATATAGTATAAAATATAAATATATATTTTATATTAATATAATATATTATATATTATACCATATAATATATATAATATATTATATATTATATATAATATATATATTATATATAATATATTATATATTATATATAATATATATATTATATATAATACATTAATATATTAATGTATTATATTATATATTAATACAATATAATATATTAATGTATTATATTATATATTAATACAATATATTATATTAATATATTATATATTAATACGATATATTATATTAATATATTATATATTAATACGATATATTATATTAATATATTATATATTAATACGATATATTATATTAATATATTATATATTAATACGATATATTATATTAATATATTATATATTAATACGATATATTATATTAATATATTATATATTAATACGATATATTATATTAATATATTATATATTAATACGATATATTATATTAATATATTATATATTAATACGATATATTATATTAATATATTATATATTAATACGATATATCGTATTAATATATTATATATTAATACGATATATTAATTAATACAATATATTTTATTAATATATTATATATTAATATATTATATTAATATATTATATATTTATATATATTATGTTAATATATTATATATTTATATATATTATGTTAATATATTATATATTTATATATATTATATTAATATATTCTATATTTATATATATTATATTAATATATTCTATATTTATATTATATATTATATTAATATATTATATATATTTATATAATATATAATATAAATATATAAATATATTATATATAGGATTCATATATACAGGTTATATATATGAATTATTAACTAGTAACTTACAAGATCACAAGGTCCCACAATAGGCTGTCTGCAAGCTGAAAAGCAGGGAGAGCGAGTCCAAGTTCCAAAACTGAAGAACTTGGAGTCCGATATTCGAGGGCAGGAAACATCCAGCACAGGAGAAAGATGTAGGCTGGAAGGCTAGGCCAGTCTCACTTTTCACATTTTTCTGCCTGTTTATATTCTAGCCATGCTGGCAGATAATTAGATTGTGCTCACCCAGATTAAGGGTGGATCTGCCTTTCCCAGCCCACTGACTCAAACGTTAATCTCCTTTGGCAACACCCTCACAGACACACCCAAGATCAATTCTTTGTACCCTTCAATCCAATCAAGTTGACACTCAGTATTAACCATCACAGAGTGCCTACTATGGGTGAGGAGCTATTAAGCATTGATGATACAAAGACAAATAAGTACCGTGTTGGCCCTGAGAGAACTCACAGAAAAATGAGAAAGAAAGCAAAAGAGAGAGGGGGAGAGAAAGAGGACAGGCAAATAGAATATAGAGTAGTTGCTGCTCTGATAAAGGAAGGCACAGAGTACAGCAAACAGAATGACGTAAGTCAGGAAATGTCAAATATTTGTGGGGAGTGAAAACTTAACACTTCCAATACATCTAATGATGCGTTAGCTAGAAAGGAGGAGGAGCAACTATGCAAAGTCAAAATAGTGTCAGGGGAGTATCTGATTTGGAATGGAGGATAGGGTTCCAGAAGGAGAGAGGTGGGAGATAAGGCTAAAGCCAGAGCATGAAGGGCCATGTGCTTGAACTTTATCTTAAAGACAATGGGAAATCACTTAAAGGTTCCAAATTGAAGAGGAATAGAATAAACTTTTGGTTTAGATAGATCACACTGGTCATGTAGCAGTTGTTTTGTGCCTTGCACCATATTCACTCCATCCACATGATTTTAGTGCAACCAGGATACTAGTTCTGTTCATTTCTCTAGGCATAATACTTCAATTACACACAACAGTTTTTCTTCACTTTTCTGCTTCACAATTTTTTCTAAAGCCAAAGAATGCACAGATAGGCAGTACAAGGGAGTTAACACCCTAGGGTAATCTTCTACCTATAGGAGAGGGCAGCTGGCAGGAAAACATTCCAGCCTCTTATCCTTTGGAGGGATAATTCTGAGGCATGTGTTCTACATGGTTCCTCAAAGGGCATCCCACCAGCATTGAATACCAGCATCCACACTGGTAACCAGCTAAGTAACATACTCTTTATTGATTTTCCCTTCTTGCCTATATTGTTTTTTCCACATCATTATTACGGGTTTCTGCGGTCACTTTCCAATAAATACTTACGATCAAATTTGTGCTTCAGTCTTGAATTTCTGAGGAATATAAATTAAGATAAACTATGATGTCAAAGATAGATATGTTTAAGGTTTTATTTTAAGGTAAAACTATGACTCTCATATGAATATAGGATGGACACATGCCAAATGTTTTATTTAACTTATTGATTAATGAGGAAACCACTAAGATGTTAAAATTTGTTGAAAGGAGAATTCAAAAATAGATTGGTCAACAGTACTGAAATAAATTTACAAATATACTTGTCCCTCAGATGACTCCTCCCCCATGAGAGATTGATTCTAGTACCCCCATGCATACCAAAATCTATACATGCTGAAGTCTCTTGAATAAAATGGTTCAGTATTTGCATATAACCTATATGCATCTTCCTGTACACTTTAAATAATCTCTAAATTACTTATAATACATAATACTCTCTCTATATATATACATGTATATAGTAAATGGTTGTTATACTGTATTGTTTAGGGAATAACAACATGAAATAAGTCTGTACATGTTCACTACAGATGCAACCATCCATTTTCATTCTGAATATTTTCTATCTGTAGTTGTTTGAAACTGGTTGGTTGCAGGAACCCAGATTGGGAAAGTTGACTGTAGATGTATAACTTGTTTTTTTTTGTGGAGAAAGGAGAGGTCAATTGTTCCTTCACCAAGCAGAATTCATTTACGTGTGTGTAGACTGTATCCATTTGAATTGCTACCAGCTAGCTACAATTTAGAGTTATAAATAGATCAAAAGCAATGGAAGGTGGAAATAACCTGGGTGGCACCAGATAGTACACACAGCAACTTATTTGTTTATTTGTTTGTATAGTGTACTTCAAAGTCTCTCACAACTTTTTCTTATAGATAAAAGTAGAAAAGATCATCAGAGAAACCTCATTAGTAACTAATACAACACCCACATGACAAATTAGTACTTCAACTAATGGACAGAAGGAATAAACTAAAGTACTTCTGAAAGATAGAAAGAAAAGCACTTGTCAATTGACTGAATGTGGGAAATGTGAAATGAAGGATTGAAAGATTCAGTTCAATCTGACTCTTATAAACAACCACATAAACATGAGGTTTATCAGGCTGGGTGTGATAGCTCACACCTGTAATCCTAGCATTTTGAGAAGCTGAAGCAGAAGAATCACTAGAGGTCAGGAGTTCAAAACCAGCCTGGGCAACACAGCAGGACCATGTCTTTACAAAAAAATTTAAAAAATTAACTGAGCATGTGGCACATGCCTGTAGTCCCAGCTACATGGGAGCCTGAGGTGGGAGATTGTGCGAGCCCAGGACCTCAAGGCTGTAGTTAGCTATGATCATACTACTCTACTCCAGCCTGGGTGACAGAGCAAGATCCTGTCTCTAAAAGAAAAAACAAAAAACAACATGAGTTTTATGAGGGCGATTGATTGTTCCCATTTATTAAACTAAATTGAATAAATAGAAAATCATGGCAGTAGAAAAAAGTTGAAAGCATTGTAGGGGACACTGGTTGTCGGTTACCAAATTTGGTATTACAAGCATCCTACTGCTTTCAACTAGGTGAAGAGGTTATGAAGTGGGGAGGCAGTGTAGCTTGATAGTTAAGAACATGGGACTTGGAGTCAATCAAGCAAGGGTTGAATCATGGTTTACCACTTCCTGGCTATGCGATGTGGAAAAGTTTTATTGCCATTTCAAGGTGCAGGAGGGTTTTTTTCGAAGATGATATGAGGATTAACTGACCTAGTGTTTGTAAAGATTTTACGTTGCTGCCAAGCACATTTTATCTTTTAGTATATAATAGTTCTTACTATTTAATCAGAATTGGAGGAGTATTTTGGGCTCTGCCTTTACACATCAAAGGTCTGGAAATGTACTACTGCAGGATTAATAATATTAAGCCCTTTACATGAATTTTGTATCTATTGAACTTAGCCACAGTTATAAATTGAACTACGTCTGTCTTTGAATGTGTTTACCTTTCATTAGTTAAAGGGGATTTATATGAAGTTAACATTTACTTGAAAATAGGGGAAGGACCCATCAACAAGATTCCTAGTTTAATGTGGATTATTCACTGTCACTAGCTCACAAGAAGTCACTAACATTTAAAAATTTAAGCTGAAACTTCAGTGGCGAGCTGACTTATACAGTCTTCCTGATAATATTTTCCTTCCCTTCATATACCATGCTAGTTTACTGTTTTGCGTTGGAAGAAGATTAGACTTGGTGAAATCACTGTGAATTATTGCATAAAGGGAAGGGATTTATTGGTATCTAGATATGTATTAGACAAAAATGGATGCCTTTGAGGTTTAAAGTTTTGCATTGTTGGTCTATGTGTCTCTTTATCTTCATAAAGTGATATCGTTTGGCTGTGTCTTCACCCAAGTCTCCTCTTGAATTGTAGATCCCATAATTCCCATGTGTCCTGAGAAGGACCCAGTAGGAGGTAATTGAATGATGGGGGCAGGTCTTTACCATGCTGTTCTTGCAATGGTGAATAAGTCTCAAAAGATCTGATGGTTTTATAAAGGAGAGTTCCCCTGCAGAGGCTCTCTTTGCCTGCTGCCATGTAATACATGCTTTTGTTCTTCCTTCCCCTTCCAGCATGATTGTGAGGCCTCCCCAGCCATGTGGAACTGTGAGTCCATTAAACCTCTTTCCTTTATAAAGTACTCAGTCTCGGGTACGTCTTTATTAGCAGTGTGAGAACAGACTAATACATAAGGATAACAAAATCTTCCAAGTTATTACAAGTCTGACTCGTCTTTGTCTTCTTTTAAGATTTGCCAAGTGATGAGACTCTAGAAAAGAAGTTCTTGGTATTGGTAGCATAGGTAGTAATGACGATGATGATGATGGTGATGCTGCTGTGGATGGTTGCGTTATTTATGGCAGAAGATTATTATAACATATATATATATTACACTTTTCACTCACTCATTTCTAGGTGCTATGCTCCTTTTTATCAAGATATGTGTGTATTCTTTTAGCATTTCATAAGGTCCTGAGTATTCTGAAGTGGGATGGTAGGAGAAGCATGGAGTTGAGGGCAAAAGTGAAGAGTAGGGAAAGAGAAAATTTCCCCAACCTGGGAAAAAGCTACAGAATGACAGGCTTCAACAGAAGGTGTGCCTGCTCATTACTCTGAGTGGATACTCTGGTCTCAGGCTAAGTTGCATAGGTTCCAAGAATGGGAGCTCTCATTATCACTTAATGTCTATGACCTAAGTAAGACCCAGAAACAGGAGAGCCTTTGGACCAAGGTATCCAAGAAGCTGAGACAACCATTAACAATTGGCCAGTAAAGGCCGGGCACAGTGGCTCATGCCTATAATCCCAGCACTTTGGGAGGCTGAGGTGGGTGGATCACCTGAAATCAGGAGTTCGAGACCAGCCTGGCCAATATGGTGCAACCCCGTCTCTACTAAAAATATATATTTAAAAAAACTAGCCAGGCACGGTGGTGGGTGCCTGTAATCCCAGCTACTCGGGAGGCTGAGGCAGGAGAATTGCTTGAACCCAGGAGACGGAGGTTGCAGTGAGCCGACATGGTGCCACTGCACTCCAACCTCAGTGACAGAGTGAGATTCCATCTCAAACAAAAACAAAAACAAACAAACAAAAAACAATTGGCCAGTAATGATAGAAAGATTTTCCCAAAGCTTTAGTGCTGGGAAGATCCAAAGTCCTTTAGGTGCAGCTTTGGATGTGTATGTGTGTGTGAATGTATGTGTGTGTACAGTGGAAACCCATTGTTTATTTAAATTGAGTTTATTTATTTTATCTTTTGGTTATTATTTTTATTTTTTTTCTTTAGAGGCAGAATATTGCTCTGTGGCTCAGTCTGGAGTGCAGTGGCGTGATCCTAGCTCACTGCAGCCTTGAACTCCTGGGCTCAAGCAATCCTCTCCCCTCAGCCTTCCAAAGTGTTGGGATTACAGGTGTGAGCCACTGCACCTGACCAAATTGAGTTTATTTATATCAAGTAACAAGTGTGACATTTCCTCCAGAATATGTAACTGCCCAGTGGGTTCACCTTGCCCACTGCCTAGGCAGAGCTGATTTAGCAAGACAGGGGAATTGCAATAGATAAAGTGTAATTCACACAGAGCTAGCTATACGGGAGACCAGATTTTTATTACTACTCAAATTAGACTCCCTGAAAATTTGAGGATCAGAGTTTTTAAGAATAATTTGGTGGGTAAGGGACCAGTGAATCAGGAGTTCTGACTGATCAGATGGGAGATGAAGTCATAGGAAGTTAAAGCTGCCATCTTGTGCTGAGTCAGTTCCTGGATGGGGGCCAGAAGACCAGATGAGCCAGTTTATTGATCTGGGCGATGCCAGCTGATCCATCGAGTGCAGGGTCTGCAAAATATCTCAAGCCCTGATATTAGATTTTGCAATAGTGATGTCATCCCCAGGAGCAATTCGGGGAGGTTTAGAATCTTGCGGCCTTCAGCTGCATGACTCCTAAAACATAATTTCTAATCTTGTGGTTAATTTGTTAGTCCTGCAAAGGCAGTATAGTCCCCAGGTAGGAAGGGGGCTTATTTGGGGAAAGGGCTGTTACCATCTTTGCTTCAAAGCTAAACTATAAACTAAGTTCCTCCCAAAGTTAGTTCAGCCTACGCCCAGGAATGAACAAGGACAGCTTGGAGGCTAAATTAGAAGCAAGATGGAGTTGGTTAGGTCAGATCTTTTTCACTGTAATAATTTTCTCATTTTTTAAATGAGATTTTTTGCAAAGGCAGTTTTACCTTCAGGTTTGGACTAAGAGTCAAGTGGCTATACAATGATAATGACGGTGGTAACAAAAAATTAGAGGTGTGACTGGTTTCAGTGGCTGTTTAACCCAGGAAAAAGTCACATTCTTCCAGCACTCCCAAGATAGATATTACATAAGAATACCAGAAACTGGAGAAATTAAGTAAGTTGTGCAAGGAAAAGAAGCAAAGAAGTTACACAGCCAGGACTAAAGCATGAGCCTATTTGACCCCAAAGATTATCTTCTAACTATTGTAGTAGAGACTTTCACATCTGACATCAACGCTGGCTTTCTAGGGAAGACAAACCAGACAGCTGGCATTGCAGTGGGCATTTGAGAGCTGAGAAAAGATACTCCTGAAGGAAAGTATTTCCCTCTGAGGCTTGAAATTTTGGGTAATATATTTCTGAGGAAGGAGGGTATGAAGTGCTTTCTTCTAATTAGCCGCAATTCAATGGAGATGGACACCATCAGGGATAAAGACTAAGTTTCTACACCTAAACAGAAAGGTGAGCTGTGAGGATAAAGAGGACTGGGGTGGAGTGAGGGGGGAGTCCAAAACAGGGAGTTGTTCCAAGAAACTTTAGAGGCTGGATAGGTTACTGGAGTGAGGAATCCAAAGAAAAGCAGGGCCCTGTCTACATAGAAAATGGAGATCAAGAATCATATGTTTGCTTCATAGTTTTCAAAAAGCTGACTCTGCCCTATAACTGCCTTGAAATTTCCTGATGCCTCAGACAGCCTGATGGTCTACCAAACTAAAGTTTGGAAAACTTTATTTTCTCTCATATTCCTAACAGAATATGAGAGCTGGAAGGAATCTTAGGATCATCTTGTCTAATGTTTTGCCAAGTTGTTATAGATGAGAAGCCTTTTTAGCTAACCAAATCCTATCTGGAAGCCAGGTGTGTAAAAGAGAGAAAAACAGCTCTTTTGGTTGAAGCTCGTTTGGGAAACTAGTCTCCTGCTCATTCGTTTTTCTCCCTTTCCCTTCTCTTTCTAAAGTGTGGATCTGTTTTTGTTTACCTATGTAGTAGGGAGATTTTCTGTACATGTGTCTATCTCATGAGTCTCTCAGAAATGACAAGTGGTCATATAATGTCTCCTAGGTGCCAAGATATGGGGAATAATATACCAACATTATGATAACCCCACAACCAAATTAAGAAGTAAGTTTTATTCCTACATTATTGACAGGGAATCTGGAGCATGGATAAATTTACTAGCTGAAGATTACAAAAGAAGTCAGTTCAGGAGCCAGAATTTGAACACAATCTGTCTGACTCCAAAAATTGTTATTCTTCCCACTATGCCTCACTTAGATTTTCATGGAGAGTATTTCCTTTTGTGTTCCTAGTTTACCTTCCCCAAAATGTATCTGAATAAAGAGTACCCTATACCTCTGAAATCCAATTCATGTTAAAAAAAAAATACACGTGCACACACACACACCTCCACCCCCAGTGATCATACAGGTCTATACAGTATATATTTAAAAAATCAATTGAACAATTTCAATTTCCTTAATTAAATTCACTAGACAAGGCTGTCAACGTAGTTGTACAGCCCCTTGAAACCACAGCTTCTGTATGTGACTGGACGGTGACCAAAATTCTAGTGGGAGGCAAAGGACAAGACAGAGGTAACAGGAGGGAAGACACCGCCTCCGAAAACATTGCAGTTCTGAGCTCAGAGCTTACTCCACAGGGGTGCCAAGCAAGATGAGAAACTGACCCTATATGTTCAGTGGGAAAATCAAAAAGTAGGCCAACTGCACATTAGTTAATATTAAAGTGAGAGTCTCTGGAATTGTTTCTGCAAATCCCTCACTCACTGGTCTAATTAGGGAAAATGGAGGATCCCAACGTATCAGTAATTTCACACCAGTGGAAAGCATTGGAGTTACATAAATGTTTACCTCAATAATCCAGGCATGGGGCTATGGCTGCCTCTGAACAGTCTGTGAAGGAGGAGGGCACATAAGCAACTGCCGGAGGCTAGTGGAGTTGATCCCAAAATAAGAAAATAAAATCTAGCCACTGGTCATTTGTCAGTCTCAGCATGGTATAAAAATATGACTCCTACAAATTCCACTTTCCAGTTGCCACTTAGCAGTCTGCTTCTTTCCCACATAAAACCCATCCTCATATTGGGCAGAGGCATGGATATAGAGCAGCCATCATCTATCATTTCTGGCTAGGCAACTCCAAGATGGAAGAAATGAATTGTCCCCTCTGTCTCTTTTTCCTCTTGTTTATACTTAATTGTCTTAGCATACTACTGGAAACACATGTGATAAATGAGGACAGGAAACAGCATCACTCATCATGAAATGTTTTTCATTCCCAGCTTTGTGCAATAATAATACATATTTGCATAGCTCTTTATACAACTCACTCACCAGCATCAATTTATTACATTCTCATGTGAATACTGCTAGAACAACCATGGTTTTTCAGCTGGAGGTACAGAAACCAGCTCTCAGATAAGTTTGGCAGCTTTCCTGAGATCACACAGCTAATGAGTTGAGAAGCCAGAGTTAGAACCTCAGGTCTTTTGACTTTGAATTCTGCTGTGTTTGCCTCCTCATTCTTTCTACTTTCTTTTGTCATGATAACATCAGCGTTGCCTGTCTTCCTATTAAATCGCATCTCTCCTCATTAATCTTTCTCTCTTAGCCAATGACAGTGTAGTGCATTTATTTTCAAAGCTTACTGAGAGATTTCCCAATAATTTAAAAATACTCGTCAGCAAAACATTTCTACAAAGTTATTAAGTCCTTCACAAGCACATTAGAGGGCCACTTTACCAGCAGCCAAAAAATGCATTAATACGTTCTTGTGTGTGAAGTAGGTTAAAAATAATATGCACACCAGAGATAATGGAAACATGTTGACATTATTAAGTTTATAACACATTTGAAGCTACCTTAATTGTAATATTGAGCAAATTAAAGATTATCAAGTACAGTGTCCCTGAACATCCTGGAGCAGCATCTTTCCCCATTTGACTAATTGCTGTGACACTTGAGATCTCAGTGTGATGGTTTCCTCCACACAAGTGCACAAGTGGAGGCCACCGCAACTCTTTAAATAAACAGGCAGATGTGCTTAAATAATAAATTAATTTATTGAGAAATGTCAGAGTCACAGCCTTGATCCTTTGGCTCTGCCACAAACATCCTCCACCAGCTGAACAGAAGGGAGGTAGCTGCAATTTTTGCTCCACTGAGCACATGCGAAAGATGGAGGTTTTTCTTAATGCCTTATCCATAAGTGAGCTCTGGAGAGTGTGATACCCCCAGTACTATGGTCAGCAAACTTGCTCCCACAGGCTTTGTGAAATTGGTGATCTCCACTGTGCTGAGCAAATGAGAAAGCAGCCAAAGGCAACAGGTAAACAAGTGGGTGTGGCTGTGTTCCCATTAAACTTTATTTTCAAAAACCCGTAGTTGCTCGATTTGGCAGATGGAGGTGCTATGGATTGTCTACTGTGAGGCAGGGGATGGAACACTGGACGGGGTCAGGGGAAACAGGTTCATTCATCTTTGACGCAATCATGCTGTGTGGCCACAAGCAATTCACTTGCAGTCTCTAGGCCTCTTTCTTCTCTAAAGTGATTTCTATTTCTCACAGTCGGAGACTATGAAATTTACTCTTGAAGAGCAGTTAGCACACAGAAGGTGGTCTAAATCAGGGATGACAGATTTAATTGATTCTAAGTCCTGTCATAGTTTGAGTTCCCCACAAACAGACCCTCAAGACAAGGATTTGGATGCAAGGAACTTATTTTGGAAAGAATCCCAGGAAGCCTGAGAAGGAACAGGGAAGTGAGTCAGCAAAGTAGAGACAGTTAATAAAGTGTGTTAATGAGGAGCTACCACAAGAGGCAACTGGGATTCAATCCTGCTGAGAACTCTCTGAGAGACTACCTGGAAATACCTCAGAATTGTCTCGCTGAGATGTCAAGGAAGCAGGAGTCTTTATCCAATAACTCCCATTACTCATTGGTTGATGGTTACTAGGGAGGAGAAGGGTAACTCTCTGGCACCTCCAGCCTGGTCCACAGCTATGCCAAGTGCAGGAAGAGGACAACCTCAGCAGAGCACACAGGAAGCCATCAGAACCGTGTGAGGATTAAGGGTAGGACTTTGAAAGCATCTGCTCTATATAGGTCCTATTCAGGAAGCACGAATAAGTGAAAAAGGCCTGTCAAGGAGGCAACAGGGAGTGGTAAGATGTGTACCAAATTAGAGAGCACAACTCCTATGCAAAGGGATTGTGGATTTGGAAGACATTGGCAGATGTTTCAACAGCAGTTAGAAATCCAGATTTTTATGTAATACACTTGTCTTTTTAAATGTTAGCAACTAATTTAAAATTTTAAGCACACAGTGCTGGCTAAAGGAAAAAAAATATGTCAGGGCTAGCAGGACTATCATAATGAGAAGATCCATCTTACATCAATAAAAACGCAAAGGACGAAACTTCCAAATGAATAAATGAATGAATATAGGTTTGGCTTTTTCATAAATTTATTTTCTCTGTGCTTTGCCTACAAACCTTCTGGCCCCTATTTATTTGGGTTATTAGCACAGATCCTCACCCACCCACTTACTAAAGCCAGAAGAGAGAGATTCTAGCTTTTTTCCTAATCCTGGTCTCATTGCCAATTATTTTTTGTTTTGTCTTCTGGGTGCCCTTGAATTCTTGTCTAACGTTTCTATTTCCAGTGCCTCAGTGACCTTAATTTAAGATCTACTCACTTTTTTTTTAATTTTATGGCCTTATCACTTTTATTACTGGCATAGACTGTGAGCACATCACCCTGCAGCTAGTACTGTTGTCTTTAACCTATGTTTCAAACTGCAAGTAAATTACTTTCTGTAAAAGACTGATCCGATCATATGGCTTCCCGATTTAAAACCCATGGGGAAAATCTCCATTTTCTAATTATTAACGAAAGCGTAAATTCTTGACATGGTTTATAATGTGCATGATTATATCTGGCTCTATTTGCTATTTCTCTGCCATGGCAAAGTACCACACTAAGCTGTCTGCTGTTCTCCAAGATCTTTTGCCCACTGGTCTGCAATCTTTTCCTAGAACCAGGATTCCCTCATCCTTACTCCACCCAAAGTCACATACACGCACTGTCTCCATCTCTTCAGTTAGTCCTGAACTACCTAGGGTTTGCTTGATGCCAGAGAAGAGAAAGACTAGTTTTCCATGTATAATTTGAAGAAATATGATGTCCACCTTTCCCATAGGTTTAGGGAATAGAATATTCCAAGCCAGGTTCAAAGGAGTAGTTTCCTAGATGCTTATATGTATGCCAGGCACATTTTCCACATTCCACTGTCTCTGTCTCTGTGTCCCTCCTAACTTAACCCATTCTCATCATTACAACAATCTACTTTTCATAATAAACAGGAAGGACAGAGACACCCTGAGTCTTTTTCTTTAGGGATCCCTTGAAGTGGTTATTTCTTGAAGCTTGGAAGATCTTTGTACTTGCAATGTACAACACCTGACAATTAGCTCTGTAACAGTCCCCAGATGCACCCAGGTGCTCAGACATTAAGGCACCAAGAGTATCACTTTAATCTATGCATGTCCTCCCCCATGTCCAGCATCCACACATCAAATTAAGAGGAGCATTACAGTTACATAAATCGGACATAATAAATGTAGACAGAGAGAAAGATCTCTCTATCTACTATATTCTAATCACAAAGGAGACTGACTATTCAAATAAACCAAGGCAAAGGAAATGCAGAATGCTATCAGATATTCAGCTACTAACCTTAAGTTCTCTTCATCTTATAAGACAACTGTAATCCATTATAAAGGTCCTAACTAGGTGGGGGAGGCAAAGGTTCAAATTGAAATCTAAACAGGCTAGGCAGCTTTACAGCATCTATCACCCTAAAGAAATATATATAGCATGTGGGAGAGAATGTAAGTAAAGAAACCTGAAAATAAAGAAACAAGGAGGAAGTCAAAGCGGGCCTGAAGTCCTTTGCTCCTGAAGTTGGGACCCACTAGAGTTCCCCTAGTTCCATTTGAGTGTTCCATTTATTTAGAGAATGCAAATGCTATGTCATATACCTAGAATGTCCCATTCCATTCTCCACGTGAGTTGTTATTAAGGACTTATCTCTGGAATTTTAATAATCTGCCTGAGACAGGTGAGGTCTCTCTGATGTTTCCACAGTTTGTTTCTTTCCTCTTTGGTCTTTTTGAGTCTTGTTGGGAACGTTATAATCCTCACCACACTACTGTTACGCTTACATTTGTCTCTCCACTAGATTTTGAACCCTTCCAGAGGAAGGACTTGACTTTTATCTATTTATGAGTTTCTAGTCTTATAAATAACTGACCAACAATAAAAGTCAGTGGAGTAAATGAGAAAACGAGTCAATAGGTGAAAGGCTAGTGGCCCCTCAGGGCTAAATTACCTGGGAGGAAAATAATCACATGTTTAGGATACCAGCAAAGTGGAAGCACCAAAAAAATTGGAAAGATATTTTGAAAGACTTTATTGTATGATCTTATTAAAAAGTACCATGAGAGAAATCTCATGTTATTAGATTTCCTTACTCTTGTTTTACAGTTCAGAATTGCTTTTATATTATTTTGAATTACATAGGGAGGCCCATCATCTTTTCAAAGCCTAGGGTCTTAAAATCTAAATTCATCCCTGAGTCTCTCTTTTTTTTAGTCTTTCCACAGTTTAACCCATCCACAAGGTATCAAGCAACTACTGTGTGCCAGGCCTTATGCTAAGTGCTGGAAATTTAAAGAAAAAGAAATGCTCACCACTTTCATTTACATCTGCTTCAATATTGTACTTCAGGTTATATTTTTCTCCTATCCAATATTTCTAAGAAGACCCTCAAACTGTTTCATTTGGAGTACCAATCTTTCAAGGGTAGGTTCCAACTCTGAAATTTTGTCTTGTAAAGCAGCCAGCCCCTAACCAAACAGGCATTGCAAGTTTTTTAATGTATATGATGGTGATCACAACCTTTCCCAAGATATGGGAATACAACTGTCATAAGAAAAGCACTTAGAAACTCAGTTTGGCTCTCTGAAATATTTATAGCAACAAACCTAAACTTGTCCAATTTTTTGCTTCTAATTTTGCTTCCCAAGAAGCATAACCATTTGCTATTATTGCTGAGGAGAAAGACTATGATGCAGAGATACCAACGGAAGGGATTTCTTTCCTTAGGTGCCTGCAGCAATGAAAGGAAGATCTGAGATAGTCATCTATGACCACAGTGCTCTTCAGCAAGCATGTAAAGAATGTTAACAGTTTTGTCAACTTCAGTTGATTAATGGACCTACCTCTTTTGGTTGATACAATTTCTTAAAAATGTGCAGGTGTTTCTGTATGGGAAAGTGTTGTGTTTTGGTGCACAGGAGAGGTCCTTCAGAGGAGGTTTCTTTGATCCCTAACAATGTGCCCAAAGGCACAAGCAAGAAAAGGGTACCCAGCCCTATTCTTTCTTCACAATAAAGGGACCTGGAGTGTGAAGCTGAAGTATCAATCATGGTTCCCAAGTTGTTGACCGCACTCTGAAAGTCTGAGTTTCCTCCGTAGCTGTGTCCCTTACTAGCTCAGTTCAATTGCAGTTGGTTCACTTCTAAGTCTTAATGATCAGGGCAGAAAGTATGCATGCCCAAGCTATCCACAGTTGAGGACAGTGAGGCCTAAATCATAGTTTAATGCCTTTTGAAAATAAAACCCTATTACCAACACTGGATTAATGAAACATGTGCACACTCATGTGGAAAAAAATGTAGAACAGAAGTTTAATTCATTGTGCTTATGGTAAAAGCTGGTAGTTCCTTTAGAATGGCCATTGTTCAGCTCATATATTCATTAGATTTATTTATCTCAAGATATAGATAAAGAAAATAAGACAATAGTCTTATTTTCCTATGTGGTCCACTCCTCTAATATCCAGAGGAAGCTGTAACTGGGGAAAATGCTAATAGTAGTCATGGAAAAAAGAGAAGAAAATAAACAATTTTAAATGCTTACTATGTGTCAGTCCCTGTCCTTCCCATAGCTTCTTAACAACCATACAGTAAAATTAACCCGATTTTACTGTTGGGGATTGATGTTGACAGAGATTAAATAACTTGACCAAAGGCTCAGAGTAACCTGCCAAGTGAGAATTCAGATCCAAGGATACTGTTTTCCCTGCATCTACACCTCTTCTGAGCCACAAGGGTGATAGTCATGTTTATGATACTTAACTGAAACAAAACAAATGGAAAACTAGCATTCAACTGAGCTCTTTTATCTTGAGTCTTTTTTTCCTTCTTCCCTTCCTGTCTGTCTTTTCTCTTGACTTTTTATATTTGAAATATATCATTCCTGTTATAAATGCCAATAATACACCAAAAATCTTGACTCTATTCTCTCATAAAAGACAAAATGACTTTTTCCAGACACATTAAGTTAGATGCTTGGCAGTCAAGAAAAGTGACATAGGATTACATAAGCTAAGAAGAATTGCAGTGTATCGTTGGTATCTATGTTATATTATTTTTTGTGGGGGGGGAAAGGAGCTACCTACCAACAACTCATTTTTAGAATGATGTTGGCATCCTATCGTATCTTCTCCAAAAATTTAAGGTTTCTATTCTGACATGCTTGGCAGGAAGGGCAATTTTGCATGCCAGTAATAACAATGAGTTATTCAAGGTCACATAGCTTGTACGTGGCAGAGCCAAAGACTCGAATTGAGGTCTGCCTTATTCCAAAGACATGCTCCTAACATATTTCGCCATGTTGATGATGAATCTGGCATTAACCACTTATAACACATACCACACATACTTATACATATGCACATGCACATGTATTTTTCCCTTTGAAAAACATCAAGGAGTACACTTTTCTTTCTTCTTTTTTTCCCCTGGGAGTGTCTCTAGATCTATACTGTCCAATACAGTAGTTATGAACTACATGTTACTATTTAAATTATTAAAATTAAAAAAATTAATATATAGTTCTTCAGTCACATTAGCTATATTTCAAGTATTTAGTAGTCGTAAGTGGCTAGTGGCTACTCTAATGGACAGCACAGAAATAGAACTTTCTCATTATTGCAGAAAGTTATATTGGACAGTGCTGCTCTAATTCTTTAGTCTGATAGTCTATGTAAATAAAACTGGTAGTAAAAGTTTATGTAATATATTTGTATTAGATGCCACTATTTAAATACAGCACGTTTCTCTATAAGCATGCGCCTGCTTCAGCTGAAAAAGAGTTTTAATTCATTCACATACATATGTATTCATTTAACATTTTTCTTGAGTATCTATTATTTGCTTGGTACTGTGCAGAAGCAAGAGAATACAAACATAGTACGTCTCCTGTGAGTAACTCACAGGCAAATGCTGAAAACAGATATAGAAAAAATGTAATTTCTGTATAATCTGGAGAGTTTTGTAACAGAATTGAATGCTGTGGGAGCAGGACTATGGTTAATACCACTGTCACTGAGATTGGTGTCAGTAGGGCTACCCTTCTGCTCTTTGAACGATCCAGCAGGACAGTCCTTCAACAAATAACCCCATGAGAATTGCATAAATCTACCCTGCCAGTCAGTTATTTAGCTGCTGTCCTCTGACTTGACTCTCTTTCTTTTCACTGTGGCTGAAAATGGTACCAGGAAGCTGCATAAAACACCAGTGAGCTCTATCCCAACAGCAGGTAGGCATTTCTCTATTTCCTATCCCTGCTTTACAACATAAGATATCTTCTCAAAATCACCCCTGAGACACGGGGAAGCCAAATACAAACAGACGGGCCTCTTGCTTCTCCCCAGTAAATCATTTGAAATTAAGAGCACTTCCATTTGGAGCCAAGCAACATAGGAATGCTAGAGGGCAAATGCCAGGCTACATGGGAGAATGCAAGAGCTGGCCTACAGGCAAGGTTGAGGCTCCCCACAGCTCTGCGTTAAGATGCCACTTTTATTATAAGGGAGAGTAAACAATCTTTATCCAGAATCTGTGTGTGTTGGTTTGTGGCTTTAAATAAATAATTCCTAGCTCAATGTTTCAGTCTCCCTTGTCTAGTTAGAGTTGCAAAGGGAAAATTAAATGGCAAAGTTGTACCACTGGATTACTCCAAGGAATGATCTTAATATTTGACTTGCAAACTGTGATTAATACTGCCTAGGTAATGCTTTTTATGGAAGGATGGGATAGTGATCCACGTGTCATTTAGTGAAAGTCGAAGCCAATTACACTTAAAAGGAATCTGAAGAGTTCATCCTTTGGATCAAAGAGTCAGGGGATATCTGAGCATTCTAGAATTCTTCCCCTGAGAAAAAGAAGCCAAGAGCAGCAAGGAGAAGAGAATGATCCCATTGTTTAGGGAGGGTGCTCAGGTGGGAGTATTTCCTCCGACAGATCATGGCGTCTGCTTCACATTTTAGTTGCCACCAATTCTGAGGCTCATTTGCATATAAAGCATCTGGAATAAGCAAAACTAATTTGAATCTTCTTTGATAAAATGTTAGCTGGATTAAAGGATCAGGTAGCTGGTTCCTTTACAAGATTCACTGGAGGGAAGTCAGACAGAGAATGAGATAAAATCATTAGGCCAGTACCACACTGGCAACTGTTCCTCTGTAAACTCAGTCTCTGAAAATGGTATGTTGATCTGGCAGCTCCCTTTCCTCCCCTCCGGACTTCATAGTGATCTACAGCACAGAATTGTTTCACCAGAGATACACCTGTGGCATTCTTATCTTCTCCAAATTTTTTAGTTCCTTTGATAGTCAGCTTTACCACAGGGCTGGGGGGACACCCAATAAAGTGTCCTACTTTAAACACCTGGGTAAGTCATTGCTACAGTTTCTATCAGAACCTATTTTAGGTGGCTTCATCCCCACCCCCCACCCTTTTGGCTAAGATAATATCTGGCAAAAACAGCAATGACACCATTCCTGTACCTAAATGAGAAGTCATTTTTAAGTGTATCTTTTAGAATTCATAACAAAACACAGACTTGTAGCTGGAAGCGATCTTAAGACCTCACAATTAATTCCAATTACTTAATTTAATAGAAAAGGAAACTGAAACCCAATGAAGCAGAAGTTTCTACAAGATCATATAACCAGTTAATGACTGAGTTAGGCTTAAAATTCCAGACTTCTTATTTCTAGTCTGTGGTCTGTTCCGTCTAATGCCGGTTTATTCAATTTTATTCAACAAGTAGTTATCAAGAAACACCTAGGAGAAAACATCTCTCGTCTAGGCTCTGGGGAAAAACAAAGATGATGAATATGCAATTATGTTCTCAAGGAGCTTACAGTTAAATAGAAGGACAAAGCTATTGATATAAATAAAAGAAAAGTGGCCTAAGAAAGAGAAATAAAAATGCTATTGGTGTTCAAAAGAAGGGGAAAATGGAGTTCTGGAGCTATAGAGAATTTTCTAAATGAGGGTAAGCAATTGATTACGATATTGGGTAACTTTTGTTATTGTTTCAACCTTTCACATTTTGAATTAATCTATTGGCCCACTGTGGTGAGAGTGAGGATGTGCCCTAGGACAAGGCCATGGCATATATATCTACATGCTAATAAGGAGTGATGCAGGCCAGCTTAGCGATGCCTGCCATTCCTGCATGCCTCCTTTTTTTTTTTTATTTTGTCATGCTTCGTGGATCTGGATCTTCATTATCATCTCTCTAGGACCATTCAAGAAATAAAGTACCTTGAGGAAGATCTCTTCTATTTTGTTTGCTGAGCATTTTTTTTTTATCATGAATAGGTGTTGAAGTTTGTTAATTAACTTTTTTTCTGCATCTGTTGAGATGATCTGATTAAATGATTTTTCTTTTTTTAGTTTGTTAATATGGTGAGTTACATTGATCAATTTTTGTTCACAGTTCATTTGCAGAAAATGAATATTTTTCTTCCTCCCTCCCTTCCTTTTTCTTCCTCCCTCCTTCCTTCCCCCTTCTTTCCTTCCTCTCTTCCTTTCTTCTTCCCCTTCCTTCCTTCTTCTTCTACTTCCCTTCTCTGCTTTCATTCTTCCTTCCCTCCTCTGCTTTCATTCTTCCTTCCCTCCTCTGCTTTCATTCTTCCTTCCTCCTCTCTTCTTTCCTTCCTCCTTTCCTTTATATTATTTTTGAATGTAGAAAGCAGAAGCATGCATTTTAAAATAAGTCCCTATTGTTGGTGCTCAGAAACAGATACTGCAAAATGTGGCGCTTTGACTTGCTGGACTGAAGAGGCACTCAAGGTCTCTCCGACCTTCCCAGCCCTCACTCCTGTCTCTCAGTCCTCTTTCTCTCCTGATGCACAGGATGAAGTTGTCCTCTGAAGTTTTCTTATCTGCCTGAAGTCCAGATTCACCCAAGAAAAAAACAAATCATCTCTGTTCCCTTCCCTGAGTTTTCATTAACTCACATCCCCGGAAGAGTGAAGTCGGTCAGCATATGTGACAGACTTTTGTTACAAACTGCTATCTGCTCTGTGGGCCCAATAGACTTTGTCCCAGGCCATTGTATGTTCTCCAAGTCCATTTATTGTCCTCTGAAAATCATTTGCTATCACCCAAATTGCCACCCATTTTCCCATCTCTGTTCCTTATGTAGAAGGGTACTATATGCATCTGTACCCCATTGGGTTATTGGGTAATCATTCCCCTGCACTTCCCCCAAACTATGCATGTTGAAATAAAATATTGTACCCATTTTCTCCTATTAACCTGCCTTTTGTAAGTTGATTTTTAGCAAACCTTCAGAACGCAAAGAGAAAGTTTTCCCCTCTCCCCATACTACCCTTAAACAATTTAAAGCCGGGCACGGTGGCTCACGCCTGTAATCCCAGCACTTTGGGAGGCCGAGGCGGGTGGATCACCTGAGGTCGGGAGTTCGAGACCAGCCTGACCAACATGGAGAAACCCCGTCTCTACTAAAAATACAAAAAAATTAACCAGGCGTGGTGGCGCATGCCTGTAATCCCAGCTACTCTGGAGGCTGAGGCAGGAGAATCGCTTGAACCCGGGAGATGGAGCTTGCGGTGAGCCAAGATCACGCCATTGCACTCCAGCCTGGGCAACAAGAGTGAAACTCCATCTCAAAAAAAAAAAAATTAAAATAATACGTGAACATTGCTAAGTAGAACAGAAGGCCTTGTAATGAAAAGGTAGGTTTTTCTACTTTACACTCCAAGAGGTAAAGTGGGTTTTTTTTTTTTTTTTTTTTGCATTTTCTGAGTTTGTTGATTTCCCTCATAATATTTAATAATAGCATTCTACTGTTCTTTTTGATTTGTTAAACTTGCATAACTATTGACTCTTCTTTCCAAGTGAGCCCCTGAAAAGAGAATGTTTCTAATGTCAAAGTTTAATGGCATCTTTCCTTAGATTGCGCTCTCTAGAAGAAAATTCTGAGAAAAAAATTCATATGCAAGAAATTTACTGGGGAGTGCTCTCAGACTCTGAACTGTGAAGAAAAAGGATTGGACAGGTAGGTTTACTTTGTACGTTTCTTTTTTCTTTCTTTTTTTGAGATGGAATCTCGCTCTGTTCCCAACTCGCTCTGTTCCCAGGCTGGAGTGCAGTGGCACCATCTCGGCTCACTGCAACCTCCACCTCCTGGGTTCAAGCGATTCTCCTGCCTCAGCCTCCAGAGTAGTTAGGACTACAGGGGCCCGACACCATGCCCAGCTAATTTTTGTATTTTTAGTAGAGACGGGGTTTCACCATGTTGGCCAGGATGGTCTCCATCTCCTGACCTTTTGATCCACCCGTCTCGGCTTCCCAAAGTGTTGGGATTAGAGGCGTGAGCCACCACACCCGGCCACTTTTGTACTTTTCTAAACAAGTGCAAGAGACAAGTGCAAGGTGACTTCTTTTTCATTATTAAATGAAATATAAACGCATTTTTACCAACTTCCGGTGGGCATTCAAAAATATTTTTTGGTCATGTGACCATCGCATTTAAATTTTCTATAAATTTTTCCTTTTTTTGTATTATTCTTTTCTCTGTACTTTTCTCTTTTAAGTAATGATAAAATATGTCAAATAGATTATGAAAATCTCTTTGTAGCTATAGATTTTTCTCCCTCTTGGCTTTGGCTACTTTTTCCTAATTTCTAAGAAAATTTGGAGCTCGAACTACAGTGTTTCCCCTTGTATATAAGGGTATGGTCATCAACAGATTTCAGAGAGAAAAAAAATATGCTGGATGCTGAAACCAGACCTGGGCGTTACCTTCTGGATACGATGGCCTTCCACACTAGTTTATATTTGACATACCTCTAACTACCACAAGGTGGCAAAACATATAATTGACTTGGATCATTAAGATCTCATGAGATTTGGCTATTGATAAACAAAGGCAAGTATTCTAAAGAAAATGAAACTCGGTGACCTGTTTTTTACTTTAAGGTGTATCTTACATGCTTGGATCTCTTCTCTTTTATAGAAAAACAATAGCATGTATAATTAAAATTTATCATTCTTAACTAACCATTGGAGCCATGAAAAATAGCTAATTGTTCACTATGGGCAATACTGCAGAAATCAGATCTGCTGATTAACAAGTAAACTTACAAAATATTTCTAAAAGGTTTTCTCATAAACCTGCTAAGAATTCATTTAGCCTCAGAAATCCCTCCAGATCTGGAAGTTACTCTGAGGCCTCTAAAATAATCCCCTTGAACACACTCTTAAGATCCTTCAGCTTGCATCGGTACTTATCAAATATATTTAAATATTTGGCAATAAAATTAAAATATGAAAACTAATATAGCAATTTCCCCCAAACACACAGTTTTCCAAGGAGATTTTGATGATTTAGAAAGAAATCTGTGGAGGATTTTTGGTATTTAAATAAAAGGGCTGCATTCTGACAGTGCTTTTTATAAAAATAAATTGGTCCAACAATATGATAAAAAATAACCTGTATAAACTAGCTAAACTTTTGAAAGACAGGAAATAGGGAGAGCAGAGTTACCTGTAGGGCTATCTTCTATTAAGTAAAGCTGATGTATAAAATTCATATTTATAAGTCAAGCATTTTATGGAGCATAATGGTACTTTGTAGGGCATTTAAAATATGATTCAATTATTTCAACTTTTTAGGAATGTAGATATTATATGTAATTAAATATGCGTCATTATTTTAAACAGTAATTTTTAATCAAACAAGCTGCATTCACATGTGTCTAGGTATGCATGTACAGAAATGTGAAAATGACAATATTTGTGTCAGCATTTCACCAAATAGCCTTTGAGATCTTTAACTAATTTCTGTGAATATAACTAACATAGTTATGGTTGCAGAACAAATAACCTCTATTTTACTTTTTAAAAATTGAAAAAGATACTTTCAATTACAAAAGTGCCACTTAACTACATGTTAAAGAATTAAATAATACAGATGGAATCATATGTCACTCGTAGTCATCACTTCTATCCCTGTATTTTTCCTAACAATAGTAAGAATTTTTTCTTCACTAAATCAGTTCAGTATAAGCATTTCCTCTATGCATTTACACACAGTACATTCCGTTGCAGGCAATTTTATCTTGTGTGAGTTTTTTTTTACATGGTATAATACCATATATATTCTTCTTTAGCTTGCTTTTGCAATTCAACAACATGTCCTGATAATCTATTTATATCATTTACATAAATTGACCACACTCAGTCCAAATTACACACAGGATGCCATTGAATGATTATATATATTTTCCTTCTCATTTGGATGAACACTTTAACTCTTAATTTATTTGCTATCACAACAATGCTGCAGTAGACATCACTGCATGTGACCTTTTGTGCATTTGGATATGTGTGTTTCATTTTTATTAATTTTAATAGTTTTAAAATATATTCTGATTTCCAATTCTTTTCAGTTGTAAACAATGAAAAAAATTGTCCCAATAAGCACTTATAAATTTTTTAGATTTTGGTGTTTTGTATCATTTGTCTTACTGACATTTTCTTCAAGTATAAAATATATGGCATTTTCAATGTATGTCTTGTTTAAGAAGACCTATCTATTTCAAACATTTTGCTCAAATTTCTTTAAGTAGATTTATTATTTTAAAGTAAATTTAGAGTTTAAATCCACTTGGCATTTTGTTTTATTTAGTAAATGGTAAGTAGATACCTAAGGTTATTGGTTTTTTCCTGAAATAATAGCCAATTGTTGTAACACCATTCTTTTTTCATTACATGTGTAACATACAACATTTCCATATATATTTAGCTCTGTGTCTGAGATCTCTACAATCTTCTACTACTGATGATACTTTTTATGTATCAATATTATTCTCCTTTAATTACAACTTTATAATATAGTATAATATTTGTAAAAATTGAAACCCTCAATATTTTCTATTTTCTAAGAGATTTTGGTTATATTTATATACAATCTCTTGCATTTTGTTGGAAATGAGATTACTTTTATCATTATGTTGAGGATAATTGGCATTTTTCATTGTCATGTCTTCCCACTAACTTGAGGATATCTCCTCCTTATTGGGGGCAGTTCTTTATTAACTTTTAGATTATTTTCGTTATGTTTGTGGTTCAGTGATTCAGATTCTCTTCATCTTCTTAGCAAGTTTATATTTTCCCATTATATTTTCTATTTTATCTAGGTTTTCAAATTTATTACCACAACATTTACCTCTGGATGTACACCGATGCCCCTAACATTGTTGTCCCGTGCAACCACATTTTCTTTTGAAGCAGACATGGCAAAAATGTGTTTATCAGTCTCTTCAGAGAACAAGTTTTTTATTTTATTGGTTAATACTTATGGATTTTTTCTTTTTTTTTCTGTTTTGGTTGTTGTTGTTTTTCTGTTTCTCTAATTGCTGCATTTATCTTTTATTCTTACTCCTACTTCTTGCAACTTATTTGTACTTTTCCAGTTTATTTCATTGTTATTTAGTTCATTTATATGAATACTTTTTATATGCCCCTGAGGTTAAAATTTCTCTTAGGCACTTCTTCAGTGACATATCCATTGTCATTTATTTATTTTTTTCTTTTATCTGTAACTTTGTTTTTATATAATTTGAAACTTTGAGAAAAATTACAAAATAGTACAAATAACTCCATTATGCTTTTTATCCAGATTTGCCAATTGTTAAGATTTTGCCCCATTTCCTTTTTATTCACTATCTAGATGTATCCATATGCAAACACGTATATGTCTTTGTGTATACACATATATATGTGTGTATATATATGCATATATATTAAATACATACATTTTTCTGAAAAATTTGAGAGTAAATTACAGACATTTTTGTTCCTGTACTCCCTGTTTCTTACATAATCAAAACTGAATTTTCAAATCTTGAAATATAACATTGATACAATGATATTAGCTAATCTAAAATCCATAATAAATTACACTAATTGTCCAAATAGTCTTCTTTTTCATAATACAAAACAAATACCACCTATTTCATTCAGTTGTTACATCTCTTAGAAGTCCTTTAATCTGGAAAATTTTTCTCAGTTTTTCTTTTTCTTTCATGATCTTGATTTTTTTGAAAGGTAAGGATCTGTAAACAAATAATACACCTTAGTAGATTTGTTTCTCACAGAAACATAGAAGTTCTGAAATCACTTGTAAGCTTGAGGACCTGAGTTATATTGAGGATAAACAGAATTAGATTTCTCACTGATAGAGAAGGGAGTTACACATGTGAAAAAGCAGACTAGAGTGAATTCTGTCCTGTGGAAGGTGCCAGAAGCAATTGTACTCCTAGAGTAATGAGTCTAGCTAAGCTTGCGATCTAAATACTGTTTCTCATTAAAAGGAACCAGGACTCCTAAAGAAATAGCTGGTTCCAGAGCTAGAACAGGAAAAGTATAAAATAAGCCAGTAATACCTTATCTCAGAGAGTAATATTCAAAAAGTGATGGAGTCATGTAAAAAAGACAAAAGAGCCATTTTGAAAGGGTCCTCATTTAGCCAAATTTGAAAAAATTTCGAGGTCAAAATACACAATGATTATAATAGATTATATTCTATTGAATAAAAGAGTTCGTGAGTCCATAGAGCTATAGATAAATTAGATCGATTGATCGATAGATAGATAAGGAGATGGAAAAATCTTCTACTAGAATGTCACTCGTAATTATTTATAATTTGAATCTTACTTTTCCTTTAATTCAGGAGTTCTTAGAAGTTGTGATTTTTAAATTGAATAAATTTGGATGGTAAGATGTGCTCATGGTGGTAATGGTGGGGGATTCTTGCTTATTGTAGTTAGTCTCTGATTTTATTCAATTAAAATCAATAAATGTGGCCCAAAGAATTTTTGCTTTTTTGATTATATTGAGATAGCCTCTGTGGAAAAATGCATAATCATTTTTTGTGAACATTCTATCCATGTTAAATATAATTATCTCATTTAAATTGGTATGCTGTCACTTAATGTATAAAATTATATGCAACTATACATATAATACTCTCTGTACATACAATTATCCTTAAAACCAAGAAGGAGAATTACTTTTCTCACAGTATAAGAGATCTAGGGCAAGCAGACACAACTCATACAGTAATTTCACAATTTCATAAAAGTCCCAGGCTCCATCTATCAGTCTGCCATTTCATTATCAGCAGGTAGTTTTCTTCCTAATGGCTACCTATTGTTCACAATCTAGTCTTTTTACCCCCACTTATCATCTTCTATACAAGAAGAGAAAAGCATGGTGCTTTGGCACTTATATCAGAAAGGCTGGGTATGCTAAGAAATCCCTAGTAGCCACCTGCAAGTATCTCATTAGTCAGCAGCATGGCGAGTGGCCACCCCTACATATTGGTGTGAAGCTTAGGTGTGAGATTGCACATAAAGAACTGCCTGGGCAGTCATCAACATATGGATGTTACTTGCAGCTTTGTGGTGGATGAAATAAGATCTCCCAAGGACAGTGTGCAGAGATCAAATGACTTAGGGCCTAGGATCAACACCAATTAAGAAACGAGCAGAGGAAAAGCCTGCAAAGGAAGTGGAGAAGAGCTAGCCAAGGAGATTGGAAACAAACCAGGTGACTCTGGATCATAGCAAAGCAATTTATTTCAAGAAGGTCCAGGAATCACATGTCAAGAATCGAACATCAAGAATTACAGAAGGCTGGGCGCGGTGGCTCACGCCTGTAATCTCAGCACTTTGGGAGGCTAAGGCGGGTAGATCACGAGGTCAAGAGATCGAGACCATCCTGGCTAATATGGTGAAACCCTGTCTCTACTAAAAATCCAAAAATTTAGCCAGGCATGGTAGCAGGCGCCTATAGTCCCAGCTACTCTGGAGGCTGAGGCAGGAGAATCGCTTGAACCTGGGAGGCGGAGGTTGCAGTGAGCCGAGATCGCGCCACTGCACTCCATCCTGGGTGAAAGAGCGAGACTCTGTCAAAAAAAAAAAAAAAAAAAGAATTGCAGGAAGATAAGGATAGACTTATATATTTTGTCTACAATTGCTTGATTTTTCCCTTATTTTTCTTCCTGCTGCAACAAGGCATGAACAAGAAATTACCTTTCCAAACCCCTGCTTACATGCTTCCTGACACACGATAGGTCCTCACTTAGTTGTCATTAGCCCTCATTCTTTTCATTTACATAATTTCCTCAAGAAACTTAATGCAAATGTCATAATAGAATTTTTCAAAGAACATGTCTAAACAGTGGCTCCTCAGGGCCAGGCAGAGGGCACCATCCCTTTGCTATAATCTGTTCTCTTCCTATCACACTCAGTTCAACAAAAACAACAGCAAAAAAAAAAAAAAAAAAAAAAAAGAAGAAGGAGAAAAAAAAAAAAGAGGGGGAAAAAAGGGAAAAAAAAAGCCCTTATCTGCACAGTTGTGATGAATAGACTTGATTGGGCTCTCACACAGCAGGCAGGTGATGGCCATTGCCTGTCTATTTCAGGACTAAACTTTAGACTGGCCACAGGTGTTTTTCCTTTTTTGGCTCTGCGGCCCTGCCATCATTAAGTTTGCCTGAGGCAGCAGACAGCTTCTGGGAGACCAAAAGATGGGGGGAGGCAGGGTGCAGAGACAATCCAGCTGACATTTTAAGCAGGAAATGCAACCATCTGAATGTAAAGAAGATAAACCCTGTCTCTACACAGACTGTTCACTCAGGGGAAATTGAGGTAAAATATAACAGGATTTAGAGAAGGGAAATTCTAGAGAATGTGCCTTTGAAATAACCCTTGCTCTTGCCATCTGATTACTAGTAGTCCTTTCCCATTATCTAGAAAAAAAATGAAAAAGAGGAAAATGAAATTCAGAGTTATGACTGGAAATCTGTAATGTGGTGGGAATGCTTTTCCTGTATCAAATTTAATAATTAGTTTAAATTATGTACTCAATCTAACAACACAAATATAAAACATATATGTATAAAATGAACTTCGTAGGGTTTCTTCTTAGCTCAGATAGATTGTTACTTTTTATGAAGTATGATTTCTAGGATACTGAAGAAGTCTTCTTGCCCCTGCTTCTCAACTCTTACCCCTAGGAATTTCTTATCTACCAACTGGTGGTGCTCTAAACTTCTTTAACAGGGTGCAAATGTTTCAAATTTGAGTTTAGGTTTGACATCCAAGGTCCCTAGAGGAAAGCGAATGCTATCTTAAATTTACCTTAGATTATAAATGTATGATATCATAGCCTGGTGTTAGGTTTTCATAACGAGGCTGTCATTAGAGGTAGAAAGGACAAGATGAAATGCGGAAGTGACAATTGTGAAGGCAGTATCCCTAAGACTTTTACATCAGCCTGGATTGTTTTTTTTCCCTGATGAGTTTATAAATTTCACCCTGGAGTATATATGAGTAAATATATGCAAAATGCAGATTGCATTTCTGCATATGAAGACTTTTACACCAGAAAAGGAAAAATTATGTGAAGTAAAATGAACACCATTGCTTACATAATTTCTAAACATAGCTTAAAAGTACAGATTCATAGATTTTTAAAATATACGGATCATGGGGAAAGTTAAGAGTTTTGTTTGCTTGTTTTTCTTTCTGCCTTTTAAACAGAGTAGATGGATTCTTCCCCAGTTGTTAAAAATCCAATTTCTGTGGAACATGGAAACACATTTCTAAAAGATTATAAAATCTTTTATTTAAGATGATCTTAAAATTTCATGAAAGCCCATTTATTTTGTAATTTAAATGTATTATTAAGAAAATTATAAAAACATTATCCAGACATTTTCCACTATGACATTCTTGTACTTTTAGGAAGGAAAATGATGCCCTGTAACAGAAAACATACTTTTCAAAGATCAGCCCAGCAAATTGGCAGCATTGCCAAAGTTAGAGCTGTGAGATTTGTCTTCCAGGTCCCTGTTCTAATCTGCTGGATGGTCTTCTCTTTTAGTTATCACATAAAACCATCCATGTAGCTGCAGAGAAAGGATAATTTTTTCATCAAGTGAGCCAGAGATTCTGGCAGCCATTTTCTAAATTACTACCAAGACTCTGTTATTGCTAGGTTTCCCACCTCCACCCCATCCCCAGTGGTTGATTTAAAAAACACATTTATTGCTGTTATAAAAGGAGTAAGTGATATTTACATGACTTTGTATATTTGCATGTATTGTTTCTTTTACAGAGGTAATGCTCCCAAGGGGACCTCATAAATGTAGACTATTTAATCTACTCACATGCTGCTCAAGGACCTCCACATTTGGAATCTGGGATGAGTTTCCTCAAGCTGGAATAACTTAAGGATGCTCTAGGGGAAATCTGGCTGCTGATGGGCTGGAGAAGCTGTAGTGAACAATATCTGGACTTACATGTAGATCATTGCTTGGAGGAACTAATGATGATAAACAGTCATTGACTTTGAGCCTCATCCCAGAATATGTGTCCTGGGCTAATGGATAATGGGAAAGAATTAGACAGTTCAAGTATGCATTCCAGTGGGCACACACATAGACTTAGTCTATTAGGAGACAATGCTCTGTACTTTGTCACCACGATATTTACAAGGATACACAAGACAGTCATATTTCTTGGTGCTTTAAATACCCATATGTATTTGTAAACCATGGGGTTGTAAAATCCAGTCCCTTTGGATGGATTAAGAGTAGAACTGAAGTGAAAGAAGTAATGGTTGTAAGTCAATGTTTTTCTTTGTTGCTGTTAACAGAATAATAGGGCTACAGAAGAAATATCTCTTGCAGGTGGGGCCTTGGGAGGTAATTAGGCCATGAGAGTTCTTCATTAATACTTTTGCAAAAGTATAATCTTCATTATGGTGAGGTTCTCTAGCATTAATAGAAGAAAGCTTCAAAATTATGGAAGATAATCATGTTTTATTAAACAAGCCTGGTTGCAGCTTATGCCACTCAAGGTACAGCACTAAATTCTAAGGAAGACACAGAGTGAGAAAAGTAATGGCTCTGCCTGCCCTTGAGGAGCTTAGAGTTTACCAGGGAAGATAAGGAACACAAATATAAACAATGATAGTAGAGGATAAAGATCAGAAAGTTCTATAGAAAAAGTTCAGGAGAAAACTGTGGGAGTGGTGAGGAAACAGGCTCTACTCAAAGCTGTTCGCAATCAGGGAAGATTCCTTGTGGCAGTGAGATAAGATTAGGGCTTTAAAAGATAGGTGGAATTTGAGTATTTAGAGATGAGAGAGGAAGGAATTCTAGGAAGAAAAACCAATGCAATCAAAAACTTGAAGAACTATATAGAAAGACAGTCAAGTTCTGAAAACAAGAAAGTTAAGATTGACTGGATTTTTATTAATCAGTTCATAATTGGATTTGTTTAGAGTGCCTAGCAAGATGAATCTAGTTTCAAGAATATTTTTCACCTATTCCACATACCTTGGTGAGAGAAAGCTAGTGGTTATGGAAAAGACCGTATGGAAAGATTGAATTTAGTTAGCTACAGAGACTCATTGAGAAACAGGAGAGTTAGCATTTGCTTGAGTGGAGCATCTCAAGGAAACCCTATTTGGAAGTGAGCAAGTTTATTATGTACGTGGAATATTCCATTGCCTAGCATTTGTTGGATATATTTTTTTGGTTCTCAGTTTTACCGTTAACATTCATTTCAGGAAGACATGTCTATTTTTTGTTGGCTTTCTATCATATCCCATGGGTCATTTTCAGACTAATTTGTGTTTTTCAAGATTCAGCAACCAAAGCTATCTTCTCCGTGAAGTCTTCTTTCCTCAACACGTCCCTGCAAGTGTTTATCAGACACTAATATAATCTTTTCTTAGCCTATCTGCTCCGCTTTACCCCCATCCTCCACCCAAGAAAGTGTTCTCAAATAACAGTATTGATTGGCAGAGAGAAAATGAAAAAAAAGAATAAAGGAATATATTTTTAAATTGATGTAGAGTTTGCTATCTTACTGTGAGCCATTTGTGAATATATTGGTTATATTTCCCTTTTTATGAATAAGTGTTGGTGTGACTGGCTAACTCTTCTGAAGGAAATAGATACCTGCAGAGTCCATGTCATCTGCAATCTCACCTACCACTTTGAGCTTTCATATCAGTGTACTGAGCGTACGACCGAACCCTAATTCTTCACACAGCAAGGGCCAAATAAAAGTAACTATCTACTTACAAGACTTGGAATTTTGGTGTGTGTGGAGGGGGAGGGGTGTACTCAGTGCCCTGGAAATCCTGATTTCAACAGTAGCATGTTCATTATTTCAGAAACGTTTCTAAGATTACCAAAGACAATGTTCATTTACTCTCTATAATTCACTTCCTCCTTTCTTTCTTCCCATTTGGTTTTTGTGATTCTTGGTCTGTTCTTGACTTCAATAATGCTGACGATCTACAATTTCCTCCTCTATTTTTTGAGTATCTTTTTTTTTATAGTAGCCTATAAACTACCTCGTTAATCAGATAGTGTAAAATCCAATTAGAGACATTAGAATCCAGAAATACAAGTGTTAAGGAATGTATTTCTTGATTGACAAGGAAGCCAAATAGACCCATCTATTTAGAATCTTAGCAACAATTAGCTGCCTTAGTTTCATTTATTGTGACATAAAAAATCTGGTTTATTGAGAGCTCTATTGAAGAAGATTTCTACGACATGCACCATGAGAAAATATCTTCAAACTAAAATGATTGTTTTGCTGTAATAAATTGAACCATATGTACACTATGTTATTCAATCTTTTTTCTTCAAGGCATAAATTGATATTAAAGAACATTTAAGTCATAACACATGGTTATCCAGGCATGAACGAGGCAATAACCCATATAAGTTGTCAAGGTGAAGCCAAAGCATTTATTAAAGGTTTGTGTTGTTTTTGAAAAGTGCATGGTTGGATAAACATGGATTAGTGCTATTATGCTGCTACGATGACTCAAGTGTGTTTTTACAGTGTCAGTAATTTTTATGTTTAAAAATCACTGGTGCAGTATATTAGCTATAATTTATGTTTATCATCTTGTGTACTCTAATAGGTTTCAACAAACCATTTAACACTTCAGCTTGTGCATATACATTACTTAATAGGTATTTATCTTAAAAAAGAGATACTTAACGGGACTTTCAAAGCTTGCAACTGCATGCTAAGAGAGAATACTGCAGTGTGTCACATTAACTTTCTTTTTCCTGTTTGCAGTTAACTTTGAACATTCTGACCACTTACTTCTTTGTTTAATGTGCCTCAGAATGGTACAAGAAGAATATAGTCTGTTAACGTCCTTGTCAGCAGGAATGACATCAAGTTCTCCCTGCGTTGAGTGTCCGTCACACTTGCTAAGTAGGGTGGCTGCAAGATACAGCCAGCACAGCCGAAAATATGACAAAGGCCCAGAAATCAGTTTGCCTTATTGGGGTGCCCTTTCAGAAGGTACTGGTTTACTTCTGACTGTAGTTGTATCTGTGAGGCAATTTTTGATTTATGTGACCTAGACACTTATTTCAGAAGAGTCTCAGAGAGAACCCTAGGGCCTGACTGTATGGGAGTGGGGGTTGGTGGGGAGTCAGTTGCAACTTCCCAGTCACAGGAGGTTTGTTGCAGCAATACAAGAGGGGCACTTCATTTATCATGACACTATTGATTCTTCCAAATAGTGCTAAGCTTATTGTTTTTGCTGCAATGATGACCTATTTCTCTTTTGGTTATTCTAGGTAGATGAATTACCGGAGTTTAGTTTTTTCATAAAGGAGATTGATTCACTTTTAAACTATATCCAGAGTTGGTGATGTGGAATGAGGTGTTTGTCTTTAAAAAAATAATTAGTTTAGCTTAACTACATTTTAACTTACTGACAGGCATGACAGAGATGGATTTGGAGGGGGAATACTCATGAAACTCTAGTTACCACTCAAATAACTCAAATAAATGATGCCACTTTATTTCTGAGATGGCTGGATGAGACTTTGTTAGGGATCCTGAAATTATAAATATACTAATCCACTCAGTAATAAATGTTTAGAAAGAGACTATAAATTCTCTAGGGCCAACCAAGCACATCAGTTGGCTGAGTTAGCAAACAGGGAGGATTTATTACTCATCGGAGACAGGCTGACCAAGATGAACTGTTTGGTATTGTGAACAACCTTTTCTCTTGTAAAACTTGTGATGTCACTTTGACACCATATCAGAGATAGCCATTATATCTTGATCTTTTCAGAATTAGCAATCTCTGGTAACTGGACCAAAATAGTTTCTTAAATATTTCATACTTTACTATTTTCATAATACCATTAAAGTTATATGCAAAACATGATGGACAGTTTATAAAAAAAATGCGTGTAGATAGTGTTTTCCATGAAAATAATTAGAGGGAAAAACTCATAAGCATCCAGCATGAATAGTTATAGTTTCAAAAGGAACAATAAGGATAATGGTCTAGCCGAAAACTTCCAATAGAACTTTCTAGAATGATATAGAACTTTGGGAAATGATGCACCTTCCAGAATGCATCATTTGTATAAGCTTCGGGTCTTTAAAAGGAACGCCAAAGTGTTAACCTTATCTAATATAAAATGTAGAATCAGAATTGAATTTTTTGGAAAAAGACCAAAAAAAGTTAAGCATTGGTATGAATTTGGACAAGTCAGTTAACCTCATTGTATCTCCATATCCTTGCTATAAAATGAAAAAGTAGGAAGAAAGAGTAAAGCCCCTCCAGCTCTAAATTTTATGATTTTCTTAAGTCTAACAATAATTAAAAATTGTGTGATAAACTAGTTTGTTCATACCTGTGGCATACATGGTGCTTCTCTGAGAGTCCTATGGTTGTAACATTAAGCAAATATCTAATTTCCACCTTCAAATTACCTAATCATAGTCATAGGAAGATGAGCAGCCAGGACATTAGATGACTGGTGGTTGGGGATATTGGCAAATCTGGTTGAAAAAAAATTAACTTTGGTCAGTATAACAGGTATGTTAGCAAAGCTTAAGTAAACAGCTTAATTTATTCCTTCATTCACCAACTACTTATTTATCCCTTCTATAACTCAGGAACTATGTTAGTAGATGAGAATACAAAAATTAATAAAACCCAATGCCTTCCCCCAACAACTATACAGGGTAAATGGCTAAGACAGATAAAGAAGCCTAGAATGGCCCATTTGGAAAGATTAAGAGAAGGCAATGAATTTTAACGAATGTGATTAATTTAGCCAGGCAGAAAAAATTATGTAGAGGCAGGTAGTGGGATTGGGGTTGGATAAGATTTGGGGCAAATTTCAGGTGGAGTCTTCAGTATGTACAGAGGTGTGAACACGGGAAATAATTTATTGCACATTATGATCTAAGAAGAAATACGGCTTCAGAGTTGTAATTTGCAATAGCTACACTCTTCCAGGGAGCTAGAGCAAGTGAGAGTAACACAATAGCGAGTGATGGGGGGCTGTGCTCAGCTGGAGGGCACAGACTCTCTCTAAGGGAAAATGTCAGTACTCAGCCCCAGTGGACCCCTATCTTGGAGAAGACAGAGCTGCTGTTACTATAAGGCTTTTACCACATCTTTTGAAAAAGTGATCACTTGGTCATGTGAGAAAGGCTATAATACATGATAGACATGTTTAAATCACTGCTTAAAAGAAGCAAAACATGGTTTCAAGGCTATATGTGTTAAAAGCCTTGTGGGATATATTGTTTTACATTAATTACAATCAATATTATTACTGCATTAAATGTAAGAAGTTTTCCTTTCTTATAATCTCAAAATCTGTCCGTAGGAATCAACAGTATTTTAAAAACTTTTTAATTGTAAAAAATTTTAAACATACACAAAATTAGAGAGAATAACATAATCTAGGTACCTGATACCCAGCTCCAACAATTATCAACATTTTACCATTCTTGTTTAATCAATGTATTCACTCTTTAAATCCCTTCATTTCATTCCTTCATCCATAACAACTACTATTTCTCCAAAAGATAAGAAGTTTCAAAACATTATCACACTGGATAATATTGCAATAATCCATTATTATTATCTGATACCCAGTTTATGTTCAACCTTTCCTGATTATTTCATTAAATGTCTCTTTTTCTTTTAGTTTGTTTAAATCAGGATCCAGACAAGGTTTTAAGTCCATTTGCAAAGCTCTTCTCAAAAATGATTTTGCAACAGACAAAGCTATTTACTTTAAAGAAACTGTGTTGCCCTTAACGATAAACATATAAAAAGTGGGCCATGATTAATGCTCTTTTTTTTTTTTACTTTTTTTTTACTTTTTTTTTTACTTTTACTCTTCCGGGCTCAGTTAATTATTGTTCTGTGACCTTGATTTTAACCTTTTGCTTAAATTCCTTCATCTGTAGAATAGGGATTTAAAAAAAATCTATCTCGTTGAGTCCTTAGTAGGATTAAATTAAATAAATCAGTATTGGGGGATTTAGAATAGCACCTAGTACAAGGCGAGCCTTATGTAAGGGTTTGTTAAATAAATTTTTTTAAAGTAATTCCCTTCCCTCCCTCTCCCCCTCCCCTCCCTTCCCTTCCCCTCCCCTCCCCTCCCCTCCTTTCCCCTCCCCTTCCCTTCCCTTCCCTTCCCCATGTTGGCCAGGCTGCTCTCAAACTCCTGGCTTCAAGAGATCTGCTCTCCTCAGCCTCCCAAAGTGCTGAGATTACAGGCCTGAGCCACCATGTCCGGTCATTATGACCCCCCCTTATCAGAGAGAGATATATATATATATATATTTCCTTTTAGACTGGAAGATCCCTGCCCTCATTTTCAAGTGACTTGTGTGATGTTCTCTATTTTGTGCAGTGAGGTAGTCTGCCATTTAAAAATAAAGCCCTTAATGTTTAAAAAGAAAAATACAAAATAGGATAGTTAGGTTTTTTTTCATTGTCAGAAAGGCAAGTGTCAACAACATCATAGAGAAAGTTGTGGAATCTCCCCTGTTTGTGTATTGAATGAATTATAATAACATTGATAACATCTTAAATACCAGAAGGCTTATGATCCTTTTATTTTTATATGTGGAAAAACTTGGGAAATTTGGCTACGGTTTTCTTGTTGTTCTATTATAAGAAGAAAGGGGGTTCTTTGTGGCATTACTGCATTTAATATGCAGATAACCTTCTGCCTTAGATGACACATAAAATGATGCTCAAATTCTAAGATCCTTTTTTATCATCCCAGAGAGAATCAATTTGTACAAACTTGATAAATAGCGATAGTCCCTATTTTTTGTTTTTAAAGTCAAAAGAAGCCAGTAAGCTGAAGAAATCATGGGAAGAGTTGGGTCAAGCAATTCCAGACAAAGCATTCCAGACTGCTTCCAACTTCAGAGAAATTTTCTGACCGCCATCTTAGACTTTCCTTATCTATGATGTCATACTAAAAGAACACTTTGACTATGTAACAACAGATTATAAATACATAACCTACAATTTGTATTTTTGCCTCTCAATCCAAGATACCAAAAATTATATTTAAAAAAATTAGATGAGTCCTAAACTTCATATTTATAGGATTCAAACAAGTTTAGTAGCTATATCCTCACATTCTTCTTTAGTGTGTTTTTTTTGTATAAAGTTCAGAAACACTGCTTAACAAATACAGAAAATGCTGCTAGTGTTTTACTATTTTAATTTGAACTTTATATATCTCTTAAACTATAAGTATCCTTAGCAAATAGTTGGCAGTCATAGAAATTATCATCTTTACGTTTAATCCCTCTCTCTCTTTCTTTCTTTCCTTTCTTTCTATTTCTTTCTTTCTTTCTCTTTCTTTCTCTCCTTTCCTTCTTTCTCTCTTTCCTTCATGCCTTCCTTCCTGCCTGCCATTATCAAGCACTTGAAACTCAACATATATAACACTTGTAAAGTCCTGAGAATGTAAAAGCAGATAAGACATGCTAGCTGCCCTCACCATGCTCACAGTCTAGTGGGGAAGACAGATTGTGTAAACAATCAGCATTGTCATGACTTAGAGGTGCCATGATTGAAACTTCATGGTGAGAACATGCAGAGCCATGGGGATATAAATATAAATTTTCCCCTCTTGGCAAAGGTAAGGCCTACATAACAGCTAAGTTACAGAGTGGATCTGAGGTAGGGAATGCTAAGGGGGAACAGGTTTGGATGAGGAAATTTGAAGTGACTACAATATATCTAAATGGCAATGCCAGGTAGGTTATTGAAAATGGGGGTTTAGAGTTTAGAAGAAAACATCAACCTGAACACTGGTGAGCCAACAGCATTCAGGCAGAAGTTAAAGCCAATGATGTGGGATAACATTCTACAGGAGTCCAAAAGACAATCGCCTCAACATCCCCAAGGGAAACTTCATTCTATTAGAGACAGAATGAAAAGGAATCTATGTTTTCTAAATGCATTTTAAATCCTTCCCTGAGAGCCAGCTTTGAAAAAGCATCTTGGCTCTAAGGAAGCAAGAGAAAGTATAATGGAGGGGAGAGAAGAGGAGAGGGGGAATAAAACTGGTTTGAATTGTTCGTGATCTCTAAGTAAGAAAGAGAGCAGGTATTCAAACCTAGAATTCAAAGCCCATTCTGTTTCCCCATGAAAGCCATGGGTCAAAGACTCAGGGAGAATTTCTGGATACAGCATATTCTCAGCTGTGAGAGGCAGAATAAGGGGTTTTGTGAATTTAAAGATGGGTTTGAGACTCATCTTGGAGAGTGATTTGTAAATATATAGATTAAGTTTCCCTGTAAAGTTAGGTTGGGAACCAAAGATGAAAGTGTTTACTAAGAATGCTGATGCAAAATGTCTTGGAAAGGAAAAGAGTGTTATTTAAGCACATAACTATGCCTCCAGGTTTATCTCCTCGCGTTATTATAGGTAGTTGTTAAAGAACTTGTGTAACAGGTAATCAAGCATCTTGAGGACAGTAGCTTTGATGAGTCGTCTCTGAGTATGAATCCCCTGATTTCATCTCCTGTGGGTCTCTGCTGTCAGCCACTCTAAAACCTTGCAGCAAGGCCCAGTGTACAGGGGGTATGGGCTAGGATGTAAGCCTCATGAGGAGACCTGCGTGATTCTCCACATATCTTTCCATGCTGACATACCATACCACCTCTGTGACCTTGGGCCAGTTTTGTAGCATGTCTGAGCTTCAATTCCCAGATCTGTAAAATAAAGACAAGAGTCCTTACCTCCTGAAGACTCAACATGATAATCTAAGCATCATCAGAATGGGGTGTTAGCCTTGTTCTAGACCAATTCCTACCTCATAGAATAATAAGCATTTCATAAATATTTGTTGAATGAGTAAAAGTACATAAAGTATGTAAGTGTGTCTAGCATAAAATAGGTGCTTAAGAATTATTTACTTCTTCCGGAAATTAGTACGGGCACTCACTCTTCCCATCTCCCAAGCTTAGGTAAATACACTTCTATCTCATCTGCCTATACATATTACAGATGTGCTCAATTTCTTAAGGAAACACCATTGATGTACTTCCTTGGACTTAGACTTCACCTGAAAATCAACAGAGAAAGTATCACAGGATGAAATACAGTTGCAAAGCAATATTTCACAATGTTCCAAGTGATTTCCAAAGACTGTTAATGGGAGCTATGTGGGAATAAAAACATATCAAATGTCAAGTCCAAAAATGTTGAGGGATCACTGCCTTAAACAGGTTTCTTCATTCTTGGACTTTTCAAAACCTTTATTTTTCTAATGCAAATTGTGATTCTCCAAGAGGTGAGTAAAATACACAACTTCCCAACCCTATTTGATCAAAGGACCCTTTTGTCATAGAAAATATTTCATTTTACTGAGATAACTCTTTGGGAAATATGGATCTAATCATTAGCTAGAAGAGTAGACACAAGGCAAAAGAATTCATTTTTATGGGGTAGTAAAACACTTTTTTAGGTCAGGGAAGGCTTATTTAGGATTGAGATGTGGAGCTCTCACAACCCAAGACAGTCATCGAGGAAATTTCCTTCCAATGAAGCAGTTAGGTGAGTGAAAACAAATGAACATAAAATATGTATATAATAACACCTTGGGAAAATTGAACATCTCTCCATTTAACATCTGTCACATAGATAATTGTAGCAACTAGATTGATTATGAGAGAGGAAACTGGAAGTTCAAAAGGGAAGCAGCTGAGTTTGCTTATATCACCTGCAAAGGGACTACTTTCTTTGGCAGATTGATATTGCACAAAGGTTTGAAGTTTCATTAAAGACGCATGGTTGGATGCTGTAACAGTATGTTACAGAACGTGTGTGTAATCAGACAATACGTTGCATCAGGCTATCAGAAAATATAATAGTATTATACATGCATCCTGGACTGTGCTATGCTGTACATGACATCCTTATACAAGGAAACTATATAACATCATGTCATATCTGAATAACAATAAAAATGTGATCAGCACATTAATAGTAAAATGACAGGTCAATTCCTCTGAATCATGATTTAGTGTCAATTGGGATTTTTTCCCTTGTGCAATTTTATAATACTTCAATGTCTATTATAATTGTGAAAAGCATAGATGTTTGCATTTTCTGAAAGTCCTGGTTATGTAAAATGGAAGAATTCAAAAACAAAAACAAAACATGAACAAGGACAAATAGCACAACAGAATTGTTAAGTTAACCATGTCAAGGGGGGCATTCACACCTGCAGATAATACTCTCTTCTTTACATGTAAACTTCCTGCTGAAAGCAGGTCAGAGTTAACAGCTGAATCAACTTGGAGAGTTTTAAAAAAACAATTAGTTTTATGTTCCTTTAAATAATTGCTTCATTATATTTTGTACATCTGTGCAGGGGTCTGATGATGACATTTGGTAAATTTCCAAATAGCTATAAAACCAGGGGAATACCAGTTAAGCAATAGTATAATCCACCTGTAGGTTAGAAAGAGGCTTTATATAATAGCTAAAACAAACAAACAAAATCCTTAAACAAAAGAATTGATTCTGCTCTGTGAGGAAATAATTCTGTTTCAGGTAATGATATCAGATACCGTATTTTTAAAAATAAAATTGTCAGTAGTTCAGAAGAGACCAACAAAAATGTTAAAAGGTTTGGAAAACAAGACCTGTGAGAAATAGTTAAGAGAATGGGAATATTCATTCAAGTCAAAGGAGGCTGAGGGGAGATATAACTGTCTACCTAAAAGTTAAATGATGTTACAAGCAAAAGAGGCATTAATTATTAGTGGTAGTAGAAGAGGGTAGTTAGAACAAAAGAGCTGCACTCATTTTATTTAGTATTAGGAACAATTTTTGTAGCCAAAAATCATTCATATGATAGAATTAACTGCCATTACTATTGCTACAGTAATTTGTTATGATAAGAAAGGAAACGTATGTCAAAGCATTCATGGATTCATAAATTAACCTATAATAAATGAATGAGCATCACAATTCACAATAAGAATATTCTTAAATACTTAAATCACAAATGGCCGATGCTTTTAGTAAAGAAGCACAATTAGCAAATACAAAAATTTGACATTTGTTCTTTGAACTATCTGATAATAAATTTTTTATAAAGTTATAATTATCAAAGAATGGAACTATCATATGAACTGACAGAAAGGGTTGAAGAAACAGAAGATGAAACCTAGAAATGCATTCTTACTTTTTGTATAGAGTAAAATACATTCTTACATTATCATATAGAGAATTAATATATGACAAGAAAGTAGGAAAATAAATTACATTTTTAAATTTGTTAAGAAGAAAGGGGAAAAGAAAATTTTATTTTATAGATTAGGCAAAACAATTGATTAATGATTTGGATAAAATTAAGGTAATAGTCACATGTTACACCAAAAGGAAGTCTTGCTGGATTAAAACAAGATTTTCAACAGGTGGTAATGGGAGATGATGGGGGGTGTATATGACAATCTTTTCAAGGTTTTGTGAACTACAAATGTTTCCCCCACTCTGAGAGTCTGCTATACTTCCTGAGAGTTACAACTCTGTCCTTGGTGAGAAAATTGAAGTTAAATAGATATAGTGATTTGCCTAAGAATTAATTGAACAAGTATTTATTTAGGATCTGCTATTCACCAGATATTATGCTAGGCACTAGAAATAGATAGATGAAAGGGTAAGATCCCTGTTCTAGTGAACTTTAGTGTACACCTGCTGTTTTAGTCCGTTGAGACTGTTATATACTATAGGCTGAATGGCTTAAACAACAAACATTTATTTCTCACAATTCTAGAGGCTGACAAGTCCAAGATCAAGGTGTCACCAGATCCTGTGAGAGCCTGATTCCTGGTCTGCAGATAGTCATCTTCTCATTGTAACCTCACACAGTGGAGAGAGAGAGAGCAAGATCCCCTGTGTCTCTTCTAATCCTGTTCATGAGGACTTCACCCTCATGACCCAATTACCTCCCAAAGGCCCCACTTCCTCATACCATAACATTGGGGATTAGGTGAATTTGGGGATAGATACAAACATTCACTCCATAGCACCTGCTGTTCTCATCTGCCGAACATCCACACACTTATCTTCTGATGGCAGCACCCTGATTTTCCTGTGGGAAACCATAATACTTCCAACCTCAAATGATGGGGTTTAGATAGAATTTCTTCCACCCCTAACCCCAGGTAGGAATATGGAATTTTGCTTGGCTAATGAGTGTGCATTACACCCCGGCCACAGTGATTGGTTCAAGAATAAACATTGAAAGGCAGTCTTGGCTCTGATGTTGGGACTATTGGTTGGATGATATCCTCCTTGCTTTGGTATTTCTAGGCTAGTAGAAAGTAACCCAGAGTTACTATAGGTCATTTTGCCACTAAGTAGAAAAATTTGCCTTAGGATGAATTGAAGAAGTAAAGCAGAAAAACAAAGAAAGAAACAGCATATTCTTATTGTATTATTTGAACTGCTGGATACAGCCTTGCCTGCAGGTGACTATTCCTGAACTTTCAAATTGTGTAAACAAATAATTTTCTTTTTGTGGTTGTTTTCTCATTAGTTTTTTTTTTTGTTTGTTTTTTTTTTTTTTTTTTTTTTTGGTGGGGAAGAGACAGGCAATCAATAAGCATGTTTAAACAGTAAATCAAATCAAATGGTGGAAGGTGATAAGGTTATGGAGAGAAGACTAAAGTAGAGCAGGGCATGATGTGTATGTGTGGAGGGGAGCACAATTTAAAAAAATGAGTGGCCAAACTAGGACCTTCTGAGAAGGTGACGTCTGCAAAAAGACTTGAAAAGTTTGAGGGACATCTGGAGGAAGAGTATTTAGAAAGTCTACATCCTAAGACAGGCGATTAATAAAGAAATCTAACTTTTACAAAAGAATCTCTGCCCTACCTTCCTCTCTATGGTGGAATCCTATTAATTTCTTTTCAACTGCTGTATTTCAATTGATCTTGGACAGTTATTTGTTAATAAGGAATACAAATACTACTCAAGAAGCTCTAGATTTTAGAAGCTGAAATCAAGAGAAAACTGGCTAAAATTGGCTATGTATTATTATATGTATATAATTATATATATGTATATGTATGTATATAAACTTTTATTTTTTCAAAATTCTACTTATGGATAAAGTTTTCAAATGTAAGCTATTTGTCCCTTGCTTTACTTTTGAAAAGTAGATTTAATAAGCTAATATTTAAGCCTGTGTACAATGATTCCACAATCAGAGTTTAGAATATTTTCTAAACAACCACTTAGAACAAACTATACTAACTAAGGTACTATCAGCCTTAACAGAAGCAATACTGGCAAACAATTATTTTCATTGCAGCACTGACAATTATGTAAATGTGTCTGGAACAGCAATGGGCACCTAATTATGACATCTAATTATGCCAATTTATGTATATACCTCCTTAAACAACATTTTATTTATAACTCCCTCACTTATTCAAAGACAAGATAAAGTAAAGAGACATTAACCATAGACAATTGCTTCGTCTTTTTATTATGAATACAACCTAATCTATTGGAATCTCAATAATCTGGTATATGTCCTCTTCATGTGAGTTTGTTTTTCACTCAATCTCTTTTGAATTTCATAAGGTGAGCAGAAATGAATGTGCTCTAGATGAAGAATTGATAGCATTCATTTTCTCTTCCTAGCAGAGGGAGCTATCCCATTTCACCTTACTTGAGCAAAAAATCAACATCGATTACTCCTTCTACTAAGCATGAGAAAATGATTCTACCCTCAACCACAAACAGAATAACTCAAGAAATACATATTATCACCATATCAGCATTATTTCCTCTAATTTAGATGTTTTCATTTAGGGTCTTTTTTTCTTCCTTTTTTCTTTTCTTTCTCTCACTCTCCTTTAAATTCTTTCTTTAAAAAACTATGGAATTTCTTGGAATTCGATAACATCTTTTGACTTCTACAGAGAAGTGTTATAAGCTTTCTCAGATATGTTCTCTAGAAGCAGAGTCTAAGATGAGGATCATGGTGCTAGGTGATGTACTGGCAGACTGCTCTCAGACAAGGGGAGTAAGTGAAGCACAGTATGGCAGGGCTAGGAACAGGCAAGAAAGTAGGTTCAATTGGAAATTAACCCCAGACTGCGCCTGAGGGGAGCTCTGGAACATGAGTTGTGCTAGAGAGTTAGGCCCACCTTGAGGCAGGGAGCTGGTTTTCATATCACAGAATGAGTTAGTCATTCACCTATTTTAGTATATCTGTGCCAGTAAAAGTCAGAAAATATTTCATTCATTTGCATGTGATTCATGCCATTGACCTGCCAGAGAGCGTAGATATGTTGTCTCTCAGTTCTAAGCCTTTTGATTCTAAATTTACATTTGAAATACTTTTTATTTTCTTCTCAGAACAAAACGTACCCACTCTCTTGTTCCAAAACATTACATTTGCCCTCCATATTATAGTTCACAGACCCTGACTGGTATGAAAGGGCTGAAGAGTTACATCTAGACACTTGGTAAAGTGTGGTCGGCAGGCCAGCAACATCACCTAGAAGCTTATTAGTAATGCAGGCCCCAACAACTCCAACCCATAAAATCAAAATCTATTAACAAAGATCCTGTGGATCTTTGTTAAAAAGTTTGAGAAGCACCAAGATATAGAAATCTCATTGAAATAAACTGATAGTAACTTAAAGAGCCTTTCAAGTTTTGGACCTTTTGTGTGGGAAGAGTGCAGAACTGATAGTTAAGAATTGAGCTTATTAAAATCTCCAAAACAACTAGAATTGAACCATTTTCTGACCAGGGAGAAACAATTCAGACAGACTTGAATTGGTCTGCCTAAATCACCCAATAAAAAAAAAAGACAAATAATCCAGTATTTTTTCATCTCAGTGTTCAAATGTGAAAAAATCTGTGTAAATGTTTGTAACCTGTCATATGTCTCTTCTGGTTCTGTTCTACCAAGTCATCTGAAGGTACTATAGGAAACTCTTCAGCAGTTTCCACTGAAACCTTAGAAAATCTTACTTTCATGGGTTACGGAAAGCAGGAAACCAAATTAAGTTTTGACTGCCAAGGAGGGAAAGAGTGAATCATTTTCATTTGATGGTTGCCAAATCATCAATCATTCTAAATTAATTCTCATTCCCTCTGACACTTGAGAAATACCAAAATGCACTTGAGAAAATGTCCTCAAGAAAATCTGGGATGTAGGAGCTCTGGTTCTTTGTATCTGTAAGGGCTATCACCTTAAGAATTTAGCATTCCACACCCATGATGGAGCTTAGGATTGCCAATTGAGTTGGAGTTCCTTAATTTGTAATATTTGGCAAGATTCATTGGAACTCTATAGGCCTGAGGGCACCCATATATTCCACACAATTCTTTTCAAAATATTATCAACTTTTTAAAAGATGCAAATATGTGTGAGAGCTATAAATTCTCCTATTTTAAATATCATGCTGTCCCTTTGGGAGAATCTCATGGGCATAGATAATTACTTCTATATGAAGAATAATGAATCACAACATTTTTTGATTCATATCTACACTCTTCTGGCAGGTCGCTGGCATGAATCACATGCAAATGAATGAAATGTTTTCTGAATTTTACTAGCACAGATATACTATACATCATACTCTAAAATATATGTAAGATAGGATAAAATAGAATATTTCTGTCCCAACCATTCTTCTCTCAAAAGGAAGATACAGAACGAACCAATCTGCCATTTCACCTGAAAAAGTTGTCAAAGAACAGGGCCTTCCACTGTTCAGCAGCCTAGGACAAGATCTCTTGGGGAAGGAAGTAGAAAATAGGGATTTTAAAATATCTCTATAGTCTCTTTGAGGTTTTAGATAAAAGCGTTGGCTTACAATGTAATGTAACATGTGTCTTCTAGTCAATAAATAATCATTTATTGTGCCTCTATTAAATGCCTAGCACTTGACTAACTTTCTGGGGACGCCCCTCCAATAAAAGACTTTGAATGTGCTCTTAATAACATTACAGTTTAATGGGAGAGACAAACTCTCAAACCAGTCAGGCAAATCTCTCTAAAATACATGAACAAAGTACTATTGGTAAACAGAGAAGGTATAACCATCTGCCAAGTCATAGCTGGCTACCCAAAAAGGATAGTCTTTTTTTTTTTTTTTTTTTTTTTTGAGGCGGAATCTTGCTCTGTCACCAAGGCTGGAGTGCAGTGGTGTGATCTTATCTCACTGCAACCTCTGCCTCCTGGGTTCAAGCAATTCTCCTGCCTCAGCCCCCCGAGTAGCTGGGACTACGGGTGCATGCCACCATGCCTGGCTAATTTTTTGTATTTTTGGTAGAGACGGGGTTTCACTGTGTTAGCCAGGATGGTCTCGATCTCCTGACCTCGTGATCCGCCCGCCTCGGCCTCCCAAAGTGCTGAGATTACAGGCATGAGCCACCGTGCCCGGCCAGAGTGGTCTTTAAGAATCAAATTTCTCCAGGAGGATGAGGGGAAAAAACTTCATAGACTAAAAACAATACTTGGCTCATAATCACAGCAATAATAGCTAACTAATACTTATTGCAAACTTGCCATGTGCCAGAACCTGTTCCAAGCACTTAACATGTATTAGCTTATTTTAATCCTCCCATCCATATAAGGCATTCAAAATCATTAGATGTATTTAATAAATAAGTCAATTGGTATTTGTAGAGACTAATTTCTAAAAAAATTGCATTCATAGTGATGGGCATATGAGGAAGTCACATTTCCAAGCACAGCATCATGTCAAGTATGGTGGAAGCAACTTCAGTGTTATCTTAGTCAGCTCAGGCTGACTGGGTGACTTGAACAACTATCATTTATTTCTCGCGGTTCTGGAGACTGTGAAGTCCAAGATCACGGCTCTGGCAGATTTGGTGACTGGTAAGGACCTGCTTCTTGATACCCAGATGGCTGTCTTCTCGCTGTGTCCTCACATTGCAGAGTGCAGAGAGAGCTTTAGTCTTGTCATCTCTTTATAAGAACACTAATCATATATGGGTTCCACTTTCACAACCTCATTTAAACCTAATTATTTCCAAAAGCCCAACTCCAAATGCTATCACATTGGGCATTAGAGCTCCAGCATATGAATTTTAGGAGGATGCAAGAATTGAGTCCATAGCAAGTATGGAGGTGTGTTGGGAGACAAGAATGTAAGAGCTACAGTGAGCAAGATCATGAGGGACCTTGTCATCATGTGAACTATTTTGGACTTTATACTGCCAGAAATTGGAAGGTCATGATGTTTTGAAGCAGGAAAATGACACATAAGATTAGTTTTCAGTTAAAAAAAAAATTGCTAGTGACTGTGTAGAGAATACATTGGGAGAGTGTTAGACTTGCTGCATCCGCTAGGGGACAATAGGCATAGCTAGACAGGAAAAATAATAAAGGTCAGAACTAAACATAATGAAACTGAGAAGGAGGATGCTTTGCTGAGGCAGTATGCATAAGTCTTGAGGACTCATTGATTGGAGGGTTCTTTGATATAGACAAGGGGGTTCAAGATTACTTTTAAATTCTGAGTCTGGGTCTCTGAGTTAGGCAGATTTCTAGATTGCATAACTATTTTTCCCTGATAGATATGATACTAAAAAGAAATCAGTTTTGGGGAGACTATGTATATTTTTGTAACTTTGTATTTGTTAGAACTGGAATTACTTCGGGATATTCAGTTCAAGATTTCTAGTAGGCAGTTGGCGGTAAATGTGTGGTGTGTACTTGGGTATGCACACACACATATACAAATACATTTGGGGTTTGGAAGTTCTATCACTTATTTAGTCAGTTATTTTGTTGCAAAATCTGAATGCTTTACATACTGAGTACCCTAAACAAATCAACAAGCATTTGTTGAATGACTGATTCAAAAAGTTCTACACAATTGATGTAGGTTTTAATCTACATCACCACAGCTCTCCTCAATATTTCAAGAAAAAATTATGGTTGCCCTCTTTTCTAAATCTGAAATGCAGCATTGGTAAGTTGGAAAAATTTGCTGCTCTTCTCTTCATTCCATTTTCTGTTTTGCAGGTTGTGGGCAAGGCAAATAAAAGAAATTTATTTTCATCGACTGCTTAAAAAAGAGTATTCAGAGGGTGGAGAAATTAAATCTACAGTAGATCTAAGTTTGATATAAACATTTAAACTAATGCCTATGTTAGAAAATCTGTTGTATTGCTTATGATTATTTTAAAATTCCTTGAGCTACCTTTGTTTTATTAGAATAGTCAGAGCCATATCCCAGAGCTTCCCATTTCTTCCTGAATCAAGGGTGGAATGTGATTATAGATCAAATTTTAACATGCAACAAATATTTTTATGTAAAAGATCCTGCAGAGAAGTATCTCTGCAAATTTTAAGGGCTGATTAGCTCTTTGGATCCTAAAGATGGTGAATCTCATGGTAAAAGTTATGACATTTTAAAAAACTCATTCACTTATACTAAATATAGTTTAGCATGGGGACAAGCCTTGTTTATATGATGCACTTCCCTATTGTCAAATATCAATTGAATATCACGCACATAGAGAAGGCAGAACAGAAATTAAAACCCAATATTTCAATGCAACATTTTCTTCTCCCCTTTTGCTATTCCTCCAACTCAGTGTCTGAGAATAGGTAATAAATCAAATTACTGAAAGACATAGTTCTCCAGCTTGATTGCTATAAGAGACTAGTGAGAGCAAGGCCCAGGAGAAATTGAAAGGAAAAAGAAGAGGAAGAAAATGGGGTAGGGAAGAAACTGATTCAAATCAATGCCAACATCAAAAAAAAAAAAAAAGGTAAATCAGAGAAAAAAAAAAAAAAGCTTCCAGAAAAAAGGAATGTCTATATCCTTAAAACAAGACAGAGAGACTTCTATTAAAACAGATGGCATATTGCAACATTCATATAAATGAATATAAAAAGGACAAAGAGGAGAGAGCATGCTTCCATTGGATATTTAAGGGAATGCTACTCCCTTCTGAAATGGTGAGAAGAAAAAGAATGTACTCTCTTCAGGAAGAAAATTTAGTATTCTTATAAGGGATGTGCTTACTGAGTTCTCTGTTGAATCCAGTTTAGCATTATCTTTGTCAGACTTCGTTTCTTAGCAGGAACTACACGAAGAAGGATTTGCTTTTTAGATTTTCATCTTAAGGAAAGAACAAAGGTTTTGAATGAGAGTATGTAGGATCAGCATCCAAAGTCTACCACTTGATATGTGTGTAATCTTGGATAAATACCCCTGACTCTTTAAGTCTCAATTTTCTCACCAGACCAATGAAGAAAGTAAAGCTCATAGGCTTCTTAATGAATCTTAAATGAGAAAATGAAAGGGGCCATGGCCAGGAGAAGGTACATTTTGTCTCATCGAGTTCAGTTTTGAAAATGTTATCTCAAGGGCCCACTTAGACAACTTTTGAGCTTCAGAATCTGAGAAGCTGGCCTAAGGAATTTTTCCAACGAGCAGTTTACAGAAGGGTAGGCTAGGAATACTGTAGGAGCACCTGAAGAGGAAAGAAAGCATGTGGGAGCCTGCTCCTTGTTCCTTCTGTTCAGATAAACTGCTGAATATGTTAAGCTAGACTAGAAACTGATGAAACAAGAGTTTTTCTTCGGGTCATCTACAACACAGCTTTTCACTCTGAAAGGTAACAAGATAGAATGTGCATGAGAGCACTTGGAAAACAATAGCTCTATTTAAATAAAAGGCCTTGTTATTCTTTCTAAAGCTTCTGGAGCAAGGTATGCCTGTACCGTGTTATGTTGGCTTTGGGCAGTGTGCGTCTCTTAAATGGAGGTCAGGTGCCTGAACCCCTACTTAACTTGAACTACTGAAGCTTCCATTATCCTCTTCATTGATCCGGAGAGGCAAGCACAAATAAAACCCAAATGACTGTCTCCAACAACAAGGAATCTTTAAATGTGCATCATTTGGCAGTGGCATTATCTTAAGACGATTATCCAGTGTATAAATGTTTATTGCCTTGCTTTAAGATGCACAATGTAAGATTAACAATCATGGTGTTTTTCGTATAAATGCAATATTTCTGCTATTGTGTTTGTGGAATTCAGCTAGATAATAATTGATTCCGTGACAGGGATTGGCTAATTTGCCAACAGTATAGTATAAAACACATTTATACAGTCAATTACACCCAAGTGCATGGCCTATTTGCTTTATAATTTCATAAACTTGCCAGCAATTTAAATAAAAAAGTTCCATTAAATTATCATATCATGTGATGGAATGATATTGCCAAGTATATTAAACCATGTGTGTTCAGCCAGAATTAATTAAATATTATTACTTTTTTCTTATTAACACATTGAACTTACCCTTCCTACTCTCTACTCGAAATAGAAGCCTATTAGTGAATAAAGTAAACTTAAGGGCAAAGTTTAAACATTTTCCTGAGGGTGTTTCATTAAGAACCCTGGTTCTTTTGTTTAAACATTTGCTCTTGGTAAATGTACTTGTATTGTGAAAATATTTTATGTTCTTAGATATGAATACTGGAAAGTTTAAAGAATACTTTTACTTAATTATTTGGGTATTCAAGAAGGAAACATTTATGTCTTCAGCTTAGAGAAAGTCATGATATAAACTATTTCCCTATTATTCCAATATTATTTGTTTATGACTATATTATTTGTGGCACTATGAATCTATCTAATCTTAGTAAGGGTAAGATGCAAGTCTGGATAATTTAGCAATTCAAAAATGAATAAAATACAATATTTTCTAACACAGCAGATACCTGTTTCATATGAAATAAATTAACCAGGCCTCCCCAAGGGACTCATAGTTCAATAATTCTGCAGTGAACAATAAGAATTAAACTCTTAATATTGCCCTTGTTTTATTTTATTAAAAGTAAAATATAGAGATGAACTTCTCCCTGACATATACTAATTATTCTAATTAGGTGCTCAGGGTAACAAACACACTTGACCTTTATTCTCACTCTTGTTCTTTGTCCATATCATAATTTACCAGGTTGCCCCACACTTTATCAATTTGGAATTTCAAGGTGTTTTTTGGCTTCTTCCTCTTGCTGTGTGTGTGTGTGTGTGTGTGTGTGTGTTGATTTTTATTTCTAAATACAGTATTTCTTTCGTTTCATAAATAGAAACAGTTTCTTTTCTCTTAATAAAGCAAAACATATATATCAGTTAAAAGCAGACTATGGCCATTAAAAGCCAAAGGGAGATTAATTAGAAGCACAGAATGGGCTCATGGACTTGGCAGGTGGCTGAAGGAAGAGGTTTAGCAAATGACAGAAACCAGGAATATTTCCAAAGCTGGGCATGCAGCAGGATCCACAACAAGACCACTCCATAGGAATGGTTGGATTTCATGCTACCTCTGTTCCTACATTGAATCTTACAGCAAATTCCTCCCATACCGTGAGTTCTCTGTTTAGCATCAAAGTCCTGGAGGAGAAGGATGCCATGAGTGTGCCTTGCAGCTCTAGGTGAAAGGAGGGAAGACCTGGTTTCTTCAACATCTTTTGTGGGAGGTGGGCACTGTCCTCAGCCAAGCTGTACAGAGCAGGAACATCCTTAAAGGGAATAGTAAGGTGAAAGAAAACAAATGAGTGTGATTGTTACAACTCAACCCCCCAAAAATAAATAAATAAAATAGAAAATTGTTGACCAAATAGCAAAGTAAATTAAAGTGCAAAGTGCAAATGCCTTTATAGACTACCAGATATTAACAATATTAATAGCTTAATTAGACCTATTCAATCTTGTGTATTTACATATGAAAATACATCTTATTATATCATACCATGTATATTATTCTGTAACTCCATGTAAACTTTGAATATTAAATAACTGTTAACCTTTTTATTTTAACATGTGGAGATTTACCCAAATTTTATGGTTTTCTAGTATTCCATTGTATGGATTTTCATAATTTATTTAGCCAAATTTCTATTGATAGGTATTAAGACTGTTTTTAATTCTCTCACTATTATGAACGTCTTTACAAATTTATCTTTGCCTTCTTCAATTATTTCCTTAAGAACAATTTTCAGAATTGGAACTTATAGGTCAAAGGTTATCCTCATTTGAAAAATATTGCCAAATTGCTCTCTAGAAAGACAGTGACAATTTACACCCCCACAAACGGTATATGTGATGAAATCATTAACATCATCAACTTCTTCATCATTTTTCCTTCTTAATCACCAGAAAGGTGTGAAAAAACCCTTACGCTTAAACATAAAGATTTATAATTACTAGCACTTACCTTAATAAGACAGTGCTTACAATTGGGTAAGCATAGCTTTCACAACAGTCTACTCAGACTCAGCAGATATTTAATTATTGTAGTCAAAAGAATTTACCTTGAATAATGGTGTAGACAGGAGTCTAACAGACTGTATATTTTACTTGCTTCCTGTGTACTTTGTTACACATAGTGTTATTTATTCCGTGTAGGTGACTTTAAATTTATGTAATTGTACACATCAGATCTATGAGTCAACCAAAATTCTACTTATCTGCAGTGATATAATGAGGATAAAGAGACTTTGCCCAAAGAATTCAGGTTTTGATAATCATCCTTTTCCCTTTACAATGGTAATTGAAAATCCACCTTCTTTTACTAATCACATAGAAAAATTCTCACATTTAAGGAATCCTTGTCCTTGAAGTTTTATTTACACTGATGTTGAAAATATACAGTATTTCCAAAGCATTTCAAAAATCAGGGAAACTATTTTGACAAGAGGAGACTGTGTTAATGCCAAACTTGAAAATGTGAAGATTTTGCTTATTCGAGTGAGTGGTGTTTTTGAATAAGACAAAATCTATAATCTTAGTAAATATTACACACTATTATTAAAGAAGCAGAAAAGAATTGTGCTAGAGTTAATTAAGGCTTTAAGAAATGCCTGCTTTTATTGGCAAAAAAAAATTTTGTTGCAACAAGAAAACTAAAAATTAAGAGGATGGTTGGCAGCAATATTGATATGCTAATGGATAAACATGCTAATTTAGAAAAAAACTAATCAGCAAAGACATTACTAATGGAAATGTACAGGAAATGGCTAATGCTGTATGCAAACCTGGTATCTACAAAATTAAGAAGAAACCAGTTTTGTTTTCATAATTGTAACTAGAGAGTCAGAATCTTCTCTAAGTAAGCTTTGCTACAGGAAGATAGTGACAAATTTGCTGGGTGCTAGCAGAGCTAATATATACACACACACATACATGTATATATGTATATATTTATATTACACCCACTTACATACAATAGGACACTAAGGCCTCTATTATCCCAGTCTCATAGGTACTAGGTGGCAACCTCCACATGAGAAAAGCAGACAATGACTTTTCAGGTAAAACAGTCTCTGAATTTGATGGGCATTAAGTGGTAATTTTATTGACAAAATTAACCTGATGAATATAATTCTTCAAATGTACATATATTCTGAGCAGTTCCTTTCCTTTGCTTTGTTTTCTAAACTCAAAGATAGGCACTTAAATACCTACAGGACCCAGGACAGTAATTTAAATGAGTAACGATGTAATACACTAGGTGTAATTTACTAGGAAGTAGTAGGGATTGAGGCAAACTGAAGAACTAACTTTACAAGGGCAGATAATACTCAGTCCAGAAATGTCAGGCCAGAATGAGTCCCTGATGTCACCAGATCTAATTTTTCAAGAGAAGCTGGAAACACAAGCTTTTAAATAAAATTTCTTCAAATTGTAAAATGTTGAATCAGCCAATTTAGGCTTAAATTGACTTAATAATAAATTTTTCTCCTCCTGCCATCATCATCCTTGATTGACATCCTTTCACCTTATATACCCTTGCTGTTATGTACAATTGCATTTAGTCCTCAGCATGGTCAGCCCTCCACATTGCCATCTGAGAATGAAAATGAGAATTCAGCACCCCTTTTTAAAGAGAGCCTTCAAACATTTAATTAACTTTGCTTTATTTCTGACTGTTCTTTCTCCTCTGGCTGAAATGTGGAACCATTATCAGTTTGGGCCAGTGGCAACAAGTTATTCTCACTGAATATAATGTCCCTTTGTATCTCAGGTATAGGTCAAGGTCTTGGAAACATGCTCAAAAGATATAGACTCTGGCCCTTCAAAAGAACTGTTTTTCTTCAAAACTGTTGTGTGTTTGCCTTGGTATTACATCCATTTAGAAGCTCATGAGATTAACATTGCCAATTTCTGTTTTCATTTTTGTGGTAGCAACCATTGTTCAAGGACAATGTGGGTCAATGTTTTGGAAGACATTTTGAGAGAGGATATTAATTGATACATGAAAATATCTCAATTCATTAGCTATCATTATAATGATTTTATTTTACCTTAGAAATTCAAACATCTTATTGGTAATTGATAGTTACTTGTGAATCTTATGGAGGAAAGGCAATTTGTTTGAAAAATACATATTGTTGGAATTGAGAACAAAAATGTAGACAAGAACCCAATTAGTAAATATAAAAATTGTTCCTGTGTGATTTGTGTATATTAGGTTTTACTCCATTCTATAAACATACCATATCTACAAAAGATCTTCCTGTGGAAAATGGAATTATTTGAGGATATACCCTAAAACTGCCAATATAATTAAAAATATCCTCATTCTGATTACATTCTGAGAATTATGCTTAATATATCACCTTCAACTTTAAGAAGAATGAACAATTCTAAACAAAGCAATTGTTAACTTTTGTCATTGGTGAATCAATAAAGTTCTTAGGGCCAACAGCCAATAATTGAAAGTACTTTAGTTGCCGCATTGGCTGGATGGAGAGAGATTCTTACTGTTCAGGATTAAATATGTTTCTTTTACGTCAGAATTTTTGTCTGGGAGCTCTGTAACAACTAGAGGTAGCTTTTGGTTTTCAGAACTAAAAGGAATTTACCACTCAGAAACACAGAGGCAAAGGAATGAAGCAATGTAGAGGGAACTGAGGCCCAATTAACAGGCAGAATAGATATGAGGAAGAAATTCATAGTGGCCATTGCTTAGATAACGATCAATAATATCCAGCCAAGATGTCAGGTGTTGGGAAGATATTGGAGCCAAAGTAAGTAGTGGACAGTCAGAAGGAGGAGAAAAAGAGAGGACCTAAAGAACTACCTTGAACTCTGTCTTAGTTTGGGTTCTCTTGAAAGCAGAAGCCAAAAGGGTTGGATATAGGTTATTTATTTGGGAATTGATCCCAGGTAGCAGGGAGTAGGGAACAGGGAGGGTAAGATGGGCAACTATCAAAGGTAATAAACTACATTACTGAGCTGGTTATTGCTGTGAGCAATTAGGGCTCAGTCCAGCTGAGGAAATGTGGGGAACTCTGTAGAAAGTGCATCCAAATTATTTCTCTAAGAACCAGAGGTCTGGGGAAATATCCACCAACACCCCTCCTTCATTGGTTGAGGGATTTCTCTGAGAGTGTTAACTCCTTTCACTCACAGGGATCATCTACCTGCCTTCTGAGAACAATCTTTTGGCTTCATGTAAAACCCTAGGAAAGAAAAGCAGAGTGATGCTGAGTTGCTGATTGAAGTGGGATAATATCAGCATGTACAAAACTACAGCTGCACATAATATGAGCTGGGCTGAGGGGATGTGACGCAGAGCACAAAAACAATTTGATGCAAGCACCACATAGTGCTTGGGCCTTAGCCCTATGGAATGGCAGATTTGTGGAGTGTGGGTAAAGTGGGCTAACTAACAAAGAAATGGATATGAAGAAATCCTCCAAACCCACTGGCATCCTGAGCCAATATCTTTTTATTTCTGTATTTCTTCTTTAAAAAATGGGATACATGTGCAGAACGTGCAGGCTTGTTACATAGGTATATGTGTTCAATGGTGGTTTGCTGCACCTATTGACCTGTCCTCTAATTTCCATCTCCTCAACCCTTACCCCCCAACAGGCCCTGGTGTGTGATGTTCCCCTCTAAATGTCCATGTGTTCTCAATGTTCAGCTCCCACTTATGAGTAAGAACATGTAGTGTTTGGATTTCTGTTCCTGTGTTAGTTTGCTGAGGATGATGGCTTCCAGCTTTATCCATGTCCCTGCAAAGACATGATCTCATTCCTTTTGATAACTGCATAGTATTCCATTGTGTACATGTACCACATTTCCTTTATCCAGTCTATCATTGATGGGCATTTGGGTTGCTTCCATGTCTTTACTATTGTAAATAGTGCTGCAGTAAACATATCTGTGCATGTATCTTTATAGTAGAATGATTTATATTCATTTGGGTATATATCCAGTGATGAGATTGCTGGGTCAAATGGTATTTCTGCTTCTAGATCCTTGAGGAATCGCCATACTGTCTTCCACAATAGTTGAACTAATCTACACTCCCACCAACAGTGTAAAAGCGTTCGTATTTCTCCACAGCCTCACCATCATCTATTGTTTCCTGAATTTTTAATAATCACCACTCTGACTGGCGTGAGATGGTATCTCATTGTGATTTTGATTTGCATTTCTCTGATGATCAGTGATGTTGAGCTTTTTTTCATATGTTTGTTGGCTGTATAAACGTCTTCTTTCGAGAAGTGTCTGTTCATAACCTTTGCCCACTTTTTGATGGGGTTATTTGCTTTTTTTTCTTGTGAATATGTTTGAGTTCCTTGTAAATTCTGGATATTAGCCTTTTGTCAGATGGGTAGATTGCAAAAATTTTCTCCCATTCTATAGGTTGCCTGTTCACTCTGATGACAGTGTCTTTCACTGTGTAGAAGCTCTTTAGTTTAATTAGATCCCATTTGTCAATTTTGACTTTTGTTGCAATTGCTTTTGGCATTTTGTCATGAAGTCTTTGTCCATGCGTATGTGCTGAATGGTACTGCTTAAGTTTTTTCTCTATGGTTTAGAGTTTTGGGTCTTACATTTAAATCTTTAATCCATCTTGAGTTAATTTTTGTATAAGATATAAGGAAGGGGTCCAGTTTCAGTTTTCTCCACATGGCTAGTCAGTTTTCCATTTTCAATGCTATGCTTTCAAGTGGCTTCATATTCAGGTGACACAATTGCCTCCCCTCCATTATGAATTTTTTTGTTACTGTATCACATCAGATGATGAAACTCTTCCATGATCCCCCAACTCAAACAAGAATTTAGGATCACTTCTCAAAATCCAGTCAGTCTCCAAACCATGATCTACTAGCCTGCATATATCAAAAAACCCTTTTTTGCTTTTTTTCCCACAGTCTTGACACCATGGATGCCTGCACTTGTCTACCTACCTTTATCACGTGCCCTTTCTCACCAATCAGGTCTTGGCTGTCTAGTTCACTACCGCAGCACGGAGCACAGAGCCTGACCCACAGTGTCCCACTAGATAAATGCCAGAGGTTTTTGTCTCTGCCTCTTGTGCTATCTTCTTTTTCTCTCTCCATAGGACAAGCCACGTCTCAATCTTCGTTAAAGCCCAGATCTCTCCAGAGTGTGTTCAATTCTATCTTTTCTTCCCAATCCATCTTGAGAAGCCTTGTGCAGTCCCTCTCTGGTGAATATTCTCAATACTTCATCTGTTTAATTCCAGCATTTCTGTCTTAAAACTCTCATAACCTGGCCATTAATCCTGACTCATGGCTAGGCCATTGTGGGGTCATCATTTTTACAGCTGTTGAATTTCAGAAATGTAATTAAGTAACTGAACCATCCATTGAAGCAGCTGACTGCTATTTGTACAAATACAGAGCTCCTGTGATTCTCCATCTATTACCCTACCAAGTTTGTCATAGATAAACATAATTTTTCCAGTTCTTTGTATTTTTCTATTTGCTTTTACCCAAAGGTAATATAACATGTTTTGTTACATTACTTTTTTCTATAAATAAAACTTATATTAAAAGTCATTTCTTTCTTTTTAGACAGTTTCACTGTTCCACCTCCAAGCTGTATGACTATTGTAGTTTACTACTAAGTACTTTATACAGTGCCTCTTTTGAAATGTGATTTGAAGAAACTTAGGACAAAGAATACGCAATTGACTCTTAAATAACCTGAGGTTAGACTGCATGGATTCACTTTTATGCAGACTTTTAAAAATAAATATATTGGAAAATTTTTTGGAGACTTGTGACAATTTTCAGGAAAACCTTATAGCCTAGAAATATCAAAAAAATTAAGAAAAAGTTAGGTAAGTCATGAATGTATAAAATATATGTAGATACTAGTCTATTTTATCATTTACCTTCATAAAATATATACAAATCCATTATAAAAAGTTAAAATGTATCAAAACATAAACATACAAACAGATCTTACATGGTGTCATTAGAAATCAAGAGAAGTGTAAACAACAGCAAAGATGAGTATTAAGTCACAACTGCATAAAATTAACTGTAGTACATAGTGTACTACTATAAACATTTTGTAGCCATCTCCTGTTGCTATTGTGGTGAATTCAGTGTTGCAAGTATCCAACCACCGATGCTAGTTATCTCAATGTGAGCAGTTCCTCTCTCCAGTAAGTTGTGTGTAGCAATAAGTGATCTCCCCCGTTCTCCTGTATTTTTCATCATGTTTAGTGCAATACTTTAACCCTTTAATAACACTATGGGACCCACATGAAGTGCAACTAATGATGCTTGAAGTTCTCCCAAGAAGCAGAGAAAAGTCATGACATTATAAGAAAAAGTTGAGTTGCTTGATATGCACCATAGACTGAGGTCTGCAGTTGAGGTTGCTTGTCATTTCAAACAGATGATATAAATTTACAGTATTGATAAATACAGTACAGTACTGTAAATGTATTTTCTTTTCCTTTTGATTTTCTTAATAACATTTTTTTCTCTTCCTTACTTTATTGTAAGAGTACAATACATAATACGTGTAACATACAAAATATGTATTAATCAACAGTTTATGTTATTGATAAAGCTTCTCATCAACAGTAGGCTATTACTAGTTAAGTTTGGGGGGAATTAAAAGTTATACATAGATTTTCAGCTGTGGGAGGAGTGGGTGCCCCTAACCCCTGTGCTGTTCAGGGTTCAAGTATATATCCACAAAGAGTACGAAAGCAAAAGAGGAAACTAGTTCTGTGGGGAAATGAAAGAAATGATTAAACTGAGCATAAAGATCAATACAGTTCTAATGAAGGAGCAAATTTAGCTAAGCTGTCTAGCATCTGTGCATAAAGAAAATATGATGGTTGGTCTATCCTCTATATTAACTGAAAAAAGAAGGCATATTAATTCTTCAGGGGAAATATAGGTTTTCCTGGCTAAGTTCTAATAAATGTATGGAATGTAACACAAGTCAGAGAGGTACATGATAAATAATGTCCTGACAATCGCTCTATAGGGAAAGCAGACAACTCTTTCTTGTGATTACTGTGGTAGAAGCTGAGGATTTAGCATTAAATTAGTATGAAGGAACAAAGAGCACATACTCTGATTTCAAATAATTTTCCCTTGGTTTAAGTTCATCTGCATATAGAATTTAGAAAAATTTCAAAAGTGTTGTGTAACACACACTTTTATTTATACTATTTTTACAGCAAATGGTACATGTTTATGTAAAAAAATAAAAATAAAATTAAATTGCATTCCTACTGATATGTCCCCATACCACCATTTAAATTTGTTATGTATCCATTCCTTCAGATTGTCTTCAATGTTTTTCTCAACCCCTTACACATATATAAACATTGAGCTTTATTTTTATAAATATCATACTATACAAATATTCTTTAATTTGCATTATTCCTGCAACATATTATTTCTCTCTTACATTCTAATTTCCAATGGCATTATTTTTTCTGGCAAAGCTTTTGATAGAATCTAGAGGGGAAAAGGTAAAGATAAACTATTTTGACAAGTGGATAAAAACATGGGCTTTAGAATCTGACCTTCTGGCAGTTATGGCTTCCAGGATCAATAATTGTGTAATCTTGAACAAATAAGTGTATCAAATTAAGACTCAATTTCCTCATCTGTGAAATGGGAGTGATAGTAGTACATAACCTCTCTACAGTATATTCAATAAGATTAAATAAAATACATGCAAAGTATAAAAACAGCACCTGCACAGAGAAAGAGCTCATTTTAAGGCCTTTCAATGCTGACCTTCTAGATTATTGACTGAGGGGAGCATTATGCTTTAGAAACCTAACTAGTTGATGGTAGGTATGATGTTCTATTGAGAAACTTGAGAAGGGCACTCCACCCCCACACAGGTTCCTCAAATAAAGCTCCATTTTATCCTGAAGGGAGACTTGGATTTTCTCCAGAATCTTTATAAAAATTTTGCAAAAAGACTCATCACCCTAAACCACCAAATATGGCACCAATAGTTCTGAAGTGAACAATTTTCAGAGATACTCAGCCCCAGTCTGCCACAAAGTGCAAATGCAGTGGGGGTCGTCCTCTCACTGGCCTCAGAGGACCTCTGGCCCAGCCCAGGTGGCTCAGAAGGGCCAGTGGGCACTGGGCCTGAGAAGACCCCCACCTGCTCACCCAACGGCAGCTCCTGCCAGCTCAGCTGGGCTGGGCCTGGGGTCCCTGGGTCACCACATGGCCCCCTCCCACAGGGCCTTAGAGGCCACTTCTGCATCTCTGGCACTTTCTGTTGGAGCAACACGGGTCCCTCCATCGGGGGATGGATGCGGCCGCCAGTGTATTCCCTTCCCTGAGAGTGGGGCCTCCCCAAGAGCTGACTCTGCACCTCCTCCTTAGCCCTCATGGGGCCCCAAGACATCTGAGAGTGTTGGGTGTAAGTGCGAAATAAAGAAATCCTCCCAGAAAAAAAAAATTATCGGCCTCAGAAAAGGAAATCTCAAAATGGCCCCATGGGGTTACTAGTCACAGTTGGTTAAGATTTTATACAGAGATGATCTCATTTGACCCCTATGAAGACTCTGTAAGGTGAAAATTATTTTGTAACGAATTTTAGCACCTCCCATGCCCTTTATGTGCAGTTTGACTTATTGAAGTTTTTGGACTCTAAGGACATGGAAGTAATAAGACATCCAATGGACTGTCAGGACTCTGAGCTCATTTGAGTCCTGCTATGCTCAATCTGGGAAGCTCATACTGGTGTACAATGCAGCAGTTTACAAAGCAATCCCAATGGGGTTGTGTACTAGCTGCTTGTTTGTTTGCAAGTGCAATTCCAGATGTTGATTTTTCATCTAGTCATCCCTTGCTAGTTTGGTGTCGTGTTGCCTTAGAGACGGTTTTCTCTATGTGTTATCTCTTGACAATTGATGTCAACCAGAGTCTTGCTTATCATCATGTGGAGATAGAAGACAGAACCAACAAGCAGTTGGACATTTTCTTAGCTCGTCCTGCTTGGAATTTCCTTCTCCAGAAGCTTCCTCAGGCCGTGTTTTAACTCATGGTAAAATATAGCTCATGTCGATTTAAAAAAAGAAAGCTCAGACATCCAGAGTAGAAAGAGTATCCGATAACCTTTTCCTCCTTACTTTCTTCCTTTTATCCTTCTCCCTCTCCTCCTCTCTTCACTTACCCTCCTCTCTTCAGTCCATTCCATTCCATTCTAGTTTAATCTAGTCTAGTCTAGTCTAGTCTAGTCTAGTCTAGTCTATCCTCCCTTACTCCTCCCTTTCCCATCTGCCCCCTCCATCTCTCTCCATCTTACACATTAGTACACACACACACTTAACTTTTCCTCAGAAATCTCAGCGCAAACTCGTTGGAAATGCTTAAGGCTAAATCAAAAGTGAATAAATGTTTCCTTTACCAGGAACTTTAACTTTTTCTTTGAAGTTTAATTTAGTTCCTGAATGTTAAAGATGATATATTTGATATCTGTAAATCTGTCTGTACTCGTCTGTGCATGTGAATATATATACATGAGCAAAAATGAAAAAAAGAAAATAAAATCCCCCCAACTTCTGCTTTGACTGCAAGATTAGAGGTTCTAACTTCTTGATTATTCCTTAACAAGAACATTTTAGAGAAATCAGTATCTTTTGTCCTCATTCCATATAGATTACTGCAGTTTGCAGACAGCCCTTTTTGCATATTATGTAAATAGAAAGTTACATTAACAACACTGTAGGTAATGTAGGAACATTTTTTTAAATTTCTCTTTTTTTCTTATAGAAAGAGCTTCTGATTAAGAGCTGTGAATGCTGTTCATATTTAATTCCTTGCTGACTCCCGAAGTACTGTCTGGGATGCCTCAAATACTTTTTGTAAAACCATTAGTATTTGGCACTACCCATCCCAAAAAGATCACAAGTTAGCCCAATGGACAATGTAGAATTTTGAATATATCCTGCTCTGAGTTACCTAGGTGAGAGTTAAAGTGTGTGTGCTGGCAGGTGGGTTATCAAAATAAAATCTAACATCCATAGGTAGCATTTTTATGTAAGTGTTGGGAATATGAGAGGTGGTGGGAGGAAGCAGAATCTCAGAGCACTTCAGAGCTGGATAAATAAGCTCTAACTTCAACAGAGAACAGGAGGGAGTGGGAGAGGGAAAGAGAGCCTCGATGCTCTTTACAGGGTGTGTCAAGTTATACAGACACAAATAGAGTCAGCGTTTTGGTGATGCATGCTATGAATTTTGAAAAATATTAGAATAATGAAATGCTGCTTGGTAGCTGATTACAACATATGATAGGTTCACAAAGAGATGCATAAACCTATGCTAAAATTTATTCCAAGGACAACACAACAGTAGTTAAAAAAAATCTTCACTTTAGAGTGACCTTAATTGTTACTGGAAACAAAATATTCAGCCTTCAAAGTACATTGGTGGCCCTGGCCCCTGACTCAACAGAAACTCTAGAGACAATGTCCTGCCCCACCACTGACTTTCTCAGGTCCCCAAAATCTACAGAAGTGAGTAATCTACCAGCTTTCCTACAAATACGACTTCCACCTTAACACAGAGAAGAAAATTGCTCTGTTGAATTCAGAAGAAGTATCTGATTATAGTTCATAAAGCTACAAAAAATTATATGGTTTCATCAGTTTATGAGACTGTCTCACCTTAAGAAGTCAGTAAAATTTCTCTCCTTGAGAAAATAGAGTTTATAATGTTTCTATACAATCAGTGTTGAATGGATTCCTCCATGCTCGTTTTGGAAATGTTTGTTGTGATAACCTGTGACACAATTTACTTATTGTTGTGGCAGTAGGAGTTTAATGTGATTGAAAGCCATCAAAAGGCATAGCATCTGAACGTCAAACATGACTTGTATCTGTAATTCCCGACGGCGATTTGGATGCCTGTTGATTCTTTTCCTCATTCACAGTGATTTTTTCCCCCTTTCCACTAAGTGGCACTGTGTTATTTGCATTTTTCTGTTCAGGTCAAAATATCCAAACATTTGGAATGGTGGCATGAAAACCAGTTTAAAGCTTTGTTGTAAATTTCTACTAAATAGATTGGGATAGGAAAAAAGCAGCAATTAAATTTTTAAATTTTTATAAGAAAAAATCTTCTATGAAGCTTTCTCTTTTCTGTATTTAACTCTTTCCCACTTTTTCTTTCCAAATTCATTAGCCTCCAAATAAGCACACCATATTATATATGTCGAAGGAAGTTTTATTTAGACTTATAAGGGCTGATCTATTCCCATACTGTTTAAATTAATGTTCAAAAAAGAATTCAAACCACATTCTAACATTTGGACTATGTAAGAAGGAAACAGATTTTTTGGGGAAAAAAAGATGTTGTTTTAGCTAGGCAGAATGGGCTGTAGGAACATAGACACGTGCAGACTGAATTTCTAAATGTGTGTATTATCTGATAAGATCTGTGCTGCTCATGTGTCAATTCAGAAAGTAAATGAGTACACGAGCAGATTTTTTTCTTTCCTCTTTTTTTTCTCTCTATCCCTTCCTTTTTTCCTTCCTTCCTTTTTATTTTATTTTATTTTTTCACTTTTTCCATTCTCCTCCTTCCTTTCTTCTAATAGTATAGGATTTACTTTTATCTCAGCCACCTGCAGCCTAAGGCTTGGAAACATTCTGGTTCTTCACTAACTGGTGACATTTCAGACCAAATTAGCCCCAGAAATGCAAGGTGACTTTAATAATAAACTAGAGCTTTGAAATAGAATAGCCTGGATTTGCATCAGGTGTAACATTTTGAGAATTCAGTTCTGATTACCCTCTCCAAATACAACACACCATTGACAGGCAGAATGCTCTGTCAGGTTGGCATCTATACAACCAGCCTACATTTAAAAAATCATGAACAAAAACAAAGTTACTGACTTTGTATGTGAGTGACCACCTTTAGTTTTCATTAGAACAGATTTTTCCAGTTTCTCAAGTGCAGCAAAAACACTGCCAGATAAAGAAGCACAGATACAACCTTAGAAAGAACTGTGAGGCCAGAATTCTGCGCATGTATGTGACTCTGTGTGTGTGTGTGTGTGTGCGTGTGTGTGTGTGTGTGTGTTGTGGAGGGTTCTTTTTGAAACTAATATATTACATTCCAATTAGCCAGCTTTTAGCAGTTACTTTCTTTGGTGTTTTGGCTTCTATTTGTAGCATGTATGGTAATATACTTTTTCTCATAAATGAAGTGTATTTTTTAATTAGAAAAATAAAAGAAATTAGCCAGAAAAATATCAGTCTACCTTTTTTAAAAATACATCACCTTTTAGAGAATAGCACCACTCTGTCTAGAAGATATAATACAAGATATAATAGCATTTTCCTTTAAAACTAGCTAACATTCAAGAACAGATGAATTTGTAGACTTCCTCAGACAAATGGATCGCAGAGAACCTGGAACAGCATTGAAACCAGCACCATGCCATGAGCTAGTGTTACTGGGGAGGGGGAACTGTCCCAATGTCTTCACATGAAGACAAAGGCTAGTGAAGTGGTGGCGAGTTGGCATGCTTTCCTTAGCATATATTAGTCCTTTGGAATAATCTTTAAACCAAAAGAACTGTATCAGGGACATTTTGGTTTATTTACAATAGACTTGTGAAGAGTCGCAAGCCATTATTGGATTCAAATGAACCCAAGTAACCTATTTAGTTTTCTTCAAGTTAACGTCTCCCAAACTTGCTTGGCCTTGCATCCCTTTTAGTTAACCACATGTATTTCACTCCCAATGGACTAGTTCGACAGTCAAGGTAGACTATATTATACTGACGTAATGAAGAGCCTCCCAGATGTCAATAATTTATTTCAATAAAGATTTGTCTGTTTCTTACATCATGATCCATGTTCAGCATGTCCTTAGGGATCAGCAGGAGTGCTGTGTTCACGGACCAAAACTGAAGGAAGAGCCATCATATGAAGCAGGCCAGTTGCTGTGCTAGAGGGAAAACAGAAAGCTCAAGAATATTCCACCCAAACACCAACCTCTAGGTGCTCTGAATCCGAGGTGACTCACAGCACTTCCGATCACAATTAATTGTGCAGAACTAGTCATATGGTTTCATCCACACACAAGAGGACAGGAAATGTAATCCCAACATATGCCCAAAAGGCAGAGATCCCAAAATAATTTGAGAACAGTACTAATGACTACCATACATAGTAGTTTTCAGAATATATTTTAAGACTTCCTGGACAACTTATTATGTCTCTTACATGCTCCAAATCTCATTGTTGTGCATTTTTCCGAGATCAAGTAGAGTTTTACCCGAGAGAAAGAGGAGATATGGCAATCCAACACACTGAAAATACTCCAATTACATGTGAAAAATACCTTTTTACATTTGAGCTTCATAAAAACCCTATTATATGTGTTGGGCAAAGATTATGATAAGCAATTTTTTTCATGAGAAATTGAAAGGTGAGTGAAATTACCCTTCTGAGTTGATATAGTATTCAAATGGTTTTTGTAAATCGGAAGGAAACACTGGGAGATGGGAAATGTTAACAGGTTCAAACCCTGAGACAGTTGAGCTAGCAAGAAGTATCACTGCAGTTCAGTGTTATTCTGAATTCAACCAGATTTATCCAGGACTGGTACCAGGGTTGGAGAGATTATTGAACAAAAATATAGTGAGAAATAAAGCTCACTAACAAAAATGTTAAAAAAAAAAAACAAAAAAACAAAGTTTTGGTGAGGTGCCAAGAGGTGACAACTTGCTTCATAAATATCTTGAGAGCTTCTGGCCACTCAAAGCAATGAACACTGAATCATTAAAGAAAAAATTCATGCAGTGACATCAAAAAGAAGATTTTAACTTGCCATTTCAGCCTCAACAAGGACAGTTAAAAGTCAAATAAAAAATAAATTCTGCATTTTTAATGTGCTGTTGGACTCCTATTGAGGAAGATAAATTCTGATTTATTGTTGTCTGCCTCAGAAAGAAGATGGCAGCACAGAATGACATTTTATAGCTTTGTTTTGGTTTGATAGTGTAGGTGGGGGTACCAGGCTGTGGGAGAGGGTATGCCATGACAGACACTAGCAAGCCACAAGCCACATCTCATTACCCATTTCACGTCCTGCCTCACCTCCATCTCCCCCAACCCCTAAATCTACCATAATTAGTCTTGTGATGCTTACTTTGCACCAGCCACACGCCTGAGGCATTATCTCCTATCTGTGGTATTATGTGCTGCAATCCCACAGCTAAATGTGGTAACCCAAATTTCACAGAGACGCTGTAGCAGGCTTGCTGAGATAACCCATCTTCGTATGTGGAGTGCCAGGTCACACGGAGCCTGTAGGCTTGGAGTGCTATGGATGCTTTGTGTAGCTTCTTCCTACGCACCCTATAGCTTACCCATCCTTCCAGAGATCACAGGAACCCTAAATAGCAAATATGGCATCCTAACTAGAACACCACCTGTTTTGTGCAAGTGTACATGGGCTTCTGCCACCCGGCTGCTTCTCTCTCCCTCGCTCTCTCTCTCTCTCTCTCTTTTGGTGGAGAAGAGGCAAAGTTTAGGGTCCATCTCTGTTGTCTGCTGACTAAATATACATAAAACTGGTAGATATGGGCTCATTGTCTATCCTCAGGCCAACAGTACCTGTGCCACCTACACAAACACAGTGACCTACATATATCTCTCACATATGTTCCTTTGAACATTTTACATATGCTTGCAGGTGCTGGGATCCTGGGCAATAAAGATCATTGTTTGACAAGCCTCTTTGTTCCACATTTCAGAATATCTGTGGCTTTTTGTTGTCAAAAGAGATATATTCTTTTGTCTCTCTCTCTCTCTCCCCCTCTCTCTCTCTCTCTCTCCCTCTCCCTCTCCCTCTCTCTCTCTGGTGTGGGATTGCTTAGAAGCATGCAGGTTTTGACATATGCTTTTACCCGAAAATGTATCTGCTCCTGCTGCTTTATTGGACCCCCTAATTACCTGTAAAAAAATAATAATAAATTGGGCAGGTGTTTGCTCTTCCAGTTGATTAATTGACAATGATTTCACTACAATTGACGGCAGAAAGCTAGGAAGCTGTGGGTTGGGGTTCATCAGCTTGAGAGGACAATTTACAAAAAGCTAAAATTGCCTGAAAACTGTATGTTTTTCATTTCAGGCTTGGAAATGTCTTAGTCCCAGTATTGAGCCCTGTCACATATATAATTCTCTGTTTTATATACATGAAACTCTGGAGCTGATAAAATGAGCTTAGAAATTTTTTTTTCCCTAAGTGAAAAAGATCACCCAGATCAGTCACTATTATGTGTTGAAAGAAGTGCATTACAGCAGGAAGAGTGAAGTCTGATGTAAACTTGCCCATGCTTTTTCACTATGTCATTGGTGTTTTGCTTTTCAATTTACCAGTATCAGCAGCAGTAGCAGCCAGCCTCAGATGGTCTCTGAGGACCATACTTCCTAGAATATTAGCATAGTGAGGTTGGGGGGATTCCATATTAATTTTTTTATAGCTTCAAAGAAAAGCACACGATATTTTCATACTGGTGAGTGAATAAAAATGCACTAAAAAATAAAGAGATCTAAATTTCAGAAACAGACAAAACCAAGCACGCTCATATTTGATCAATACTAAAACTTTCCAGGTCTTTCAGGGATCCTAGTAACATACAGAATACATGAAATATTGAGATTTTATTATTTTAATTAAGAGTCCTGGGCATAAAGCATAATTTCAGATTACCAGGTTTTTAGGATAGGAATAGATTGGCTAACAGAATTTTCCATGAAAAAGAAAGTGGTGAACTATGTAAAATAAGTTAGATTCAAGGTTTGGCTGGAGTTCAGGCCATATTTTTATGTTGATCCTTAGAACTCATTCATTCACTCTATTTTTATTTTACAGCTGAGCTTGTAAGCATGAATAATGTAGATACACAAATAGCATAGAAAGTGACTGTAGCCAGGAGGTAGTGAGAGAGAGAAAAGAGTCCATATTTCCTGAAAACAACTCCAAATAGGAAAGACATTTTCATGCTTTTTAGAAGACAATAACAAATGAAGGCAGTAATGCTTATCAATGCAATGCATCCATCGAAATATTTTTTTTCTAAACATAGCTATTAGAAGCCAACTTACAAAGAATTAATTTGACCTTTTAATCGTATTTTTTAACTAATCAAATTTATAAGAGAAAAATAATGATATTCTAGAATCGTATTACTGAAAGCACAAAATTGATGACCTCTCCTTATCTTTAAAGAACCCCTCAACATATGATTGCAATTCAAAATATTTTAAAGAAACATTTCAACAAGCCTAGCAGGTTATTTAATAAACAACGAGTATAAGAACTCTTTCTTAAATGTTTACATAAAGAAATTATATTATCCTTCACTATAATGAAAAGGTACAAAGTGGAGATTTTTAAATATTGTGTATTTTCAGCAAATGGCTTTGGGCACTGTATCTATTATTTGAGATAGCTATTCTTGGCTATAAAACTTCCTCATGTTATTTTGATATTCTGATTTGCCAAATAGATAAAGGGTCCAATTCTAACTTGCCCTTTCATAAGAAAGAATAAAAAACACACAGAAGTACTTCATTGAAAATTTTTTTTATGGAGAGAGCATGAGTTTCCTTCCCTTGCTTTAGAAAAAAAAAAACATATATATATATATATATATATATATATATATCTGCACACATTAACCTTACTGAAGCATTTGTATGGTCAGTTTCTTTTCAGCTTTAAAAATTCAGATTGAATATGCCTCTCTCTAATAACTTTATAAGCCACCTCTCTGCTGTTATAACATTGGTTAAGTAAAGCAGACATTTGCTGTAAGCCTGAATGATCTGAGGGCATTAGGCTTCTGTGCCCTAGTCCAATGTGTTCTTAAAAATTAAGACTTTCCTAAGGAAATAGCAACAATTCCCAAACTCTAGCAGTAAATTATAATACTAACAATAATGTATTTTATACAGGTGAATTAATCTAACTGTCTCAAGAACACACACCACACCACACACACACACACAATGACCACTCACACAGCTTTCCAAAGATGGCACAAATCAAATTAACTTTTGAAAAGGCATGGAGAGGATGGCAATCGAGAACTTCTTAAAGAAAATATAGGCTTCTTTTTTATAAAATTCTCCATTTCCCAAGTTCTACCTAAGCACCTTGATTGCTTTATGTATTAAAATGTGTATACTCAACTCCTGCTCTGGATAGGCTGTGAGTCGGGAAAGACACAAAGCAGACAGGCATATCCCAGCTGTAAAATTGCACACTTTACCATAAGTGAGCAATCTAGACTACCTACTTCATCCCCTTCTACCAAAATATTGCATTTTCTCTTTCAATAAAGATGTTTTATAATGGCAATGAGGTGCTGTAACTCATGAAGTTTCTGCTGCTTACTTGCTCTCTGTGTCCTCTAACTCCCACTCTATCATGAGAGCATATGTTGTATCTCTGTCATGAATTATTATTTGATGATTCCATGTTGAAATTTGCACTTGGAAGGCAGTTTCCCCACCCTCACTGCAAAGCTTCCTGCTTATTCTTAGACGGTCCATATTGTCTAATGGCTTCCATGTTGTAAAACAATTCCTCAGGTGCTGCATCCAGGAGCTTGGTCTCCTAAATTCTCAATTAGCAAAACCATCCTGAACTTATATAGGTACCTAAGGTGCTGTGCCTCTTTTTTTGAAATAACCATTTGTGTACACTATATTCAAGAATGAGATTTGCTCTTCCGTGAGCGAACTCAATTGCAAAACATTTCAGTTGGCAATGATAAAAATCTCACTGGCATGAAGTGGGGGAAGAGGCATCTAGTTTTTCATGCAATGCCTTCTACCTTTCTCCCTAATAATAAATTTAGTGGATGGAGAGTAATAATATGCATTGTGTTTTAGTCTTTGTGATTCTGACTTTCATCAAGAGGATTCCAAACTATTCCCTGGTGGGTAGATTTTTCTTTCAAGTTAACATTTGGTGGTTCTCTCTTAACAGTGGTGTATCAGAGCTGGCTCATACTGGTTCACGAGAACCAAATAAGCACACTTTTTTGTACTTTTGGTAGACAGCTAAGCTAGTTGGCTTGAAATAAGCTATTGTGAGAGAATTTACACCACAGAAATCAATAAATGCCATAAATCAGGGCTTTCTTGGGAGACAACTGGTGTTGGTTGCTAAACAGTTACCAACACACCAACACCGCCTACCTAGTAAATAAGGTATTCTAAAGGTGCCAAAAGTACCATAAATAGCAGTCCTAGAATGAAAGTGGCTAACCTCTAGTTGTAAAGGTAACACATAAAATAAGGTAAAAATAGTTTAGGTAATTAGCAGAAAAGATGTTAGGTTGGCAATGTAACTTATTAGCTAAGCACCCAGGCTTGGTTCAATTTGCATCGGTCCCCTTGCTAGTTGAATACCTGTCAGCAACTCACTCACTTCTCTGAACCTCAGTTTAATTTACTGTAAAATGGAAATAAAAGTTAGTTTCCTCATGTGGTGGTTTTGAGGATTAACTGAGATGATGAATGTATATAGTGGTTGCTTGGCACACACTGAGGGCTCAATACATTTTGGCCATTATTATTAAAGACACGTAGTTGAAAAATTGTCAGCCTCATCTTAGTTGCAGTTGCTTATCTACCTAATTCCACCTATGCATGCCTTCTTTATTGTCGTCAGGTGTACCAAGTTTGTTCTGGCCTCTGAGCCTTTGAATCTGTTGTTCCTTCTGACTGAAAATCTCTCCTGTGGAATTTTGCCTGATTGGCTCTTCTCGTTATTCTGGCATCAATTCAGATGTTAACTATTCAAAGAGGACTTCCTTATTCACTCTTCCTTGGCCACACATTCTAACTCTCACCCACCTGGTCATCATGTCCCAGATTTTCCTGTTCCATACTTCTATAGAAGTTATCATCATAAGAAGTTTCTGCTTTGTTTGGTTGTTTTTAACTATCTCTCTTACTGAATCAAAGACCCATGAAAGCAGCAATCTCATTTGTCTTTTCCTTTGTGTAATCCCAAGCACCAGGAATAATGCCTGGCATGTAGTAGGCATGCAATAAATATCAGTGAATGAATGAACAAATAAATGGTGACTTTGGAGCCAAAATAGTGAATTCACTACTTAGGTGGCAGGCTGATCTACAATTCTATTTTTAGTCCAATTAAGGGTTGTTTTTGATAATAAAATAGCAATATTTATGGATCCACAGGAGGTAAACAAAAAGTTCATTAATGCTCTGGATAAATAAAGGAGTGAGCAATAGAAAATCTATTGACATATTTAATCAGGAAACTGTGAAATCAACTAGACATAGCTGATTTTGTGAGGCATGGAAAGATTGGATTCAGAATAACCTGATTGGGTAGATTTTTTAAAATATTATGTACACACTGCTAAAGGTTTATTTCTGTGATCTTAGCATAATGATTGGAAATAAGAAAGTGGTATTTAAATTCCCAATCATTAACCATCCTGATTATTATATTTTGAATGGGAGGAAAGATATAATGTGAACTAGCCTTCTTGGTATGCAAGAGTTTCCATAGACTTCTGTGCAGGTGTGTAAGTGAGACTGTTTTCTCCCTCATGGTATTTGTTTGAGCATACAAAGAGGGGGTGAGGAGTGCTGAAGAAAGAAAGACAGAATAAACCAGTTAGCATAAATATTTTTAATGCTTGTGGTATCGAATAATGAATTAAGCATTTCTATGTGAAGGGATATTTTTTAAAGATCATGAGAGGTTTGAAGAGCTTTAAAAAATACCACTCTAAAAGTGAAGGACTTTAATTAATAGAAAAAATATTTGCTATATATTACACTTATACAGTAGGATTAGGAAAAGTGTTACGAAGTAAGAAATAGAATTTTAGCAAAGGCATGTATTTCTTGCCTTATTGAGGAAAAGGCATTTTTTAAGTGGAAGCCAAACTATAAATGCAAGATATGTGGATGTAGAGCTCTTTATCTTACATCTGGATTAAATGCTCAAGGTCCTATATTTTTCTTTATTTTTTAGATTAGCTTGGATAGAGGAGGAGGTGACATGCATAACGTTGATAGCATTTTCAATTACATTGTGGATATACAGTAAGATTGAACATTTGAAAGAATTACAGAAACTCCCAGGTGTCAGTTGCAGGAGATTTAAAAGGCAGTTATTTAATGCTTTTATGTATGTGTGTGTGTGTTTACATATGTATATACACACATAATAGTCATTATCATCATTCTGAGGCAAATAATTCAGATAGGTACATAGCTACACATGATTGTTTGGACCTATTTTAATATCTGCATTTAGAATTTTAAGAATTAGTTTCAGATTCTTAAAAATATAAAAGCTCTGGATTTCCTCTGCCAAGTATTTCACAATTGCGCTTACATGGTCTAAAATGCAACAAATTTAGGAGAATGATATTTTATATAAAAACAAACAGGCACTTAACTACTACACATGTAATCTATTGTTTACCAAAACATGTAAGCCCATACCTCATACAAATTCTCGTGCCCACACTTGTACAAAGGCTACTTCTTATCGTTGTTAATGTATGACACTATGTAGCCAGAGATTGATCCTAAATTAGAGTACACTATGTAGAAACGGCATCTGGTAACAACTTGCCATATGCTAGAAATTTTTAGGTGCTATGTATATTTTATTTCATTTAATCCTCATAACAATTTATATATATAATATATACATATATTATATTTTTGTTTTTTCCCTCTCTTATCTCCTTATCATGTATATAAAATATACTGACTTTATTATCATAGTTTTTAAGTTATAGGATGTCAAGTAGAAGAGTAAACATTATTCAAGGACTTTGTGTCTTCTTCTGGGGTAAGGATTTGTGCATCTTCGGTTGTGGTTGTAAGCAAAATAGTTGTATCATGTTAGGTGGAAGTATGACCTTGTTATTTTCCTTATTTGGAGATGAAGTATGGTTTTAGGACATGTATATGGTTGCCAAGTTAACAAGGGGTAAACTCGTGATGGTTAATTTTATCTGTCAACGTGACTGAGCCATGGTGCCCAGATACGCGGTCAGACATTCTGAATATTCTTGCTAGGGTGTTTTTGGATGAGATTGACATTTAAATAAGTTGACTTTGAGTGAAGCAGATTGCCCTTCATAATGTTGATGGGCTTCATCCACTCAGTTGGAGGTCTTAATCGAACTAAATACTGACCTTCCCCAAGCAAGAGACAATTCGGTGGCAGACTGCCTTCAGACTTAAACTGCAGCATGGGTGCTTCTGTGGGCCTCCAGTCTGCTAGCCTAGCCTGCCTAATTTAGACTTTGAACTCATGAGCCTCCATACTCACATGAGCCAATTTATTAAAATAAATCTCATCACACAAACACACACACAGACACACACACACACATCACACATCTTATTGGTTCTGTTTCTCTGGAGAGACTGGAGTAATAAACAATCCAGTGATGAAGCACACAGAGGTTTAATTGTCCAAGGTCATAAAACCGGCAAATAGTGGAATTAGAGTCTGAAGCCACATCTTCTGATGTGAAAGCCATCATTGTTTTGCATCTTTCCCATGATTCTCAAAAAAGGCTTCTAATAATCAACATTTCAACAACTTATTTATTATTGAGTATGTTACTGATTATGATCATTTATTAACCTATAAACACTGAAAGGATAAAAAATATGCCTTAGACATCTTCTTTTTTAAGACTAGCACAATTTATAATGCAGGAACCACCAGAAAACACACACACACATGCATACAGGGACATACCTCCACCATACACATACGCAGGCATATCACACACCCCCGACATTTATCATATCACAAGCATGTATACACTTCCTCCAGTATAAATTGTTTAATTCAAGAGAGTCTACAATTTACATAAACTTAGGCAATAGCTTATTCCTTTTCTTCAGTGTTTGATCCCATGAGTACTATTGAACAAAAGAAGACATTTTAATGCCTCTGCATTTCCATTTCTTTATTTATAAAACCAAAATACCTGACTCAGATTTTAGACATTTGCAAATCACCTTCCTGTTACTTGCCTTATTCACATACCACTAAAAGTGTAATATGCTGCCAAAAAAATGCAGAGATGGAGTGGAGACACTACTTATGTTAGTTTCAACCTAAGGAGTAACTATTTTTAAGATAAATTCAAAAATTTTATAAAATTTAAATTGTCTGCCTGCAAACTAAAATCATTCAGTATTAACAATGAAATGAGGGCCAAATTTGGGGAAGTAAGTCTAAATTAGAATTTAAACTCTTGTTTAGTTCTCTCTCTCTGTTTATAAATTGGCTACTGAATGAACATTAGATAATTCTAAAACTTATCCCAGATATAATCTTCCTAATTCTCCAAAATCTAAAATAATCTAAATGTGATAAAAAATGTTCTTGGTCTGTCAGCTGCAGTGGCTCACACCTGTAATCCTAGCACTTTGGGGGGCCGAGGCAGGCAGATCACCTGAGGCCAGGAGTTCAAGACCACCCTGGCCAACGTGGTGAAACCCCATCTCTACTAAAAATACAAGGTGTTGCATGTCTGTAGTCCCAGCTACTCAGGAGGGTGAGGCATGAGAATCACTTAAACCTGGGAAGCAGAGGTTGCAGTGAGCCAAGATTGTGCCACTGCACACCAGCTTGGGCAATAGAGTGAGACTTTGTCTAAAAAAAAAGAGAGAAAAGAAAAGAAATATTCTTGGTCATCAATACAGAAGCTCCTTGACACACACCAATTTAACTTAATGATTTTTCAACTTCATAATGATATGAAACTTTCACAATCTCAACATAATGTACAGTATTCAATAAATTACGAGATATTCAACACTTATTATAAAACAGGCTTTGTGTTAGATGATTTTTCCCAACTGTAAAGTAAGGTTAATGCAAGCGTTCTGAGCATGTTCAGGTAGGCTAGGCTAAACTATAATGTTCAGTAGATTAAGTATATTAAACGCATTTTTGACTCATAATATTTTCAACGTATGATGGGTTTATTGGGACATAATTCCATCGTAAGTTGGGGAGCATCTGCATTTTTGCTTTCTCACTGGCTGCTTATACAATCCTGAAGGAATCACAGGCCCTGTAAAGTTTTCATAGATATGAGAATATATACATTTAAAACTTTAAGAGTTCTTATGTAGGCTTTAAGTTTTTCTCTTACTATAACTCACATTATGAAATACTTTTTTATTGTGACCTAACATGGACATATATATGCAGTATAATTGAAGTAAAATTTTAATGAAAGCTGCTGACACTTAATTCATTCTATTCTATTCTATTCTATTATTATTCTATTCTATTCTATTCATCTGTTCTATTTCATTCTTTAAATTGCAGACCACCAGTTACCAAATTTATTTTATAACACATTATGTTAATTATCTATTCCTGTGTAACAATACTGTAACAACCTTTGAAGCTTAAAACAGCACTCATCTATTTTCTCAGTTTCTGTGGGTCAGCAGTTCATGCTTGGCTTAACTGTGTTCTTCCTCTGCGAGGCTAAACTCAAAGTGTCAGCCAAGGCTGTGGTTTCATCTGACATTCGACTAAAAACAGACTCATTTCCTTGCTTACTTGGGTTTTGGCAGCATCCAGTTTTTGTGAGCTGCACTGGACGGACAGCCCAGTTTCTTGCTGGCTGTTAGATGGAGACTGCCCTCAGTATCTTGCTACATGACCCATTTCATAGGGAAGCTCACAACATGGCAACTTGCTGCTTTAAAGCCAGCAAGGAGAGACTCTCCTTACAAAGCAGGTACTGAAATCTCATGGAATGTGATCATGTACAAGTAATCATGTATGCCCTGTTACTTTGTCGCATTGTAGAATACATCACAGGTCCTGTGTACACTCCAGTAGAAGCAATTATGCGAGGAGTGAACATCAGGAGGAGGGGAACTGTCTGCCACAAAAATTAATGTATCAATTTCTGAAATTTGAAAACCACTGGTCTAACAAGTTAACTCTCTTCATATGATAATAATTCTGAGTATCTGTACCCCAAAAAGGCCAGAATTATCGTTCATACTTTTTCCAGCTCATTAATGAAACCACAAGAGCTAAAGGGCTTGCTGAAGATCATATAATTCTTTAGTGGCAAAAGCAGAACTAGATTCACTTTTTTTTGACCTCCAGTCTCAAGATGTTTTCATTATATCCAGCACATAGCAGAATATCTAGCACGTAGTAGTCATTCAATATATGTGTTTTGAATAAATGAATACATAAGTAAATTACTATAAATCATAGTATCTTTCATGAAATTCTTGAAACTAGTCAATTAGAAGTGCCACTAAATATAGAATATTATCTTGGCTTCTTAAGAGATCATTTAAAATCTTATTGATTTTCTCTCTGGTCTTTGACATTCTATATAATCTTATTATATGATGTATATACTTTTATTTTAAAAAGTTAACACCCATCTAGAATACATCTACTTCTCTACACGTTCAAATGCAAATGTTCTCACAATCTAGAAAGATGGACTTGACATAAATTCTAGGCCGTGATAGTTAAAGAAAACTTGTAAGTAATTTAAGTACATATTATATTATTCCACATGCTTACACATAGGCTAATGATGGCCCAATAATTTTGATTGCATCATAGTTGTGAAAGTGTTAAGAAATGAAAAATAGTTGTCAATTTAAGTATAATTATTTTATCATTCTACATTTTTAAGCAATCTTACTATTTAGAACAATGTTTATTATCCATCACTACTGCCCCAAATAGGGCCAGCTCTGAAATGAGAGTTTGAAGAGCTTTTAATTTGTAAATTAAGAATCATAACAAGTAACAGCTTCTCTCTTTGTCTTCCTTTTCCAGATAATGGTCATTTCAACTGTCTTTGAGTCTGGAGGTTGCTTTTAACAAACTGAATTGTATTGCTGCTGGGCTAGTTAACATTCATATTAGACTTTCAAAACAGTGTGGAGAAAACAGTCAGCTCTTTGATGGCATTTATGATGGACACACAGCTGGGCTAATGAAGACAATATGTCAAGGCTTGAAGAGCAATGATTTTACAGATTTTTGAGACATCTATTTGGGTTTATAGAGCTGATTTCCTCTTTGGAGGCTGCATTCTGAATTAATGATAACCACCTTTATAGAGAAAACATTGAATATGAAGTGTCCAAGGAATTTAGGCTAAAGAAGTAATTCTAGGACTAGTCAGACAAAGAGAAATACTGTCTGAAATGACTGAATTTAAATTAAAAATTGGGTGTGGCATTTGGGGTGAGAGTGGGAAAGGTTAGGAAGGGACAATGAGGCACTAATAAGAAATAAACAAATACCACACAACAGGCATCTTTATGAAGGTCCTTATTACTCATATGCAACACGCGTGAGAGCTTCCAGTTTGAGAGAAGACAAACTAAGTGACAGCCATTTCTTCAGCCAGTACTTAGTCATTTCTTGTTAAAGATCTTTTAAACTAGCCACTTTTTCCTTAAACTCCAATAAGCCCTGCTCCCCAGAATTTATTTTCTTTTAACTTCTAAGCTCTCAAGATTATGCTTGCTTATTTTTATGTCTAAGAAACACCTTTATTTCTGTAAGAATAGTAATAGAGAGGGGGGGAATTTCTAGAGTGAAATTGATTTGAAAATTACCTAATTTAAAATATTTTAAAGTCCCACAGAGCTAGGTAGTCACTGCCTGCCTCCTAATAAACTATTTCTGGATTGTGGGTGGACTCTACTTTCCAAGAAGACAAAAGACAATTCATATAGTTATTCAATTTCCTGATCATAATTTTTGTAGGTCCCTTTGTGGTAGAGCCCTAAAGCTTTGTCAAGTTACTTTACTGGCAAAAGAGTGCCCCGTTTATGATCCTAGCAAAGTCCCTGTGGACACCACTCAGCTTTAGGCCCAAATTGTTAACCAAAACCTACTCAAAATTTGAAAATCATCAAAGCTTGCAGTTAGCACCCTGACACTTTCCCTTTCTAAGCTCGTTTTTGCTATGTGCCTTGTTTCTTTACATTATCTTTTTCACAGTCATAATTACTATAATAGCTAACATTTATTGAGGATTTACTATAAGCTAGGCACGGTGCTGAATATTTGATGCAGATTGTCTCATTCATATAACAACCATAGGAGGTAAATATTGTGATCATTATCTCCAACTCATAGATAAGAAAACCTAGGGTTAGAAAAGCTAAAAATCTTGCCATAAATCACAAAGCTATAAAATCAGAGTCCTAAGATATAAATCAGGCAAAATTTCCAGGCAATTTGGTCCGCTCAGAGAATGGTCTTGAAGGCAAGTACTTTCTAGATTTGGGCAACTACGCCTCTTTAGTATTCTTCGAAGACTTCTATAAGAATTCCAAGTTGGAAGAAAGACTCAGGAAATTAAAGTATTAGTCTACATTTGAAATTATTACACAAAAAAATTCTTTTTTAATTGAGAAAGTTTTGATGATTATCATTAATTTAAAAATCAAACTTCAAAGATTTGCAGTTATATGAAATTTCAGGTCTCCATATGAACCACTGAAAATATGGCAGTGAAATAAAACTCCAGTTTTGACCAACACTTGTGTGTCATCTCTGCAATTAAAGTTCTCCTCCCCTCCTTTGAAAACAATTTTAAAATCTTATGTTCTCCTTTAATTTTCTTTATAAATTAAAAGTAATTATTGTTCTTCTGTTTCTGGCCAAAATAGAGTAATAGGGACAAAATTTACCTGTCCATCTTGTTCACTGTCTTAAAAAACACTGTTTCAAGTATTTTGTCCCATGTTTATTTTTTCAGGTACAATTCTTTTGAAAGATGGTTTGGAATTTTTTTTTTAATTCAATATACACCTACCACAGAGTTCAATCATTTTGATCCTATTTATTTACCCAAAAATAATAAAAGCATATGTCCACACAAAGACTAATCAGCTATGAGCTATTCATACATGCAACAACCTGGATGAATCTAAAAATAATTATGCATAATGAAAGAAGCCAGACACAAAGAGTACATACTGTATAATTCCACTTATGTATAAAACTAGAAAATACGAACTCACTTGTAGAGATGGGAAGCAGAGAAGTGGTTGTCTGAGATCAGGGTGAGGTGTGAAGAAACTATTGGGGATGATGGATATGATATGTTCACTGTCTTGCTTTTGGTGATAGTTTCACAGATATAAATCTGTGTGTAAAGACAGGTCAAAGTTACTAAATTGTACATCTTAAATATGTGTACTTTATTGTTGACTTTTTCTAACAAAGCTTTTAAACTTTTTGTAAGTAATTATTGACTAAAACTTAATCTAAGCCATGGGACAGAGCACTGTGTTCCTTTCCAAGTACTCTTACCTTTAAATTATGATACACAGCCCTCCAGGACCACTCCCTCCCTCCCATCCCATCCAAATCCCTCATAAAACATCAAACTGCAAAACATAGGAAAGGGCAGCATCAGCAGAAGTCTGATTCTCAAGGGACAGTTTTAATTCTCTATGTTATTTAGCTATTTTAAAAATGATGGAAAGTTGCCACCTTAAAAAAAAAAATCAGTTTTCTTTTCCACAGGTAAGTATTTTTAGAGGAAATTTTACTATCAATATCTGATTGAGCATATTTCTATTCCCCCTAGATTTAATGTTTTCCATCTGCAATATAAGAGGAAGATAATGCACAATTATGCTAGTAAGACTCTCTTTTCCAATAATGTTTGCACTTCTCAATACCACTTTTAAAAAGGAAATAGTAGCACTTGAACAGTTAAGTAAGAAGATGAACAAAATTGAACAGAGGAAAAAATAACTGTCTGAAGACATGTTGAAAATACATTTAAAGACAGTCTGTCTGAGACAGGAGCTGAGCTGGCCAATCCATCTTTTAAATAATTGAACATCATTCAGGTGTGAAGTATTTGACCTGGAGACTGAAAGGGGAGGAGAGAGTCCAAAAAAAAGTCAAAATATAAAGAAAAAAATTAAAGAATTTGTCCCACAAATCAGGCAACCAAGGTCTAAACTTATAACCTCTGTCTGGGTAAATTGTTGTTGCTTCTTTCTGTGAATCTTAAAAGATGTACAATATACCTCATTTAATGACTTTGATTTATTCATGAAAACTCTATCCCCATGGGAAAAGCTGTTAAATGAAAAAAGATTTCTTTTAAGTAGAAAAATTATGAACGGATTCCTTCCAACCTTCCATATCCAAAATATATCAAATGAATTATATATATATATCAATTATCAATATATATCAAAATATACCAATTAAAAATATCAGTTAAACAATACATCAATTGAACTATGAAAGCAAGCTTATTTAAGTAGCAAAGAATAACATGAAGGTTAGTAAGTATAGCTTATACTTAAAATACAATGAATTGAAAGCTCATGGCACTTAATATAGTAGGAAGAAGAAACTTAATAGAAAGTGGTACTTGGGGGAGAAGGACTGCAAGGGAGTTATTTGGAAAACGCATTTTTTATTTCTGCATCATTTTATTCACAAATTATTCTTAATCTTTTGTGAATTTGTGGACTTCTTGAACTCAAACCAGACTTAAAAATACAGTTATAGCACAGAAAAAAATCTTTAACGGCAAAATAAAAGCTAAGCAAGAGAGCCTTTCAAAACACATGAAAATAGCACACACATACAAAAAAAAAAAGAATAAAGAGATGTACAAGTGACACCTCCTCAACCTTCTCACTTGGTATACATATGCACAGTAAATTATTTTGGGCTCAGCCAAGCATGGGAGCAATTCAAATAGATCCATATGATATTCTCTGATTAGAAACTCTTGTGGAGTAAGTTGGTGAGTGTATCTTTGCCTAAAACAGTCATGTCAAAATATAGCTTCCTATAGCATATTTATTTAGTATCATTTTGGTGAAAAAGTGATTATACAGAATAGAAAAGAGTTGTCCAAAAATAAGTGGTTGACCTTTCCAGAGCCATAACCTGCAGAATTGTTATGTAAGTCTGCTCCATACTCATAAAGGAATACTCAGCTGACCCAACTGATTTTCTTGTGTTTTTTCCTTCAAGGGCTAGTAGAAGTCTATATGTTGTGGTGGAAAACAACCTCAGCCCTATAGTCCAACATTTGCCTATCAAAACTTGTCCTATGATTTACAAAACTAGAACCTCACTGGTAAGTCACATTCCTAGAGTCTCCCCCATTCCTAACCCCAGTCACGGAAAATAAATCAAATCATTGTCACTCTTTCTTAACAAAGAGTATACATTTAAAACTTGAGTAAAATTACAGGTACTGTCTGGGGCCTTCAAGGGGGAACTTGAAGTCTCAGTACCGCAGTTGTCCAATCAGAGGATCCAAGATGAATATACTCAAGGACTTTATGCTTGGCATCCTCTGGAGACAGTACATAACCACCAACTTGGTTTAACTGGAGATTCATTTGGGTTAGGAGAAATTATGTAGGCAATGTACTTAGTCAATGGAGGCCTTATGCCTGAAGACTTACAAGAATCTGAATTTGTATGTTACTTTTCCTTTAATGGAGTGGAATTCCAAATGAAAATAATCAAACAGCATGTGCACAAACATTAGATATAATACCCAAATTTACAAAGCCTTTATAGATATGCAAGCGTTATTGCGTCTGTCCCTAGCTTCTGTACAGAATTTCATGGGTAGCTGTTACTATTTTATTGTTGTATAAAAATGAGGAAACTGATAAGTTGTCTAAAGGTGCACAATCAAAACACATCAAAGCCATTGTGAAATACAGGTCCCCAGATTTCAAAAACAGATCTTCTGCTTATAAATTCAGTCTTTTCATACTGCCATAAACTCCAGAATGGGAAAACAAAGTTACTATCAGAAAAGCTTCTTTTAGCTGGGAGTGGTGGCTCAAGCCTGCAATCACAGCACATTGGGAGGCCAAGACAGGCGGATCACTTGAGGTCGGGAGTTCGAGACCAGCCTGGCCAACATGGTGATCTCTACTAAAAATACAAAAATTAGCTGGGCATGGTGGCAGACACCTGTAATTACAGCTACTTGGGAGGCTGAGGCAGTAGAATCGCTTGAGCTGGGGAAGCCAAGATGGCTTAGTGATCCAAGATGGTGCCACTGCACTCCAGCCTGGGTGACAGAGTGAGACTCCATCTCAAAAGAAAAAAGAAAGCTTATTTTTTCTCCTAATCACCATAATATTCACTATTAAGTGATGCAAATAGAAATAATTTACTTAGCAAATCCTTTCTAGTTCAAATAATTTGTATACAGGCTGTGCAAACATAATAATGAGAGATTCTTTTTAGTCATCTTGCTTTAAATCACTAATTACACTATTATTTAATGACATTTTAAAGAAAAACATGTTTATTTTCAAGTAGAAAAGTCATATATGTCCACCAAGGAAAGCTGTAACAAATGTAAAATACATAAAAAAGATAACAGCTAAATTTCTAAAGCATTAAAAAAAAAAGACAAATAGAAGGGTGTCAGATTAGGAAAGTATGTCTTGTAAGGTGTAACGGACAGGCTGATTAGCTTAGAGATGTGGATCTCAAAGTGGCTCTCAGAGCAACAGCATCAGGGTCACCTGGGAACGTGTTAGAAATGCAGATTCTCAGGTACCATCCCACATTTAATGAATCAGAAGCTCAGAGTAGAGACCAGCAATTTGTTTTAACAGGCCCTTCAGGGATTCTGATACAGCCGATGTTTGAGAAACACTAGCTTTGAGTAAACGTAAGAGGGTCACGTTAGTATTTTTAAATCATTGGAAGTTGGTTTGTTTTGTTTTTTCTTAAGTGGGACTCATTTGTGCTTCAATACACAGAATGGATATTTAGAGGAAGTCGTTTTTGACCTAACACAGATGAGCACTTCCAATTGAACAGCGAGCGCTTTCTGATAATGGGGCTGCCCCCTACAAGTGAATAACTGGGTTTCTCTAGGCTGGAGCTGCAGACAGGTCACTATGTGTATGGAGAATTGTATTAATATGATCGTGGCTCTTTATAGCTCTGCATTACTAATATCCTGTTTTAAAGTCTCTCCTCAATATCCAATGTCTCTGTGTTAATGATGGTAAGGACTGGGTAACATTAACAATCATCCTGTTGTTGACAACAGATGATAAGAGAAAGCCCAGCTTTACACTCTGTATAATCTTACACCAATGCCCATTCCTTGTCTAATTTTTTTTTACATATTAACCCATGACCTTGGCATTACTAAATAAGAAGCCCTCTCACTTAGAACCCAATGCAGTATGATAAAAATTATTTTGAGAACAATCAGGAGCTCTAGTTTTCAATTCTGCTTCTCTTCCCAAGTAGTTCTGTGCCTTAGTTTCTTCTTTGTAAATTTAAATGGTTGGAATAGAGGATCTGTTAAGTGTGATTCAAGCTGAAATTGTATGTACCCCACACTGAGTTTTTCTGCTATACCCCTAACCCATTCAACAATCACACCACCAGTTTTCAGGACTCACAGTAGTATAGCCATCTATCATTTGTTAATAGGTGTGCTCTTTCATCCAAACAAGCAACTCATGATTTCTGCAGTTTTTTATTCTAGCCAGGTTCTAGGTGCTGGCCTGGAACTATAAAACAAACATTTCACAAAAAGTAATGAAAATATACAAAGGAAATACAATTTCTTTGAATATCCATAATCTCAATATGGAGTCTGGCTGTGGATGGCCAAGAGATAGTTTCCTTAACTGGAAAAAGTTTTTAAATGAGGCTAGGTGGACGATATATCTTTGCATCATTACAAAGAAGAAAAAAGAGAAATCTCACAACTGAAGAAAGTGAAATCCACTTTACTTAATGCGGACCTCTGTCTCTGGTGTGCAGGTCCTCTGTGTCCAAAGATAATTAGCACTTTATAGTGCTAATTATTATAATTATGTCTGAGAAAAAAATCATTAGGGGGTAGGTCCGTTCACTGATTTTCAATTGCCCCCTCTATTTAAAAATAAGGTCATTTTTCTATGAAATAGCTTTAGGAGCTCAAAGCAGAAAGAGGGTTATAGAAAATCCTGTGTAGGTATAAGCCTGAGTTTTTAATATTCTTATAATTCTGTGATGTGTCTGGAAACTGAACCGGGAGGAAAACAGTGAACCTATTTAGTCTAGGAGACTAGAAATCAGGACTCAGAAGAGTAAACATTTCTGTAATAGTTAGTCCTCAAATAGTCATTCATTGACCATCCACTGGGTTCCTGGCAATGTGCAAGCTGTTTCTAGATGCTACCTCATGTAATAACCATCACAGTTGCACAAAGCAAGTACTAGTACTCCATTTTCATAGATAAAGAAGTAAAATCTTAGAAATTAGCTGCCCAATGTCATGTATGTAGGAAAGGAAAGCTGGATTCTGATTCATATTTGCTGGTTCCAAAGCACTTGTTGTAAATACTTCAGTATCCTGTGCTTACACATAAATGTACTATTTCTGTTAGGTGTCTTGAAATACTGAACTAAAGAATGGTGTAGGGGAAGGGCAGTTTAGAAATACCTGGAAATTTGGTTGTTTGAAGGAAGCCCACTCTCAAATGGTAGGAGAGCAAGCTAACAGAATAGCTGAGAATATTTTCTGAGAGCCCCAGAAGTATAAAAACGGTCTAGGGGGAAAAATTTGGGACACAGAGTGAAAATAGCCTGCCTCTGAAGACCAGCTTCATTTCTTCCCCTCCGGGTGTTAATGAAAGAGCCCTTTAACTTTGCCAGGCCTCAGTTACTATAAAACAACTCCTGCTACTATTACTACAGATCTGACTGCTACTATTACCACCACCACCACCACATCAGTTACTGAGAACTGAACTAGATGCCAAGCAAAAATGCTAAACACTTCATATACATTATCTTTTTAAACACAAAATGTACTATTAATCCAGTTTTACATATAAGAAAACTGAGGCTCAAAGAGGCTAAGTAATTTGTATGTGAACATGCTTTACACTATGTAAAATACCTTATTAGCAGATATCACTATTATTAAGAACCTATCAGCCGGAGAGGAAGAATTGGCCTTTTATCTTTCTAAGATGAACAGTTGTCTTTCTGTTTAATGGTTTTTTAAAAATCCCCCTGTGACAAGCTCCAGAGGACAAATAATTTATTTCTTGTGGTGTATGGCTCTCTAAATGAATTAATTGATAGGCATCCCATTGTCAGTCTCAGGGATGTGGAAATAAAACAGGCATGAGATGTTTTTTACCAAACTAATTTGTGCTTTAAACACATAAATAGTAAATATATATATATATATATATATTAAAGTAAATGTGTATTTACCGTCCCTCCTGCTCCACTTTGAATTCAAGAACCCGTGTCTTTGTTGTGTCATTGCACTGTCAATTGAGAAGTTTGGTTTTGTTTCTTTGAGTATTAGTAAGTGGAATTAAATAGTAAATATTGCCGCGGGAAAGAAAGGAGAAAAACAGCTCTTCCAATCCATCCCTGTTTCCATTCAATTAAAGGAGGGTGGAAAGAATACTTACGATAATTGTAATAAGTATAATAGAATAGCAGGAGCCACTCTTTTCCTTTCAGTAGGCCATTAGGTCAGAACTATTTTCATAGTAATACTAAGATGATATTTGCCTTTTCACTGTGTTGGCACTTGTATTGATAAGGCAAAAACAGTGGAGTCTTAGCAAAAATTAAGACCTTGAAAACAAACTGCACTAGGAATAATTATCTTCTTCATTACTATTTACTTGCAGGGGGAAAAACCATTTTCGTTTAAGAAAGTCCTTGGTGAAGTAGTAAAAATATTAATTTTATTAAATCTCAACCTTGAGTACAAGTCTTAAACATTCTGAGTGATGAAAGAGAAGAATATTTGAAGTGCTTCTGCTGCATACCAAAGTATGACAATTGTCTCAAAAAAAAGCACTTGTGTGATTGAGATGCCAGCTGCACTAGTCCCTTTTGTTTGAGAACCATCATTTTTACCTGAAAGAATCTACAGACAAACTATGGGTATTCAAAGTTGAATATTTTGCAGACATTTTCTTGCAAATAAATAAAGGGGGCCTGTGGCTTCAGGAAAAACAACTGACAGTATTTTCAGCTGATTAAAAAATTAAATCTTTCAAGAGATCGTGCCTTGACAGCTCCCCAATACTTCCAAGAGATGGAAGGTAGCATTAATAAATATGTTTTTTGATGTTATGTAACAGAATGTTTTAAAGATTGTAATATCTGTATAACCATGGAGAACAGTATTTTTCAAATGACCAACACATGGAGTTACATAATCATGAGTGGGTAAAAATGCAAGATAGAAGAATGGATTTTAATGCAACAGAGTACAAAACATTCACTTCCCATTTCATATTGCAACTAACCTTTAAGAAACTACAACTTGTTGAATTCTGGGTTTTATCAAAGAATGTCTACAATTTCTATGAAGAGTCTATTAAAATACTTCTCTATTTTTCAACTCCATGTCTGTATGAGTCAAGACTTTCTTCATGTATGTCAACCAAAAGCACATTGAATTATAGAAGTAGATATGAGAATCCAGTTGTCTTCTGTTTAGTGAGATATGAAGGAGATTTGTAAAATGAAAAACAAAGCTACTCCTTTCAGTACATGTCTTTTGGTGTGGAAAATATAATTATTTTTCATAATTTGTTATTTGTATTAACATATAGTGTTTATTATTGTTATTTAAAAATCAATATATACACATTTATAATATTCTCAGCTTTAATTTCTAATATGATAAATATCAAAAATATCCATTTCACCAAAACTCTTAGGGGAATTCAACTATTCTGAGCGTATAAGGGTCTGAGACTAGAATGTTTGAGAACTGCTGGTATAGGGTAATGAATAATTATACAATTATACAATTCTGCTATTTTCAACTTTATTTTCTGCATTATAACTTTTCATATTAATGTAGGAACTGCGTATTCTTGATTTTGTGTTCTAGAATTTTTGTGGAAGACTTCAACCTTTTCTTAGATGTTTTTTGAACTAATCTCCCACCCCCTTTTTGTTTTCTATTTAGTATTTGCTTTCAGCAAATTATACAAAAAACCAATTATACAATTGGTTTTGTAAATTGGATGCAGCATTTCCACAGAGCAACTTGTAAAACTGTCAAAACTATTAAAATTTGGCTAACTTTTGACCAACAATTTCTACCTTTAATAGTTTATCCTTTTAAAAAATAGGGATTTCTACAGACATTTATTTATCAGAATTTCATAATAATTTCTATAATGCAAAATAGCACTTATAAATATGCAGGGTTTGTTTAAATACATTTCGATGTCTCCTTAAGATAGAATATCACATAACCATTAAAAATATGTTGTAAAAGACTAATTGATGACACAACATTCGTTAATAATATATTAAATTTAAATGATATAAAATCATAGCTGTAAGATAGATTTATTTTGAAAACTAAAATGAAAATGCTTTCTCCTCTCCCTATATATTTAAAAGTTTTATTTCTATATTTGTCTATGTATCTGGAAGTTTAAATAAATAATGAGTAATTTATTTTTCAGGGATGATGAATGATGGGTTATTAGTGCTTTTAAAAGTCTTTTGTGTTTTTCTACCTTCTACAGAATGTGCATTACTTTTTGTCAGGAAAAACAGTAGACAAAAATGTGGCAGATGAATCACAACTTTCAGATTGACAGTCTTTTACTTCTGAGCTTCAGTAGAAAAGAGTATATTTAATACATGAATATAATTAGGAAAAAGCAGAGCAGGGCGTTACTGGGGCACTGGGTGAATAGTTGGATAAAGAGCAGTTTAAGACAATTGACTTTTATTGATGACCTATTCTGGCTCATGTATTATGTTGGGGCAGAATTGAAAATATGAAATTGCCATTTTTATAGGTTAAAAATGTTGAAAATCAGCATTTATATGTTATTCAAACTATCTCATTTAATATAATAGATATTATTATGCCCATTACACAGTTGAGGAAATAAAGCTCAGAAGTTAAGTAACTTACTTGGGATGACAAGTTGTTTCTGAAGCATGTTTTCCTGTCTTCAAAGTTCTGCTCTGGATCAAGTTGAGGGTAAGATCTTTTAAGTAGACAAATAGGATATCTTCAGTAAATTACATGCAATTTAACTCTGGAAAACCTATTTCTACATATGTGTGATGTCTTTAGGTCCCCTACTGAGTATTCTGCCCTTGGATGTACTAGGTTATTAAAACTGATTGGTATGCCTTTAATGTGAATAAATGTGTTATAAATAAAGGACAGATGAGTTATCAAGAGCTCCTCACCTGTCTTCTTTTAAAAATAATTTTGGAACTCTGCTGAGAGGGAAAAGTAGTATGATAATCTCTGAAGCTCACCATCTACTGTCCTCCAAAACAGCTAAAATAAAGCATAAGTAAAAATGTCTACTGCAGTTGGGTAACAAAACCAAACAGAAGCCCCATTTACACTAAAGTGAAGAAAATACTGAAGGCAAAATGAGCTGAAAGCAAATACTAAATAGAAAACAAAAAGGGGGTGGGAGATTAGTTCAAAAAACATCTAAGAAAAGGTTGAAGTCTTCCACAAAAATTCTAGAATACAAAATCAAGAATACACAGTTCCTACTTTAATATGAAAAGTTATAATGCAGAAAATAAAGTTGAAAATAGCAGAAACAGACTCTAAGTGTTAAGTTGAAGAAGGCCCAGAGTAAAGGTGACCTTGAGAAGGAAGAAGTCTAAAGAACTTGGATAAAGCTGCCCCAGTACCACCTGGATAATATATTCTTGGATGTAACTTATCCTAAAAATAACCAGGAGAAGCAAGAGCTGGAAAGAAACCAGTATGGATATAGATGGATGGAAGTGGGGTGAAGGAAGCATACATATTTGGATCCATGCAAGCATTCAAATTAGGGGGCCAGATTTGCCCTGTCAATGTGAAATGTCAGAAGAGACATCCTTTGTTTTGGATATGGCAGATTTGACACAATTAAACAATTACATAGGAATTCTTTGAGGAGGAACTCTCTGGGGATTTACTATTCTGATAAGTTGTGTGGATTCACCATGCTCCTCAGTGGAAGTTTTTTTCTGCTTTAAGAATAGCATCTCATAAAATAAGCATTTTGCGGAACTGGTCTGGTCCCCAAACATCATATATATATATATATTTTAGAGATGGGCTCTCACTCTGTTGTGCAGGCTGGAATGCAGTGGCACTATCATAGCTCACTGCAGCCTCCCACTCCTGGGCTCAAGTGATCCTCTTTCTCAGCCTCCCAAGTAGCTGAGAACACAGGCTCATGCCACTGCACTCAGCTCCCAAACATCATTTTATGTATATGTTAATTCAAATTCAAAGAGTGTATTTTTTGTACATGTAAATTCTATCTATATGTAAATTTTATGTATATGTAAATTCAAATTCCCCAAAGAACGTGAAGGTTTCCAAATTAAAGATCAACCCAGGTCTCTTGTGTGCCAGTTCACTGTTTACATGTTTTAATTGAGTGAGATATGAGTAAACCTTTCCTAAACAAGTGCTTTTCTAAACATTTTCATTCTACTTGTCTTAGTGGTATGAGTGAAGAGCGGAGAAAGAAGTACTGGTAGTGAGCATTGGTGTGGATGGCTTGTGTGATTCTATTTGGGGAAGGTGGAAGTTGTATGGGAGTTAGTGATTTATTAGAGGGGATGAGGGAAGACTTGGACAGTCCGTGGAAATGCAGACTCCAAGTGGCATGCCAATCAGTAGATAAATATCGTTTAGGACTCGCTCAGATAGTATCTATGGCAAAATGTAGAGTATAACATTGACAATGCTGGGAGCCCCCTTATCCTTTGGACATCAGTTGAACTTAGCTTGAACCTTCAATTTTATAGCTGTGAAATCTAGTACCTTCCCCAAGATATCTGCGAATTTTAAAAATTACTGCCGCATAACTCCCCAGATTTCCTTTTTCCACTGCCATCTTGGAATGATTTCATTCCAACTAGTATAATTACTTTATCCATTCACTCTTTTCCATAAGAAATTCAATCACACGTATGATTTCATTCCATTAGTAACTTTAATGAACACATAAGATCTTGGGAAGAAATCACACTGGGCACCATACAGCCTCCTACAACTTCCTGGTTCCCCTCCTCACATTATCTTCTACCTTCCCAAAGCCTGGCCTCCAATCAATAAAGTGAACAAAAAATTTATATTGCCCAAATCAGGACATTCTAAAATTGAAATAGGGTGTTATTAGTAACTATACCGGAACCACAAGTTTAAACGAGGACTATATGGAAGAAAACTATATTTATCCTACCAATGTAGTAATATGACCAGTCCCCACTGTAAGAAGCCCTATGGAAGTGTAGCTTCATCTCCTCATCTCTGAGGGCTTCTTTGACTGGGACAGTAGACTTTCCTTAGGACCCCAGGGTATTTTGAAGAATAAGTTTTTCTCTAATTCATTATAATTGTTTGGTTGTTTAAGTTATTATCAATGGCTTAGCCCTTCCTTAGCTTTTTTTATGCTCCTCATAAAATTTTTTAAAGCAAAACATAGTTAACCTCAAAATAATCATTTATGTACACATCTATTTTTTCTGCTAAACAGTAAATTCCTTTAGGGCAAAGACCATATCAAGTTCATTATAGCAAAATGTTCTAGTTGTTCCTCACTATGTTTTCTCCTTTTTCTATCATAAGAGAACCTTGTTTTAGCTTTAAAAAAAGGTCACTCAGAATTAAAACACATTTCTCAGCCCCCTTTGCAGCTAAGATTGAGCATGTAATATAGATTTATACAATAGAATAGGAGTACTAGTTATGTATATACTTTCTGGACATGCCCTCTTTTTGCTAATTCATTATTCCTGCTAGAAGGCATATGCATATAAATATGTTAGTGTGGCAAAGACATTTTGTCTAGAGTAGAAGGAGAACCATTTTGGGCCATGCAGTCAATGTCAACACCTTAAAGAGGAGAGAGTCACAATATCAAAAATTCCTGGGTTCCAGACATTGTGGAGATAATATCTGACCTCTGAAATATTTCCTCTTGAGCTTTATGTGAGAAACAAATGCCTATTTTGTTTAAGCCACCACCAATTTGGGTCAACTTTGCAGCAGCCTAATCCATTCTCAATAATAAACTTATCTTTGCATTTCTCAGGGTGTCTCATAAGGTATCTCACCCATCAGAGATGCTCAATGAAACATTTGGTGAATTGAAATAAGATAGGTAAGGAGACCCTGTGAGAGGGTAAAGGATATTTAGTCAAAAGTAAATTCAGTAGAAGCCCAAAGAAGAGGAAAAGCTATTTTAAAAGGTTTGAACTTCTGGACAAACTTTCCTGGCATTTCCTAGCATAGCAATTGGGAAATAGAGTCCCAAACCAGAGGCAGCACTCTGTCAGCCTATGGGTCTAATCAAACTCACAGATGGGTTTTGTTTGGCTTGCATTACACTTTTTTTTAAAAAATGTGAGTTAGTTGCCAACATTCACAAATAGGAAGAGTTTACATGGAAACCCAGATTTCTGGCTTCTTTTGAAAAATCAAAAGACCTGGCAATTTAGGCCACATATTCTCATATGGTGACAAATTGGCTAGGACTATGGCATCCCCCTGTAGTTAGGACATGAGTTAATCAGCTCATGATGACAATGACATTGTCTCTCTGACATTGAAACTGTGTGTCAATTGCCATCTATATCACAGTACTTGCTTTCTTGCTTGTAAAAACTTGGCCTGCTTCCATAAGTGACCCTACAAATAATTGAGATTGAGAGCCTTACCCAAGATGATAATGAGACCCCTGTCTTATATATTGTTTTGTGGGGAAAGTCCTAGAGTGCAGGAGTTGAGCAGCAAGAATTAAAGAAATTGGGAGATAACAATAGAGCAGTACTAGCAACACGGAAATCTTAGGCAACACGAATTTTAATGGCAGAAGGCATTTATTTGAGCAGGTGTGATGACAGGCCAGTGATCTCAATAGACGTATGACCATCATATTCTCTGCTTTCTTTTAGCCCCACCAAAAGATGAAGTGGCCCCCAGACCCCAGGTCTAATGTAAGAACCATATGCTATTGTGCTCTTTCGAGCTCTACTCCTAGATCTTGATAGAATTCTTGACAACTTGAATGGTGATTGGTGCTTCTCCAAAGACTTGAAGATTGAGAGGCAAATAGATAGTCCATACATCTCCCCCCACTTATCGTGGTTTCAATAAGAAATGTGAAGATGGAAGATAAAATACAAGCAGAGACAAAATGAGGTTGTAAATCAAATATTATTTTGCTTCCCTTGCTCAGAAAAGCATGTTGAGTGCTTCGGAGAGAAAGATAAAGCTCACAATGTGAGGAGGGAGGGAGGAGACTTGCATTGAGACAAAGGGAAATGTTGTATTTTTGTGTTTCAGTTAATCTCTTGATGTTGGTGTGTGTAGAGCCCCAGATGTTAGAGCTAATGCAATATGCATTGGTCCATCACATTGGGAAATCTCTGGTCTCTGCAACAAGGAATTAATAAATCTAGTAATTGTGTCATGTCTGTAATACAGGCTAGGAAAAAAAATGTGTAAACCATTTGATAAATGTGCATGCCCAGATAGCATGTGTTTCTGAGGCCCTCCACAGGGATTCACCCAAAAGGTTGCCCAGGCATTCTTTTCTTCCACTGTGTCCTCTGTAGGAGAAGCTGGCGCAAAATAGAATGGTTGTTTATTTAGTGTGGCATTGGCATCTAATTAATAGCATCCAAAATCGATTCTTTATGCTTTGTTTCTTATCAACACCCCTCCCCAGAACACGAGTTCTCTAAGGCAATTAGAAATAATCATGGACTTGCCAAAATGCTCTTTTTCTAAACATTATAACTAGAATATCCTTCAGTTTTAGCTCTTAAGAGGCTCTTTTTTATTTAAATAAAATGAACAACTAAGCAGTTGTCTGAAGCATCAGGACACTATATATGTATCCAGAATGACATATGCAATATGCTTTGTAAAACATTTCTGAATTTCCCTTTTAATTTTTCTGCAGCATGTTGAAGGGTATGAATTTAAAAATAATTGTGATCACATCATCATCATTGATTCTTGTACCTCTTAAGTGTGCTAAATTCAACACAGAGGTATGGACGTGGGAGCAGTAAAAGGAAACCGAGAAGTAAAAATTTGCAAAGGATGTCTCTTGAGGACAGACTCATATTTACCATGATTACATCCATCTCTTTGCTGCTAGAAGATTTCCCTGCCATTTATGATGACAAGGTATATAGGCTTGAGTAAACCAATGAATAATAGGAAGCTACGTTCCCATGTGTACCCAAGGTCATTAATCTCTTAAGCCTGAGGACAAAATAATTTGAAGGTGCCATATGTCACAATTAACACAAGTGATTATTGACCACATTTACTTGGATGGACCCTTTGGTAGGACTGTCTCATGCCAGTCAGAAAACCACTCTACTCACATCACTATACCTTGTGCTATCAGTATGTTTTGGAAGCAAAATCCACCACCCACAGACTTCTGTAAATAAATGATTAACATTAGCTTCATTTCATCTCTTTCTGGACCCAAGAAGATTGGGTTATGGGTTGCCAAGAAGATTATGAACCCAAGAAGGCAAAGATTTTATTTTGTATGTCCACCTTGATAGATCTATTGGTTGTAGCTACTAGGGCACTGTGTTGAGGCTACTTGCAGCTGCAAAGCCATGATTGATTAGTCATATCTTCCATGGGTAAGGAAAACAGTACTGTGACACATTGTCTGAATGTTTGCCAGCCTTGTTCTAAATCTTCACATTTTACTTTCTAGAGAATCTGCAGTTGACTCTAGGCTATTTTCTCAAGATTCCCTTTGGTGTGCAACATCTCTTTGTAATTCAACAACACTTTCTCCTACAGTAAGATGGAGCGTAGAATTGTATCAGAAAGACTGACTCTCCTGGGTCAGAAACTTAATATTTCTGGGTAATTATTGTGCTTTATTCAAACAGCAAAAGATCAGCTGCTATAATAATGTGAAATGTTATACTTTCTAAGAAAACTAAAAATGAATGAATGGATAGTGTGAGTCCAGAAAATAATTTTATCACTACTGTTTAGGCCTGGTTAGAGCTAGAAAAAATGGCAGAAAAGTAAAGAAGCCAAGAAAGTGAGAGAGGAGTTGGCTGGACTTCACATGTGAAGTGACAAGGAAGCCAATAAGAGATTTGATTATAAGAGTGAAGAGAAATCTTCCTATCGCAGTGACATATTAAAGGAATAAACTAGATGCTGGAAAGGGTAGGATAGATATAATATGAGATGTTAAAGAAATGAAGTGATCAACATCCTAGCATAAGATATACAACTGTGATGGTTTAAAACATGTCTGCAAATGTTTTGACACTTCCATTAAAAAGTAGAATAATGTTTCACCATTGAATAAAAACTGGTCATGGTTTAGAGACTTGCTTTCAGAGGATAGCTCTTGAAAGGTGATATAGCTAATGCTAGCTCTCTGTCTCTCTCTCTCTCTTTCTTTTTCAGCATGTACCTCTGGAGTCCTGAGCCACAAAGTAAGAAACTCAGCTACCCTGATGTTGCCATGTTAAAGAGACTATCTGGAAAAGCCACAAAAAGATAGAGAAAGATGCTAAAGGGGCCTCTGCTGTTCTGGCCCCCACCTAATTGAGCCATCAGACAGCATGAACCATCAGATATATGAATGAACAAGGCTTCAGGTGATTCCAGTCCCACCTACAATCTGATTCAGCCATATAGAGACTCCAAATGAGAACCGCCAAGCTGAACCCAATCAACTCCAGTACCATGAGAGATAATAATAATAATACCAAGCATTATTATTGTTTTAAGCCACTAAATTTTGGGATCATTTGCTACACAGTTATAGATAACCATAACTATACCTTCTTCTCTTCATCAGGGATAGAAGTAGGACCTTTAAATGTTTTTACAATTCTAAAATATAGTAAGGAACCTAAGTTGAAGTTGAGGCTGATGTAGCTGGATAAGATTTGAGATATATTTTAGAGTTATATTATCCTCATGTTGTGCCTCTTTTCCTTCCTCCTTCTGAAAACACAGACGTCTTTGGCATCGTCTCAGGAGGGGAGAAATGCTGTAGGACTAAAACCAGAAGATGTCTTGGCTTTGTTTCCCCACCTAAGCCTTTAGAAAATCACATGCATTTTGTAGAGGTGGAAGAAAGGAAGCAAGGTAACATGTAAGAAGAAGCAGAGTAGCTTTGAAAAAAAGTATAAGACAGGAGCAGGGAAACTCCCAGCCACCTCAACTAGAAGAATATTTTTATGGGCTGAGGTTGGAGTGGGAAGCAAGAAGGGAAAGATCTGAGCATCGTGCTAACAGAGAAGGCTGTGTGCATCTCCCTGGCAGCAGCCTAAGCAAGCAGTAAGTTTCCAGAGAAGAATAGTATGTCTGGAGAGTGGGATTCTGGGAGGTCTTGACATAGTGTCCTGTGTCCCAAACACAACATGACATTGTCGACTGAGATTTTTTTTCCTTTCATATGAGCAAAATAACTTTGCTGCAGAAAAAAACTAGGAGTCAGCACCACTGATGGATCAATGAGGCACAAGCTGCAGTGACAAGGGGAGGTCCTACTTTGTGAGGCTTATGGGGCTATGGACCTCAACAAGAGGGAAAGGCAGGGCAGAAAAACTTGAAGAGGTTTAAGTGTTCATATGAAACTTTCCCAAGGATGTTCAGAAATATTTAGATGAAATTTTTAAGGTACTGGAGTTTTTAAGTAATACACACTGAGAAAGATATCAGGGATGTCTTATATTTACTGTGAAAGTGAACTGTATTATCTTTAGAATGAGAAAGTCTGGGAAAACTCAGGTTCCAAATCAGTTCTTTGGAGTCCAGAATAAGCATTCTAAAATGATTCTGTGATCTAATTGGCAATAACTAAACCTCTGATAGACCACTGTGCAAATCTAATTCTATGATTCTTGGTAATTGTAAAATTAAGTTTACTCAGAAAGCTTCATTTCCTTCTATTTCTTAAACAATAATCTAAATAAATACTGCCTTTTAAGATTAATCTCTTTTTCCCTCATGTGCCTATAGAAGTGTGATTGTTTCTCTGTAGTAGCAATTATCTTGTTCCAATTTGGGTTATTCTGTTATTTGTGGTAGTCTCCCCATGAGAATGTGAGCTCCTGAAAGGCAGTAACTTTGTCCTGTTCATTAAGGGACTCCCACAATTTCTCTTACAAAACTCTACATGTAATATTTCATTTATTGAAAACATATTTATAGAACACCTGTGTTGTGCCCAGGACTGTGCTCAATAAATGGTTCAAGGAATTGAAAATAAAAAGCTTCTCATGTGAGGTAACAAAGCTATTAACACAGCTAAGAAATGTCTTCAACAATATATTTAAAAGAAAAAGGTAGCAATAAAAGTCCATCTGCTTTGTAAACAATTTATTTTGGACATTTTCCTCTATATCTGTAAGAGATATGGCCCCAAAGTTTTCAGTTTTTGTGCTAACTTTGTCTGGTATTTGTATACAGGTTATAAGAGCTTTGTACATTGTATTGAAATCATAGCATATGGTTCTATGATCCGCAATAATCTTAATACCATTGGAATCTCTTCTTTTAAGTTTAGTAGAATTTATCTATAAAACTGTCTGGGTTCAACATGTAAGAGTTTGAAAGCCACCATTCCCATCTTTGCAAAAACAAAAATAAAATTGAGCAAACTGAATATCAACAACTCCTCTTACATCCATCAGAAAATTGAGGTCACAGGACAAATCATTACCTTAAAAACTAGAGAGACAGGTAGGCACATGCAGAAATCATAGTGTACTAGGAGCAGAACCTGCTGAAGCCAGCAACTGGTAGAAGCACATAAATGGAAACTAATTGTGAGAAAAAAACTCAAACTCCGAATAAATTTCTACACACCAACATAACTAACTGCCACATCAACAAGTCTCCTTTATAATAACAGGAAATTACAGCTAAAGGAACTGCAAGCCTCCAATTCTATTTAAGAAGGTGTCTCTAGAGAAAGCCAAAGACAACATGAGAGATGAAAACAAGAAAACAGAAAATTTTAATATCTGACACCTACAGCAAACAGTAAACAGAACCCAACCTCACACTAAATACCTATTTACCTCAGTTTCTTTTACTTAACACATCATGTTCAGATTTTTAAAAAAAAATGAAAAGGAATGATAAAAGGCAAAAAGCACAGTTTAAAGAGACAAAGCAAGGTCAAGGTCATACTTTTAGATATGGCAGAGACTTTGGAATTATCAAACTGGAAATTTAAAATAACTATTATTACTATGCTAAGGGCTCCAGTGGAAAATACTCTCTGGTGGACAACATAGAAAATCAGATGAGTAATAAGCAGAGAGATGAAAACTGCAAAAATTAATTCTCCCTAAGAAAGAAAATGCTAAAACCTTCGCGCCTGTAATCCAGCACTTTGGGAGGCTGAGGCAGGTGGATCACGAAGTCAAGAGATTGAGACAATCCTGACCACCATGGAGAAACCACGTCTCTACTAAAAATACAAAAATTAGCTGGGCATGGTGGTGCACACCTGTAATTCCAGCTACTCAGGAGGCTGAGGCAGGAGAATCACTTGAACCCAGGAGGCAGAGGTTGCAGTGAGCCGAGATCACACCATTACACTCCAGCCTGGTGACAGAGTGAGACTCCATCTCAAAAAAAAAAAAAAAAAAACCTAGAACTTAAAAATACTATAATAAAAATAAAGAATGCCTTTGATAGGCTCATAGGGACACTGGACATGGCTGAGGAAAGAATCAATGAGCTTGAAGATATGTTAATGGAAATGTCCTAAACTAAAAAGCAAAGAGAAAAAAAATAAATGAAACAGAATATCCAAGATCTGTGGGACAATTTAACCAGTTTTAAGACACATGCAATATAAATATCAGAATAAAAAGAAACAAAATTCCTATACATAGGAATATCATATTCAAACTGCAGACAACCAAAGAAATAGAGAATATTGTGAAAAAGGCCAGAAGGGAAAACAAGCTTTACATACAGAAAAACAAGAATAAGAATTACATTAGACTTGCTTCCCAGAAACCACACAAGCAGGAAGAGAGTGAAGTGAAATATTTCAAATGTTAAAAGAAAAAAGCACCAACCTAGAATTCTATATCCAATGAAATTATCCTTTAAAAGTAAAGCAAAAGTAAAAGACTTTCTCAAACAAAAATTGAGATAATTTACCATCAATCGACTTTGAAAGAAGTTCTTTGAAGACATGATAAATAGTATAGGTCAGAAACTTCTATCTACATAAAGAAAGGGAAAACATTACAGAAGGAACAAATAAAATCAAAAAACTTTTTATATTTTCTAATTCTAAATTGGTTCTACAGACAACTGTTCAAAATAATAATACCCACAATATCTGAATGATTATAGATTTTAAATAAATGAAATGAATAATAGCAATGTTATGAGGGATGGGAGGGAAGAACTGGGAATACTCAGTTATAAGGTAACTACACTAGTTGTGAAATAGTATAGGGTTATTCAAAGGTGAACTTAGATTAGCTGTAGATGTATATTGCAAAGTCTAGAGCAACCACTCTAGGAGTGGTGAGAGAGGGCATCCCTGTCTTGTGCCAGTTTTCAAAAGGAATGCTTCCACTTTTTGCCTATTCAGTATGATATTGGCTGTGGGTTTGTCATAAATAGCTCTTATTATTTTGAGATACGTTCCATCAATACCTAGTTTATTGAGAGTTTTTAGCATGAAGGGCTGTTGAATTTTGTCAAAGGCCTTTTCTGCATCTATTGAGATAATCATGTGGTTTTTGTCTTTGGTTCTGTTTATGTGATGGATTACGTTTATTGATTTGTGTATGTTGAACCAGCCTTGCATCCCAGGCGTGAAGCCAAATTGATTGTGGTGGATAAGATTTTTGATATGCTGCTGGATTCAGTTTGCCAGTATTTTATTGAGGATTTTCACATCCATGTTCATCAGGGATATTGGTCTAAAATTCTCTTTTTTTGTTGTGTCTCTGTCAAGCTTTGGTATCAGGATGATGCTGGCCTCATAAAATGAGTTAGTGAGGATTCCCTCTTTTTCTATTGATTGGAATAGTTTCAGAAGGAATGGTACCAGCTCCTCCTTGTACCTCTGGTAGAATTCGGCTGTGAATATGTCTGGTCTTGGGCTTTTTTTGTTTGGTAGAGTATTAATTATTGCCTCAATTTCAGAGCCTGTTATTGGTCTATTCAGAGATTCAACTTCTTTCTGGTTTAGTCTTGGGAGGGTGTATATGTCCAGGAATTTATCTTTTTCTTCTAGATTCTCTAGTTTACTTGTGTAGGGGTGTTTATAGTATTCTCTGCTGGTAGTTTGTATTTTTGTGGGATTGGTGGTGATATCCCCTTTATCATTTTTTATTGTGTCTATTTCATTCTTCTCTCTTTTCTTCTTTATTAGTCTTGCTACCTGGTCTATCAACTTTGTTGATCTTTTCAAAAAACCAGCTCCTGGATTCATTGATTTTTTGAAGGGTTTTTTGTGTCTCTATCTCCCTTAGTTTAGCTCTGATCTTAGTTATTTCTTGCCTTCTGCTAGCTTTTGAATGTGTTTGCACTTGCTTCTCTAGTTCTTTTAATTGTGATGTTAGGGTGTCGATTTTAGATCTTTCCTGCTTTCTCCTGTGGGCATTTAGTGCTGTAAATTTCCCTCTACAAACTGCTTTAAATGTGTCCCAGAGATTCTGGTACATAGTTAGACTCAATATTCTTGAGATATCAGTTCTTCCCAATATGATCTATATATTGAATGCAATCCTCCCAAAAATCACAAGTTGTTTTGTGTTTATCTACAAACCAATTCGAAAGTTCTTATGGAAAACCAAGAGTCAGAAGAGACAGCACAATATTAAACAACAAAGTCAACAGACTAACACTACATGATTTCAAAACTTACTATAAAGCTAAAATAATTAAGTCAGTATTAGTATTGGCAGAAAAAATAAGAAGACAAATAGATCAATGAAACTGAATAGAGCCAGAAATAGGCCCACACAAATATAGGCAAGTGATCTTTGACAAAGAACAAAAGCAATTCAATGGAGAAAGAATAGTCTTTTCAACAAATATTATTGGAACAAATGGACATCCACAACCCTCTCCTCATCCTAAAATAAATCTAGACACAGATTTGACATTTTACACTTTCCATAAAATTTAAGTGAAAATGAATCATAGACTTAAATATAAAATACTAATCTATAAAACTTCTAATAATAGAAAATAAGAGGAGAAAACCTAGATGACCTTGGTTTTGGCAATGACATTTTAGATACAATACCGAAAGCATGAGCCATGAAAGAAATATATGCAAAGTTAAACTTCATTAAAACTAAGAACTTCTGCTCTGAGAACTACCCTGTTAAGACAGAAAGACAAGCCACAGACCGGGAAAAAATATTTGGAAAACACATATCTGATTAAGAATTTATATCCAAATATACAAAGAACTCTTAAAATTCAACAATAAAAAAAGACTCAATTAAAAAATGGGAAAAAGAACTGAACAGACACCTCACCAAAGAAGATATATAGATGGAAAATAAACATACGAAAGGATGCTTAACATCATGTCATTAGGGAATTGCAAATTAAAACAACAATGAGATACTACTACACAACTATTAGAATGGTGACAATCTAAAACACTGACACCAAATTCTTGTAAGGATGTGGATTAAAGGAACCTTCATGGAAATGCAAGGTAATACAACAAGTTTGAAAGACAGTTTGGCAGTTTCTTACAAAGCTAAACAGAGGTTTATGATGTAGTTCAGTAATTGCTCTCTTAGGTAATTACCCAAATTATTTGAAAGCATGCCCACACAATAGCTGGCATGCAAATATTTTCAGCAGCTTTAATCAAAATTGCCACAAACTAGAAGCAACTAAGATGTTCTTTAATAGGTGAATAGATGAACAAACTGTGATACACTCATACAATTGAATGGTATTCAGCAATAAAAGGAAATGAGCTATAAAGCCACAAAAGACATGAAGAAACCTTAAAAGCATATTGCCATGTGAAAGAAGCCAGTCTGAAAAGATAACTTACTATATGATTCCAATTATACAACATTCTGAAAAAGGGAAAAGTATAGAGATAGTAAAATAGTCAGTGGTCTTTAGGGGTTCAAGCAGAGGGAGAAATGAATAGGTGGAGTTCAGGAGGACTTTAGAGTGGTGCAAATATTCTGTATGACACTGTAATAGTGGATTATTCATTTGTTAATACCAACAGAACTGTACAACACAAAGTGAGAACCCTAATGTTAATTATGTGTATTTTGTCAATAATGATGTATCAGTATTGATTCTTCTATTGTAGCAAATGTACCACAGCAATGCAAGGTGCTATTATGAAAAACTGTGTGCAGGAGAAAGGAAGCATAGAGAAGCTCTACTTTCTTCTCAATTTTTCTGTAAGCCTAAAACTGTTATAAAGTATTAATTTTATAAAATCTTACTGGTATTAATATCTTTATAAAGGGTGATAGTTTTAAAAATGGTGATTGTTGACTGTTTTTAAAATGTTATGATTTTCAGTCTATTCATATCAACATGAGGAACATCAAACTCTATTTTAACCCTGTGAAAGAGAAATTTATAATAGAGTCTTCAAAAAGGAAATGTCAAAAAAAGCTGGATGTTTCAAAACAGGTAAGTGTGTGCCTCTCTGTATCATTTGCAAGTAATAATAACTGGTTTCTTTGTAATTAAAGGAGTCTATATCTTAATACAGAAATTTATCACATTTATGTTTGTTGTAATGTTGGAATTAATCCTGTCACCATATTAAATATTTTCTATTCATTACACCATCTTTCTTTCCTTTTCATTTGTTGAATCGATTAAAGTTTACCTTTGAGCCATTTTTCCCCTCTTCTTGTGACTTGGAAGCAATAAATTTAATTATTATTATTTTCTGCTTCTGTTTACTTTGTATTTGTATTTTTTCAAATTCACATCTGCACTAGTAATAAATCCAGTAGGTAAAAAGGATTTCTGAGAAAAAAAAGCAACATCTTTTATCTGTATTTCTTGATTCATAAATTTCAAATAAATATACGCATTAAAAATGGTGGCATGCACCTGTAGTCTCAGCTGCTCAGGAGGCTGAGGCAGGAGAATCACTTGAACCCAGGAGGCAGAGGTTGCAGTGAGCCAAGATCATGCCACTGTACTCCAGCCTGGTGACAGAGTGAGACTGTCTCAAAAAAAAAGTCACATTGAATCATTCCCTTTATTACTTTACACAGTAAATATTAGGCTTTTGGAAAGGATAATATGATAAAACTAATATAGATTTCTTAGATAGGTATTAAATAACTTAATGTATATTAGTTATAATTTACATTAATTACATTTATAATTTACAATTACAATGTATAATTTACATCATACATTACAATATAATTTTAGTTCACTATCGACTGTTTTATGGACTCATATGTTCCTCTTTCTTAGTTTATTTGACCATTTTAATGAACATTTCTAGTATAGAAATATGGTTATTTTTCTCATGTCATTCTTCAACACTAGAAAATTCTTCCCTAGGTGGGACACAGTGACTCAAGCCTGTAATCCCAGCACTTTAGGAGGCTGAGGTGGGTGGATCACCTAAGGTCAGGAGTTTGAGATCAGCATGGCCAACAGGGCAAAACCCTGTCTCCACTAAAATACAAAAATTAGCCCGGCATGGTGGTGTACATCTGTAATCCCAGCTGCTAGGGAGGTTGAGGCAGGAGAAATGCTTGAACCTGGGAGGCAGAAGTGTCAGTGAGCCGAGATCACATCACCGCACTCCAGGCTGGGCAACAGAGCAGGACTCCATATCTAAAAAACAAAAAAGGAAAGAAAAAGAAAATTATCCCCTATTATTGCTTCAGTAATTCTTTCCATAATATCTTCTCAGTTCTCCTGTTTTGAGGTTCCTGCTATTTGCATGTTAGATCTGTAGAAGAGGTTTTTATGTGTCCTATCTTTTCTCTCAGATTTTCCTATTTTTTCCCCATTCATTCTTGGAGACTTTTGTCTCTATCACATTGTTCTAGTCTCCTAACCCCTACCACATTACATGTTAAGATCATCTAGGATTTTAGATTCTAATGGTTATTATATTTTTAGATTCTGCACAAATATTATTTAGAATTAACTAAATGTTTTATGAGTTTCTTTGGATGACAACTCTGCTTTTGTTTTGCTGGTTTTTTGTGTGTCATGGATTTTGCCATATGCATGTATTTATTTATTTATGAGTCATTTTTAACCATTTTTTACAGAAAGTCTATGTATGGTAAATATTTTGAAACTTTTTTATTCTAAAATGTTTTTGTAAGGCCTTTCAAATTGAATGCCATTTTCACTGTTCACTGGGTGTAGAATTTAAGTTCAAAATCACTTCAGAATAGTGAACATTTTCCTCCTGTGTTTTCTAATGTACATTTGAGGAAAAGCGTGTTGTCAATTCATTTTCATATCTTTGTAGAAAATCTGCTTCTGTTTTTCTGGAAACTTTTAATTTTTTTGTTATCTTTAATTTTTAAAAATTTAATCCACGAAGTGTAATTATTGTATACATTCTGTTGTCACAAAGTATATTTTGAAAGCAAAATAATCGTTTCTTTATTCAACTTTGGAATTACTTTCTGCGTTTTTAAAAATATTTTTATCTCCTCCATTTTTCATTTTCTCTTCTACTAAAATTCCAAATTTAGACAGAATTTTTCTTGAAATTTCTAGATCTCTTGTCCATGGCTAATATGACTTTTCTGAAGTATTCTACAATTCTTTGTTGAGAAGCATTTTTGGAGAATTACTCTGGTCAACTATCCTGCTTCATAGGTATCTCTCTACCAATTATATGAGGATTGGGTAGGATGTGTTTCTGGTTACAGAGTTTCTGAAATTGCTTTTCTGATATTTGAAGATTCCAAGGCCCTCCTGTTGCCATGCTGACTAGCTTTTCTCAATCATTTGCTATTGTAACTTGCTCCAATGAAACAAGTCAGTAGGAAAGAGTTGGGCCACCTAGGCACCCAGGGTATGTTTCCCCAACTTGTCACCTTCACCATTGTCCTTGTGCTCCCTTTCCCTATTGAATCCTTTTACTCTTAGCTTTGAACTTCTATGGAACAACTGCCGAAATGTCTGTAAAGGTCATGACATTCAGTTACTGCCATGCATCCAATTCTGTCTGCTTTCCACTTGTTCAGGAATTTTTAAAAATTCTTGCTGCACTAATGATACTTTCAATATAGTAATTATTTAATTAAAAAATTCTTCTATCATTTCAGAAATTTTGAGCAGGAGGAAAGACAGCTGCATGCTCTCAGTCTGCTTTCTTCATCCTATTTCCCCAGAACAAATTCAAGAATACTGCCTGTGCCTGTCCATTTTACATTGCCATACAGGAATACCTGAGACTGGGTAATTTATAAAGAACTAACAGTTCTGAAGACTGTACATGAAGCATGGTGCCAACATCTGTTCAGCTACTGGTGAGACCTCAGGGAGATTTCACTCATGGTAGAAGGTAAAGCAGGAATGGGCACATCACATGGTGAGAGAAAAAGCTAGGGAGTGACGTAAGGTGCCACACTTTTGGACAACCAGATCTCACATGAACTCAGAGCAAAGACTCACTCATTACCATGAAGATGGCACCAAGGCATTCGTGAGGGATTTGCCCTCATGATCCAAACACTTCCCACTAGGCCCAACCTCCAACATTGGGAATTATATTTCTTTTTTCTTTTTTATTTTTATTTTTTTAATTATACTTTAAGTTTTAGGGTACATGTGCACATTGTGCAGGTTAGTTACATATGTATACATGTGCCATGCTGGTGCGCTGCACCCACTAACGTGTCATCTAGCATTAGGTATATCTCCCAATGCTATCCCTCCCCTCTCCCCCGACCCCACCACAGTCCCCAGAGTGTGATATTCCCCTTCCTGTGTCCATGTGATCTCATTGTTCAATTCCCACCTATGAGTGAGAATATGCGGAGTTTGGTTTTTTGTTCTTGAGATAGTTTACTGACAATGATGGTTTCCAATTTCATCCATGTCCCTACAAAGGACATGAACTCATCCTTTTTTATGGCTGCATAGTATTCCATGGTGTATATGTGCCACATTTTCTTCATACAGTCTATCATTGTTGGACATTTGGGTTGGTTCCAAGTCTTTGCTATTGTGAATAATGCCGCAATAAACATACGTGTGCATGTGTCTTTATAGCAGCATGATTTAGAGTCATTTGGGTATATACCCAGTAATGGGATGGCTGGGTCAAATGGTATTTCTAGTTCTAGATCCCTGAGGAATCGCCACACTGACTTCCACAATGGTTGAACTAGTTTACAGTCCCACCAACAGTGTAAAAGTGTTCCTATTTCTCCACATCCTCTCCAGCACCTGTTGTTTCCTGACTTTTTAATGATTGCCATTCTAACTGGTGTGAGATGATATCTCATAGTGGTTTTGATTTGCATTTCTCTGATGGCCAGTGATGATTAGCATTTTTTCATGTGTTTTTTGGCTGCATAAATGTCTTCTTTTGAGAAGTGTCTGTTCATGTCCTTTGCCCACTTTTTGATGGGGTTGTTTGTTTTTTTCTTGTAAATTTGTTTGAGTTCATTGTAGATTCTGGATATTAGCCCTTTGTCAGATGAGTAGGTTGCGAAAATTTTCTCCCATGTTTTAGGTTGCCTGTTCACTCTGATGGTAGTTTCTTTTGCTGTGCAGAAGCTCTTGAGTTTAGTTAGATCCCATTTGTCAATTTTGGCTTTTGTTGCCATTGCTTTTGGTGTTTTGGACATGAAGTCCTTGCCCGTGCCTATGTCCTGAATGGTAATGCCTAGGTTTTCTTCTAGGTTTTTTATGGTTTTAGGTATAACGTTTAAATCTTTAATCCATCTTGAATTGATTTTTGTATAAGGTGTAAGGAAGGGATCCAGTTTCAGCTTTCTACATATGGCTAGCCAGTTTTCCCAGCACCATTTATTAAATAGGGAATCCTTTCCCCATTGCTTGTTTTTCTCAGGTTTGTCAAAGATCAGATAGTTGTACATATGCGGCGTTATTTCTGAGGGCTCTGTTCTGTTCCATTGATCTATATCTCTGTTTTGGTACCAGTACCATGCTGTTTTGGTTACTGTAGCCTTGTAGTATAGTTTGAAGTCAGGTAGTGTGATGCCTCCAGCTTTGTTCTTTTGGCTTAGGATTGACTTGGCAATGCGGGCTCTTTTTTGGTTCCATATGAACTTTAAAGTAGTTTTTTCCAATTGTGTGAAGAAAGGCATTGGTAGCTTGATGGGGATGGCATTAAATCTGTAAATTACCTTGGGCAGTATGGCCATTTTCACGATATTGATTCTTCCTACCCATGAGCATGGAATGTTCTTCCATTTGTTTGTGTCCTCTTTTATTTCCTTGAGCAGTGGTTTGTAGTTCTCCTTGAAGAGGTCCTTCACATCCCTTGTAAGTTGGATTCCTAGGTATTTTATTCTCTTTGAAGCAATTGTGAATGGGAGTTCACTCATGATTTGGCTCTCTGATTGTCTGTTGTTGGTGTATAAGAATGCTTGTGATTTTTGTACATTGATTTTGTATCCTGAGACTTTGCTGAAGTTGCTTATCAGCTTAAGGAGATTTTGGGCTGAGACAATGGGGTTTTCTAGATAAACAATCATGTCGTCTGCAAACAGGGACAATTTGACTTCCTCTTTTCCTAATTGAATACCCTTTATTTCCTTCTCCTGCCTGATTGCCCTGGCCAGAACTTCCAACACTATGTTGAATAGGAGCGGTGAGAGAGGGAAAGGGCATCCCTGTCTTGTGCCAGTTTTCAAAGGGAATGCTTCCAGTTTTTGCCCATTCAGTGTGATATTGGCTGTGGGTTTGTCATAGATAGCTCTTATTATTTTGAAATACATCCCATCAATACCTAATTTATTGAGAGTTTTTAGCATGAAGGGTTGTTGAATTTTGTCAAAGGCTTTTTCTGCATCTATTGAGATAGTCATGTGGTTTTTGTCTTTGGCTCTGTTTATATGCTGGATTACATTTATTGATTTGCATATATTGAACCAGCCTTGCATCCCAGGGATGAAGCCCACTTGATCATGGTGGATAAGCTTTTTGATGTGCTGCTGGATTCGGTTTGCCAGTATTTTATTGAGGATTTTTGCATCAATGTTCATCAAGGATATTGGTCTAAAATTCTCTTTTTTGGTTGTGTCTCTGCCCGGCTTTGGTATCATAATGATGCTGGCCTCATAAAATGAGTTAGGGAGGATTCCCTCTTTTTCTATTGATTGGAATAGTTTCAGAAGGAATGGTACCAGTTCCTCCTTGTACCTCTGGTAGAATTCGGCTGTGAATCCATCTGGTCCTGGACTCTTTTTGGTTGGTAAACTATTGATTATTGCCACAATTTCAGATCCTGTTATTGGTCTATTCAGAGATTCAACTTCTTCCTTGTTTAGTCTTGGGAGAGTGTATGTGTCGAGGAATGTATCCATTTCTTCTATATTTTCTAGTTTATTTGCATAGAGGTGTTTGTAGTATTCTCTGATGGTAGTTTGTATTTCTGTGGGATCGGTGGTGATATCCCCTTTATCATTTTTTATTGTGTCTATTTGATTCTTCTCTCTTTTTTTCTTTATTAGTCTTGCTAGCGGTCTATCAATTTTGTTGATCCTTTCAAAAAACCAGCTCCTGGATTCATTGATTTTTTGAAGGGTTTTTTGTGTCTCTATTTCCTTCAGTTCTGCTCTGATTTTAGTTATTTCTTGCCTTCTGCTAGCTTTTGAATGTGTTTGCTCTTGCTTTTCTAGTTCTTTTAATTGTGATGTTAGGGTGTCAATTTTGGATCTTTCCTGCTTTCTCTTGTAGGCATTTAGTGCTATAAATTTCCCTCTACACACTGCTTTGAATGCGTCCCAGAGATTCTGGTATGTGGTGTCTTTGTTCTCGTTGGTTTCAAAGAACATCTTTATTTCTGCCTTCATTTCATTATGTACCCAGTAGTCATTCAGGAGCAGGTTGTTCAGTTTCCATGTAGTTGAGCGGCTTTGAGTGAGATTCTTAATCCTGAGTTCTAGTTTGATTGCACTGTGGTCTGAGAGATAGTTTGTTATAATTTCTGTTCTTTTACATTTGCTGAGGAGAGCTTTACTTCCAAGTATGTGGTCAATTTTGGAATAGGTGTGGTGTGGTGCTGAAAAAAATGTATATTCTGTTGATTTGGGGTGGAGAGTTCTGTCGATGTCTATTAGGTCTGCTTGGTGCAGAGCTGAGTTCAATTCCTGGGTATCCTTGTTGACTTTCTGTCTCGTTGATCTGTCTAATGTTGACAGTGGGGTGTTAAAGTCTCCCATTATTAATGTGTGGGAGTCTAAGTCTCTTTGTAGGTCACTCAGGACTTGCTTTATGAATCTGGGTGCTCCTGTATTGGGTGCATAAATATTAAGGATAGTTAGCTCCTCTTGTTGAATTGATCCCTTTACCATTATGTAATGGCCTTCTTTGTCTCTTTTGATCTTTGTTGGTTTAAAGTCTGTTTTATCAGAGACTAGGATTGCAACCCCTGCCTTTTTTTGTTTTCCATTGGCTTGGTAGATCTTCCTCCATCCTTTTATTTTGAGCCTATGTGTGTCTCTGCACGTGAGATGGGTTTCCTGAATACAGCACACTGATGGGTCTTGACTCTTTATCCAACTTGCCAGTCTGTGTCTTTTAATTGCAGAATTTAGTCCATTTACATTTAAAGTTAATATTGTTATGTGTGAATTTGATCCTGTTATTATGATGTTAGCTGGTGATTTTGCTCGTTAGTTGATGCAGTTTCTTCCTAGTCTCGATGGTCTTTACATTTTGGCATGATTTTGCAGCGGCTGGTACTGGTTGTTCCTTTCCATGTTTAGCGCTTCCTTCAGGAGCTCTTTTAGGGCAGGCCTCGTGGTGACAAAATCTCTCAGCATTTGCTTGTCTATAAAGTATTTTATTTCTCCTTCACTTATGAAGCTTAGTTTGGCTGGATATGAAATTCTGGGTTGAAAATTCTTTTCTTTAAGAATGTTGAATATTGGCCCCCACTCTCTTCTGGCTTGTAGGGTTTCTGCCGAGAGATCCGCTGTTAGTCTGATGGGCTTTCCTTTGAGGGTAACCCGACCTTTCTCTCTGGCTGCCCTTAACATTTTTTCCTTCATTTGAGCTTTGGTGAATCTGACAATTATGTGTCTTGGAGTTGCTCTTCTCGAGGAGTATCTTTGTGGCGTTCTCTGTATTTCCTGAATCTGAATGTTGGCCTGCCTTGCTAGATTGGGGAAGTTCTCCTGGATAATATCCTGCAGAGTGTTTTCCAACTTGGTTCCATTCTCCACATCACTTTCAGGTACACCAATCAGACGTAGATTTGGTCTTTTCACATAGTCCCATATTTCTTGGAGGCTTTGCTCATTTCTTTTTATTCTTTTTTTCTCTAAACTTCCCTTCTCGCTTCATTTCATTCATTTCATCTTCCATTGCTGATACCCTTTCTTCCAGTTGATCGCATCGGCTCCTGAGGCTTCTGCATTCTTCACGTAGTTCTCGAGCCTTGGTTTTCAGCTCCATCAGCTCCTTTAAGCACTTCTCTGTATTGGTTATTCTAGTTATACATTCTTCTAAATTTTTTTCAAAGTTTTCAACTTCTTTGCCTTTGGTTTGAATGTCCTCCCGTAGCTCAGAGTAATTTGATTGTCTGAAGCACTCTTCTCTCAGCTCATCAAAATCATTCTCCATCCAGCTTTGTTCTGTTGCTGGTGAGGAACTGCGTTCCTTTGGAGGAGGAGAGGCGCTCTGCGTTTTAGAGTTTCCAGTTTTTCTGTTCTGTTTTTTCCCCATCTTTGTGGTTTTATCTACTTTTGGTCTTTGATGATGGTGATGTACAGATGGGTTTTCGGTGTAGATGTCCTTTCTGGTTGTTAGTTTTCCTTCTAACAGACAGGACCCTCAGCTGCAGGTCTGTTGGAATACCCTGCCGTGTGAGGCGTCAGTGTGCCCCTGCTGAGGGGTGCCTCCCAGTTAGGCTGCTCGGGGGTCAGGGGTCAGGGACCCACTTGAGGAGGCAGTCTGCCCGTTCTCAGATCTCCAGCTGCGTGCTGGGAGAACCACTGCTCTCTTCAAAGCTGTCAGACAGGGACACTTAAGTCTGCAGAGGTTACTGCTGTCTTTTTGTTTGTCTGTGCCCTGCCCCCAGAGGTGGAGCCTACAGAGGCAGGCAGGCCTCCTTGAGCTATGGTGGGCTCCACCCAGTTCGAGCTTCCCGGCTGCTTTGTTTACCTAAGCAAGCCTGGGCAATGGCGGGCGCCCCTCCCCCAGCCTCGCTGCCGCCTTGCAGTTTGATCTCAGACTGCTGTGCTAGCAATCAGTGAGATTCCGTGGGTGTAGGACCCTCTGAGCCAGGTGTGGGATATAGTCTCGTGGTGCGCCGTTTTTTAAGCCGGTCTGAAAAGCGCAATATTCGGGTGGGAGTGACCCGATTTTCCAGGTACGTCCGTCACCCCTTTCTTTGACTCGGAAAGGGAACTTCCTGACCCCTTGCGCTTCCCAGGTGAGGCAATGCCTCGCCCTGCTTCGGCTCGCGCACGGTGCGTGCACCCACTGGCCTGCGCCCACTGTCTGGCACTCCCTAGTGAGATGAACCCGGTACCTCAGATGGAAATGCAGAAATCACCCGTCTTCTGCGTCGCTCACACTGGGGGCTGTAGACCGGAGCTGTTCCTATTCGGCCATCTTGGCTCCTCCCCAGGTAACATAAATCGGGAATTATATTTCAACATGAGATTTGGAGAGGACAAACATCCAAATTATATTATTACTTTTTAAGAATTATATTACAGACACCAAATTAGAGTAAATATATTGCATTATTTTTAAAGTCCTGGAGTCTGACTAAAACACTGTAAATGTGAGGGTCAAAGAACAGAAATGGCTGACATTGGAAAATAACTTTGTCTGAATCTGGGACAACATGCATGCTATTGCCCAGAATAATTCAATAATTGCTTTCATAAAGTAAATAGTTAGCTCCTTTAAAATACATTGAGCATTAATTGAAAAGTCAACTAATTTGAAGGAGAAACCATTTGAAGGAGAAATCGTTTAATTGCACACAAGTTAGTTGCTTCTGCAATTTACATCTACAAAATTTTTTCTGAATTTCAAACTGATAAAAATCAGAATCACTTTGAAAACTTTGGGATGTCAACTTCTCTCTGATAAATAATAACACTTAAAAAGCTAATTAAACCAATAATAGAAATAAGGAATACTATTTTAAAGCTAATTGGTTTGTTCTTATGATGATTTCATCTTCTACTATTTCAAAAAAAGTCAAGCGGCGGTAAAAAAAATCAAAATGTTGTATGACTGTCTGGAAGGACTGGGGTCAAATAATAAATTTTCAAAGGTGAACATGCTGGGCTAAAATCTTACGTGAGTTTATTTGCTCAGTAAAGATAGAGGAATCTTTCTTTTCTCCCTTCCTCCGTTACCATTAACTCAGAAGAAAATAGAGACAAAATTCAAATCAGACTCTCTTTTGTCTCCATAAGTGAGACAGAAACTACAGATTTATGACTAGAACTAAGAGGTAGAATTATATGTTAAGAAATATTAATGATGGAATCCACTTTAGAGTTTGAGTATCAAAATACTTGCAGTTAGACAGTGATTCACATATTTCTAAAGAAGAGAGTGGGAATGTGACCAAGTAATAAGTGGATGAAAAGGAGACCCGGACATATGTTTAGAAATTATTTATTTCAGAGGCCCCTAACCAGTGGTCCGTGGATTTTTAGTGGAAGCACTTCTAAGGTCTGTGACTCCTTTGATTTTGAATGCAAAATTTTATAGATACATGTGCATATCTAACTTTCATCAGACTCACAAAGTTTTAGTCTTATAAAAAGTTTGAGTCACAAATGTAATTTAATCTTCTCATTTTACAGATTAAAAAACAGAGGCCCAGACAAAGGAAGTGACTACACTCAGTCCAAGCAGCATTGAGCAGCACAGTCATGAGTCATATGGGTACCTAGATCAGAACTCATCTAACTGTCTTTGGCCACTGTCCTTTGCCTCTGCATAACCCCTGACAGCACCAGTTCCTAAAAGACATGCAATCTATTTTTCTCATCACCAAGGTTTCACTTCATATCATAGCAACATGCAGTAGGGATAAATTTAGCTTAAACTGGGATAGGCCTTAACAATCTATATGTTTGTTGACATTAATGATCAAATATATCTATAAGAAATAATATTAAGTTTGTAGAAATCTGACAAATGACTGAGCTATGATGGTTCTCAAGCAGCCATGGCCAGTTTATATTAAGACCATGTAAGTGTTTTCTGTTTTACTTTAAGCCATTATTTCACCCTAAAGATTTTCTTTACGGATCTGTAAATATAAAACAGTGCAAATTATACCATCTTACCCATATTTTAATGAAATATATGATACCCAAACATTAGATTTAAAAAGAAAATGAGTCGCAGAACCAGGGAAGGAATGAACTCTGAAATTGCACTGTCCATTTTCAGTCTATTTTACCTTGAAGGTTTTATATTAACATTACTGTTAATTTTTCTAATGCTGAAGAAATGCACTTGAAAAGTGCACCATCTGCGCTTTGTCTAATTAGCTGGTCAAAACAGAATGGATGTCAAATTCTGAGTCCCTTTATTTTTATGAAAATGAAAAGAGCTTCACTTCTAACTCAGCTTTATGAGTGAATCAATGAGAAGTCATCTACTGCATAATCTTCTCCTAGAAAGTGATAAATATTTACAGTATATAATGAAATTTCATGTCAAAAATTGATGGTATTTATTGTGTTTTAATAAAAGCAGACTTGAAAACATTAGTTTTATTAAACAAAAAACAGAATATTGTTTTAAAAATTGCCATTTTCATATTTGCTTTTCCTGTGGAGACCTTATATGCAAAGGCAGATTTTTAGGTAACTGTATTACTATGGAAATCAGCTCCAACTGAATAGAAATAGTACAAAATAATGAAAACACTAATACATCTTTACACATTGTATTATTCATCTATCAATTACTTTCCCTTTTGTGGGGCTCACTCTTCTAGGTTTGACTGTTTAACAGTCATATTTTTCCCAATATTATTCTCAATTTCTTTTCTCAATCTTGATCCTAAAAATTTACTAAAAAAGAATATTTAAAAGGTCACATTGTCTTCTTGTGTAAATCAGAGAGATAATGCTGTTACTAACCCATTTTCTAATTATTTAAGTAAATGTTAGGAGGAGCATTTGTTTTCTCATATGAAAAGCTTTTCACAAACAGGTCAAATCTGTTATAGGTGGCAGAAACACAGATTTTCTTTCATGACCTTGCTAGATCCTCTGACTCCTGAAGAAATTATTTCAAAGGGTCATCTCTTCAGATTTTGACATTTAGAAGCTAGTAATTCTCCTATGGTGGAAAAAACTCTCAGAGATTGATCTGGAGAATGTAATCATTCCTACAGCCCATAATGAAAATGCCATTAAAGATGACTCTACGTTCAAGATTATAACTCAAATGCTTATCAGTCTCTAGTATAAAATAATAGAGATCATTAGTGACCATAGTAAACTAAAAAGTGCAGACCCACATAGATGCTAAGATTCACACTTTAAAACAATAGTGTGCTGGCCAGAAAAATCACACATCTGAGTGTTAAATTCAGCCAGTGGTTACCAGATTTTGGTGCTGAAACTACACAGTAAGATGTCAAAGCTACGGGGCTGATTTTATCCTTTCCCCTTTTTTGCTCATCCATTAGTCTACTTACTGTAGTTTGATGTATTTCTCGTTATCAACACTTTGCTAGTTGTTATGATTAATCCTTTACTGAGGTTTTTTTCCTAAATAGATGAACTGTGTCTCAAAAATGAAGAGAAAATATAAAATGATACACAATGAAAAGCCGTACTTCCACCGCTGCCTCAATCTGTCCATTTCTCATTCTGAGTTACTGGTTTATGCGTTTTCACCAATGTTATTCCATCTGTTGAAAGCAAAACAAATGTATCCACAAACACACACATATTCTTATGCCTCCCATTATAAATAACACATTGCATACTATACATACTTTTTTTTCTTCTTAAAGTCAATCATTTGAAAATCACTTCTGATATGGTTTGGATTTGTGTCTCTACCCAAATCTCATGTCAAATTGTAATCTGCAATGTCAGAAGTGGTGCCTGGTGGGAGGTGATTGAATCATGGAGGCGGATTTCCTCTTTGATGCTGTTGTCATGATAGTGAGGGAGTTACTGGAAGATCTGGTTGTTTAAAAGTGTATAGAACCTCCCCCTACTCTTTATTCCTCCTGTTCTGGTCATGTAGGTCATGCCTGCTCTTCCATTCTCCTTCTGCCAGATTGTAAGTTTTCTGAGGCCTCCCCAGGCATGCATCCTGTACAGCCTGTAGGACTGTGAGCCAATAAACCTCCTTTCTCCATAAATTATCTAGTCTCAGGTATTTCTTTATAACAATGTGAGAACAGACTAATACAACTTCTTACTTAAAAATAAATACATAAATAGGTTTTCTTCTAGAGTTTTTACAGTTTTATGCCTGACGTTTAAGTCTTTAATCCATCTTGAGTTAATTTTTGTATAAGGTTTAAGAAGGGATCCAGTTTCAGCTTCCTGCATATGGCTAGCTAGTTTTCCCAACACCATTTATTAAATTGGGAATCCTTTCCCCATTGCTTGTTTTCGTCAGGTTTGTCAAAGATCAGATGGTTGTAGATGTGTGGCATTATTTCTGATGCCTCTGTTCTGTTCCATTGGTCTATATATCTGTTTTGGTACCAGTACCATGCTGTTTTTGTTACTGTAGCATTGTAGTATAGTTTGAAGTCAGGTAGCATGATGCCTCCAGCTTTGTTCCTTTTGCTTAGGATTGTCTTGGCTATGTGGGCTCTTTTTTGGTTCCATATGACCGTGTGGCAATTCCTCAAAGATCTAGAACTAGAAATACCATTTGACCCACCAATCCCATTACTGGGTATATACCCAAAGGATTATAAATCATTCTACTGTAAAGACACATGCACATGTATGTTTATTGCAGCACTGTTCACAATAGCAAAGACTTGGAACCAACCCAAATGCCCATCAATGACAGACTGGATAAAGAAAATGTGGCACATATACACCATGGAATACTATGCAGCCATACAAAAGTATGAGTTCATGTCCTTTGCAGGGACATGGATGAAGCTGGAAACTATCATTTTCAGCAAATTAACACAAGAACAAAAAACCAGACACCGCATATTCTCACTCATAGGTGGGAGTTGAACAATGAGAACACATGGACACAGGGAGGGGAACATCACACACTGGAATCTGTCGGGGGTCGGGGGCTAGGGGAGAGATAGCATTAGGAGAAAACACTAATGTAGATGACCGGTTGACGGGTGCAGCAAACCACCATGGCACGTGTATACCTATGTAACAAACCTGAACGTTCTGCACATGTACCCCAGAACTTGAAGTATAGATAAATAAATAAATAAAATACACAAATATATAAGATATATGAATACACACACAGTGTATACCTACACTGGTGTCATATATATATATCATATATTTACATAGTGTTTACTTATTCATTTATACAGCAGCATATTTCTTTGTAAGGATACATAGTACAATTTATTTGACTCTTCCAATAATGGTTTTCTAGAGTTTTCTATTATAAACACCACTGCATACATTATTTTGCACTGGTACAAGTAAATCCATGAGATAAATAGCATAAATGAGTTGGCTAGATAGAAGGGTAAATTCATTTATACTTCTGAAAAATATTGTCAAATTATCTTTAGAAATTATATTAGTTTGAATCATTATCCATTCTCACCATATCCAGTCCTACTGCTTTGGACATGAAGGAGCTATGAAACTTACATTATTTTTGCTAATATTAGTTTAAAAATGATATTGTACTGTAGTTCAAATGTATATTTTGAATGTAAGAAGTGAGGTTAATCATTGCAATGCTTAATACTTAGTGTCAACTTGATTGGATTGATGGATAAAAAGTATTGATCCTGGGTGTATCTGTGAGGGTGTTGCCAAAGGAGACTAACATTTGAGTCAGTGGGCTGGGAAAGGCAGACCCACCCTTAACTTGGGTGGGCACAATCTAATCAACTGCCAGTGCAGATAGAATATAAGTAGGCAGAAAAATGTAAAAAGAGACTGGCCTAGCCTCTCAGTCTACAACTTTCTCCCATGCTGGATGTTTTATGCCCTCCAACATCGGACTCCAGGTTCTTCAGTTTTGAAACTTGGACTGGCTCTCCTTGCTCCTCAGTCTGCAAATGGCCTATTGCAGGACCTTGTGATTGTGTGAGTTAATACTTAATCTATATATATATATATATATATACATGAGCTCTGTATATATTAGTTTTATATATATTAGTTCTGTCCCTCTCTGGAGGGATATATTTATATACATCCTATTAGTTCTGTCCCTCTAGAGAACTCTGATTAATACAGATTTTGGTTTCAGGAGTGGTTCTAGAGGAACAGAATATTAAGGAAGAAGTTCTTTCATTGGTTTTGGGGTTTCTGGAGTTGGCTGCTTAATACGATTAGGCCAAAAAATGCAAAGGACTCTACTTCTAATAGTATGGAGAATATTGATAGTCCTTGGTGTGAACTGTTTATAGAGTCATGCAAAATAAATGCATTTGACAGTCCTGATTCATTGCTCGTTAAAGGAAAAGAGTTTAGTGACTCTATACATAATACCTTTGACCATATGTGGAGAACAAAGGAACATAATGAAGCTGGTTGGTTGCTCCTAAGTTCAGTGGACAAAATGATGAAAGAAAATAATGAATTCAGAGATTCTATCTCCCAGCTTCAGAAGCAGATACTGAGTCTCAAATCTGCTAAGATTGCCCTGAGTGAGAGTTTTATCTCCTGTAGAGAAAGAGCTGAAATTGTGGAAAAACAGACACAAGCTCTTATCATGTGAGTGGCTGACCTGCAATGAAAGGTACACGTGCAGCCTGGCCAGGTGTCTACTGTTAAAGTGAGGGCATTGATTGGAAAAGAATGGGACCCTGCAACTTGGAATGGGGACTGTGGGAGGACCCTGATAGCTGGGGACACTGAGACTGTAAACTCTGATGAACCTTTCTTGCCAGAAAAAACAGCCTCCCCATCCCCATTAGTGGCAACATCCCCTCCCCAACCCATGCTGCCATCAGCCTTTCCACCTTTGTCTGAGGAGATAAACCCTGCACTGCTTGAGGCAACAGTGATGGCCTCCCCTGAGGCAGTTGCCAGATGAGATAATGTTGATTCTCCTCAGGAGCCTCGCCCAACACCCCTTTTTGCTTCTAGACCTATAACTAGACTAAAGTCCCAATGGGCCTCTAGACGTAAGGTTGAGAGTGTGACCCATGAGAATGTGCGCTATGCTCAAGCAGAACTGCTTGAGTTCTCTAATTTATATAAACAGAAATCTGGAGAGTAGCCATGGGAATGGATATTAAGGGTGTGGATAATGGTGGAAGGAACATAGAGTTGGATCAGGCTGAATTTATTGACTTTGGCCCACTAAGTAGGGTCATAGATTGGGGAGTTAAAAAAGGTCCTAGTAGTTTATTTTCTTGGTTAGCTGATATATGGATTAAAAGATAGCCCACTGTCAGTGAGCTGGAAATGCCTGATCTCCCTTGGTTTAATGTAGAGGAAGGGAGCCAAAGGCTTAGGGAGATTGAGATGGTGGAGTGGATTAATCACTTTAGACCTGCTCATCCCAGCTGGGAGGGTCCTGAAGATATACCCTTGACCAATGCCTTGTGAAATAGATTTGTGAGGGCAGCACCTGTATCTTTGAAGAGCCCTGTGATTGCTCTTCTCTGTATGTCAGATCTAACAGTGGGAACTGCAGTCACTCAACTACAAAATTTAAACACAATGGGAATAATTGGATCCTGAGGGGTAAGGGCTAAGTGGCAGCACTCAATCACCAAAGAGAAGGTGGGCATAGCTATCATAATGAACAGCAGAGACAAAGTAGTAATCAGAAATAGTCTGACTCATGTAGAGCTCTTGCATTGGCTAATTAATCACGGTATTCCTAGAAGTGAAATTGATAGGAAGCCTACTGCATTCTTACTTAATTTATATAAGCAGAAAACTTCTAGGTGGAATGGGAAAAAGACTAATTTTAATTATAAAAACAGAATCACAGCCCCTCAATCAATTTCCAGACTTGAACAAGTCTACAGACCCAGAACTCTTTGAATGAAGGGGAGGCCAGGTCACCTTGAGAGAGGACCCCACTATATCTGACAATTTATGCAGTGAATCTTTCTAGCATCCTTCCCCAAGGAGGCCTCCAGCCTTTTACCAGGATTACTGTGCACTGAGGAAATGGAAATGATCAGGTATTTTGGGGACTATTGGACACTGGCTCTGAGCTGACATTGATTCCAGGGGACCCAAAACATCACTATGATCCTCCAGTAAAAGTATGGGCTTATGGAAGTCAGGTAATTAATAGAGTTTTAGCTCAGGTACAGCTTACAGTGGGTTCAGTGGGTCCTGAGACTCATCCTGTGGTCATTTCCCCAGTGTCAGAATGCATAATTGGCATAGACATACTTAACAGCTGGCAGAACCCCCACATTGGATCCCTGTCTGGTAGGGTGAGGGCTATCACAGTGGGAAAGGACAAATGCAAGCCATTAGAGTTGCTGCTACCTAGAAAAATAGTAAGTCAAAAACAGTATCACATCGCTGGAGGGATTGCAGAGATTAGTGCCACCATGAAAGACACAGGGGTGGTAATTCCCACTGCATCCCCATTCAACTCTCTCATTTGGTCTGTGCAGAAGACAGATGGATCTTAGAGAATGACAGTGGATTATCATAAGCTTAACCAAGTGGTGACTCCAATTGCAGCTGCTGTACCAGATGTGGTTTTATTGCTTGAGCAAATTAACACATCTCCTGTTACCTGGTATGCAGCCATTGACTTGGTAAGTGCATTTATCTCCATTTCTGTCTATAAGGCCCACCAGAAGCAATTTGCCTTCAGCTGACAAGGCCAGCAATATGCCTTTCTGTCATACCTCAGGGATATATCAACTTTCTGGCTTTGTGTCATAATCTTATTCGGAGAGAACTTGATCACTTTTCGCTTCCGCAAGATATCACACTTGTCCATTACATTGATGACATTATGCTGACTGGATTCAGTGAGCAAGAAGTAGCCAACACACTGGACTTATTGGTGAGACATTTGTGTGCCAGAGGATGGGAAATAAATCCGACTAAAATTCAAGAAACTTCCACCTCAGTAAAATTTCTAGAGGTCCAGTAGTGTGGGGTTTGCAGAGTTATTTCTTCTAAGATGAAGGATAAGCTGCTGCATTTGGCCCCTCCTACAACCAAGAAAGAGGCACAACACCTAGTGGGTCTATTTGGATTTTGGAGGCAATACATTCCTCATTTAGGTGTGTTACTCTGGCCCATTTATCAAGTGACCCGAAAGACTGCCAGTTTTGAATGGGGTTCAGGACAGGAGAAGGCTCTGCAACAGGTTCAGGCTGCTGTGCAAGCTGCTGTGCCACTTGGGATATATGACCCAGCAGATCCAATGCTACTTGAGGTCAGTTGCAGATAGGGATGCTGTTTGGAGCCTTTGGTGGACCCCCATAGGTGAATCACAGCAGAGGCCTCTCAGATTTTGGAGCAAGGCCCTGCCATCTTCTGCAGATAACTACTCTCCTTTTGAGAGGCAGCTCTAGGCCTGTTACTGGGCTTTGGTGGAAACTGAATGTTTGACTACGGGTCATCAAGTCACCATGAGACCTGAACTGCCTTTCATGAACTGGATGCTTTCTGATCCCATCTAGCCATAAAGTGGGTCATGCACAGCAGCATTCCATCATCAAATGAAAGTGGTATATATGTGATTGGGCTCGAGCAGGTCCTGAAGGCACAAGTAAGTTACATAAGGAAGTGGCTCAATTGCCCATGCTCTCCACTCCTGCCAACCCACCTTCTCTCCCTCAGTCTGCATCGAAGGCCTCATGGAGAGTGTCCTATGATCAGATGACAGAGGAAGAGAAGACTAGGGATTGCTTCACAGATGGTTCTGCACGATATGCAGGCACCACCTGAAAGTAGACAGCTGCAGCACTACAGCCCCTTTCTAGGACATCCCTGAAGGACAGGCATTAAGGAAAATCTTCTCAGTGGGCAGAACTTGAAGCAGTGCAAATGGCTGTGCACTTTGCATGGAAGGAGAGATGGCCAGATGTGCGATTATATGCTGATTCATGGGCTGTAGCCAATGGTTTGGCTGGATGGTCAGGGACGTGGAAGAAGCATGATTGGTTCCTGATGTTTTGTGGGAGTTGGCTAATTCTTGTATGGAATCAGTCTGTTTGAATTTTCTATTTCATCTGAGGTAAGTTTTGGAATATTTTTTATTCCTAGAAAATAATACATTTCATTCAGGTTTTCAAATTTATTCGATATTAGAGCAAAATTATTTTACTGAGCTCTAAATTACCTCTATTTCTGTGAATATTTCCCCATTAATTAATATTTCTTAATTTTGCTATTAAATGCTCTCTCTCTTTCTCTTGATGAGATTAACAGTATATTAGTTTTTTAAAGAAATAGAAACATAAATCAAACTCAAATAAATTTAAAAAATAAAAACTTACAAATAAAATTTAACATTATTCTGTTTTCTAGTCCATTATTTCATTTTGTCATAGTACCATGCAGCAAACAACCACAAAATCTCAGTGGCATTGTCTCACTCTTGAACTTCCACATTTGCTGGGGCAGTTTCTCTCCCGACTTTGGTGGCTGAAGCAGTTCCTTTTTATGCTGAATTGGCTTGTGTGGCTCTCCTCTAGGTGTCTCTCATCCTCCTCCTAGGACCAGCAGGCTAGTTTAGGCGTGTTATTCCCACAGCAATGGCAACAGCACAAGAGGGCTTACTCAACTACTCAAGCACATTGTAAGACTCTACTTGCATCACATCTGCTGGCATCCTGTTGCCAAAGGAATCCACATGACTGAGCCCAAATCAGGGGTAGAAGACATACACAAAAAAATCTGAAAAAGTGGGAACTGTATTCATATACCAAATTTTCTCTCCTTTCCTCCAGTTTATTTCATTTACCATTTTCTAACTTTTTGAGTTGAATATCTATTCATGACAAGGATTTTAAGATTATAAATTTTCTTCTAAACCCTGTTTTATCTACATCCTATAGATTCTAAAGTGTCTTTATTACATTTTTTCATATATATGCCCCAATTTTTATTTTCTATTTTCTCTTCAACCTAGATTTTAAGAAAATCTTTTTACAAATTTCAGGAAAAGGAAGCTTTTTCTTTTTTTAAGATGGAGTCTCACTCTGTCACTCAGGCTGGAGTGCATTGGCGCAATCTCGGCTCACTGCAACCTCCACCTCCGGGGCTCAAGCAGTCCTCCTGCCTCAGCCTCCTGATTAGCTGGGATTATAGGCATCCACCACCATGCCTGGCTAATTTTTTTTATTTTTAGTAGAGACGGGGTTTCACCAATTGGCCAGGCTGGTCTCAAACTCCTGACCTCTAGTGATCCGTGCACCTCAGCTCCCAAAGTGCTGGGTTTACAGGTGTGAGTCACCGCACCCTAGTTTTTGTCTAGTTTTATTATTATATGGTCATTAGAGAAGCTTGCACCTCTGATTCTTATTTATTTTTAATTCAGAATGGATTAAGGATTTTCTGGTGGTTTAATATACCATCAATTTTCCCAAATATTCCAAAGTTTATTCAAAATTAATAAGGTACAGAATTGCCTTATCAATTAGCCCTACTTTATTATTTATGTTATTTTGATATTCTGTATACTTAATAGTTTTCGTCTACTTGATCTGACATGGACCCAGAAAGGTGCAATAACACCTCTCATTAGTGTTTTCATGTCTATTTCAGCCTCTATCACCTGTCTTTTATGGTTTATGAATGTTTGGCACATTTATGCTTTATGAATGTAACTGTAGTATGTCCATTGTGAACACTTCTGCTATTAGCTTTCCTTTTTTCTTTTTTAATGCTCTTTGGCTGGAGACCCTTGTTTATTTTTGTCTGTCTTTTCTGGTATATACTTTTACATTCTTTGATTTTCAGTCTTACTGAAGTACTTTGTTTTAAGTAAGTCTATACCATAGAATATAGAATTGGGTTCACTATAATCCATCCTGAAATTTTTTTTTTTCTTTTGAAAGCTAAGTTAAGCCTTTAATAGGTTATTTACTGATACAAAAATTTACTGATACAAAAGCAGTGTTTTTTCTTTCTTATGTCATATTATTTGTATTGCATATTCTTTGTGGTTTTAAAAATAGTATTTCATTATAAGTTTTGTTTCCTTTGCTTCTTTTGTATTGTTTATCTGCTGATGAAGTTTTGTGTATTTTTCTTTATTTATTACCTTTATAATAATAATTTTACATTAGACCTTTATTCATGTACTTCTTTCGAATACATCATCTCTAAGTTCCCTGTTATGAATAATAATTAAAAATTGGAAATTTCCTCTTCCTTTTCTCTCTTATTCTTCCCTCTTACCTGACTTTAGTTACTAATGGTGTTTACTTTTAATTCATTAAATGAGATTATGGGTTTATTTAATTTCTGACACCCTTTCTTCCTTGTCCTTTTTTTTTTTCCCCCCAGGCTGGATTGCAGTGGCGCGATCTCTGCTCACTGCAACCTCTGCCTCTGGGGTTCAAGCAATTCTCCTGCCTCAGCCTCCCAAGTAGCTGGGACTACAGGCGCCCACCACCACATGTGGCTAACTGGTGTATTTTTAGTGGAGACTAGGTGTCACCATGTTGGCCAGGCTGGTTTCAAACTCCTGACCTCAAGTGATCCACAAACCTCAGCCTTTCAAAGTGCTGGGATTACAGGCATGAGCCATTGCACGTGGCTGCCTGTCCAATTTTTGTTAAATATATCATTTCTGCATTGGCAAGGAATATGATGTTTATTTTCTATTCTGACATGTCAACTTCCATATTTGCTTTCATTTAGGTTCTATATATTCAGTATTTATTTTCAGTCATTTTGCCAGTGTTTGTCTAGTTATTTCTTATTTGGCCCTAACTCATTCTCTAGTGATCCTTTCAATAAGAGCTCAATGGCGCAAGATTCTCTGAGCTCTTGCATGGTAAAAGTTGTTTGTTTATAGGTATTATATATTAAATCAAATTTGAGTAGCTACACCAATCTTTGACTCAAAGTCATTACTTTGTGTATTTTGCAAGTGTTGTTCTACAGCCTTCTCATATTAAATATTTTTAAGAAGAAATATAAGACTAGCATTTTGTTCTCCTCTTAGGAATTTTTGTTTTTATTTTTTTCCTGGTTGCTGCTGTAACTGCAGCTCGTCCTCCCTTCTCCCATTCTCTCATTCTCTTTCTCCTCCTCCATCACCTCCTTCTTTGCCTTTACCTTTTAAAGGCAAATATAAGTCTTAGAGTTGACCATACTGGATCACTTTTCCTGGTCTGCTGGGTATCCATTGACAATGTTGAATTTCACTGAAGCCTGGTGATCCTGGAAAACAGTACATGTTAAAGAAATTCCCCACTGTTTCCTGTTCTGGGAAGCTGCTTACTGCAAAGCACCATACTTTCACATTAGACTTAGATAATACTCATGGATGCCACCTTGTTTACTTATGACAAGGGATAAACAGACTCTCTAGATTCTCATTGTTTGCCTCATAAATGATTAGCTTAACTGTTTGCCCCCCACCCCCATCAATCAGAGCAAAATACTTGTTAACTAAATTTTGATTAATTTTCTCTCCTTCCCCCAGGAATCTTAACTTTGACCCACCCTCTGCCTAAACCAGCAAACAACCCCTTGTTAACAGCCCCTCCCCAAAATAGGCTGATTTTAGGGTGGAATATTTTCTGATTTATTGTCTGACCATAGCTATTTCTTCTGCTTCTTCATCATTTTGGACACATTCTTGCCTCCATCCTAGGTATTGCTTTTGAAAATTTGCATGATTCTTAATATTTACATTCAAATCCCCATATTCTCTGGATATTCTTTTATCATCCTGTGAAATTAAACATAGTTGGAAAATAAAGTATCAAGAAGACAGAGTGAAGGGTGCAGGGCTCCTTTGATGGGATCCATTGTCTCCAATTTTCTTTTGTACCTTCTACCTCTTCTTTACCATTCCTCCTGAATCTGACTGATCTCTTATTCTCAATATTTTTACCTTGAGCCTAAAATAAGGCTTTTGAAAATCAGTCAAATCTGTTTTTTGTTTGTTTGTTTGTTTTTGGTTTTTTGTTGGTTCGTTTGTTTTGTTTTGCTTTGCTGCACCATTTTCCCTTACAGTAATCAATATGGAGTGCAGAGTAAGGAGAGGAGACAGGAATTACAGAGGAATGAAACAGAATAGTACCCTACATTGATATGAACTATTTTCATTAATATGATAGAAGTGCCCCTGAGTCATTCACAGTCTTGTTAATGCTTCCTCTTACCCCAAGGCCCCAAAATCTGCAAGATAACTGGGTGAATTTAGGAAGGGATGTTTCCATTCCCCAGACAGAGCCAAGCAACATCTTCAGACACCTGAAGTCCAAGTCCCATAGGTAATAAGGTGTTGAGTTAACCTATCCCAGCCTCCTTTGATACCATCTTTTACTGAGAACATTTGACTAGATAATACCAATTATATTTCTTCTCATCTTTTTTCATTTTTTCAAATACCCATCATACAACTAGTTTACTGCCTGCTCAACTTTGTATGTTAATATCTCTTTATTTTTCAGCCCAGAATTACAAAGTTATTTTATTTTTACAATGAAAAATATTTTTACCTCTCAAAGTCTCTGTTTCTTTATAAAATGGGGATTATTATATCTCTTTTAGAGGAGTAATTTCTATGATGCTATCAAGAGAGTGTGCTGAAATTGGAGATCTGATCCTATTGTGTAGATCAGAAATGACTATCAATATTGGTTATAATTAAATGTTTATAATATACAGTAATTTCCGTGATTATAAAAATGTTAGCTGGTCAGAAGAAGCCACTAAAAATCCAAAGAAAAGTACTGGAAACAGAAGCCTTTCCATGGCCTCTCAGATGCTGCCCTTCATTTATTGGGGCTATGCAAACCTGTGCATACCTTCAGTAAGTACATGTTCCTGGGGTTTTGGCTCAGATAGGTGCTCATGTAGCCCCAGTTTGCCACTTAACTGTCATTATAATAATATGACCAGGCACATCTGGCTGAAGGAGTTGGGCTACAGTGTTTGTATTAATATCTAGCAAAGCAAAAATATAGAATGGCTTTTCACTTAATGAGCAGGATAGTGGTAAAATAGTGTCTGTAGTATCAACTATTTTGCCTGGTCTGCTCCTTAAAGTTAACTCGCATTGAGGAATTCCCTACCCTCCTCAGAGGGGGTTTTGCTTCTGACACTTATTTTTGTATATAATCTTCAGAAGAGACAATTGGTGGCAGAGATGTGTTATGTGGCTTATATGAGTTTATTTTATCAGGTGCTAAGGAGAGGAGAAGGCAGGCTTGGCATCCAGCATGAGGTTTCTTTCTGATCCTCAGTGAGTGGGCATCCAGATCCCTCCATGGCTTTTGGACGTCCACGATTGTGGCAGATCACTGTGACTCATTTGGCCCGACTGGCTGACAGACCCATCTGTCGTTAAGGAACCCAACTCAGATCCGTGTAGTAAGGGAGCAAAACAAACCACATATCTGAATCACAGGACAGAAGGAGAGCTACAGTCATCTGCTATTTTTTTTTTTTTAGTTAAATAAGGTTTTCCCTTCAAGCAGGTGGAGGGATGTACCTTACAGGGCTTTTGTGATTGGCTCCCAGCCAGTCTTCTGTATTTTTCACAGCTGGCATCAGGATAAACTAATTTTTTTACTGAATTGACCCTCTATTACTTTCATTTTCATCAGCTCACGACCAATTGATGAGATACAATTTAATACAATGCAATTAATGTTACAGGATTTTTCATAGCAAAGCATCAAAAAATGAGTTAAAACCTAAATGCCAACCAGTGGGAGTTGGAGTATAGGAATAAGAAACTTAGAAGACAATGTAAACCTAAGAGAGAAGAAAGCTCTAAGAAATATAAAAATAATTTATGCTGCCAATGCTGAGAGATTATGAAAAACAAGCTAGACAACAAATGGTTAATAATTACTTTACTAAGATGCTTCTAAGGATTCAAGAAACCATTCCCAAAGAGGTGACCTGTAAATTGGGCCTTGGAGGAATGGGGGAAGGAGGACATCAAGCTGGTGAGGAAAAGAAGGGCTATTTCTAGTAGACGGGAAACTATGAATGCAAGCAGAGAGCTGTGAAAAAGCATTCATGGCCCCATGAGATTTGGCACCTCCTTTCACCTACCTGTCATTTCCCACCAACACCCTACCACCTAAAGTATTTACTATTTGTATAAATTCATTATAAAAGCTTTGAAGGTGAAGTTAGGCTTAAGGATTTTTATTTTATTCAATGGGTTATAGTTCACTGTCAACATTATTTATGTTGATGTTAAATTGTACCAGATTTTGGACATTGGTTGTCTCTTCAAGGTGGCTTTTGTGTCCTTTTGACATGTCTCTAACATTCCTTGAGTACTGTCTTGCTTTTTTGACAACTCGTTGTGTATGATTTTAGTTGTAGCTCTGAAATTAACCTTTCCTCTAAGGAGCCCTGATGCCTTTTAGTGGAGAATGGTATTTAGGAACCAATATTTGAGTACTAGCTGTGCTCATTGCTACTGGCATTTCATTGCTTGTAGCCTATCTCAATGTTCAGAACTAGGAAAAATAACTGAAAATGCACACACACACACACACACACAAGTACACATATTTTTTCTGTATCTACCTGATTATATATTAAAAACAATGAATTTACCTGATAATTACAATTCCAGTCACTTGTGTTTATTCCAACTATATTCCCTTCCGTGTTTGTAATCCCCTTCTCCAATAGTGAAAAATTTGGTATCCATTTTATCATCAATATATTTACTTATTTGCTCACTCACAGAACACACCAGGCATGATTTCAGAATTGTTTGTCTGTACCATAGTGCAAATCAGTTATATTAAGTGGAATTTACTATTTGTCTTTTTTTCAGAGCAAAACTTATGAATAGTAAAATATACAAATCTTTACAATTCATTGAGTTGTAATAAGTACGTGCCTTCATGAAACTCACACTGGTTATTAAGATATAGAAAATGTCATCATTGTAGAAAGCTTCCCGTTGCCTCTTCCTGGTAAATTCCCTCATCTAATAGGTTAGAGTTTTCTCTTTTGAATTTTTATGTATATGAAATCACGTAGTGTGAATTCTTTTGGGTCCAGCTTCATTTGCTCAGTCTTTCATTGTCTAAAAGATTCATCCATATTATTATATGGATAAATAGTTTTTCATTTTTATTGCACAGTATTATTCCATTGCATATTGATATCAAAATTATTTACCTATTCTTTAGTTGACAGGCATTTGTGTTGTTCCCAATTTTGAACAGTTAAAAAAAGCTGCCATGAACATTTTCTATAAAGTCTTTTGTAAAAATGTATTCTCATTTATGTTAGGTAAATTCATAGGAGAAGAATCGATATATCATAGGGAGGATATATGTTCAATTTTTAAAAACTGAAAGGTTTCAAATTGATTGTATAATTTTTACTCTATCATCAAAGTATAAGAATTATGGTTGCTCCATATCACTGACAATATTTAGTGTTGGTCTTTTTTTATTTTAACCATTCTGCTAAATACGGAGTAGTATCTCTTTAGGATTTAACGGCATTTTCCAGCTAACTAATGATGTTGGATCCTTTTTCATTTACTTATTGGTCATATATACTTATTTCTTTGTGAATTCTCTGTTCGGCTCTGTTTTCATTGAATTGTCTTTTTCTTACTCAATTATAGGATACAAGTTTCTTTGTCTTTTGCCAGATATAATCTTAGGTTATAAAGATATCTTAGATTTTCTTTCAAAAGGTTTTAAGTTTAGCTTTTAAAAATAGGTCTATGATTCACCTCAAATTAATTTTTGCATATTGCATGAAGGACAGGTCAAAGTTCATTTTTTTCTATGTGGTATCCACATAGAAATCCTTCAGTGCCATTATCAAAAGTTAATTGACTGCACAATTTTGGGTGTATTTCTGAACTCTATGTTTTATCATTTTATAAATATTGCACTGTTTTTATATTGTAGCTTCAAGTAAGTCTTGAAGTCAGGTACTGTTAGCTCTCTTCCTATGTGTATTATTTTCCTTTTTCAAGATTGTTTTGACTATTCTAGATCACTTGTACTTTGAGAGAAATTTTAGAATCCACTTATCAATTTTTAAAATAAAAAGCATATTGCAATTATGATTGGGCTTATGTTGAATCTGTATATCAACTTGGGAAGAGTTGACATCTTGATAATACTGAGTCTGCCAGTCCATGAACATGGTCTATCACCCCATATACTTGGGACTTTAAAAGTTTCTCTCATTAATATTTTGTGGATTCTGTACAGAGATTTTGTTTGCATTAATTTATACTAAATATTTTACATATTTGGAAGCAGTGGAAATAGAACTTTAAAATTTTCATTTTAACGTTGTATATTGAGACCTTGCTAAATTGCTATGTAGTCTAGTGGATATTTATATATCCTTTAAGATTTACTACACAATCATGTCATCTGCAAATACTGACAGTTTAAATTCTTTTTTTTTTTTTTTTTTTTTGAGACTGTGTCTCACTCTGTTGCCCAGACTGGAGTGCAGTGGTGCGATCTTGGCTCACTGCAACCTGTCTCCTGGGTTCAAGTGATTCTCCTGCCTCAGCTTTCTGAGTAGCTGGGACCACAGGTGCACACCACCATGCCCAGCTAATTTTTGTATTTTTAGTAGAGATGGGGTTTCATCATACTCTCTAATTTTTATGCCTTTCTCTTGCATTATTGTACTTTCTTAAACTTCTCATTTAATGTAGAGTAGAAATAGTGAGAGAACATCTTTGCCTTGATCATTGTCTTAGAAGGAAAATAAACTACTGAAGAGAAAATGTGAATCTCTTTATAAAATTTTATGCAATCCTTGTACAGTATTCATGTTAGTCATCTCTGTACTGTTCCAATATTAGTATATGTGCTGCCAAAGCAAGTACATATTTTCTCTGAAAATCTGTGACTTTCTTGAAATCAGAATTCATGATTTAGTTATCTTTCTAGTCTATGCACCTAGCATAACGCCCCAAACATGCAAGAACTGCAATAAGTGTTTTTTAAACAAATGAATAACAAACAATTTCTTGAAAGATTATTTTGAAGAAATAACCTAATAATATCCTAGGACCCTATTTTCCAGAGGATGTTCTGTGTAATACTAATTCTAAGAGATGATATCATGTATTAATGTACTTTTTTTATTGACAAATAAATTTGAGAGATTCTGGATCTAAAAAGGAAAAAGATTTACCGACATAACAGAGTAGACAATTCATATTTACACTCATTTGTAAAAATTTTCCTAATATTGCTAGCTATGTACCTAAATTCCTTTATGATCCCCATATCTACTGATGGTTGGAAAGTAATGTAAACTTTCCAGTTACAGGTAACTCAATATTTTCCAGTTTAAAATCTCCTCATTTAGTGAGTGTTCACTCAGTTTAACTTCTCCAGGTGATACTCACCATTTCCTTTTCCAAATGGTGTCTGGAATTGTGCAAATGTTTTCTGGGGCTTACTCTTAGTGAACTCCCATTGAAGTGTAGCTTGTCTCACCTTACTCTGGGCAATGGCCTTTTTTCCTACTGTTTCTGCTGTTCAAGTGACTATAACAGATATACCTTATTACTTGTTGTCACAGAAAAATCAAGTCTCAAGGTATCTATCCTTATAGTTATGGGTTGAATTATATCCCCTCAAAATTCATGTGACAAAGTCCTAATTCCTAGTAACTCAGAATGTGATCTTATTTTGAAATAAGGCCATTGCTGATATAAGTAGTTGAGAGGTTATTAAGATAGGTCCCAATCCAATGTGACTATGTCCTTACAAAAAGGTAGAAGTTTGGAGAAAGACATGCAAACCAGGACTATGCCATGTGAGGATAAAGGCAGAGTTGGGGGTGATGCTTCTATAAGCCAAAGAACAGCAAATATTTCCAGCAAACCACCAGGAGCTAGAAGAGAGACATGGAACAGATTCGTTACAGCAGCTTCAGTAAACTAATATATATTCATCCTTTCTTCCGGATGTTATGTTTGTACTTGGTTTTCACTGACTTTCTAAATCTTCTGATTTTCAGCTGTAACTTCTACTTCTTGCTTAGATTGCCCACTCCACTGTATCTCATATGTGATCACTTTGCAATTTGCTATATTGACCCATGGAAGACCAACTGTTATTACTTCTTAGGTATTTCCAGTTACCCCAGTGAGAGCATGAAAGAAATTTTGAATCCCTTCCACATCACAGAGCTGTCAAGGGATGTTCCATTGGCAAAATTTCCTGCTGTTTCTCTACCTAAATATGTCTATAATATTTTCCATTCCACTATAACCATCTCATATCAGCACAAGGAAGAATCTTGGAAGTCAGTCTTAGTTCAGAGTTACAACTGGGAAGGAAAATACATGCACCTTAGGGGTTCAACTTCCCTTCCAACTTCCCTGGAGTTTTCCTCTCCCCTCTCCTGTGCCCCTTGGATTACAGTTAATGGAGGTGAGTTGACTGGATTCCTGAAAAATCCAGGTTGCTTTTTTACACTATGCTTAATCCTTCCAAATGCTCTTCTTCCTCTCATGAGTGGTATCTTCTTTCCTTTTTCTGATTGGCATTCCCCATATAAGATTGCTTTCTAATTTTCCTCTCAACATTATTTTTTGGTAAAACTTAGTGATCTATGATTCCACCAAGCCTGATTTTTGATAAGCAGAAGGTCTTCAACAATTAGAAATCCATCTCTCCCACTAAAGCTAGGGTTTCAATAATTTTTCTAGCCTTCATATTCATAGTCCTCTTTGGGAAGTTGAATGCTGAATACTGACTCTTTCTCTCCAAATTCCTGTTATAAACATCCTAATTATCTCTAAGGCATTAGGTGCCTCAGATTAAACAAAGTGAGGATCATCAGTAATGTGGAAAAGAAACACACATTAATGTCTTCATATTACCCAGGACTTCTCAAAGCTTTTCACGTGCTAACAGGTGTTATGACTCTACAAACATGGAGGATATGGTATGTATAGCACTTTACAACTTATTTGAACACAGATCCTTTATCTTCAGAGAACATCTGGCTAGACTAATATCCCATTAGAAATGAACCGATGAGCAAAATGATGTGTTGCAAAACAGGAAAAACTGGAAGCAGGGTAATGAATTAAGAGGATACATCATTTGTCCAAAAGAAAAGTGACGAAGACCTGAACTGGAGAAATGGCAGTGATCATGAGATTCAATAAGGATTTAGATTTATTATTTAGTATTTATAAACTATGTAATATTGTCAGAACACTTGACTTACTTAATGACATTGGATTCTAGATGTTTCCATCTAGCAATGTTTGTAATTTGTTGAATTTCAAGAAGACAACTGGTTGAAATCAGAGGCACATGTATTTTAAATACATGTTTATAAAACAGATGTGGAAGGAAGACATATTTCTTTTGGGCTGGCACTTAAGGAAAATTTTCTTAAGGCATCCAATTACATTTTATTCTGCCTCTCTCTTAGTTCATGAAATGTATCAGAAAGTTCTCCTTGGTTTCTCAAGGTCTTTGAAAACAGACTTACCAATGTGATGAGAAAACTTGAAAAAATTCCCCAAATTGCTAGTCAGTAAAATTTTAGATTCAAAGCAATTTTAGTGTTCTAAGCATTCATTTTTTTTAATTTTTTTTTTATTGCTTACATATTTCTTTTTTTTTTATACTTTAAGTTTTAGGGTACATGTGCACATTGTGCAGGTTAGTTACATATGTATACATGTGCCATGCTGGTGCGCTGCACCCACTAACTCGTCATCTAGCATTAGGTATATCTCCCAATGCTATCCCTCCCCACTCCCCCACCCCACAACAGTCCCCAGAGTGTGATATTCCCCTTCCTGTGTCCATGTGATCTCATTGTTCAATTCCCACCTATGAGTGAGAATATGCGGTGTTTGGTTTTTTCTTCTTGCGATAGTTTACTGAGAATGATGATTTCCAATTTCATCCATGTCCCTACAAAGGACATGAACTCATCCTTTTTTATGGCTGCATAGTATTCCATGGTGTATATGTGCCACATTTTCTTCATCCAGTCTATCATTGTTGGACATTTGGGTTGGTTCCAAGTCTTTGCTATTGTGAATAATGCCGCAATAAACATACGTGGGCATGTGTCTTTATAGCAGCATGATTTATAGTCCTTTGGGTATATACCCAGTAATGGGATGGCTGGGTCAAATGGTATTTCTAGTTCTAGATCCCTGAGGAATCGCCACACTGACTTCCACAATGGTTGAACTAGTTTACAGTCCCACCAACAGTGTAAAAGTGTTCCTATTTCTCCACATCCTCTCCAATGCCTGTTGTTTTATGACTTTTTAATGATTGCCATTCTAACTGGTGTGAGATGGTATCTCATTGTGGTTTTGATTTGCATTTCTCTGATGGCCAGTGATGATGAACATTTTTTCATGTGTTTTTTGGCTGCATAAATGTCTTCTTTTGAGAAGTGTCTGTTCATGTCCTTTGCCCACTTTTTGATGGGGTTCTTTGTTTTTTTCTTGTAAATTTGTTTGAGTTCATTGTAGATTCTGGATATTAGCCCTTTGTCAGATGAGTAGGTTGCAAAAATTTTCTCCCATTTTGTAGGTTGCCTGTTCACTCTGATGGTAGTTTCTTTTGCTGTGCAGAAGCTCTTTAGTTTAATTAGATCCCATTTGTCAATTTTGGCTTTTGTTGCCATTGCTTTTGGTGTTTTAGACATGAAGTCCTTGCCCATGCCTATGTCCTGAATGGTAATGCCTAGGTTTTCTTCTAGGATTTTTATGGTTTTAGGTCTAACGTTTAAGTCTTTAATCCATCTTGAATTGATTTTTGTATAAGGTGTAAGGAAGGGATCCAGTTTCAGCTTTTTACATATGGCTAGCCAGTTTCCCCAGCACCATTTATTAAATAGGGAATCCTTTCTCCATTGCTTGTTTTTCTCAGGTTTGTCAAAGATCAGATAGTTGTACATATGCGGCATTATTTCTGAGGGCTCTGTTCTGTTCCATTGATCTATATCTCTGTTTTGGTACCAGTACCATGCTGTTTTGGTTACTGTAGCCTTGTAGTATAGTTTGAAGTCAGGTAGTGTGATGCCTCCAGCTTTGTTCTTTTGGCTTAGGATTGACTTGGCAATGCGGGCTCTTTTTTGGTTCCATATGAACTTTAAAGTAGTTTTTTCCAATTCTGTGAGGAAAGGCATTGGTAGCTTGATGGGGATGGCACTGAATCTATAAATTACCTTGTGCACTATGGCCATTTTCACGATATTGATACTTCCTACCATGAGCATGGAATGTTCTTCCATTTGTTTGTATCCTCTTTTATTTCCTTGAGCAGTGGTTTGTAGTTCTCCTCGAAGAGGTCCTTCACATCCCTTGTAAGTTGGATTCCTAGGTATTTTATTCTCTTTGAAGCAATTGTGAATGGGAGTTCACTTAGGATTTGGCTCTCTGTTTGTCTGTTTTTGGTGTATAAGAATGCTTGTGATTTTTGTACATTGATTTTGTATCCTGAGACTTTGCTGAAGTTGCTTATCAGCTTAAGGAGATTTTGGGCTGAGACAATGGGGTTTTCTAGATATACAATCATGTCATCTGCAAACAGGGACAATTTGACTTCCTCTTTTCCTTAATGAATACCCTTTATTTCCTTCTCCTGCCTAATTTCTCTGGCCAGAACTTCCAACACTATGTTGAATAAGAGTGGTGAGAAAGGGCATCCCTGTCTCGTGCCAGTTTTCAAAGGGAATGCTTCCAGTTTTTGCCCATTCAGTATGATATTGGCTGTGGGTTTGTCATAGATAGCTCTTATTATTTTGAAATACGTCCCATCAATACCTAATTTATTGAGAGTTTTTAGCATGAAGGGTTGTTGAATTTTGTCAAAGGCTTTTTCTGCATCTATTGAGATAATCATGTGGTTTTTGTCTTTGGTTCTGTTTATATGTTGGATTACATTTATTGATTTGTGTATATTGAACCAGCCTTGCATCCCAGGGATGAAGCCCACTTGATCGTGGTGGATAAGCTTTTTGATGTGCTGCTGGATTCGTTTTGCCGGTATTTTATTGAGGATTTTTGCATCAATGTTCATGAAGCATATTGGTCTAAAATTCTCTTTTTTGGTTGTGCCTCTGCCCAGCTTTGGTATCAGAATGATGCTGGCCTCATAAAATGAGTTAGGGAGGATTCCCTCTTTTTCTATTGATTGGAATAGTTTCAGAAGGAATGGTACCAGTTCCTCCTTGTACCTCTGGTAGAATTCAGCTGTGAATCCATCTGGTCCTGGACTCTTTTTGGTTGGTAAGTTATTGATTATTGCCACAATTTCAGATCCTGTTACTGGTCTATTCAGAGATTCAACTTCTTCCTGGTTTAGTCTTGGGAGAGTGTATGTGTTGAGGAATTTATCCATTTCTTCTAGATTTTCTAGTTTATTTGCGCAGAGGTGTTTGTAGTATTCTCTGATGGTAGTTTGCATTTCTGTGGGATTGGTGATGATATCCTCTTTATCATTTTTTATTGCATCTATTTGATTCTTCTCTCTTTTTTTCTTTATTAGTCTTGCTAGCAGTCTATCAATTTTGCTGATCCTTTCAAAAAACCAGCTCCTGGATTCATTAATTTTTTGAAGGGTTTTTTGTGTCTCTATTTCCTTCAGTTCTGCTCTGATTTTAGTTATTTCTTGTCTTCTGCTAGCTTTTGAATGTGTTTGCTCTTGCTTTTCTAGTTCTTTTAATTGTGATGTTACAGTGTCAATTTTGGATCTTTCCTGCTTTCTCTTGTGGGCATTTAGTGCTATAAATTTCCCTCTACACACTGCTTTGAATGCGTCCCAGAGATTCTGGTATGTTGTGTCTTTGTTCTCATTGGTTTCAAAGAACATCTTTATTTCTGCCTTCATTTCGTTATGTACCCAGTAGTCATTGAGGAGCAGGTTGTTCAGTTTCCATGTAGTTGAGCGGTTTTGAGTGAGTTTCTTAATCCTGAGTTCTAGTTTGATTGCACTGTGGTCTGAGAGATAGTTTGTTATAATTTCTGTTCTTTTACATTTGCTGAGGAGAGCTTTACTTCCAAGTATGTGGTCAATTTTGGAATAGGTGTGGTGTGGTGCTGAAAAAAATGTATATTCTGTTGATTTGGGGTGGAGAGTTCTGTCGATGTCTATTAGGTCTGCTTGGTGCAGAGCTGAGTTCAATTCCTGGGTATCCTTGTTGACTTTCTGTCTCGTTGATCTGTCTAATGTTGACAGTGGGGTGTTAAAGTCTCCCATTATTAATGTGTGGGAGTCTAAGTCTCTTTGTAGGTCACTCAGGACTTGCTTTATGAATCTGGGTGCTCCTGTATTGGGTGCATATATATTTAGGATAGTTAGCTCTTCTTGTTGAATTGATCCCTTTACCATTATGTAATGGCCTTCTTTGTCTCTTTTGATCTTTGTTGGTTTAAAGTCTGTTTTATCAGAGACTAGGATTGCAACCCCTGCCTTTTTTTGTTTTCCATTTGCTTGGTAGATCTTCTTCCATCCTTTTATTTTGAGCCTATGTGTGTCTCTGCACGTGAGATGGGTTCCCTGAATACAGCACACTGATGGGTCTTGACTCTTTATCCAATTTGCCAGTCTGTGTCTTTTAATTGGAGCATTTAGTCCATTTACATTTAAAGTTAATATTGTTATGTGTGAACTTGATCCTGTCATTATGATGTTAGCTGGCTATTTTGCTCGTTAGTTGATGCAGTTTCTTCCTAGTCTCGAAGGTCTTTACATTTTGGCATGATTTTGCAGTGGCTGGTACCGGTTGTTCCTTTCCATGTTTAGTGCTTCCTTCAGGAGCTCTTTTAGGGCAGGCCTGGTGGTGACAAAATCTCTCAGCATTTGCTTGTTTGTAAAGTATTTTATTTCTCCTTCGCTTATGAAGCTTAGTTTGGCTGGATATGAAATTCTGGGTTGAAAATTCTTTCCTTTAAGAATGTTGAATATTGGCCCCCACTCTCTTCTGGCTTGTAGGGTTTCTGCCAAGAGATCCGCTGTTAGTCTGATGGGCTTCCCTTTGAGGGTAACCCGACCTTTCTCTCTGGCTGCCCTTAACATTTTTTCCTTCATTTGAGCTTTGGTGAATCTGACAATTATGTGTCTTGGAGTTGCTCTTCTCAAGGAGTATCTTTGTGGTGTTCTCTGTATTTCCTGAATCTGAACATTGGCCTGCCTTGCTACATTGGGGAAGTTCTCCTGGATAATATCCTGCAGAGTGTTTTCCAACTTGGTTCCATTCTCCCCATCACTTTCAGGTACACCACTCAGATGTAAATTTGGTCTTTTCACATAGTCCCATATTTCTTGGAGGGTTTGCTCATTTCTTTTTATTCTTTTTTCTCTAAACTTCCCTTCTCACTTCATTTCATTCATTTCATCTTCCATCGCTGATACCTTTTCTTTCAGTTGATTGCATCGCCTCCTGAGGCTTCTGCATTCTTCACGTAGTTCTCGAGCCTTGGTTTTCAGCTCCATCAGCTCCTTTAAGCACTTTTCTGTATTGGTTATTCTAGTCATACATTCTTCTAAATTTTTTTCAAAGTTTTCAACTTCTTTGCCTTTGGTTTGAATGTCCTCCCGTAGCTCAGAGTAATTTGATTGTCTGAAGCCTTCTTCTCTCAGCTCGTGAAAGTCATTCTCCATCCAGCTTTGTTCCATTGCTGGTGAGGAACTGCATTCCTTTGGAGGAGGAGAGGCGCTATGCTTTTTAGAGTTTCCAGTTTTTCTCTTCTGTTTTTTCCCCATCTTTATAGTTTTGTCTACTTTTGGTCTTTGATGATGGTGATGTACAGATGGGTTTTTGGTGTGGATGTTCTTTCTGTTTGTTAGTTTTCCTTCTAACAGACAGGACCCTCAGCTGCAGGTCTGTTGGAATACCCTGCCGTGTGAGGTGTCAGTGTGCCCCTGCTGGGGGGTGCCTCCCAGTTAGGCTGCTCGGGGGTCAGGGGTCAGGGACCCACTTGAGGAGGCAGTCTGCCCGTTCTCAGATCTCCAGCTGCGTGCTGGGAGAACCACTGCTCTCTTCAAAGCTGTCAGACAGGGACATTTAAGTCTGCAGAGGTTACTGCTGTCTTTTTGTTTGTCTGTGCCCTGCCTCCAGAGGTGGAGCCTACAGAGGCAGGCAGGCCTCCTTGAGCTGTGGTGGGCTCCACCCAGTTAGAGCTTCCAGGCTGCTTTGTTTACCTAATCAAGCCTGGGCAATGGCGGGCGCCCCTCCCCCAGCCTCGCTGCTGCCTTGCAGTTTGATCTCAGACTGCTGTGCTAGCAATCAGCGAGATTCCGTGGGCGTAGGACCCTCCGAGCCAGGTGCAGGATAAAATCTCGTGGTGCGCCGTTTTTTAAGCCGGTTGGAAAAGCGCAGTATTTGGGTGGGAGTGCCCGATTTTCCAGGTACGTCTGTCACCCCTTTCTTTGACTCGGAAAGGGAACCCCCTGACCCCTTGCGCTTCCCGAGTGAGGCAATGCCTTGCCCTGCTTCGGCTGGCGCACGGTGCGCGCACCCACTGACCTGCGCCCACTGTCTGGCACTCCCTAGTGAGATAAACCCGGTACCTCAGATGGAAATGCAGAAATCACCCGTCTTCTGCGTCGCTCACGCTGGGAGCTGTAGACCAGAGCTGTTCCTATTCGGCCATCTTGGCTCCTCTCTCACCATTCTTTTTTTAAGTTGTATTTTATAGACCTGATCTTGCTCTGTCTCCCGGGCTGGAAAGCAGTGGCAGCATCATGGCTCACTGCAGCCTTGACCTCCCAGGCTCAAGCAATTCTCTCACCTCAGCCTCCTGAGTAGCAGGGATCACAGGCATGCACCTCTACACTTGGCTAATTTTTTTCCTTTCTTGTAAAGACAGGGTTTCACTATGTTGCCCAAGTTGGTCTTGAACTCCTAGGCTCAAGCAATCCTCCCATCTCAGCCTTCCACAATGCTAGGATTACAAGTGAGAGTCACTGCACCTGGCCTACCAAATATTTTTAAATAGCATATTGGAATATCTTTCATGGGCCTCCACTGATTTATACTTTTCACTAAGACTAGAATATTGTGTTTATTATAATGTAATTTAAGCACAAGAGGAAAAAGAAGACAAATTTAGTTATAAAATTAAATTAGTTCATATTAAATATGGCTAGAAGATTATTTCTATTTAGGCCTATTAGAATAGAACTGAATAATCAAAATAGAACTGGTGATTTTTAACTAAAAACAGTATTGCAGTTCTTCCTTTTAGCAATAAAGGTACCAATTAGATAGAGATTACTAATAAGATCTGTTTCACAAAAATAGCTTATTTTTCTATGGTGTTACTATAGTAATAAAAATTTTAAGAAAGAAAAAAATAACAAAGGAAGTAATAATTTGGAGAGTGTGGCAGATTGCTGAAAAAAATGAACATAACTATTTTCATCTCTTCCTTTTACTCATGCCCCTTTGCACTGCCACTTGCAGTATCTTGAATCAAAAGGTAGGCTTTGCTTTTCCACCCGTTATATATGGTCTGAACTTGTAACTTGCTCTGACCAATGAAATGCAGTGGAAGTGCCGTTGTGGCAGTTGTAAACCTAGGTTTCATGTGCCCTTGCCAATTCTATTCTCTGCAGAAACTCTTTGAAGCCTCCACGTGGACAAGTCTAAGCTAGTCTGCTGGATGATGAAAAACCACATGGAGACCACATGTGCCATCCCAGTTGAAGCCATCTTAGATCAGCCAGCCCTACTAACTGAGTGTAGTTACATGGGTGAGGCCAGCTGAAACCAGAATTGCCCAGCAAAGCCTAGCCCAAATTACCAACCTGTAGAATTGTGAGATAAATAGATGTTTGTTGTTTTAAGCAACTAAAGCATTCCAAAACTGTTGTTTTGGAATGGCCGGTTATTCAGCAACTAATTTGGTGCTTCAGATTATTTCTGTGCTTAACTATTTTAATCACCTCTCAGTAATCTTCCTCTTTTAATAGCTTCTGATTGCCCACAGAGTAAAGTTTCCATAACTTTAATCAGATTTTCAAGGCCTTTCGTGATTTCTCCACAAGATAAATTTGAAGTTGAAGTTTCTGCTACTTTTCTTCATTCACCCTTGAATGATGTTGCCAAAATGAATTATCAATAGTCCTTGACTATGAAACACTATCAATTGAAAAGTCTATCATTTGTTTAATACACATTTTATTTCACATCCTTACAGATGGTAAGTTTCTTTTGAAATCGATTCTAAGATAAATCACGTTTTTATAGACAGTAAAGTCTAGAAATATAATGTGACTGAGAAATAAGAAAGCAGAGTCCTTATTATTTTCTACATCTTAAGTTCTCTGCTGCCTGTCCCTGTCTAGAACCATTCCCTCTGTTTTGTATGCTCCAGGTCTACAAATTCTGCTTATATATATCTACATATCCTGCTTATCTAAAAATCTACGCAAATATCTTCCCACTTAGAAATCATTGAGGACCTTTGACTTCATTGAGCTAAATGTAATCACTCCTACATGAACTTTCATCAAAATGATTAGAACTACTCACAGGCATTTTCCAATTTTATTGGCAACTTTTCCTTTGCTATTAGACTGTATGCAGGTTGAGGGCAATACAGCACTTATTGAATATTTCACACTCTCTTTTTGCCACTCCAATGCAAAGTTCTAAGTACAGTGTCTATTCCACCTTGCTCAATATATATTTGTTCACCAAATCAGTCAAAAAAAGTACACATTTAACAAACCTCAAGGTTTCTGACTCTTCATATTCGTTTTGTCACTAATTAACCATGAGACCTTAGGCAATTTGCTTAATCTCTAGGGGCTGATGCCGCAAATTACCTAAGAGACAGGATAGTAGATGTGTGAATATTCTATGTAAACTGGGAGATCAGTTTGGTGTTTTAGCATTGTTTCCTGTTCTGAAAAATGAGGCAGTTGAACTTGATCTAGTTTTTAAAAGCCACCTGTAAGTAGCATTCCACAATGATAATATTGCCAGTTGTTGCTTTTTCTTAAGTGTGTTGGCTCAAAGTGTGAGATGACTTTTAAAAACGAAGTACAGAACTTGCTTCCTAAAAGCTTATCTTGGTAGCTGATGCACTAGTGAACGTTCCTACTATGATTATTATTCCAGACAACTTTGCACCATGCGGACAGGTCAAATGAGACCAGAAGTATTATGAACCAATGCTAATCAGGACTGTTTCCTGCACTCTGAGACCAAAGGGGCCATTCTCACAAAGAAAGAGGTAGGTATTATTACAGCAATATAAATCACCCAAGAGTTTGGTTCAAAACTTTTTTGATTAACTAAAACTTTTATTAATAAAAGTAGATTAAAGACATATTAAGGGTTCAATATTTTAAAGAGTGACCCTTAGGAAATAGGCATATAGTGATTGGTGTTGGATGTAATGATATACCATAATTAATGTGAGCACTACAGAGTCTTGAGCCCCACATCTCTGCACTGTGATGAATTTTCCAGTTCAATACTATTCATTTCAGTTAACTTTGACTCAATTTACATTTGTATCAATTCAAGGTAGCATTTGATATTGTGGAAAGAGGGTTGGCTGTTAGAATTCATGAACTTCCATATTAACTACTACTTGTGTGATGTTTAGCAACTCACCTATTGTCTCTAAACCTTAGTTTCCTCATCTGCAAAATGGGAATATTATTACCTACCTCATATTTGATATAACGTCCCTAGCACAATGATTATATCGTCTTCCTCCCACTCCTTCAATTCATGCCAGTTCAATTTTACTTAATTTAACAAACATCAACAATTTTTCAACTATATTGCTGGAACACAACAATGCATATGTTGCACCATTGCAAATACGGGCTTCTGGGAAGCCTCTGTAATTGAAAAGTTTTTCCTTGGGAAAATATGTATTATTTGATTATGTAAGGAATCAGTTATTGTCATGTTTTATTTATATCTAATCCAGTGAGTTTATTAATGTCTAAATCAGTGGGAAGATCACAAAGGTAAGCTTGATATTTTCTCCAAAAATTTGGTGTCTACACCCTATTTTTCTATAAAATGAACACATTTTCTTAAATTTTAGGAAGACAGTAGTCTTCTATAACCAGGTCAGTGGACATGGCCTTACTGAAAGGCATAAGTGAAGCTAAGCATTGCAATGAATAAGCTGCCCCTGACTCCTCTTGTGCCCCACTTTCTGCTCAGCCCTATTACTTTCCCAGCCACTGCTGTAATAACCAGTTCCACATGAGCTTTTCCACTCAAAACTCAAAATACACGCAACCCAGAAATGTGAACGGATTAGGAGGCCAATAGATAAATTATTTCCTTTTCTATCTCCCAGACAGATGGGTCGAAGATGTATTTTATAAGGCTTTCCAGAAAATCTCATGTGATGAACATCAGTCACATAGCAGGGTTCAACTCGATCATGCATCCTTGTCTTAGTTTTTTCTCCTTTCCTGTTTCACTCTACCTATCCCTCATTCCTGTTTCCTCATATCACTTTAGGGAGAACTTCAGCTAAGACTGAGCACAATGGGGCAATTTTTAAGGCTTAACTCCTCCCCATTCCATAGCTCTTAGCATGGTAAACTGGTAAGGGTGGTCAAGTTTGTATAAGGGATCAACGAGATTCTAGGAAAGAAAAGATTAAAATGTCCTTCTCTTTGGGGTTAAAGATTATTAGAATGACTCTGATTTATTAAGATTGTCCCAAGTGAGGCTGATCAGCAGCAGAAGACACTCAGGGCCCTTAATGTGAAATTTGTTATGAGTGTAAGGGTGGATTTCAGTTGTTGCCATAGACCAGGGTTGAGCACAGTGTGAGGATCAGGCTGGAACTGCCACCTAACCTGGACTTTGTGAATGCACTTGGGGCAGGTTACCTGTGCATGTGAGTACTACACAGGCAGCTGTAAAAATGAAAGCCCAGTCCTCAGGCAGTATAAGCCATTACAGATAAGGGTAACCCTGAGGGGAGGTGCTTCTGTTTTCTGCTTTCCCTGTAAGCTGCTGTGCTGAGCAGCAACGTCAGAACTAATGCATGTGGTCATCAGTGGATGAGCAGGATTACATAAGGCCTTTACTGTGTGTAAAACAAGATTCTGCAGTTTCTTCCTCTCAGAGACTTTTGAAACCAGGGCTGGGGCCTAAGAACAGAACAAATGTGGCAATGGTAACGTCAGTGGCTGCTGCTTGGATGGAAGCATCCTTACCCTGAGGGGAGTGGGCCTGGAATACAGATGAGTCAGTGCCTCAGAGCACTGGAACTAGTTGGCTAAGGCGGGATTGAACCAGGAAGAAGAGAGATAGGTTTGTGGTAGTCAATCAAGATAGAAGCTGGACTTGCAAAATGAGCCTTTCAGACTTTATGTAAGGGTAGCAGACAATTAGGAGGCACTATCCTATGAATATCTCATGACCCAAGTTCTATGGATTCTTCCAAGTCTCATTGAAAAACAAACAAAAATCTTGGCATGCTTCTGATCCTTCTGGTGACTCAAAGGTGGGAAAATGAAGCTATCAAGGCAAGAGATTATGACAGTTAAGATTTCTTGACTCTTAGCTATTGTGGCTCTACGGTTTTTGTTTTTTTGTTTTTTGGGTTGTTTTTTTTTTTTTTTTTTTTGAGACGGAGTCTTGCTCTGTCGCCCAGGCTGGAGTGCAGTGGCGCGAGCTCGGCTCACTGCAAGCTTCGCCTCCCGGGTTCACGCCATTCTCCTGCCTCAGCCTCCTGAGTAGCTGGGACTACAGGCGCGCCCGTCATCACACCCGGCTAATTTTTTGTATTTTTAGTAGAGACGGGGTTTCACCGTGTTAGCCAGGATGGTCTCAATCTCCTGACCTCGTGATCCGCCTGCCTCGGCCTCCCAAAGTGCTGGGATTACAGACGTGAGCCACCACGCCCAGCCCGGCTCTATTTTTTTTTTTTTTAATTTAGCTGAACTGCAATTACAATTCCCAGAATCTCCTTCCTTTTATGGTTCCAAGCTACCAATTGGCCATAAGAAAATTCTGCATGGGGTTAAAAGGCAGTAATACAACAATGGTCATGTTTATGCTTGAAGGGTTGGTGCAGAGTCAGGATTGGTTGTAGCTCATGCACCTTATCACAGGTATTCTGGCTTGCCTGGTTGGTGTGAGGCAGTAGTCGAGCACTGTTCTTCCAACTCTGGCTAGGTCTCATCCTTCACCTTCTGTGAACCCTGGGCCAGGATTCTGTTTATCTCCATAAGAGGATTGGCTTCTCCAGCAGATCACTCTCATTAACCAAGCAGGAAGCATGGAATTGAGTCCCAGATCTCCTCAGAGGTTCCAGCTGGTCCTGCTCTTCCTATTTAACAGCGACTTTTCTTTTTTTGCACAGCAAGCCCTGCTGATATCAGGCACAGAACTAGATGCAAACACAGTAGCCCCACATCTACTGTTTCACCAGCTCCCACAATATTAAATGGTAAAATCTCTATGAGAAGCCCCATATTTTCAGTCACTCCTGGAACATTCACTTCTCTGATCAATTCCTGCCTGATGCCATGGACAAAAAAAAAAGGTTTCGATTTCACAACTTTGGGCAAGAGGCATTTCAGCCTGCTTTGGCCTGATTGTACTTGTGCTGCTATATGGGGGTATGGGTGTGGACAGGTGGGGTTAAGGTAAGAATGGTGATTCATGAGGGGAAGATTCTCCAAGGGGTGTCCCTTGTGTGAATACAGCAACATTACTAAAATAATATAAAAACACTCTACGGGGAAATGAGAAGTGAGGAAGGTAAAGGGAGCAGACTGGGGACAAATTGGAGAGTCTACCTCTTTAAGAGGAGGCAGCAAATCTGAAACCCACTGTTATTAGGTGAGAAGAATGACATTCAGATTGCTGGATCTGATTTCATAAAAGGTTGGAAATTGAAGTTCTTATACAAAATTTCCCATTTTTTTAATTGATTTTATTTAATTTTTAATTGTTATGGGTACACAGTAGGTGTATATATTTATGGGATACATGTTTTGATAAAGGCATGCAATGGAGTAATCACATCATATGGGGTACATCTTTTGATAAAGGCATCCAATAATAATAACATCAGGGTAAATAAGGTATCTTTCACTTCAGGAATTTATCATTTTTTTGTGTTAGAAACATTCCATTTCCACTCTTTTAGTTATTTTAAATGTACAATAAATTATTGTTGACTGTAGTCACCCTGTTGTGCTATCAAATACTAGGTCTTATTCATTCCTTCTACTATATTTTTGCACCTATTAATCATCAGAAAATCCTCCAAGTCCCCCGTTACCCTTCCAAGCCTCTGGTAGCCATGATTCTACTCTCTATCTCCAAGAGTTCAATTGTTTTAATTTTTAGCTCCCACATATGAGAACATGCAAAATTTGTTTTTCTGTGCCTGGCTTATTTTGCTTAACATAATGTCCTCCAGTTCCATCCATGTTTTTGCAAATGATAGGATTTCATTATTTCTTATGGCCAAATAATATTATATTGTGCATATATATCATGTTTTCTTTATTAATTCATCTGTTGATGGACACTTAGGTTGATTTCAAATCTTTCTATTGTGAATAATGCTGCAATAAACATAGGAGTGCAGATATTTTTTGATATAATAATTTCCTTTCTTTGGGATATATACCTAGCACTGAGATTGCTATGTTATATGATAGTTTTCTTTTTTTTATAATTTTTTGAGGAAACTCAATACTGTTCTCCATAGTAGCTGTATTAATGTATGTTCCCACCAACAGTGTGTGAGTATTCTCCTTTTTCCATATTCTTGCCATGATTCCTCAGTCTGTCTTTTTGATACAAGCCATTTTAACAGGAATAAGATAACACATTTCAGTTTTGATTTGCATTTCTCTGATGATTAATAATGCTAGCATGTTTTTATATACCTGTTAACCATTTGTATGTCTTCTTTTGAGAAATGTCTATTTGGGCCTTTTGCCCATTTTTAATCAGATTATTAGATTTTTTTCCTATTGAGTTATTTAAGCTCCTTGTAGAGTCTGGTTATTAATTTCTTGCCAAATGGTTAGCTTGCAAATGTTTTCTCCTATTCTGGGGATTGCCTCTTCACTTTGTTGATTGTTTCCTTTGCTGTGCAGAAGCTTTTTAGCTTGCTGTGATCCTGTTTGTCAATTTTTGCTTTGGTTGCCTGGGCTTGTGAACCATTACTCATGAAACCTTTGCCCACTCCAATGCCCTGGAGAGTTTCCCCAATGTTTTCTTTTAGTGGTTTCATAGTTTTAGCTCTTAGACTTAAATCTTTAATCCATTTTGATTAGATTTTTATATATAGTGAGAGAGAGGGGTCTATTCATTCTTCCATGTATGGATATCCAGTTTTCCTAGTACTATTTATTGAAGAGACTGTCCCTTCCCCAGTGTATGTTCTTGGAAACTTTGTCAAAAATGAGTTCGCTGTAGGTAAGTGTATTTATTTCTGGGTTCTCCATTCTGTTCCTTTGATCTATGTGTCTGTTTTTATGATAGTACCATGCTGTTTTGGTTACTACAACTCTGTAATATAATTTAAAATCAGGTAATGTGATTCCTCCAGCTTTGTTCTTTTTGCTCAGGATAGCATTGACTATTCTGGGCCTTTTGTGGTACCATATAAATATTAGGATGTTTTTTGTCTTTCTATGAAGAATGTTATTGGTATTCTGACAGGGATTGCATTGAATCTGTAGATTGCCTTGTGTAGAATAGACAGTATAACAATATTGATTTTTCCATTTCATGAACATGGAATATTTTTCCATTTCTCTGTGTCCTCTTCAATTTCTTGCATCAATGTTTTATAGTTTTCATTGTGGAGATCTTTCCTGTTTTGGTTAAGTTTATACCTTGAAATTTTATTTTATTTATAGCTATTTTTAATGGGGTTACTGTCTTAGTTTTTTTTTCAGATTATTTGCTTTTGGCATATAGAAAAGTTACTGATTTTTATGTGTTCATTTTGTATCCTGCAATTTTACCCAATTTGTTTATCAGTTCTAATAGTTTTCTGGTGGAGTCTTTAGGTTTTTCCAAGTATAAGATCATATTATCTGCAAACAAGGATAACTTGACTTCTTTTATTCCAATTTGGTTGTGCTTTATATCTTCTCTTGTCTAGCTGATCTAGCTAAGACTTCCAGTACTATGTTGAATAACAGCAGTTAAAGTGTGCATCCTTGTCATATTCCAGATCTTAGAGGAAAGACTTCATGTATTCCACATTTGATACTAGCTTTGGGTCAGTTATGTATGTCTTTTATTGTGTTGGGGTATGTTCCTTCTAGAGCCATCTTTTTGAAGGTTTTTATCCTGAAGAGATGTTGAATTTTATTGAATGCTTTTTCAGCACTGATTGAAATTATCATATGTTTTTTGTCCTTCATTCTGTTCATATGATGTATCGTATTGATTGAGTCACATATGTTGTAACATTCTTGCAGCCCTGGCATAAATCTTACTTTGTTGTGATGAATGATTCTTTTATTGTGTTGTTTAATTTGGTTTGCTAGTATTTTGTTCAGAATGTTTGCATTAATGTTCATCAGCGATATTGGCATATAGTTTCTTTCTTGTTGTGTCTTTGTCTGGTTTTGTTATCAGGGTAATACTGCCCTCATAGAATAGGTTTGGAAGTGTTCCCCCCTCCTCTATTTTTTGCAATAGTTTGGGTAGGGTTGGTATTGGCTCTTCTTTAAATTATTGGTAAAATTCAGTAGTGAAACCATTGGGATCCAGAATTTTCTTTGATGTGAGACTTTTTATTATAGCATTCATCTCATTACTTGTCATTGGTGTATTTAGGTTTTGAATTTCTTCATGATTCAATCTTGGGAGGTTTTATGTATCTAGGGATTTATTTATTTATTCTAAGTTTTTCAATTTATTGGGATATAGCTGCTCATAGTTGTTGCTTCTAATGATCCTTTGAATTTCTGCAGTATCAGTTGTAATGTCTCATTTTTCATCTCTGATTTTGTTTGTTTCTTTCTTTTGCTCTTCATTTGAATAAAAGTTGCCTTGCAAAAACTTGACTTTTCATGTTTTTCATCTTTCATATTTTTGTTACAATTTTAGCTATTTGTTCTCTGATATTTATTACTTCTTTTATTTACCAATGTTCAGTTTGGATTGCTCTTGCTTTCTAGTTCTTTAAGATGCATCATTAGCTTGTTTATTTGAGGTTTTTCTACTTTTTTAATGCAGGTACTTACTGCTATAAACTTTCCTTTTAGCACTGCTTTTGCTGTATCCCATGGGTTTTAGTATGCTGTGTTTCCATTTTCATTTGTTTAAAGAAATTTGCTTTATAATTTCTTTATTGACTCACTCCTCATTCAGAAGCATACAGTTTATTTATATATGCTTGTATAGTTTTCAAAGTTCCTCTTCTTGTTGATTTATACTTTTATTCCACTGTGGTCAGACAAATTACTTAATAAGATTTCAATTTTTTTTAGTTTTTAAAGTCTTTTTCTGTGACTTAACATATGGTCTATTCTCAAGAATGATCCATGTGCTGCGAAGAATTTGTATTTTGCAACCATTGGATGAAATGTTCTCCAAATATCTATTGGGTCCATGTGGTCTATAGTGCAGATTAAGTTTAGTTTTTCTTTGCTGATTTTCTATATGTCCAATGCTGACAGTGGGGTGTTTAGTTCTCCAGCTATTATTGTTTTGAGGTCTAACTCTCTTTAGCTCTAATAAAATTTGCTTTATATATCTCGGTGCTCCGGTGTTGTATACATATATATTTAAAATTGTTATTTCCTCTTGCTGAATTGACCCCTTAATCATTATGCAATTACCTTGTCTCTTTTTACAGTATTTATATTAAAATATATTTTATCTAATGTAAGTATAGCTACTCCAGCTTTTTATATTTTTGGTTTTCATTTGCATGTTATATATTTTTAATTCCTTTATTTTTAGTCTGTGTGTCTTCAGAGGTGAAGTGAGTTTCTTGTAGGCAGCATATATTTGGGTCTTTTTTTTTTTTAATCCATTGAGCCATTTTATGTCCCTTGATTAGAGAATTCAGTTCATTTACATTCAGTGTTCTTACTGATAGGTAGGAATTTACTACTTTCATTTTGTTATTTGTTCTCTAGTTGTTTTATGGCCTTCCTTCCTTCCTGCCTTCCTTCCTGTCTTCCTTTGTGGAAAAGTGATTTTTCTCTGGTGGTATGTTTTAATTTCCTGCTTTTCATATTTCGTGTATTTACTTTTTATTTATTTATTTATTTACTTATTTATTTATTTAGGGCCACCACAATGCTTGCAAATTATATCTTATAAGCCACTATTTTAAACTGATGACAATTTAACTCTGATTCTAAGAGAAAAAACAAGCAAAGAGAAAACTAACAAAAACTGTGTAATTCAACTTCATCACCCTACTATTTAACTTCTTGTTTCTATTTGTCATTTTTGCTATTTTTGAAAAAGCTTTTGTAGTTATTATTATTATTTTTTTTTGAGACAGGTTCTCACTCTGTTGCCCGGGCTGGAGTGCGGTAGCATGATCTCAGCTCACCGCAACCTCCGCCTCACAGGTGCAAGTGATTCTCCTGCCTCAGCCTCCTGAGTAGCTGGGATTACAGGTGCACTCCACCATGCCCAGATAATCTTTGTATTTTTAGTAGAGACAGGGTTTCACCATGTTGGCCAGCCTTGTCTCAAACTCCTGACCTCAAGCAATCTGCCTACCTTGGCCTCCCAAGGTGCTGGGATTACAGGCATGAGACACTGTGCCTGGCCTAGTTATTATTCTTGATAGACTGGTCTTTTAGTCTTCATACTCAAGATATAAGTAATTTACACACCACAATTGCAATGTTAGTGTATTCTGTGTTTGTCTGTGCACTTACTGTTATCAGTGAGTTTTGTGCCCACAGATAATTTCTTATTGCTTGATAACACCCTTTTCTTTCAGATTGAAGAACTTTCTTTAGCATTTCCTGTGAGACAGGTCTGTGTTGATGAAATTCCTCAGCTTTTGTTTGTCTCAGAAAGTGTTTATTTCTGCTTCCTGTTTGAAGGATGTGTTGGATATATTATTGGATATAATATCCTAAGACAAGATTTTTTCCTTCTGCACTTTGCATATGTCATGCCGCTCTCCTTGCCTGTAAGGTTGTCACTGAAAAGTTTGCTGCCAGACATTGGAGCTCCTTTGTATGTTATTTGTTTCTTTTCTGTTGATGCTTTAGTGTCCTTATCCTTGACCTTAGGGAATTTGATTATTAATTATCTTATTTAGGTTACATGTGCTTGATGTTCTATGGCTTTCTTGTACTTAAATATTGATATCTCTCTCTGGATTTGAAAAGTTCTGTGTTATTATTTCTGAATAAACTTCCTACCCCAGTCTCTCTTTCTATTTCCTCTTTAAAGCCAATATCTCTTAGATTTGTCCTTCTGAGGCTATTTTCTAGATCTTGTAAGTGTGTTCCATTCTTTTTTCTTTTTTCTCCTCTGACTGTATTTTCAAGTAGGCTGTCTTCTGTCTTCAGCCTCGGTATTTATTCTGCTTGATTAGATCTGCTGTTGAGAGACTCTAATGCATTTTTCAGTTTGTCAATTGAATGTTTAAGTTCCAGAGTATCTGCTTGACTTTTTAAAAATTTCAATCTCGAGCTTTGCCCTCCCCCTCCTGAGTGTTAGTGTGCCCAGGAACATAATTACGACTCAAGACAGCCTTTCCTTGGGATTTGGAAAGTATGCAGTATTACAGATAAGAAGATGAGAAGTCTTTCTGGTCACCAAATTAAGATGGCCAAATAGGAACAGCTCCAATCTACAGCTCTCAGGGTGAGCAACGCAGAAGACGGGTGATTTCTGCATTTCCGTCTGAGGTACCGGGTTCATCTCACTAGGGAGTGCCAGACAGTGGGCGCACGTCAGTGGGTGCAGCACACCTTGCACGAGCCAAAGCGGGGCGAGGCATTGCCTCACTCGGGAAGCACAAGGGGTCAGGGAGTTCCCTTTCCTAGTCAAAGAAAGGGGTGAAAGAAAGCACCTGGAAAATTGGGTCACTCCCACCCGAGTACTGAGCTTTTCCGACGGGCTTAAAAGACGGTGCACCACGAGACTATATCCCGCACCTGGCTCGGAGGGTCCTACGCCCACGGAGTCTTGCTGATTGCTAGCACAGCAGTCTGAGATCAAACTGCAAGGAGGCAGCGAGGCTGGGGGAGGTGCGCCCGCCATTGCCCAGGCTTGCTTAGGTAAACAAAGCAGCCAGGAAGCTCGAACTGGGTGGAGCCCACCACAGCTCAAGGAGGCCTGCCTGCCTCTGTAGGCTCCACCTCTGGGGGCAGGGCACAGACAAACAAAAAGACGGCAGTAACCTCTACAAGCTTAAATGTCCCTGTCTGACAGCTTTGAAGAGAGCAGTGGTTCTCCCAGCACGCAGCTGGAGATCTGAGAATGGGCAGACTGCCTCCTCAAGTGAGTGCCTGACCCCTGACCCCTGAGCAGCCTAACTGGGAGGCACCCCCCAGTAGGGGCAGACTGACACTTCACACGGCCAGGTACACCTCTGAGACAAAACTTCCAGAGGAACGATCAGACAGCAGCATTCGCGGTTCACGAAAAACCGCTGTTCTACAAACACAGCTGCTGATACCCAGGCAAACAGGGTCTGGAGTGGACCTCTAGCAAACTCCAACAGACCTGCCGCTGAGGGTCCTGTCTGTTAGAAGGAAAACAAACAGAAAGGACATCCACACCAAAAACCCATCTGTACATCACCATCATCAAAGACCAAAAGTAGATAAAACTACAAAGATGGGGGAAAAACAGCAGAAAAGCTGGAAACTCTGAAAAGCGGAGCACGTCTCCTCCTCCAAAGGAATGCAGTTCCTCACCAGCAATGGAACAAAGCTGGACAGAGAATGACTTTGACGAGTTCAGAGAAGAAGGCTTCAGACGATCAAACTACGAGCCACAGGAGGAAATTCAAACCAAAGGCAAAGAAGTTAAAAACTTTGAAAAGAATTTAGACGAATGTATAACTAGAATAACCAATACAGAGAAGTGCTTAAAGGATCTGATGGAGCTGAAAGCCAAGGTTCGAGAACTACGTGAAGAATGCAGAAGCCTCAGGAGCCGATGTGATCAACTGGAAGAAAGGGTATCAGCGATGGAAGATGAAATGAATGAAACGAAGAGAGAAGGGAAGTTTAGAGAAAAATGAATAAAAAGAAATGAACAAAGCCTCCAAGAAATACGGGACTATGTGAAAAGACCAAATCTACGTCTGATTGGTGTACCTGAAAGTCATGGGGAGAATGGAACCAAGTTGGAAAACACTCTGCAGGATATTATCCAGGAGAACTTCCCCAATCTAGCAAGGCAGGGCAATGTTCAGATTCAGGAAATACAGAGAACGCCACAAAGATACTCCTTGAGAAGAGCAACTCCAAGACACGTAATTGTCAGATTCACCAAAGTTGAAATGAAGGAAAAATTGTTAAGGGCAGCCAGAGAGAAAGATCGGGTTACCCTCAAAGGGAAGCCCATCAGACTAACAGCGGATCTCTCGGCAGAAACTCTACAAGCCAGAAGACAGTCGGGGCCGATATTAAACATTCTTAAAGGAAAGAATTTTCAACCCAGAATTTCATATCCAGCCAAACTAAGCTTCATAAGAGAAGGAGAAATAAAATACTTTACAAACAAGCAAATGCTGAGAGATTTTGTCACCACCAGGCCTGCCCTAAAAGAGCTCCTGAAGGAAGCACTAAACATGGAAAGGAACAACTGGTACCAGCCGCTGCAAAATCATGCCAAAATGTAAAGACCATCGAGACTAGGAAGAAATTGCATCAACTAACGAGCAAAATAACCAGCTAACATTATAATGACAGGATCAAATTCACACATAACAATATTAACTTTAAATGTAAATGGACTAAATGCTCCAATTAAAAGACACAGACTGGCAAATTGGATAAAGAGTCAACACCCATCAGTGTGCTGTATTCAGGAAACCCATCTCACATGCAGAGACACACATAGGCTCAAAATAAAAGGATGGAGGAAGATCTACCAAACAAATGGAAAACAAAAAAGGCAGGGGTTGCAATCCTAGTCTCTGATAAATCAGACTTTAAACCAACAAAGATCAAAAGAGACAAAGAAGGCCATTACATAATGGTAAAGGGATCAATTCAACAAGAAGAACTAACTATCCTAAATATATATGCACCCAATACAGGAGCACCCAGATTCATAAAGCAAGTCCTGAGTGACCTACAAAGAGACTTAGACTCCCACACATTAATAATGGGAGACTTTAACACCCCACTGTCAACATTAGACAGATCAACGAGACAGAAAGTCAACAAGGATACCCAGGAATTGAACTCAGCTCTGCACCAAGAGGACCTAATAGACATCGACAGAACTCTCCACCCCAAATCAACAGAATATACATTTTTTTCAGCACCACACCACACCTATTCCAAAACTGACCACATACTTGGAAGTAAAGCTCTCCTCAGCAAATGTAAAAGAACAGAAATTATAACAAACTATCTCTCAGACCATAGTGCAATCAAACTAGAACTCAGGATTAAGAAACTCACTCAAAACCGCTCAACTACATGGAAACTGAACAACCTGCTCCTCAATGACTACTGGGTACATAACGAAATGAAGGCAGAAATAAAGATGTTCTTTGAAACCAATGAGAACAAAGACACAACATACCAGAATCTTTGGAACACATTCAAAGCAGTGTGTAGAGGGAAATTTATAGCACTAAATGCCCACAAGAGAAAGCAGGAAAGATCCAAAATTGACACCGTAACATCACAATTAAAAGAACTAAAAAAGCAAGAGCAAACACACTCAAAAGCTAGCAGAAGGCAAGAAATAACTAAAATCAGAGCAGAACTGAAGGAAATAGAGACACAAAAAAACCCTTCAAAAAATTAATGAATCCAGGAGCTGGTTTTTTGAAAGGATCAGCAAAATTGATAGACTGCTAGCAAGACTAATAAAGAAAAAAAGAGAGAAGAATCAAATAGATGCAATAAAAAATGATAAAGGGGATATCACCACCGATCCCACAGAAATAGAAACTACCATCAGAGATTACTACAAACACCTCTATGCAAATAAACTGGAAAATCTAGAAGAAATGGATAAATTCCTCAACACATACACTCTCCCAAGACTAAACCAGGAAGAAGTTGAATCTCTGAATAGACCAGTAACAGGATCTGAAATTGTGGCAATAATCAATAGCTTACCAACCAAAAAGAGTCCAGGACCAGATGGATTCACAGCCGAATTCTACCAGAGGTACAAGGAGGAACTGGTACCATTCCTTCTGAAACTATTCCAATCAATAGAAAAAGAGGGAATCCTCCCTAACTCATTTTATGAGGCCAGCATTATCCTGATACCAAAGGTGGGCAGAGGCACAACCAAAAAAGAGAATTTTAGACCAATATGCTTGATGAATATTGATGCAAAAATCCTCAATAAAATACTGGCAAAATGAATCCAGCAGCACATCAAAAAGCTTATCCACCATGATCAAGTGGGCTTCATCCCTGGGATGCAAGGCTGGTTCAATATACACAAATCAATAAATGTAATCCAGCATATAAACAGAACCAAAGAAAAAAACCACATGATTATCTCAATAGATGCAGAAAAAGCCTTTGACAAAATTCAACAACCCTTCATGCTAAAAACTCTCAATAAATTAGGTATTGATGGGACGTATCTCCAAATAATAAGAGCTATCTATGACAAACCCACAGCCAATATCATACTGAATGGGCAAAAACTGGAAGCATTCCCTTTGAAAACTGGCACAAGACAGGGATGCCCTCTCTCACCACTCCTATTCAACATAGTGTTGGAAGTTCTGGCCAGGGCAATTAGGCAGGAGAAGGAAATAAAGGGTATTCAATTAGGAAAAGAGGAAGTCAAATTGTCCCTGTTTGCAGACAACATGATTGTATATCTAGAAAACCCCATTGTCTCAGCCCAAAATCTCCTTAAGCTGATAAGCAACTTCAGCAAAGTCTCAGGATACAAAATCAATGTACAAAAATCACAAGCATTCTTATACACCAATAACAGACAAACAGAGAGCCAAATCATGAATGAACTCCCATTCACAATTTCTTCAAAGAGAATAAAATACCTAGGAATCCAACTTACAAGGGACATGAAGGACCTCTTCAAGGAGAACTACAAACCACTGCTCAATGAAATAAAAGAGGATACAAACAAATGGAAGAACATTCCATGCTCATGGTTAGGAAGAATCAATATCGTGAAAATGGCCATACTGCCCAAGGTAATTTATAGATTCAATGCCATCCCCATCAAGCTACCAATGCCTTTCTTCACAGAATTGGAAAAAAATACTTTAAAGTTCATATGGAACCATAAAAGAGCCCGCATCACCAAGTCAATCCTAAGCCAAAAAAACAAAGCTGGAGGCATCACGCTACCTGACTTCAAACTATACTACAAGGCTACAGTAACCAAAACAGCATGGTACTGGTACCAAAACAGAGATATAGATCAATGGAATGGAACAGAGCCCTCAGAAATAATACCACATATCTACAACTATCTGATCTTTGACAAACCTGAGAAAAACAAGCAATGGGGAAAGGATTCCCTATTTAATAAATGGTGCTGGGGAAACTGGCTAGCCATATGTAAAAAGCTGAAACTGGATCCCTTCCTTACACCTTATACAAAAATCAATTCAAGATGGATTAAAGACTTAAACGTTAGACCTAAAACCATAAAAATCCTAGAAGAAAACCTAGGCATTACCATTCAGGACATAGGCATGGGCAAGGACTTCATGTCTAAAACACCAAAAGCGATGGCAACAAAAGCCAAAATTGACAAATGGGATCTAATTAAACTAAAGAGCTTCTGCACAGCAAAAGAAACTACCATCAGAGTGAACAGGCAACCCACAAAATGGGAGAAAATTTTCGCAACCTACTCATCTGACAAAGGGCTAATATCCAGAATCTACAATGAACTCAAACAAATTTACAAGAAAAAAACAAAGAACCCCATCAAAAAGTGGGCAAAGGACATGAACAGACACTTCTCAAAAGAAGACATTTATGCAGCCAAAAAACACATGAAAAAATGCTCACCATTACTGGCCATCAGAGAAATGCAAATCAAAACCACAATGAGATATCATCTCACACGAGTTAGAATGGCAATCATTAAAAAGTCAGGATACAACAGGTACTGGAGAGGATGTGGAGAAATAGGAACACTTTTACACTGTTGGTGGGACTGTAAACTAGTTCAACCATTGTGGAAGTCAGTGTGGCAATTCCTCAGGGATCTAGAAGTAGAAATACCATTTGACCCAGCCATCCCATTACTGGGTATGTACCCAAAGGACTATAAATCATGCTGCTATAAAGACACATGCACACATATGTTTATTGCGGCACTATTCACAATAGCAAAGACTTGGAACCAACACAAATGTCCAACAATGATAGACTGGATTAAGAAAATGTGGCACATATACACCATGGAATACCATGCAGCCATAAAAAATGATGAGTTCATGTCCCTTGTAGGGACATGGATGAAATTGGAAATCATCATTCTCAGTAAACTATCTCAAGAACAAAAAACCAAACACCGCATATTCTCACTCATAGGTGGGAATTAAATAATGAGAACATATGGACACAGGAAGGGGAATATCACACTCTGGGGACTGTTGTGGGGTTGGGGGAGTGGGGAGGGATAGTATTGGGAGATATACCTAATGCTAGATGACGAGTTAGTGGGTGCAGCGCACCAGCATGGCGCATGTATACATATGTAACTAACCTGCACATTGTGCGCATGTACCCTAAAACTTAAAGTATAATAAAAAAAAAGTCACCAAAAAAAAAAATTTCAATCTTTGTTAACTTTCTTTGATAGGATTCTTAATTCCTTCTCCGTGTTATTTTGAACTTTATTGAGCTTCCTTGAAATAGCTATTTTGAATCCTCTGTTCTGAAATGTTACATATGCCTGTCCTTCTGGGATTGGTCCCTGGTACCTTATTTTAGTTCAGTTGATGAGGTCATGTTGTCCTGGATGGTCTTGATGCTTGTGGATGTTCAGAATGTCTGGGCTTTGAAGAGTTTGGTACTTATTCTTATCTTTGCAGTCTGGGCTTATTTGTACCATCCTCCTTGAGAAGCATTCCAGGTATTCAAAAGGAATTGAGTGTTGTGATCTAAGTTTTTGGTCACTACAGCTGTATCTGCACTAGTGGGCACTCCAAGCCCAGTAATGTTGCAACTCTTGCAGAATCATATAAGTATCACCTTGGTGGGCTTGGATAAAGTCTGGAGAAACTTTCTTGATTACCAGGCAGAGTCTCTTGTCCTCATCCCTCAGTTTCCCCCAAACAAATGGAGTCTTGCCATGTTGAACTGGAGTTGGTGAAGGGTGATGCAAGCAATCCTGTGTCCACCACAGCTGGGACTGTGCCAGGTCATTCCTGAAGCCAGTATGGTACTGAGTCTTTCCTAAGGCCTGTGATGACTACTGCCTGGCTACTGCTGATGTTTATTCCAGGTCTAAGGGCTCTTTAGTCAGAAAGTGGTGAATACTACCAAGACTGGATCTTTCTCTTTAGGGCAGTGGATTCCCTTCTGTCCCAGGGTGTGTCTAGAAATTCCATCAAGGAGCTAGGGCCTGGAATCAGAGGCTTCAGGTGCTTGCTGCCTTATTTATTGTGGCTAAGCTTGCATCCAAGTTGCAAGACAAAGTCCTCTTTACTCTTTTACTCTTTACTCTACTATCCTCAGGCAGAAGGAGTCTTTCCCTGAGCTGCACTTCCTGGGGTTGGAGGAGGGGTGATACAGGAACTCCGTTGGCCACCCCATCTGGTGTCTCACTGGGTCACATTCACCCCAAGTCCACTGGCTCTGAGCCCAGTGCAGCACAAGGACTTGCCAAAGTTCTGCAGTCCTTGTGGACTGCCTTTAATATTTATTCAGGACTCCATGGCACTTTAGTTTCTGGTGGTGGGGCTAGGCAGAACTCGGGTTCTTGCCACTGGAGTGGAGGAGTACCCTCTGGCTGGGACTGGTTTAAATGCTTCTTCCATGGTCACTGGACAAATTCTGCCCTGTGCTGTGTTCCACTGTGACAGGGCAGGACTGAGTTTCAATACCAGTTCCCACAATCATGTCTCTCTCCCTCACCCAAGCATACAGATTCTCTCTTCATGAGCTGTCAAAAGATGAGGACAGAGTGGTGTAGGCAATGCAAGACTGTCCTTCCTGCCCACTTCAGTGCCTCTTCCCTTGATATAATGTTAGAACCAGGTAACGTGATCGCTTACCTGATTTTTGTATCTTATGAAGATGCTTTCTTGTGGGGATAGTTGTTAAATTTGGTATTACTGCATGGGAAGAATTGCTGGATTGTTCTATTTGGCCATCTTGCTTCCCCCAAATTTCCCAATTTTAAGTGCCTATAACAAAAACAGCAAAGTAATAATAACTTGAGAGAAAAAAAAATCAATGTCTAAACTGAACAGATTCTGTCTATAGGCCAGATTTGGTCCAGTGTAAGCAGGAACTCTAGTCAAATTATCTGGGTTCCAATTTTTGCTCCAGGATGTACTAGATATGTAACCTCACATGAGTTAGTTCTGTTCCTCAGTCCTTAACATATAAAGTGAAACAAATAGCACCAACCTCCTACAATGTTTATGAGATGAAATGAGTTTCTAATATATTTCCATGTTTCTAAGACACCACTGAATATAAGATGCATCGTTTTTTTATGTGCCCCTAAGAACGAAAAGATGGCTGCTAATTAACCTATGACACAATGCTTTCTTATCACTCGGAATTGTTGTTTTATAATTATTTAAACAGCTCTTTCAGAGTTATTTTCACAGTAATTTTTATCATATGTCACTCATGGGCATATATGTGTGTCTGTGTGTGTGTGTGTGTGTGTGTGTGTAAGAAATACTAAGTGAAATAATTTGGTTTGTATTCTTAAAACCTCCCCACATTATTAGCCTGACATGAATTAGTTTTCCATTGTGATTTAAACACAGTATTATTGTTGGTGCTATTAGCAGCACTGGTGATGTAGCAGTTAAAAGAGTGCTCCCCATTGTCTCCTGGAATTTTTTCTAAGTCACTGAAACCATAACAAGAGTTTTCATGTTGGCACTTTCTTGATCTTACTAGAAGATGTCAATGGAGAATTTTCAAACAGAAAGACTTGTGTTGTTTCTTTAAATGGTCCTTAAGTTAAAGATTGTTGACTAAACATTCAAAGGATTTCAATTGTTCAGCCACTCACCAAGAATAACAACAAAAAATGTTTGTGCATATACAAACATCAACAGCTACATAATCACTGCTGTTTTTCTGAGAATGACTGTCAAAATTTTATTAATTAGAAGATATTTTTGATTTTCCTAGTTGATAAAATGTAAAAAAGTTTATTTGAAAAGCTTTAAAGAAATATCAAAATGTTTGATAAATAAAAATAAATTTTTATAGAGAAAAAGGCTAGTCTTTTTACTTAAGTCTCAGCTCCATCATATATTATCTATATGGCCTTCTTTAAGGCATTGACCTTTTTATCTGTAAAACAAACATAATTTGACTTGCAATCATTGTATGTGACTGTGTACATGGGTGAATGGATGGTCATGTGTACAGCATCTTGTGTATGTCAATTCAGCTATCTGAGTCTGAGGTTTGAAAGAACCAAAATTGGGGAAAGAAAGGAACATCAAAAGATTCATGAATTAGATCCGTTTGGAAAAGGCAGACCAAATTTAAAAATTTCATCAAAGAAGAAAATACAGATACGTAATATTGGTTTTGGCCAATAAATGTAACCTGTTGAGAACAGAGGAGAAAAGTTGATGAGGAAAGAGAGAAAATAGCTCAAAGAGAGAAGCATATGCCTGCATTGGACATTCTGGTTGGGTGATCTCAGAAAGCTTGCGTCAAGGTCCATTTGTCTGACCTGGGATGTGTGGTCACACAAGTCCAGGAACAGTCATTGTTTGTGACGCTGAAGACTCAGGGGCCTCCTTTTTCCATTAAACTGGATTCCAAAGTCCCTCCTGTCAGAAAAAAAAAAAAAAAGAAACACTGCTTCAGCTTTTTTGGTTCTTATTTACAAATTGGCCTGTTGGTCTCTTCTTATCCTAAGCTCCTGAAAGTATCTGGACTTAGAAAATGAGGTCAGTGCCAGAGAAAAGTAAGGCAGAGGGAGCAAGCTACCTCCCTCCTGCCCCACATCCAAGGATCACAAATGATTCAGAGAGCTGAATAAGGCATTGTATATTTCATTTACAATGATTGTACAACAGCTGTATAATCGATGTTGTTGAAGTTATGAATGTTGCTCAGAGTGTAGCATAAATGTCCACAGTGAGCTGCAAATGTGAATAAGAATGGCCCTGCCTGCATAGTAATTGGTATTATTACTGGAATGAATGGGAAAGCCACATATGGATGAATGGGTGGGGCTACAAAAGGGTATAGCCTGAGAGACAAATGGTAGCTTTTCTTTTCTCTTATCCATGCCTGTTATTTCAAATAACCATCCACAGTGGGTGGAGGAAAAGGGATAGAAAGTAGGAATATAGTGGAGAAAGCGTGAAGCTGCTTATCTACTACTTTATATCATGCCCCTTCCTGTCTGCCAGTGCCCACACTTATTAATTATAATAGAGTATATCACACATCCCCTCCTGGAAAAAACAAAATCTGTCTGTTACAAAGGGTAGAAGGATAGACTCAGGTGAAGGGTGTGGGGGTGGGGGGAGACATAGGGAAGAGAAACACTTCAGGTTAATTGGAGCTGAGAATATAAAATACTCGTCTTAAAGTGTGTGCTTCAGTTATGAGAAGGAAAGTGTCGAGATCATAATGTTTTCTGTGCAAGATTCAACACAGCATGGGTGTTTTAAAACAAGCAGCAATCATTTCTCATGGAGAAATTATAAGCAGCAGCTCCAGGCTCAGGACAAGCGCATGGGAGAGCCGTTCTTTTCATTTCTCTAGAAAGGCACAAGGAGAAACACGGTAGTTAGCAGATGAGTCCCTTGAACCAAATGGCAGAGTTACTGACGAAGAGAATTATATAGTTCAATTTACTTATTGCTTTATTCATTCAGAAAGAAATGACACTGAATTCTCCTGGAATTTTACATATTAGGAGGGAAGAAATTTTGGTTTTAAAAATCAAACTGTCTGGCTTCTGCAGAGGTTGCAAAGCAAATTGGTCAACTTCATAATCAGGAAATAACAGAAAATTGTTAAATGATTTATTTGGCAAAGCTGGCTATGTTATTTCTTTTAGAGAAGAGACCTTTTCAGCCTGATACAAAAACAGCCTTTGCCCTGATAGACACAGTTTTTGTTTGCTTGCTGTCATCCTGGGTGCACCTATGTGGCATCTGAATCACTATTAGGTCTCTGTTTAAAGATTCATTTTTTTACCAGAAATAATTTCTCTAGAGTAATAAACAATGCACTGCATAACACCACTTTAAAAATTCTTAGAAATAACTGCAAGGAAATTAGTTACAATTATTCACATAGTTCCTCAAAATGGTAGCACATAAGAAGAAAGAGGGGTCCCTCTCACCCGTTTTTTGAAGACCATCTTTGTTTACTTCATTCCCAAGTATTAAGAGATTGCATGATCCATTTGCATAGGATAACTAACATATACCACATCATTTGCACGTCTGCAAGTACACGTGAGTAACCGTAATTACACGTGACACCAATTACTCTATTACTTTGTATTAAATTATAATGGAAAATTCCACTAGAGAATTGAAGCCTAATTGCATCTTAATTTGCATAATTTTGCATATTAATTACATCTCAGATGAATAATAAATTTCAGCAGATTTTTAATTTATGCATAGACACAAAAACAAGTGGAGAAATAATTTAGAAAAAAATACCAGCAACTATTACTTAGGGCATTCAACTAATTTTGCTTAGTTTAGCAAAACAAAACTTGGTTTGTTTAATATAGCATCTTTAGACTGATTGCTGTTTATTGCACAATATGTCAGTCTTGAAATATAGGTGCAGGCATGATTTTTCTTAATAAAAAAAGTGTTCAATTGTAGCATTTTAAGTTCAGTTTTTTATAGTTTGATAAAACTGTATTGGAGATAATATTGTTTCATTGGAAATATCTTTAGTTGTGATACACTTTGATTGAGACTTAATTTCTGTTGCAGTTATTTTAAATGCAGGGGATTATAAAAATAGAATATAAAAATATCTTTGTGAAGGAGATCACTAATAAAATATATCAAGTGTTTTCTTTCTTGAATTTACTATGAAGTCACTCAAGATTGTTTTAGTGATTTTTGCATGAATGATTCAGAGTGAGAAATTCCATGTGTTTCATTTTGTAGCATATAACAATTTAGAGGAATGGCTTTCAAAGATTACTACTATTTTCTGACTGTTTTCTTTGTTTCTCATTGCTTGCATGGTAAACAGTAACATTTGTTCTTAATTGCTAGAGACCTGGGTTTTAAATTTAGTCACCTTTACTTTGGATTTATTAAATAAACAGAAGGTATATTTCTCAGAGTTAATTAATGCATTTTAGTTACATAGCTGTATCTAGGTTGACAGTCGTTAAAAAAAAAAGAAAAAAAACACCAACTTAGTGTTCCTCAAATGACAATATGTAACTGAAAATTCACTCAGTGTTCCTCAAATGACAATATGTAACTGAAAATTCATTTCGTCCACTTCTTGCCTAAACCCAATCCATATTGCTTTATACCTGCTGCCACTGTTAAAGGATGGGCGGAAACCTTTAGCTCTGCCTCCACTAAGTCTAATACTATGATCATTTGCCAAATTATACAAAAAGAGAGGATGACACGTCCTAATAAATCAGGAAACTGTCAGGATTAATAATCTCAGCCGTCATCTGTTTTCCTATAAAAGCCCTACTGGCATCAAATATTTTCCAGTTTGTTTTGCAGTTCTGTTGGTGCAGAAACTGGACCTGTGCCAGCCTGGTGCCGTGCAACCTCAAAGAAGCCATTCTATATGTCTTTTATCGCATTAGTCTGAATTTCACAATTGTGCTGGTTCACAACGCAGTGAGCAAGAAGTCTTTACAACATATGTTCCCCTTCTCCGGTTACCAATCATTGTTACAATTTGCTATTTGATAGGCAACACTTTGAGCTTAAAGGCTTAGATTTGTCTTTGTTTCCTAATGTTTCAATATTTTCTGTTTGCATCAAAAAAGTTTGCCTCATTCTTAGGCAAGCTAGAACCAATGGAAAAATAAAAACTCACCAGTGCTTTCTTTATTACATGAATTTCTATTAGGTGTTTGACTCTGGTCTTTGGTTTCTGTTGCCAGGTTACAGCCCTAGGAACATCTTTGATTATTTGTATGTTTAAAAGCAGAAATAGTTTAGCTATCTAAAAGAACCGAATCGATGATTGCATGTGTTTTTTCACTTTTTTTGTTCAACCCTTTTGACCAGGTTCTTATATTAAAGAGAGATTTGAGCTGGATGAATGCCTCAAACCAACCCAGTCCTTCCAACATTTAAACAATGGTTCCCTCTTGTGGCTATGCTTCAATAGTGCGATTTAGGAAAGGAGGAAAGTAAAAATCTCGTGACTATAAAACAGATTTTGACAAGCATACTGTAGTAATCTACTTGCACCTTGTATTTAGAGGCATTCCCAGAACTCTCAAGTCTTTCTGATTTATTTTCAGTAAGGTGTAAGTTTTGGTGTTTGGGGTGAAAGAATAGCAAAGCATCCTGATGCTTATTTCCTGGTGGTATCAGAAAAATACTCTCCTATAGGGGATAGAGTCCACATTTTGGGACATTTTTGAATATGTTGAAGTGTATGTTGGAAAAAAGGCAGTTTAGGCTGTCTCTGTAGCTTTAGAAATAAATGTATAACTTCACTATTAAAAATATAAATGATTTCCTAAAGGAACATCCTAAGTGTACAATTAAATCTAGATTATGCTTGTCCTTTCAGATTTTATCCTCAAAGATCATCTGAGAGGGGGTAAAAATCTTACAATTAACCAGCTCCTCTAAGATGATCTTTCCAAGCATCTTTGATATATGCTTTTAGAAATTTATTTTGAGTCAGATTTCCCCAGGGGCCACCATCTTACACTCTCCGAATTACTGTAAATAAAGAGCATTCTTCTGACACCGCAACTGTAAACAGCCCACAAATACTTTCTGTCTGTGTTAAGCTATGTTCAGAACAGCAACAGACATGTCCCTTAAGTAGATTTTTTTTTTCTTAAGACTGTGTTTAATGTAAAAGTAAAGTGTCGTTAGTAACAGAGACAAGAATCTGCACCAAGGTCATATGACTGTATCTACAAAAGATTGCAACCATCCACGCAAGTCGGATGCGATGTGTTTCAGTACACTTCAAAATTCTGAGTAATAAAAATGCCAACTTTCAATTTTACTTTAAGGATCCTTTTGAAAGAATGAAAGCATTCGTACTTGTCAAGCCATTTTCAAGCCACAATATTTCTCATTCACCACAGAGTTTATTTATTTGGAAGTTTAACATGGAAAATGAGGTTCGGGATGGAAACGGACATGATTTCTGTGTGTCGAAGGAGGGTGATAGAGAGCTAGTCGTCAAGAAGCAAGAGTATGGCGATAATATAATTACCGACAACATATCACTTAGTCTTCTGATTCCAAATGAACTCCTTCCGTTCCCTCCCTCATTTAGCACAGGCTCAGGCACCAAGTTACAAGTCTCTTCACTTCATTGCCAGGGCAGCTCCGCATGTTTTGCTCATGAGCCTCCATTTTGTTTAGAAGTGCACACCTTTCTATTGTTAATAAAAACACAGGCAGTTAATTTTTCACTATTCACCTGCAAGATGAGTCACATCAAAAGCTCTCATAAGAGAGGAAGGTTATGTATTAAGGAAATAGGACTAGCATCAACTTAAGTTTCAGCAGATTCCAAAATTAAGAATGATTTTTCCCCCCTTAAAATAGTGAGCTTAAAAAGCAAAGTTATTTCCCATTTTGGTTCTCTGATGCCACTTTCTACCACGACTGGGCTTGGGAGGCACCTTTGCACATGCATTTCCTTTTGTCAGATTCAACCCAGGTCTGCTCTGAAGCTTCCTGTGGATTTAATGCGGAATCCACTATAATTATTTCCCTTGGACTTTTTCCCTTTCTTTTGTTCATTAAAAATGTATAAGACTAGGCTGGGGGTAGTGGCTCACGCCTGTAATCCCAGCACTTTGAGAGGCCTAGGCAGGCGGATCACCTGAGGTCTGGAGTTCGAGACCAGCTTGGACAACATGGTGACACCCCGTCTCTACCGAAAGAAAGGATACAAAAATTAGCCAGGCGTGGTGATGCGCACGTGCTGAGGCATGAGAATCGCTTGAACCTGGGAGGCGGAGGTTGCAGTGAGCCAAGATCATACCACTGCACTTCAGCTCTATCTCAAAAAAAAAAAAAAAAAGACATGATTAAATGAAACAATGACCAGGAGATGTTCCTCCACAAATGTGTAGTGATTGATTACCCTCTTGTGGGTATTAAAAATGTCCATCAACTCGTTTTTTTATATGATCTGTACCATCAAACTGTTAATTGCTCCTTGCATTTGCTCACTTTTTGTCTCTGCTTCTGTCTCTCTCCCTCTCTGTTTGTCTGTTTCTCTCTTTCTTGATGAGATTATCAATGTAATTCACTTGCACAGGAAAAATAAAACCTAAAAAGCCAATTGGCTCCTTACCTTCCTCCTTCATTCTCTTAGGAAATCACAGAGGCACTTGGAAGTTAGCAAAACAAAGAAGGAAATAGGGGAACTGTAACACAGAGGAAACCAGAATTTAATGATCCAGTAAAATGTCAACCAAATATTCAGGCTTTGAGACTGACACTTATTTGCCAGCTTTTTATTAATATTTTGCCAAAAAAAGGTGAAAGAAATCCTGAGGATTACCTTATATTCTGACCATTGTTTAATAAAGAGACTTTAGCAAAAAAAGAACAGGTAGAACATAATCTCAGAAAGAAAAAAAAAAGACATCCTTTTCCATTAGCTATATTTAGTTTTTAAAAATCATCACATTTATCTCATTTTTCTTCTTTTTCTTCTTTATGCTTTTATCAATTAGATCAGCTAAACTTCAATATACAGTAGTGCTAGTCTATAGACCAAAATCTGGAATGCACAAGCTCACTATTTGTTGTTCTTTAGAGTCCTGGTCAAATTTACCTCTTTCAAGAGATTCTTCTTGATTTCCCATGTAAAAATGAACAGTTGTTTCATCTAAGCTCCTATTCATTATTTTATTTTCATCTGTTTTATTTTGAATTTTATTGATACTACACTTACCTCCATCTCCAGATTGTAAACTCCATGAGGTCAGGAATTCTTACTACTTATTCATTTTTTAAGGAGCACTCCATAAATGCCAGTTGACCAAATGAACCCAAATCTGACAGAAAAATATATGATTTATGCACGAGCTGGTTTTTCCTTCCACGGAGCAATAACTCCTGGTAGGCACATAGAAGGGGGGTTAGGAATGTTAGGAAGGGAAATTGATCATCATGCTGGCAATGGCACAGTGCCTAAAAGGAAGATGTAAATTCTCCAAATTGTTCTCTCTATTTACATATGTGTATTTATATATATGTGTGTATGTGTGTATGTGTGTGTGTGTGTATTGAGGGTTTAACTTCCAATCCCCAGATATGTACACACATATGTAAATATGCACACACACATTACACATATATACATCAAGTTACTGGAACTTTGCTCTAATTAAGAACACAACCTGAAGTTTCAATATGGAGAGGAAAATATGTATTTTTTATTGGCCTTGCTCTTGGTTAACCACTTTTATTTTTCAGATTCTCTTTGCTAAACCTGATTCCTGGTGTGCTATGATACAAAGATCTGTGGCTGTCATGGGGTTGCAGATTTTAGCATTAGAAAGGTGTTAGGAATTTATCTGTCTCAGCTTTCCAAATGTATGGAACAGGAAATTGAGACCTAGGAAGACAAAACATCTAGGTCTTCTGACTTGCCAGCCAGTGCTTTTCCCACTCAAACTATTAAATTGACAGAAGGGAAAATCATGTGGCAATTTGTGCTTTTAAAACAGAGAATTTTTAGAGGCAATCTAATTATTTTTATATTACATTAAGAAAGGAAGAAAGGGAAGAAGAGCGAGGCACCAAAATCAAGAAGGTAAGCTCTTTGGAAAACCTGGTTTTCATCAGCTGGTCATAACCTCTGGAGCAAAGACTGGGCCCAGAGGAATATTCCGGACTGATCTACTCTTGGCAGAAACTGCTTTTTGGGTGAGTAAGCCGCCCACTAGCCTTTTTTTTCTCCCATCATCTAGATAAAAATGAGTGTTTAAAAACTGTGCTAAAATTTTCAAAAACACCTTAAAAAGATTCCATTACTTAAAGTGATTTGGATAATTGTGTTCAATGGTAGCCATTATTTAAAAATATAATTAGTTGCTGAACTCAGAGAAGGAGGGAAATTTCTGCAGGTGTTTCTCATTATTTGCTATGCATACAAAATATCTGCATAAATTACCATTATTATTCCAATGTATACTAAGAGACAATAAAGCATTAGCAAGCAAAGAAGAATGTTGTTGACCCACAGACTGTGAGAGAGAGGCCTGGATGCACAGTAATAGTGTGTTGGCCTTCAGTGCTGTTGCTGCACATGTGCAACCGCATTCAGAATTAAAAGAAACAATTTTGCACCTGTAACAATGTTACATATGGAATGTAACTCCATCAGAAAGATATTTAAAATAGGGAAGGGGGCAGGGAGAAACAACAAAACAACTGGAAAAAAATAAGGCTATAATTGTTTCAAAAGGTTGACACACACTTAAACTAGGTATCTTGGATTTCTTTGAGTTTAAAGCCCTAGTAGAACAGACAACTGAATGTTTTTAAGTATGTGGTGCATTTGCTGTTTTTCTTTCATTATTGTTAGGGTTTGATGGCAATGTTATTGTCAGTATGGTCCAACAGAACTCTCTACAATGATGGAAATATTCCATAGCTGCACAATCCAGCAGTAGCCATTAGCCACATGTGGCTATTGAGCCCCTGAAATGTAACTGGTGCAACTAAGTAATTGATTTTTTACAGTTTAATGTTAATTAATTTAAATATAAATAACCACATCTGGTGGCTAATATAATGGACAGCATAGGGAAGTTAATTGCATTGAGTTGTCCTTGTCAATAAAAATGGTAACTAATATCTTTTGAGTACTTACTACATACCAGGCACCGGGCTAAATATTATCTCATTTAATTAACACCACAACTGTATGAAGTAGGTACTTTTATGCTTGAGAAGACTGAGGTCCGTAGAAATTAAGGTATTTGTCTTGATGTCACCAGACCAGCATATGAAGGGGTCAAGATATAATCTAGGCAGTCTAACTCCAGATTTCTCCCTATGAACTCTTGTTAAGGTGGCATCAAGAAGCAACACACTGTTGAATTTACTCTACTAATCCACAATAAATCAACTTCTGTCAGTCTCTAATATGAAATCAAATGATAAATGAATATGTGTCACATTGGAAGTAAAGATTATCCAGTGATCAATCCAACTCTTACCATTGACAAGAGGGAGGCCCAAAGCAGATGAGTTCAAATGTGTTAGTGCTTAGTAAGCTTAAAACCAAGGTCATTGTAATATATGCAAATGTAGTGAGTATCCCAAACTGCACATCACATAGCAAACACTCAAAAAATGATGTGTGTGCATCTTCCAGGGAAATTTGATACAGCGACCAAAAAGGAAGATTTGGAAGAGATGTTGGGGCCTGATCATTTGGTGATGAAAAGCAAATGAAAAATACTGCCTGGAGGCCAGGTTCAGTGGCTTATGCCTGTAATTCCAGCACTTTGGAAGGCCAAAGTGGGTGGATCACCTGAGCTTAGGAGTTCAAGACTAGCCTGGGCAACATGGTGAAACCCCGTCTCTACTAAAAATGCAAAAAATTAGCCAGGTGTGATGGAGTGCACCTGTGGTCCCAGCTACTTGAGAGGCTAAGATGGGAGGATTGCTTGAGCCTGGAAGGTGGAGGTTGCAGTGAACAGAGATTGAGATTGTGCCAATGCACTCCAAACCAGGTAACAGAGTAAGACCCAGTCTCAAAAAAAAGAAAAGAAAGGAAAAGAAAAGAAAGAAAGAATGAATGAAAGAAAAGAAAAGAAAAATACTGATTGAGAAATGAAAGTAAGCCACTAACAATTTGATACATCATTCTGCTTTTCATTTATAATTCTTGCATGGTATGAGTAACACTCTGCCAATATAGTATCCTCAGCCTCTTATAGTTCAAGAGTTCACAAACTGGTTCATGCTTAAGACCCATCCAAACAAGAGAGTGCTGCTAAGGGATAAGTCAAAGGAGAAAACAAGGCAGAAAATTGGTACATCTTACTTTTAATAACTCCCATATTATAATGGATATTAACAAAAACCTGTTTTAAGTCTTGCTGCCATAGCCTTTAGAATATTCTTAAAATTCATGCAATCTTTGTGGGGGTTCTGTACTTCTACATATATTTTGACTAAAATCGACTAGAATCTTTTGTCCAGATGGTGGAAGAAAACTTTCTTTTTGCCTTAGCTAGGTGCTTTACATATCTTAGGTAGGCAAAATTATTCACATTGGACTTCAGAGAGATTAAGTAATTCACCCAATGACATCCAGCTAGTGAGTGAGAAAATCAAGATGTGAACTCAGATCTATCAAGTTCCAAAAATTGTCACTCTCTACTGCTCTGACCTGCTCCCCACTGCCATATAGTATTGTGTGTGATCTGGGCTTAAAATTATGAATATAGTTGTATTAGTCCATTTTCATGCTGCTGATAAAGACATACCTGAGACTGGGCAATTTACAAAAGAAAAAGGTTTAATGGGACTTACAGAACCACATGGGTGGGGAGGCCTCACAATCATGGCAGAAGGCAAGAAAGAGCAAGTCACATCTTACATGGATGGCAGCAGGCAAAAAAATCTTGAGCAGGGTAACTCCCCTTTTTTTAAAACCATCAGATCTTGTGAGATTCGTTCACCACCACAAGAACAGCACAGGAAACACCTGCCCCTGTAATTCAATCACCTCCCACTGGGTTCCTCCCACAACACTTGGGAATTGGTGGAATTACAAGATGAGATTTGGGTGGGGACAGAGGGCCAAACCATATCATTCCACCTGTGGCCCTTCCCAAATCTCTTATCTTCACATTTCCAAACCAATCATGCCTTTCCCACAGCCCCCCAAAGTTTCAACTCATTTTGGCATTAACTCAAAAGTTCACAGTCCAAAGTCTCAAACATGACAAGGCAAGTCTCTTCCGCCTACAAGCCTATAAAATCAAAAGCAAGTTAGTTACATCCTAGGCACAGTGGGGGTAGAGGCATTGGGTAAACACAGCCATTTCAAATAGAAGAAACTGGCCAAAACCAAGGGGCTACAGGCCCCATGCAAGTTCAAAATCCAACGGGGCAGTCAAATCTCAAAGCTCCAAAATGATCTCCTTTGACTCTGTGTCTCACATCCACATCCCACTGATGCAAGAGGTGGGTTCTCATGGTCTTGGGCAGTTCCACCTCTGTGGCTTTGCAGGGTATAGACCCCCTCCTGGCTGTTTTCATGGGCTAGCATTAAGTGTCTGTGGCTTTTCCAGGTGCACTGTGCAAGCTGTCAGGGGATCTACCATTCTGGAATCTGGAGCATGATGACCCTCTTCTCACAGCTCCACCACGCAGTGCCCCAGTAAGGACTCTGTGTGTGGGGGCTCCCACCCCACATTTTCCTTCTGCACTGCCCTAGCAGAGGTTCTCCATAAGGGTCCTGCCCCTGCAGCAAACTTTTGCCGGGGTATGCAGGCATTTCCATACATCTTCTGAAATCTAGGTGGAGGTTCCCAAACCTCAGTGATTGACTTCTGAGCACCTGCAGGCTCAACACCACATGGAAGCTGCCAAGGCTTGGGGCTTCCGCCCTCTGAAGCAACAGCCCAAGCTGTATGTTGGCCCCTTTTAGTCAACAGCTGAAGCATCTGGGACACAGGTCACCAAGTCCCTAGACTGCGCACAGCAGAGGGATCCTGGGCCTGGCCCACTAAACCATTTTTTCCTCCTAAAACTCTGGGCCTGTGCTGTGAGGGGCTGCCATGAAGACCTCTGACATGCCCTGGAGACATTTTCCCTATTGTCTTAGGGATTCACATTCAGCTCCTCATTACTTATGCAAATTTCTGCAGCCAGCTTGAATTTCTCCTCAGAAAATGGGATTTTCTTTTTATCAAATTGTCAGGCTACAAATGTTTCAAACTTTTATACTGTTTCCCTTTTAAAACTGAATGTTTTTAACAGCACCCAAGTCACCTCTTGAATGCTTTGCTGCTTAGAAATTTTTTCCACCAGATACCCTAAATCATTGCTCTCAAGTTCAAAGTTCCGCAAATCTCTAGGTCAGGGGCAAAATTCTGCCACTCTCTTTGCTAAAACATAGCTAGAGTCATCTTTACTCCATTTCCCAACAAGTTCCTCATCTCCATGTGAGACCATTTCAGCCTTGATTTCATTGTCCATATCATTATCAGCATTTTGTTCAAAGCCGTTCAAGTCTCTAGGAGGTTCCAAACTTTCCCACATTTTCCTTTCTTCTTCTGAGCCCTCCAAACTCTTCCAACCTTTGCCTGTTACCCAGTTCCAAAGTCACTTCCACATTTTTGGGTATATTTTCAGCAGTGCCCCACTCTACTGGTACCAATTTACTACATTAGTCTGTTTTAATGCTGTATGTCATAAAGATATACCTGAGACTGGGCAATTTACAAAAGAGCAAGGTTTAACTAGACTTACAATTCCACGTGGCTGGGGAAGCCTCACAATCATGGTGTAAGGCGAAGAGGAGCAAGTCACATCTTACATGCATGGCGGCAGGCAAAGAGAGCTTGCCCAGGGTAACTCCCATTTTTTAAAACCATCAGATCTTGTAAGGCTCATTCACCACCACAAGAACAGCACAGGAAAGAACCCACCACCCCCACAAAAAGAATTCAATCTCCTCCCACTGCGTTCCTCCCACAACATGTGGGAATTGTGGAAGTTACAAGATGAGATTTGGGTGGGGACACAGAGCCAAACCATATCAATAATCCAGTCTCATTTTTGGTGTTCCACAAAATCAGATCTTCAAAGATACAAACCAATTCATCAGATTTGCGTGACAACATGCCTCAAAATCCTTGCTGATTCTGTTCCTTCCGAACTAAATGAAACTTCACACTCTTTTCCTGCCCCCAGCCTGTGCCATCTCCCACAAAAGTTTCCTAATTTCTAATTCTTCACAGGAATTTTACTGCGCACCTGCCCCAACTGCTTTTTAGGATCAAAACTAATTACCCCTCCCTTGAGCTCTCACAGCCATTCCTCTGTGTTTGCATCCATTACACTGTATTATGGTTGCTATTTAAGTGCCTGTGTTCTCCACTTCACCACTCAAAGGTGTATTTTACCCCCTGCTCCCTTTTTGCGTGTGCGTCTTCAGTAACTGACTAAGTGTCTGCACATAATAAATGCCTAAATATTTGTTGAATTCAAATGAACTAAATAAAAACAAGCAAGTTCACCAAAACTCCTCCAAATATGAATTAAACCAGGGTATATATTCTTTTCACACTAATATATTGCTATTGAATGAGCTAGTTATAACAATGATCTCTTCATGATTGTATTTACATACTATTTTATAACAGTTTTGTTCTGACTTTGTTTCTGAACAAAACTATGAGCCCTTTAAAGTTATTATTTATATTAGTATAGCGCATATGTTAAGAGCACAGACTCAAATTCACAAGTGAATAGTGCTCAGGTCTTAATTTAACAAGGTGTCTGATGGATGACATGGAGACATCAATGCCACTGAAAGAAATGTTTAATGTCATTCACACTTTGAGAAGCAAGAGGCATGGCATACCATGCAGGGCATACCATGCAGGGCCACAGGAAGAGGCAGCAGATTTGGACAGGAGACAGAAACAGGGCTGTAGGGGAAGCCTAGGCCAGACGTTTTATCGGGGTTTCTGTAGGAAAGGCAAGGTGGAGTAGAATAACCTGTTCAGGATTGACTAGTTTGAATAATCCCGATGGGCTTTGGGCTATAGGAGTGGTCTCTATTGCCTGGTATCTGGCCCTGGAATAATTTAGGTCAGGGGAAATATTGGCTTGGTGTATGAGGCTACATAAAGCAGGTGGATGGAGATTAGTTGGTTTGGGTATGAAAGGTGGGCTCATGGCCTAGCCCTTTGTTGTCTCTAAAGATTGGCTCATCCTTGGAAGGAAGACTTCCCTGACCACTAAGATTTTTAAGATTTCAAAACATTATAAGGTACAGAAAATGAAAAACATGATTAATACAATGACCTTGAACAAGTTGCTCAACCTCTCTGTCTCATTTTCCTCATCTGTAAAATGGGGATAATAATTACAGCATCATAGGGTTGTGGTGAGGATCAAATGAATTAATATATATAAGACAAATAGAACAGTATATGACATATAAAAATGATGTAAAAATTAGCAATAATATCTGTCACTACAACACCTCCTAAAATGCATCCCACAAGATAGGAGGTGCTTGAAAAGCACTGAATGAATGAATGTAGGAATAAATGAACAAGTCCTCAGGATTGCACACCTTGGTGTTAAGCAACCAACATTTTCAATTTCTTAGAAACAGAAAAATAATTTATAGGTAAAGCTTGTACTGGAGTGAAAAGATGAACTGAATCTAGAGAAGGAATAAGATTCTCACTAACTAAAGCTTTTGCTGCTGTTTTCCTATAGTGCATCTTTTAGTCCATCTATCTCTGTCTCAATATTTAAGGCAGGCATTTGTCTTTCAGGTTTCTTTTGGCATTACTGCAGTTATCAAATGAAACATAATTTCCTCCATCCATAACCCAGTGAAGTTTAGTTGGACTTGATATCACTCCCAATTTTAAAAAGAAAATTTGCATCTTCAGACATCAGCAGCATGAGGCAACCTAAGAAATAAGTGTGCATTAGGCCTCTAAATAGACTTTTCCTTTATTATCTGTATGTAGCATCTACCTAATGGAAAATGAAGCAACAGCATCCATCTCCTTCTACTGGCATTACAATTTCAAGGAATCCAGTGAACTGTCCTTGTTACAAGCATAGGATCTAGTACCATTCTTTACTTCTAATGAACCCAGAATTTCAGATGCATAGATCTTTAGAACTGGAGAACTGGATATTTTTCCACCCTCTGGATTTCCAAAGAAGAAAACAGATTCCAAGGCCCCATCTGCCATATCTTGTCAACAGTCCTGGAAAAAGGACTCATTTCTATGTATTTAGGACACCCAGAATAATGTCTTATTTTTTGAAATCAGTATGGTATCCAAATGAAGGCAGCCATTTTACTAGTATTAATACAAAAAACTTACTTCAGTGAACAATGAGGACTTGAAATATCTATCTACTATATCCCCAATGCCAACAGCGTGGAAGAGATAATCTATGTTACAACATGGATAAGTAACTATTCTTATTCATAGGTACAAATAGCTGTGTTGGAAACAGCATTGGCTGGAGATTTTGGTGGCCCAAATCTGCCAGCCTCTAGGTATGAGACTTTATGTAAACTATTTAAATACTCAAGGTCTCTGTTTTCTTATCTGTAAAATGAGGGGATTAAATCAGATGTTAAAGATCTAACATTTCCTGATTTTATGAGAGGATTTATAATCAAACTTTATGCTACTAATTACCTACAGGTCACTTAAGTAGGTCTGATTATCAACACTAATTCACATGGACTTAATATAGAATTAACCAGACCACATGATAACCTCATAAACATACTCTTTATACACTTTTAATCTTTTGGGGTTATTTCCTATAACCAGACGTCCAATTTAAAAATGAGTTGAGTTATAGGTCTTTATATAGCATTCATTTCTACACACTTGAAATAGAAAATGTTAGCTATTTAATCAGTCAGGTTCATAATTTAGTTTGTAAACTCAGAGACCATATCTGGGTTTTACATAATATTGATTACATGATCAGGGCTCATTAAAGGATAATAATTTAAAAATCACTTCTAAGTGTTAGCTTTTTCTAGCTAATTTCCTTTCCATGTGAATGCTTCATGTTTTAATATATCACCCTTTTCTCTTATTTATTTATTTATTTGCTCTAGAAAACCAGTGAGAATTAATCTAGAATGATGACAAAATTAATGGGAATTGAAATGAAAGTATAATCTTATTGGAATTTCATTTCTGATGACATAATAATAGGCTTATATAGCACCTTTCATCTATGGACCTCTAAGCACTTTACAAACATTAGTTAATTCGCACAACAATCCTGTGAGGTTGGCAATTATAATCAGCCCCATTATGTAAATCAGGGAAGTGCAATACAGGGAGGTTAAGTTCCTCAGGCAACAGGGAAGACAGTGGCAGAGCCAGCATCAGACCACGAGCATCCAGATGCTTACAACCGCACACCCAAAGAACCTTGTGGAAAGCCTACCATCTTGGTTGGTTGCCAAGAAAAGACCTCTTTCCAAAAGAAAAAAAATCCCAAAGAAATGTCTAATCTTACCATTTTTTTCAGTATTCCACACTGGAGGTGAAAGAACTAGAAGGGTAGGGCAGTATAAAGGAGACTTGCCTCGAAATGTACTCTGTCAAGCATTTTCTCAGCAGGCCAAGACTCCAGCCAAAAGGCTATGTGCTATCCCTTTTTTTCACCAGCAAAATTTGAAGGAAAAAATAACCCAAATGCTAATGTGAACATTGTTTATAATAGCAGAAATTATTCATTGAGTGTTTAATGGTTGATGGGCATTGTATTAAGATGGTTTATATATGTCACCTCATTTAATCTTTATAGTAACCTATATGTAAGCATATTAATTATTGCTGTGTAACAAAGCACCCTAACACCCAGGACTTAAAAAATACATTTATTTTGTTCTCTCTGTGGGTCATTGGGGGGGTTGGTGATGTAGGCTGGACTTGACCTCAAGCTGAAGGTTGGATCCAGTTCTGCTCAACAAGCCTCTCCTACTCCTTAGACATCAGGGTAGCTGGAGCATTTTTTCTCATGATAAGCATGTTTTAAACTGTTACTGCATCACATCTGCTGATATCCCACTAGCTGTGCAAGTTCAAGGCCAAAGCCAAAATATGAAGTACTTCCTGCCCAGGATGAGGTCAACGCAGATGCATGGCTAAACCCAATGTCGATGGAATAGGAAAGTTTATTCCTGATATAAAGTTGGTAGAAACAGTGAATATTTTTGAATAATTGAACGTACCATTATAGCTATTCTTCTTTTACTTCTTTTTGTTTGTTTGTTTTTTGAGACAGGGTATCACTCTGTTGCCCAGGATGGAGTGCAGTGGCATGATCATGGCTCACTGCAGCCTCTCTCTACTTCTTGGCCTTAAGCAATCCTCCCACTTCAGCCTCCCAAAGGGCTGAGATTGCAGGCAGGAGCCACCACACCCAGTCTTGCAGCTATTCTTGTTCCATTTTACAGATGAGAAAGCAAGCTGGAAGCAGGGAAGCCTTGAGAATTTGAATGTCCGTATGTCTCCCAGCCCTGCTCTGACTGCTGTTTCTCTTTCAACAGCAAGTGTATTATAGGTTGCCTTCTCATTCCTCAGATTATCCACTCAGAAGTGACATAAACCCACCTTCTCTTCTTCACTGGCGACTGATGATTTAAATTACAGGGCCAAGGACTTCTATATCCTGGTTATGGCTTAAGCAGGGGCTAAATAGTCCTTTTTGCTTCTGTGCCTTCAGTTCCACATGGAACCAAGAAGCACTGAGCCCTCCTCAAACCTTCAACACCAGTGCATTTAAGCCATTAAACCGTCCTGCTGCATTTCGAAGAATGGATGCTGACAATTCACAGAAAGAACCCTTTAGCTTTTGGATGTATGAATTAATCATTCCAGTTAACTAGATACAAAGTTCACCTAAGGTCTCTGAACTTCTGAAGATAAATATTAAACACATCCGACTTACTCAGTAGAAACAATGCAAATTACCAACAGTCCCTGGGTCAAGGATGTGAGAGACAATAAGAAGTTCAAATAAATCAGACCATAAGGGGCAGGCAAGAATTTTATTACTGATGTGAATACTGCACATCATCCACATACAGTTCTCTCCTGCCAGTATCAGCAGGGCCACCAGAAAGTGTGAGATGGGCTGGCACAATTTTTATACTTTTGTCAGCTGCTACATCTTTCAACTCTATTTTTAAGATGTAGAATTATGAACACAAGAAAGGAGAACGGCCTACAACTTTATTAGTGTATGCCTACCAGTTTAAAAGGAGTTAATAATATTTAACACCTATAAAACTATGCAATGGATAGAAGTTGTGGCATTACAACATTTGCTTTTCAAATTCCATTTTGCAGAGTGTAAGAATTCCTTGGCAGGGCTACAGGAGCAGCTGCAGGAGAAAAAAGAGAGGCAGAGGTACAGTGCCTTTGGTCTCCCCTTATTCTACTGGAGCAGCTGCATTTTTATCTGCTTTATCAATTGAATTTCATGTACAATTACACTGGAATAAAAGCATTCTGCTGTTTTAAAAATGGTTTTAAACCATTGGTTTTGATCATGTCTTTCTCTGCTATATTATCCATTTTTCTATACCCAACAACTGTGCTTATCTTGAACATGGCCTTAACATTTATTTATTTAAATTTTGGCTCTTTGCGTATCAGCAAAGAATGGTATTCTCTTTGCCATGTTTTTAGCCTTTTTCAAAACATGCCACATTTTGTTTTGATTGCTTTAATCTTTTTGTTCTCTTCTCCTTATGTTCAGCATCAAAATTGCTATTTTACTCCTAGCCTGGGGACAGGCATATTTGATACCATTTCAAATAAATAATCTAACTGGAGATTGGAGAGAAAAACAATGTGATCTCTGAGGTCTGGGAATGGTTGTGTTATATTTAATTTATGCAAAACCTTCTGTATCACACTCTCTATAGGATTTTCTTTGAATTCCTGACCACTACCTTTCAGATAGTGGAGTTTTGTGGAGCACATGGCAATGATCAGTATAACCCAAAGGGTTCTTTCCAGTCACTTCCACTCTCCATCTCTTTTTTTGAAGTGTCACGTATGGATGAGCTGAGAGACCACAGGCACACTTGGGCTGCTCTCTGAAAGCCAGAGCTGCTTCATATCTATTTATATGCGGACATGGTGAGACCTCGGACAAACATAGCAACTCTTCATTGAAAATGTCTCAGTTCTCTTTTTTAATGCAATATTCCAACCCTCCCCTTTCTCTTACCATTAAGGGTACTGCCTCACATTGCACTATCCCTCAGCTTCTTGGTCCTCTGAACTGTGCTAACACTGTAACGGAGAGAGAAGAACAAATTTAATCTCCAGTGATATCAAGTAACTCCTGTGTCTTTGGCACCATTGCTGGTGGAAATTTCTGATCTATTTAAATTACTGTGATTTTAGATTTCAAGAAAAACTCCTCACTGATCTTTCCTAAATGTTCTCTTTTTTTATTTTTTAATTTATTTATTATACTTTAAGTTCTGGGATACATGTGTGGAATGTGCAGTTTTGTTACATAGATATACACGTGCCATGGTGGTTTGCTGCACCCATCAACCCATCATCTACATTAGGTATTTCTCCTAATGCTATCCCTCTGCTAGCCCCCTACCCCCTGACAGGCCCCGGTGTGTGATGTTCCCCTCCCTGTCTCTTGTGTTCTCATTGTTCAATTCCCACTTGTGAGTGAGAACATGCCATGTTTGGTTTCTGTTCCTGTGTTAGTTTGCTGAGAACGATGGTTTCCAGCTTCATCCATGTCACTGCAAAGGACATGAATCCTTCTTCTTTATGACTGCATAGTATTCCATGATGTATATATGCCACATTTTCTTAATCCAGTCTATCATTGATGGGCATTTGAGTTGGTTCCAAGTCTTTGGTATTGTGAACAGTGCTGTAATAAACATATGTGTGCATGTGTCTTTATAGTGGAATGATTTATAATCCTTTGAATATATACCCAGTAATGGGATTGCTGGGTTAAATGGTATTTCTGGTTCTAGATCCTTGAGGAATCACCACAATGTCTTCCACAATGGTTGAACTAATTTACACTTCCACCAACTCTATAAAAACGTTTCTATTTCTCCACATCCTCTCTAGCATCTGTTGTTTCCTGACTTTTTAATGATAGCCATTCTAACTGGTGTGAAATGGTATCTCATTGTGGTTTTGATTTGCATTTCTTTTAGCCAAGACAATCCTAAGCAAAAAGAACAAACCTGGAGGCATCATGCTAACTGACTTCAAACTACACTACAAGGCTACAGTAACCAAAACAGCATGGTACTGGTACCAAAACACAGACATAGACCAATAGACCAGAACAGAGGCCTCAGAAATAACACCACACATCTACAACCATTTGATCTTTGACAAACCTCACAAAAGCAAGCAATAAGGAAAGGACTCCCTATTTAATAAATGGTGTTGGGAAAACTGGCTAGCCATATGCAGAAAACTGAAAGTGGATCACTTTCTTACACCTTAACAAAAATTAACTCAAGATGGATTAAAGACTTGAATGCAAGACCTAAAACCATAAAAACCCTAGAAGAAAACCTAGGCAATACCACTCAGGGAATAGGCATGGGCAAAGACTTCATAACTAAAACATGAAAAGCAATGGCAACAAAAGCCAAAATTGACAAATGGGATCTAATTAAACTAAAAAGTTTCTGCAGAGCAAAAGAAACTGTAATCAAAGTAAACGGGCAACCTACAGAATGGGAGGAAATTTTTGCAACCTATCCATCTGACAAAAGGCGAATGTCCAGAATCTACAAAGAACTTAAAGAAATTTACAAGAAAAAAACCAACAACCCCACCAAAAAGTGGGCAAAGGATATGAACAGACACTTCTCAAAAGAAGGCATTTATGTGGCCAACAAACATATGAAAAAAAACTCATCATCTCTAAATGTTCTTTATATTGGCAATCACTTTCAAATAAAACCCATGATAATTCTTAGTCACATTTTGGGGTTATTGATGAAAACTAGTTGTAATATTCATTATGAATCAGTACTAGTATTCAAAATGGGAGGGGTATATTGATTTCTATGAAATAAAACATATTTCCCTTCCCTGTAACACAAAGGTAGGCCCAGTTGAGATCCTAATAATCTTTTAAGTTCTTCCACCAGCACTGTAGTATGGGTTAGTGTGCAAATTCTGATTCTGAGAAATACCAGTTACTTAAGTCTTTGTAGTCAATGTTCCCAGTATCCCACCCATAACTTCTTTGGAATTAACACTTTTGGGCACCTAGCACTACTAACTGTTGTCCCCTGTCAATCTTTGTCTAAATGTTTCTTCTGGTGACTGGATAACATGTTCAAATGTACAGTAGGCTGAAAGTACAGATAATTAGCACCCTTTGGGAATAGCACCAGCCTATAACTGATAGGAGTTTGGGGTATGCATATTCCATTTCTGTAACACCTCAGTGAGATAACTCTGAGGGTCATGCTTCTACACTAGCTTCTAGGATTCTCCAGTGGTATTAAGCTCCAGTTGTCCACAGTGATAGTTGTCTCATCATTTTTCTGTTCTCCTTCCTTCCCTGACTCACTTTCCACATTTCCTGCTGGCATCTTCTGCAATCAGCTCCCAAGTAAATTACTTGAACTCAGACCCTTTGTTTAGGATTTGCTTCTTGGGTAACTCAAACTAAAATACTATTCTAAGCCTCAAATTCATCACTGGTAAGGGAGTGGCATGATAATAACTCTCCCAAAGGCTTGTAAAGATTAAATAAAACAGTATCTTTATACTCTTACCATTTCTATGGCCACGAAGTAGGCATTTAATAAATTATACTAATCCATAGTATGTATCCTCCCATCTTACCTGTATATACCTCTATTACCTGATTCCCTACCACTGTATTCCTTACTCTTTCCAATGAGGACACAGTAGTCTTCTTGCTCTTTCTCAAACATGCCAAGCACACTTCTCCTTCAGAGTCTTTACACCCTCAGTGTCCTCTTCCAGATATCTGCATGACTTTCTACATTACTTCTTTTTAAACCTTGCTGAAATGTGATCTGATCAATAAGAATTTCCCTGATCATCACATACAAAGTAGTACTTCCTATAATATCTCAGTGCCCTCCTTGCCCCACTTTATTTTTCTCCATTATAGTCATCATTGTCCGCTAGATCAGAAACACCATAATGGCAGGAGCCATGTTTGTTTTGTTTCTTGCTCCATCTCCAGCACCTATAAAAGGACTGGGCACATAGTAAGAGAAAAAATAATACTTGTTGAATGAATAATCTTCATAAAATCCTAAATTTTAAAAGTTCTTTTAAGTGTAAAAATACTTAAAGATATACTGATTAGGATAATCTTACCAGATTATGCCAACGGTGTGTGGGAGCTGGCTTATATATGCTCAAAATAGTGAATTAAATATTCAGCAATTTTCTTGACCAGTTGTTAAAGTGTTGCAGCTTGAAATTGGCCATGATGAAAATGTTTACACCATGGAAATTAGTAAACGCTATATATGAAGACTTTATTTGGGAAGGGGGAACCTGTTTGTCACCACACTACTGATGACAGCTAAAATTCTGTAGCAAACAGAATTTTAAAAGAAAAGTGCTTTTAGGCTAGAACATAGCTTTGGAGTAGGGATAAAGGATAACATTATTGAACACTGATATCATCCTTAGGGCCTTATGTTGAGCTTTATGTATGAGAGATAGTGCAGAATTATCCCCCAGGCAGATTTAATAAGATTTTCTTCTATGTTACATTGCACCATGCATACATTTCTACTACAGTTCATATGACATGAATTTTTCATTGTTAATATATAAACAGTTGGCTCTATGAGGACAAGACACTGTTCATCTTAATAATCCCTGGAGACTAACGAAATTTGCCCACACAGCAGGCTGGTGGATGTTTGAACCACACAGTGGTAAGAGTCAGGATTATGATGACTGACACAAAAAGTAAGGCCATATATAACTGACCCCATAATGCTTCCTTTCATAGTATCTTAAATAATGAAGTTGAGCCTAACCTCACCTTGAATTTGCAGTCACTTCTATTAAAATGATGAAAACATACTGGTTTCTTAGAGAATAAGGTGAGCACGGTGTTTGAGTTTGCTTAGGACTTTTCCACTGTTAGCCCAGAAAGTCCCACATTCAAGGCAAACCCAGATGGCTTGTCATCCTACTTAGAAAACAAAGGCAAGAGGGTGAGAGCTGTGAGTGGGAGTGGTAATTAAAAGGTGAAAGCTGATCAAAATTGAGATGGGAGTAGCCTTCTGACCAGGAAGTGAGGGATCCCAAGAGAATGTAAATTTTACTTTCATGGGAATTCTGAATGATATAGGATAGGTTGTTACACTTACCTCGAGGACACAGAAAGTCAAATTGACTATATTAATGGTAAAGAAAAGAGTAACTCCAGAGGGTTGGGGATTTGGAAACATAGAGATCCTGGTGTTGCCAGCTTAAACTAATTTCTATAATTGTGGCAAATGCTGAGAAATTCAGGGCTTACTAAGAACGTATAACAAAGCTACCTCTCTGGAAGCATCTGCAAAGTCCTCCTTGAAGACAAGGTCCTGGCTATGTTGAATTTGAAGTCTTCCAAGCAGATTCATTTTCTAGCATCACTGACATAAAGTAGTGACTTCTAATGAGTACAATTAATAGAGACTTTTTGTGACTGCACAAAGAACTTGGGAACTAGTGTGAGAATTACTATAATTCTGATTTTAGCTGCTTCAAACAATCTTTAATAGGCCTTTTCTCCTTCTATGAGGCTATCCCATCCTCAAAATGTGCCAGACTTTAATCTCTCTACTTCATTTCTACTCAGCTTTGTCTAAAGATAAAATTTTGACATAAATCAATTCTACTTAATGTATTATCTAGTTAGAGAGTCGATTCTCCCAGATACAGTCACATCACGTGAAGGAGTGATGATAATGCTGGATCACTTCAGCCGTCAGTGTAAGGTGTTGGGACATACAATTTTGACTGCAGGAATCTCAAGATCTCTCCTGAGTAAAGCCAGTTTCCAGAATGAACAAGAAAAAACTGATCTCTAACTATATGTACCACATTTCTCAGAATCCCACTGAATTCCTTTACCTAGACAGCTTGTTGTCCATGTGGGAAAATATACCATGCAACTTTTTCAATTATACAGAAGACAACTTTCTCCAGCATGTCAATAAAATTCAGTGTTACTGGCTTCATATTCCCACTAATGTATTGTAATCATATACTTGCTATTTCTGATTAGCAGTAATATCATTGCAGCTTATTAGGTCAAAAGACCACTAAGAGAAGTTCTCTACCAAAATAGAATGTCTGAAAGGCATTTTTGAAATTCATTTTAGGAATGAGGTCATTGAAAAAACAGGTTGCAATGAAGACTATAAAGCAGTCACTTGTTCTTTGGTAAAAACTTTCATACATTCTGAACTGAATAAATCTAACTTATTTTAAATATTATATTGTTTTAAAAAATAATAAACTGTCAAGTCCTGCTATTATCACTGTATGATCTTAGGCAAGAAACTGGAACCATAAAAGAAGTATCTGTAAACAGCATATGTGGCAGCATTCCAAAGGGCAGTCCTCTCTCACACTTTGGTTTACATGTGTATATCTTATTTTTCCCCAGCATAACTGTAACCACCTTGAGGCAGAACCTCTTTACTCCCCCAAGGACAATCTGCACCAGAATGCACACAGTAGAAGTCTAATATATATCTGTAAGATATAAAGCTAAATCATTGATTGTAGGTTACTCATTATGCTGTTCTAATCTTCATTACACTTTATGATGTATAAAACAGGAATATAGTTTATCAGCTATAATCTATTTTTTGAGGCTCGGAATGATTTTTGAGATCAAATAGGGCAGTGGAAAGAATTGCTGAGTTTGAATACAGCCTCTACCACTTACTTGCTGTGAGATTTGGACAAATTCCTTATTTCTCTGCTTCAGTTTCTTCATCTGTAAATAAAGACAAGAGTATCTATGATCAAGTAATTATGAAGAGTAAATGAGTTAATAAATAAAAAGGGCTTAGAATTGAGTTTGGTATAATAGCAAGTACTTTATGATTTTTTTTCTCTTTTTTTAATATATATATTTTTTATTATACTTTAAGTTTTAGGGTACATGTGCACATTGTGCAGGTTAGTTACATATGTATACATGTGCCATGCTGGTGCACTGCACCCACTAACTCATCATCTAGCATTAGGTATATCTCCCAATGCTATCCCTCCCTCCTCCCCCCACCCCACAACAGTCCCCAGAGTGTGAGGTTCCCCTTCCTGTGTCCATGTGTTCTCATTGTTCAATTCCCACCTATGAGTGAGAATATGCGGTGTTTGGTTTTTTGTTCTTGCGATAGTTTACTGAGAATGATGATTTCCAATTTCAACCATGTCCCTACAAAGGACATGAACTCATCCTTTTTTATGGCTGCATAGTATTCCATGGTGTATATGTGCCACATTTTCTTAATCCAGTCTATCATTGTTGGACATTTGTGTTGGTTCCAAGTCTTTGCTATTGTGAATAATGCCGCAATAAACATATGTGTGCAGGTGTCTTTATAGCAGCATGATTTATAGTCCTTTGGGTATATACCCAGTAATGGGATGGCTGGGTCAAATGGTATTTCCAGTTCTAGATCCCTGAGGAATCGCCACACTGACTTCCACAATGGTTGAACTAGTTTACAGTCCCACCAACAGTGTAAAAGTGTTCCTATTTCTCCACATCCTCTCCAGCACCTGTTGTTTCCTGACTTTTTAATGATTGCCATTCTAACTGGTGTGAGATGGTATCTCATTGTGGTTTTGATTTGCATTTCTCTGATGGCCAGTGATGGTGAGCATTTTTTCATGTGTTTTTTGGCTGCATAAATGTCTTCTTTTGAGAAGTGTCTGTTCATGTCCTTCGCCCACTTTTTGATGGGGTTGTTTGTTTTTTTCTTGTAAATTTGTTTGAGTTCATTGTAGATTCTGGATATTAGCCCTTTGTCAGATGAGTAGGTTGCGAAAATTTTCTCCCATTTTGTGGGTTGCCTGTTCACTCTGATGGTAGTTTCTTTTGCTGTGCAGAAGCTCTTTAGTTTAATTAGATCCCATTTCATTCAAATAAATTTATAAAATCATATGATTTACAGAATTGATCTGTAAAAAATCACTATATCTACTTTCTTTCTGCCCAAGCTATTACTAAATCCATGGTATACCTTACAATCAATGATATCTAAAAAACAAACAAACAAACAAACAAAGAAATAGAGTTGCTAAAGAAAAGCAAAAGAAGACACAACGAGAAAAATGAGTAAGGAAAATGGAGTCAGAGAAGTGAGATGAAGTGATAAGTTGCACAGAAACCAAACTCAAAACCTGGCCCATTGCTGTCCTCTGGTTACCAGATTTTGAAAATAATACTGATCTTATAATTTTACTTGGATAAGAGGACAAAGTAGCTGATAAGAACTGAGCATTATTTCAGGTATAGTTATTTAGTCGTGTCCTGACATATAGGGCTGGTTGAAAGGATTTGTTCACTTTTCCCCATAGCTCCTCCTTTCCGATGTTTGCTTTTCACTGGGGTGGTTGGGGAGGAAGTTGTGGCAACAACTAGGAATGTGAGAATTTCTGACGGTCTCCTTGTCCTTTACCTAGAAACATCATTATAAATATCATGATCATAATATTTAAATCGATGAATGGAAAGCCTATAAAACTTGGTGGAAAACAACATAGGGTGCCTTTTTATTTCATATTGACACGATTCAAGCTTTAGCCTAAGAATGCATATATAAAAATAAGCAACTTTTCTTTTAAAAACTATGATGTCTTCACATTTCATTTCAGGGTCTCATTTGAAATAGTTTTCTACCCAGCTTCTTAAATGATGCTTTATAGAAAACTGGTTCCATGAAATATTTGTTGTTTTATATTTTTATGTCTTTTCCTCTCATGGCTAATGCCGTTTTTTTAAAAAGTTCAATGGTCAAAGAAGTAAGGAAAACATTGAGTTAACCAAAATTTAACAAATGTCTTTTTGATAGGAATTTTCAGAATCTTCATTATGCCAACAAGCATCATCCATCTTTTAGAAGAAGATACCATAGGCAGTTTTTGCCAAATGTATTAGATCATGTAACATTTATAGCATTTTTTTCCATGATGCATTGTGATGGTTGATGGACATGCTTTAGGAAGAACATTATGAAGGGCTGACTTAATGCAATGATGCAATGCATTTGTTTAACATTCTGTATTTTTCAAAAAAACAAAACCCTTTCACATATATAGTAATAATTCTTCATCACAACAGTCCCTGGGAGACAACAGAAAAATAATTAATATAGCCATTTTATGGATCTCATAAACAGAAGCCTTAAAGGTTGAATTATTTTCTCAATGTCATATCATATGACATAGAGGACTTAGGTCTCTTGATTCTATGCCTTATCCTATTGAACGTCTTATTCAGGATATATTTCTTACCATTGTAGTCTTACACCAGCTCTCATCTATCTGCTGCAAACCCAGTGAGGAGTTATGACATCTGAGGGCACGTAGTACTCTGGGTCTCGGTCCCTGGGTTAAACTGGAAAGGGATATTTCTGAGAAGCCAGTAGCGATTGGAGACAGCTATGAAGCAACCATAAGAGAAGTTAGAGCAGGCCTTCTGATACTGATTGACAAGAGACTGGTATGGGGCTGGAAACTGGAGCTATGATAATCAGGTTATGGCTTAGGAGGTGATAAATAAGAGCCATGTTGGCCAAAACTCTGTCTTATTAGTTGTTGGCCACAAGGCCTGTAAGTAGATCATCATATAATGTCACAATCTGCTAATATGATGCAGGGTGGACCTTCTGCTTATCAGCTCCCAGGTCTGGAAGGTCAAGAATCGCTGAGTGAGGCCAAAAGAAAGAAATCATGGTGCTAACTACTTTGACTTCCATTTGGAGCTTTAAAGGTAGAAGACATTTTTGGTGATGGTACTTGGTTTAGCCCAGCACATCAAGATAAAAAACAACAACAACAAGAAAAAACAGACTTGGAATTCAACACCAAACACCATTATTATAGGCAATCCACTGCTATGGTTTGGATGTGGTTTGTTCCTGTCAAAATTCATATTGAAGTTTTATTGCCAGTGTAGCAGTATTGAAGGTGGGGCCTAGTCAGAGGTGTTTGAGTCACGGGGGTGTATCCCTATGAATAGGTTAAGGTCTTCTTGAAAAGTGAGCTCTTGCTGTCACAGATATGGACTAGTTCCCACAAGAGTAATTTGTTTTAAAGCAAGTTTCCTTTACCTATTTGGCCCCTTCTTCACATCCACTCCCCTGTTGACCTTCTGTCATGCTATGATGCAGCATGAAAGCCTCTCTAGAAATCAGCACCATGCTCTTGAACTTCCCAGCATGCAGAGCCATGAGTTAAATAAAACTATTTTCTTCATAAATTACCCAGCCTCCGGTATTCTGTTTTAACAATACTAACCAGACTAAAGCATCCACCTTCTCATCATTCAAGTCTCCAAAGCTGAAAGGAATGTGCAAAGTTAAGTACAAACCACAGCTTCCCAGGGAAGAGAACTCTATTCAGCCAAAAGTCAGTTAATCTCATAATGTGTTTTTGTGTGCTAAGTGGTATTTCACTATAAAAGTTGTCTAAGCAGCACACGCTGAATTGTCACCAGCCTCCAGAGCTGTAGGAAAAGAAAATGATCGCTTATGTATCTTGGTGGCTTATCAGGGAACATGGAAGAATTAATGTATTTATTCTTTCTTCTGAGATTAAATGTAATTGCTTTAAAAAGATAATCATGCTATTGTTTGAATTGTATGCATTTCTTATGAAGCACTAATACATTTTCCTGTAGTCTGACAAAGTGTGTGGTCTCTTATCCTCATTTCCCTGTGGATAAATACTTTGTTAATTAATAAAGTATTATATGAGCACTTAGTGTCTGCATTTAACTGTGCAAGGATTTCATTCAGATTATGTTAATAGATTGTTCACATTATTCCTTGCATTAATTACAACTTCTTTCTGTGGTTTCATCATAAGAGCATTGTCATTGTGAATACAGGGGACTTTTTGGATTATATTCTTGTTTGACTGCTGAAGTAATGCTAGGAAAATATTATTATATTGAGCACTACTCTCGAGGACTTGGCAAAAAGCAAAAACAGATTCAATTATTCTCAAATCTTAGAAAGAACACAATTAGTTACAGCCTGGCCTACCTGAATCAAAATCAAGCAATTTGGGAATTTCTCTATTACCTACAGTATCTTAGAAAAAATTTATAAAATTAGTATTTCATATCATGATACCTTAGGCATAATTATCAGGAAAAAAAAGGTTTCCTCCTAGTAATTGGTAAATGTGGAATTCAAATTAAGCAAATATGAAGCATGGGCATAAATCTTAGGCCACATGTGTGCAAGAAATTTCACTTTCTTTTTCTCAAATCAACTTAATTCTGATTCATCTCACCTTATCTAAATAAGCTCTAGATATCTGCTGTGCTGGTGGGAAACTTAATCAGAGGTATGTGGACCACGCCCTCCACCCAGTGTTATGCAAAGGTTCCCAGGTCTTAGGTAATATCTGGAAATGAGGAAGCCCCTGGGTCATCAGCTATCAGTCTGTCATGGTTACTACTGAGGCACAGCAGGCCTAGTGCTCAGGCTGCCTTCAGGTCTACCTGTGCTCCATTTCTACTTGAGCTGTTTGATGTACTTTGGAAGGCTGGGGATCTCTATGTCCACCCTGGGGATAAACCTCCCCAAGCCATATCTCAAGGAAATCATACACTCACCAGTCTGCAGGCAGAGTACTACCACAAGGAAATATGCCAGTCCTCACCCTACCATTCTCCTCCTCCATCTCTTTTTCTTTCCTGGGAAATATTTTTCTTCTTCATCCCTGTTGCTCTGATAGTCACTTCCTCTGTCTCTAGTCCTCATAAGCAATCTTAGCATTTATCTTTTTAGGCTTTTCCTAGCCAGGCGGAAACTGAGGATTCATCTCAGAGGTCTATCTGCAAAAGTGTCAGCTATGTGCTTAGAATACAGGTGTGGGGAAGAAATATACAGGGCAAACCCTATAAATTATCTTGAAACAAATCCTAGAACATAAACTATTTTCCAAAGACATGCAATTTTACTAAAAAAATAAACTTTACAAAACACAGTTCTGATGTTACTATTTCAGATAAAATGAGAAATGATTTGTAAAAATAAAACTAACCAGTTTGAATTCAGAATTTATAAAAGCCCACATTTGGTGTTTTATATGGGAATGTGATAAAACATTAACATTTGATGTTTTGTCTATTTGTTTATAAAAATGATTGTTATTTTCATTTTATTTCCTAAATATTCTCATGAAGTGTAACTGTAGAAACTAAGAAGCAGGTTTTCTTTCCTCCCTTTTTATGCTCACCCCATAGTCATTCTGGCCTCTAGAGTCTTCCTGTTCCAACTCCTTCCAGATGTACCCAGCTCCACACGCAGTTTTTCTCACTCATGACCACCTCCTGCCCTCTGTACCAAGACTTCTCCCATATGTAGGGCTGCAGATTTAGCAAATACAAATACAGGACAACAATTAACTTTGAAGTTTACATAAACAATGAAGAAATTTTTAGTATAAGTATGTTTCAAATATTGCATGGGACATACTTATAGAAGAAAAAATTTCATTGTTATCTGAATTTCAAAGTTAACTGTGCATTCTGTATTTTATCTGGCCATTCTACTTACATTCCCAGGTCACTATCTCCCTTTTCTCCAACCTTTCCCACCTCCTATCACAGAATATTGTTCCATGTGACTAATCAATGGGTATGAAGTTTTAATTAAGCAAAATAAATAAGCTCTAGATATCTGCTGTACTGCATTCAACCTACAGTCAGCAATAATATATTATACACTTAAAACTTTATTAAGAAGATTATCTTACCACAATAAAACAAAATTAGAAAAAGAAAAGGCATTGTAGTAAATATGAAAGAAACTTCAAAGAAGAGGTACTTTGATTGAACACCCCATAATCTTCGATGAATTTCTCAATCTGTTCTCTTAGACCCTGAACGGTCTTAGAAATAGGAAACTGGCCTCAAAAAGTATAATCTAACAGCCTCAGAATTCCACACTTATGGTGGAAACAGAATCAAGATAAAGAGTTACAATTTAAGTCAGAGGACTTCTTGTGATGTAAGATAGAAAACTTGAACAGTTTATAATAATCAGGCATTCTGAAATCATAAAATAAAAGGAAAAAATCACACTGCAGTTGGAAAAAAAGAAAAGGAGACTATTTTTTTTTTTAACTTGATAGCACTAGAGTTAGAAAAGTAAGCTGATAGAGTGGTTCTCTTTAGAAACCATCCATTTGGAATATGACGACCCTTGTCGTAAAGAGAGGAGTGGCTGGGGAGGCAAAGCCCATTAAAGTTGGCAGTTGTGCTTTGTCAACCATTTAGTGTGGTTGAAGCAAAGGTAAAGTAGCAAGGATTGTTCCTGCAGGAAAACATATTTAAGCTTATAGGCCAGGTTTTACAAGTAAGAGTGCAAGGACAAGAAAAGTAGAGGTTTTATTTCAGGGCAAAATAAGAAATGCGCAGGATATGGTCCTTCTGGTTCAACAAAGTCTCCAAGATGCTTTCAAGTTGAACATGTTTCTGAGCATTGCAAGGATAGCTCATAAATGGTTATTCTTAAGCTGTTGCTTATTAAATCAAATCTGAATCTGGCAAAGTAACAGCAGAAGCCAGGGGAAAGCCAGTAGATGATGCATTAATGCGGCCTTGAAAATTATTTTCAAGTCTTACTCAGCAACACAATTTGGTTACATCCTGCTTCATGTGGAATGATTTCATTCCTTTGTTGGTTTTTTTTTAACAGTCGGCCTTCTACAATAGCTATTTAAATTAAGCATTAAATTTATCAAAAGTGTATTCTTTACTGTAATTAATTCTAAAAGATAGAAGAATACCATCTTCTTCTGCAAATACAGAGTGAGCACCTATGGAATTCAACAATATTTATGAAGAAAGAAATTGTATTTATACAGGAGGGGAAAAAAAAGCAGTAGACTGAGGCAGATCTATGTTTAAAACACAGCTCATTTACTAGCTGTGTGGCTTTGGATGGATCCATTAACCTCTCCGAATTTCTTTCCTTAATTATAACAGGCACTAATAATGCCTGCATACATGAGAGTTATGAATTAAAAATAATATGTGTAAAGTGTTTCACACACAATAATAGCGACAATCTAATGAGGCCTATTAAGATATCCTGAGGCTCATAAAGGAGAATTGCTGAGACCTCTTGAATAACATTTCTGAAAATGTGTTGGGAAAACATTAGTCCCTACTGATGGGTCTGCTATTATCAAATCTGGGAAATGTGTTTTATAGGCTTCTATTAGAAATTAGTAAAGACTCTGAGAAGCTCTGCAACTAAGAAATCTGCTTCAGTTCAACACTGAGTTTTCCAGGCCTAAGAATTCTGCAACCTTTTATTAGGCATCAACAGGAATTCCAGTCTTGGGTGAACTTTGCCCCTGACATCAAAAAAGAAAGCCGATTCGTTACAGTTTGTTCAGCTGAGGATGTGTTTCTTACTATGTTATTTTGACATTGTTACCTTTCTTTTTCACTGATTTTTTAACCTCCAGTTTTAACTCATGAAAAGAAATTTGGAGGAAATGTCATTTATTAAAAGTATACCCTTTGTCAGATAGATAGATTGCAAAAATTTTCTCCCATTCTGTAGGTTGCCTGTTCACTCTGATGATAGTTTCTTTTGCCGAACCAGAAGTGCTTTAGTTTAATTAGACCCCATTTGTCAAATTTTGGCTTTTGTTGCCATTGCTTTTCGTGTTTTAGTCATGAACTCTTTGCCCATTCCTATGTCCTGAATGGTATTGCCTAGGTTTTCTTCTAGGGTTTTTATGGTTTTAGGTTTTACGTTTAAGTCTTTAATCCACCTTGAGTTAATTTTTGTATAAGGTGTAACAAAGGGCTCCAGTTTCAGTTTTCTTCATATGGCTAGCCAGTTTTCCCAACACCACTTATTAAATAGGGAATGCTTACCTCATTACTTGTTTTTGTCAGGTTTGTCAAAGATCAGATGATTGTAGATGTGTGGCGTTATTTCTGATGTTTCTGTTCTGTTCTGTTCCATTGGTCTATATATCTGTTTTGGTACCATTACCATGCTGTTTTGGTTACTGTAGCCTTGTAGCATAGTTTGAAGTCAGGTAGCGTGATGCCTCCAGGTTTGTTCTTTTTGCTTAGGATTGTCTTGGCTATATGGGCTCCTTTTTGTTCCATATGAAATTTAAAGTAGTTTTTTCTAATTCTGTGAAGAAAGTCACTGGTAGCTTGATGGGGATAGCACTGCATCTATAAATTACTCTGGGGATTATAAATAATTCTACTATAAAGACACATGCACACATATGTATATTGCAGCACTATTCACAATAGCAAAGACATGGAGTCAACCCAAATGCCCATCAATGATAGACTGGATAAAGAATATGTGGCACATATATACCATGGAATACTATGCAGCCATAAAAAAGTATGAGTTCATGTCCTTTACAGGGACATGGATGTAGCTGGAAACCATCATTCTCAGCAAACTACCACAGGAACAGAAAACCAAACACTGGGTGTTCTCGATCATAAGTGGGAGTCGAACAATGAGAACACATGGACACAGGGAAGGGAACATCGCACACTGGGGCCTGTCAGAGGGTGCGGGTAGGGGAGGGAGAGCATTAGGACAGATACCTAATGTAGATGATAGATTGATAGGTGCAGCATACCACCATGGGACGTGTATACCTATGTAACAAACCCACACATTCTGCACATGTATCCCATAACTAAAAGTATAATAAATTTTTTTAAAGATATACCAATCTATTTTCTTACTATGGGACTTTTCTTATGCAACTTTCAAGTTTAAGCTTTTGTTATCTGACCTAATTCATTTCTTTAAGGAACTATTATATTTACAACAAAGAAAACGCACTGATCCTTTGTCTTATGAAGGTCTTATGAATGCTACTTTCCCAGCTTCTGTAGATACAGATCTTGAATTGCCTCAGCTCACATACTAAGCCTTTCTACTCACCTCATTCTATCAAATTCCACTGGTTTTTGCCCTCACTGTTCTTTCCATCTAAGGCAATACTTCACTATCACAACATAAATATAATCTCCACTCTTTCACTTGTTTTGCTCACAAACTTCATCTCTTCCCCAACTAGGCATCTTATTCCCATGAGAAACTGGGAAATAGCATCTCTACAACAGCTGTACAGAATGTACATGAACCAGGCCATTTACTCCCACCCTGGGCTTGCAATTCCATGATCCATCCCTCATCAACTTGACTCCCCTGCTTCCTGGAGCCTCAACAGAAAGAGTCTCACCTAATCAATCGCAACTTCAACAGTTACATTTAGACATTTTTAGTAACTCAGAAGCAAATTGTTGGTAACTAGAGAATCAAGTATTTTTGGCAACAGATATATAAAATAGCAGCAATTATTATATGGCTGGGAAAGTACATATGATTATCTTACAAGCTAAGACTTATCTATAAGCAGGCTGATAACACAGTCTTACTTAGGTACTGTTTTTGGTCTTTGGATGAAGCAGTCTATTAGTAATACACTGTAAACCAGAAGCTGCCAAAGTTGCTCCCATCTGTCCTTTTTGAGCATTTCATATGTGGCCATATGAATGAGCCCAGAGACCAACAGCTCCAATCCTACAGGCCTTGTAAAAAGCACTAGTTGTGAGATGCAGCCAGAGAACTCATCGATGATCTCAATACCTAAAACACTGCACCATCAAACAGACATGCTGGATTGGCAATGGCTGGCTCAGTGATGTCCAAGACCACAGTCATGGCAGTGAAAGGACTTGAGGTGTTTTGGCACCAAAGGTGGTGAATGGTTCCTCCACGGTATGCTTGCTTCCAGGTGCTATGATAAAAACCTTGGCTTTTTTATGACTTCCTAAAATTATTCCTCTACCCAACATAAGACCATAAACAAAAAGGAATATGGATGAACTCCCTGGATGGTGAAGCATAAGATCACTATTATGGCAGAATGTTATACACCTACTCATAATCTATCTTTAGTTGTATTTTTAATATTGTTATTTTCATGCATATGAAAACTCACTGTAATAAAATTCCAGTGTAAGGCTTTTTTTATTTCATCAGGTTTCACCTTCCCAGAGCAGGAGGCTTTTGAATAAAAAAATCTAACAATAATATCCAGCACACATAGCATTTTTCCAATACAAACACTACTCTAAATATTTCACATGTATTGACTATCTTAATCCTCACACCAATACTATGAAGTAGATACAATTATTATTCACATTTAGAGATGACAAGTGAGGACAAATCATTTGAATTGTGTAGACTGAAGCACTGTGATTGATTGTGAGCAGTTACAGACCTCACAGCCCTGTTGGAGTTAGGCAACAGAGGTGAGCATGAGAAGGACTTGAGGTTGACATCGTCCTTGCCTAAATGATAACTATAGGAATCATTCTCATCACAGTTGCCTCAGTTTCCTAATCTGTAAACCTCATAAAAACCCATGACAACCACTACCAATAGCATTGGAACCATTATTAGTAAGTAACCTAAGACTATGGAAATGGAAGAACCACCATTTAAGCCACAATTGTCCAAATCCCTGTGCAATACTATGTATCCTACAAGGAGAATTATGAAATAAAGAGTGTGTTATCTGGAACCATTCAGAGGTCAGGATTCTGGGGTAAATTCTTAGGGAAGAGAGGCAGTTATAGTTAATTCAAGTTATTTTTCTAGTTAGGGCCAAATATTAGGATGAGCCAAATCAAATTATCTATATGCAAACACTTTTGACTTAGAAAAATGACAATTTCATGTGGGTCAAAATAACAAAATGTCTTACTTTATGGGGGATCTTAGGAAAAAGGATGTAGATTAGAAGGAAATCTGTAACAAGACTAAGCTGAAATATCTAGCTGAAAACAACTAATCTATATCAAACCTGTAGCAACTTTGAATACATGATGGAGTAGTGGGTATGTGAACTATACTTATTCCTATGCAAATTTGAGTCAGCCTATGAGATTATAATTAGCCCAGGTGATGCACCTGGAAATCTATAATTTTTGTCCTCATGTCTGGTATTCCAGAAAACCTGGTGTAACTATACTCCACCTTTCCTGGCAGGAAATTTTAAATGCAAATTTTCTAGAAGTTCTCTTGCAAAACAACAAAATAAAATAATAAGAACTCCTTATGATTTTTTTTAAACAATGAGGTAATGTAATGGAATTCTGAAATATATTCTGTAACTGCCATTGTGTTCTGTGAGATATCCCTACAGAAACAGATTTGGAGTCACTCCAGTTCATGCTGTCAGTTTGGACTAAGACAGGCAGTACGAATGGGCAGACAATTTTTTTGATAATGAAATCTAGAAATTTGTTTGGAAAACCCTGAACAATTTCACTGGTACTCTGATGCTGCAATGCCATCAGCATGAAATGGAATAGTTCTGCTTTAAAGTCCCTGGCAAAAAGAGGCACATGTCTCTGCATCTCAGAAGCACAAGGTATAAACATCATGTTACTGTAAATTCCATTTTTTACAGCAGAGATTAGTAATGTATCAGCGTGCATTTCTTATTGCCATTCCAATGAATTTCCTGAAGACTTTTAATTCTAAATAAAAGAAGCCATGTTTATATTTTCTGCATTGTCATGTGTGTGCAGTACATATAGTAAGAGCTACAGACACTCAGAGAAAAGGAAAATTATGAATCTCGGAAGAATCATCTTTCTATCCATAGGCAGTTTTTGGTGTGTCTGGAGAGATCAAAAGACTCTGTACATATTTTGGAAACTAAGAAAAGAACAGAAGCGTAATGGTGTTATATCTTCCTGGGATTTCATTACTTTCAACAAGTGAATTTTGCAGGTGAGTACAAGGGAATCGTTTCTCAGAATTCTCTCTAAATCCCTTAGGAATTGAAAATCAGTATGAGGATTGACTCCAGAATATTCTGACTTTAAAAAAATGCCATGTATGTGAGGGTGCATACATGCATACACATACACATGCACACACAAACACAATATGTGCACAAATAGAACATGATGGCTAAGACAGTTTTTCTGAAGTTGAGATTTAAGATGTTAAACTGAGGACTTCAATTTTCACTCTATAAAGTCATTCAACCTCATACGTAGACTACAGAAGATAAATTATGCTCAAAAGGCCCACCTGAAAGCTCTTCTGCTTTCTGTGATTAAGCCTAATCAGCTATGCATTTGGGTAAAAAGTAGTGTCCTATTGTTTGGATTGTTGCATGAGCTCTATACCTTCTTGCCTTTGTGTTTCTGGCTCCTTCTCTGCTTGTTATCCTGGGTTTTTAATTGATTTCATTTTTATATTAGTCACATATTGGCATACTGTTAGATAATACCTACCTGCTTCTCCAAATACACACACACACACACACACACACACACACACACACACACACACACACATCCACCACGTAGGTAGCCCTCTAATTGCATGAAAACACAGGAATAGTCACGCACTCATCCCTAGGGTCCAGTCCTCAGGAATTAATTTTACAAAATGACCTTAGAGAGATGCACAAACCCTAATGTGAAATAATTTGAGTTTTACTCGTGTTCACTTTATGTGGCAGAAAGTAATTGTTGACCTACTAGTAATTCCTAAATCCCTTCTTGTTTATTCAGGGTGGTAATGTACCCAGCTAACAATAGTCTATTGCATGTACAGATGACCATGAGACATAGTTCTAGCCAGTAGAAATACTTGAGGGTTTCTGGGAAAGTTTAGATTTCCCAGCATAACTACGATGCCTTCCTGTTTGACCTTCTTTCTGCCTGCAATAGAAGTGAGATGAGGGTGTGTCAGCTATATTACAAACAGAAGATGGCAAGCATAAGTACAAAAGATGCTGAAACACAAAAGTAGACCATGTCTGGGTTCTTGACGTTATTGCTAAGCAGTTGGAAGAGACCTGCATTCACTGCCTCATATTTTATGATTTGATAAAAGCAAATCTTATGCATTCAAGTGACTGCAGTCAGTTTATTTGCAGCTGACCCCTTCTCCAATTGACAAAGCTTATATTGTAGTAACAGTTTCAGGCAACCAGATGTGTTCTCTGTGGGTTATTTTGAGGGTTGGGTAAGTGTCTGATGGAGCGAAATGGTCAGAGCCTAGCTCTTCTTTCATATTTCTCCTTTCTGAGCACATGAACCCACAATACCGCTGGAGAACACTCTGTGCGTGGAGTGAAGAACATCCCCATTTTCCCTTCCATTCTTTCAGTTATTCTGCATTACTATTTTTCTCTTTCCCTCAATGTTTCTATCTCATTTCAAAAGAGGAAACATGAAGTCAGAGGTTTGATTCAGAGGTAGAAATATTTTTATTTGGGTTTCCCCAAAGCAGACATTGGGTCAATGATATAGTACAAATAGTTTATTTGGGAGATGATTCCAGAAAGCACCTGTAGGAAAATGGGGAAGTGAGTCAAGGAGGAGAAGGAAGCAAATAAAGGGTGTGTTATTGTGCAGATAACCATCAGTGGGCAACTGAGGCTTAGGGACACAGTGTAAAATGTGCCTCAGAGTTAGCCCAACATGCCTAACTACTAACCCCAGCAAAGTACCAGGAGCATTTTATGCACCAATTCCTGTCAATCATTGGTTGAAGGCTGTTGAGGAGGTGGGCTACTACCTGATATCTCTAGCCTGTGGAATGAATGGCTCCAGATAAAGAGCTGCAAGCATTTGTAGCTGGAAGTTATTGGGTTGGTGTGCTTATGAATAAGTGCCGGAGGGATACTGACAGAGCATCATCAATATCAGCTATACTTAAACTCTTGCACCATTCAGATCCACTTGTGCCCCCCTTTAAGTTCACTGTGTTGAGTTAATGCTTCAAGGTGGTGTCTAGTTTTAATTTTTTTAAAAGGAAAATTTTACACAGTAGGTTTAGTAGAACAAGTTACTATCCTTGTTGCTTCAGTTTATCTAAATATTAATGTCTCCCATCTTTCTCCTCTACCACCCATTCCAGATCCTTTATCTAGCATGTTGCTTGCATTATGGGGTAACTCAGGCCTTTATTCCTACGTTGTCTAAGCCTCTAGTTACATTCTTTTGTAAAGTTATGCTTGCTGTAGTTGCCCGATCATGATTACTCCTGGGCAAGAAAGCACCAGGAGATATCCCAATGGACCCCCTGAGCTCAAGACATTCTTCTTTTTGCCTTCATTATGTAGCACAATTTTTTCTCTCCTCAGGACAATCAGGGACATTAATCCCTGCCAGCATAGTAATTTTGTTCTTTTCCTGTTTCTGCACTCTCATGAGGGACTTCATAACCAGATGACAGCTATAGCTTTAGGTTTATTAGACTCTTATTGCGTCTTCTGATAGAAGAATCCCTACCCAACCCAATTCTAAAAAACTAGGACCTCTAGTTCCTCAGAGGTGAAATTTTGGAGATAGAAAATACACACGGTACAAGTGGATCATGGGGGATTGGTGGTAAAATGGGTCACTCTAAGTTCTATTTCTTATTTTCTATATCTGCGTTTTCTAGTAGTTTGGAACAGTGCTCCACACAATGGCACTTGGTTCAAAGTATATGCCATGCTTTCAATAATAGTGCTTCAATAGTGAGAGATGTCATTTCCCTTCTGGAACCTTAGCTGTGCCTACAAGATGCCCTTCCATTGTTCTATCAGATCATCAGCTTCTGGGTGATGAAAATCTCACGGTCATGTGCAGGCCACTTGGTCCAAGGAGAGCTCATCATGGTAAGTCAGAACCACCTTGGATGATGGTGCTGAGCCACTGTGGGCAGAAAAGACTAATCCATACCCTAAATACACATTAATTTAAATATTAACAAATTACTGTTCTTTCTGGGATAGAAGAGGTATAATATATTAACTTTCAAAATCTGGCTGGTTTTTCTCCTTGGAGAATGGTGCCATATAGCGGTAGAGGGCTTAGCATCTGACTGTAATGCTAGCAGGTAAGACATTTAGCAGAAGCAGTAGCTGGTTCAACTTTGGTAAAAGCAAACCCCTATTTGAGGACCCTTCTCTGCCTTCCTCTCTGTCAGCATGGCTATTATGCGCACTAAATGCCATCTAAAGAATTATCCTATTCATCTTGTGTTCAATGCCTGCTCTGCTGTAAACTAGTGATAAATGACATGGGAACACCAACATTTTCAAGACTTTCAGCTTAGAATAGCATAAAATTGATACCACCCATTCCCATAGGTCCACTCAAATCTTGCTTTCCAGACCTCTTTGTTTCTAAACGGCCAATCTTGTTTCTTGTAGCCACTAACAAAGCAACCAAATCATTTGTCTCTCCTCAGGGGTCCATATATATTCTTACCTAAGACCACTTTTATTTACAGACCATGTTAGGTACAGATGTAACTTAATAGTATGCTTTCTGCTCACTGGGAAGTTTTTCCATCACCATTTTTTTTTCTAGGAAAATTTCCTCCTGAATGAGGCTGTAGTAAAGCAGCATTCCAATTTAAACCCACATCGATTGTAATCAAGTTGTGATGATTAATTTTATGGGCCAACTTTGTGAGATGAAACTAACATTTAAATCAATGAACTTTGAGTACTGCAGATTGTCCTCTATAATGTGGATAGGCCTCCCCCAATCAGTTGAAACCCCAAATAGAACAAAAAAAAAATGGACTCACTAAGCAAGAGAGAATTCTCAGGTAGATTGCCTTTAAACTTCATCTGCACCATTGGTTCTCCTGGGTTTCCAGGCAGGCAGCCTTCAGATGAGAATCATACCACTGGCTCTGCTTGGCCTTGGTCCTTCCAGTCTCCATGGCAGATATGAACTTGCTAGCCTCTAGAATCACGTGAGCCAATTTCTTATAATAAATTGTGTTTTACATATACATACATACACACACACACACACACATATACATATACATATGTTCTATTGACTTTGTTTCTCTGGAGAAAGCTGACTAATACATAAGCCAAACTAGTTTGTGAATCAGACCCAGGTGTTTTCCTTTTCCTACCATTTGGTATATTCATCCCAATAATGCACTTACAGATTTTTTTTAAAAATCACAGGGTGTATCTATGAACACATTAGAACCTCTCTGAGATAGACTGGTACCAGGACTCTATTTATCACCTTTGCAAGTTTCTATACTATCAGAAGGGCCATGTTGCCATTTTTGAGCCATCTGATTATAGTGTCACCTGAGATTATGTAACTAACAGCCATTGAAAGATCTCAGTGTTCCACTTTCCAGAGTTATTTGGCAATTAGCCATAAAGCCCTTCAGGGAAAGAATGGAGAAACTGCTACTACATACCCTTGCTGTGGAATTGCAGGGTTCTTCCTCAAGGGAACTTGAAATGTCCTTTCATTAAAGGGAAAAGCTGTGTGATGTCTTGGTCAAAGAACTGGCTCATGTCTGGAAGCTAGGTGAAAAATTGTATTTTTTTATTTTATTTTGCTGGCTCTCCTCAATCTCCTTGGTCACTTACTCGATCTTTTGTGGTTTTAGTAGACAAACAGCATCATCGTTGACTACTCATCTATCTCACCCCTAGACTCACCATGCTTTATATGCCTTTGTCACAGATTGCTGCAAGTCAAGGCCCCTTGGCCCATACTGGCCTTAATGCTAACCAGGTAATTACAACTGCCTTGCCTTTGATGTCTTGGTGCTGCTGTCAGTTTTCTCTCTCCTGGTTCATTATTCCCATTGACAGAAGCAAGCCCACTTCTATAAGTATCAGGAAACTGCCACTACTGAGCTTCTCAATGATGCCAGTGTTTCTCTCCCTAGTGAATGCCTTACCACTTACATGACGGACGTGTCCCCTAGACCCTCTCTGGAAATATAGTTAGCTAGTGGTTTCACTTATCTTATAAATAATCTTACTTAATAAATTCATTTTACACACTTTTCTATACTTTTAATCCTTGGTCAAGTCTGTGCCATAGTATTCTGATGTCTATACATTTACTGGCATTTTTTCTAGCCCTAAGGAACTATCTCAGCTCAAGAATCATAAAAACTAAGGGGTCATTTACAGGGCACCAATAACAGGTGCTCCAAAAACAAAAAGAGAAATCCTTTCCTATTTTTTATTGTCTAATATATGGCCCTAAATTCTGTACTGCCCAATACAGTAGCCACTTGCCACATCTGACTATTTAAATTTAAATAAATTAAAATTAAATCAAATTTAAATGTCAATTTCTCACTTACACTAGCTACATTTCAGTTGCTCAACAGCCACTTGTGGCTAATGACTACTTTCTTGGACAGGGCAGACAGAAAATATTCTTCCTCACAGAAAGTTCTATTGGAGAGTACTGCTTTAAAGTATCTCATATTTCTTCTACCTAAAAATATTATTAGCTATCATTTTCATTTATTTATACACTACACTATTGCCACCTCTTTACAATTATTTCTTGCAGCAAGCTTCTGAGACAGCTTCTATTTCTATCCTCACCATCAATATCACAGATGACAATCTCTAATATATTAAGATATGAGTTTTCCTAAATTTATGTAGCCAAAAAGTGGTGGGTCTGGGAAATAAACTCAGATCACCTGTCTCCAAATCCACTTCATAATGGTGCTTCCAGAGATCCTATTTTTCTTCTGACTTATATTTATCGCTATTATTTGATGTTAATATATACATTGAAGAGGAGTCATGGATCCTGGTACTGTGTGCTGTGAGAAGATGATAAATTTAATGTTTATGCGTGTGTGAGAGAGAAAAAAAAAAGGTGACACCTAGCAGTAATAACTAATAGAAAGTAGAAAAATGAATACAACCTCACAGAAATGTGAGACAACTTTAAGTACACCAATAAATATGTAATGGGGAAATCAGAAAGAATGGAGAAAAAGAAAGGAATATAAAAATATTTGCAGAAATAATGACTAAAAGCTTTTCAAATTTGCAAAAAAAAGACATTAATCCACAAATTCAAGAAGCTCAACAAACTCCAAGTAGGATAAATTGAAAGAAATCTACACCCAAGCACTTCATAAAAAAAAGTTGAAAGACAGAGAAAATCTTGAAAGCAACAAGAGAAAAATGACCCATCACATACAGGAGAACCTCAATAAGATTAGCAGAGGACGCCACATCAGAAACAATGAAGCCCAGAAGGCAATAGGATATTCAAAGTGCTGAAAGAAAAAAACCAGTGCATATTTGTCACCCAAGAATCTTACTTCTAGCAAAACTATTTTTCAAATAATGAAGGCAAAATAAAGACATTCCAAAAATGCCAAAGCTGAGAGATTTATTGCTAGCAGATCCACCTTACAAAAAAATACTAAAGAAAGTTTTTCAGGCCAAAAGTCTATCAACATGAAAATTCAAATTCACATGAGCAAAAAAAGAGCACCAATAAATTTAATAGTGTAACTATAAAAGACAATATAAATGCTATTTTTTATTCTCTTTAATAGTTTACAAAGTGATTATATAAAACAATATGCAAAGAATTATATTGTGGTGCTTATAACATATAGAAATATAGTATATTTGACAAGAACAGAAAAAGGAGCTGGGTAGAAGCAGAGTTGTACTGGAGTAAGGAAATGAAACCAGATGTTAAATCCACAGGAACAAATAAAGAGAAACAGAAATGGGAAAAAAGGAGGTAAATGTAACAAGTTCTAGAAGTATGCACTTGCTCTTTATTTCTCAGTACTTTTAATAGACATAAAATTATATAAAGTAATAAGTTTTACAAGGTATTATTGGGTTTGTGACATAGATGGGTGTAATACATATAACAGCAATACCACAGAAAGAAAGAAGAGGGAATAGAGCTATATAGAAGTAAAGTTTTCATATTATATTGAAATAAAGTTAGTATAAATCTGATAGTAGATCCTAATAGTTAAGATGTATATGGTAAGCTTGAAAGCAACTACTAAGAATATAGCTAAAAATTTTAGTAGAAAACTATTACAGGCATTAAAATATTACAATAGAAAATGTTCACTTAATGCAAATGAAAGCTGGAATGGCTATACTAATGTCAGATAAAGTAGACCTTAAAACAAAAAAGAGATAAAGAGGGGCATTTTATTACAATGAGTGACACTGGAAATGAATTACAGAAATACATTTGGGAATTTCACAGATATGTGAAAATTGAAAAACATACTGCTAAACAACCAATGAGTCAAAGAAGAAATCACAAGGTAAAGTAAAGAACACTTAAGATGAATAATGAAGACAGACGTATTAAAACTTACAGAATGCAGTTAAAGCCCTGCTAAGAGGTAAATTTATGGTTGTAAACACCTACATTAAAAGAGAAGACTGACCTCAAATCAACAACTAAGTATCCCTGTTAAGACAATAGAAAAAGAACAAACTAAATCCACAGCAAGCAGAAGGAAAATAATCATATGTATTAGAATGAAAATTAATAAAATAGATGATTAACAATAGACAAAATCACCAGAACGAGGAAGCAAGATGGTTGAATAGAAACCCTCCAGTGATTGTACCCCTTCAGGAACACCACATGGATCAACTATCCACACAAGAAAACACCTTCATAAGAAACAAAAATTAGGTAGGTGACCACAGTGCCTGGTTTTAACATCATATCAAGGAAAGAGGCACTGAAGAGGGTAGAAAAGACAGTCTTGTGTAGCCAACATGCCGTCTCCCACTTCCCCTGGCAGTGCTCCATGGCTTAGGGAGAAAGAGTCTGTGTGCTTCGGAGAGGGAGAGCAAAGTGATTGTGGGATGTTTCATTGGAACTCAGAGCTCCTTGTCAGAGCAGAAAGCAAAATAGGGCAGAATTCAGAATGCACCCTTGGAGGGAGCATTTAGATCAGCCCTAGCCAGAGGGGAAGTGTCCATCCCAGCCATTGAAACCTGAGTTTTGACTAGTCCCACCACCATGGGCTAAAAGACTCTGGGTCCTTAAATAAACTTGAAAGATGGCATAGGACACAAGGACTGTAATTCCTGGGAAGTCTTGGTGCTGTGCTGGGTGCAGAACCAGTGGACTTGGGGTGCATAAGATTCAGTGAGACACACCAGCTGGGATGGCCAAGTGTGAGCTTGGGCCACTGCTCCCCCAATTCCAAGCAACATAGCTCACAGCTTCAGGAGACACTCCTTCTGCTTGAGGAAAGGAGAGGGAAAAATAAAGGGGACTTTGTCTTGCAACTTGGATACCAGCGAGGCCACAGTACAATTAAGCACCAAGCAGAGTCATGGAGCCCCCATTCCAGCTGTAGCTCCTGGACAACATTTCTAGACCCACTCTGGGCCAGAAGGGAACCCACTTTCCTGAAGGGAAGAACCTAGTCCTGGCCTGTTTTATTACCTGCTGACTAAAAAGTCCTTGGGCTGTGAATAAACATCAGCGTTAGTCACAGAGTAGTTGCCACAGGCCTTGGGTGAGTCTCAGTACCATGCTGGCTTCAGGTGTGACCTAGTGGATTCCCAGCTGTGGAGACCTTGGGGAGAGAATCCTTCCGCTTGAGGAAAAGAGAAAAAAGTGAAGAGGACTTTGTCTAGCAAAGTGGGTACAGTTTAGCCACAGTAAAATAAAGTACCAAGCAGATTCCTAAAGTCCCTTATTTCAAGCCACAGCTCCTGGACCACATTTCTAGACCCTTCCTGAACAAGAAGGGAACCTAATTCTCTGAAGGGAGAGACCCAGGCCTGGCAGGATTTACCACCTGCTGACTAAGCAGGCCTTGGGCACAGGCTCTGGGGAAGACCCAGTACTGTGCTGGCTTCAAGTGTGACCCAGCATCATCCCAGCAGTGGTGGCTATAGGAGGACTTGTGTCATTCCTCCCCCAACTACAAGCAGCTCAGTATAGAGAGACAGAGACTCTGTTTAGGGGAGAGTTAGGGAAAGGACCAAAAGACTTTGCCAGGGAATTATCCTGAATCTTACGGAAGATCATCAAGGTGGTACCTTTATAATTCTGCGAGAGTCACAGCATTACTAGGCTTGGGGTGCCCCCTAATGCACATAAAGCTGCAGTGAGCAAAGATTTAAACCACAATACTCAATTTGCTTTGAATACTTGAAAAGCCTTCTCCGGAAGGATGGGTACCCAGACTCTGAAGGTTAGAATATATACTTAACTCTTCAATGCCCAGACATTGACTAACATCCACAAGCATCAAGACCATCCAGGAAAACGTGACTCACCAAATTAACTGAATAAGGAACCAATGACAAATTCCAGAGTGACTATATTGGGGAAGCTCAAGGAAATTCAAAATGACACAGAGAAGGTATTCAGAATCATATCAGATGAATTTAACAAAGAGATTGAAATAAATTTTTTAATCAAGCAGAAATTCTCAAGTTGAAAAATTCAGTTGACCAGCTAAAGAATGCATCAGAGCCTCTCAATTGATCAAGCAGAAAAAAGAATTAGTGAGCTTAAGAGAAACTGTATGAAAATACACAGAGGAGAAAAGAGAAAAAAGAATAACAGAAAAAAGCATGCCTAAAATATTTGGAAATAGGCTCAAAAAGCCAAATGTAAGAGTTATTGGCCTTGAAGAGAAGGCAGAGTGAGAGAATGGAGTAGAAAGTATATTCAAATAGATAATAACAGAGAATTTTCCAAACCTACATAAAGATATCAATATTCGAGTACAAGAAAATTATAGAACACCAAGCAGATTTAATCCAAATAAAACTACCTCAAGACATTTAATAATTGAGCTACCAAAAGCAAGCATAAATAAAGGATCCTAAAAGCAACAAGACAAAAGAAACAAATAATATACAAAGAACCTCCAATATGTTTCAGCCTTCCCAGTAGAAATCTTATAAGCTAGGAGAGAGTTGCATGACATATTCAAAGTGCTGAATGAAAAAACCTTTTATCTTAGAATAGTATATTCCATAAAAATATTCTCCAAATAAAGGAGAAATAATAATATTCCCAGACAAACAAAAGCTGAGGGATTGTCAACATGAGAACTGTCCTACAATAAATGCTAAACACAGTTCTTCAGTGTGAAATAAAAGGGCAATATCAAGCAATAAGAAATCATCTGAAGGTACAAAATTCATTGGTAATTGTAAGTGCATAGACAAATACAGTACATTATAACATTGTAATAACCAACTCATATCTTATAGGAAGACTAAAAGAGGAATCTATGAAAATAAATAACTATAACAATGTTTTAAGAGACAGACAATATAATAAGATATAAATGGAAACAAAAAGTTTAAAAGTAGGGGAAAATAAAGTTAAACTGTAACATTTTTATTAGTTTTGTCTTTGATTATTTGTTAGTTTTTTTTTTTTTTTTTGGCAATCAGAGTTAAATTGTCATCAGATTTAAATAATGAGTTATAAGATGTTATTTGAAAGCCCCATGGTAGCCTCACATCAAAGAACCTACAACAGATACAAATACACACACACATACAAAAACAAAAAGAAAGAATTTAAATTGACTACCAGAGAAAAATCATATTCACAAAAAGATAGACAGGAAGGAAGAAGGGAAGACCACAAAACAAACAGAAAATAAGTAACAAAATGGCAGCACTAAGGCCTTACTTATTAATAGTAACACTGAGCCAAAGTGGACTAAACTCTCCAGTCAAAAGACATGGAGTGGCTAAATAATAATAATAAAAGACCCAACTGTCTGTTACCTACAAGAAACTCACTTTACCTGTAAAGACAGACATAAAGTGAAAATAAAGGGGTGGAAAAAGAGATTCCACACAAACGGAAACCAAAAAGGTACAAGAGTAACTATACTTAGATAAGACAGATTTCAAGACAAAAACTATAAAAAGAAACAAAGAAGGTAATTATACAATGGTTAAGGGATCAATTCAGGAAGAGGACATAGAAATTATAAATATATATGTACATAGTACTGGAGATACAGATTTATAAAGCAAAATTTATTAGAGCTAAAGGGATAGATCACAATGCAATAATAGCTGGAGACCTAAACACCCCTTTTAGCACTGGACACATCATCCAGATAGAAAATCAACAAAGAAACACCAGACTTAATCTGCAGTACAGACCACATGGACCTAATAGATATTTACAGATCATTTCACTCAATGGCCACATAAGTCTCCTCAGCACACGGATCATTCTTAAGAATAAAGCATATGTTAGGCCACAAAACAAGTCTTTAAAAAATTCAAAAATATAATTATATCAAGTAACTTCCCTGACCACAATGAAATAAAACTAGAAATCAGTAACAAGAGAAACTTAGGAATCTATACAAACACATGGAAATTAAATTATATGCTCCTGAGTGACCAGTGGGTCAATGAAGAAATTAAGAAAAAAATTTTTAAAATGTCACGAAAGAAATGAAAATGGAAATACAACATACCAAAACCTACAGGATACCGCAAAAGCAGTACTAAAAGGAAAGTTTAAAGCAATAAGTACCTATGTCAAAACAGTAGAAGAACTTTAAATAAACGATCTAATGATGCATTTTAAAGAATTAGAAAACCAAGAGCAAACCAAACCCAAAATTAGTAGAAGAAAAGAAACAATAAATATCAGAGTAGAAATAAATGAAATTGTACCAAACGAAAATATAAAAGATCAAAATAAAAAGTTTGCTTTTTGAAAAGATAAACAAAATTGCGAACTTGCAGCAAGACTAAGAGAAAAAAACCGAAGACCCAAATAAATAAAACTGGAGATGAAAAAAGAGATATTACAAGCTGTGGACAGTGGCTCACACTTGTAATCCCAACACTTTGGGAGGCTGAGGTGGACAGATCGCTTGAGTCCAGGAATTAGAGACCAGCCTTGGCAAGATGGCTAGATCCCATCTCTACAAAAAGTGAAAAAATTACCCAGGCATGGCAGGGCGCCGTGGCTGATTCCTGTAATCCCAGCAGTTTGGGAGGCTGAGGCGGGCGGATCACGAGATCAGGAGATCGAGACCATGCTGGCTAACTTGGTGAAACCCCGTCTCTACTAAAAATACAAAAATTAGCCGGACGTGGTGGCGGGCGCCTTGTAGTCCCAGCTACTCAGGAGACTGAGGCAGGAGAATGGCATGAACGCGGGAGGCGGAGCTTGCAGTGAGCCGAGATAGCACCACTGCACTCCAGCCTGGGCGACAGAGCGAGACTCCGTAAAAAAAAAAATAATAATAATAATTACCCAGGCATGGTGGTGTGTACCTGTAGTTCCAACTACTCAGGAGGCTGAGGTGGAAGGATCGATTGAACCTGCAAGGTCAAGGTTGCAGAGAGCTATGGTTGCACCACTGCACTCCAGCCTGGGGGATAGAGCAAGACCTTGTCTCAAGAAAAAAAAAAAAAGAAAGAAAGAAAAGGAAAAAAGAAAAGACAAAGGAGACATTGCAAGTGACAATGCAGAAATTCAAAGGATCATGAGAAGCTATTTTGAGCAACCATATGCAACTAAATTGGAAAACCTAGAAGGAAATCAACAAATTCCTAGACATGTACAACCTACCAGGATTGAACAATGAAGACATCCAAACCTAAAGAGACCAGTAACAATTAATGAGATAAAAGTGTACTAAATAGTTTACCAGCAAAGAAAAATCTGGGACTCAATGGCTTTACTGCTGAATTTTACCAAACATTTAAAGAACTAATACCAATTCTACTCAAACTATTCTGAAAAATAGAGAAGGAAGGAATACTTCCAAACTCATTCTACAAGGCCAGTATTATCCTGATACCAAAACCACAAAGAAACATCAAAAAAGAAAACTACAGGCCAATATTTCTGACGAACATTGATGCAAAACACATCAACAAAATACTAACAAAACGAATTCAACAACATCTTAAAAAGGTCATACATCATGAACAAGTGGGATTTATTCCAAAGATGCAAGGATGATCCAATATATGCAAATCAATCAATGTGATATATCATAACAGAGTGAAGTCAAAGAATCATATGATAATGTAAATTGATGCTAAAAAAGCATTTAATAAAATTCAACATTCATTCGTGATAAAAATAAAACCTTCAAAAAACTATCTTTAGAAGGAACATACCTCAACCCAATAAAAAACATATATGATTGACCCACACCTAGTATCAGATGAATGCCTTTCCTCTAAGATCTGGAACATGACAAGGATGCTCACTTTCACCATTGTTATTCAACATAGTACTGGAAGAGTACTAGCTAGAGCAATCAGACAAGAGAAATAAATAAAGGGCATCTACATTGGAAAGGAAGAAGTCAAATTATCTTTGTGGATGATATGATCCTATATTTGGAAAATATCTAAAGAGTCTACCAAAAAACTGTTAGAACTGATAAATTCAGTAAAATTCTAGGATAAAATATTAACATCAAAACATCAGTAGCATTTCCATATGCCAAGAGCAAACAATCTGAAAATGAAATCAAGAAAGTAATCCCATTTTCAGTAGCTATAAATAAAATAAAATACCTACGAATAAACTTCACTAAAAATTGAAAGAGCTCGACAATGAAACCTCTAAAATGTTGATGAAATAAATTGAAGGGGACACAAAAAAATGGAAAAATGTTCCATGTTCATGGTTTAGAAGAATCAATATTGCTAAAATGCCCATATTATGCAAAGTGATCTTCAGATTCAATGCAATTCCTATCAAAATGCCTATAAAATAATTCATAGAAATAGAGAAAAAAAATCCTAAAATTCACAGAGAACCACAAAAGACCCAGAATATCCAATGCCATCCTGAGCAAAAAGGATAAAACTGGAGGAATCACATTACCAGACTTCAAATTATACTACAGAGCTATAGTAACCAAAACAGCATGCTACTGGCATAAAAACAGATACCTAGACCAATGAAACAGAATTGAGAGTCCAGAAATAAATCCAAACACCTACAGTGAACTCACTTTTTTTTTTTTTTTTTGAGACGGAGTCTCGCTCTGTCGCCCAGGCTGGAGTGCAGTGGCGGGACCTCGGCTCACTGCAAGCTCCGCCTCCCGGGTTCACGCCATTCTCCTGCCTCAGCCTCCCAAGTAGCTGGGACTACAGGCGCCCGCCACTACGCCCGGCTAATTTTTTGTATTTTTAGTAGAGACGGGGTTTCACCGTTTTAGCCGGGATGGTCTCGATCTCCTGACCTCGTGATCCGCCCGCCTCGGCCTCCCAAAGTGCTGGGATTACAGGCGTGAGCCACCGCGCCGTGAACTCACTTTTAACAAGAATGCCGAGAACATACATTGAGGAAAGGACAGTCTCTTCAATAAATGGTACTGGGAAAAATGGATATGTATATGCAGAAGAATGAAACTAGTTTCCTATTTCTCACTATATTCAAAAATAAAATAATAATTGATTAAGACCTCAAACTATAAAATTATTAAAAGAAAACTTTGAGGAAACTATCCAGGACATTGTAGTAGGCAAAGATTTCTTTAGTAAAACCCCATAAGCACAGGCAACCAAAGCAAAAATGGGCAATTGGGATCACATTAAGTCAAAAAACCTTTGCACAGAAAAAGAAAAGAAACAATGAACAAAATGAAAAGAAAACCCACAGAATGCGAAAACTATTGGCAAACTATTCATCTAACAAGGGATTAATAACCAAACTGTGTAAGAAAGTAAAACAACTCAGTAATGCAAAATCTGATAATCCAATTAAAAAATGGACAAAATATCTGAATAGACATTTCCTAAAATAAAACATACCAAAGACAAACATGTATATGAAAAGGTACTCAATATCATTGACCATCAGAGAAATGCAAATCAAAGCTGCAATGAGATATTAATGGTATCCCAGTTAAGATGGCTTTATCCAAAAGGCAGGCAATAGTGAATGCTGGTGAGGATGTGGATAAAAAGAAAGCCTCATACACTGTTGGTGGGAATGTAAACTAGAACAGCCACTTTGAAGAACTGTATGGAGGTTCCTCAAAAAACTAAAACAGAATACCATATGATCCAGCAATCCTACTGCCAGGTATATACCCAAAAGAAAGTAAATAAGTCTATCAAAGAAATATCTGTGCTCCCATGTTTATTGCAGCACTACTCACAACAGCCAAGATTTGGAATCAAGCTGTGTCCATTGAAGGAAGAATGGGTTAAGAAAATGTGGTACATAAACACAATGATGTGCTATTCGTCCATAAAAATGAAGGAGATCCTGTCATTTGCGACAACATGGATGGAACTAGAGGATATTATATTAAGTGAAATAAGCCTAACACAGAAAGACAAACTTTGTATTTCCTCACTTATTTGTGGGAGCTAAAAATTAATATATTTGAATTCATAGACAGAGAGTATAGTATGATAGTTACCAGAGTCTGGGAAGGATAATGGCAGGGCGGAGTAGACATTGTTAATGGGTACAGAAATATAGTTAGAATAAATGAGATCTAATATTTGATAGCACAGTAGGCTGACTTGGTCAACAATAATTTATTGTACCTTTTAAAATAACTAAAAGACTATAAGCATAATGTTTATGACACAAAGAAATGATTAATGCTTGAGATAACGGACATCCTATTTACTCTGATATCATTATTACACATTGTATGCCTGTATCAAAATATATCATGTAACCCTAAATATATACACCTACTCTGTATGTATAAAAATTAAAAATTAAAACATTTAAAAAATAATAAAAATAAATGCCATTAATTAAAAAGTAAATACTATTTTTAGAAACATTTCTAACTAATTGTGGCTGGTGAATAGAAAAACAGTTGACTTCTTAATATTAGCTTAGTATCATCCAGAAAAAGTGCTGCATTCTTCTTGTTTTCTGTGTAAAGAACTGTATCATTTCTGAATGACAGATTTGTTTGTTTCTTTACAGTTTCAATAACTTTAGTAAATATTATATTAACTAAAAATGATGATAGTAGAAAAGAAAATCAACAAAACCAAAGTTGGTTATTCGAGGAACTAAACTTATAGGAATACAAAGCATTATAAAGGAAAAATAATGAACAACTGTAGGTCAAGAAATTAGATATGTTTAATAAAAAGTACAAACCTCTAGAAAGACAAACAATGGCCACTTTCTTTAGAATAACAAAAAAACTCTGAATACAATCATAACAAGTGAAGTATTTCTGGTTCTAGGTCCTTGAGGAATTGCCACACTGTCTTCCGCAATGGTTGAACTAATTTACACTCCCACCAATGGTGTAAAAGCATTCCTATTTCTCCACATCCTCTCTAGCATCTGTTGTTTCCTGACATTTTCATGACCGCCATTTTAACTGGCATGAGGTGGTCTCTCATTGTTGTTTTGTTGTGCATTTCTCTAATGACCAGTAATGATGAGCCTTTTTTCCTATGTTTGTTGGCCACATAAATATCTTCCTTTGAGAAGTGTCTGTTCATATCCTTCGCCCACTTTTTGATGGGGTTGTTTTTTTCTTGTAAATTTGTTTAATTTCCTTGTAGATTCTGGATACTAGCCCTTTGTCAGATGGAGAGATTGCAAAATTTTTCTCCCATTCTGTAGGTTACCTGTTCACTCTGATAATAGTTTATTTTGTTGTGCAGAAGTTCTTTAGTTTAATTAGATCCCATTTGTCAATTCTGGCTTTTGTTGCCATTGCTTTTCATGTGTTAGTCATTAAGTCTTTGCCCATGCCTATGTTCTGAATGGTATTGCCTAGGTTTTCTTCTAGCATTTTTATGGTTTTGGGTTTTACGTTTAAGTCTTTAATCCATCTTGAGTTAATTTTTGTATAAGGTATTAAGTAAGGCATCCAGTTTCAGTTTTCTACATATGAGTAGCCGGTTTTCCCAACACCATTTATTAAATAGGGAATCCGTTCCCCATTGCTTGTTTTTGTCAGGTTTGACAAAAGTCAGATGGTTGTAGATGTGTGGCATTATTTCTGAGGCCTCTGTTCTGTTCCATTGGTCTATGTATCTCTTTTGGTATCAGTACCATGCTGTTTTGATTACTGTAGACTTGCAGTATAGTTTGAAGTCAGGTAGCATGATGCCTCCAGCATTGTTCTTTTTGCTTAGGATTGTCTTGGCTGTATGAGCTCTTTTTTGGTTCCATATGAAATTTAAAATAGTTTTTCTAATTCTGTGAAGAAAGTCAATGGTAGATTGATGGGGATAGCATTGAATCTATAAATTACTTTGGGCAGTATGGCCATTTTCACAATATTGATTCTTCTTATCCATCAGCATGGAATGTTTTCCCATTTGTTTGCATCCTCTCTTATTTTCTTGAGCAGTGGTTTGTAGTTCTCCTTTAAGATATCCTTCACATCCCTTGTAAGTTGTATTCCTAGGTATTTTATTCTCTTTGTAGCAATTGTGAATGGGAGTTCACTCGTGATTTGGCTCTCTGTTTGTCTATTATTGATGTATAGGAATGTGATTTTTTATCCTGAGACTTTGCTGAAGTTGCTTATCAGCTTAAAGAGATTTTGGGCTGAGATGGTGGGTTTTCTAAATATACAATCATGTCATCTGCAAACAGAGACAATTTGACTCCCTCTCTTCCTATTTGAATATGCTTTATTTCTTTCTCTTGCCTGATTGCTCTGGCCAGAACTTCCAATACTACATTGACTAGGAATGGTGAGAGAGGGCATCCTTGTCTTCTGCCAGTTTTCAAAGGAATGCTTCCAGTTTTTGCCCATTCAGCATGATATTGTCTGTGGGTTTGTCATAAATAGCTCTTATTAATTTGAGATACATTCCATTAATACCTAGTTTGTTGAGAGTTTTTACATGAAGGGGTGTTGAATTTTATCAAAGGCCTTTTCTGCATCTGTTGAGATAATCATGTGGTTTCTGTCATTGGTTCTGTTTGTGTGATAGATTACGTTTATTTATTTGCATATGTTGAACCAGCCTTGCATCCCAGGGATGAAGCTGACTTGATCATGGTGGATAAGCTTTTTGATGTGCTGCTGGATTCGGTTTGTCAGTATTTTATTGAAGGATTTTCACATTGATGTTCTTCAGAGATATTGGCCTGAAGTTTTTCTTTTGTTGTTCTTGTGCTCTGCCAGGTTTTGGTATCAGGATGATGCTGGCCTCAGAAAATGAGTTAGGGAGGATTCTTTCTTTTTCTGTTGTTTGAAATAGTCTCATAAGGAATGGTAGCAGCTCTTCTTTGTACCTCTGGTAGAATTCAGCTGTGAATCCGTCTGGTCCTGGGGTTTTTTTGGCTGGCAGACTATTAATTACTGCCCAATTTCAGAATTTATTGGCCGATTCAGGGATTCAACTTCTTCCTGGTTTAGTCTTGGGAGGGTGTATGCAACCAGGATTTATCTATTTCTTCTAGATGTTCTAGTTTATTTGTGTAGAGGTGTTTATAGTATTCTCTCATGGTAGTTTGTGTTTCTGTAGGATCAGTGGTGATATCCCCTTTATCATTTTTTATTGTGTCTATTTGATTCTTCTCTCTTTTCTTCTTTATTATTCTGGCTAGCGATCTATTTTGTTAATCTTTTCAAAAAATCGGCTCCCAGATTCATTGATTTTTTGAAGGATTTTTCATGTCTCTGTCTCCTTCAATTCTGCTCTGATCTTAGTTATTTCTTGTCTTCTGCTAGCTTTTGAATTTGTTTGCTCTTGCTTCTCTAGTTCTTTTAATTTTGGTGTTAGGGCATTGATTTTAGATCTTTCCCGCTTTCTCCTGTGGGCATTTAGTGCTATAAATTTCCCTCTGAACACTGCTTTTCAGAGATTCTGGTATGTTTTGTCTTTGAGACAGGAAAACGTAAAATTAAGAAAACAATTCAATTCATAATAGCATGAAAAAGTGCTCAGGAAAAATTTTTTTAAAAAGAAATGCAAGACTTACACTCTAAAAACTTTAAAATAATATTGAAAGACATTAAAAATGACCTAAATAAGTGGAAAGATATTATATCATCAATAATCAGAAGATGATATTGTTAAGATGGAAGTACTCCCCAAATTGATTTACAGATTCAGCAAAATCTCTATCAAAATTCCAGCTGTCTTCTTTGCAAGAATAAATTGGAAAGCTGTTGCTATAATTCCTACATAAATTCAAGGAACCTAGAATAGTCAAAACAATCCTGAAAAAGAGCAAAGTTTGAGAATTCACATTTTCTGATGTTAAAATTTCCTATAAGGAGACTGTAATCAAGACTGTGTGGTATGGCTACTGTGTGTGTGCGTGTGTGTCTGTGTGTGTGTGTGACATAGAATTGGGAGTTTAGAATTAAGCCCTAACATTTACAATCAGTTGATCCTCAACAAGGGTGGCAAGAGAATTCAATGGTGCAATAATAGTCTTTTCAACAAATGATGCTGGGAAAACTGAATATCCACATGCAACTGAAGTTGGATCCTACCTCACACCATATAAAAATTAACTAAAAATAAATCAGAGACCTAAAAGTAAGATCTAAAACTATAAAACTCTTAGAAGAAAATTTAGGCATAAATATATATGACGTTGCATTAAGCAATGTTTTCTTAGATATAATACCAAAAGCACAAGCAAAAAAAGATAAGATATGCATCATCTACATCATCAAAATTAAAAATTTTGTGCTTCAAAAGTATACCATCAAAAACATAGAAGGGCTACCTACAAAATGGAAGAAATTTTTTACAAATCGTATGTCTAATAATAGCAATGTGATACTACTTCACACCCACTACAATGGCTATAATATAAGAAATAACAAGTGTTAGCAAAGGTTTGGAAAAATCAGAACCTTCAAACATTGTAATGTAGGAGTATAAATTAATGTAGCCACTTTGAAATCAGTCTAACAGTACTTCAAATATGATACAGCAATTCCACTTTTAGGTTTATACCTGAGAAAAATAAAAGCATAGGTCCACACAACATGTACACACATTTTTAACATTTATAGCAATGTTATTCACAATAGTCAAAAGGTTAAAACAAGTCAAACGTCCATCATATGATAAATGCATCAGCAAACTGTGATATATCCATACAATAAGATATTATCTGGCAATAAAATCAAATGAAATACTGACATGGGAGAATCTTAGAAACATAATTCTAAGTGAGGAGATCGGTCAAAAAGGGTCACATATTGTATGACTCCATTTATATGTAATATTCTAGTGTAAGCAAATCTATAGAGACAGAAAGTAGATTAGTGATTGCCTAGGGCTGGAGGGTTAGAGTTGGGGAGTATTGAGGATTATAGGTGACAATTAAAGTGTGTAGGATTATTTTGGGGGGTGATGAAAATATTCTAAAGCTGATTATGGTGATAAATGCACAACACTGAATGTGCAAAAAGTCCTTGAATTGTACACTTTAAATGAGTCAATTGTAATAATATTTTTTATAATATAGAAAATGACATGTGGCATGCTATGGTACCAATAAAGCAGTTTAAAACAGAATAATAGCTAAATGCCAGGATTTCTGTAAAATGAGAAAACTAAGAGCAAATATAGTAATATATAAATCATATAGACTTTCTCTGTCCAATACAGTAGCCACTAGCCACATGTGCCTATTGAAATTTAAATTTTCATTAATTAAAATTAAGTACAATTAAAAATTAAATTATTTACTCACAGTTACCACATTTCAAGTATTCAATAAACACACGTGACTAATGGCTTCATTTTGAAAAGTGTATATATAACACACATCCATCATCTCAGAAGGTTCTATTGTACGGTATTGATGTCTACAATATAAATATCATAGACTTATTTTTACATTTCCCAGTATATTATCTACTTAAGAACTATTTTTTACTTTCAGACTTTTGTCCTTTTTGATTTAAAATAAATTTTCTTAAATATAGATATAATTTTTTAAAGATGTTTTTACCTTGAAAAAAACATGGTTAACCTATATTAGCTCCCTGTTGCCATCTCCATCTCTCACAAAACAAAAACCGGTCTGGATCACTGAAGTATAATATTTTCAATAGCATTCAGTTTGAATGTTTACACAGAAAAAGGTAGTTTATAAGACTGAAGGTAGAGAAAGATGACAGTCTGGCATATTATGATGAATCTTATTGGTATGTAAATATTGGGTATTAATTTAGAAACAAAGGTGGTTATGACAGTGAAGCGCTAATATTTCAACCTCATTTGAGGAGGAAATATGCATTTGATTGAATCAAAGGTGTTCAAAAGGAGGGTTATTTTAATTGCTATGTCACTGAAGAATAAGAAAAAGGTAAAAGAAAATACTCTATTGATATGTGTTGTCATCTGGATTTGCTTTTCTGTAGTCATCTGTGTGTGCATTTGATTGTATTTTATGTCACCCTGGTGAACAATACCACAATATGTCAAGACCATTTAGAATTCAACTACAAAGGAGCTAAGAAAAGGGTTATGGTTTTCATGTTGATCAGCATCTTCTGCTTAGATTGGGAGGCCTTAAAATTAACTCCAGTAATATAAAAAAAAATCAGACACAATGCAAAACAGGCAATCTCACAAAAGACTTCCTTTATGGCTCATCAGAGTAAATTTCTTGTCAAAATACTCTGCGCTAAGTAAAGGTTATCTATTCATATGAACACCTGACTTATAAAATCAATCAGGGCACAATAAGAAAGATGCCTGCTTTTTGCATGCATTCAAATTGTTGTTCCCATTAACTTAACTTCCTAAAAATATATTTCATTTTTTCAGTCTGCTCTGCATAACTCATTAACATCATAATCGCCAGCAATAATTGCCTAAAGTAAGTAAAGAAAATCGCTAAAGATGAAGAGTTGAATTACCACTTAATGAAATAAGAAAAAAAGAAGACAATTTAAATCAACAGTCTAAGATGCTGCAACCACTCCCTTCCTTCAGAAAATGTATAGTAATTGTGTTTTTTTGGAGCCTGTTGTGTTTATAAATGAGGATTCGCAGACAGTCAATTCTCAAAATGATTCTACGAGTTTAATTGATGATATGAATCAGATGAACTTAAGAATATTTTCTCAGCAATCTAAAGCTGCATTTTTATAACAAGTTGCAAAATAAAACTATTTAAGATATTTTTGAAATCATCTCTATGCTGATTAGAAGGCCTGACCAAAATGAAGTGTTTCTTCTAGAACTCAAAAGGTGGATTCTCTCAAAGAAATGTTTAATCTATTTGGGGATTTGTTGGTTATCCCTTTTAACCAGTATTCTTCCATTGTAGTTGATTTCTACTCCCAGAAAACATTTGACAATGTGTGAAAAAAATTTTATTATTCACAACTTAGTGATTGCTACTGAGATCCAAGACAGCTCCCTGTAATAAAGAATCACCTGGCTCAAAATGACAATAGCAACAAGGTGGAGAAGCCCTGATTTACACCAACAAAAGGACCTAAGAGAGTCTTATAAAAGGCAGTGAATAAAATAAAAAGATAATGTCTCGAAATAAAAAATAATCTGTTCAAAGTCAAAATAGTAATGCAATGTTTTACAAAACGATAATTTATTTTGCAATTTAGAGAGCAAACTGGACATAGGGAGACAGAAGAAAGGGAATGAGGATACATTCCTCCAGCTGCCCTTATTGGCCAAAACTTTAACTCATGTCAAATAATCAGACACTAACTGTAGTAAAGGATAATTATGATTTATCATTTTTATATTTATTTATTGACTCTGTAAGCATATGAGTTATTATGAGAAATAGATTAAGTGGGTTGACAGCATCAGGCAAGTACACATGTAAAAGGATAGTAAAGTGGAATTTTGGCAGATGCTTTAATACAATGGTTATCAAACATTACCATGCATCAGAATTAACTGAAGGATGTTAAAAACACAGACTAATGGCGGCCTCATCTCTATAATTTCTGACCCAGTAGTTCTGGGGTGGGTTTTAAGAATTTGCAGCACTTTTAATAAGTTATTCAGTGGTGGTGATAGTGCTGGTCTGTGGCCACTTTGAGAACCACTTCTCTAATTCAGTAGATACTGCATCCTAAATGAAGTGCAGTACAACTATGATGCAAATTTCACTTGCAATAATAATATAAACAGTTATATATTAGGAGACGAGGAAAGTGGAAGTTATTTTAGAGAGAACTCTAAAATGTGCGCTGTGGAGTCCTATCCCCTCACAAGTGGTTGAGGTGGGGCTGGAGAGTGCAGGCAGCTTCCATTAAGACTAGGGAAAGACGCTTCAATGCAACCACTTGGAGGGATATGTTTCTCATAGTTTGCAGCATAGAGGGGAACTCTGTCTCTCACTTAAGAAATCCAAAGAACAAGAGAGACTGGTTGACTAGCTGATCAATGGCAGGGAAAAATGTTAAGTTTCTAGTATGGTGGAATTAACCTGCATAGTTGGAATTTGTCAGGGAAAAAGATGAAAGAGTGTTTCTCACCTGGAGATCGTGCATGGCCTGTGTGCAAGGGACACAGTGTTGGGGCAATCTCTTTTTTTTTTTTTTTTAGATGGAGTCTTGCTCTGTCACCAGGCTGGAGTACAGTAGCACAATCTAGGCTCACTGCAACCTCTGCCTCCTGGGTTCAAGCTATTCCTCTGCCTCAGCCTCCCAAGTAGCTGGGACTACAGGCACAAGCCACCATGCCTGGCTAATTTTTTTGTATTTTAGTAGAGACAGGTTTTCACCATGTTGGCCAGGAAGGTCTCGATCTCCTGACCTTGTGATCCACCTACCTCGGTCTCCCAAAGTGCTGGGATTACAGGTGTGAGCCACTGCACTTGGCCGGGGTAATCTTAAATTTTGTCCAAAAGGGAAGACTACAGGGAGTTAAGGGACCTTAATAGAAAAGGCTGGAAATATTGCTGGATTGGTAGGGGCTGGGAGGAAGTAAGAATATCAGCCATAATAGAGATGCCTTTGCAGTAGAGTCAACAATAGTAGCTAGTGTTTGGATAGATATTTAATCATAACCTCATTTATATTTATGCCATGCCAAAGAAGAAACATTCTATCAAAGCTGCCCATTTAGAGATTGTATTAGTCAGGGTTCTCTAGAGGGAAGAGTCACTAGAGTCTCAAAACTGAAGAACCTGGAGTCTGATTTTCTAGGGCAGGACTCATCCACCACAGGAGAAAGATGTAGGTAGGCTGGAAGACTAGGCCAGTCTCGCCTTTCACGTTTTTCTTCCTGCTTTATATTCGCTGGCAGCTGATTTGATTATGCCCACCAGATTAAGGGTGGGTCTGCCTTCCCCAGCCCACTGACTCAAATGTTTCCTTTGGCAACACCCTCACAGACACACCCAGGATTAATACTTTGTATCCTTCAATCCAATCAAGGTGATACTCAGTATTAACCATCACAGAGATATTTATGCCTTCTGGCAAATTTCTTCTTATGTTAGAATACAAATTAGAAGGTATAGACCAATGTTCAGTTTCAAATTCATTATAAAGTGACGGTGGTACCATTATAATCCATTACATGCATTGAGTTCTTGTTTCCCACTTGTTGAGACATGGATTGCTCATATATGTGACTGATCAATAAATCCTCCACAGATGAAAATATATCCTGGAGAAGCACAAAAGACAACTTCTTGTGGGATACCTTTCGCATTAGGGGTCATCAGTAAGAAAGCACTAGTAGTATTTATTTAAAGCTCTACTACTGAACTATTGCATGGCTGGAAACTACTAATAATTAGAGAATTAGGGTTACAGACTTGACTACAAACTGTTGAATTATGTTTTCTTTTGGTTTTCTGCCAATTTTAGTGTCTAAAATAACATTTGTCCTTTCAATGTTCCCAGAAGATTGAAGATGATAGGGACAATGTTAATGCCATTGTGATTGTAATACTTTATGTAACTGTTTTATAATATGTATAGTAAAGTGAGTGCCTCTATCATCAGAGACTTATCTGAGAATATCCTATAAAGAAAACATATTTACTCATGATATTTTAGTTACTGGTATAACACCAGCCTTCCTATATAGCAAATCTTCTATTGAACCAAATAACATACAGATAATTACAAGAACATTTTGATAATCCATGGAGGGTGGAAATTGAATGAAATCCATCTTTAAGTGTTCAAATAATCCAGTAGGTGGCAGAAATGTAACACTTGAGGTTTTTATTATTTTACTAGGATTAAGAGTTTTCAATCCAATCAGTGGTTATAGACCATTTTAGAAATTCTTAGTTTCTATACCAATATTTTTTGTATCATTTTGACTACTCCATCATAGTCGCAGGGTGCAGAGCTCCTAATAATAGAAACTTTAAAGACTCAGGAAAGAACAGGCAACCATCAGGGCCCTCTATGAGTCCACAGTCAATTTTGAATATACTTTCTTCTAAATATCAATTTTCATTCTCTAATTCTGGTGCACAGCACTGTTTATTAAATAGGTTATCTTAGGTAATTTGACTTGGATCAATCCTGTGGAGTTTATTCAAATTGCATATTTTAACAGTTTCAGTACTAGCTGGTTTAGCATGAAAATCTGCCAAAGTGTTTATTTGGTACTCAATTAATTCTTGTCCTTCTTGATGTTAGGTTAGCAGTTTCATGAACCAATCGGCTTCTTCATTAGAGTTATGGCAATTATCATCCAGTTTAATAGTATGATCTTAAAGTTATCAGAAATGTATACTTATCAAAGTCTGTCCCATGAATTTCCTTAAAGACACTTTACATTTATAGTTGCTTCAATAGTGCTCAAGAAAGTACCAGAGTAAAATTATTAACTGTAGTAGAAGACAATACTTAAAGTGGCCATGCAAAATATCTGATGAGAAATTATTATAAAGCAATTTTCAGGGAAATTACATTTTTTCTGTGATATACAATATTGTAGGATACTAACTAGAATTATGACTGACAGCATTATTGTAGGACCATCAGATTTATAGGAGTTTTGCACAATTTCTGGAACACATATTAATAACATTTCCATAGCATGGTTTGAAAAAGGTTCAGCATCACATTATTTGACCATACTTCCCATGCAATTTAACATATCATATAAGACAATTAGTTTAACACATTTCCTTTTATAAGACAAAAATTCTTGGGAGAGGTGGGGATGGTTAATGGGTACAAAAAAGAGTGAAAGAATGAATAAGACTTATTATGATAGCCGAATAGGGTGACTATAGTCAAAAAATAACTTAATTGTATATTTTGAAATAACCTAAAGAATGTACTTGGGTTGTTTGCAACTCAAACAAGAAATGCTGAGAGGATAGATAACTCATTCTCCATAATGTACTTATTTCACATTAAATTCCTGTATCAAAATATCTCATGTATGACATAAGTATATACATCTATTTTGTACACACAAAAATTTAAACAATAAAAAAAAATTTTTTTAATTCTTTTGAGATATTCCAGGGGTCCATCTGAAAACTCCCGAAGTTAGTTTGAGATCAAAAGATCTTAGTTTACAATTTGATTTTGGGAAGTTGTCAAAAATGTTAAAAGATTGGAAACACTTCGTTAAAATAGAATCACAGATCACTGTGAAACAGTATATATTCATTTAACTGTAGAGATTATTAAATGATTTCAATGGCAAATACAGAAAACCACATACTTCTAGGAAAAGCCTTAGCTTTTATTAAAGAGGACTCAGTTTTCTTAAGTAATCGAAAGCCTAATAAAGCCAACGTGAACTACAGGAAATCATCTGGATAAAACACAGATTCTTTGTTTCCCAGTCCAATTACTAAAAAGCTAAAGAAAAACCTTTCACAATTTATTATTAAGCGCAGACCAATACTAAAAGCAAACAAACACAAACAAAAACAAACAAAACTTGTTGTTTTAAGAGATTAAACTAGGCCGGGCACAATGGCTCACGCCTGTAATCCCAGTACTTTGGGAGGCCGAGGTGGGCAGATCACGAGGTCAGGAGATCGAGACCATCCTGGCTAACACGGTGAAACCCCGTCTCTACTAAAAAATAAAAAAATAAAAAATTAACCGGGAGTGGTGGCGGGCGCCTGTGGTCCCAGCTACCGGGGAGGCTGAGGCAGGAGAATGGGGTGAACTCGGGACGTGGAGCTTGCAATGAGCCGAGATCGTGCCACTGCACTCCAGCCTGGGTGACAGTCCAAGACTCCATATCAAAAAAAAAAAAGAGCGATTAAACTAAAATCTAATTTTGCATTAGTATACTTTTGACATTAAAACTACATTTTAAAAACTTACAAATAATTTCCTTTCAAATCTTAGCCAACTTGAGCACACATAAAATTTTATCAAACTTCCTTTTCCACAAACCTATAACTTTCTCATATCTATTCAATTTTTGTCTTTATGTTTTTCCTCTTTCTCACTGTGGAACAGCCAGTCCTTCTATTTTGGGACAAAAATTACCATTTTTCTCTTAACTAATCAAAACACACTTTCATACTTAATAGGTTTTCTAACAAAATACACACCTTACTTTCTTTGTATACATGCACATAGAGTTGTTTCCTTTATTATGTAAAATAATTTTAGTTATTTATGGTTGATCTTTGAATGGCACGAGTTTGAACTGCACAGGCCCACTTCTACATGGATTTTCTTCTGCCTCTGCCACCCTGAGACAAGCGAAATCAACTCTTCCTTTTCTTCCTGCTCCTCAACTTACTCAATGCGATGACATTGAGGATGAAGACATTTATTAACATATAGTAAATATATTTTCTCTTCCTTGTGATTTTCTTAACATGTCTCATTTTCTCTAGCTTACTTCATTGTAAAGATATAGTACATAGTACATATAGCATATTAAATATGTGGCAATTGTGGCCGGGCACGGTGGCTCACGCCTGTATTAAGAGCAGACCAATACTAAAAGCAAACAAACACAAACAAAAACAAACAAAACTTGTTGTTTTAAGAGATTAAACTAGGCCGGGCACAAAGGCTCACGCCTGTAATCCCAGCACTTTGGGAGGCCGAGGAGGGCAGATCACGAGGTCAGGAAATCGAGACCATCCTGGCTAATACAGTGAAACCCCGTCTCTACTAAAAATACAAAAAATTAGCCGGCCTGGTGGCGGGCGCCTGTAGTCCCAGCTACTCAGGAGGCTGAGGCAGGAGAATGGTGTGAACCCGGGAGGCGGAGCTTGCAGTGAGCCGAGATCGCGCCACTGTGCTCCAGCCTGGGCGACAGAGCGAGACTCCGTCTCAATAAATAAATAAATAAATAAATAAATAAATAAATAAATAAATGGCAATTGTTTATGTTATTGATAAGGCTTCTGGTCAACAGTGGGCTATTAGTATTTTAGTTATGTTTGGGAGAATCGAAAGTTATATGCAAATATTTGTACATGGGGAAAGGTACCACTAACTCCTGCATTATTCAAGGGTTAAGTGTATATCAATTTGAATTTTTAACCCTTAGAAACTTCAATTTCTGGTGAAAACTAAGAAGTATGCAATTGTGAACTGCCTGTCACACCAACATTCTATAGATTAGCAAACCTATAAATCATAATTTCTTGAAGCATGTGCTTCCTCATAGCATAATTTTTCATTTTGGCACAGAACATATTTACTAACAAACACAACTATCTTTAGTCTCTGTGCAATAAGAAATTGTAGGGGACACAACATTTTTATCTCTGTCTTCTGTCTTCTTAGTTTTTTTTTACCTTTAACTCAAAATAGACAATATGTCAGAGCAATGTATTTGAGGGGGTATCTTATGAACTTCTTCAAAGCAAAGAGTAAATAAATTTAAAATTATGTCAAGAAATGTTTTGGCACATTATCTTATTTGTAAATGATTGAAATATTCAATGAATATGCATTATTTAATTTAACTTCATATAACTTTAGATGTGTAAGTTACCAAAGAGATTTGGGAAATCTTTTTTTTTAAGTAGGCATTATAGAAACATAATTATTGTGAAGAGCTTATTTATAAACTGTTATCTTACATATATTTAATTCATTTATTTTTAACAATATTGCCTGGATTGCTCATAAAAATGAGACATTAAACAACTAGTCATCATCTCAAGTTAGTTTTCTGGCTGATAATTTTATAATGTAAGAGATAACATCAGTTTATTTTATTTGTAAACTTAGGTAGGAAAAGTTGTGTGTCATATTATATTTAATGCTGACAACTCTAAAGACATGCCTATATTCATCAAACTAACAAACTTGAACTAGCTTTTATTTACTGAAGATTATCCCAGATTACATGAACTTGAAAAACATTTTAGGTTAATTTCTATCTTTCTAAGAGTTTAAGGAATGCTTAATATTTATCAATACTTATTTTTCTTTAAGCCAACTCAATAGAGCTCTTTTATGATTTAATTTTGGTGATACCATCCAGAGGTGGAAAATGTATCACGTATACATACATAAACATGCAGATAGAAGCAGATCTTACAGCTTTCATTCTAAAATTTTAGCCATGTGCCTTGTGTAATAATAAAAGCTCACTATTTTATTAAAGAATACCTGGAATTGATTTTTTTCTGGCCAGTGAGATAAGATTACCTGCACATATAGCTAAAGCTTTTTATTAATATTGGAAAAAATCGTTTAAGCTTTCTCATTTGCCTTTTATAAGAGGTCATTTAGAGGGGCAGCTTTTGATTCATTTAGTCTTTTGGAAGGCTCTACATTTCAATAAAATATGCATCCTATTGTTTCTGAGGCATTTTAGATTCTTGTTTTTCTAACATGACTCAAGAATTCAAACTTTTTTGTTGTGGGCACTGTATTTCTCAGTTGTTCTTAGTAAAGTCAAACCATTTTTGTAAAAATACACAGGATTTGGGAGTGTAATTTTTTAAGATAAGATTAGTTGGCATCCCAGAAAGTGAAGTACTAGAATCCTGGAGTCCTTAAATTCAGAGGAACTTATTTTCAGAAGGTACCTATCTGAGACCTCTAAGCCCAGTCAAGTTAGTTATCAAATCCAATCTGATTCTGAACCCAATCCAGTTTTTTTAATGCTCAGTAAAGTCAGAGGGCTCAAAAGTGAAATTTGCTGACTCAAATCTGGCATAGTACTCACCCACAACCTCCATTTGCAGTGACAGAACAGGGGGTACAGTGGGCCAGCGTGTACCTTCATTTGGTTACTGGGTGTTTCTAGGGGTCACTGAAGGTCTCCTCTGGATCCCACTTCTAATGACAAAGACTGTTAAAGACAAACTTTAGGCAAATTAGATTTAAAAGAGTTAATTTGAGCAAAGAGCAATTCACGAATCAGAACCAGAACCAGAAGAGGTGCAGAGAGCTGTGAGCAGTGAGCTTTTATAGGCTGAAGACAGAAGCAACGTAGATAAATTATTTGATTGGCTATAGCTAAGCATTTGACACAGTTGGACATGATTAGATCAGTTAGCTGCTTATGGTTGGCTAAAGCTTTATTGTTTGTGATTGGCTAAAACCTGACTGTTACAAAAATTATACCTCTAAATTAGGTTACGGTTTATTACGTAGGAACCAAAAGTATGGGAACAGCCCAAAGCTAATGGCATCCTACTTATTTAATTTAACACAAAGTTTGTCAGCAGATGGAGAGCAAATAAATTATGGAAAAGATGCCAACTATACCCTCATCCCTGACAAGAGGATGTCCTGGCTACAGGACAACTAACCAACAGGAGGATGAGATATTTTTAATTACACATGAGACTGAACTTTTAAATTACTAAACTGAGGATATGTTTGTAATTTTGATTGGCTATTGTTAATTTTACTGGAAAGGAATCAGAAAAGCCAAGGGACTACCTGCAATCTGATGCAAAGGCAGGGGAAGAATTGCCACACAGTTCTTGGACTGGTAAGATTTAAAATGAGAATCAAAAGCTAAAATTAAAGTTGTGTTGCTTTGTCATTGCCCCCATGAGTGAGGCATCTTTAGTAATGGCTATACACACAGAACCTATTATGCCTTCCTAAGATCTTTGAATGAGATTTTTGCTACAGAAATTCATGTCTAACTCACTGTTCCACATTTGTAGTCAGTTTTCTTCTTTGATAGAAGAATCGAGGATTATTGTATAAAGTGTGGCTAATTGTAAACCAAAGAAAATCTAATAAGTGGTTGTTTGAATAAAGAAACACCATGCTACTTTCCAGGATAGATAAATAGCCCAAAGAATTTACCTGAGGTGTATTTGATAGGAATTCAAACTCTTCTGATAACCCTAAAACTTGAACCATCAGTTGGGTAGACCATTTCTAAACTTAGTTTTAATTTATATAGACAATTACAGAAAAGAAGGAAAGAATATGTGAGAATTCTAATAGATACACGTTGTCAACTAGATATGAGTTGCGTATTTGGGAGTTCACCGTGATCTGTGACAGTGAACTCCTCATCAGGTTCCCTGATTTCTTCATCCATCCTTATTGTAAAACCTACTCACTGTCACCATATCAGTGTTATGGATGGAAATGCCATTCTGTTGGCATTTCTCGGTTAAAATACCCCATTAAAAAAGGTCAATAGATCCTCATTTCTAAGGAATAATAATACTCAACATTAGTATTGTGCTGAGTTAGAATATGCTGAGTAAGACATTCTTATAAACTATTGATATAATAATTCTGGAAAGAAATTGGCTACTGTATCAGCCAGGGTTTCACTACAGAAGCAGAGCCAATATTATATATGTAGTATATATGACATATGTTTATACATGTATGTGATGTGTGTGCTACACATATATGTATGTGCTAACATATATGTATATATTTATATGCATATGTATGTATACATATATACACAGAGAGGGAGAGAGAGCAAGAGACAGAGAGAGAGAGAGAGACAAAGCAAAGCACTGAGTAGCTAGACAAACCTGAAATCTGCAAGGCAGAAGACCATTAGAAAAGGGGAGGCTGAACATTCTAGGGCAGGAGCTGAAGCAGCAGTCCACAGATAGATTTTCTTCTTCAGGAAAGCCTCAGTTCTGTTCTTAAGGCCTTTCGACTGATTGGATCATACCCACCCAGATTATTGAGGATAATCTCCTTTACTTAATGTCAACTGATTAGAGATGTTAGTCACATCTACAAAACACCTTCATAACAACACCTAATTTAGTGTTTGAATAACTAGAGACTATAGCCTAGCCATGTTGACAAACAAAACTGACCATCACAGCAACATTATCACAAGGCTTAATAGATTCATACACTTGATGATGGATTCTAATTCCCAAAATCTTTCCTAAAGAAAATATGAAGAACTGTGCACATTTTATATGTGTTAGTAGTCACTCCAATTACTACAATGAAGCAAAGCTCTGTTCCACCAGCCATAGGCACAGACAATTTACCCAAGAAAGGATACTAATTTGGCAAGTTCAAGCCAAAGTCATGATTGAGTCACTGAAGAGTAAGCTGAGATTTTGATTGAAATAGAAAAGAGTTTAAATGATGGTAAGTCTGTATACCGTTGTTACTTACCTCTTTACACTATAACATTTTCCAAATATTTTATAGTAAGCATGTACATTTTACACTCTGAAAAACAAACATTTTTATATGTTTTAAATAACTGTGAGACATTTTAAAGCACCAATAAAAGCAAAAACAACTTTGTAATTAAACTAACTACAGCACTCAAACTATGACAACATAATTTCTATTTATCACAATGTTATGATTTTAGTTCAGTGATACCACACAGTGTCTAATATTAGGGAATCAAAACTGGATATTATAAAATTGAGCTGAAACACCTGAGATCCACTGTGGGATAAGCCAGTGATAATTAAAACAGATAGTACAATGAAAACAACCATTCAGTAATTAGTGAAACTTAGAGTCTGTTGCTCCTTGACATGGTACTCACCAGGCCAAGAACAAAGAAAACCTAAGTACCAGCATAAGCAGCTGCTACAAGTCACCTGATCTATTCTTTGCCATTCAAAGATATGTTTACTGTAGTTAAGCCACCTCCCAAAAGAAAATAGGCCACATTTTTAAAACATCTCTGGGCCCTCCCCACTAAACCAGAGAAAAAAAAAATCTGCCCATCATCTTACTATAGGCCTTCCTAACTTCTCCCACTACAAGAAGAGGTCACAACTGACCATAACTCAGGATATTCATTGAATCAGATCATATATAATAATAAAAATGGCTCCCATACATTAATTTTATGAGCTTAGTTTTCATCCTTTATTCTGACTTTCTGACCTTACCCTTAGGGTAAGAAAAATCATTTAGTCCTTTGAACTTCTTTTTGTATTCCATGTGTCTGGTTGAGTGGACTCAGAGTCTTTCTTGGTTCTTTCTCTTGCTCTCTCTCTTCAAAGTTGTTTGGTCACATTGATTCCAATTACATAATTTGAAGCTGGGAGTGGAGAAGAAATGTCAGAGTTTAGAAGCTTCCACATAGACCTCAAGTTTTAGTACCATTTTCCCATTCAGTGTTTATGAGATTGCCTATAATGTAGTATTGAATATTATCCCAAATATCAATGAAGGGCTACTTTAATTCTACATTTTGCTATTGTGTCTTTTAAACATAGCTCTCTTAGGAAGTCAAAGGGATGTAAAGTGATTGTCAAGGCAGGATTCAGATATCTCCAAATTCCTTACTCTTATTCAGGCATATTTTATTTATTGGAATGAAAATATCACTCTTAACCCCTAACAGGGCTTAAAACTTGGCCCTCACTTTTATTTTTTGTATCATATGTACATGACACTCTGTTAAGCACACATCATTCTTAATACTGGATAGAAAAACAGACCCTATGCCTACAGTGATTCCTATTAACGTTAATGCCTTGCTCTGTTCTAAATTTCAAACCTGAAGCTTTTCTGTGCAAAATTTTGATCTTTCTGAGTTAATCTTTCAGTCTCATCTCTGTTCAAGTCAAGCCCTGTTATTCAATAATGAGTTGCTTCCTGTTAGATTTCAGTGTTTACCTTCTTTATTCATCCTTGCCTTTAGTGATTTACTCAGCTAGCTCATACTGAGACGTGTGGTAGGCAGAATTATAAGAGAACCCCCAAGATTAGCACGGATTCCTGATGTATACACCCTGTATAATCCCCTCCCATTGAGTGTGGATGGGAGTAAGGGAATATGATGGACATAACTCCATGGTTAACTTGTGTCACATGGCAAAAAAAGGATTTTGCAGGTGTAATTAAGGTCCCAAGTCAATTGATTTTGAGAAAATCAAAAGTAAGATTATTCTGGGTGAGTTGGCCTAATATAGATCAATTAAAACAGAGTCTAGAGTAAGAAAAAAGGCACATATACACCATAGAATACTATGCAGCCATAAAAAGGGTGAGTTCCTGTCCTTTGCAGGGACATGGATGAAACTGGAAACCATCATTCTCAGGAAAGTAACACAAGAAGAGAAAACCAAACGCTGCATGTCCTCACTCATAAGTGGGAGCTGAACAATGAGAACACATGGACACAGGGAGGGGAACATCACACACTGTGGCCTGTCAGGGGTGAGGGGCTGGGGGAGAGATAGCATTAGGAGAAATACCTAATGTAAATGATGAGTTGATGGGTGCAGCAAACCAACATGGCACATGTATACCTATGTAATAAACCTGCACCCCAGAGCTTAAAGTATAATAAGATTTTTTTAAAAAAGCATCAGAGATGCTCCCATTCACCTTGGAGAAAGAGATTGCCTTGTTAAAGACAGAGCTGTGTGGCAGATAATGCTGGCTGACCTCTAGGAAATGGAGATCTCTGTCCTTCTACCACAAGAAATTAAGTTCACCCAGTAATTATGTGACCTCTGAAGAACTCAAGCTCTAGAAAGGCATGCAGCTGAGTTAGTATCCTGATTGCAGCTTTATGAGATCCTGAGCAGAGAATCCATGTAAGTGCCTAGACTCTTGACCCACAGAAACTGTGAGATAATGCATGCATGTTGTTTAATATTACTGTTTGTAATGTGTTTTTACACAACAGTGGAAAACCAGTGTAAGTTCTCAGATTGTTGCTTTCACTAGAAACATAACTGAAGAATGCAGTACTCAAAAAAATGTAATTCCAGGATCAGCAAGTAATTCTCCTGGCAACCTCAACTGCCAACAAAAAAAAGAATCACCCTGCCCACACACATATACACAAACACACTCCTCCCTCTTGAAACTGCCAGTATTTCTTCTCCTCTAGGAGAGGATGGGTCTAATTTTAGACTCAGTTTCCTCCCCACCCTGCATTTGAGTGATACCTGCAGACTACACATCATGACTTTTCTCTGAATCCTGAGCTAAAACAACATTGCCCTTGGGGACTCACAGGCTCAGCTGGGGAAGTTATTTCCATTAATTACAGTAAAAAGAAACCTCCTGAATATGGTATTGTGAAGTTTGTTTTGAAAATCATATTCCTTTTAAAAATCATCAGTCATTATGCTTCATAGAAAAATCATTTTACTTAGGAGCAAAAACATGATTTTCTACCAGCTGAACGGTCTCTCTACAATGAAGCTAGAAAATCATTACTTAAGCAAGACTGTTTCTACTAAAGCTAAGCTATTCTTGTATATGAGGGGGGAAATGAACAAATCACATATAAATAAAGAAACAAATCTTTGAAAGCAAGAGAGACCTTCTTTTCAGTTCATTTCTGTGTGTATCCTTTTCTTGTTTTGCTTATGAAATGATAAACAATATAACTATTTGGGGTGTGTGTGTGTGTGTGTGTGTGTGTGTGTGTGTGTGTAACTAATTCATCACTTCAGAATTCTAATCTTTCTCTCTGATCTGTAATTTCTCATGACCTCTATAATAAAATCAATCAACTCAGTATGTCTTAACTATGCCATACTTTGTGATAGTCCCATTTAAAATCATTTTTGTCTTCTTGATGCTGTAGTTTCTTGATATATGCAATGCCATATTTAAAGCTATGTAATGTATTTACTGGATAAACTCCAGTGATTTGTATAGTGATTTGTAATGTGTGTTCCTGAAAGGAACCGTACAGAAATAAATAGCATTATAAAAACCACATTTGATGGTCCTATTCCTTATAATTGTGAAAATTCTACCACACATAGGTCAGAGATACTGCTTTGCAGGCATCAGTATTTCCATCCCCATGGATTAAGAATTTCTGATTTTTTATTATATCCTATCCCCAACTGAACACCAATAATAAAACAAAATTCATAGCAAAGTAGCTTATCTGATTGTAAATAAATAAAACTAGTCTTCTGATTAGGACCCTTGCGTGGGTACATAAGCTCCAAGTAGGCAACTTATTGAAGAGAGTGAGAGCTTGTCATAGAGACAAAAGAAACAGCAAAATTCCTTTCTTTTCTTTGCTTTTGTTTCATCAAGGAATAAAAACAAGGGCCTAGTAATCCACCATGTTAGTCACTGACAAATGAATACGTAAATAAATAAAAAACAAACATGTCCTAAAATACCATGACTCCCTTTTGCAACAGCAATCATTGCCTTCAATATTTCAGAATCTCACTAGGTGTTTTAAGCCATATCTAGGGAAAAATCGTCTTGATATGGCCAACAAAACCAAGTTTTTTAAAAAGAAAAAACTTATATTACCCCTCTTCATATTTGCCTCAGTCCCTGAATATGGATTCCTATGATTTTTCTCCCTTCTTTTATCATGCCTAGGAAGTTGCAATTTCCCAGGAAGTAAAAATGTTGACTTTCTTATTCATGTTATTTTTCCACAGTTTAGCAAAGTGTCTGATGCATAGCAGGGCCTTTATGAATAATTGTATGTGAATGTCTCTAAGGATTTAGAAATGTGGGACTCTAAAATTAGAAAATTAATTGGATAAATCATGTTAAGATAGAATTTTTACATCACCCCTTTAATATTTAAATAATCACTAAACTCTGCTGACCCACATGAAAAAACTCTTAAAAATAAAGGCAAGAATTAAGGGGTTTTTTTTTAAAAAAAGGCAAACACATCAATGGTCACAGCCTGCAGGGGCTTTAAACACTATAGAATTAGTTTAGGAAAATCACTAAACAAATACACAAGTTAAAAACAACAACAACATTCACAACCCCTGAGAGAGGTGAAAATCAAAATCTAGAGTATACAATATATTATCTAAAGTATTCAATTTTCAACCAAAATATTATAAGGCATGACAAAAAATAAGACTATGTGACCAATCCACAGGAAGAAACTGTTTCTGTTTCAACAGAAACTCTCTGACGGAACACAGATGTTGGATTTAGTAGACAAAACCAGCTATGTTCAAAAGCAAAAAGAAGCCATGCTCAAAGAATTACAGGACAATCTGATGACAATGGCTTATCAAGTACAGAATATCAATAAACAGATGTAAATTATAAAAATCGAGTAGAATTTCCTGAATTGAAAAGTAAATTTAAAGCAAAAAATTTTGCTAGAATATCACAACAAAAGATTTGAGCTGGCAAAAAAAAAAAAAATCAGCCCACCAGAGTGGACGAATGAAGATTGTCTAATCTGAAGAACATAAAGAAGAAAGAATTAAGGAAAAAAAGATGGAATAGACTTAGTCACATGTGAGACAAGATAAAGCATACTAACATAGGTGTAAAGAGAATGTCAGAAGGCAAAGATAGACAGGGGAAGAGAAAATATATGAAGAAATAATGGCTAGCCATCTCTAAAATTTGATTACTTTGTCCCCAGAAAGAAACTTTAATCTACATATCCAGGAAGGCTAACAGATTTCAAGTAGGACAAATACGAAGAGAGCCACATCTAGACCTATCACCAAATAAACCAAAGAGCCAAATGAAAAATCATATTCCAACTCCAAAAAAACCCACACTCCAACTCATCATGAACAAGAGAACCACATTAAAATGAACAGATAACAGAAAAAAATTGAAGACAGAGGCAGTGAAGTGATATAGTCAAAGTGCAGAAAGAATAATACTGTCAACAACTAATTCTATATTAAACAAATCTATCATTCAAAAATTAAGGCAAAATTGAGACATCTCCAGATACAAACAAAAGTTGAGAGGATTCACTGCTAAGCTACTTTCAAAACATGAAATACAAAGGAAGACTTCAGATGGAAGGGAAATGACATCATATGGTAACTAGAATCCATACAGAAATAAACAGTACCAGTAGATCTAATTATGTAAGTAAATATAAAAGAGCAAGTAAAAGTATATATACCTACATGTAAGTAGAAATGTAACTAAAAATACATATATAAATATATATATATGTCTTTGCTCTTTTCTTAACTGATTAAAAACCCAAAACACAATTGCATAAAACAGTTATTATAAGACTGTATTATCAGGCTTGTTACATAAAGATGTATCTATATGGCAAGAATAAAGTTATTGGATAAAGTTTCTATATGTTATTCCAATAGCTAGGAAATAGTCATTTGTGGGCTGAATAGGGAAGAAGCAGTAGACTGAAGAAAATTTGAATAGGTTAAAGAGATATAATTAGCATAATTTAAAAATGACTTTTGGAAAAATGATGCACACATAATTAAAGAAAATTTCAATCAGGGTGAAAATGAGGAAGGAATATCCATTGACATAATTGGACATACTGATGCTTTATTTATTTAGATTATTTATTTATTTAGATTATTTTTCAGCCTGAGAACTAACCAAAAACCAGGTCCTTGAGGAATGAGAGATAAGTAGATAAGTTTCAATAAGCATAACTCTCCATCTCTCCCCATACTAGTCATTGTTATGGGAAAACATATTCAATATGCCATGCGGGTGACGAGTTGCATACAAAGAGGAAACAAACATAAAGTATGCCAAGCTAGAGCATTAAATCAAAGTTATTCATATTTCCTAGTACTATCTGGCATTGCTGCTGTCAATGAGAATAATTCTATTTCAAATCAGTCTCAATTAGTTTTATCTTTAATAACAGTGTAATAGCTTGATGGTCAATATGAAGTAAACCTCTAAGATTTCAGGTTTGGAAGAGGTTGGGAGAGTAAATGAGGAGAAAAGACAGAAAAGTAACTCAATTGACAGGTTGAGGGAAGGATTGGGGCTTCCATCTGAATACTCAACTAACTTTCACCTTTGACTTTGTTCTAGTCTGTTACTCTCTACAGGTTAAATGATGATCTCATTTTACCTCTTTTCTTCCTGGTATGAATCATTATTTGAATATCTCCTTGAACTTATGAGAACATTAAAAAATTTCAGAGCACATTTTTATTGTACCAAAAGGTAATTTTTTTCTATATTCCATATCCCATTAAGATGAACCTGGAAATTTTTATTGGATGTCTGGATCTCTGGAACCCACAAATCTACGTAGATAAGCCCCTGGAACATAGAAGTCCTGAATCTTCTTTTGGTTCATACTTCCTCACTGCAACACAGATAGGATTTGTGTAAATTATGTTAAGCTATTTTTTTAGGTTAGAGAGATTCTGGGAAGTAGATAATTGTTACAGAACCTGGAGTTTAGACAAGTGAGTGGCAGATAATGCTAGGATTAATAAAAATGGCAAGTGGTATCTCCAAGGACTAATAAGTCAAGACAACTACCTTATATTTGTGTCCTCTTACCTCATATTAAAACTCTTTCTATTCCTTTGCCATTGTTTGCTTACATGGAGAAATATTGCCATTTCGAAAGTTGCTTTGGTTATCAGAAGTAGCAGAATGTACTATGAAGACCTGGCCAAGCACCTTTGAAGTAAATGGTCTCTCTTGTTAAAATGTAGTAGCCCCTAAAAGAAAATCTTGGCTGAGAGAGAAAATTTCAACATGAATTGTAGCCATCAACATGATGAAAATCCTCAAACACTAATCAGAGATGTTTTTGACTCGCTCCTTGGGAGAAACTCAACTTTCCCAACAAACAGATGGCCCACTAAGTATTTTTCAGCAAATACTGAAGGCCCACAGGAGAATCAGACTTTATTATAACCATAGTTTTTTTTGTTGTTGTTGTATAAATTTACAGTGTAAAACGTGATGTTTTGATAGCTGTAGTTTTTGTGTGATAATAATTTGTATCACTTTACCCTACTGAAAAAGTATGAATGGTTCCGTTTGCTGAAGGTGAGAGAAGTAAGCTAACTTGTGCTGCATAGCTATTCTGGACCAAGGACATTATATTTTTATTTAATTCAATTCTCTCAATCATTCTGTGAGGAAGACACAATTATCTACATTCTATGGCTAAGGTAACCAAGGCTCACAAGATTTTAGTGGCTTTCTCAGTATCATACAATAGGCCCACAACAGATTAAGGAGTGGGATACATGGGTATTTTCTATGTTTCTGTAACCGACATTAAAACATTTGGAAAATTTCGTGACAGTTAATCTAGGAATTCACATTAGATTCCTAGCCATCATTTGAAATATGTAATTAGTCCTCTAGGGCCGAAGGAGAGAAAAACAAAAGCAAGAATATAACATTCCTCATTGGTGTTGATCCTATCCCCAAGGGGTAAATGCTGATCAAACATTAAAAGAACGTTTTTGTTTTTAAATTAGGACTGCATTTTTAGTTTTACAAAAAACTCCCCTGTGTCAATCAGGCATAGTTATATAGTGTCGTTTGTTGTTTCCCAGGAGAAGGACAGTGCAATGGAGTTAAAGGGCAGATAATTTATTAGCGCATATTCTCAGGATCAACACCTGTAGACAAAAAGGAAGAAAGCAGAATTGTGCCAAGGGAGAGAGTAGGCTGTGGTGAAGATTCAGCAAGGGCTTTAACCAACTCCAAGTGAAGCCTTGGAGCTGGGCCGTTCAGAGTTGTTTTGACTTGGGCTGGGATGGCCAGGTCTTTATTCAACCAAGTAAACCAGCCATTGAATCATGTGGGTCAGCTGCCTTAGGATGGCGTGTGACTGTGGGCAAAGGAGTACTGAGGGATCATGGAGAATAATTTCTGGAGATAGCTGACAGCTTAAGACCACTAGCTGACAGACTCCCAACCACTGGGAGAAAACGTCCCTCATCTCTAAATGAAGTTCTGAGTGGATCATCAAATACACGTAACTCTTTAATGATTAAGCATGTTTATGAGTACTACCAAAGTTTTAACCTCTCTAATCGGACTTCAGAGTATCTTAAAGAACAAAAGATATGGGCCTGGTTGGTCTAGTGTATGTTTGGTTTGGCTGCAGCAATTGTGAACTAGACATGTGAAGGGGCAGGCTATAGCATAATATTTCCCCCCTACTCTCCAGTCTGAGAAACCACTCTGAGGAGAGTCACATGGAGATGTACACCAAGGCTGTGTCGCAGGCCCTGGAACCTGTCCTAATCCCTGGGAAGTACTATACAGGAAAAGAGCTTGGTTCATAGTAAACTCCCTCTAGCCTTTGTTTCCCATCTTGAAAGAGATACTTGCAGCTTTGCAATAAAATATAGTAAATGCTGATGGACGTTTGCATTTATTTCCCTCCAAGAGATGTCAGACAGCCAAAGATTCATTATAGGTAAGCCAGGTAAGTTAATAGTGATCCTTGAATGTTTCATCTGACCAATGAAGAATAACTCAAAGCAGGGAGCCAAAAATTATCCAGACTATAATATTGGAGTCTTTACAAGCACAGCTTGAAACAAGCACTCAGAGGCAGGTAGATTTTTTTGGAGAGGTAATTCCAGAAAGCAGGAAGGAAAGAGAAAGGGAAGCTTTTAAAAGTGTCTGTTATTTGAACTGGTTATTGCAGTAGCCAACTGGGGTGCAATCCCACTAAGGACTTTTGAGAAACCTTGCAGAATGCACTTCAAAATTACCTGATGAAAAGGTGGGTGGTTGAGACATTTTTCTAGTGACTCCAATCTCCCATTGTATAATGATCTCCCCTGGGAAGATTAATTCTCCCACATGTTATGAGTAAGCTCCCTTGGTTTTTGAGAAACTGTTGAGTAATAACATTGGAGAATCCAGGTGGGAAACTGTCAGCCTGAATAAGTGTTGTCCACCACACCTGCTGCTGAAATACTCTTGCGCTGTGGGATTGTGGCATAAGACACCAAAGGTGTCTGCTATAACTAATGGTTGCCCAGGTAGTTATCTAGATGGCTTTTGAGGAATTAGCTCCCACAAGAGCAAGAGTGGAGAAGTGATCACCTTGATTGTCAAGCTCTTCAACATTTCTGCTCTCTGGTGTTCATAGGAGCTTTTTTCTGCTGATATTAAAAAATATTTGCGCCCTTAGGAATTGTTTTTCTAGGACATTTCTGGGTTTCTTACATTTAGTCCTGGCTCAATTCTCCAAGATACAAGAGCAATTTACCCTTACTGGGCCTCCCTTCTTGCCCCAAGTAAATATCTGTGCCTATGCATGCTGAGAAGAACATAGGTAAGGAGATGTGTGAGTAAATGGTATTTGCAAAGCTGGAGTAATTTCTCCCAATTATATATGTTGTAATTAATTGGCCTGATCAATGCTTACTAAAAGAGCTAGTTATCAATAAAAATGTCATTTTAGTGACCTTTATTTTGTCTGCTGAAGTCTGTTTTGAGTACTGAGAAGCGCCTCTGGAGTTAGCCTTCAGCACTAACTAACTTTGTTACTTTTTTGTGTTTCTGCATGTCTTTTCTGTAAATTCTATGATTTCATTATACGACAAAATGGGCTTCTGTTTCATATTTTTTTTCAATTACTCAGGCAGTTGAGATATGACATTTCACTTCATTTTGATTCATTGAATGTAATTCAATAAAGGGTGGAGAGCGAGTGAGCTAAACTCTATGAGCAGACGCTTTTCATTGCAAACCAGTTGGCTTTTCTCCTACTTTTTGAAAAATTCTGATAACATTCATGCTTCCAGATTCCTCTCCCTCCCCTCTTTTTTTGGCTATTTCCTCGCATTGATCCTTGAAATGCAATTTTTCAGCGCAGAAAACAAGGCCGCTTCTTTGGCTGATGTCTAAGGAGAAAAATAAACATAAAAGTAGATTTTAGGCTTCCTTCTTTATTAACTACCAACTGTATGACTTTAAATAAAGTGATGCAGTCTCTAAAACCCAAATTCGGGCTATCCTTGGTTATTCAATAAAGGGAACAATATTTATTTTTTTAAAAGAAGCAAAGTAGATTTCTTTGTATATCATAACTCTCTTAATTTTCACAGCATCCCTGTGACTAACTGCTATACTAGTCCCATCTACACATGGTGAAACTGAAGCATGCAGGCATTAGGTAACACTCTCACAGTCTACGCAGCTATTAAGTAGGGAAGCCAGCATTTAAACCCAGACAGTCTGGCTTTAAATACCCATGCTCTTTGCCGCCATTTTATACTGCCTCTTTGCTAAACCTCTTTTTATAAAAGTCTTTGGTGTGAGTTCACCAATACCTTGTCAAGTCATAACGGAGTTCAGGACACCAACGTTATTTATATAGACTGTTTAAATTTGTTTGAAAATTGTCAGTGAAGCAAGAAAATTTTTGCTGATTCTAATCTTTGTACATACAATCTAATTTCAGCAGTCCTGATTTCTTTCACAAATCAGACTCTAACGATGTGCATACATATTTTTCTCTGATTCTGCAAAGTACTCCAAATGTGAGGGCTACAGTTTGAGATATTTTTTAATTATAGTATGTAAAATGTGATGGAAAATAGTAATTCTGTTAGTGAGTTTTGACTGGCCTGCATCTTAAAATCACCAGAAAAACCTCACTAGCTAATCGTAGTGGTGCAATTCTGTTATAATTTTTTTTTCTAGTTTCAAGATGTAATGAAGTCTATAACACACTAGATGGTAGCCTTGTCACATGAGCCCCCAACCACAGAACACAGGCTGAAAACTAAAGTGAGAACAATTCTTTTTTCAAATTAGAACATTTAAAAAGATAGATGTGAATGCAGGGCCAATAATGGGTCTACATTTTGATTTCAGGGTTGGAGTCCAAGACTTGTGGAGGTGAGAGAATTGTTTTCTGCTCAATAGCTCAGTAGTGTCAACAGGAGTTGACTCAGAGAGTTTTTCCCTGCATGGTTAGGAAAGGTCACTCTCTGCTTCTTGTAGAGTTGGAATTATTGTAAAAAGCTTTTTAGGGAGCTCATCAGAAAAACACCAATAAATAGTTCATTTGCAATTATACACTAAAGTAACAGATTCCTTATAGCTGTTAAGTTTTATGCTTAATTTATGACTATATGTATAACTATATGACTATAGACAAAATATATGCTAGACATCGTGTGTGTATTTTTTCCCTCCAATACATAAGAAAGTTGAGGAATGAATAAAAGGCTAATAGTCTCAATATTATTATATACAGTCCATTAGGATCACTGAACATCTCTTGTCTTTTTCCTCATCCCAGAAATGATTCCTCTAATCTTTACCCCTGTTAAATTCAGTTCAAGAGCAAATGTTGCATACCCGAATCTTCCAGTTAGCATGTCCTCCTGTCTGCTGAATGGGAATTGAAGTGGTTAGAAGCAAGAAAGGAATTTCCTATCTCACAGACTCTAGAAAGATAGACACAGTTCTAGCATCCCATGAGGAAAACCTGATCACACTGCCCTGTAAGCACAAAGACTTCTTCAGGTGTACTAGCCATTAAACAGGCTTTGGTGGGTTGGCTTTTGAACCAACTACCACATATATACAATAATGTGCTTGTGAGAGATAGATTTGTTGAATAGTAAAAATTATTCAAATGATTGGGCTGCAACCAACTTCTCTATTAGAGACTAAAATTAATGTTTATGTTTCATTTTCCATTGGGCTCCTATAGTTTTAATGAGATATCCCAGGTCAGATGGCTGCTGCTGTTCTCAGTTATCTTGCTGCAACTATTTATTAACAAAACAATAATTATGACATGACTTAGGCTCAGTAGGATAATCCTGCATTATGATTATTTTCTTGGTGATAATGACATAAAGCTTTCTGTACAACTGCATTTTTCTGGGCAAAATTTAGATGAGTGTTTTGTATAATGTTGAATAAAGACAACTGATTCTGAAATACCATCATCAAACTCTACTTTAAAGAGACATAACAAATCTTTAATCCACGTAACAACAGAGTTTCAACTTGTTCTGCTGGCCTTTAAACCAGTTTCTGATTGTATAATTGTTGGTCATTTCATGGTTACTTCTGCTTTCTTCTTTCCTTCTCTTCTTTCAGCAAAAATATAATGAGTACTTGTGTGTCAGTTACTGTGTAAGAGCCAAAATAAAGATACACGTCATAAAGGCAAGGAACTCTTTGCCTATTACCTAGTAGATAAATTGAAACTACAGAAAAGCATTAAAGATAGATTGAAGTAACATTTGAAGATTCACAACATTTCCAGCTCCTTGCTGTATGCTATCATGTATGATATAACATTCAACACTCAGAACAATCTTTCAGTGGGAAACTGAAATACAAAGATGTTGAGAGTCTTGATTCAAGGACATGGTGAATTCTAGAGCGTTCACCACATGTGGAACTGTGAATCAATTAAATTCTAGAGAATTCACCACCTGTGGAACTGTGAGTCAAATAAACCTCTTTTCTTTATAAATTACTCAATCTCAGGTAGTTCTTTATAATTGTTTTGCATTTATGTCCAGTGTACTCTTATTGATTGCAATCACAAACGAATGCCTAGACATGTTCTCAGTTGTAAAACTAAGCCTCACCTAACCTCTCTCTAAGTGCCTAAACCAGAAGACTTGGCGAATTATAATAAAACCTGCTGTGTTCAGGAGAATCAGCTTCCTATAACTGTGGCTCTATCACCTATGTGTTTAGCTTATGCAAAGTTTCCCTAATGGTCTAAAGGGAAAATTCAAAATCAAAAGATTAAAGGTATTGCCTACATCATTACAAATAAAGGAATAAGGTATTCTATAGAATTGTTTATATTTATCCCTCATTGTAGAAAAAATTCATCAGAACAAAAATGTTAACCAGAGGTGGCCCAAATATGTTCTACTTACTTTTATTTTTCTGTGAATTCCTTGACCCTCAAAGCTGGATATACAAATCAACTAAGCTATGGCCAAGGCCAGCTATAGTTCCCAAGCCAAGGGCAAGACAGTGTTAGCTGCCTCTGTCCTGTTATGTACAGGGATTTGGAAGAAAATCCTACTCCCCAGGACCTAAATCAAAATGTTATCATAATCTAAGAAGAATCGAGTCCAGTTCTATGAAAATTTTAACATGAATCTGTTTGAAAGTCAAGTTTTGTCTATAATTTTGAAAGATGAAAGATGTAACAAAGTAAGGATTTCTCTTCTGGAGATGAGGATGAGATAGGGGTCTCCAGGTACCATAATCAAGAGCAGAGGTGGTCCGGGTGTGGTGACTTACACCTCTAATCTCACAACTTTGGAAAGCTAAGGTGGGAGGACATGTGGTGAATTCTAGAGAAAGTGTTTGAATTCAGTTGTCTTTCATTGATGTCCAGTATACTCTTATTGACTGCAATTACAAAAGAATGCCTGTACATTTTCTCAGTTTTAAAACTAAGCCACCTTTAGTCCAGGAGTTTGAATCTCCATATCTGGGGAGGGACCTGCTGGGAGGTGATTGGATCATGGAGGCAACTTCCACCATGCCGTTCTCATGATAGTGAGTGAGTTCTCATGAGATCTGATGGCTTAAAAGTGTGTGGCAGTCCCCACCTCACTCTCTGTCCTGCTGCCATGTAAGACATGCCTTGCTTCCCCATTACCTTCTTCCATGATTGTAAGTTTCCTGAGTCCTCCATAGCCATGAAGAACTGTGCAGAAACCTCTAACCAATCTCAGGTAGTTCTTTATTGCAGTGTGAAAATGGACTAACACAGAAAATTGGTACCAGGAGAGTGGGACACTCTTATAAAGTCACCTGAAAATGTGGACACAAATTTGGAACTGGGTAACAGGCAGAGGTTGGAAAATTTTGGAGGGCTCAGAGGAAGACAGGGAGACGTGGGAAAGCTCGAAACTTCCTAGAAACTTGTTGAATGGTTTTGATCAAAATGCTGAGAGTAATGTGAACAATGAAGTCCAGGCTGAGGTGGCCACAGATGGAGATGAGGAACTTATTGGGAACTGGAGTAAAGGTCACTGTTGCTATGCTTTAGCAAAGAGACTGGCAGCATTTTGCCCCTGCCCTACAGATCTATGGAACTTTGAACTTGAGAGAAATGATTTAGGGTATCTGGCAGAAGAAATTTCTAAGATGCAAAGTATTCAAAATTAACCTGGCTGTTCCTAACTTCACACAGTTATATGCATTCACAAATAGATGGTGTGAAATTGGAACTTGTGTTTTCAAGGGAAGCAAAGTGTAAAAGTTTGGAATATTTGTATCCTGACCATGTGGTAGAAAAGAAAAACCCATTTTCTGGGGAGAAATTCAAGCTGATGGCTGCAGAAATTTTGCATAAGTAAAGAGAAGACAAATGTTAATTGCCAAGACAATGGGGAAAATATCTCCAGAGCATGTTGAAGACCTTTGCAGCAGACCTTCCCATCATAGGCCCTGAGGCCTAGGAGGGAAATGTAATTTAATGGGTTGGGCCCAAGGCACCCCTGTTTTGTGCAGCCTTGACACAGGGAACCTTGTGTCCCAGCCACTCCAGCTCCAGCCATGGCTAAAAAGGGGCCACGGTGCAGCCCAGGCCATGGCTTCCGAGGGTGCAAGCCCCAAGCCTTGGCAGCTTCCACACAGTGTTTGACCTGCCACTGCACAGAAGGCAAGAATTTGGGAGCCTCCACCTAGATTTCAGAGGATGTATGAAAACACCTGGATGTCCAGGAAGATGTCTGCAGCAGGGGCGGAGACCTCATGGAGGACCTCTACTAGGTCAGTGCAGATAGGAAATGTGGAGTTGGAGCCACACACAAAGTCCCTGCTGGGGCGCTGCCTAGTGTAGCTGTGAGAAGAGGGCCACCATCCTACAGACCCCAGCAGCCAGTGACAGCTTGCACCATGTGCCTGGAAAAGCAACAGATACTCATTGCCAGACTTTCTTGAGTAATACAACATCTAACAGAGTCCAGAAAGACAGATATATTCCTGGCATCCCATGGGCAATGGGGTTGGAAATTCAGAAAAAAACATGAGGCACAATTTGTCCCTGCTCCATCATGTCTGGAGCATACTCTAGGAAGGCTTTGAGGGGCATCTCAATGTTTGAGGCTAAAATCGTCTTCTCATCCAAATGCCAGGCAGTGATTTTGGCTGTTGGCTGAGACCTAAGCTGGGGCTGTCAAATAAAACACCTGCATATGCATTGTCTCCATGTGATCTCTGCTTCTGTGTAGCATGGTGGCTGGATGCCAAGAGAAAATGCCCTGAAAGATAGCCAGTTGGAAGCTGTCAACTTTCATAAATTTGTCTCAGATTTCACATTGTATCACATCTACTGTAGTCACAAATTTGCCCAGATTCAAGGGGAGAGAATATAAATCTCCCTTCTAATATTGGAGGAATATTAGAGTCACATTGTATGAAGCCCATGTGCTTTGGGAGAGAATGTGGTGATCATTGGAAAATGTAATCTGCCACATCCAGTCAACAGAATTCCCTTTCTCACACTTAGTATTATTTATATGCTTTGTAAAGTAAACTCAGAATTAATATAATACAAATATAATTTGATTGATCATATTTTGGGTACATTATTTATTTGGTTGTGTTCTATGCAAACAAGCCATATACTGGGATAAGAAGCAAAGTCCTTTTTTGAAAGTGGATATGGTACTTATGAACTGAACCATATAATGTGATTACAAATCCTGACCTGCTTTCAATAATTTTGATGTATTGAATATGTCTAGAATAACCTTATATGTCTATTCAGATATTTAAAATATTGTATTATACTCTATAATTAATTTTATAATGTAAGGATACATATTTGAAAAATTCTGTTAAATTGTTTTTTTTTTTTTCCTAAATGGTTGTGGTAGGGGAATAACATTCTGTTTTTTCCCTAAAGACCAGTATGGAATACATAATTATGTAGTGGTAAAATATAATTCAATTACAGAGAATTTGAGTCATAAACTGGATGTACTCCATATCTCTGAGTGATTCATTATTTGCTCCATGCACAGTTCCCTAATTAAGGAAAAGAATTTCCTCTTGGGATTGGATTAAGTCCTGTTAAAGGTATGACTCAAAAATCAAAATATGGGTAGACTTAACACTCTGTATTGCCTTATTTGACATCAGTAAATGACAATTCTCCTCTTTGAGGAAATAAACCAATGATCACGGTTAAAAGACAAGACAAGTCTGAAGAAAACTTTTAAACAAATAAATTTAGGTCAGTTGTGTAGAATGATAGTAAGCTAGTAAAGCAAGGGACATAAAAAGGCCAGCATTACCATTTTACCAAAACCAGACAAAGATACTACAAGTAAAGAAAATTGCAGATCAATATATCTCATGAACATACATGAAAAATCCTTGACAAAAAATTTAAAAATTGAATCCAACAATGTATAAAAATAATTATACCTCATTACCAAATGGCATTTATTCCAGGTATGCAAGGCTGGTTCTACATTTTAAAATCAATTAATATAATTAATCACATCAACAGCCTATAAAAGAAAAATCACATAACTATCAAAAGATGCAGAAAAGATATTTGGCAAAATTCAACACCTATTCATAATTTAAAAAAAAAACTCAGCATGCTTACCTAATTTGATTACTATACATCGTGTCAAAACATCACTATGTATACAATAAATGTGTACAATTACAACATGTCAATTAAAAATATGTCACTGTGTTTAGGGGAGGAAAAGGCCAGTTTGGGCTAAGGTGATCAAGAAAAGCTTTAGGGAAAGACAATACCTGAACTGGATCCTATAAAATTTTAAGACGAAAGCAGACCAATCAGAGAGCTAGTACATTCCAAGCAAGTTTAGAAACATAGATTTGAGCTCAAACTGTGAGAAGATTTATTTTCTTCAATTTAGAACACTTTATTAATTAAAATATTTTATTACATTAAAAAAACTATCAGCAAACGGTAAATAGAGCAGAACTCCCTAACCTTGAAAAATAACATCTACCCTAAACCTACTGGTTACATTATACCTACTAATAAGAAATTAGAAAATGCCTTCTCTTGCTACTTATTTTACCATTGTACTAGAAGTCCTAGTTGATGCAATCAGACAAGCAATAAAGTAAAAAGTATACGGATTGGGAAGAAAAAGATATAACTGTGTTCAATGACATGATTGTGTATGTATAAAATTTGAAAGAATGGACAAAATTCCTGGAGGTGATAAGAAATTATAGCACAGTTGCAGGATGCAAGGTTAATGTACAAAAGTCAATGACTTTCCTATATGCTAGCAATGAACAAGTGGAATTTTAAATAAAAAACACAATATCATTTACATTAACACTAAAGAAATTAAATTATTAGGCATAAGCTTAACAAAATATGTACAAGACCTATATGAGGAAAACTACTGATTAAAAAAAAACAGAAAATAAAAACTAAATAAATGGAGAGAGATTCCATGGTCATGGACAGAAAGATTCAATATTGTGAAGATGTCATCAGCTCTTCCCAACCTGATCTATACATTCACTACAATCTGAATTGAAATCCCAGAAAAAGTTATTTTGTGGATATTGACAAACATTCTAAAGTTTATATGGAGAGGCAAAAGATGCAGAGGAGCCAGCATAAAGAACAAAGTCAGAGGACTAATACAACCTGACCTCAACTAATACTGTAAAGCTACAGTATCCAGGACACTGTAGTACTGGCAAGGGTATACATAGATCAACCAATAGAACAGAATAATTCATCAATAGACAAATATAGTTAAGTGATGTTTGACAAAGTAGCAAAGGCAGTACAATGGAAAAAAATTGTCTTTCAACAAATGGTCTTGCAACAACTAGATATCTATATGCAAAATAATGAATGTAGATCCAGACCTTACACTTTTCACAAAAATTAACAAAGTAAATAATTATCCTAAATGTAGAACACAAAATTATACAACTCTTAGAAGATAACATCTGAGAAAATATACGTGTCCTTGGGTATAAAGCTAATATGTTAGATCCAATGCCAAAAGTATGACCTGTGAAAGAAAGAATTGGTAAGTGAAACTCCATTAAAATTAAAAACTTATATTGTGTAAAAAACACTATCAAAACAATGAGAAGACAAGCAACAGACTGGGAGAAAGTATTTGCAAAAGATGTATCTGATAAATGACTGTTATTGAAAATATATGAAGTACAATTAAAACTCAATAAGAAAATGAACAACACAATTAAAAATGGACAAAAGATATGAAACAGACTTCTTACCAATGAAGATAAACTGATGACAAATAAGCACAAAAAAATGCTTGACATCATATGTCATTAGGAAATTGCAAATTAAAACAATGAGATACCACTACACACCTGTTAGAATGACCAAAATCACAACATAGATAACACAAAATGCTGGTGAGGATTTGCAGTAACAAAAGCTCTCATTCATTGCTGGTGAAAATGAAAAATGGCACAACCATTTTGAAAATGAAAAATGGTACAACCACTTTGAAAGACAGTTTGGCAGTTTTTACAAAACTAAACATATTCTTAACATATAGTTCAACAATTGTGTTCCTTGGTATTTACTCAATGATTTGAATATTTATATTCATATGAAAACCTGTGCATAAGTGTTTATAGCAGCTTTATTCATAATAGCTACAACACAAAAGCAACCAAAATGTCCTTCAGTAGGCAAATGGATTAATAAACTGTGGTATATGCAACAATGGAATTATTCAGTGTTAAAAAAGAAAGGAGTTATTGATATGGTTTGGATGTTTGTCCACTATAAATTGCATATTTAAATATAATCTCCAGTATTAGAGGTGGGGCCTGTGGTGGGTGTTTGAATCGTAGGGCAGATCTCTTTTGAATGGCTTAGCACTACCCCCTTGGTGATGAGTGAGTTCTTGCTCTATGTTCATGTGAGATCTGGTTGTTTAAAAGTATGTGGCACATCCTCTTCTCTCTCTTGCTCCCTCTCTCTTGGTTTAGCTCTCGCCATGTAATAGTTTCACTATCTAACCCTGCCCAAGTCTCATGTTGAAATGCAATTCCCAATGTTGGGGGTGGGGCCTGGTGGGAGGTGACTGGATTATGAGGGCAGAGTTCCCATGAATGAAGTAAGTTCTCATGAGATCTAGTCATTTTAATGTGTGTGGCAACTCCCCTCCCCTCACTCTCTTGCTCCTGCTTTTGCCATGTGACATGCCAGCTCCCCCTTTGCCTTCTGCCATGAGTGTAAGCTTCCTGAGTCCTTATAAGCAGATACCTCATGTCATGATTCCTGTATAGCCTGCAAAACTGTGAATCAATTAAATCACTTTTCTTCATAAATTATGCAGTCTCCAACGTAGCAATGCAAGAATGGCCTAACGCACCATGTGATGTGTCTGCTCCCCTTTCACCTTCCTGCAGTAACTGTAAGCTTCTATGACTGTAAATTTCCTCATCAGAAACAGATGCTGGCACCATGCTTCTTGTACAGCCTGCAGAACCATGAGCCAATTAAACTTCTTTTCTTCATAAGTTACCTAACCTCAGGAATTCCTTTATAGTAATGCAAAAATGGTCTAGTACAGAATATTGGTCCTGAGGAGTGGGGCATTGCTCTAAAGAGAAGTGAAAATGTGAAAGCAGGTTTGGAACTTGGTAACAGGCAGAGGCTGAAAGAGTTTGGAGGGCTCAGAAGAGGACAGGAAAATGAGGGAAAATTCGGAACTTCTTAGAAACTGGTTAAATGGTTGTGATCAAAATGCTAATAGAAATATGGACAGTGAAGTCCAGGCTGAACAGGTCTTAGATGGAAATGAAGAAGTTATTGGAAACTGGAGTAAAAGTCACCCATGTTATGCCTTAGCAAAAAGCTTGGATGCATTGTGCACATGTTCTAGGGATCTGTGGATACTTGAACATAAGAGTGATGACTCAGGGTAACTGCCAGAAGAAATTTCTAAGCAGCAGAGCATTTAAGAGGTGGTCTGGCTACTTTTAACAACCTATGATCAGATATGGAAGCAAAGAAATGACCTAAAGTTGGCACTTATATTTAAAAGGGAAGTAAAGTGTAAAAGGGAAGTAAAGTGTAAGTTTGGGAAATTTGTAGCCTTGCCATATGGCAGGAAAAGAATCCAAGCAGGCTGTAGAGTAACCACTTACTAGAGAGATTAGCATGACTAAAAGGGAGCCAAGTGCTAATATCCAGGACAATGGGGAAAAGGCCTTGAAGGCATTTCAGAAATCTTAGAGACAGATGCTCTCAGCTCTCATCACAAGTCCAAAGGCAGAGAAGGAAAGAATAATTACAGGCGCCAGGCCCAGGGCCTCATTGCCCTGGTCAGCCTCAGGACACGGCTCCCAAGATCCTGGCAGCTCCAGATCCAGCAGTGGCTCAAAGAGCTACAAGTACAGCTCAGGCTGCCACTCTGGTGGACATATATCATAAGTCTTGGTACGTTCCACTGTGTGTTAAATCTGCAGGCATATAGAATGCAAGTGTGAAGGAGGCTTTGAAACTTCCTCCTAGATTTTAAAGGTTGTTTGAGAAAGCCTGGGTGCCCAGGAAGAAGCCTGCCACAGGGGCAGAGCCTTTACAGAGAATCTCCACAGGGCAGTGCAGAGGGTAAATGTGGGGTTGGAGCTCCAACACAGAGTCCCCACAAGGGCGTTGCCTCATGGAGGTGTTGAAGGGAGCCACCACCCTCCAGGCCCCAGAATGGTAGGGCCACAGGAAGCTTGCATCCTGAGCCTAGAAAAGCTGTAGGAACTCAGCTCCAACTCATGAAAGCACCCATGGGTGCTGCACCTTACAAAGTCACAGCTGCAGAGCTGTCCAAGACCTCGGGAGCCCACTCCTTGCACCACTCCATGTACTGGATGTGGGACATGAAGCCAAAGAAGACTATTTTGAAATTTTAAGATTTAGTGGCTGCCCTGCTGGGCTCTAGTCTTGCATGAAGCCCATAGTCCCCTTCTTTTGACCAATTTCTTTCTTTTGGAATGGATATGTCTACTCAATGCCTGTACTGCTATTGTATCTTGGAAACAAATAACTTAGTTTTGATTTCATAGGCTCATAGTTGGAAGGAACTCCATCTCCAGATGAGACTTTGGACTTTGCACCTTGCCATCTTTGAGTCAGGACTGGAACAATTTAAGACTTCTGGGGACTGTTGGGAAGGCACTATTGTATTTTGCAATATGAAAAGTACATGTGATTCGGCAGGTGGGGAGGGGCTAAGTAATATGGTTTGGATGTTTGTTGTCTCCAAATTTCATGTTAAAATGTAATACCTGGCATTGGAGGTGGGACCCAGTGGAAAGTGTTTTGGTCATGGGAGTAGATCCCTCATGAAAGGCTTAGTGCCATGCCCTTGGTGCACGAGTGAGTTCTTGCTCTGTGTTCACATGAGATCTGGTTATTTTAAAGGGTGTGGAACCTTCTCACTTTCTCTCTTGCTCCCTCTTTCTTGCTCCAGCTCCTGCCATGTTACATGCCTGCTCTCCATCTGCCTTCCAACATGATTGGAAGCTTTCCGATGCCCTCACCAGAAGCAAATGCTGGTGCCGTGCTTTCTGTACTGCCTGCAGAACTGTGAGTCAATTAAACCTCTCTTCTTTAAACATTACTCAGTCTCAGATATTTCTTTATAGTTATGCAAAAATGGCCTAATACAGCTATCAACCACGGAAAGACAGAGAGTAACTTTAAATGCATTACTACTAAGCGAAAGAAAAGAATGCGAATAGGCTACATACTGTATGATTCCAACTACGTGATGTTGTGGAAAAGGCAAAACTATAGAGACTGTGAAAAAAAGATCAGTGGTTGCCAGGGCTTGAGGGAAGAGAGAAATGAATAGAAAAAGCACAGAGGATTTTTTAGGACATAGAAACTAATCTGTGTTACTACAATGGTAAATACATGTAATTATACATCTGTCTAAACTCATGGAATATAGAACACCAAGAGTGAACCCTAGTATAAACTATGGAATTTGGATGGTAATGACATAGCAATGTAGGTTCATCAGGTGTAACAAATGTACCATTCTGATAAGGGATGTTGATAGTGGAGGAGGCTGTGGGTGTGTGGGGGGCAAGTAATATATGGAAACTGTGCCTTTTGCTTAATTTTGCTGTAAGCCTAAAATGGCTTTTAAAATAAAGTCTATTAAAAGTAAAACAAACAAACAAACAAAAAAACAAAAAAACAGACTACAGCAGTATAGATAGTAACATAATCTTACTAGAGTATTTATCCTATTTTGTATTAAAGGGAAATTGTTGTACTCCCATGAATGGGCACACCATAGTCAACCTATTGGTGGTAAACCTAGAAATTAATTTGAAGTCTTCTAACCTCAGGTTTTGGTAGCAGTAGGGTATGTTAAATCTAGTGTCCAAAGCCAGGGAGCTTTTTTTTTTACTAATTTTTGACTCAGAGCTGGATGTGGGGTAGATTCATGGTTTGGGCAATGCCAGCTCCTCTTCAACGTCATTCTCTAAGTCATAATTTCCAAGTATGCTGACAGACCCCGTTCATGGGAGCCTTTGTATAGTAAAGTTGGCTTGGTAAATGACACAGAAACAGGTATGCTTATCTCATGGAAAAGATCTCTACCACAACAATCTCCCCATAATATGATGTTTTTTTCCTTGAACCCGCAAGGAACATGCATAATTTGATTAGTACACATGGTAAATGTAGCTTAATATTGGGCATTTGAAACCTAATATTCCATTTCCTTGAAAAAAGTGTCTTCGGTATGTCTGTGGTACCTTACAGGAAGAAAGAGCTTGAAACGAAAAGGGCTAGTAATTCTTACAAAGAGCATTTTCATTGTATAAAAAAATAGCTTTAGATTTCTGTGTTCATTATTACTTATGACTTCGAAAATATCACTTGAGAGCAAAGACATTTCATACGTAGATATTATATTTTAAATATTTCTATAAAATCCAATGGCACATATAAATAACCCATAAGCAATATATAGAAATAGACAGCATCACCAATTTGATTGATGCTAAGGAAGAATACTGATTTGGAATTTGGCTGGCTGAGCCACACATTATTCTCATTTCCAACTGGGACATTTAATAGCCCTTATTGTCACTGGAAAATTGCATCCTTTTTGAATGACTAGAGAATGAGCTTGAGTCTTTTCAATCAGGATTCAGGAAGATGCTAATGTATTCTCTTGAGCACAGAAAGAATATATTTTTCTGGGGTCCAAACGATCAGGCTTCCCTTTTGCTAGCTGTAATTTTATGAAGGTATTTTACTCAAACTAACTTTTCTTGACTGTGGCTTTATGATCTTGGGGGTAACACAAGCGATCTCTCATCTTCATTGTACTACAAGGAAATAGGCAGTCTAATGTGAGTCAAAGAAGTACAATTACTTGTAAAAGGGAGAGGAAAAACCATTGTTCCCTTTTCCCCAGTGGAACCCCCGCCTTGGCACAATTCTGGGATTGCTTCCCACCTCCCTGGCCACTGCCCCTGTGGGTTGCTCTGACTGATCTAGTTTGGTCTCCTCATGAAAGCAGCCCTAAGCTTTGAGAATAGGTTTATGGCTATTTTATCTTTTTTTAATTAAAAATTCATTCAGTTTCAAAAAAAAAATCTTCTGATTAATCCCCTTCTGACATAATTTTCTGAAGCCTATATCAGTAGACTTAAATAAAATGACACATGTATTTATCACATAGTTTATGAAGCACCCTCACATATTGTCTCCTTGCCAGTGGCCCATTATCTCCATTTATCTTTTACAGGGGAGGGCTCAAGTTCTAAGAGGTCTAACTCAAGGCCACAGGGAAACAAATTGCAGAGCCAGCACAGGAGACTTTGTTCTCCAACTTCTTGTAATTGGTTCTCAAATTTGAGCATGCATTAGAATCGCCTGGGGGACCTGTTATTAAAACACAGATTTCTAAGCCCCACAAGCAGAGTTCTTGATTCAGTAATTCTTTGATGGAACCAAGCATTGCATTTCAAACAAATTCTCAGGTGATGCTGTTGCTGCTGATCTGGGAACTACACTTTGAGATCCACTGGTCTAGAACACACTGTAAGTGTTAGTCTCATGTTCCTTACACCAGACCAAGAACAATTTCATGAAATAAAAACAAGTATGTAATACAAAGGACAGGATAATATTATAAAAATATCTTCAGACCCATGGCCTCCCTTCTTCTGACCCCTTACCAAAGAAGTTCAGAGTTTATCATCATTGCTGTCTTACTGTAATGCCCTGAGGTTGAAGTGGTAATAGCCTGATGGTATGGAGAGAGGAGACTCTGTGGTCTTTGTGTTAGCAAAATGTGTTTCCAGAGTATGATCATTTTCATCTTTTCTGGTGATTCATCACATGCTGCTCTCTCAGCAGGCTTTCGGCATTTGGCATCCACAGGAAACTCCAGCTTGACTTAAGGAGTGAGGTAAGTCTTATTTTCAGCAAGGAAATATTCACCATTGCTAAATTAGTTTGGATTTGCTTTAGATTTAAACATGGGTTTATTTTAAAAGACACTGAGGCCAAAGGAAAAACAAACAGCCCTGCATGTGTTGGGGAAGCACTGTCTTATTGACAGAGAAGCTGGCTAGCTGAAATCAAATGTTTTTCAGAACAAAGATATTATGGTCTTAAGATTTCACTTGAATTTAAATTCTAGAATATTCTAACAATAATGAGCATTTAATATGTGCTAGATTTTTAAAAATTTTACTTTAAATTCTGGGATACATGTGCAAAACATGCAGTTTGTTACATAGGTATACATGTGCAGTTTCTGTGGCATTCCTAGCAAACCTAAGAAGGAGGATTTTAAATATCTCCATTTTATTTATGAGAAAACCAAGGCCAAAAGAGATGAGGTGATCTACCTAAGATCACGTAGCTTATTAAGAGGAGGGATTTGAACCCAAACTTAGTCTGGATTCTGTGTTTGGGCTTACAACCATTATTCACTAAATGACCCATGATATCTGAAAAGAATCCATAGGGAAAGAAGAAGCAAGAATGAGACTAAGCCCAAGTGTAATGCTTTCCCAGGACTGAGCCAGCAAAATGTAATAATTTTCCATCTTAATTCCTTTGACTTACAACTGGGAACCAGTATTCTGGGTCCAAGACAGACAACCTCAAACCTTGGATGACTCATGGATACTTTTAGCTCATCTAGGTAAATTGCCTTAACAACAACAACAACAACAACAACAAGCAACAACAATAATAAATTAGTGAGTAGTAATGGGAAAGAAAACTAAATGAAATAATTTGATTCAGATACATAGAAAATTAAGGAAGAAAACAATTCTGTTTCACCTGATAGGTCCTAATTTAATCTAGTATCAAGGTCTGGTATCAATCATTTCTCTCTCAAAAGCAAAAATAATAAGACTTTTTTTTGTTACATGAGTCATTTTGTGAAACTAATTAACTTCCTGTGGAACACAATGCTCTCCCATTATTTTTTGGCCGAACTATCAGGTGGTTAACTCCTTTATTTATTTCTTCTTTTTAAAAAATTGTCTACCAAACTAAAGTTGAGAAAGAGGAGAGGGAGGGTCAGAGGGTGTCACAATTGTTACCCTTCTCAACATTCATATTATTACTTGGTTACCAAAGACCTCAGCTTGAAATGAAGGAATATTAGCTCAAGTTATGGACTCTTTGCTGCTTTCAAATTGTTTTTAACTATGCAATTGTCAAACTTTCTTAGGAGTTTCTGGAGTTCTTCATTTAGTGCTGAGAAAATAAATAACTTTAATTGATATATCAATTTAAATTTATGAGGAGTTTCATATATATTATTCAGTTTGATTCTTGTAACAATTCATGACCTAACTCATGTGGGTACTATACTTCTTATTTTTCAAATGCAGAAACTAATACCCAGGGAAACGCATGTGGAAAAACTTTTATTTAGTAAATGACAAAATTCAGATTTGAATCCCAGCTTTAAAACAATAAAATTTTAGTTCTTTTTAGTTTTTGTACTATAATGTAATACCAGATTATATAAAATAACCTTATTATAGTTTTTCTTGTAATCACCATTGAAAACAGTTTACGTATGTATTTTAAAGGAAAACACAATCCATTTTTTCCCAAGCAAGTTATTAATATTTGAGGAATGTGGAAACTCAAATAAAAGTTCTGTTTTAAATTTTGGAAAGTAATTTCAATACAAAGTCTTTAAATTACAAAAAAAACTTTGAAAATCATTGATAAACTATTTTGAAAGTGTTATATTTGTAATTTGTTGACAAGTGCTAATTTTCCATTTCAAAGATATGATTAAAAACAAAATGAAGTTCAGTTTCCAGTTCTGCATGCTTGGAAGTTGCCACTCTGTCCAAACAATAGGTAAAAATAAGTAAAAAGCTAAATAAACTAAAAAATAAATAAATAGAAACAACTTAGATACTTCACAGAAGCAAAGTCACAGGGTAAATCTGCTATCTCCCAAACTGGAAATACGGGCAGATAGAGAGACTCTCCATATACCAGAGAACAAATCTCCCCAGGAATCATTGCTGAAGTAGAAAAACCTGAGCTATAATTGACAAATTCCTGGAGGCTAACTGTGGACAAGTCTGAGAGTTAAAAACTTCAGGCGGACCTAGTCATAGGAGGGTACTGACATGTTTGTGAGTTTTATCACCAGGTTCTCACAGAAAACATCAGAAAGAAATACTTCCATGCTTCCAGCAAGGGAGAAGGGAAAGGATCCATTCTGAATTAAGCGCACCCTGTTCTTAATAAGGTCTGTCCTCAAAAGAAACCAGTTAACCACAGAGCCTAATTTCCTAGGGAAAACCCAGCTGACTTGGGAGAAGAAAAATACCCAACTGAAGCCTACTTTAGCCATTTTGTTCCACTTAAGGTTTGGGGAAAGGATGGAGAAGCATGTGTAAAGTTCACAGTCCAGAGAGACAAACTCACTAAAAGACTGAAACCTACTTGTAGAACTATATAATCCTTCCCTTCCCACACACCTCACCACCACATTACTAAAGACCTATTTACAGCAGTCGCTTTGATCCAATACATTAGGTTTGACTATCAAGAAAAAATTCAAGGCAAACTAAAAGGCAAAAAACATTATGAAAAGACAGTGAAAGCATCAGAACCAGACATGGCAGGGAATTTAGGATTATCAGGAAATTTTAAAACATTATTAATATGGTAAGAGCACTAACGGGTAAAGGAGACTACATGCAAGAACAGATGGGCAATGTAAGCAGAGAAATTGCAATTCTGAGAAAGTACCAAAAGAAAATGCTGGACACAAGAAAACACTAACAAAAATAAAGAATGCCTTTGATGAGCTTTTTAGTAGACTAGACATGGCGGAGAAAAAGGTCTCTGAACTTGAGACTATATTAATAGAAACTTTCAAATCTGGAAAGCAAAGAGGACAAAGATTGGGCGGGGTGGAGAGGTGGGGACAGAGGGAGAATAAAATATCCACAAACTGTGGAACAACTACAAAAAGTATAACTTACATGTAGTGGAAATACTAGAAGAAAAAGGAAAACAACAGAATATTTGAGACAATAATAACTGAGAATTTTTCCGGATTAATATCAGACACCAAACCACAGATTCAGGATGTACACAGAACACCAAGGAAGATAAATGACAAAAACAAACAAACAACAACAAAAAACTACACTTAAGCATGCCATTTTCAAACTACAGAAAATCAAAGATTTTTTTTCTAAATCCTGAAAGAAGCCAGAGGGGGATAAAACAGCTAATTTTATTGCTTTTAGTTTGTGTGTGTGTGTGTGTGTGTAGATATATAGTAGGTGTATATATTTATGGGGTACATGAAATATCTTGATACAGGCATACAATGTGCAATAATCACATCAGGGTAAATGGGGTATTCATTACCTGAAGCATTTATCCCTTCTTTACGTTACAAACAATCCAATTATACTCTTTTAGTTATTTTTAAATGTAAAATAAATTATTGTTGACGGGAGTCACTCTGTTGTGCTATAAAATACTAGATGTTATTAATTCTACCTAATTGTATTTTTGTGCACATTAACCATTGTCTCTTCCCCTAGTCACTATACTTTCTAGCATCTGGTAACCATTGTTCTATTCTCTATCTCCATGAGTTCAATCGTTTTAATTTTATTTCTCACAAATAAGTGAGAACATGAAAAGTTTGTCTTTCTGTGCCTGGCTTATTTTGCTTAAAGTAATGGCCTCCAGTTCCATCCATGTTGCAAACGACAAGACCTCATTCATTATTATGGCTGAATAGTACTCAACTGTGAATATGCTCCACATTTTATTTACCTGTTTGTCTGTTGATGAACATGTACATTGCTTCCAAAGCTTAGCCATTGTGAATAATGCTGCAATAAACGTGAGTGTGCAGATATCTGTTTGATATACTGATTTCTTTTCTTTGGGGTATAGACCTAGCAACGGGATTGCTGAATCATATAACTCTATTTTTAGTATTTTTTTTGCAAGTTCCAAACTAAAAAACAGCTAATTTTATAGAGAAACAAAAAAGAAATACATCTGATTTCTCTTTGGAGACCAAGCAAGCAATAAGAAAGTAGAGTGAAATATTTGAATTATTGGGGAAAGAAAAACCCACCAACCTAGAATTCTGTACCCTGTGAAATTATCCTTCAAAAATGAAGGAGAAATAGACTTTGGCAGACAAACAAATATTGATGAACTTGCACTGCAAGAAATGTTAAACAAAAAAAGATTTTTAGAGAGAAAGAAAGTGATATAGGTCAGAAACTCATATCTACATAAAGAAAGAGCATCAAAAAAGGAATAAATGCAAGTAAAATAGAAACTTATTTTTGCTATTCTTCATTGACCTAACAGATAATAGTTTGTTCAAAATAAAAACAGAAACAACATATTAGTTATGTATGCATATGATACAGACAAGAGGCAGGGAAATACTGGGTAGAAAAGGGAAGGGTCTCTGGTGAGGGCTCCACCCTCAAGCCTAAACCCACAGCCCTAAGTGAGAGCTTCACATCCTTGTTTTCCCACCTGAATGTTGCCTTTTGGCTCACCATGCCCCCTATCCTATGCCCATAAGAACCCCAAACCCCAGACTCAGCTCACACACACACAGAAGAGAGAAGCATCTGAATGTCGAGAGAAGAAGTAGCTGGACATTGGAGACTACAGTCAGAGAGGAGTTTGCCAGGGATGGTCAGTGACTGCTGGGGAAGGCTGAACTCCAGGGCAAGACTGCCTTCCCACTCAATACCCTTTCCAGCTCCCATCCCTCTGAGAGCCACTTCTACCACTCAATAAAATCTCCACACTCACCATCCTTCAAGTCTGTGTGGCCTCATTCCTCTTGGGCACCAGACAAAAATTTGGGATGCACTGGGTGCGGGAACCCAGAAAAGGCTGTCACATTGGCCCTTCGCCCTTGCTGGCAGTGGGCAGCTGCCTCATACAATGAGGCAAAAGGCTCACTGGGCTGGTAACATACCCTGTGGGGCTCCGGGGCTCACAGGCACCCCCTTCCAGATGGCAGTGCTAAAAGAGCATGGTAACGTGCTAGGATGCTGCCAAGCGGCCTACACAGAGCCTCCTCCCACCAGAGAGGAGCCATCAGCCGGTTCCAGCATTTGTTAGCTTTGTCTCCTGCACCTACTCACCTGCATGCTCCCCATCCCATGAGGGGTTCAGAGCTGCAGGCTGAGTAAATGAGCCGCCCCTTCACAAGTCCCACTCCTGAAGGGGCCAAGGGAACTATCCCATTTTGTGTATATATATATGTGTGTTATACACACTTATATATAAGTGAAATAAATGATAACAATGAGATAAAGGATGAGAAGCAGCAATGAGGATTATTTCGTTATAAGGTACTCACACTGCCTTTGAAGCAGTACGGTGTTACTTGAAAGTGGGCTTGAATTAGTTGTAAATGTATTTGCACACTCTAGGGAAACCACTAAAATAAGTTTATAAATGAATGTAACTGATATGTTTTATTGATACATTACAATGCTGTATGATATTGATACATGATAATGATATTCATACATTATAAATGAATGTAACTGATATGCTAAGAATGGAGAAAAAATCCAATCATATAAAATTCTCAATTAAAATAACAAAAAGCAGAAAGAAGACAAAAATAAGAACAAAGAAAAAGGGAACAAATAAAACAGCAATAAATGTGCCAAATATTAATCCAATTATATCAATAATCATTTTGAATGTCCATGGTCTAAATGCAACACTTAAAAGACAGAGATTGTCAGAGTGGATCAAAAAATAAGTCCCAACTGTAAGTACCCACAAGAAACCTACTTTAAATATAAAGGCACATTTAAATTAAAAGTAAATGAATGGGTTGGGCACCATAGCTCACACCTGTAATCCCAGCACTTTAGGATACAAAGGCGGGTGGATCACTTGAGCCCAGAAGTTCAAGACCAGCCTGGCCAACATAGTGAAACTCTATCTCAACTGAAAATACAAAAAATTAGCTGGGTGTCATGGCACATGCCTGTAATCCAAGCTACTTGGAAAGCTGAGGCAAGAGAACTAATTGAACCCAGGAGATGGAGGTTGCAGTGGGCTGAGATCATGCCACTGCACTCCAGCATAGGCGACAGAGATAGACTCTGTCTCAAAAGAAAAAAAATAAAAATAAAAGGTAAATGGAAGGGAAAAGCGATACCATGCTAACACTAACTAAAAGAAAGCAGGAATGGTTATGTTAATCTCAGACGAAGGAGGCTTTAAAGTTATTAGAGATAAAGAGGGGCATTACATAATGATAAACTCATTATCAGTTTTATCAGTTCACCAAGAACACATAACAATCCTTAATATGTATGCACCTACAACAGAGCATCAAAATACATGAGGCAAAAACTGATAGAATTGCAAGAAGAAATAGATAAATCTACTATTACAGTTGTTGGAGACAACAACATCTTTCTATCAAAAACGGGCAGATCTAGCAGGCGGAATGTCAGTAAGATGTAGTTGAACTCAATAGCACCATTATTCAACTGGATATAATTGACATCTATGGAGTACCTCATCAAACAAAAGCAGAATGCACATTTTTCTCAAGTTCACATAGAACATTCTTGAAGATAAACTACATTGTAAGCCACAAATTACACCTTAGCATATAAGTACCCACAAGAAACCTACTTTAAATATAAAGGCACATTTAAGTTAAAAGTAAATTAATGGGTTGGGCACCAAGTAAATGGAAGGGAAAAGCGAATAGAAGAGAAATCATACAATATCGGCTATCAGATCACAATGGAATCCAATTAGAAATCAACAACAAAAAAATTGAAAAATCACATATACATAGAGAATAAACAATATCCTTGTAAATAATAAGTGGGTCAAAAAAGAAATCTCAAGATAAATTTAAAAATACTTTGAACTAAGGGAAAATGAAAATACAACATCAAAATTTACGGGATGCTGTGAAATCTGTACTTAGAAAGAAATGTATAGCATTGAATGCATATATTATAAAAAAGAAAGACGTAAAATCAATCACCTAAACTTCCGCTTTAGGAAACCAGAGAAGAAGAACAAATTAAATCCAATGTAAGCAGAAGAAAAGAAATAAAAATTAGAGTAGGAATCAATGAAATTGAAAACAGGAAATCAATAAAGAAAATAAATGAAACCTAAACTTGCTTCTCTGAAAAGATCAATAAAATGAATAAGGTTTTAACCAGTGTATCTAAGAAAAAATAGAAAGAACAGAAATTATTAAAATAAGAAATGAAAGAAGGAACATCACTACAGATTCTATGAACATTAAACGAATAGTAAAGCAATAATATGAACAACTCAATGCCCCAAAATTTGATAACCAAGATGAAATGGACGAATTCCTTGAAAGACAAAATCTGCCAAAACTCACACATAAAAAAGGAAAATCTGAATAGGCCTACATATGTTAAAGAAATTGAATCACTAAACAATATACTTTCAAAACAGAAAGCATCAGGCCCACATGGATTAACTAGTAAATTCTACCAAACAGCTAAGAAAGAAATGACATCAATTCTCTACTATCTTTTCCAAAAGATAGAAGCAAAGGAAATACTTCCTAACTCATTCTATGTATTGCCCTAAAGCAAAAAACCATACAGAAATATTACAAGAAAACTATATACCAGCAATAAACAAATGGAATTTTAAATTAAAACCACAATATTATTTACATTAGCACCCCCCAAAAGGAAATATTTAAGGATAATTCTAACAAAATATGTACAAGATCCATATGAGAAAAACTACAAAACTCTGACAAAACAATTGGAATAACTAAATAAGTAGGGGAAAGTTTCCATATTCATGAATAGGAAGACTCAAAATTGTCAAAATGTCAATTCTTTCCAACTATAGATTCAGTGCAGTCTCCATCAAACTCCTAGCAAGATATTTTGTGAAAACCAAAAGCTGATTATAAAGTGGAGAGGCAAAAATCCAAGAGTAGCCAAAACAATATTGAAAGAGAAGAACAAAGGTGGAGGCCTGACACTAGCCAAATGCAAGACATAAAACTCCAGTAATCAAGACACTGTAGTATTGGTAAAAGTATACACAGATAGATCAACGGAACAGAATAGAAAACTCAGAAACAGACCTACATCAGTATAGTCAAGTGATCTTTGACAAGGGAGCAAAGTCAATACCATGAAGAAAAGAAAGCCTTTCAACAAATGATTCTGATACTACTGGGTGTCAACATGCAAAAAAAAAAAAAAAAGGCATCTAAACACAAGCCCTACACCCTTCAGAAAAACTAACTCAAAATAAATCACAGACCTCCATGTAAAACACAAAGCTACAAAACTCTTGCAAGATAATATAGGAGAAAATCTAGATGGCCTTGTGTGTGGCAATGACTTTTTAGATATGACCTCAAAGTCATGGTCCATGAAAAAAGGAATTGACAATCTGGGCCTCATTAAAATTTAAAACTTCTGATTTGCAAAAAACACCCCCAAGAGAATGAGAAGATTACCCTCAAACTGGAAGAAAATATGTTTAGAAGACATATCTTGTAAGGGATTCTTAAAAACATACAGAGAACTCTTGTAACTCAACAATAAAAAAATAAAATAAAATAAAATGAGCCAAAGATGTGAATGAGCCAAACACCTGACCTAAGAATTTATGCAGGTGATAAATAAGCATACAAAAAATTGTTTAACATCATGTGTCGTTAGGGAATTGCAAATTAAAACAACCATGAGATACTACTATACACGTATTTGAATGGCCAACATCCAAAACAGACAGCACCATATCCTGGTGTGTATATGGAGCAACAGGAACTCTCATTCATTGCTAGTAGGAATGCAAAATGATACAACCACTTTGGAAGATAGTTTGACAGTCTCATATAAAACTAAACATATTATTAACGTATATTCCAACGATTGCATTCCTTGGTACTTACACAAAGGAGTTCATATATTTTGTCTTCAAAAACCTGCCCATGGATGTTTATAGCAGCTTTATTCATATTTACCAAAACTTGGAAGCAGACAAGATGTCCTTCAGTAGATGAATGGATAGGTACACTGTGGTACATCCAGACAATAGAATATTATTCAGTGCTAAAAAGCAAGAAGCTATCAAACCATGAAAAGATAGGGAGAAAACTTAAGTGCATATTATAAAGTCAAATAAGACAATCTGAAAAGGGCACATACTGTATGACTCCAACTATACAACATTCTGGATAAGAAAAAAATATGGAGACAGTAAGAAGATCAAATGTATAGAAGAAGCACAGGGAATTTTTAGGGCAGAGAGATCATTTTGTAAAACTCTATATGGTGAATACATGCCATTTACATTTGTCCAAACTCGTAGAATGTACACCACCAAGAGTGAACCTCAAAATAAACTATGGAGTTTGAATGATAATGATGTGTCACTGTAGGTTCATCAGTTGTAACGAATGTACCCCTCTGCTAAGAGATACTGATAGTGGGGGAAGCGATGTGTGTGTGGGTACAGAGGGTATGTGGTATATCTGTTTCTTCTTCTCAATTTGGCTGTGAACCTAAAACTGCTCTGAAAAAAATTTTTTTAAGAAAAGCAATAAAAAATGGATGCATACTACAATATAGATAAACCCTGAAAACATCATGCTAAATGAAATAACCTAGTCACAAAATACCATATGTTGTATGATACCATTAATTTGAAATGTCCAGAATAGGCTTGTGTACAGAAACAGAAATTAAATCATTTGTTGCCTAGGGCTGGAGTGTTGGAGGAAAAATGCGAAGTGATTGATAATAGGTATGGATTTTCTTTTGTGGGTGATGAAAATGTTCTAAAATTAATTGGACTGGTGGTTACACAACTGAATACACTAAAAACTGATGAATTATATAATTCAGTTGGATAGATTTAAAGGTATGGTATATGAACCATGTCTTAGTAACATTATGATGTCTTAAAACTAAATAAATTGGAAATGTAAAATTATAGACAAAGAAGAAAAAGAAAATCTTGCAAATGGCTGCTGAACTTTATCAACTAAGCATAAAGAAAAGGCTAAAGACTCAGTGTCGATAACACAGTGGTGGCTGTGGCCAGTACCTTAGAAAAGAGAAATGTGTCTCCCTAAAATACATAATGATATGAACAAAAAGAAATAAAAACAGGAACTTAATTTAACAATGGCAACTAAATAAGAATATTAATTTCATCCATTACAAAAAGTAGTGACATAAAAATTAAATGGAAATGTCTAGCTTGCTTTGTATATTTCCTAAGCCTTCTCTGGTTTTGAGAACCAATAATGTGGAAAGAACATGAGTAAAATAAATCCCAAGAATTATTTCTACCAATTAGGAGAAAAAGCAACTGAGAGTGAGAGCAGGCAGGTTAGAGAAGAGAAATGAAAAGTCACTGGAGTCTGGAAGCACCAGCCTTCTACTATAGACTCTCAATGCTGGCAACAAAAATTTCCAGAAATCAGTATTTTTCAGGTTTTCATGATGAATAGAAAAAATGTTCCAAAACCCAAAGCCATATCCCCAAGGAAATAGGTAGCTTTGCTGTCTGAGAGGAGTGAACCCAAATACAAGACTTTGAACACAATGCAAAAGACCTAGGACCATCAACAAAGACTATGGTTAGCTCTTCTTCTAAGGCCATCCCAAGCTATGGAAAATTGGGTACAGAATAATCCTCATGCTTCAATATTTACTCAAAGGAGAAGACAAAAAAATTATATAAAGTGTGCAGAATATTGATGATAAACTACTCACATTATAGTAAATGAAATAGAATACCTAGACAGATAGTACTACAATATGCATGAGAAAGGTGAGAAAAAGGAAGAGATGGAGGGAAGGAAGAAGGAAGGAAAGAAGGAAGAATTCGGAAGGAAGGAGAGAAAAAAATAAACGAAGGGTAAATAGATTTCTTTGTATTTTAAAAGACTTTTTGTACTGAATCAGGAACTAGAAGATGCATGAAGAGGAGGCCTAAACACTTGATTGGAAAATGTATCAAAGAAGAGAGAATTGTATTTTGCTTAAAAACGTGATCTGAGTGTCAGCCAAATCTGTTAACATTGGCTAAATTAGTGAGTCAGTGATACATAACGATAAACAGTACTCTCATTGATATGCAACTATCTCAAACTTTGGGTTGATTGAGGCATCTCTGTTGTGCTCAATTGCCTCACTCAGGTCAGTAGGTCAGCTGACTCAGGCTGGGTTAGGTTGGCTAAATTCTACTTTATGTTGCTCATTCTAGTACTCAGCCTGAGGAGCAACAGCCGCACAGGGAGAGCTCTTTTCTCAGTAATGGCAGAGGCACAAGAGTGCTTGACAATAAATGCACTTTACAAATCTCTGCTTACATCACATCTGCTAATCTTCAATTGGCCAAAACAAGTTACATGGCTGAGCCCACAGTCAAGGATTAGAGAAAAAGATTCTACCCATGGTGGTAGGAAAAACTGCAAAAGTACATGGCAACAGGCTTGTTTGTGAGAAGGAAGATGTGCTGGGGCCAACAATTCAATCTCCCACTTGTTATTTTAAGCAAGAAACATATAATGTTTTCTCCTCAGAAAAATGGCAATAATAGCAGCAACTTCACAGTGTTAAGAGAAATGAATAAATTGCTGTATAGTCAGTAACTAGAAACCAAAAATGTAAATGAGAAAAAATGAGTATCTATCATTTGTTTAATATTTGTTCCAGCCACTGTGTGGTAAGTCCTAGAAATGTTATAGAGAACCACTGGTTAGCTCACAGTATAATGGGAGAGGCCAAGATACAAAAATATAAAATGCAATATCTTTGAAAATTTATAAATCTGTGTACTTTTGATATATATATATTTCTGATGTATATTATATTACAGTAAAAAGTTTTTAAAATAGTATGTGTAATAAATGGAGTGGAGGGAAAAGTAATAGATACAGAAATGACATGAAATACAGACAATACAACTCTGTTTACATTCTGGAAACTTTCCCAGGAGAAATGATATATGAATTGGGGTTTTAAGAGAAAGAATATAAAAGGGTAGTGGTCCAGGTGGTTGGGATGTAAAGACATGTACAGAGGCCATATTCTAGGAAAAGAAAACATCATTACAAAGTAGATGTGAGCTCACTGCTTGACTCCAGCTGTGGGAATCAAATATAGAGACTAGAGCAGAAGGCAATACTCGAGCTAGGTCACACATGAGGGAAGAGGCAGTCTTCAGTTCATTGAGCTCATGAATCCAGATAATCTAGACATGAGGCTTAGGGATGGACTTATGTCAAGTTCTGTCTGCCAGTTAGAGTACAGCTTATTATATACTTTCAGTCCCTGTTCTCCTTGTTCCTAGGATTACTAAGAACTGATCTTACTGAGATGTTTTTAGATTTTTTCTCTAGGAAAAAAAAGATTAACTACCACAACAGATGGGTTATGAGACACACACATTTTCTTGATCCTTGTAAGCAAATCACATAACTGTTTAGAAAAATAAAATGATTTGAGAAGAGTTTTTATGTTAAAATTAAAAAGACAGAAAGAAACAGAAATTTTGATAATTTCAGAAAACCAAAAATACAAATCTTCTTACAAAAGAAATCACAGGACAAGACTGGTTTTACTAGAAAATTCTACCAAAGTTTCAAGGTAGAGATAACTTGAACCTTACACAAGAAGTAACTCCCTCTAATTAATTTTATGAATAGTATAAACTTGATACCCAAAACCAGCAAGGGAAAAATGAAAAAGGAAACCTGCAAATTGATCTCATTCATTAATAGGTGTAAAAGAAATCATAAATGAAATATTAGCAAGTCAATTCCAACAACATACAGCAAAGATATATCACGATCAAAATGAGTTTATGCTGGGTATACAAAGTACATTTAAATTAGAAAATCAATGTATTTGATTTATAAAATTAACAGATTGAAGAAAAAATATGATAATCTGAATAGATGCAGCAAAGCATTTAATAAAGTTAATAAATATTCATGATTTAAAAAAAACTATTAGCTAACCAAGGATTGATTGGAACTTCTTTAACCTGATAAAGGCAGAGACTGCTATTTCCCTATTTACTTTCCAATATTCGCTTCTATTTTAGTTAAATAATCTCAATTTTGATGGGATATCTGTGTAAACTATAAGAAGACCCCACATTTTTTAACTTCACTTGTAGCTGATTACTCATGAAACATGAGGGTTTTGCAAGCTCTTTGAGAAGGCCTCTTTTTTTTATTATTATACTTTAAGTTTTAGGGTACATGTGCACAATGTGCAGGTTAGTTACATATGTATACATGTGACATGCTGGTGCACTGCACCCACTAACTCATCATCTAGCATTAGGTATATCTCCCAATGCTATCCCTCCCCCCTCCCCCACCCCACAACAGTCCCCAGAGTGTGATGTTCCCCTTCCTGTGTCCATGTGTTCTCATTGTTCAATTCCCACCTATGAGTGAGAATATGCGGTGTTTGGTTTTTTGTTCTTGCGATAGCTTACTGAGAATGATGATTTCCAATTTCATCCATGTCCCTACAAAGGACATGAACTCATCATTTTTTATGGCTGCATAGTATTCCATGGTGTATATGTGCCACATTTTCTTCATCCAGTCTATCATTGTTGGACATTTGGGTTGGTTCCAAGTCTTTACTATTGTGAATAGTGCCGCAATAAACATACGTGTGCATGTGTCTTTATAGCAGCATGATTTATAGTCCTTTGGGTATATACCCAGTAATGGGATGGCTGGGTCAAATGGTATTTCTAGTTCTAGATCCCTGAGGAATCGCCACACTGACTTCCACAATGGTTGAACTAGTTTACAGTCCCACCAACAGTGTAAAAGTGTTCCTATTTCTCCACATGCTCTCCAGCATCTGTTGTTTCCTGACTTCTTAATGATTGCCATTCTAACTGGTGTGAGATGGTATCTCATTGTGGTTTTGATTTGCATTTCTCTGATGGCCAGTGATAGTGAGCATTTTTTCATGTGCTTTTTGGCTGCATAAATGTCTTCTTTTGAGAATTGTCTGTTCACGTCCTTCGCCCACTTTTTGATGGGGTTGTTTGTTTTTTTCTTGTAAATTTGTTTGAGTTCATTGTAGATTCTGGATATTAGCCTGAGAAGGCCTCTTAATAGAAACTGATTTTCCCCCATATCCCTACCCCCAACTTCCTCCTTCTTGTTTCCTGAACAGTTGCTGTGAAGACTAGAAATGCACGAGCCATTTTGCATCATGAAATGACCTTAAAAGGGCAATTCACATGAAGAATGGTGGAGGAGAAAGATTAAAGAGATACCCAGATAGTGAGCATAGTACCTGATAGGTGGAATTTTTTTCAACTCATGTTGTCCTCCCTATCTCCCACTTCTAGTAGTTTGCAGTGTCTATTTTTCCCATATTTATGTCTGTGTGTGCTCAACGTTTAGCTCCTATTTATAAGTGAGAACCTGTGGTATTTAGCTTTGTGTTTCTTTGTTAATTTATTCAGGATGATGGCCCCTAACTGCATCCATGTTGCTGCAAAAGACATTATTCCATTCTTTTTATGCGTGCATAGTGTTCCATGGTGTATATGTGTGTGGTATGAATACACTATAGAACTTTGACATTAAAATAAACACTTTTCCATCAAAAGACCTTATAAAGGAAATAAAAAGACAAGCCATAAGCAGAGCTATTTGAAACACTTAGAATTGACAAAGGATTTAGTACCCAGATTATGTAAGTAAATCCTAAAAATATAATAGAAAAAAAGACAAATGACTCAACAGAAAATTAGAAAATATTATTGAACTGGTTTTCAAAGAAGAGTTAATACGAATGGTATCAAATCTATGAAATGATTGTAATCTAATAATCAGAAAAATGCAAATTAAAACTATAATGAAATATAATTTTGCTTGACATGATTGGCAGAAATGTTTAAGTCTGACAATACCAAGTATTTGAAGGCTGTAGTACAAGTTTTATTATTTTTGAGATTGTATATTTTCACTACCATCTAGGTAATTAGGCATTATCTATTACATTTTAAGATGTACACAATTGATTACCCAGAAATTTTCTCTCACATGAAAAACCCAAAACATTTACATGTATATTTTAGGAGACAAGTATGCAAATACTCATAGCAGTTTTTTTTTTTAAGTAAAATACTACAAATACCCCAAATGCTACACTATAAATGGCCATCAGCAGAAGAATGGGTAAATAAGTTGTGGTATACAATATGGATTGGCTGTGTTCCCACCTAAATACCTTGAATTATAATAATTCCTGTGTGTCAAGGGTCAGAGGGGTGGGGCAGGTGGAGATAATTGAATCATGGGGGCAGTTTCCCCCATACTGTTCTCATGGTAGTGAATAAGTGTCATGAGATCTGATGGTTTTATAACTGGGAGTTCCCCTGCACAAGCTCTCTTTCCTGCCACCATGTAAGACATGTTTTTGCTTCTCCCTTGTCTTCCGCCATGATCATGAGGGCTCCCCAGCCATGTGGAGCTGTGAGTCCATTAAACCTCTTTTCTTTATAAATTACCCAGTGTTGGGTATGTCTTTATTAGAAGAGTGAGAACAGACTAATACAGTATATTTATATGAAAGAATAATGCACAGCAGTGAAATGAGTGAACTACAACTACACAGATTAACATGGAAAAATCTATAATAAAATTTTAACCAAAAGAAAAAGTGTCAAAATATGACATAAATATGATTCTATTAAAGTTCAAAAATGTGCAAAGCAAATTAATAAATTTTAATTACACTTATGTGGTAAACAATAAAGAAATGCATGGAAAAGATAAGTACAATGATCTGAATAGTTTTCTTCTCTGTGTATGGGATAAGGAGTGGCTAAGGTCACACAGAATCTGAAAACTGGTAATGGTCCTTGCCTTAACCCACGCTGTGGATACCAAGGTTTTATTAATTATTATTATTTACATTTTTAATTTTTATTCTCCTGTATGTGTGAAATATTTCATATTAAAAAGCAAAAACAAACTACAACAAAAAATAGTAAGAATTACTCAGGACAGACTATCTAGTTCTATGGACATGATTATTTTAAGGGAGCCAGTATTATGAAACTGTTATAACCTCTTCTGGGTAAAAATGATGGCTTGTGATACCATTCAATGCAACCTTACTTTTCTCATTGAGTACAGTGAGAATCAGGGTTGTATTTCCAACCCTCTTCCCCATCAGATTTCTAATAAAAACATTAAGATAATAAGGCAGTGTAATCTCTAGACAGGCTGATTTCTCACAGAAATTTTCAAAGCATGGTGTGTGATATGGCTTGGCTGTGTCCCCACCCAAATCTCATCTTGATTTGTAGCTCCCATAATTCCCATATGTTGTGGAAGGAACCCAGTGGAAGATAATTGAATCATGGAGGGTTTCCCCTGTACTGTTATCATAATAGTAAATAAGTCTCATAAAATCTGATATTTTCTATAGGGTTTCCCCTTACATTTTGTTCTCATTCATTCTTTCTTTCTTTTATTAAAATTCTACTTTAAGTTCTGGGAGACATGTGCAGAACGTGCAGGTTTGTTACACAGGTATACATGTGCCATGGTGGTTGGCTTCACCCATCAACCTGTCATCTACATTAGTATTTCTCCTAATGCTATCCCTCCCTTTGCCCCCCACTCCCTGACAGGCCCCAGTGTGTGATGTTCCCTTTCCTGTGCCCATATGTTATCATTGTTCAACTCCCACTTATGAGTGTGAACATGTGATGTTTGGTTTTCTGTTCCTGTGTTAGTTTGCTGAGAATGATGGTTTCCAGCTTCATCCATGTCCCTGCAAAGGGCATGAACTCATTCTTCTTTATGGCTGCATAGTATTCTGTGGTGTATATGTGCCACATTTTCTTTATCCAGTCTAATATTGATGGGCATTTGGGTTGGTTCCAAGTCTTTGCTATTGTGAATAGTGCCACAATAAACACAGGTGTACATGTGTCTTTATAGTAGAATGATTTATAACCCTTTGGGTATATACCCAGTAATGGGACTGCTGGCTGAAAAGATATTTCTAGTTTTAGATCTTTGAGGAATGACCACACTGTCTTCCACAATGGTTGAACTAATTTACACTCCTACCAACAGTGTAAGAGCATTCCTATTTCTCCACATCCTCTCCAGCATCTGCTGTTTCCTGGCTTTTGAATGATCGCCATTCTAACTAGTGTGAGATGGTAACTCACTGTGGTTTTGATTGGCATTTCTCTAATGATCAGTGACGATGACCTTTTTTCATATGTTTGTTGGCCACATAAATATCTTCTTTTGAAAAGTGTCCATTCATATCCTTCACCCACTTTTTGATGGTGTTGCTTGTTTTTTTTTTTTTTTTTTTGCAAATTTATTTATGTTCCTTATAGATTCTGGATATTAGCCCTTTGGCACATGGAGAGATTGCAAAAATTTTCTCCCCTTCTGTAGGTTGCCTCTTCACTCTGATGATAGTTTCTTTTGCTGTGCAGAAGCTCTTTAGTTTAATTAGATCCTATTTGTCAATTTTGGCTTTTGTTGCCATTGCTTTTGGTATTTTAGTCATGAAGTCCTTTCCCATTCCTATGTACTGAATGGTATTGCCTAGGTTTTCTTCTAGGGTTTTTATGGTTTTAGGTGTTATGTTTAAATCTTTAATCCACCTTGAGTTAATTTTTGTATAAGGTGTAAGGAAGGGTCCAGTTTCAGTTTTCTGCATATTACTAGCCAGTTTTCCCAACACCTTTTATTAAATAGGGAATCCTTTCCCCGTTGCTTGTTTTTGTGAGGTTTGTCAAAAAAAGATCAGATGGTTGTAGATGTGTGGTGTTATTTCTGAGGCCTCTGTTCTGTTCCATTGGTCTATATATCTCTTTTGGTACCAGCACCGTGCTGTTTGGTTAACTGTAGCCTTGTAGCATAGATTGAAGTCTGGTAGAGTGATGTCTCCAGCTTTGTTCTTTTTGCTTAGGATTGTCTTGGCTATATGGGCTCTTTGTTGGTTCCATATGAAATTTAAAATAGTTTTTTCTAATTCCGTGAAGAAAGTCAATGGTAGCTTCATAGGAATAGCATTGAATCTATAAATTACTTTGAGCAGTATGGCCATTTTCATGACATTTATTCTTCCTATCCATGAGCATGGATGGTTTTTCCATTTGTTTGTGTCCTCTCTTATTTCCTTGAGCAGTGGTTTATAGTTCTTGACAACGTCCTTTACATCCCTTGTAAATTGTATTCCTAGGTATTTTATTCTCTTTGTAACAATTGTGAATGGGAGTTCACTCATGATTTGGCTCTCTGTTTGTCTATTTTTTTTATTATACTTTAAGTTTTAGGGTACATGTGCACAATGTGCAGGTTAGTTACATATGTATACATGTGCCATGCTGGTGCGCTGCACCCACTAACTCGTCATCTAGCATTAGGTATATCTCCCAATGCTATCCCTCCCCACTCCCCCCACCCCACCACAGTCCCCAGAGTCTGATATTCCCCTTCCTGTGTCCACCTATGCGGTGTTTGGTTTTTTGTTCTTGAGATAGTTTACTGAGAATGATGATTTCCAATTTCATCCATGTCCCTACAAAGGACATGAACTCATAATTTTTTATGGCTGCATAGTATTCCATGGTGTATATGTGCCACATTTTCTTCATCCAGTCTATCATTGTTGGACATTTGGGTTGGTTCCAAGTCTTTGCTATTGTGAATAATGCCGCAATAAACATACGTGTGCATGTGTCTTTATAGCAGCATGATTTATAGTCCTTTGGGAATATACCCAGTAATGGGATGGCTGTGTCAAATGGTATTTCTAGTTCTAGATCCCTGAGGAATCGCCACACTGACTTCCACAATGGTTGAACTAGTTTACAGTCCCACCAACAGTGTAAAAGTGTTCCTATTTCTCCACATCCTCTCCAGCACCTGTTGTTTCCTGACTTTTTAATGATTGCCATTCTAACTGGTGTGAGATGGTATCTCATTGTGGTTTTGATTTGCATTTCTCTGACGGCCAGTGATGATGAGCATTTTTTCATGTGTTTTTTGGCTGCATAAATGTCTTCTTTTGAGAAGTGTCTCTTCATGTCCTTCGCCCACTTTTTGATGGGGTTGTTTGTTTTTTTCTTGTAAATTTGTTTGAGTTCATTGTAGATTCTGGATATTAGCCCTTTGTCAGATGAGTAGGTTGCAAAAATTTTCTCCCATTTTGTAGGTTGCCTGTTCACTCTGATGGTAGTTTCTTTTGCTGTGCAGAAGCTCTTTAGTTTAATTAGATCCCATTTGTCAATTTTGGCTTTTGTTGCCATCGCTTTTGGTGTTTTAGACATGAAGTCCTTGCCCATGCCTATGTCCTCAATGGTAATGCCTAGGTTTTCTTCTAGGGTTTTTATGGTTTTAGGTCTAACGTTTAAGTCTTTAATCCATCTTGAATTGATTTTTGTATAAGGTGTAAGGAAGGGATCCAGTTTCAGCTTTCTCCATATGGCTAGCCAGTTTTCCCAGCACCATTTATTAAATAGGGAATCCTTTCCCCATTGCTTGTCTTTCTCAGGTTTGTCAAAGATCAGATAGTTGTAGATATGCGGCGTTATTTCTGAGGGCTCTGTTCCATTCCATTGATCTATATCTCTGTTTCGGTACCAGTACCATGCTGTTTTGGTTACTGTAGCCTTGTAGTATAGTTTGAAGTCAGATAGTGTGATGCCTCCAGGTTTGTTCTTTTGGCTGAGGATTGACTTGGCGATGCGGGCTCTTTTTTGGTTCCATATGAACTTTAAAGTAGTTTTTTCCAATTCTGTGAAGAAAGTCATTGGTAGCTTGATGGGGATGGCATTGAATCTGTAAATTACCTTGGGCAGTATGGCCATTTTCACGATATTGATTCTTCCTACCCATGAGCATGGAATGTTCTTCCATTTGTTTGTATCCTCTTTTATTTCCTTGAGCAGTGCTTTGTAGTTCTCCTTGAAGAGGTCCTTCACATTCCTTGTAAGTTGGATTCCTAGGTATTTTATTCTCTTTGAAGAAATTGTGAATGGGAGTTCACTCAAGATTTGGCTCTCTGTTTGTCTGTTATTGGTGTATAAGAATGCTTGTGATTTTTGTACATTGATTTTGTATCCTGAGACTTTGCTGAAGTTGCTTATCAGCTTAAGGAGATTTTGGGCTGAGACAATGGGGTTTTCTAGATATACAATCATGTCATGTAAAAACAGGGACAATTTGACTTCCTCTTTTCCTAATTGAATACCCTGTATTTCCTTCTCCTGCCTAATTGCCCTGGCCTGAACTTCCAACACTATGTTGAATAGGAGTGGTGAGAGAGGGCATCCCTGTCTTGTGCCAGTTTTCAAAGGGAATGCTTCCAGTTTTTGCCCATTCAGTATGATATTGGCTGTGGGTTTGTCATAGATAGCTCTTATTATTTTGAAATACGTCCCATCAATACCTAATTTATTGAGAGTTTTTAGCATGAAGGGTTGTTGAATTTTGTCAAAGGCTTTTTCTGCATCTATTGAGATAATCATGTGGTTTTTGTCTTTGGTTCTGTTTATATGCTGGATTACATTTATTGATTTGCGTATATTGAACCAGCCTTGCATCCCAGGGATGAAGCCCACTTGATCATGGTGGATAAGCTTTTTGATGTGCTGCTGGATTCGTTTTGCCAGTATTTTATTGAGGATTTTTGCATCAACGTTCATCAAGGATATTGGTCTAAAAATCTCTTTTTTGGTTGTGTCTCTGCCCGGCTTTGGTATCAGAATGATGCTGGCCTCATAAAATGAGTTAGGGAGGATTCCCTCTTTTTCTATTGATTGGAATAGTTTCAGAAGGAATGGTACCAGTTCCTCCTTTTACCTCTGATAGAATTCGGCTGTGAATCCATCTGGTCCTGGACTCTTTTTGGTTGGTAAACTATTGATTATTGCCACAATTTCAGATCCTGTTATTGGTCTATTCAGAGATTCAACTTCTTCCTGGTTTAGTGTTGGGAGAGTGTATGTGTCGAGGAATTTATCCATTTTTTCTAGATTTTCCAGTTTATTTGCGTAGAGGTGTTTGTAGTATTCCCTGATGGTAGTTTGTATTTCTGTGGGATCGGTGGTGATATCCCCTTTATCATTTTTTATTACGTCTATTTGATTCTTCTCTCTTTTTTTCTTTATTAGTCTTGCTAGCGGTCTATCAATTTTGTTGATCCTTTCAAAAAACCAGCTCCTGTATTCATTTTTTTGAAGGGTTTTTTGTGTCTCTATTTCCTTCAGTTCTGCTCTGATTTTAGTTATTTCTTGCCTTCTGCTAGCTTTTGAATGTGTTTGCTCTTGCTTTTCTAGTTCTTTTAATTGTGTTGTTAGGGTGTCAATTTTGGATCTTTCCTGCTTTCTCTTGTGGGCATTTAGTGCTATAAATTTCCCTCTACAAACTGCTTTGAATGTGTCCCAGAGATTTTGGTATGTTGTGTCTTTGTTCTCGTTGGTTTCAAAGAACATCTTTATTTCTGCCTTCATTTCGTTATGTATCCAGTAGTCATTCAGGAGCAGGTTGTTCAGTTTCCATGTAGTTGAGCGGTTTTGAGTGAGATTCCTAATCCTGAGTTCTAGTTTGATTGCACTATGGTCTGAGAGATAGTTTGTTATAATCTCTGTTCTTTTACATTTGCTGAGGAGAGCTTTACTTCCAAGTATGTGGTCAATTTTGGAATAGGTGTGGTGTGGTGCTGAAAAAAATGTATATTCTGTTGATTTGGGGTGGAGAGTTCTGTAGATGTCTATTAGGTCCGCTTGGTGCAGAGCTGAGTTCAATTCCTGGGTATCCTTGTTGACTTTCTGTCTCGTTGATCTGTCTAATGTTGACAGTGGGGTGTTAAAGTCTCCCATTATTAATGTGTGGGAGTCTAAGTCTCTTTGTAGGTCACTCAGGACTTGCTTTATGAATCTGGGTGCTCCTGTATTGGGTGCATATATATTTAGGATAGTTAGCTCTTCTTGTTGAATTGATCCCTTTACCATTATGTAATGGCCTTCTTTGTCTCTTTTGATCTTTGTTGTTTTAAAGTCTGTTTTATCAGAGACTAGGATTGCAACCCCTGCCTTTTTTTGTTTTCCATTTGCTTGGTAGATCTTCCTCCATCCTTTTATTTTGAGCCTATGTGTGTCTCTGCACGTGAGATGGGTTTCCTGAATACAGCACACTGATGGGTCTTGACTCTTTATCCAATTTGCCAATCTGTGTCTTTTAATTGAAGCATTTAGTCCATTTACATTTAAAGTTAATATTGTTATGTGTGAACTTGATCCTGTCATTATGATGTTAGCTGGTGATTTTGCTCGTTAGTTGATGCAGTTTCTTCCTAGTCTCGATGGTCTTTACATTTTGGCATGATTTTGCAGCGGCTGGTACCAGTTGTTCCTTTCCATGTTTAGCGCTTCCTTCAGGAGCTCTTCTAGGGCAGGCCTGGTGGTGACAAAATCTCTCAGCATTTGCTTGTCTGTAAAGTATTTTATTTCTCCTTCACTTATGAAGCTTAGTTTGGCTGGATATGAAATTCTGGGTTGAAAATTCTTTTCTTTAAGAATGTTGAGTATTGGCCCCCACTCTCTTCTGGCTTGTAGGGTTTCTGCCGAGAGATCCACTGTTAGTCTGATGGGCTTCCCTTTGAGGGTAACCTGACCTTTCTCTCTGGCTGCCCTTAACATTGTTTCCTTCATTTCAACTTTGGTGAATCTGACAATTATGTGTCTTGGAGTTGCTCTTCTCGAGGAGTATCTTTGTGGTGTTCTCTGTATTTCCTGAATCTGAACATTGGCCTGCCTTGCTAGATTGGGGAAGTTCTCCTGGATAATATCCTGCAGAGTGTTTTCCAACTTGGTTCCATTCTCCCCATCACTTTCAGGTACACCAATCAGATGTAGATTTGGTCTTTTCACATAGTCCCATATTTCTTGGAGGCTTTGCTCATTTCTTTTTATTCATTTTTCTCTAAACTTCCCTTCTCTCTTCATTTCATTCATTTCATCTTCCATTGCTGATACCCTTTCTTCCAGTTGATCGCATTGGCTCCTGAGGCTTCTGCATTCTTCACGTAGTTCTCGAGCCTTGGTTTTCAGCTCCATCACCTCCTTTAAGCATTTCTCTGTATTGGTTATTCTAGTTATACATTCTTCTAAATTTTTTTCAAAGTTTTCAATTTCTTTGCCTTTGGTTTGAATGTCCTCCCATAGCTCAGAGTAATTTGATCGTCTGAAGCCTTCTTCTCTCAGCTCGTCGAAGTCATTCTCCATCCAGCTTTCTTCCGTTGCTGGTGAGGAACTGCGTTCCTTTGGAGGAGGAGAGGCGCTCTGCTTTTTAGAGTTTCCAGTTTTTCTGTTCTGTTTTTTCCCCATCTTTGTGGTTTTATCTACTTTTGGTCGTTGCTGATGGTGATGTACAGATGGGTTTTTGGTGTGGATGTCCTTTCTGTTTGTTAGTTTTCCTTCTAACAGACAGGACCCTCAGCTGCAGGTCTGTTGGAATACCCTGCCGTCTGAGGTGTCAGTGTGCCTCTGCTGGGGGGTGCCTCCCAGTTAGGCTGCTCGGGGGTCAGGGGTCAGGGACCCACTTGAGGAGGCAGTCTGCCGGTTCTCAGATCTCCAGCTGTGTGCTGGGAGAACCACTGCTCTCTTCAAAGCTGTCAGACAGGGACATTTAAGTCTGCAGAGGTTACTGCTTTTTGTCTGTGCCCTGCCCCCAGAGGTGGAGCCTACAGAGGCAGGCAGGCGTCCTTGAACTGTGGTGGGCTCCACCCAGTTCGAGCTTCCTGGCTGCTTTGTTTACCTAATCAAGCCTGGGCAATGGCGGGCGCCCCTCCCCCAGCCTCGCTGCCGCCTTGCAGTTTGATCTCAGACTGCTGTGCTAGCAATCAGCGAGACTCCGTGGGCGTAGGACCCTCCGAGCCAGGTGCGGGGTATAATCTCGTGGTGTGCCGTTTTTAAGCCGGTCCTAAAAGCGCAATATTCGGGTGGGAGTGACCCGATTTTCCAGGTACGTCCGTCACCCCTTTCTTTGACTCGGAAAGGGAACTCCCTGATCCCTTGCGCTTCCCAAGTGAGGCAAAGCCTCGCCCTGCTTCAGCTGGCGCACCGTGTGCACACCCACTGACCTGCGCCCACTGTCTGGCACTCCCTAGTGAGATGAACCTGGTACCTCAGATGGAAATGCAGAAATCACCCGTCTTCTGCGTCGCTCACGCTGGGAGCTGTAGACCAGAGCTGTTCCTATTTGGCCATCTTGGCTCCTGCCCCCTCTGTTTGTCTATTATTGGTGTATAGGAATGCTTGTGCTTTTTGCACATTGATTTTGTATCCTGAGATTTTGCTGAAGTTGCTTATCTGCTTAAGGAGATTTTGGACTCAGATGATGGGGTTTTCTAAATATACAATCACATCCTCTGCAGAGAGATAATTTGACTTTCTCTCTTCCTATCGAATACCCTTTATTTCTTTCTTTTGCTTGATTGCCCCAGCCAGAACTTCCAATATTATGTTGAATAGGAGTGGCGAGAGAGGGCATCCTTGTCTTGTGACGGTTTTCAAAGGGTATGCTTCCAGTTTTTGCCCATTCAGTATGATATTGACTTGCACTTCCTGGGTGAGGCAACACCCCACCCTGATTCTGCTCATCCTCTGTGGGCTGCACCCACTGTCTAACCAGTCCCCATGAGATGACTTGGGTACCTCAGCTAGAAATGTGGAAATCACCCACCTCCTGCATTGGTCTCACTGGGAGCTGCAGCTGGAGCTGTTCCTATTTTGGCCATCTTGTCCAGGAGTCTAGGTCCCATTCTTTCTTGTCTGCCACCATGTAATATGTGTCTTTCACCTTCTGCCATGACTGTGAGGACTCCCAGCCATGTGGAACTGTAGGTCCACTAAACTTTGTTTTTTTAATAAATTACCCCGTCTCAGGTATGCCTTTATCAGCAGCATGAAAATGGACTAATACATTCTTTCTTTTGTGGAAACAGCAAAAATTATGCCTGAGGAGGGAAATTCAGGACTGTAATTATAAATACAGCAATAATGTTGTTAAAACTTTATATATCACTCTATATAAGTTGGACAAACTTCTCAAAGTTTTAAATAGATTTACTTATTTGTTTTCAAATTAACCCTATGAGATAGAAATTATTATCCTCATTTTACAACTGAGGAGATTGTTTTTTCTGAAAATTATCCATGCTCTTTTAGTCCAAAGATTTCTTCTACAACAATGAAGAAGGCTCCCATGACTGATGGGCAGGGACCTAAGCCTGTAAACATGGTTCTCCAAGAATCTTAATCAGTTTATTGGAGGACACTTGATTGCCTGTTGTCTGGCTCCTTTTGTGTTTTCTGTAGCCCTTGCCTTAATTAATGTGACAATAATATGCACCTGAATTTAATTCTTTTTTTTCTGTTCCATTGTCCTTCATTCCTGAGCACCCACTTCATTCCTGTATTTCAGAATATTAATAAACTATAAAACAAATTTCCAGATATGTAACAAAAGCAACAGTTCAGACCTGTAGTGAAAAAAAAATGCTAATTTCAATAAATAGTGCTGAGTCAATTGTTTATCCATATGGAGAAAAAATAGTAGATTGATTCATACCTCACACTGTACACAAAAGTTAATTCTAGATGGATTACATATTTAAATATGAAAATAAAACATACAACTTTAAGAGAAAGTATAGAATAACATATTTATGTCTTTGGAATACCCCTGAATTTCTTGAGCAGGATACAAAAAGCTCAATTCATAAAAGAAAAAAATGATAAATCAGATTATATTTAAGAATTTCCTAAATCAAAAGGTGCCATTCTGAAATCAAGAAGCAAGATATTGAGTTAAATAAGACATTTGGAATACATGTATCCCACAAATCATTTCTATCTTGAACTTATTAATACTTCCTATAAATCAGTAAGAAAAACACAGATGAACCAACAGAAAAATGTACAAAAGATTAGAAGAGATACTTTACAAAAGAAGATAACAAAATATCCCACATATATTTGAAAAAATGATCCATAGCATCAATCATAAGTGAAATTCCAATAAAACCATGATTAGATACTGTATATACTCACTTGAATTGCCAAAATGAAAAAGACATTATCAAGTTTTGGTCAGGGTATGAAATGATTAGAACCCTCATACCAGTTTGTAGAAGTGTAAATTAGTATAACCACTTCAGTAATTGTCTCGCAGTATTCATTAATCTTATACTTTATGACCCAGTATTTCCACACTTACTCACACGCCAATAGATGTACACACAAGCTTAACAAAAGATATGTACTAGATTGTTTATAGCAGCAATATTTTTAATATCCTAAGACACAAAACTACAAAATGGTCATCAAAAATTAGATAAATAAGTCATACTCACACAATATAATACTGTATATCATTGAGAATAAACAATTGACAAATAAACACAACCATATGGATGTGTCTCAGAAACATAATATTAAAAGAAAGAAACCCAGAAAAATAGTGTATGTACTGTATGATTCCATAATAAAGTGAACCTATGTGCAAACTATTCTACTTGGTAGAAATCAGGGTAATGATTGCTTGGACATTGGGAGATGGTATCATGAGTGGAAAGGGGGCTTTCTGGAGTGTTGGTACAAAAATGAAATTAGTTTGTGAAAAACCATCAATCTGTATAATTTTGAAATGTTCACTTTTATGTATACATATTAAACTTTGAGTTAAAAAAAAATTCCAGCCCATGATGATCTTATTTCAAAGGTGGGGACTTGCTAACCTGAGACAGAAAAGTAGGATGCTGGAGAGTGAGGTACCAGTTGTGGGATCCTGAGGGAAGTGGAGCAATGTGTCAAGCAGATTTACTGTGAAGCAAATGAAACTTCAACTTCAGGGCCTCAATCCCAGGAGTTCCTTCTAAGGCCCTCGGCAAGGGGTTGCGCAATATGTTGTGTTAAATTTTTCCAAACCGTCAGCTTTTCACTTCCATTTACGTTACTACCTCTTCATTATAGTAAAAATGTGTGTGCCTGAGAAACACCTTTATACCTTCTCTTAAGTTATTCACCCAGTCCTGGACCCCTTGAGTCACTGACTGACTTGGTAATTGTTTGGGGCAAAGTGTTATGGGATCTTTGAGGTGTTGCTTTTCTGGACAGAAACCTCTGTGGCCAGTGATGCCTTTGCCCAAGTTTTGCTTGGGCCTGCTGGGCTCATTCTGCTCACTCAGCCTGGCAGGCTGCACTTGGCTCACACTACCAGCCTGCCAAGGGCAAGTCAGGCATGGAGCAGCAAGAGGTGTGTGACCAAGCATGAGGTCTGGCCACTGCACACAATTGGACATTCTGGCTGCTGCCACAGAATGGGTAGCTCCAGGTGATGGCATAGACACTGGCTCTCTGCAAGACTGAGGCTGGAGCAGGCACACTGCAAGCAGCTTCCCTGGCTGGCACTGGGGAATTCAGTGGCACCGAGAAGCTTGGAGATGCCAGGAACCACAAGTCTCCAAAGAGGGAGTCACAGCACCAGCTCAGGGAGCTTCCAGGTTTGGGATTCCTGAAGGACTGCAACTCTCCTTCTCTTTGTCTGCAACATGGCAAGCAAGGGGCATGTTTCAGCCCTGTTTGTGTTACAGCTCTTTCAGCCTCACCGTTCAGCAAGTCCAAAATTCTTGTCCTGTGACCAGGAAGAATGAGGTACACAGACAAGTGGAGGATGAGCAAGATGAAGAGGAGCTTTATTGAGCAATAGAACAACCCAGAGAAGATCCACAGGCAGTAGCTCCTTTCTGCAGCCAGAGTGTCCTGATGAGTGTTCTGTTCCTAGCAGAGAGAGTAGCTCCTTTCTGCAGGCAGGTCATCCCAACAACTGTTCAGCTATCAGCAGAAAGGGTAGCTTCTCTCTGCAGCTGGTTTTCCTGTCATCTGCAGTTCTCAGGAGAGAGACCGTGGAGTGAGTAGCTCCTGTCTCTGCAGCTGGTCATCCCAACATCTGCAGCTCTCAGCATAGGAGGCCCTGGAGTGGGTAACTCCTCTCTGCAGCTGGTCATCCCAACATCTGCATCACTCAGCAGAGAGGAGGCCCTGGAGTGGGTAGCTCCTCTCTACAGGTGGTCATCCTGATGTCTGCTCAGTTCTGGCTGAGCCCAGGACTTTTATGGGCCTCAGAATGGAGGAATTACACACCAATTCGTCCATGGGTGGCCATGGGTGGGCCGGAAAAGGCAGCACAAGTTCCCACTCCAGTTTGTGGAACTGGAAGCCCAGCCCCCAACCTTCAGGCCTTCCCTGGCCTGAAGGTGGGGCCACACCAGGGACTGCCCCCTTCTGCCCAGGAACCTGTGTCCGGCTGCCATTCATGGCACCAAGGCTGTAGGTGCCAAGAGGTGCCTGCAGGCCCGTGCCAAGCTGCCCTCAGTGCCACCTCAGCTTCCCTCCTATGCTTATTGGTGCCCAAAGTCCAGAGGGGGTTGAGGCAGCAGAGGGCTGGTATGTCAGTGCTACTCTGAGTGTGTGCACACCTGGTGGGCTGTGACAGTGCCCAGCTTGGCCCCAATTTTGCTCCAAGATCAGAGCATATGCTGAGAGCAGGGAGAAGACAGGCAGTGGGAGTATGCATTTCTGAGCCTGTGAGGGCAGTGGGGGCCTTCCTAGGTCCTCAAGAGTGCAGAGATGCCTGGGTCTGCAGCCATGGGTTGGGCAACTGCACCCACGCCTAGGGGGCAGGACTTCTGCCTGCTCCTTGGAGCAGGAGGCCTGGCTCTGCAGCAGTTACTTGGGCAGCAGAGTTGTGCCGGGGAGCTCCCACCCCACTGACTCAGAAGAAGCAGGGCTTTCACTAGTCCCTGGCTCCTGCCAGCTCCCTGAGTGTTGGAGTGTGCAACCCTGGCCACGCCTCCCTGCTGCAGCTGGCATGATGGCAGCAGCTGCTCCAGATGGGCCACTGCTGCCATCAATAGGATCCATGTATTTCAGTCTTCCTTGTGGTGCACATGATGCACACACCTTTGAAAAGGTCTCCATAAAGGGAATTGTTAGTTTGCAGGAGTCAAGACTCTTTTCCCCTTATGGTTTAGTTCCTTATTTCCTCTAAAAAGGCCACCACAGCTGGGTGCAGTGGCTCACACCTGTAATCTCAGCACTTTGGGAGGCCAAGGTGGGTGGATCACCTGAGGTCGGGAGTTCAAGACCAGCCTGGCCAACATGGCGAAACCCTGTCTCTACTAAAAATACAAAAAAAAAAAAAAAAAAAAAATTAGCCGGGCATGGTGTCAGGCACCTGTAATCCCAGCTACTCAGGAGGCTGAGGCAGGAGAATCGCTTCAGCCCAGGAGGCAGAGGCTGAGGTGAGCTGAGATTGTGCCACTGCACTCCAGCCTGAGCGACAGAGCAAGACTCCATCTGAAAACACACACACTCACACACACAGTTTTATGAACATGTCAGACTATATGGTAGGCTTAGAAAAAGCTAAAGCAAATTAACTGACATAGAAAGAACTTAAAGCTATGAGCTACATGTTGTATTTCCCATAGTCAATGGGAAAAGCACCCCCAAATTAAAATCCTTTGCAGAGAGTATGTTTGTACATGTGACTTATTTCCCAGTCTTGTTATCTTTGTTCTGGATTTACTTTCTTTTAAGAAAGTAATGTCATCTAACCTCAGGTATGAAAATTTGATCTACCTTTTGGGAAACTCATCTCTTACCCACACAGGTTTTTAGAGTTACCCTAGTCTTCATCCCCGTACCCCTACAGTTCATTTTCTCGTTCTGAGTTACATCTAGAATACTTTCCTGGAGATGCGTGAAGAACAGTTCAGGTTGACTTTGGTATTCAAGATCCCCCGGCAAAATTCAGGTTGGGCATAGCCCCGTCAAATTCTGTCATTTTAAAGGTGGCCCTGCAACTTAAAAAAAAAGTTGCACTTATGCTTCTTTCATTTTTTCAGGTTTTCAGTGGATAACTGATCATAACACTTGCACACACACTGAAAGCATATATCTCCCTAGAACAAAGCTTAACACCCAAATTTTCATAATCAATAAAGTTTATACTCAAAACAAAAATTATTTTCTAACTGTTCCATCATCCAAAAAGCCATTCCAGTCCACCAAAGAGTTTGTATTCACACAGTGGAATAGCACAATTTTTTTTTCTCCATTTCATCTCCTTCCTACTACAGCTTTCAAACTGTCATCTGCCAGGCCTATTGAAGACTAAGAAACTACCAGGTACTAAGTGAGTTGTTGTTCCACTAGATCTATAAGAACCAAGATGAAATCTCCAAAGGATTCCTCCTAAGGGTCTGCTTAACTTTAGACACAATGCCACACATTCTTTCCTTGGTCAGTTTTCCCGAGAATTTGTATTATAGATTGGTGATGATGGGAAAAGGAGTCATTGTCATAGAATTGATACATATTTGATGTTCCCTTAGCCTGGAAAAGTGGATCTCAAAATAAGACACTCGGACTAGCAGAATTAGCATGACCTGGGGAACTCATGGGAACCTATGACAGATCTACTCAATCAGAAACTCTAGGGCGAGACCCAGTGATTTGGGTTAAAATTTGACAACCTCTGGTCTAGGACATCCTCTTCACTTCTTTTCAACTTTCTGCCTGGCAAAAACGGACCCAGATTTCACAGCTCTTTGTGAAGTCTTCTCCAAACCCACAGCCTTTTTCACTAAGCAGAAAAGAATTGCTCTACATCACTCTGTACCCTCTGCTTTTAGAACATTTTGGACATATGTACAACTCTCCATTACAGCACATATCACATTTTCCAAAATGGCAGTCTTTCACTCACTTCCTGCCACATCTGTATCAAGTGACTTGTATCTTATGATGCCAGTTGCAATAACAAAGTGTAATGGAGGAGTCTTATTTTGCTGACAACTTTGACCCCATAAGTGATGGCTATTAAAATGAACCACTGGACAGAGTATGAACAGCATAGTCTTGGAATTTTCATACAAGCCTCTTCCTCCATTCTCACAGCCTCAGGAGCAACAAGAACTAATAAAGTAGTTATTAAGAAAAGAAAGAACTTGATAAGCCAGAGAAGATTAAAAAGCAGATCAGTGGTCAGTATGAAGGCTGAGAAGTTGCCTTCTTGCTGAGTTTAGACTACTTTGCCACTTTTTAATTAAGCAGTCTTTTTGCTCTTGCCAATCAGAAGGCTTCAGACATCAGTGTTTCTCATATATTGGGTTACATATCTTCACCCCTTAAAGGAATCATGTGGTTAGATGGTTATAAACCAGATGTTTGAGGTGTCTGAGATATACCTGCAAACAGATTTACTTTGTCCTGGTGGAAATGGCTCCTTGATTATAGGTTAGATACTTTGGGGTACTGCAGAATTCCCTTCCATCTGAGTATAATTAGAACATCAGTGCTCTAGTGAACTAAACACAATTTTAAAAAGTAAATGCTGAGAATGCAAATTCTTGGAAAATCCTCTTCACTTTCCATTCTCTGTGCTGGTAAACTTTAGTTGGATATTTGGAGCCATATCAGAGATCTGAGCAGATCAACAAAGTAATTCCTATTTTTGTGTTGTATTGGGATCGGCTCCATAAAATGCTTTACATATGCTCAGTCTTTTGTGTGGTAGCCAAGCAGACAGATTTTTCTTGCAAACAGTGTTTTTGAAAATTTGAGCAAATGCTTTTTCTGGCTTTTTTCCTGTTATTTTCAAGAAAATGTGATGCCTTCTATGATTGAAGCCTGTTACTTTGAAGTTTAATGACAATGGAAGAGAGCAAGAAGTCCTCATTGATAATGGACCAGGAAGGAAAGGAACTATATGTATCCCTAAAATATTTATCATTTGTCACATAATTTAGTTTTGATATTATATGCTCCAAACAATAGAAATATTTGTAATTGCCTCTGTTCATTTTTTTCTATATACAGTTTTATTGTTTTGTAATTAGATAATAAAAAGACATATTCCCATTATGCTATTTTAAAATTAATAATAAAAATAATATATGCATATTTTGGATAGTTAGAAAATACAAACATATAATAAAAATCCACAGTCACACATACTACTGTTATTAAGAGAAAATTTATTATTAATATTTTTGTGAAGAGCTTCCCTGTTATTTTATCTATGTGTGTTTAATTTGTTTTTCAAACTTGGGAGCATGATGTACTATGATGTTTTAGTGATACTTTAGTTAATATATCTTGAGCATTTATTTATATCATTATCTTTTAAAATTTTATATAGCAACCTTATTGTTTTCCTGGTTATAAAAGTTTCTTTTATGCTAAAATTAAGTAACCTTAAAGTCATCCAAAAATGATTTAATTAAAAAATTCTCGGATAAATAAGAAGCTCTACCTCAGCACTATCCCAGAGAAAATGCGAAGCAGGTATGTAATTTAAGATTTTCTAATAGCTACATTTTAAAAAGTCAGAAGAAATTTGAAATTAATTTTAATAATATATTCTATTTATCCCAATATATTCCTGTATTGCCATTTTAAGATGTAATCATTACAAAATATTATTAATGAGAGATTTCACATTCTTTTTTTATTTTAAATCTTTGAAATCTAGTGTGCATTGCACACACACAGCACATCTGAATTCTGACTAGCAACATGTCCAGTGATCAATAGCCATATGTGACTAGTGGCTGCCATGTTGGACGGTGTAGCTCTATATTGTCTCACATTTTTTACTTGTCATCAAACAAAGAAAATATTAAAACTAGCACATACAGGTGTATGATTTCCTTTACATGGACCTTCTTTTATAATTTTTTTCATATCACATTATCTCATAAGATTCAAAGAGAAGTTTCACATAAAATTTTCCAGTGATCTAAAGGTGAATAATTCTTAAAGACTCCAGCCCTTAAAGACTCCTGCCACTGCCACTCTCATCTCCACCCCCAGCAGTCCAGAGTTGTAGGACTTGGGTACTGAACTGCCTGCTTCAGCCACTTTGTGCCCTTGTTATAAAGCAATTCCTGGATCTCCATGCCTCATGATTTCTTTGAGGTCATGTTTCTAGACTCTAATTTTTATCATTACATTCATTTATCTCCTTATTACATTGGGCAATTCTACAGACTGTTGTCTTGGGCAGCAGTGTTCAAACTGGGGTCTGGGGATCACTGAGTTTCCAACTTTTTAAAGATAAAGTGCTATGGAGGACATGGAATGGAAATTCGAGATCAAGGAAGAAAAAAGAAATATGTAAAGATTTCCAACTGTTAAAGAAAACTTTTTATGTATGCTTTAAGGACAATAGTGGGGATCAAATAGCTTTTATAGTTGTATTGGATTTGTTACATACAAAAGACTTCGAAATTTATTATTTTAGAAATCACATTCTTTGTAATTATTTAAATATATATATAATTTATTTATATATAAAGTTAAAATGTGCAATGTGACAGTTTTTAAAAAAAACCAGACAGTATGCAAACAAAAGCTTTGAATACCTCTTAAAATTAGCCCAGTTCACTTACATCTGGTCCTGAAAAGAACCCCTCTGGCAAGATTCTTAAACTTTCTGCGTTTCTATAATATGGAATAATAATGTTATTTACCTCACAGTGTTGTAAGGTTAAAATGAGATAACTTATGTAAAAGCCTTTTGTAAATTATGATATATTGGAGAGATGTTTGTTATTCATAATTTCTTTTCTTCCATGAATTCCTTACTTTTTTTTTTTTTTTTTTTTTTTTAATAGAGTCTCTCTCTGTTGCCCAGGCCGGAATGCAATGGCACAATCTCGGCTCACTGCAACCTCTGCCTCCAGGGCTCAAGTGATTCTCCAGCCTCAGACTCCTTAGTAGCTGGGATCACAGGTACGCGCCACTGTGCCCAGCTAATTTTTGTATTTTTAGTAGAGACAGGGTTTCACCATGTTGCTCAGGCTGGTCTTGAACTGCTGACCTCAGGTGATCCACCTGCTTCAGCCTCCCAAAGTGCTGGGATTACAGGCGTGAGCCACCGTGCCTGGCCCCATGAATTCCTTTAATAAAAATATTTCTTGGGCATCTACTTTGTGACAGAGGCTTTTTTAGGGTTTGTAGATACAGTGATGACATAAAAAGGGAAAGTCCATGTTTTCATAAATCTTACATTTTAGTAGGACTGGCAATTACACAAGTAAACAAATGAACAAAGCAAGACACTTGCAGGTGATGATAGATGTTAGGAAGGAAATAATACCAGGTATTTCAACTGTTGCTGAATTTCCAATTTATAGTTTTTTGAAAGAAAAGAGCACTGCCGTCATTATATGGAACATCTCTTTAACAATGTTCTAGGACTGCCAAGGCCTACAATATTCTACAGGTCCCCACATTCTGACATTATCTCTTCACGTGCTCCTCTATGTCCACTGTGTTCCAGCCACTGTGACCTCTTTCCTGAGGCTTGAACACTCGAAGTATGCTTCCTCCTTAAGATATTTGTATTGTCTCTGTCCTTTCTCAGGATTGTTTTCTTCATATGTGCAGGGATAGCTCCTTCATCCCCTTACCTTCTTTTTCTCACATTTAATCTTCTTAATAAAGACTATTTTGGTTATCCTATTTAAAATTGAAAACTGTCTCCTTTTTCCTCCAACTCCATATTTCCAATCTACTTTGCTCTATTGTTTTTTCCTATTTTCCCCATAGTATTTACCACATTTTAACAAACTATATCATTTACTTATTATTTCTGTCTGCTTCTTCAAGAAGGTAAGCTCCACAGAAGGAGAGGTCCCTAGAACTCTAACTCACTGATGCTGTGCAGTCACTGGCAACATTTGAATTAAATTGGAATATTCCACCTTAGGGTACTAATTGTTTAACTATTGCTATCTCATTTAATCCTAACAACCACATGAGGTATATTCTATTTTTAATGCAATTATTTATTGCTGCATGACAAACCACTCCAAAGATGAGTGGATTAATAAGCAACAATTTATTGTTTCTCACTATTCAGTGGGTCAGGAATTTAGGCATGTCTCAGCTAGATGATTCTCTTTATACATAGATAATCACTCACTTATCTGGCTTCAGCCAGTGTCTCGGCATGGCTGGAGAGTTCGAGAAGTCCCTACTCAGATGTCTGGTACCTCGGTGTTCCTCTCTCTCACTACATGATTTTTCCCCCATCTAACAGTTTCATCTGAACTTCTCAATAGCACAGCAGCTGGCTTTCCTGAGAGGGAGCTACCAGACTTCTTAAGGTTTATTGCTGGACCTGGCACAGATTCATTTCTTCTACAATCTATTGCTAAAAGGATTTTACAAGACTGGCCTACATTCAAGAAAATGGAAGAAAGACTCTACCTCTCAAGGGGTGGAGCAGTAGGACATACAGAGAGAAAAGAAAAGGATGCCAGCCCACTTTGGAGACTATCAATTGCAATTATTCTCATTTTCTGGACAAGGAAATTGGAGCTCAGATATATTAGGTTGATAAATCAAGCCCAGGCTTCATTGATTCCAGAGCCTGCACCTTTAAATATTCTGGTTTATGGCCTTTATTAGAGGGGCTCCCACCCTGGCAGAGAGGAGGTCTAGGACTAATGAGACAGACTGTTAAGACTGTTGGAAAACAGCCACGTCATTAGGGAGGCATGCAGTAAGGGTTTCAGAATCCTATCCTTGCTTCAAGCAGAAGAACTCAACTTCAAATTATTTTACCCATTGATCTTGCACATAAAGTTTGATTTGAAGAAGAAATTCCACAGACTTAAACATAGTCAAAGGATACAAAACAGATATATATATATCAAAAACTAGTTTATATCTCTATGAATTTAAATCTGACATATTCTATTTCAAAAATATGTGTTTGTTTTTATAATTGTTATTATTCTTATTTTGTTTACAAAGATAAATCCTAAAGAGATAATAGTTTACCATTTCAAATAGGTATTTTATGCATAAGTCAAGGCTAGTTTTATACAGTGATTTTCAAAATACTAGGTTTTTTTGGAAGCTTCCCTTCGAGCTCTTTTGTAATGTTATAATGCACAATATATCCAATTTCAATCTGATAGGAAAACTATAACCTTTCCACTGTATTCTTTTCAGGAATACAATTTAGGGAGCAATTTTTCACGTAGTTTTTGGGCAGGTTACATTACAATTTTTTGCAAACTTGGCACAATGTGATTGTAAATTATAATAACTGTTTCTTCATAATACAACAAATACTGGAGAAGGGGAAAATTGTGAGTAGTCATATTTCCACGCTTTAGTCAGAGAAGTGTTCCTTTTCTTATTTTATATGCTACATTTGTGTGCAAGATTTTGTTTGAAGAAAAGTGTCCACTGCAAAAGAAAAGTATAATTTTAAAACAGTTTTACTAAACAATCTTTAAGCCATAACATTTAACTACAAAGTCCACGGATTTCTGGCCATAAGGTAATTCATTTGCCAAGATCTGTACCCAATATATTTCTGGAATGTTTAAGGAATTTGATAAAGTTTTTAGCAGTGATTATATTAATTGGAAATAGAATTATATAAAATTATATAAAAAAGAATTAAAAACTTCCATTAAATGCTGCTGATAAGCTGGTATAAATATTTTGTTTTGGTATAATTATTTTATTTAAGACTGCTTGAAGGTAGTTGGGATGCCCACATTTTCTTTAGAGATATTCTTGACTTTCTAGGACACTGCTTTAGATGAGAAGTGCATAGAATCATCCATCTAAGGAAGCAGTGGAGTCCATAACAACTGGCTTATCTGTAATTAAGAACCAGAGAAAATAGAAACTATCCTAACTTTCCAATAGCCACAAGCTAAAACATAGTTCAAAATTCATTCTACTTTCTTAATTTTTTTTGGTTTCTTTGCATCCAAACCCTATTTTCAATATGTACTTTTAACAAGCATAATTTTCTTGTAACAATTCACTTTTGTTCCTGAAATAGCAACCTGAGAAGCCCGGGATCACTCTAATTCCACATGGACTGAAAAAGAGCCCAACACTTATTCATCCCACATGAGTGCTAGAAATTAGCAGGGATAGTCAACTCACTAGAGAAAATATTAAGTTCCTCTGGATCTGATTTGACAGTGGCAATTGCTGCACACTGGATCTAGAAAACACAGCACTTTATATAATATAATCAAGACAAAACATTTTCTATAGCCCACGCATAGACTCTTGCACTATTAGAACAAATTGGTCACAGTGTTCTAGCAGAGAGATAGCTTTGGTCTCAAGGCAAATCAGATATAGAACCAGTTACAAGAAATATCATTAGAAGTCATGGATGTTCTGGGTTTGTAAACTAGGAAATGATTGTGAAAATTAACAATACATGTGGCCAATGATAAAAGCAAGAAAGTCACTTAGCATGACGTCACTACAACCCCAATAAAAATGTAAAAGAGCTGAAATAAGCTAGTCATCAATGGGATAGAGAGGAAAGAAGGTATAAACTATAATAAAGAGTTAAGCTGATGTAGCCAACCAACCATTTTGGGTTGTGTGGTACTGAGCGGTTTCCTGGGATACAGAACTTTTAGTTTTAAAACATGTACAGTCCTGAGACAAATTTGTTGCCCAGCTCTACCTTCCTTCACTTTCTTATAACGACCAAGCTTTTTCTTGCCTCAGAGTCATTGCAGAAGCTTTTACTTCTGCTGAGGACATTGAACCTACCTCTCTAGAACACTCAATTACATCTGGCAAGCTTCAGCTAATTCCATTCGAAATGTTCCTAGAACATCTCAAGATGAACCAGAGAGGAAAAATCAGGTCACATGGATGAACGATGATATGAGTTACCACTGACTTATATTAAAATCACCACAAACCAGAAGACAATGATCTGGCATCTTTAGAAAGAAAACCTACAATTCTATAACTAGCAAAAGTATCCTTCAAAACTGAAGACAAAATACATTTTCAAATAAACAAAAGCTGAAGGAATGTGTCACCAGAAGATTTACATTATGAAGAATGTTAATGAAATTTCATCAGCCTGACAGAAAATTATATAACATTAAAAAATTCAGAGGTACCAAAGAAATCAAGAGCACAAAAAATTGTAAACATGTAGGTAAATATAAATTATTATTTTGTCCTTGTTTCTTAACTTATCTTAAAGACACATTACAACTGAAAATAAAAATAGTTTTAAAAAATCATGATCAGCTTGTAGCTATTGCTCAACATGGAGAAAACTGGAAAGAATATGGCTTCCAACCTTACCACAAAAATTTAGACACCAGATAATCTGAAAATTCCCTGTTTTTCTCAAACCTAGCAGATAGCTGAGGTTTCAAGGCAACAAATACCTGAGGCTTTAAAGCAAACAACTAACCTGAAGTCTAAGGAAAAACATGTGCTCTTAGGAGAAAGGAGAGAAGAACAATTGCTTACCTGGATCAGGGCCCTACACAAGCCAATAAGAAGAGTTGAAGTATTTATTAAATTACTAAGGGACATGTGTGAGGCAGGAGGAAATTATAAAGCTTCTGAGAACAATAGACCCCAAAGTATTAACACTTATTTTCAGGTTCTTATCAATGAATCTTCCCAAGATTCACTAATGAGGGGCAACGAGGAAGAAAGTCCTACTTGTCCAAGATGGCCGATTAAAAGGCTCCCATTGAAAAGACCCATAACAGCATGCAAATCCTGCACCAGAAACTGAGGTATCCAGGTTCCCTCATCCGAACTGACTAGGTGGCTGGTGTGACCCACAGAGAGGAAGGAAGAGCAGTGTGGTGTGGTGGCCGACCTGAGAGCCACATGGGACAGGGGAGCCCCCACCTTCCTACTCCCCAGCCAAGGGAGGAAGTGAGTGAGCATGCTACCCAGCCTGGGAAAATGTGCTTTTTCCACGGACAACCCACGGATTGGAAGAAGATCCCACTCATGAGCCCATGCCACCAAGGCTATGGTTCCAACCATGGAGCCATGCAGATTCTCAACAGCCACTAAGCTAGAATCTGCTAAAGCCTGCAGAGCTCCCAGGAAGAGGGGCAACCATCACCACAGCTGCGCTGCCTGTTGTCTAAGCAGTTTGAGCTCCTTGGGGGAGGGGCAACAGCCAATACTGGGACTGATAGCTGCCTAACACACTAAGCTCCCAGGATGAGGGAAGGGTGGCAGCCATCTCTATAGCTCCAGGCCATGCTTTTCCCCTGCTGGAGTCAGGGAGGTTGAGCCACTTGGTCCCAAGAGGTATACCCTACAACCCAACACATCGGCTGGGACAGAATGTGGACAGAGTGCCTTTTCAGGCCTGACCCTGACCCATCCCTCCTCACTGGGTGGGGACTCCCTGCAGGAACTCTGACAACTGCAGCCAGGGGCTCAGAAACAGAACTCTGATCTCCCTGGGGCTGAGCCCCCAGGGGAAGAGATGGCTGCAGTCTCCATGGACCAGCAGAATTAGCCTTTCCTCCTGCTAGTTCTAAGGAATCTGGGCAGCCCAGATGAATGGGTTTCCCCCACAAAGCACACCCCCTCCACCAAGGGACAGTCAAAGTGCTTCATTAAACAGGTCCTGCTCCCCATGCCACCCAACTGGATAAGACCCCACAACAGGGGTTGTCAGACACCCTATACAGGAGCATTCCTTATGGCATCAGGTCAGTGCCCCTCTAGGTCAGAGATCTCAGAGGAAGGAGCAGGCACCCATCTTTGCTGTTCATCAGCCTCCTCCAGGCACGGGAATGAACCAGATGAATAGGGCCTGAAGTGAATCCCCAGCAAACCACAGCAGCCCTATGGAATAGAGATTGCAAGAAAAACAAACAGAAAGCAACAACAACAGCATCAACAAAAACAAAAAGTCCCCACAAAAACCCCATCCAATGGTCAGCAGCCTCAAAGATCAATACTAGACAAACTCATGAAGATGAGAAAGAAATAAGGAATCAACAACAACAACAAACAGTGAAAGCCCAAAGGCCAGAGTGCCTCGTCTCCTCCAAATGATGGCAATGCCTCCCCAGCAAGGATACTGAACTGGACAGAGGATGAGATGTATGAATTGACAGAAGTAGGCTTCAGAAGGTGGCTAATAACAAACTCCACTGAGCTAATGGAGCATGTTATGATCCAGTGCAAAGAAGCTAGGAACCTTGATAAAAGGTTTCAGGAGCTGCTAGCTAGAATAACCAGTTTAGAGAGGAACATAAATGACCTGATGGAGCTGAAGAACACAGCACGAGAACTTCAAGAAGAATACACAAGCATCAATAGCCGAATCAACCAAGTGGAAGAAAGGATATCAGAGTTTGAAGACCATCTTGCTGAAATAAGGTATGCAGACAAGATTAGAGATAAAAGAATGAAAAGGAATGAACAAAACCTTTGAGAAATATGGGACTATGTAAATAGACTGAACCTACAATTGATTGGAGTACCTGAAAAAGATGGGGAGAATAGAACCAAGTTAAGAAACACACTTCAGGATATTATCCAGGAGAACTTCCCCAACCGAACAAGACAGGACAGCATTCAAATTCAGGAAATACAAAGAACACCGCTAAGATATTCCATGAGATTTTCAACCCAAGACACATAATCATCAGATTCTCCAAGGTTGAAATGAAGGGAAAAAATGTTAAGGGCAGCCAGAGAGAAAGGTCAGGTTACCTGCAAAGGGAAGCCCATCAGACTAACAGCAAACCTCTTAGCAGAAACCTTATGAGCCAGAAGAGAGTGGGGGCCAATATTCAACCTTCTTAAAGAAAACAATTTTCAACCCAGAATTTTATATCCAGCCAATCTAAGCTTCATAAGTGAAGGAGAAATAAAATACTTTCCAGACAAGCAAATGTTGAGGGATTTTGTCACTACCAGACCTGCCTTGCAAGCGCTCTTGAAGGAAGCACTAAATATAGAAAGAAAAAGCCAGTACCAGCCACTGCAAACACACCAAAATATAGACCAATGGCACTATAAAGAAACTGCATCAACTAGTGTGCAAAATAACCAGATAGCATCATGATGACAGGACCAAACTCACACATAGCAATATTAACCTTAAATGTAAATGGGCTAAATGCCCCAATTAAAAGACACAGACTGGCAAATTGGATACAGTTAAGACCCATTAGTGCGCTGTATTCAGGAGACCCATCTCACATGCAAAGACACACATAGGCTCAAAATAAAGGGATGGAGGAAAATTTACCAAGCAAATGAAAAGCAAAAAAAAAAAAAAAAAAAAAAAAAGCAGAGGTTGCAATTGTCGTCTCTGACAAAACAGACTTTAAACCAACAAAGATCAAAAAAGACTAAGAAGGACATAACATAATGGTAAAGGGATCAATGCAACAAGAAGAGTTAACTATTCTAAATGTATATGCACTCAATACAGGAGCACCCAGATTCTAAGCAAGTTCTTAGAGACCTAGAAAGAGACTTAGACTCCCACACAACAATAGTAAGAGACTTTAACCCCCTACCATCAATATTAGACAGATCAACGAGACAGAAAATTAACAAGGGTATTCAGGACTTGAACTCAGCCTTGGATCAGGTGGACCTAACAGACATCTACAGAACTCTCCACCCCAAATCAACAGAATATAAATTCTTCTTGGTGCCACATGGCACTTATTCTAAAATCAACTACATATTGGAAGTAAAACACTCCCCAGCAAATACAAAATAACTGATGTCATTAAAAAAAAAAAGTCTCTCAGACCACAGTGCAATCAAATTAGAACTCAGGATTAAGAAACTCACTCAAAACCGCACAATTACATGGAAACTGAACAACCTGCTCCTGAATGACTCCTGAGTAAATAATAAAATTAAGGCAGAAATCAAGAAGTGCTTTGAAACCAATGAGAAGAAAGAGACAATGTACCAGAATCTCTGGGACACAGCTAACACAATGTCATAGCACTAAATGCCCACATCAGAAAGCTAGAAAGATCTCAAATTGACACCCTAACGTCACAATTAAAAGAGCTAGAGAAGCAAGAGGAAACAATTGCAAAAGTTACAAGAAGACAAGAATTAACTAAGATCAGAGCAGAATTGAAGGAGATAGAAACATAAAAACCCTCCAAAAACATCAGTGAATCCAGCAGCTGTTTTTTTTAAAATTAACAAAATAGACTGCTAGCTAAACTAATAAAGAAGAAAGGAGAATGATAAAGGGGATATTACCAATGGCCCCACAGAAATACAAACTACAATCGGAGAGTACTTACCATAAACACCTCTACACAAATAAACTAGAAAATCTAGAAGAAATTGATAAATTCCTGGATGCATACATCCTCCCAAGACTAAATGAGGAAGAAGTCAAATCCCTGAATAGACCAATAACATGTTCTAAAATTGAGGCAGTAATTAATACCCTACCATCCAAGAAAAGCCCAAGACCAAAAGAATTCACAGCTGAATTCTACCAGAGATACAACGAGCAGCTGGTACCATTCCTTCTGAAACTATTCCAAGCAATTAAAATGAGGGACTCCTCCCTAACTCATTTTATGAGGCTAGCATCATCCTGATACCAAAACCTGGCAGAGACATAACAAAAAGACAAAATTTCAGGCCAATATCCCTAATGAACATTGATGCAAAAATCCTCAATATAATACAAACAAATTCAATCCAGTAGCACATCAAAAAGCTTATCCACCATGATCAAATCAGCTTCCTCCCTGGGATGCAAGGCTGGTTCAACATACACAAAACAATAAACATAACACATCACATAAACAGAACCAATGACAAAACCACATGATCATCTCAATAGATGCAGAAAAGGCCTTCCATAAAATATAAAAATTCCTTTATGTTAAAACCTCTCAATAAACTAGGTATTGACAGAACATATTTCAAAATAAGAAGAGCTATTTATGACAAACCCACAGCCAATATCATACTGAATGGGCAAACGCTGGAAGCATTCCCTTTGTAAACAAGAAAAGGATGCCCTCTCTTACTACTCCTATTCAATATAGTATTGAAAGTTCTAACCAGGGCAATCAGGCAAGAGAAAAAAATAAAGGGTATGTGAACAGGAAAAGAGGAAGTCAAATTGTCTCTGTTTACAGGTGACATGATTGTATACATATAACACCCCATCGTCTCAGCCTAAAAACTCCTTAAGCTGATAAGCAACTTCAGCAAAGTCTCAGAATACAAAAATAAATGTGCAAAAATCACAATGATTGCTATACACCAACAATACACAAGCAGAAAGCCAAATCATGAATGAACTCCCATTCACAATTTCTACAAAATAATAAAATACCTAGAAATACAGATAACAACGGATATTAAAGACCTCTTCAAGGAGAACTACAAATCACTCTTCAAGGAAATAAGAGAGGACACAAACAAATGGAAAAACATTTATCCTCATAGATGAGAAGAATCAATATTGTGAAAATGGCCATACTGCCCAAAGTAGTTTATAGATTCAATGCTATTCCCATCAACTACCATTGGCATTCTCCATAGAATTAGGGAAAAACTACTTTAAATTTCATATGGAACACAAAAAGAGTCTGTATAGCCAAGATAATCCTAAGCAAAAAGAATAAACCTGGTGGCATCACTCTATCTGACTTCAAACTATGCTACAAGCCTACAGTAATCAACACAACATGGTACTGGTACCAAAACAGATATATAGGCCAATGGAACAGAACAGAGACCTCAGAAATAATGCCACACATCTACAACCATATGATCTTTGACAAACCAGACAAAAGCAAGTAGTAGAGAAAGGATTACCTATTTAATAAATGGCGCTGGGAAAACTAGCTAGCCATATGCAGAAAACCGAAACTGGACCCCTTCCTTACACCTTATACAAAAATTAACTCAAGATGGATTAAAGACTTAAATGTAAAACCTAAAATCATAAAAACCCTAGAAGAAAACCTAGGCAATACTATTCAGGACATAGGCATGAGTAAAGATTTCATGATGTAAATGCCAAAAGCAATTGCAGACAAAAGCCAAAATTGACAAATGCGATCTAATTAAACTAAAAAGCTTCTGCACAGCAAACAAAACTATCATCAGAGTAAACAGGCAACCTACAGAATGGGAGAAAAATTTTGCAAAATACGCATCTGACAAAAGGCTAATATCCAGAATCTATGAGGAACTTAAACAAATTTACAAGAAAAAAACAAACAACCCCATCAAAAAGTGGGCAAAAATATGAATGGACACTTCTCAAAAGAAGACACTTATGCAGCCAACAAACATATGAAAAAAGCTCAACATCACTGATCATTAGAGAAATGCAAATCAAAATCACAGTGAGAGACCATATCACACCAGTCAGAATGGCAATTATTAAAAAGTCAAGAAACAATAGATGCTTGTGAGGCTGTGGAGAAATAGAAATACTTTTACCTGTTGGTGGGAAGGTAAATTAGTTCAACCATTGTGGAAGACTGGTGATTCCTCAAAGATCTAGAACCAGAAATACCATTTAACCCAGCAATCCCATTACTGGGTATATACCCAAAAGAATATAAATCATTCTACTATAAAGACACATGAGCACGTATGTTTACTGCAGCACTAATTACAATAGCAAAGACTTGGAACCAACCTAAATGCCCATTGATGATAGATCGGATAAAGAAAATGTGGCACATATACACCATGGAATACTATGCAATCATAAAAAGGAATGAGATCATGTCCTTTGCAGGGACACGGATGAAGCTGGAAGCCATCATCCTCAGCAAACTAACATAGGAACAGAAAACCAAACACCACATGTTCTCACTCGTAAGTGGAAGTTGAACAATGAGAACACATGGACACAGGGAGGAGAACATCACACACCGGGGCCGGTCGAGGGGTGGGAGGTGAGGGGAGGGACAGCATTAGAACAAATAGCTAATGTATGCTGGGCTTAAAATAGATGATGGGTTGATAGGTGGAGCAAACCACCATGGCACATGTATACCTATGTAACAAAACTACACATTCTGCATTTGTATTCCAGAACTTAAAGAAAAAAAGAAAAAAAAAAAATAGAAAGCCCCACTTCTGGTGCATCTGAAGAGAGAGCAAGGCAGCCACTGTGAGGAAGCCAGAATAACTTGTCTTGATGTTTCCCCGCTATCTCCCATGCTGAACAAAAGCTTTAAGCTCCTGAAGAGGGGCACTAAATCCTGTTGCCCTTACATCACAGGTGAAAACTTATTGTAGTTAGGGGAAGAAAACAGTAACAACAACAAAAAACCTTCTACTCTGGGAGAGGGGCAAAAAGGCCTGACCTTAGAGATTCCTTGTCACTAGAAGAAGTACCAGATCACAGAGAAGGCTTCATCCCTGAGATCCAGTGTTTTAGCAGCTGCCTGACACTGAGAATAAATCCAAACAACGGAGGACACACTCCCTGCCTCTTACCACAAAGCCAGCAAGAGTTGAGTAGTCAGCAACAGCACTCAACCAGTAGAAAAAATAAAGATACTTAAACAGGTACTTTTCAAAAGAAGATATCCAAATGGCCAATAAATATTTTAAACTATGTTCAACTCATTAGTAATCAGTAAAATGTGACTTAAATATAAATGAGACATGACTAGGATGTATGAAACTAAAATAACTGACAAATGAAGTGCTTACAAGGATGTATAAGAATAGGAATTCTCATAAACTGTTGAGGGGGGGTGTAAATGATACATGTGGAAGATTGTAATTTTTAATAAAATTAAACATATACCTGCTCTCTGACCCAATAATTCCAACGTATATGTTCCAAAGAAATGAGTCCACACATCCACATAGAAACTTCTATGAGAATGACATGGCAGACTTAGTAATAACAGCCCAAAGTAAGAGACAATCCAAATGTCAATCAACAATAGAAAGGGAAAATAACTCATCATAAAATCATATGATGCAATACTTTATAGCAATGAAAGGAATGAAATACAACTATAGACAACATCACAGATGAGCCTCACAATCAAAATTTTAGTGAAAGGAGCTAGACAGAAAAGAATATCTACTGTATGATTACATTTTTATAAAGTTCAACAACAGGCAAAATTAATCCCTAGTGATAAAATCCAGAAAGAGATAAGCTTTATGGAAGGGAGTAGGGTAGTGACTGGGAGGGCATATGAGGTGTGCGCATAATGCTTTATTTTTTTATTTGCCTAGTAATTACCAATTTGTTCACAATGTCATAATTACTTAAAAGGCACGTGTATGATTTGTGAACTCTCCTACATGTCTGTTAGAGTGCAATAACATTTTTTATTGTTAAAAATAATAAAAATAAAATAAAGCAAAGTAAAGCATATTGATCTCCAAACTTGAGTAAAATCAATTACTGTGTAATTGGCAGCTATTTATTGATCTAAATTTTTTTCCTGGAAACAAACATTCTGTATTGGTTAAGTGGCTGTGGCATGGGTTACATTCTTGGTCTTGATAAGCAGCCCTGTGTAGTCGGTTCAGGTTAAATTAGTCTTTGAGAGAGCAGTGCCCAGTGGGCAGCTTCTCTTTGCTCTTTTCTAGACTTTTTACTTGTTTACTTTATGCTCCCTTCCTGCTGAGATGTTTCTGGTATTAACAACAAATAAATGACAGCTGTAGCCTATGAAAAGTAATACCTTAGGTAATTCTTTTGTGATGAATCATCTGATTTTTTATTAATTCTTTTCCTTTTTGATTCTAAGAGAAAGCAGAGGGCATCACCTGGAATCCTGCCACTGATGAACACTCTTTGCTGTTTACTTGCCAATAATTGAGGTATAACAATAGCAGTTATAACAATAGCAATGCTCATTTGCACAGCATTTTAGAAAACATTTTTTAAATGAATTATCTCATTTGAACTTTATATCAGTCCTGTTAAGAAAAGTGGAGCACATGAGAACACATAGACACATAGAGCGGAACAACAGACACTGGGTCCTGCCAGAGGGTGGAGCATGGGAGGAGGGAGAAGATCAGGAAAATTAACTAATGGGTACTAAACTTAATACCTGGGTGATGAAATAATCTGTACAACAAAACCCCATGACACAAGTTTACCTGTATAACAAACTTGCACATGTACCCCTGAGCTTAAAATAAAAGTTAAATTAAAAAAAGAGTAACAATTGCAGTGGATTGAAATATGTTTAATCCTTATGCTTACTCTGATTTTAAAAGAATAAAGCTCACTGGTCACCTTGAGAAAAAAAAAAGAAAAGTGGAGCAGACATTATTATCTTCATTTTATTCAGGAGGAAACTGAGTTTCAGATATATGTTGAAGAATAAATTCTTTATTTGAGACGAGTAGGGAAAGATGAAGCTTTAATATCACTGAATTTTTGTCTTCCCAGAAGTAGATCCTGAGCCAAGTGCAAAGAGTTTCTTTGGAACAAGAAAACATGACAAGGAAGTGGAGAAATGAGAGCGGCAAGGTAAATCAACAAATAAATAATTGGTTATCAAATCATTTACCACTGCGGGCTAGTAGTATTTAATCCTGCTCTAGGAACAAGAATGATATTATCCTAACCCAAAGAGCAAAGGAAGTAGGAGCTAGGGTATTTATCCACCCACATTGAGGCCTATATTAGTCCGTTTTCACACTGATATAAAGAAATACCCGAGACTGGGTAATTTATAAAGGAAAGAGATTTAATAGACTCACAGTTCCACACGGTTGGGGAGGCTTCAGGAAACTTCATGGTGGAAGGTGAAGGGGAAGCAAGGACCTTCTTCATATGGCAGCAGGAGACAGAAGTAAAATTAGGGAAAATGACAAACACTTATAAAACCATCAGATCTCCTGAGAACTCACTCACTATCATGAGAACAGCATGGGGGAAACGGCCTTCATGATGCAATCACCTCCCTCCTTCAACACTTCCGGATTACAATTTGAGATGAGATTTGGGTGGGGACATAGATCCAAACCATATCAGGGCCATTAACTTTCTTCCTCTTCTGTCCTGTTTGCATAGGTGGACAAAGGGGATTTTGGAGACCAAAAAAGTCCTCAGGCAAACAGATGCAGGTGCTAGCAGTTGGAAGTCAGGCCCAAGAGCTCTGATGCGTGTGATAATATGGGAATTAATAAGCCTGCTATATTTGGTAAATAAGAGAATTGTCTTATCATTTGTGATTGCTTTCCTTGCATCCATTTCCTATCTCTTTCTTCTTGTACAAGAATTTCCTATTACTTTTAGGGACCAAAGGGTGGATCAGGCAACTTAAGCTGGTCCAAAAAGAGTTATATGTTAACTTTTTCTGGATCTCTGGGAGAAAGTTCCCACTTTATCCTGATGAATGTGGAAAAAGAAGCCTGTAGCCCCAGCAACTGCTGGAGTGATGTTGACATTATAAAAGAAGATAACCTGAAGATGAAGCTTATAAAGGGGAAGATAGAGTGGAAACACAAACCCAGTTTCTTAATGACATTATTAATCCCTGGCTCAAGACTTACCTGATTCAAGCTGAAAAACTTGACTTTATGATTAAGTAAAATAATTGATTCCCTTTAGTGTTTAAGCAAGTTGGAGTCTCTTATGTTTTCACTTACAATGAAAGAAATCTAATATTTAATCTAAAATAGTGTTCATTTGAAGAAGCATTATCATTTTACATACTACTGGGGAAAAAATACTTCCAATTAAACTAAGAATCAATGACTTACAATCCCTAAGGTTTTGAAAATTTTATATGTTTTGAAAGATCTCTGTTAGACATTTTTAGATGTAGATTTTTAAAATATAAGTTTTGGGGGGTATTCATTAGAAGGAGTATAAGGGTGAGAGTCAAATATGCTAGTTACGAGAATCCTAAAATGTGTTCCCACTCAGAGTCCAACTCTTCTCAAATCATTTCAATCGTGAGCATCATCAGTGCTCATATGTTCTTACTACATCTTCCTTGGCAACATAACTTTTCTTAAATTGAAAAACAGGAAACCGATCTGTTTTCTGTTACTACAGAAATCTAGAAATGCTAAAATTCTAGCATTTAATATAAATGGAATAATACTACACTATGTACTCTCGTTTCTTTATGCACTTTTCTAAGACGTTCCATGTTGTCACATGTAGCAGTAATTCATTCTTTTTTATTACTGAGTAGTACTATATTGTATGTTTATAGTTTTCTATCTATTCGTCCAGTTTGGAGCTACTGTGATTATACCCACTATAAGCATTTGTGTACAAGATTTTCTATAGACATGTATTTTATTTCTATTAGGTAAATATCTAGGGATGGAACTGATATGTCATATAGTAAGTATATGCTTTACTTCAACATTACTGCAAAATTTATTCCAAAGTGCTTATATATTCCCACTAGTATGTATGAGACTTTTAGTTGCCCCATTTTCTTCCCAACATGTGATACTGCCGATCTTTTAAAAAACAATTTTGCCTTTCAGGTGAATGTATAGTGATATCTCATTATTTTAATATGTGTGTTCCTGATAATTAATAATGTGTTTATTAGCTGTTTGTATGTCTTATTTTGTGAAGTGTTTGTTCAAATATTTTGCCCATCTTTTTTTAAATTGGGTGTTTGCCTTTTTATTAGAGTAACGAAAGTTTTAATGTTTACTGGAGACTTCTCTCTATCAGATATCTGTACTGTAATTTTTTTTTCCAATTAGTGGCTTTTCTTTTGCTTTCCATAGTAATGCCTTTCAAAGAGTAGTTTCTTTTTTATTTTGATTACATTTAATTTATAATTTTTTTCTTATAATGTTGGTACTTTTGTAACCTATCTAAGAAATCTTAAGAAATCTTCTTCTTTTTAACTCTATATTAACAAAGATTTTCTTTGTTGCCTTTTAGAAATTTTGTAGTTTCAGCTTTTATGTTTAGATCTATGGTCCATTTTGCATTTTTTGTGTGTGTGTCATGTGTGATAAAGGTCAAGACTTTTTTTTTTCCAAACAAGTTTCCAGTTGTTTGAGAATTGTTAGTAAAAGATTATACTCTCCCTATTGAAATATTTAGGTACTTGTATTAGTCAGAGTTCTCTAGAGGAACGGGACTAATAGGATAGATGTATATATAACAGGGAGTTTATTAAGGAGTATCGACTCACAGGATCACACGGTGAAGTCCCACAATAGGCCATCTGCAAGCTGAGGAGCAAGGAAGCCAGTCTGAGTCCCAAAACCTCAAAAGTAGAGAAGCAGACAGTGCAGCCTTCAGTCTGTGGCTGAAGGCCTGACAGCCCCTGGCAAACCACTGGTGTAGGTCCAAGAGTCCGAAAGCTGAAGAACTTGGAGTCCGATGTTTGAGGGCAGGAAGCATCCAGCATGGGAAAAAGATGGAGGCCAGAAGACTTAGTCAGTCTAGTCCTTCCACGTCCTTCTGCTTGCTTTTATCTTAGCTGCACTGGCAGCTGTTTAAATTGTGCCCACCTAGATTGAAGGTGAGTCTGCCTCTTCTAGTCCACTGACTCAAATGTTAGTGTCCTTTGGCAACACCCTCATAGACAAACCCAGGAATAGTACTTTAAATTCTTCAATCCATTCAAGTTGACACTCAGTATTAACTATCGCAGTACTATAAACCAAAAATTAAATGAATGTCCTCCAACCATCTGAATGGACTTCCTCCTCAGCCAGGGCTCTTTTAAAATTTAACTTGAAAGATTGGTTCAAGCCATGACAGAAGCGGGGTTGGACGTTTCTCTTTATACCTCTCTGGCATTAACGTCCACACAGACTTTAAGTCTGATAAGGGACATTTTACAACCTGTCTCTGAAGCCTGTTACCTGGAGGCTTCATCTGCATGATAAAACTTTGGTCTCCAGGACCTCTTATCTCGACCCAGACATACCTTTCTATTGATCCCAGGTCTTCGGTTAAACTAAACCAATTGTCAAGCAGAAAATGTTTAAATCTACCTATAAGCTGGACCCCACTCCCCTTCAAGTTGTCCCACCTTTCTGGATCAAACCAATGTTTTTCTTAACTGTAATTGATTTAAGTCCTATCCCTCCCTAAAATGTATAAAACCATCCTGCATCCCCAACCACCTTAGGCACAAGTTCTCAGGACCTCCTGAGGGCTGTGTCACAGGCCATGGACACTTATATTTGGCTCAGAATAAATCTCTTCAAATATTTTACAGAGTTTGATGCCTTTCATCGACAGTACAAATATTAAAATTTAGCCTTATATAAATGGATCTATTTCAGTAGTCTGTTATTTTGTTTCTTTCATTTTTATGTCTGCCTTTACATCAACTCTATACTGGATTATTGGAACCATATACCCTTGGGAGGGGTCCTGGGTGATGGGCTATATCCATATGATAGCTTCCATTTAAAATGCCTCAAAGAGCTAAGATTTAAAAATCCTTGAATAACTAATGTGAAGGTACTCCCCAATACATAAGGGACTGGATTTTGAAGAAAAACAAAATTTAGTTTAGAGTTACCGAAGTTTACATGTAGGATACAAAATGTATACTTAGTATACAAAAGAGAGACTGTGTGGTCTCTTTTTTGCCATCTAGTGGAAAGCTACTGTGATTCAGTTCTATTTGAGGCCTGTATTTGAAAATTGGAAGGAATCTCAGTTACTGTGTAGTAAAGCAGTTCTCAAACCTGGTTTGCATTGCCTAGGGAAGTATATATTTCCCAATAATCAGGCGTTCTCCACCATTTAAACATATATTTTTTACTTTATTACCACCTATTATATTTATACTAATATTTTGTATAACCTTTTTTAAAACAATTTAAAGTGTTATAGGTAGGTAGACAGACATGAGTGGGGAGGAGCGGTCTCTCCCCTCACCCACTAGAAATGTCAGGTGATGGTTCGGCAGTAAATCTCATTGCCTCTCTAAAAGTGATAAATTGGCAGCCGGTGCCAGGGAGAGGCCATTTCCTGATGATTCATACCTGTGAACATTAAAGTGTTAATTAAAGGCAGACCCCAGGGAGAAGCATCTTCCTGGGCATGCACATTAAGAGACAAAATGGCGAAGTACAATCTTCCGGGTACACTCCACTGGAAAAAGGAAAGAAAGCTTCAGACAGGCATGTATATAACTCCCTAAACTCACTCAGTATGTTCAGTTCCCAAGGGTAGGAGAGCACCGCACATGAGGAAAGCCTACCCTAAGAGATGAATCATGGGAAAGAGGCGAGCCTAAGAAGTCCTAGGATCAAAGGTTAAACGCTCTTCTTTTTTCTCTCTTGGGCCTCAGTGCCCACTTGGATCCCTTCCAAGCGTTCTTTCCTTTCTTTACTGTTCTAAAGCCTTTTTAATAAACTTCCACTTCTGCTCTGGAACTTGCCTCAGTCTCTTTTTCCGCTTTATGCCCCTCAGTGGAATTCTTTCTTCTGAGGAGGCAAAAATTGAAGTTGTTGTAGACGCCTACAGATTCGTCACCAGTAACTTGGGGTAATTCAGATCTCTTCTTTTTTTTTTTTTTTTTTTTTTTTTGAGACGGAGTCTCGCTCTGTCGCCCAGGCTGGAGTGCAGTGGCGCGATCTCGGCTCACTGCAAGCTCCGCCTCCCGGGTTCACGCCATTCTCCTGCCTCAGCCTCCCGAGTAGCTGGGACTACAGGCGCCCGCTACCACGCCCGGCTAATTTTTTGTATTTTTAGTAGAGACGGGGTTTCACCGTGTTAGCCAGAATGGTCTCGATCTCCTGACCTCGTGATCCGCCCGCCTCGGCCTCCCAAAGTGCTGGTTCAGATCTCTTCTACTGCTAACAAAAGAATGTAAACATTAAAGAATATTTTAATCATTAATAAAATAGGAAAATAGTTTTCTAATATGTATTTTAATAATAGATAAATGTTAAATAATGTCATCTTGGTATAATCTGAACTCATCCAACAAACAACTCATAGTATCGTACTCTGAAAAATACTGCACTAGAGACCTATAAAATGTATGCTGCATGTCCTTAAGGGAAATTACCACAGAAAAGTGAGCAATATTGAATCTAGTCAATAAGTTTCATTTTGGATATCAAAGATTTTGAATGTTTATGATATGATTTACGTGTCCTAAGAGTTCAAGACTTGGACTCAAACTCAAGTCCCTTGATTCCAAGTCCAGTGATTTTCCAATTATACATTGGAAAAGGTTCCAATGTTTAGAAACCTCTTTTCTCTGTTTACCTTCTGAAACATGTATATTCAAATTATTATACATAGTTTGTATAAGAAAGGAGCCATTATCCATATTAATATAATAATATGAAAAAAATCAATTTTAAGTTATGTTTTTGATTTTGTGAATTTATAATCCACAAAAATCAGTAAACTTTATTTTTGTCATGTTTCAGGAAGCAATTAAATGAAACTTGAAACTTTGAACATGACAAAAAAATTTTTAACTTAATGACCAATTATTTAAATATTAATTTAATTATTAGCTTTTAACTTCTAATTTTACCTGAATGCAATCAATGCAACTAAGTACTATCTATCCTTTAAATATATTAATATACATTTAAGTAAGTCATTCAAGGACTTATTTTTAAAAGACCTAATCCTTTAAAAAAAACAAAAAAGGATAGGAAATAGTGGCGACTTTAGCTACTTTCCCCAAAACTCTTCTGCATATGCTTAAATAACCATTCAACAGCAATTAGAATAAAACTGATAGCTGTTCTTGTTTTTTTGTTGTTATATATATATGTGTGTGTGTGTGTGTATTTGTCTTTGGCAAAGAAGAATGACTAAGCTTACAAAATGCTATCAAGGGAAGTGTTTAACTGTTGAAATTGAACTTAATATAAAGGATCTACAGTGTGGGCTTGTTGATTAAAAAAATTTATTTATTTCCAAAATTCAAATAAACTCACACTTCTGCATCATACTCTACAGAAGCAAATAACACATTGAGGCAAGGGACCTGCTGCCTCATCAAGCAGTACTCCACTCCTTCATTCATTCATACGTTCACTCATTCCTCATTGAGGCAATCACATCTCTGTGGTACCTGAATAATTTTGTGAATTGTTTTCATTTTGAATTATTTTGTACATTAAGCATACCCATGATATTGATCCTTGTGTATTTTTTAATGGAAAGAATAAGCCATTACAGCCTCACCCTATCAAATATATTTTAGTATTTCCAATGATTTGTATAAGTTGTTTCTTTGGATCTGCTCTCTAACTTCCCAAAAAACATTGTTATTGTCACATAAAATTATCAGCTGAAAGAAAGAAAGGACTAGTGAAAAGTTAACTATTAATTATATTCTTTTAAAATGTATCATTATTTTGGAAAATAATATCTCTAAAAATCTCTGCTCTACAATGTGAAAGTGTTGACTTTTTTATTTTAAAAAAAATCCATAAGCTTAAAGATACAAAATTCTAATAATTTTATTATTTCATTAACTTCATTATTTGAATGTTTTCCTTTTTCCTTTTGAGTAAAACTCAAATGTGATTGATTTATCTTTAATGTTATATTTTATGTGCGTCTCTCTTAGACAGAATAAGACAGCATATAGAATCAGATAACTGTATAATAGAATGATCAATTAATGTGCATGTAGAAGCTACTGAGCTTTTAATTCTTGTTCTTATTATAAACTATGTGCCTAATAGGCTTTATTGAACTTTCCATCTGTTTTCTCTCACATCTGTAACTTAAAATGAAAGCTTTTGTTAAAGAAACCCAGAATTGTTCTTTTCTAATTTTTCTTAGAGCTTAAAATATTCTCAAAGTGTTGTAACTTCTAAATTCCTTGATACTATTTAGTCATATCTGGATTTGCATATTTCCTAAGGCAGAATCTTCAAGTCCTCTAACTTTACAGTCTCAATAACTCTTTGTCATCCTTACTATATATTCTACATTTAATAGGCAACAAATATATATATGGTCCGTACTTAGTTAAATGGTAGGGGACACAAATAATAAGATTAATAGATAGAAAGTGAAGGTTAAACAACAGGTTATGTAATAACTCGAGGTAGTTTTATAAACTGATGTTGCAGATATTCTGCAATTCACTAGATACTGTTACATTCTCTACTTCAATTTTTCTTCTTGAGTTCTGCTAACCTCAAGGTAGCCTGAATGCATATACCAGGGAGAATGATCTGAAGTGACAGCCATAACTTTGAATTTTTAAAAAATTCCTTTATTAAAAGGAAATATATCACTGTATATTAATACAAAAATGAAGTTTCTGGAATATGTGCCTTGTTTATATTATGTCTTCAGAAATAACTTTACCACATACCATGAATTATCAAAGGCACATATATGCCAGTTTGAGAAGCATGGAAGGTGGTCTACAAAAGATTAACTGCCATAAATATTTTATCAGAATAATTTAACTCAAAAGAAAACGAGGAAATTTACCTTCCATGAGCACATGAGAGATTGTGCATCAAGAAGTACACCATGTTAATAGTCTCAAAAATATTGATCCAGGAAAAAGCAGAGCTACAAAAGCAAAGTCACAAGAGTATTCTACTAAGACAATTTAGATCTAAGTACTCTTTCTTGACTTGGCTGTTTGACTTTGGAAAAGTCACAGCCTTTTATAGTGTGCCATCCCTCCCCTGCTAGAGTCACTGCATAGCTTCTAGAGTCTTCTCTAGTTTTGCCATCCTGTGATTCTAAAATTTACTGAATTTCTTATCATTTTACAACATTCCACTTTGAATTAACAAACACAGTAGAGTGGCAATGTTCCCTAAGTGCCAACCTCATCACCAGAAAGTGTTTTGACAGTGTAATTTTAAAACACGTTTTGACTGCCTGCTATTTTGAGGCTGCTGCAAAGGGAAGAAAACAGCATTTATTTAGCTACTATAATTTGCCACTCATTGCATACTCAGCAATAAAAAAGAAATGACCCAAGACTGCTCCTTAAAGTTTATTTAGAAGCAGTGTTTTTAGAGCGAAATTACATAAGAAACATTTAAAGATGGCAGCAACAAAGGAAACACTAGATATTCAAGATTTAAATCACTTCAAGTTAAAGTGATGGTCAAAGTGGAAAAAGATTAGAAGTAGAAGACTTTTTTTTTTTTTTTTTTTGAGATGGAGTCTCGCTCTGTTGCCCGGGATGGAGTGCAGTGGCGATATCTCGGCTCACTGCAAGCTCCACCTCCTGGGTTCACACCATTCTCCTGCCTCAGCCTCCCGAGTAGCTGGGACTACAGGTGCCCGCCACCACGCCCGGCTAATTTTTTGTATTTTCAGGAGAGACGGGGTTTCATGATGTTAGCCAGAATGGCCTCGATCTCCTGACCTCGTGATCTGCCCGCCTCAGCCTCCCAAAGTGCTGTGATTACAGGCGTGAGCCACCATGCCCGGCCTAAAAGTAGAAGATTTTTAAAGTAGGTGAATTTTCAGCAAAATCTGGAAAAGAAGATGGTAGCTAAGTAATAAAAAGAAGAAAAGAAAGAAGGGATTGAGTTGAAGAAGTAACAAAAAATGTAGTTGAAAGGAATCTGCAGTTCAAAGATTTTCATTTAAATATTAGAATGAAGGAACTGGCAATATGGAGGCTCTAGCTAAGTTCACCTGATCAATACACACTGCCTAAATAACCCAGCATGTGCAGAGCATACAAGTCTGTATTGAAAACCTACAAAGAACACTGGTTCAGTATAGGTACTATGAAAGAAAGAATCTAAAATATAATCCTTTCCCCTAAGTTACCTCTGGTCTAGTAGCAGACCTAACGTGTACAGCATTGGAAAATAATGAAACTATATTTTATAGAATGAAGTCAAGACATCAAAAGAAGACATGCCTTGATATTGCGTGAGACATTAGCAGACAGAGAATTTGGGCAGTGCTACTATAATTCTGAAAAGAAAGAGATCATTGAGCTAGTACCATGAGTTAATAAAAAAGAAGTGGATAGCATGATGTCTGACCACTAAGAACTTACAGTTTTTAAACATCTACTTCATCAGCACTTAGAACTGCTCACATTCCCTCCCCTTGATTTCTTTTTTCTTTTAGCTGAGTGATGACGGCATTGCCATTTACATCAGCACTGAGTATCTATTCTCATCTTCTGCTAAAACATTTGGTTTAAATACATACAAAGGAGCAGCAGGAGACTTAGAAAAGACTGACTTTATATATATATATATATATATATTTTATTTATTTATTTATTTATTTTTTTATTTTTTTATTTTTTGCTTGTGTGAAAGTCTAAAAACAGAAACCGGGGTAGAATCTAGGGAAGAAAAGGAGGGTGTGAGAATCAGTATTTTCATCTTTAATGCACTAGGAAAAACTCTGAATTGTCTTTATCTGTATGTCAGCAAAGAGATAAAGTTTTTCTTTCAAGTTCTCTGGGTCAGCAAGGATTGTTGCTGGGGTTCAATTTTCAAATGAAAAGAAATAGCTCCCAATCTTATTTTGAAATTTTCTAGCTGAACATGGATCATATGAAAGCAAAAGGGACTTCCGAAATCTGAACTTACTCTTCCGTCTTTCTTCCTCCATATGAATTTCAGAAATGTTAAGTGGTTTGTTTAAGGTCTCAAAATTAGTTAACAATATGCTTGGAGTAGAGAACTTGAGTTTTCATGTCTGGTATTTTGCTATTTCAATAAAAAACAAGTGAGAGTTTTCTCTTGGAACTTACTACCAGGAAATGTTTTGATCTCATCCAAATAATCAAGATGCTAATTTTAACTAGGCCTTTTTTTTTTTTTTTTTTTTTTTTTGAGATGGAGCCTTGCTCTGTCACCCAGGCTGGAGTGCAATGGCATGGTCTTGGCTCACTGCAATCTCTGTTTCCTGGGTTCAAGTGATTCTCCTGCCTCAGCCTCCAGAATAGCTGGGATTACAGGTGCCTGCCACCAAGCCTGGCTAATTTTTGTATTTTTAGTAGAGACGGGGTTTCACCATGTTGGCCAGGCTGGTCTCCAACTGCTGACCTTGTGATCCTTCTGTCTTGGCCTCCCAAAGTGCTGGGATTACAGGCATCAGCCACTACGTCTGGCCATCACTAGGCCATTTTTTACTCTCTATGTGAGAGCTTAATTTAATGCTCAGGTGAGTAAACCACATTCCTTGTACAATATTCAAGATTTAAATCACTTCAAGTTAAAGTGATGGTCAAAGTGGAAAAAGATTAAAAGTAGAAGACTTTTTTTTTTTTTTTTGAGATAGTCTCGCTCTGTCGCCCAGGATGGAGTGCAGTGGTGATATCTCGGCTCACTGCAAGCTCCGCCTCCTGGGTTCACACCATTCTCCTGCCTCAGCCTCCCAAGTAGCTGGGACTACAGGCGCCCGTCACCACACCCAGCTAATTTTTTGTATTTTCAGTAGAGATGGGGTTTCACAATGTTAGCCAGAATGACCTCCATCTCCTGACCTCGTGATCCGCCCACCTCAGCCTCCCAAAGTGCTGTGATTACAGGCGTGAGCCACCGCCTTTATACTTCCTGATTTTTTCTGTTTTTTTCCCCAATGTATTTTGAATTTCATTTTTAAAATAATGTATACTCATTATAGAAAATTTGAAAAACATGTCCGAGTATAAATAAGCAAAAATGTCTTATAATCTTATCAGTTCATATTACTTTACTTGAAATAATTTCTATATGTGTTTTGATTGTAAGCTGCCTTGAGATAGTTTACAAAATAGAAAGGAGTTACTTTACAGATAAATTTATTTTCTTAAGCAGAACTTACATCACCTCACTTTTCACAAATATCCACCCATTTATTAATATGCATAGTTCATATAGCTTAACAGGCATCCAACAAATGGGAGCCTTTTGAAAAATATGTGTATTGTGCCAGATGCAGTGGCTCATGCCTGTAATGCCAGCATTTTGGGAGGCCAAGGCAGGAGGATTGACTCCAAGAGTTCAAGATCAGCTTGGGCAACATGGTAAGATTCTGTCTCTATAAAAAAAATCAAAGAATTAGCCGGGCATGGAGGCATACACCTATAGTCCCATCTACTCAAAAGGCTAAGGTGGGAGGATCATTTGAGCCTGGGAGGTCGAGGGTGCAGTGAGCTATGACTACCACTGCATCCCAACCTGGGCAAAAGAGCAAGACCTTGTTTAAAACAAATGTGTGTATATATATATATATATATAATGATGAGATTGAAGCCCCAGTACAGGACATAGGCATGGGAGATTGGCCTCATAGTGAATAGTTATAGATTTAAGAAACATTCTATAGCCTTAAAATACTGTGACTTAAAGAACACACATAAATAGAAAGTGCCTAATTTGAATGAGGAAGTTTGGATCATATACCAACTCCTTGATTCATTTTTTTCATGTAAATGATCAATTCAGCAGTATGGGGAAAAATGGTAGGTATATTATTTTAATTTCACATTTGCATGATTCATAAATCAATAAATAAAATTTACATACCTTCACATGTACATATACCCCTACATTCAGAGTATGAATAAACCAAGGGAAAAAGATTGTATAGAAAAGAGAATTGTAGTAAAAGAGACATAAAGTCAATTTTGACTCTTGCTCCTGAAAAAGACATGCTATAGATTAATTCTGTTGTTCTATATATTCATTTCTAATTCATTAAACATTGTCTCATGCATCCTGTGTTGTAGATAACCTTACGTAAAGGTTGGACAGGATAAGATAATAAACCATATGAAGCTCAGGGTGCTGTGGAACAGACAGATAAGCTAATAAATATAAAGCAATGTGGTGGTAAAATGATTGAGATAATAATTATGTTAACTAACTTTTTTTTAAACAAATATTTATGTGCCTACAATGTACCAGGGATTATGTTAGCCACTGGAGATACAATGGTGAAAAAACAGTGGATACTGTACTAATCATTTTCTCTATATTATTTCATTTATCCCTCGCAGCTGCCCTGTGAAATGTGTGTTATTATAATCTCCATGAAACTAAGAAAAGGCTTGCCTAAAACTGCGCAGATAAAACTAGGTCAGAAGATATACAACATCTATTATGAAAGCAAATGCTTCTATTTTGAGTGGCATTCAAATTAGGCTGAAGTGGAAAGTGGGTATGTGTGTGTTAGTCATGCAAAGAAGGTCTGGGAAGCACTTTTCATGAAGTGAGGTTATCATAATCAAAGTCATAGTCTCTAGAGGAGCACTGTGTATTTTAGGAACTTCTAGGAATTGTGTTTTCCTTGAGTATAAATTTTGAGGATGGTGAGAAATGAGCCATGGCAAATAAGATGGGCTCATAATCCCAGAGGCAAAATGAAGGGTGACATGCTCAGATTTGCCTTTTATTAAAATCATGCTAGCTACATTGTAAAGAAAGGCTTAGAGGCTAGGCAAGGTGGTTCACACTTGTACTCCCAGTGATTTGGGAGGCCAAGGCAGGAGGATCACTTCAGGGCAGGAGTTTGAGACCAATATAGCAAAGATCTGTCTCTACAATATATATATATATATATTTTTTTTTAATAGCTGGGTGTGTGGTGCATGCCTGTAGTCCTAGCTACTTAGCAGGCTGAGGTGGGAGGATCACCTGAGTTCAGGAGTTAGAGGTTACAGGGAGCTATGATTTCACCACTGCACTCCAGTCTGGACAATAGACTGGAGCCAAATATGGCTCTTAGATATAAGAATAAGGACTACTTGGGATCTCACATAGATTACTTGGTGGTATACACAGAAGTTTATGTGAAATAAATAGTTAAGGAGTAATATCGAGAGCACAATTAGGTATTGTCAGAAGCTTAGAGGCCTGGGTTTCAGAAAAAGATTAGGAAAGTGTTCTCAGAAAGGAAATATTTAAAATATGACAGTAACTGAAATGTAGAGTTTAGTGGCCCAGTTTATGGAGTCTTGAGGGAGACTAGAATATAAAGATAGGCTAAGGGAAGAGGGTTTTTTTTTTCTTTTTTCAAGAAACCCAACCATTCAACAGAAAAGACTCTTTCTGTTCAAAACAATAAAGTTTTCTATTTTAGAAATTTAGAAAGTTTTAAGAAGGAATTGACAGAGTCAAAGACAACAAAAAATTAGGAATATATGGATTGAAAATGTCCATTATTTTAGAAAATTACGTCATTATTGACTTTGATAAATCTTTTTAGAATGGTTGAAGAAGCAACAAGATCAAAATAATTTTAGATGGATTTTCAGGAAATTTACATGTAAAAGAAATGTGAAAGATCAGATAGATCAAGGAAGGATATGTCTCAGGATTAGAATAGCTGGAATATTTATAGGTTGAGAGAACAAACAAGTAGTGAGAGAAAAAGAGACAGAAACAAAGATATAGGACAGAAGGGGAGGACAAATGGAACATGATTCTGGAAACAGACAATGAAAATTTCAGGTGGCTGTGTATTACTTTTGGAGAGAACACCTAATCTTCTGGAAGAAAAGAAAGTAGGATGGACACAGTGTATACATACACTGGTACAGGAGAGAGCAAAAATGGAAGGTATTTACCATTAAGGTCTGATGAGACTGGGATTCCAGTGTTTGTGTAACAAGCCTGAACAGAGTATTGAAAATTGGATAGGCACTGAGGGACATGTTGTTTCCTGTGGCAGGAAATTTTCAAAACAAGAGAAAGATGGTGAGATTTAATAAATAAATAAGCAGTATTATCTCCACTTTTCACCTTCCACTCTTCCAAAGAGGCTCAGATTCATTGAATGGCAGTAAGATATGGAATGTATTCCTCCTTATGTAACTTGACCACTGTGAAAATTTATAAGAGTTGAGAATACTATTGGTTGAAACCATGTACCTCTTGGAATCTACTACTGAACTATTGCCCAAGGTCTGTTGCAGTGACCTGAATTCTGAAGGTGGGAATATATGCGGAATTACCTAAAATAGTAATACCTTGCATTTATTGAGTTATTACTATAATTCGGTCATTATTCTGTGTGTTTTATATTATTCAGTCATTTAAATATCACGAAAAGTCTGAGTTGGTGGTATCATCTTTTATTTTTATAGAGGGGATTTGGCAGAGTACTTTCCGGGTGCTCTTTCTCATAGGTGAGTAAAAGCATATGAGTAATTCTGGTCAGTAAGCTTTAGGAAGAGGTGATGTGTATAATTTCTGGGTTGAATCACAGGATAGCAGGTGACTTTTCTGTTCAGTGATCATGATGGAGGCCTCTGTTTCTGGATGTGCAACTGTAACATGGATGAGTGTCCATCAGCCTGAGTGCCTGAGTAATTGTGTAAAGAAGAGCCCCCTCTATTGCTTTATAAGTGATAATTACATTTTGGTGGTTAACTTACTTAAACTTGAGGTAGGGTATTAATTTGCTACCACAAAATAATCTAACATAGCCTGACTAACAAGTGATCAAAATGAGAGATATAGCACTAAATCATAGGGTAAGTAAGTACTTCTTCACTTTCCTCTGCAATGGAGAGATGGGGACAAATACGGCTCTTAGGAATCTGCTACAGAGCTAACAGCTCCAGGTCTACTGCAGTGATCTGAATCCCTAAGATTTTCTACCATGCCCATGGTAGACATTATTAATTGTTCTTCAACTCTCTTGATGAGTCTGGGAGCCATCTAGGAATTATTTTCAATACAGAAAGCCTAGTAGTTGCTATTAATTTTTAGGATTGAAGTGTATATAAAACCTGCATGTCATCCATATTATGGACGTTTGTTCATGTCACACCTTGTTTCTAACTGCCTTTGAAATATGTGGCAGAAGATCTAGGTAGGTTGGTTGACCCACACGCATTCTTAAACTGTTAGACCTTGCTTCTTTCTTTTATAAATCCTGGGTAATTAATCACTTCCACATTCTTTTTGTAGCTAAAGACATCTTTATTACACAGTGTTAGCTAATGAGAAATAGCAGAAATGTCCTGAGAGGAAAAGGAGGTTTTCCCAAGGAAGTTTTAACTTTTCCTAATAAAAAGAGCTGGTTTCAGCCAGCACTACCTCCTCCTCACTTCTGATAGTAGACCAAAGAAGTACTGGATGGAACTTTAGCAGCCATCTTGCAACCATGAGGAAAAGGTCAAGATAACCAGAAATAATGACTGATATTGTTGTGCTTTTGAATTTATATCTGCAACTAACCACCCCAGGACCAGTTATTTTAGAGAAGAATAACCCTGTTTGTTTAAGCCACTCTTACCCACTTTAAGGCAAGTATTCTGTTACTAGCAGACAAGCAGAATTCTAGTTAATATAAGGCACTTATATTATGTAGATATTCAGGCACATACCTATACCTATAAAGTAAGGGTTATAACAGAGGCATATGCGAGTTAATATAGGGACACATACAAAATGAGTACTTAAGTTGATTAGAAAATTCAAAGAAAGGTTTCACTGGAAGCGATGTTAAAGGTAATCTTTGGGTCATGAGTTCAACTGATGAGGAAAGTTAGCGAGTATGAGATAGTCATTTGAAATAAGGGTAACAGCATGTTAAAGAGATGTCCTGAAAGAAGATATCATGTTCTGGGAATTGTACATAATTGAGCAAGTGTCAAACATAAAATCATGGAGGAGTTAGCTTGCTATGTGCATAAAAGATGACGCTGGAGGGCTACGTCGAGGACAGTTATTGAATGGCTTCAACTAATAGGTGATATAATTTTGCTCTGTCCTCAAAGATACAAAGATTTTAAGGAAGGAGTACATGATTAATTTATATTATAGAAAAACACCATGCTGGCTGCAGTATAAAGGAGGAATTCAAGAAGAATGCTTTCTGGCAGGAAGACCAGCTAAGAGAAATAGTTATAGTAAGAAATAATGAGTATATCAGTTAAAAGAGTGACAGTGGAAAATGGAAAAAGGACAGATTCTACAGATTTTATGAAGCTAGAGGTAATAGAAACTAGTGATAGATTATTTATTTTAATGTAAAGAGAGGATAATCAAGACTGGTTCCCAGATTGTATTTTGGGCTAGTGGTGAATCATGGATGAAAAATAGGGAGCAAAGGAAAAGAATGTGCTGGAGTGAAGGCAACAAAGATACATGTGAGATGTTTTTTGTTTATTTTCTATTCAAGATTCATTGTTAGCTGTAGAATTTAGTAAATGGGCTCATGGTTCTTTCTTCTCAGAAAACCTCCCTGATATGCCAGGGTCAATCTGGATCCTCCGTCAAGCAGACACCAAGATAGGAGTTGACACTGAAGAAAGAGCATGTAAAGGATAAAGGTAGGTGGGGGGGCAGGAAGAGTTTTCAGACTGTGATGCAGGGTTGACATCTCGGAAGGAGAGGGAAGGAACAGTGGGTAGGAAGAATGGTGCACTACTGAGAAAGTCTTTGTCAAGCTAATGAGGAATCCTGGCACAGAGATTACCTATTAGGCGAGCCCCACACAGGATAGAAAGGGCTGAACTTTACTATTGGCATCACGTTTGGTCATCGGCTGACATGGACAGTGTGGCAGATTTGAAGATTTGGCAGCTGAAGACTGTCATCAGCAACACTTTTCCCACCAGGTTCTCTTGACATGAGATCCAAACAGTGCACCTCTATTGCTACTAAATGTCAGTTCTTGAATATTCCAGAGTTCCTTTTCTTTGAGGGCAAGGGTTGGATTGTATTTTACCACCTCTTTAAAATTAGGATGGCCATATGACTTATTTTGGTCATTAAGTTGTAAGTGGAAGTTTGAAAAAACAGTATATGCTTTGCCGGATTATCTTTTTCTCTTCAAAGAAAATACCTTTTGAGCAGAACTTCCATCAATCTGGGCCCCAATAATGAGCAGGCTCTTACCAACTCAGGTGGGACATGTAGACTGAGCAAGAAATAGCATTATTGTAATAAGCCATTGAGATATTATGTTTTTTATTGAGGCATAACCTAGATTACTCTGACTGAAACCATAGCTTTGGAGATTGTGCTGGAGTATTTTAGTTTCTACATACACTGAGAAATAGGCAGTGACCATTGGGGAACAGGAGGCAGTGAACACTGGGGAAGAGGAGGCAGTGAACATACCACTGGAATCCAGCTTGGTTGGATATAAGAGCACAACAATTTGAAAGCGTTAGTCAAAGAAATGAACTGCTTGATTTTCCTTCTGAGCTTCTAAAGTCATTTATATTTAGAAGGAAAAGCTCACCAGTCATAGGTTGTAACAAATTATTAATACATAAATGTGTTCTGAGCTAACAGGACCATAAACTGTCATAGTTGGTCAACAATATTTATTGTGGATAAACAACTTGTATTAGATATGTTAGAACATAAAAAAGAGAACAATGATTATTATCATCCCTTTTATTGTATGCCACATATTATGAGATTCAAAGGCTTTCATAAATATTTTCTTCTACTCAGTGGAGTAAGTAGGGAAAGTATTATTATCCCAGTTTTACAGTTAAGGAAATGGAAACCCACAAACTTTAAATGACAAAGGGGATAAGTGGTTGAAACAAAACTAGAACTCAATACATCTGAGTAGATGCCTGTAAATTAAAATATTGCCTTCTTGCGAAGGCTAAAATTCTTGTTGCCAGAAAAAGTTTAAGAATATTTTCAGTGCCTACAGTCAAATACATATGCATCAATAAGGCATTTGCAGCTATTTTGTGTCATGGTATTGGATGAATGCTATAATTAGAAAACAGACGTGAAGCCGACCTAAAACCATCAAACTAATATAGAGAGCCCTGAAGCTTTTTCCAGTTCCAGTCAGTCTGAAAAGACAACATCAAATGCTAATGAGAGTCAGTCTTAAATAAAATAAGAATAAAAATTGCTTTATCTGTGGCTTATAACTCTTAAGTGAATTTAATGTGTATTTTCTCTCTTGTGTGTTACATTTTCCCTATAAGGAATTATAGAGTTGAACCCAGATCTTGTACCCATAAATCTCAAATGCTTATGGAGACATAAAGAATAGGTAAAAATGGATTTTTAATCACATTAAGGAATGCTGTTATGAGGCAACTTCCTTTGAAACTCAAAATACTAACAAATTGATAGGAAGATTTTAAAACATGGCTCCATTTTATTTGATACTTGTTCCATCTAAAGGTTGGACTTTTCCCCCTTTCTGATTAACCTGGATTCTGTGCTTGCTTTCAATCTGGCCGTTTCTAGATCAGGCCTTAAGAAACTGGCAGTTCCTACTTCCTGTCTCTTCAGACACTCTGGAAACCACCATGCTGTGAGGAAGCCCAAGTAGTTCCTGGAGAGATCTACACCAATAACTGAAGCCCCAAGGCCCTAGCACTGGCTGAGCTCCCAGCTGAAAGCCAGCACCAAATTTCCATAACTTTGAGTGAACCATCTTGGAAGTGTATATTCCAGTTCCAGGTTAAGTGTACTCAGAAATAACCTGCCCCATTGATCCCTGTAAAAATTGGAGATCTGAAAGCAAAATACAATATTGTTGACATTTTAAGTCAGTAGGGTTTGGGGCAGTTTATTGTATCAGTGAACTTTGCCTAGGTTGGTTTTACCTAGAGGCCTTCTATAGTACATAATAGAGTACCTTGGTCTGGTTATAGGGATTTTGTGCCTTCCTTTACATTTTAAAGTGAAAGAAAAATATCTTTTCTGTGAACATGAATTTTTTATTATTATTGTTATACTTTTAAGTTCTAGGGTACATGTGCACAATGTGCAGGTTTGTTACATTGGTATACATGTGCCATGTTTGTTTGCTGCATCCATCAACTCGTCATTTACATTAGGTATTTCTCCTAATGCTATCCCTCCCCCAGCTCCCCAGCCCCCAACAGGCCCGGGTGTGTGATGTTCCCCTCCCTGTGTCCATGTGTTGTCATGAACATCAATATTTTTAATGAGGGCATTAAGTTTACTCTATTGTGTGGTTATCCTGTATTCTTGTAGCATTGTCTCGTTTAGTCCGTAGAGAAAGATCACATCCCTGTAGTGTGTGATCTACTATAAAATGAGTTGGGGTTTTTTGTGTCAATAAAATGAGTTGCAACAAAATGAGTTGGGTTTTTTTGTGTCAATAAGTGGGGACAGTGGGAAAATTTCCTTAAGGAAAGCACATGAGATTTGGTGATTTGGGGCAGATGATAGTGAAAACTCCAGACTCCCATGGTGCTTCTTTCACGGTCTTTGCTTTCCAGGTGGCAAAACATGTTTAAAGGGATTTAATATACTTAAACTTGGATGGAGGTCATGTTCTAATGGCACAATTTGGCCTCACTGATGCCACAAACCCTTAGGATGAACATTAGGTTTCGGGCTAGAACTTAAAAAGGGCCTGGAACTCAAGACCAGAGTGGTGATGGCTGTCTTCATTAAGAAACACTTCTTGGTGGGCAAAGGATATAAGAGATAGTTAGGTCCATCTACTGCAGTTCAGTAGAATACAGGGCTTGAATTTGAATTTAGGGCAGGGATCTTGCCATGCCTAGCACAGTTCCTGACACATAATAGGTGTTGGAGGGGAGACAGTGAATGATAAATGCCAGGCTCCTTTTGCCATGAAACTGGGGCTTTCTTTTGGGTTGTCATTTTTAAGCCACTATGTGGCTTGCTTCTTGCAGTGATTTCATATATTAGGTAACAGATCAGGACCACGAGGAAACAATTTTTACACACACGGCCCTACAGTGCAAATTGTTATGAACCACAGTCATAGCTTACAACTAATACATTTCATCCTGAACTTCGAGCCAATTCACGGGTGGCGTTTATCTCCGTTTTACATCGGCAGCAACAGCCTGAATTTTCTGGGACACGATGCGCCACCCAAACAACAGGGACTCCCTCATCTTTTTCTCCCCAGCTCCGCCCAAGACTGAGCCACATAGCCACCTGCAGTTGCGATCGGCTCGCCGCGTGGGGGACTCCACCCGCGTGAGCTCGGTTTCCGAAAAGCGAAGCTGGGGTGGGACACAAGGATTGAGGGGAGGACAGGGACGGACCTGCGGCAGAAGCAGGGTGCAGCTGGGCGAGGAACCCCACGTTGGTAGCTTCTCTTCTGGGATGGCCGCCCCGCGCCGCCCACTCCGGAATCCTGTCCCCTCCCCGGCGCGCCCCCGCCCAGCTAGCCTAGAGCCTCTGCCGGATCTTCTCGAATTTCAACACAAAGGGAATCCTCGGCCGCAGGAAGTGCATCACGAGAAAGGGGGCCTGGGGGCGGGGAGAGGGGGATGCCGCTTCTCTCTCTTCTCCCCCTCCCTCCCGGAGCCCAAGGCAGACGTGACGAAACCCGCGGGGTCCCCCCCGAAGCCCCAACAGCCGAGATAATTGAAACAAGAAACCCCCTTAGTAAGGGGGCGGGGGGTGGGCCCTCCCTCCCTCCTCCCGCCACGCCCGAGTTCCTGGAGATCAGAGCTGCCTCGCCGCGGCTCTGACACCTGTTTGCTTTTTCCCTCCTTTCCTTCCGGGTGCACTAGCACCTGGGCTTACGTTTGTTTTTCTACCCTGGGGCTCTCAACTTCCCTTCCACACTCCACCTCCCTTGCAGAGTTTTCTATAAAGTTCGGGCTCTGGGTGTCCCCTTGCACTCCCCACAGGGCTGTGCCGCAGGCTTGGGCGACTTTCCCCGCAGAACGTTGGCCGAGAGGGAGTCCCCGCGGGGGGGGCCAGGGGGGAGGACTGGGAGAGACCACTTTCGTTTTCTGAGACGCCTTCAGTTCCTGGCCGTCCGCCAGGCTTTCTTCTTGGAGGTGTCAGTCTTCGGGAGTGGGGGCTGGGGAAAGGGGGGCAGGCTAGGGGATTTGTGTTTGAAGCTATTTTTGGAAGGCAGCCTTACTGTTTTTACTTACGTGGTATTTTGCAAATTAATAAAAATAGCAAACTTTTCTAGAAATGCTTTATTCACATTTTACCGGAGAATGGGAAACCATCCATTGTCCGTTCAAAAGGCTATTTTTTTAAAGTTTGGGATGGCTTGGGGAGGCCAATGGCAATTTGGGGAGAAGGGCTGAAGCACCCCTTTTTGGAGCTCGGGGCCAGTTTCCCGGACTAAAAGACCCTGGTGACTGGGGATGGGCCTCACAACTAACTCGGGCTGCCCTGCCCCTGTCGCGTGGGCTCGCAATGGCAAGTGCTCCGGAAGGGGGCCGCCTCCCCGTGGGGCTCCTGGCTGCCTCTGCTCCCTTGGACACCACTGGGGGGCCTCCCCCTCCTAAGTTCTAGGTTGAGGCCGGATACCTGCCCCGACCTGTCTCCTCCCTTTCTCCAATACCACACCCACGGGACTCCAGTCTCCCCGGGAGTGGGACGGAGAGGGAACAAAGGGGTCTTTGTTCACTGGCTCCCGGGGCGTGGGAGTTGCGCTCGCTCTCCTTTCCCGGCGTCCCGTGGAGACCGGGAGGCTCAGCGCCTCTCCCAGCTCTCAGCGCCGCCCTCCCAGACCCCAGAGACGTCGGTCAGGGCGCGGCGCCCCGGGCCACTGCGGGCTCTTTCCGGGCGGGCGACGTGGGGGGCGAGGCACCGCGCGGCGGCGCCTGGCGGGCACTGTTGCCCGCGGAGGGACGGTGGGGGGGTTTCAGCAGCTGGCGGGGGTGGAGGGGGCGGGAGAGGGAGCCTGCGCCGGGCTGAGCCTGGAGGTGCGGGGCGGGCTCGGGGAGCGCTCTTGGGGCTCCTCCTGCCACAGCCGGGGCGGCTGGAACTCTCTCCCTTTCTCCCTCCATCCTTCCACTTCCCCTGCTCGGCCCCGCCGTCAGGCCGGGTCCCCCTTCCCTGCCGTCATCAGGTTCCCCTTCTCCCTTCTTGGCACTTTCCTTTCGAACCATCCTTCTGGACAAACTTTGATGGAGAATTTCACACCACGCTGGAAAAATGCCGGTTATGAAAGGATTACTGGCGCCGCAAAACACCTTCCTGGACACCATCGCCACCCGTTTTGACGGAACACGTAAGTCTTACACTTGAACGAGTGGTATGGCATTTTCTGAGACTGATTTTTCTCGTACACATTACTTTTGCTCCCACCTTCCCTTTTGCACCAGCGGAGTGAATTTTCTTCTGTTCTTGCCAAGGTATCTTTTGTGCGGAGAAATTTGTTCCCTCATGGTTTGGTGTAGTATTAACACTTTGTATTGGTGTAATAGTTGGCTCTCTTGAGTTCTTGGGTTTGTTAAGGACTGAAACGCAGCCTGAGGAAAGACCGACGCCCGTATTCACTGTGGGACCTGCATTTTGGTGTATCTTTAGGGAATTGGTTGTAATTTTCTGAGGTGAAAAGGGGAATATCGGTGTACCTAATCTTTCTAGAGTTTCAAGGCTCCCTAGATCAAAAGGAGAGCTTGGAGTGTTCTTTCTTGGAGCTTCATTCCGTGATATATTTCGGATAGGTATGATTTTCTATCTGAGTTTAAGAAATGCAGGATTGCCAAGTGTAAGCTTTCTGTAGAATTTTAAGTGTTGTGAGTTTGTCAGAACCTTGATTCCTGCTTTTGAGCTAGAATAGCGTATCTTTTAATCCTTAAATGAGCCTAACACTCAAGCAGAGGCTGTTCAGGAAGAAGGACATGAATAAAGACGATTTGATGATAAGAGAAAGTTTTTAGTTTTTTTTTTTTGAGTACGAATATTATTGGACATTTAGCTCATTTAAGCTACAGTAGGAAAAAAAATAGATAGGATGTTGTGTGGTTGCTAGCAGACGGTTCGTTATCATCTGCAAGTTGTTCTCTTTCAGGACCACGGTCAGGTCCCCACTCCTTCTCAGGCTTTTCAAGCTCTCTACTTGACCCTGTGGATCTTCCTAGCTGGCTTTAACCCTGTAATTAGGAGTCTGTACTACCACCCCTAACAAATGCTCTCAGTTGGTTTCACTACGAATATCCTCATCTTCTTTCTAGCTTATCTTGCTTCTGTGCACTGTCTTCCATTTTTCTGTTGAGACTCAGAGAAACTCATTTATCCTAAAGTCCTTCTTAGTGGTTCAAGTGTCATTGCTTTTACTCTGTATATTTCTTGGAGCTGATATGGGAGAGCAATACTAATTTCATTTCCACTCCAGTAGTCTAAATACACAGTCTTATCTTTGGGTGGGAAGCAAGTCTTGGACTTATGCTTCAGGGATAGTTGGAAAAGTTTACATGAGAAAGAAATGAATCACTTTAATTTTGTTCAGTTTTTATTTTTGACATCTAGTCTAATCATGGTAGTTGGTGTGGATATTTGGTCACTTCATAAGTGTTTTTATCTTTACATCTAGCCATTCTTTTCCCTTTTATATTCTAAATGTGTTAGATGTTATGTATGAGGTGTAATGTTATTACGTATGTCTTTTTTAGATAATAATGATAAATATTATAGGAAAACTTCAAGTCCCTGCCATTGCCACTACCACACCACTGAAGCGCCACACAAAATCACCACTGCTGTGTTTTACCATGCATGATGGCGGATACTACTATTTTACTATTCATTACCTGAGGTACTGATCAGTTTAATGTGGATGTTTTTTTTTTTGAAGTTGAACATCCAAAACTAAAAGGCTGTAAACATTGATCCTGAATTTGTCTATTGAAAATGAGGTAATTGGCAAATGGTAATTGTTTATCTCATTGCCATTTAAAGTTGAATGAAGTGTAATGTGTAGTGAATCATCCCAGCACAGCCTTGGGAATTACTGCAGTGATACATTCAGATATCAATTGCTAATGAGAGGGGCTTTAAATCATCAGCGTGGAAATATCTTGGCCTCTGACTCTGACTATAGTGATATGCATGATAAGCAGGAGGGCATGTAGGGAGAGATGGATGTACTTGTGAATAGTTCTTTTTCTATGTTGGCTACACATTAATGTTAATAAGATAGGTTAGATACTTTAAATCCTTATTTTTAAAGAAGACCATCCTGACATACCTGTATTTAGTATAGTAAGAAATCAAAAAGTCTTTTGGAGACCATGCTTGGTCTGTGCTCCACAGCATCTGGGGGATTCCTGGAGGGAACCAGTTTGCATGAAATCTGACAATCAGAGAAGCAAATTTGAAGGTGATAAGTAACATAAGGGTTGACTTTGGCAAGGTTTTGTTTACAACATTTAGTGAACACCTCTCCTCCCAAGAAACCCCCACTCAATGAAAGAGGGTTTTCTTTTCTCATTTTCTTTTCCTTTCTTTTTTTTTTCTTTTTGAATAGCAGGATGACTTGAATAATCTGAAACTTAAAATACCTTAAACAAAATTTTAGCCACAAATTTTGGTATATCTAGAATAATGGGTATACCATTTTTCCAGCTAGCTATTTACTTTATCTTCTTATGCCATTGTTTCTTGTTGATACAGTTTTGTAATTACTATCTCTGAAACTATTTTCCTATGATAATCCTTACTTCTATTGATTTTTATAGCTGTCATTTATTTTCTTTTGCAAGAGAAAACTATTTACAAATTTTAAATTTACAAAATTGCCACCTACTCAAAAACTTTGCTGGAAAGTGAATAATGTTAATTATACTGAATATGTAATATGCTGAGTTGGTATAATTTTTACCTTATTTGTGAAGTATATTTTACGGTCATGCTAGTTTCTTATTTTATTTTGGACAATTTTTATGAAAAAAAAATTAGAGAGCAAACAACAACCCTGGCAAACTGCCTTGCTAATGTACCCAACATGCAGTATTATTATTAGCCTTATTAATTTATTTTATTGGAGAATAATAAAACAATGTAAGACATCATCTGAAAATCCTCCCAGGAAAAATAAATATATGACAACATAAAACTCTATAACATAATCCTACTATTTATCAGTTGAGATATTATCACAGGGCAACATAATGGAAGTTAATAATACATTTTATAACTTAGTGACACTTTATTATTTTACATATTATAATATTTCTTTTTAATATTTAAAAAGTGAGGTCTGTCAGGATTGAAAGACACTTGTGGATTATTAATTGAGGCTATTTTTTTCTGATATGCAATATAATTTGCAACCATTATTGAAAAATAAAAATATTATATAAAATTACCACTAAATATATTTACTCTTGAAATATGTTTTATGGTTTGTATTTAACTGAAGTGTAGTAAGACTTAGAAAAACTAAGAACCTTAGAAATCTTAAATACGTATACCCCACTTAGGGGGAAAAAGAAAAAGTAATTCCAATTAATTTCTTTGAATTATTACACATAGCAAAAACCACTCACTTGTACCACTCTAAGACATACACATACACACATACACCACACACACACTCCTAACGTTATGGCCTGCAACTAGTTCACTTCTCCATAGTTTTTTTTTAAAACATATTTGCTGTAATTTAAGAAAATCTTTTCTGTTTAGACTTTTGCTTTAAGTAACTATTAATTTGGACAAAGGGAAAGTACAATAAGGGAACACATTGGTATATATTTGAAAAAATATATACCAATGTATTTATATTTGAAAAAATAGTATTTTTAGTACAATTGTTTGTCACAGGATACCATTTGAGAAAAACAGCTTTTTAAAAAAGATACAAAGCTTTCAGAGGGAAGTATCCATTTTCAAACATAATGGTGGATTAGCCTACATTTTCTAGGCATATCAAAATTTGGCCAGACTACTTCTTCCCTTTTGGTTTACTAAGACAAAAATTTAAGTTTTAAAGGAAGTTTGTAGCCCAGTGGACTCCATCAAGAAGATTCCAATCAAAGTATTCAAAATAATGGTTGTTTAGAAACTCATTAATATTTGCATATATTTTATGCACTTCTATATAGCCTGTTTGAAATGGTCCAAAGAAATTTGTTAAAATTGATGCTGGGCGCAGTGGCTCACGCCTGTAATCCCAGCACTTTGGGAGGCTGAGGCGGGCAGATCACTTGAGGCCAGCAGTTCGAGACCAGCCTGGCTGACATGGTGAAACCCCATTTCTACTAAAAATACAAAAATTAGCCGGGTGTGGCGGCATGCACCTGTAATCCCAGCTACTTGGGAGGCTGAGGCAGGAGAATCCCTTGAGCCCAGGAGGCAGAGGCTGCAGTGAGCTGAGATCATGCCCCTGCACTCCAGCCTGGGTGACAGAGTGAGACTCTGTCTTAAAAAGAAAAAAAAAAGAAAAAAGAAAAGAAATTTGTTAAAATTGAAATACTTCCTCTACAGAGGAAATTCTCAGTGGTTTTTTCTTTTTATCTTTTTGCTTTCATCAAGGTACATAGACCTCTTAATGTTAGAAGCATAGGGAGAAGGATAATGTACCCATTATCATACTCTTGACTTTGTAGATGAATTCTGTGCCCTCTAAAGGACTTATCACAGGGGTTCTGATAACTTCACTACAATGAAGAAAGTGTTAGAATTACAGGAATTGGATTTATGTCTTTACCAGAAATGATTTTCTTTTGATTAGTGATATATACAAATAATAAGAAAAGTTGTATTGCACAGTCTTAAAAGCTAACATCAGATAATTTTGACATTATTATATAGAGAAAATGGACATGCAATATGCTGAAAATTGAAATTGTGTCCACGATATAGTCTTTCTAGGCTCTAACATTTTTCATTACTGTCAGTTCAAAGGTCGTGGCATGAGACCTCTTCTGGCCAATGAGACTGGCAAAGGACAAAAAGTCTTTACAGAAGCATATTGAGGATCCTGAGTTACTAGTTTCTGAGATATCCTAGACTCAACATACTTCTGGAAGAGGCACAGTCTTTCTAAAGAAATGTGTACTTTATTCATTCACTCAATCATTTTTCTTTTTCTTTTTCTTTTCTTTTCTTTTCTTTCTTTTTTCTTTTTTTTTTTTTTTTTAGACGAGTCTCACTCTGTCGCACAGGCTGGAGTGCAGTGGTGCGATCTTGGCTCACTGAAACCTCCGCCTCCCGGGTTCAAGCAATTCTCTGCCTCAGCCTCCCAAGTGGCTGGGATTACAGATGCCTGCCACTACGCCTGGCTAATTTTTTTGCATTTTTAGTAGAGACGGGGTTTCACCATCTTGGCCAGGCTGGTCTTGAACTCATGACCTCGTGATCCACCCACCGCGCCCTCCCAAAGTGCTGGGATTACAGGCGTGAGCCACTGCACCTGGCCCAATCATTTTTCTAATAATATTCAATGAATACCAACTTTACACAAAGCCATCATGCTAGGATATTTGGAATAAATCAGGATTATCTTTTTCTCAAATGGGGCAATGTAACATGCACAAATTACTATAATATAGATTAGAAAAAGATAAGTGTAATTCAGAAGGTGCAGACAAAGGGCTATGCACATTTGGGTGAGGGAGGAATAGTTTCTATGCAGGAATGATCTGAGAGGGCTTCATATAATAAATAACTTTGGGTGGGAATGATTGTATCATATATGATAGGTGCAAAAACAATATTCTATTTAATTTGCCATTTTGTACAGTACTTGTCATTGAGGCTGGAAAGAGCCTTTAGTGAGAATAAGAGGCATTTTAAAGGGTGTTAAGGGGTCAATGTAGAAGTAAGAGGGCAATGGAAAGTAGGTTAGACCAGCCATAAAAGATCTTTAAACCCACAGTTTTTGGTTATAATAAGCCATTGGAAGTGATAGATCCATATTTTGGTAAAAAACTATGGTGCCATCTATGTCTAGTTAAAAAACTTCCAAAATGCTCAACCTTCCCATGTTCTACAGTCTAAAGCACACTACAGTAGATGCCAACTTTAGACTTGGGATGTTTCTTTTTACTATCTCTTCTAATAATGCTTTTTAAAATAAAGGTTCCATAGAATGCAGTGAAGTTGATGTGTTCATTTTCTTAGGAATGTTTCTTTCTCCCAGGGAGTTAACTTTCTCTTAAGGAAGTGATAGATTTATTTCTCACCACACAGCTGACTACTCTTCTCCTCCAGGGCGGTTTACCCCTGTATTATTCTAGAGTTATGTCCTTGGTCAAGAAAAAGAATTGAGGGTTTGCTGGAATTCAGTGCCAGTGAACTTGATTGGAGAAATCCCAACAGTAAAAGGTAAAGAGTTGGAACTGCTGCAAAGATAGTATGCTTCGCCCTGGCAGTATATATTTGCTGATCTCATCTAAATGCTGTGTTTAAAATCCAAAATACAAACATCAAAGATGAGACTTCAACTTCACCTATGACCTAGTTCATATTTGGCAACTGGAGCAATTGAAGAGCTTTCTCAGTAATTTAAACAGGCAAATATAGTTATTGGATTATAAATTCCCTGGAAGATATGTTTTGCTTTCCTTTATAGTTGTTAATACAACCATCTTTGTCACATAAACTCTTCAAATGCCACATGTCCCCAAATGAACTAATAATCTTTTCTAGCCTTTGAAACCTATTTGTTTTCTTACATGTTCCAGCCTCATTATTGGCATCACGACCCATCCAGTTCTTCAAGCTGCAAATCTGAGTTGGCCTTGACTGCCTACACATCTAATTAATTATCAAATTTTTAATATTTTACTGCAGAAATGCCCTAATTTGGTACCTCAATTCCCTCTTTATTGCTTCTGTTTTAATTCTGATCATCTTTTTCTTATCTCTACAATTGCAGCCTTTCTCTAACTAGACCCCTGTGACCATCAGTCCCTTCTACTCCCACTTGTTCAGTTTCCATTGTTCCCAGAGTGATTTCCATTAAAAACAATATTACCACTTAATCATGTAACACTCCTGCTTAGAGCCATCCGTTGGCTCCCTGCTGCCTTTTGGATAATGTCCAATGTCCTTGGCATCATCTGACCCCAAGATGATTCTGCAGAATCTTTTCCAACCACTGTCTCCCAGGCTACACACATACTCATTCTAAATTCCCTGCTCTTTCATGGTTTTGGGACTCTGCTTTTCACTTGAAGAGCAAGATGCTTTTTGTTCAAGATCCATCCTAAAGATTACATTCTATCAAACTCCTTCTCTGAGGCTCCGAGTAAAGTTACATGACATTTCCCCTATACTTCCACATGGCCTTGCCCATTCCTCTAATCAGCTTTTATATGTGCTATAATTATATGCTTTCATATTTTAACACTCGACCATGAACTCCTTGAAGCCTTAACTATGTCATTACTCCCATTGCTTAGACTTATAGTTGAAATGGTCTTTGCTCAGTAAATATTTCTTTGAGTAAAAGAATTTCAACTTCTTTGAAGGCCAGGGCTGAGTATTAATTATATTTATCTCCCTTTAGTGGTACCTGGTGTTCCTTTTATTCACTATTGCATGATTACCTTTAGTTTTGAGAGAGAATACTGGACTGCCTTCCAGCCTCTTATTTTCACGTGGTTCAAGCACAAATTTCTTTTACAAACTCTAGTGATAATAGTGTCTATCATCTTGGGCATGTCTACATGCATGCTGTGTACTGTGCTGGTGCTTTTTCTGTTCCTATCACAACCCAATAACCCAGCAAGGTGGAAGGCAGCACCCACTTTTTGAGTCAAAGATGACAAAATTCAAGCCCAGAATTCTACTATATCATATTAGCCTGTGATTTTTCTACTATATCATACTGCCTCTAAAATGTGCTTGTATAGCAAGTGTAAACAGACTAGGGTGGTTTGTGGTATCGTTTCTAGTTTCTAGCTCTTGCAAATGAGATATTTCTTTAAAGATTTTAGCCATTTCTAGTTTATATGCTGTTTGTTCCCCTTTGGATATATTATGCTTTAAATACTTGTCATTTAAGTGATGTTTTAAAATAGGTATTAAAGATTCATAACTGGAACTACTAAATGCATTCACTGTGCAAAGCAGTTTAGCTCATCAAAGAAAATCTAGTGTCCATTTTTTTTAAAAAGGAAATCCATTTTCTTTGAGATTTTTCTGTTTAGAATTTGCTGACTGTAGTACTCTCTAGTGATTTCCTTTTGTTGTGAGGTTAATCTGTCTGTGAAGATATTCTAATTCTCATAGCTATTATAGTGATATCATTTTGGATATTTACCTTGTTAGGGTCATATAGAGGAAATTCTTCCATGTATTTTGAGTCTGCTTTTATTGGGAGGAATATATTTTCCAGTGTCAGGTACTGTTGACATCTTTTAACAGAAATAGTTTACCTTTTCTCCACAATGAACTTGCAGGAAGAAGTAAGGGTAGTTAGCCCTCCAACTCTCAAGTCTATAAAGCTTTTTTTTTTTTTTTTAAAAAAAAGGTTTTCTTTTGTTCTATTAAGTATTTTGGACAGACATCTTTATTGTATTTGTCAGTCCAAATGAATCTTTTATTCCAGTTATTGAACTAAAGGGAACAGAGACCAGAGCACTTACCAGTCTTACCATGTTTTATTTGATTTTCTGGAAAAAAGGATCCACATAAGAAGTTCAGATTTTATTGAAATGCCAAATATCCAGTTTGACAAGAAGTAGATGGCTCTTACCTGTGGTGTTCTGGCTATTCCTTCAATGGAGAGAATAAAGTAGAAGGTAAAATTGGGCAAGGTTTTTACCTTAACATCTGGATAAATGTTTTGCTGTGATTTGATGAGTTATGGAAAAGAATGAGGGTATTGGGCCTGGGGCAATGAGAAGGAGCTTTTGTGTTGTATTAATTTGGTACAGTTTTGGTTAGGCTACATCTCAGTCATCTGAAAATGAGCCTGTCCTTCTCTCTCAACAAATGTGTAATTTTAGGTTTTAGGATACATCATTAATAAAAATTTAGGCCTCTTGTTTAGCTGTACAGTACTCATATTATATATTGTATTATTGCTTCTGGCAAGTCAAAAGTTATAAAATTATTTGGTAGATATTAATAATGGCTAATATTTGTATAGCATTTCAGCATTCTTTATGTCATCACTTGAATTGTTTTCAAATTAATGGATGAAAAGTGGTTTCTTGTGATTGTTAATGTCCATTTGTTTACTATAATTGAAGTTCAGAATTTTTTAATATGTTTAAGAGATATTTAAATGCTTTGTTGAGCATTACTTGTTTATATTCATTGTCTCTTATTAACTGAATTGTTGTTTTTCCCTTTTTTGACATCTTTGAGCCATTTATATAGTTTTAAAAATGGAACACTTTATTAGTAACACGAATTGTATACATTGTCCCAGTTTTGGTTGGTCTTTTGATTTTTATATAGATGAATTAATAAATTTCCCTGTTATGATATCTAGATTTTGTGTCATACTTAGAGAGGCATTCCCTATTTTGAAATTACTATTATTATTATTTCTAATTTTTCATTTTTGTGGGTACATAGTAGGTGTATAATTTTTAAAACATATCCCATATGTTCTACTATAGTTTTATTTTACGTATTCAATTTTTTTCTCCTCCATTAATAAGTTCTGTAACTTTTACTTTCAAATTCCTATCCTAAGAGTTTATAGACTTAAGAATTGGACAAATTTCCTAACAATGTTATTCAACAATTCATCTTCTTTATGTTAGTTTGAAATGTCTAGTTTATCATATTTTATATTCCTCTATGTAATTCTATTTCTTGACTTTCTATCCTATTATATTAACTGATCTTTTTCTGTATATTTTAGTACTACAATTTTAATTATAGAATATTTGTGATATGTTCTTAAAATTCTCATTCCATGATTTTGTTCTCAGAATTTTATTTGACTAATTGTACTTATTTGGAAGTCTGTATGACTTTAAGTATCAGATTTTCTAATTGAAAAAAATCCTGATGGTATTTTTAATGGACTGATCTACAGGAAATACGACATTTTTGTGATGTTGAACATTCATATTCAAAAACTTGCTAGGTATTTTTATTGTTTACACCTTTTGAGGGAGTTCTCAATAAAACATTTTGTACTTATTTTATTCCTAGTAATTTTATCTTTGCAATTGCTATGTAAAATAGAAAGTTTTCTTTCACTGTTTTGCTTTTTCTAATTCAATCATGTTTGTTTACTTGAAGGAAATTAACTTCTATATGTTATTAATTTTTTTAACCAGCCAGCTTACTGACTTTCTCCTATCCTTTGTAATAATTCTGGTGTTGGATTATTGAAGTTTTCAGATAAGAAATAATACTGGTCTTAAATAATAAAAATTTTGCCTTTTGTTGCTAATTTTTGCAACTCTTACTTTTTCCCTTTTGTTTAATTGCTTTGGCATTTTAAGACCAATGTTAAAACATGGCGACCATAAAGAAAACCCTTCTCCTTCTTAACTTTAAGGGGTATTATTTTATTGTTTTTCTAATGAGTGTTTTCTGGCTTGTTGTTTGAGAGGTAAATATTTTATTATATATTTGTGCTTTATTAGAAGACTTTGTAATGTATTCCTATTTCATTAAGCCTTTTTATCCATTGTCATTTTATTATCTATCGAGACTATTCTTTCTGTGTTATTGAATCAATTAATATAATGAATTCAACAGATTTTATAATATTGAACTATCTTTGCATCCCTTCAATAAAAGTTACTTGCTATGTTGCTGGATTTTCCCTCCACTAATAGGACTTTTACACTGAATATATATAGAGAGATATATATGTAAAAATATATATACACACAAATATAATATAGTGTATATATAGTATGGTATATATATACACATATATGATATGATGTACATATATTGGAATTTACATTCTTTTCTTGGACGTGTATATTATTTGACTTTGGTAAGGAAACTACACACCCATATTTGTGCCGATTACAAGGTGGTCCCACCTGGTTTAGCATTTGTGCCGATTTTTCATATTGTAATAAGGCATTGTTATTCATTGTTGCATGAAAACAGGGCCAAGATTGGTTGGCAGATCTCCAGTTCTTATAGTTTTGGCTGTGGCCTTGTCTAATAGTGTCTCAAACGTTTGTGTAGTGAATATAGTTTTTACTTCAATGTGTGTTTAAATCTGAAAGATGCCCAGAAATATCACATATTTTTCAGACACAAAAACATTTGTATCTAAACACTTCAGATACGAAACATTTGTATCTATATCTATATCTGTATCTATATCTATATATCATCTCCTTTCCTACAACAACATGCACATTGTACACCAACTAGTAATGTCTCATAGTCTGTGAGAGCCTGAGGTTACCAGCCCACAAGTTAGTGGAGTCAGTTGGAAATATGGGAAATTATAGTGTATGTATACATGCAATATATTTAGAACTTTTCAGTATCTTTGGTATTAAAAAAATCCTACAATAAACCTTTTTGGGATCAATGACCTAACAAAAATGAAAAATAAGTTTAATGAATTATTAAATTCTCATTTCTAAGAAAATTGATGATGCATAGATAACTGGGAGAAAATGCAGACATTTACATTTGTCATGGGTGCCCACATTGACTGCATTATAGTCACTGACCACATTAAAATCAGAATGCATAAATCTGCTGAATAAGCATCAGCATGTATTTTAAAAACCAGTAACCGATTTAAGAAGACTGTACTTAAAAATTATGATTCATTCTGCAGAAGGTATCTTGGACATATTTTGTGAAGCATGACTTTTCATTTAGATCAAAGGACTGCTCTTCCAAATGAATTTCATTTATTCATTTTTTTTGGTAAGAGTTTTTTATGATATAATTTACATATATTAAATCACTCCTTTTAAGTGTAGAGTTCATTGAATTTTGCAAAATATATGCAATCATGTAACCACCACCACAGTCAAGATTTAGAACAACATCCTCAGCCCCAAAGGTCAGTACCCTCCTCCCACTTCCAGTACATAGCAGCTACTAATCTATTTTTATGCCTAAAATTTCCTTTGTTTAATATGTAATTTTAATGAAATTATATACAGTACCCGGCCCCTTAACAAGCAGCTTTGCTTTCCATGATTTCAATTATGTTCTGTGAGCTGAATCCCAAAAATATTAAATGGAAAATCCCATAAATAAACAATCCATAAGATTTCAATTGCACACCCTTCTGAGTAGTGTGATGATATCTCACGCTATCCCACTCCATCCCACCCAGGATGTGAACTATCTCTTTATTCAGAGTATCCATGCTGTACATGCTACCTCTCCTTTAGTCACATAGTAGGCATCTTGGTTATCTCATCAACTGTTGCGGTTTCACAGTGCTTGTATTCAAGTAAACCTTATTTTACTTAATAATGGCCCTAAAGCGCAAGAGTGGTGATGCTAGTGATTCGGCACCACCAAAAAGAAGTCAGAAAGTGCTTCCTTTAAGTAAAAAAGTGAAAGTGCTTCCTTTAAGTAAAAGAGTGAGAAGAGGAAAAAATATGCTGAGGTTGCTAAGATCCACAGTATGAATAAACCTATCTGTGAAATTGTGATGGGAAAAAAATTGTGCTAGTTTTGCTGTCACACTTCAAACTGCAAAAGTTACAGCCACAATGCATGATAAGTGATTAGTTAACATGAAAAAAGCATTACATTTGTGGGTAGAATACATGAACAGAAACATGTTCCAATTGAGGGCAATTGGGTTTGGTACTATCGTCGGTTTTAGGCATCCACCAGGTGGTATTGGAACATATCCGTCTCAGGTAAGGGGGAATTACTGTATGTAGCATTCTTTGTCTGCCTTCTTTCACTTAGATAAATGATGTTGCAATTTATTCCTTTTTTCGAGGGAAGCAGTAGTTTGTTCTGTTTTATTGTTGAAAATTTTGTTCATTTTGATTCCAAGTTTTCTTCTGTGTGTAGAAAAGAATGAAGCACCAGTGATTAATGTGTTGTTATTAGTAACAGCACTTGGCAAGTATTCATGTCATCAGGGTTTCCAGTGGAAAACCAGTTAACTTTAATAATGGTTGAACTTTTGTATCTAATTGAATTGAAGTAAAACTTTTCAAAGTTCGTTCTGTAGGTGAATTATATTTCTCTGTAAATGTTGTTGTAAATTCAGTTTAAAAGGTCATTAAAGATAAAGGTATTAATTTTATGGTGACAAAGCAATTGTAAATTTTTGTAGAGCACAGTAACATGGCAAAGACTGCTTTCTAAATTAATAAAATGTATGAAGCATAAATGTTCTTGGACTTGATGTAGTGTACACATAATTCACTTTTGTGTTAATCACTATAGAAGCTGGATTGGTCAAAATTACCACATATTTTTATATGTGGTGAATTAGGTACAGTAATTACACTAAGTGATTAGATACATTAAATACAGAAAAACTATTTGGCATGATACTACGTGGTTTCTTTTTTTTAATGCCTGTTGTCAGAGTTTTGAAATATCTGAGCCTTTGAATTATTACTTGTAAACAATCTAAGTGTTCAACAAAGTTATTAGTCTTTTCTAAATGAGCCTTTTATGTTTTCTTTACATTTTATTTGAAATCACTTGAAAATATTTAACCAAGGTTTGTAATTAAACAAAACACTAAAAACTTCATCTTTTAAACATTTTAACAAATAGCAACTTTTTAAAAACAAAACTTGCAGATAGAAGCACATTGAAATGTACTACTGAAGGCCAGGCGTGGTGGTCCACACCTGCAATCTCAGCACTTTGGGATACCGAGGCAGGTGGATCACTTGAGGCCAGGAGTTCGAGACCAGCCTGGTCAACATGGTGAAAACCCATCTGTAACTAAAAATACAAAAAAAAAAAAAAAAAGTATCTGGGCATGGTGGTGCATGTCTGTGGCTGACGCATGGGAATCACTTGATCCTGGGAGGTGGAGGTTGCAGTGAGCCAAGATCACGCCACTGCACTCCAGCCTGGACGACAGAGTGAGGCTCCTTCTCAAACAAAAAGAAAAAGAAAAAGAAAAAAAGAAATATATTACTAGATAAGGAAGGGAAAAATATTAAACAATGAGAGCTCAAACTATTTACTAGACTTAATATTAAAATGATTTAATTTTTCTTTGAGATATTTTAACTTAGAAAATATTTTGGTGGAATTTGTTTTTAATTAGATAAATTTAAGTTCCGTACTGATTTTGCAATCTCTAAATCTGGAACAACATTACAAAGAATCATATGGACACCTATTATGATAAATTTTTATATTACAAAAATGTTTTTGAAGGTAGTTACCCTGAATGAGGCAAAATAAGAGGTAATATTTTGACTGAAATGTTTGCACTTTCCAATATAAAAAGTATATAATTCAGAATATTCGTAGCATATCAAAATTTGGGGGAAAAGTAGAATTTAAAATATCCTGTATATAGCAAAATTTGCTGTATGCCTACAGGTTATTTTAGCAACCATAGATAATATTTTTTCAATTAAAATTTTTATGGTCTGTTGTGAATAGTTTATGGAAGATGTCAACAATTTCAAATTTATTAACTATGAAGTGCACCTTTGAGGAAAATTACAGGCAATTTTATGAAAAAAATAAAAATAATGATACTACATAGAGGAAAAGCAAAAACATAGTCTTCAGAATAACACCAACAACTTGGCATAAGAGACAGATATGGCTAAATACATGATTTAAATATGACAAAATATAATAAAATATTATTGTGTTTAGTGTACTATTTTATTTTCAGGTAATGTGTATATATAAAATTATATATATATATAAAACAAATAATTTTACTTTTTAAAATAGTTTTGCAAAAAGTAAATTTTATAGGTTTATCAATATAATAAAACTAGTCAAAACTAAAACCAAATACTTAAAGAATTATATTATTATTTAATACTTACTTTCACTCTCAAAGCAGTCCCTAATTTATACCTTATTTTATACTCACTTCATAAAATCATTTTCAAAGCCATTTGAACTAGGCAGGGGTTTTGGGTGTGCCTCAGATTGCCAAGCACAAATTTCCAAAAAGTAGACTTTTAAAATAATTTAATTTTTATATTATCTTCTGAGGTAGATTGATCAAATTGACAAAAATTATTCCACAATTTTAATTGTTAATACACAGTTGACTCTTGAACAACAGAGGTTTGAATTGCGCGAGTCCACTTATACAAGGATTTTCTTCCACCTCTGCCTCCTCCCATGAGACAACAAGACTGACCCCTCCTCTTCCTCTTCTTCCTCAGTCTACTCAATGTGAAGATGATAAGGATGAAGACCTTTATGATTATCCACTTCCATTTAATGAATAGTAAATCTATTTTCTCTTCTTTATAACTTTCTTATTAACATTTTCTTTTCTCTAGCTTAATTTATTGTAAGAATACAGTGTATAGTACCTATAACATACAAAATACATGTTAATTGACTGTGTTATCAGTAAGACTTCCAGTCAACAGCAGGCTATTGGTAGTTAAATTTTGGGAGAGTCAAAAGTTATATGCAGATTTTCTACTGGAGGGAGGTGCCCCTAGTTCAAGGGTCAACAGTAAATATTAAATATTCAACAGCTGATATAACACTGATATCTCTTTAATTTTCATATGCTAGAAACATTGACATGCAGATGACACGTGTCTCTTTTGACCTGTCATTGCTCCTAGACATGTTTATTGTGCTCACTTGAGAGACAAGGAGCCAGAGAACCCTAAAGAGGCTAAGTATTTTTGTCTCAAAGCTAGAACAGGAGAAGGCTTGGCTGTTATTCTCCTCTTAATTGCAAAACCCATGCTCTTCCTTCAAATTTACTGTGCTTTTAGTTTGAAAAGAGGAAAAGGGAAGATAATTAACATTTAATAAGCAAATTTGGACCTAATGCTGTACTTGATATTTTCACCTTCCTTAGTTAATTTAATCTCAACAACAATGCAAGTTAGATGTTTCTGTTCTGACTTTATGGATTGGGAAACTGAAGCCTAGAAAGGTTTAATAAATTGTCAAAAGTCACACATTTTGTAAGTAGTGAAGCTGGAATCTATACACATGGTTTTGACAATAGCAGGCCCTGTTTAATAAAAGGCAAAAATTGGATCTAAAGTGTAAGGCATTAAATTTATGATTAAGAACTTGATGATCATACGTGACTTCACTGTGAGATACTTACAAGCTATTTTTATGCTTTTTAAGAAGACATTATCTGGGAAGCTCAACATATAAAGTCGCCAACTGGCAATGTTTTATAAACAGTATTTAGTAGGTTACTCAGGAATTTACCTCTCTTGTTAGAATAAAGTACCCACAAGGCTGTTTTTACCTAAGGAGTAATAACCCACTGGTGTTGGAGAATTGAGAGCTCTGCTGTAAGTCCAAAGCTTGTTAATATTATAATATATTCAGAGTTATCTGTAAAGCAATGTCACACTAACTTGAATTTTAAAATGCTTCTGGCTCATCAGTGGTTCTTTAGGGGTGGGGGTCAGGATCAAGAGGGGTGGAATTACAAGAGACATGAAGAAACTTTTGGGGGTGATGGATATGGTCACTGTCTTGATTGTGGTGGTTTTGGGCTTATACATCTGTTAAAGTTATCAAATTGTACACTCTGTGCAGTTTATTGTACATGAATTGTACTTCAAAAATGCTGTTAAAAATGATTTCTGGGGTGGAAGAGAGAAGGGTAGAGTTAAAACTACAGCACTATTAGGTTGGTGCAAAAGTAATGGCAAAAACAGCAATTACTTTCACACGAACCTAATAGAATGACACGTCCTCTGCATTCAATTTTCTCAACTCTGATGAGCAGCCTTTTCTGGAGTATTATTGTTTGTGCAGGTACAGACTATTGAACGTAAACTATTACTTGAGAAACAAGTAATGTTAACAATGAACATAGTCAAATTAATAATACAAACCTATTATTTTAACAGTAAAATTAGATTAAAGTTAGTGTTGATTTTTTTTGGTCATTAGCAAGCTTTGGACTTACAGCAGAGCTCTCAATTCTCCAACACCAGTGGGTTATTACTCCTTAGGTAAAAACAGCCTTTTGGGTACTTTATTCTAACAAGAGAGGTAAATTCCTGAGTAACCTACTAAATACTGTTTATAAAACATTGCCAGTTGGCAACTTTATAGGTTGAGCTTCCCAGATAATGTCTTCTTAAAAAGCATAAAAACTACAGACTTGTTTTCTATGTTAGTTATCTACTCACTTGTTTGTGAGTTGGGTGGGGAGTAATCTAATCCAAGTTGGGCTTAGCTGGGTTGCTCTGGGATCTTGGCTGAACTCACTCATGTGTATGTAGATTGTCTACAGGCTCTGCTCCTGTGGGCTTGGCTGAGGAAGCTCAACTAGGGCATTTCTCCTCCAGATGTCTCTCCTGAAATGCTGAGCGTGATCCTGTCAGCAGAAGTAGAACAAAGCCAGCCCAATAACACAAATGATTTTCAAGACTTTGCTTGTGTCATGTTCGTTAATATCCCTTTGGCTAAAGTAAGTCACATGGACAAGCATGGGCTTGGGAATGATGCCCTCCCACAGTGAGTGGGAGCTGAAAGTTATGTTTCAAAGGATAATTGGAGTCAATAATAAAATCCATCATATTTGCCTTATTATTGTTATCTTTGGGGGAAAAATAACACGTTTCAAAAATTAAAAGTTATTTTAAAAAAGGTTAGACATCTTTTTTTGTAAAATGAGGGTTTTGTATCTTAAAATGGCTTTTTTATTTCCTCACATACACATGCAGTTAATGTTTACAGTGAATGCCATAGAATACAAAATTTATGATGCTACCTGTGAGATACATAAAAATGTTATCAAAAAAGAGTTCTGATATTTCAATATGATTAAAAACTGCACATGCAAAAAAATACACTTTTGTATAATGCTTTGCACAGTCAGCCTACTTTTACAAGAATATAAGCTAAAAAGGATGGCAGTCAACTCAATCCTGTTGATCAGTGTATGCTTTGTCCCCAGCATTGTTCGTAGTACATAGTCCAAACTTCAAATATGTGTTGGATGATTGAATTTGTAAAATATGAAAAAAAAACTCGCCTGCCTCATTGGAAGCTTTCATAAAGTGAAGAACTTTTCTAGTTAAAGGAGGCAAATTTGATTAAATTGTTGGAATGCTATCCAAAAATGGACAGTAGGCTTGGGGACAGCAATAAGAAAATCAGTAGGTTCTTTGAAAGTCAAATCAAGGATGGTGATGGTATGTAATCTTAAACTCTATGCTGCACTATAAAGCAGCAGGGATATCTAGTACCCTTAAAGCAAGTTTTATAGATTTATCCACTGAATAATAAATTTTTAAATGTTCTGTGACAAAGTCATCAATGTGAGCTATTTGACCCAAGGTGACAAGGCCACTAGTGGTTAGTATAGAAGGATTGCAGCTCTGTTTAAAGTATCTCAGTTGTGGTGCTGGAATGTCTGCTGTTAATAACTAGCTGAGGTTATATCCAGCCTCCTGCATTATTAGGTATTGTGGTATGTTTGCATAATATTTCCAAATGTTCTCTGTCACAAGTGTCTCCTTTATTTGTTCCTCATAGCAAAATGAGAGAGACATGGAAGACATTTTATCCCAATTCTACAGATGAGGAAATTCAACATTATTTGGTTTATAGTCATTAGCAGGTAAATGACACAGACAACACTGGGGCCAGTTGTCCTAATTGTCAGACCTGTGTTTTAAGTTGTATCATATTGTTACCAAAAAGGGTTGATGAGGGAATTGAAAAGATTTAAATAATTGAAATCTCATAGGCATTGAAGCAATGTTGGTTTTGCTAACGTAGATGTGTCATAGTTTATTCAAAACATTTCTTCTTATAAATCGAAACATTTGTAAGATTTCCCCCATTTAAATGTGAATCATTTTATAAAATGAAGATTCCTCTTTCAATTTATAAACTGAAAATTTATCAGTAGGGAAGATTATCTATTGAATCATATTTTTTTATAAATTTGAGACCAAGGAATGTGATTCTACTTTCCCTCTCAAAATAAGGTATTCCTGCATTGCTTTTTAGGACTTTTTACAAGTCAATATCCTTTTATTAATGAAAATACTTAAGGCACGAGAATCGTAAAAGTGAATGGCAATCCAGTTACTGTACACAGATTCTGGTATTTTTCTATTCCATTTTTTATAGATAACTATAGATTCACATGCAGTTATAAGAAATAATAGAGAAATTACAGATGCCCTGCGTCCAGTGTCTTCCAGGGTATTCAACTATAACACAGTATCACAACCAGAAATTTAACATTGAAACAATTCACCTACCTTCTTCAGATTTCACCAGTTTTACATGGAATCATTTGTGTGTGTTTGTGTGTGAGTGTGTGTGTTTGTATTTAGTTCTATGCCATTTTATTATATGTGTAGTTTTGTGGAGCAACCGCCAAGGTCAAGTTACAGAACAATTTTATCACAAGAATCCCTCATGCCATAGTCACCTCTCTCCACTTCTTTTTTTTTTTTTTTTAAGATGGAGTTTCACTATTGTCACCCAGGCTGGAGTGCAGTGGCGCGATCTTGGCTCACTGCAACCTCTGTCTCCTTGGTTCAAGCGATTCTCCTGTGTCAGCCTCCGAGTAGCTGGGATTACAGGTGCCTGCCGCCATGCCCAGCTAACTTTTTTGTTTGTTTGTTTGTTTGTATTTTTAGTAGAGACAGGGTTTCGCCATGTTGAGTAGGCTGGTCACTAACTCCTGGCCTCAGGTGATCTGCTGGCTCAGTCTCCCAAAGTGCTGGGATTACAGGTGTGAGCCACCGCGCCCGGCCCTCTGTTCCCCACTTCTATAATTCTGTCGTTTCAAGAACATCATATAAATGGAATTATATAGTAAGTAGTTTTTGAAGTTGACTTTTCTACTAAACATCATTTCCTTGAGATTCATCCAAGTTGATACATGCCTATAGCAATAGTTTCTTTTTAATTGCTGAGTCATATTCTACCCATTCATTTTTATCTCCAGTTTCTTCCTCTGTAAATTGTATGGAATGGGCTCTCAGGACTTGCAGGTCTCAAGGGCTAAGATGATTTGTCTGAGCAAATGGTGATGCACCCCAAAAGAGCCAACAGACTTGGGTAAATGTGAACAGCCATAAACCTTAGAATGAGGGCATGTGCCATCTGAGTGTTTGAATGTCTTCCCATTCGTGTAACTATCGTTTTCAAATATGAAGGACGAAGAATAACAGCTTTCAGGAAGTGTTTAAAGGATTAAAAGTGTTTAAAGTATGAAAGTTCATTATGAAATTTCCTCAGAAAAATCTGTGGATCTACTACATTTTCATCACTCCAATAAAAAAATTAAAATCCAAAGGTGTTGAAGACATCTCAGGGTCGGTTTTCAAACTATCCTTCAGCACTCTTAGGGGCCTACCACATACCTCTCCTGACTTTCCTCCTCACCATCCCTCCGCCAACAGGAGCAAGTCTGGGATCATTAGTTTTCCTTTGAGGAAGGAATTCTGTGGCTGAAAAGAAATTTGAAAACATCGAATCTGTCACCTAAACATTATATAATTGTCACTGTTTTATTAAATGAGCACCCAGTGACTCAATTGCCTGCTCAAACTCATTTTTATGGAGCCAGTGCTTTCCTTCCACTTGGATGACATCTGGGCCAAGTTTCACGACCTGCCTCTTAGAAACTCCACCCCAAATCTCCAAATCTCCTAATCTCACTCTTTTGTTTCTTTCTTTCTTTTTTTTTTTTTTTTTTTTTGAGACGGAGTCTCGCTCTTTCGCCCAGGCTGGAGTGCAGTGGCGCGATCTTGGCTCACTGCAAGCTCCGCCTCCCGGGTTCACGCCATTCTCCTGCTTCAGCCTCCCGAGTACCTGGGACTACAGGCGCCTGGCTAATTTTTTGTATTTTTAGTAGAGATGGGTTTTCACCGTTTTAGCCAGGATGGTCTTGAACTCCTGACCTTATGATCTGCCCGCCTTGGCCTCCCAAAGTGCCGGGATTACAGGCGTGAGCCACCGCGCCCAGCCTAGCCTAGTCTCACTCTTTTCTAACATTGGAATGAAAGAAGCGTTGTTAAGAGTATGCATAACTGGTTTTTGTTGACCGCATCTGAAAATCCTGTGTGTTATTTCTCACCTCCCTTTGGACCCTGGAGGCATTAGCACCTAGTATTTTCAGACCTCAACAGAAATGGAAACTGAAATAGATACATTATATTATCCTGTTTTATAACAAAGATAACCTAGCACGTAATTGTCCCTCAATAAATGGATAGCTCCAGCTAAAGTGAATTTTTTGGAACCTATCAAGGATCCATACATATTCTTCTAATGACTGAGAAGTTGTATATCATTTTTTGTTTTGTTTTCAAGGAACTCAACATGATTTTATCAGTAAGATTACATTCAATACTTTGTTACAAAAAAAAGAAACCACGTATTATCTCATTTATTTTTCACAAATACCAACTAGTTTGGGAAGGAATCATGTATGTTCCCATTTGAGATCTGTGGAGGAGATCCACATCCCTGTGTTCCAGCCTTATATCCTTCATTCTTCCCTTATTTCACTTTATGTTAATATTTCATGCTATCAAATTTTTGTGACACATTTAAAGAAATGGCATCATTCACATTTTACACACATGAATATTGAGGAAAAAAACATTCTAAGTATGTCTCTAAAATTGTGCTAAGTAAATTTATTGTTTTGTTTTTCACGTCCTATTTTTACCCCTTTCTTAACAGTTCCCTAAGCTCTATGTTTAACACACACAAATGTATACACACACTTGCACATGTATCCACACACATGCACACAGCTATGTAAAATGTATTACTACTTCAACTGAATGTTCATTGCACCCAAAGTGTTATATCATATATGATGTAATAGGGTCTCAAGCTTACAGAATTTAGAACATTTTACAGTATCAGAGAGTTACATAGGGAAGAGATTTGGGGAACAATGTGAAACTGATCATGACTCCTCCTTACACAGGCTTAAGGATGTTCCAACTTCAATGTTCAGTCTTCCTTCAGCAAGTGCCCCACTTCTTGGGGCATCTATATATATATATATATATATATATGTATACACACACATATATATATACACACATATATATACACACACATATATACACACATATATATACACACACACATATATACACACATATATATACACATATATACACACACATATATACACACACATATATATACACACACATATATATACACACATATATATACACACACACACACACATATATATATATATATATATATTTTTTTTTTTTTTTTTGAGACGAAGTCTCGCGCTCTCGCCCAGGCTGGAGTGCAGTGGCGCAAAATATCGGCTCACTGCAAGCTCCGCCTCCTGGGTTCAAGCCATTTTCCTGCCTCAGCCTCCCGAGCAGCTGGGACTACAGGCATCCGCCACTGCGCCCGGCTAATTTTTTGTATTTTTAGTAGAGACGGGGTTTCACCGTGGTCTGGATCTCCTGACCACGTGATCCACCCGCCTTCGGCCTCCAAAAGTGCTGGGATTACAGGCCTGAGCCACCACGCCCGGCCCCTTGGGGCATATATTTTGAGTAAAGATAATATCCTTGGCCACATAGTCTCTTTCTTATTCTTACTTGTTCTAATTTCCTCACTTATATATTTTTTGTAAATTGTATATATTTTGTGAGCAATATGAGTAATTTCTTTTCCGGAACAATTAATCATATAAATAAACATAAGTTTTCAAAAAAATCAATTTTTCTACTTTCTGAAAAACGTTCTCACTTGCCAAGTTTTCTAGGTTAAATTAGGTCCCTTGGAGAATACAGCTTATATTTTTGCTCCTGTTCATTTATCTCTCTATATCTATTTATTTCTCAGTGACTAGAGGTATAAAAACTAAGATTCAGAAAAAATGAATGATCCCTACTTACAATCCATTTTTTCAAGTTGTCATCTTTTAAGGGTTGATGAACATGGTGGAAGTATGTGGCTTCTCTTCAAGTCTTCAATTTTCGAGTATTCATTAGCTCGACTCTATAAATAAGTTAGCCTATCAAGACCAAGATGCTGTGAATGACAGCTCTGCTCCTCTGATTACTAGATCCACTTAAATGATCTCATGTATACTTTTAAAATTTGTATCTGTGACATTTTTTAAGGGAGCAAGGAAATGTGCTAATTACCTTCACTTCTAAGTTTATAGGTAAAATGAAAACTATCTCATTAATCCAGAGTGAGACATGGCCCTGGGTTGACGATATAAAGTGAGAAACTGAGATTAGTTTTGAAAACAAGTCACATGCAATTTTACTATGTTGGTGTTGGTTAGTTTGTTGGTTTTTTCTGCTTACTTAATTGTCAAGGATCTTCATTCTGAATGAGGATAAGAACTTGACGGTGTTTGCACTCATTGTGTGACAATGGGGTAATCTCATCTGAGTATAGTGATTCCCTTTCTCAATCATGTAGGAGGGAGTGACAAAGACTCCCACTGTGTAGATAGTTGCTGTCTGTCAGTGGATTTTCTCGGCAAAAATGTCTTTTTCTTCTGACATCTGTTACTTCACAGTAATGGGAATACTTTGACTACCTTCCTGGGTTGTACAAGTAACAAAAGAGCAAATATTATTGTAAATTTTGCTACCTCTTAGTATCTAGGTTGTCTTTGCAAAAAAATTGTATTTGGAACTATATGTACCTCAGAGAAAGAGGGGGGCCTTGTTTGCACTCATTATGGCATTACTTTGGTATTATTATTTTTACTTATATACTTCTCTTCTCCATAAGAATACATACCCCTTAAAGACAGTCTTGTCTTTTTAATGATTTTTTTCTCCAGTGCCTTGCAGAGTGTCAAAACACAGTAGATATAAAAAAAAGTTTTTAAACTGATAAGTGTGAAAGAAGAATAATAGAAAGTGTTTTTCTATTTAACTACCTAGACTTTATAAAACTCCTTGATCACTTATATTCAGGAGCCATCATTACCAGCATTGTTGTTTTCATCACTGTTGTCATCTTTGTCATCATCTCACCTCCCATTTATTGGTCTCTTATTAAGTACCAGTCTCTCTGTTAAGCAAGTTTTATACATAACCTCATTTAATCCACATAACAGTCTTATGAGATATTGACCTCAGCTCCATTTTAAAGCTGAAGAAGCGGAGGTATGGACAATGCAAGCAATTTGTCACAGCTGAACAAGTAGCAGAGTCATGGTTCAAACTCTGTACTTGTCTTATGTTAGGTTCAAGCTCTTATCTACCTTGTGGTTGTGGCAGAAGTTACCTTCCCCCTTCCCCCCACCAGTCTTCTTGATTGTACCATAAAGTTTTTGTCAGTTTTTTAATTGCTCTAATCCCATCTCCTGCTATCTGCTTACCTATATGCCTTCTTGGATGTATGTTATTGAAAAGAAAAAAAATCTGAGTTAGGTTAATTAAAGGAATAAAAGTGAGTTAGGTTAATTAAAGGAAAAAAACACAATCCTAGGTATGGAGATTCATTTCATTCTAGGTGGCTCTCAACTCAGGCTACATATCAGAATTGCCTAATAAGTTTTTGAAAACTGCAGATTCCCAGGCTCTGTCCAAAAACTGCTGAATCAGAATCCCTTAGGAGAGATCCTGGCATCTCATTTAAAAAAAAAACAAATGCCATGCTGTATTTCTTATGTGCAACCTGGTTAGCAAATCAGGGCTTAGGTCTGTGAGACAGTGACTTGAAGAAGTGATTTCTCCCTGAGCACTGGACCGGCAATGTGAGTGCCTTGGGCAATGGTGGTGGTGGTGGGTTGAGCAATGGATGCCTGGACAGTGCCCGGATTTTTCCTAGTTATTTTTTTCAACAAATATTTATTGAGTATCTGCTATGTGCCATACAATGTGCAAGGGCTTACACCTCTGCAAGTGTAAAAACAGGAAATAATTCAACCAATAGAACTATTTAATTTTTCTTTATAATTAAAATTTTGAGGTATATCCACTTTGTTCACAACATACTCAACTCGGATGTCTTAGCTCTGTGCCCAGTTTGTAAGTTTCATAGAGTAAGCGATTTAGAGAAGTCAGTGCAGGAGAGAAAGGCATAAACCTACACACACACCCACACACACACATCCACAAATAAAATGTCTGGAGAACACACTAAATCATTAATACAAGCTACTCATAATTTATTTTTTATGAGAAAAATGAGAGAACATTTAGACTACAATTTAAATAAATTCACATAACAAAGGAGTTATAACTGATTCTCTTGATTATTGCATATTCTACATCTTCACATTTATCCTCAAAGTAAATAATTCTCTTTGTGTCCCCAGGACTCATCTAAGCATAAATTCTTGGTAACTGTGCTTATCAGGTTTGACTTTGACATCTGACTGTTCTCACAGGTGTCTTTATTGATTTTTTAATCTGTTGTAGTATCTAGTATCTGTGTGTTATAATCACATTCCTTTTTTTTCTCCCCTATTACCACTCTGACTTTGCCTCTCCAGCTCACCACCCCCAGCACTTGGCCACTCCCACTCTACACCGCTTGATTCTGTCTTTTGTCTCCTGTACTGATAAAAAGAAGTAAGAAAAAGATTCCCTGTGGCAGGTAACATTTTCCCCCTTGCTCTTCCCACAGCTCACCACTAGGCCCCATATCTACAGAAATGGATTTCTTCCCTTTTTTCAGTAATGTTCTGGCACCTCTACTTCTTGCATTAGCTCCAGGCCTTAGAAAGCAACTGTATTACTAGGGATTTTATTTTTCTGAATATTTTCAAATACATTTGAATAAAATAAATTTTTAAAACACAAATATGGCAGTTTCCTCAAAAATAGTATTAAAAATGTCTCCAAAGGATCATACGGACGTCTTGACAAGTTCACATATCTTAGTATTCTGTCTATCTTTAGGGAAATGGAAAAATAAATAGAATGGGGTTAAGCAAGCTAGTGAATAGTCAAGGATTTATTTAAAAAGTTCTAATTTGGACCTCATTCAAGTTATGAAGGAATATTAATTATAGTTTACATTCTCAATCTTAAGAACTAAATTAAAACTGAACTTGCAAGTTTTTAGTGAGTTTATTTCTGCATTGTGTCTGAAAACATGTTCTTTATTCAATTAGTTAGGCATTTACTACACGCTTTTGGATATAATTATAAAAGTAAAGAATAAATAATCACTATTCTCCTAGTGGTGTCTAGCATAGGAGATGGATATGACTGTTAAAGTCTGGAGGGTTAAAAAGAAGAAATATATGCAATTTAAAATATTTTTATTCCTGAATAGTAAATAGTATGTGCCTGTTTTGTTTCAGAAAAGGAATATTTGAGTCCATCCATGGTTGTTTTGTTTCTGTTAATGAAAATCATTGTAAATGAAAGGAAGAAACACGCCCTTTTGAATTAGGCACTAATAATTTTGTTTTATTATGTAAAATCTTTGACCAATTAGTCAGAATATGAAGTAGTATTTTTTTAATTAATGAATTTGGCCTCTTAACCTTGGATGAAGTGGCATGAGTTTTAGAGGATATTTTCACACCAGAAACCAGTATTTTCTGAGTCCAGACTTTTGCTGACAGTTTGCCTTTGTCTAAATATAGTAATATAGAGATACTCTGTTCATATTTACACATTTCTCTAAGAAGTTGTTGACTTGAAACCTGCACAATAACTGTTTTGTAATTTTTTTTTTTTTTTTTTTGAGACGGAGTCTCGCTCTGTCACCCAGGCTGGAGTGCAGTGGCGCGATCTCGGCTCCCTGCAAGCTCCGCCTCCCGGGTTCACGCCATTCTCCTGCCTCAGCCTCCCGAGTAGCTGGGACTACAGGCGCCCGCCACTACGCCCGGCTAACTTTTTGTATTTTTAGTAGAGACAGGGTTTCACCGTGGTCTCGATCTCCTGACCTCGTGATCCGTCCGCCTCGGCCTCCCAAAGTGCTAGGATTACAGGCGTGAGCCCCCGCGCCCGGCCAACTGTTTTGTAATTTTATCGGTCATGCTTTTTTGTACAATTTCTTTTATTTCAAATTGCTCCATAGAATGGCAATGAATTTGTCATATTTTATGAGACTAAATAGTTAAAATACTGTTTTATGATTATTTTTCCTATAAACTCTACAAAGAATACAGTGACTAGTTCTTATACACTTCCTTATATGTTTCTTTTGGAAATACTGTCAAATCACCTCCTTTTCACAGCTTCTAAAATGAAAATTGATTTGTCATCTTGATTCTTCTGTTGATCATGTATTTATTCAATAAAGTGTAAAGGCTGAATATAAACTGGGTATCCTAATACTGTCTATGACTTTTCAGAGGGGCTAAAAAAGATCTGTGAGCTATTTATATTTAGATTTGAATACAAGTCCAAGTTCCCGTATGGCACTCAGATTTCACATTTTCCTCAATTAATAAATTTCCAGCAGCTGTGTGGGAGTTTAGGATCAATTTAGCTACGTTAGCTTGTTAGAAATAATGCATACCAAAATGATAAAAATTCAAATTATGATGCCAGTACTGTCTCTAGACTTGTTTCCTGTTGTTAGAATTTTCTCAGAAAATATGTCCAGCTGAGTTTGAGGTGAAATATTTGTTCACCTCTCGTCCTTTAATATTTTACTTCAGTTTTTCTCTCAAGTAGATTCAGGATTCATTTTTTGCTAACACCCTGAAAGAGACCTGAATAATTACCTTGTTCAGCTTCTTATTTGAAAGTAAGGAAGCTGGAGGCTTAGAGAGGCACAGCTGTTTAGGATAGAAACCATTGTCTACATTGTGCCCTTACTCTGCTGAAAATATTCAGCTAAACAGTATGAGGCTCTATAAACATGAGGTAGAGTATTCTCATTCAACGGAGACCTTTCTAGTTTAAGTAAGAACATTACCGAGACAGAAAGTGTTGGATATATCTGAAAATGCTATGAGATTGTGGTTAGTAGTGCATTTAGCATAATTTTAATATGGAAGACACATTCTTTTTTCCTAAGATTCTTTTAAGACTATCATTATCTTTAAAATTATCAGAGAAGTTAATAGAAATATTTTCTTCCTTTAACTGAGAATATATACTCAGTTTGACCAGAACATACGGATTTTGAGCATGCAGTGTTATATAGTTGAAAAAAGTAGCTTTTCTGACATTACCTATCTTTTGATTGTTTAATTTCATAACTATATTTCAGAATATTCTATTCCATTTATGGTTTTGTGTGTATATGATATACAGTTGATTCTCATTATTTGTGTTAGTTATGCTCTATAAAATTGTATAAACACTGAATTAGCAAATACTTGACCATTTCTCCTAAAGGAGATATAGGAGTTAAGTTCTTGTGAGCCTCTGGTCACAATAATTTTGTCAAACAATCAATACATAACCTTGTTTTATGTGTATTTCTATTTAAGGCAACTTTAATATATATTTTTGATTTATTACCAGTGAACTTAAAACCAATAGCACTATAACTCATGCTTGAACAAAGCTTATCTAACACATGTGTTTTCTCCATAAGTCACATCACAGTCTTGCTCTTAGCAACACTAGACAGTACTTCAGCATTATACTTCTGAGCCAATTTAAAAAAGAAAATTATCAACAAAAAGCACAAAAATGCAAAAAACACGGCACTAAATAGAACACAAAAAAGACACTTGTTTTTACAGTATGAGAGGTAAACCAAGAAGGCAGAGCATCACTTTGTTCAGCCACAGGTGGGAATGTGTCAGGTAATTCAAATATTTTAATGCTTTGTGTGTGTCTGCAAATAATTGTAAAAGATTCATGAGTACTGATTTTGTGGTTATAAATGAGTTTTAATGAGTAGCCAAATTCACAAATAAGGCACCCAGAAGTAATGATTGTCATGCATCTATGACATGTTTTGGTTAATATACAATAGGAATTATTTTCTATTATGTTCTATCTTTTAATTCAAAATACTTGGTAGACAGCAGCCTCCCCCATTCTGTACTTCTACTTATTATTGGTTTTAGGGAAATACCTCTTTGTGTAATATTTATTATCTTTTAAATATATACATATTAAAACTTGAGTATTTAAATGCATGTATATTTAAATACATGTGTATTATTTTTATACACCTACAGAGACAGAGAGTGAGAAAGAAAGGAGAGAGAACAAGGGTGTGTTGATGTGCAAAAGAAAGTCATTTTAAAGAATCATGAATGAACTAATTATTCATGTGTTAATGTAGCAGCCTGCTTAAAAATTATTTGATATACATGAAATTGACTTAACCTCTTCTGTTTATAGACAATTAAAATGAAAAGACTTCATAATTAATATAATCTTAACACTGTTTTAAAATGCAGTTAATGGGAAGTCATCCATCTTCTGACATAGTTAATTCAGTTTTTGCCACACTTCTAGCTACTAAATTTGAACATGTCATTATATATTAGAAGGTGATGCTTTGCTTCACTTTTTTTTCTTAATATTAAAGTCAGTGGAACATTTGTTTAGTATATTACCAACTCAGTTCTTTATTCATTTATCAAAATTAATTTATGCCTTCTAGCGACACTGAATAGCACAGGGAAGTAAATGCAGTAATTGGGTTGCCAATTCCAGAAAATTCTGCACTGGATTGTTAATAAGATTTAGAATTGAGGCTTCTGAAATAAAAAAAAAATTACTTATTTGTATTATATTTTATACCTGGAGATTTTTTTATTGCTCTATCTTTGGAGAACAGAAATCATTAGTCATTTTAAGTTTTTGTTCATTAAAAAATTGTGAATAGCTAATAAAGGGCTAGTGGTCTCTTTCAGTCTCTTAATCTTTAGGTCCTAACTCAGTGCTGAAAACATAAGTTCAAAAATTACTCTGCAAATCATTGTGTTACATATTGCTAAGGGAGCTGCTTCAATAAAAGGATGAATGTTTCTTTTCCTCAAGATACACTACAGTAAGAGAGGGAAGACTGGCATTACTATAACACAGTATAAAATGGAAAGATTATACAAAAACCTAGCAGCAAAGAATATGAGTGGGCAAATGGAAAGCCTGCTTCATAAGGGGAATAGAGAAAGGAGAATTTAGACTGAGATTTGAATTCTGAGTAGAATCTGTTGGCTAGAAAGGGAGTGTGGTCCTCCAGCAGGTTTTACTGGAGCAGGAAATTCTTGAAGACAAACATAGGGAGGCAAATTTCAGGAAGGCTGAAATGGTAATTTGGACTTATGGTTCAGGTCTTGCATGTCAAGTAATATGGTTAGACTTTAATAAATAGATAACTGGAGCTATTACAAAATATTGAACTGGCAGGGAGTCTTGCTTTTAAGAAGAAGTTGTGTGTTGGCTGAGCATTCTGTCCTCACTTAGGCTCACTCCTGAGGCAGGAGGCTGTGTGTTAGATGGATTAGGTAAGATGCGACACTAAAAGCAAAGAAGCAAGGTAGGAATTGTATTCATAGTATTATGTTACCTGAACCAGAGTGGGAAATTTGAATTAGGAAGTTGGGGATAAATATGAGATATATTGTTGAGAAAGGATATATTTTTAGTGTAATAAACATTTTTTTTTCTTGGCTGAGAGATTATTTACCCTAAACTAGAATTCTTTAGTTTTTGTAGAGAATTTACTCCTGGTAAATTACTGTTTTTGTTGTTGATCTGGTTTTGTTTGGGATGGGAGAATGTTTATTATTTGTTTCTCTAACGCTTGCCAAATATGCATATCTGTGGTGATAGTAAAATACCATATATGAATTATCCATTTTGAGTAATAAAGACAAAATATTTGGCTTAATGCTAAAAAACTATGCTGATTAACAATTTAATCTTTACTGGTCATTTGAAAGATAATATTATGGGCCTCACTGTCAACATTAAGAATATCAGTTATGATCCGTTTTTGTTGTAGTTATTTCTCTCCAAGATGAATGTTAACAGGGACAATTAAAATACTTCTGGCAGATATTTTAGTTAAAAGTAGAAATATTCTAACTCATCTCAGGGGCTTGAAAGATTTGGTAGTATTTCAGAACAAATTTTGTGAGAAAGAGTTAAAATATAAGTATTTTTGAACAAGATCTGCAGAGAGTTTAACAGAATGAAATAATAGTAACAGCTACAATAAAATCATTCTCTTTATTGTTTCCAAAGAAATACAATAACAGATAGTGTTATTTAAGTAAAGTCGTAGGGGAAACAGGATATTAATGCTTGTTGAAAGATGCTGAAACTCTAGGTAGAGGAGAAGTGTGTATCCATACACATTGCACTCTATATTCTTGTTCTAATCTCAGTAGGGAAGATTATAAAGATGGAAATTATGTAAATGACATTCGTGGTGGTTTTGCAGTAGAGTTGGTAAGTAGGAAGAGAAGGACTTTTTCAAGAGACACCCTAGTAAAAGTATGATTATTTAATAAAATGCAGAAGGGCAGGTTTTCTGACGTAAGACTGATGCTTTTATACATGGCCAGAATCAGAGTACATAGGAAAAACTGAGAAGCTTTTGTACCAAGAAGTTTTCTTAAATTTGTACTGATTACTAAAGGTTGAACCCTCAAAACATTTAAAAGTCAAAATCATGCTTCAGAATCAGTATTTTCTGCTGAAAAGTTTAGAGAAAATATGCTAGGATAGCCTAGAATGTATTATAAAACTAACTATTTCAACCCTTTACCTACTTTGAGAGTTTTGTGAAGGCGATCTGGCATGACCTACATTTGTTCAAAGGGCCAAGACAGACTTGGCCCTTCAAAGGGCCAAGACAGACTTGGCCCTTCAAAGGGCCAAGACTCTAATCAGAGCTAAAGGAATTTTGAAGTATTTATTTCAAAGTATTCAGAGAGACATGCTTCTTGTTGAAACAATTATGAAAGCTACTATTGAACTGCCTGATATTTATCATGGAATAAACAGAAGGCTGTCAAAATGGAAGATTAGCTTTGACTTTAGGAATATTACACTTTTGGAGATTAGGAATTGCCAACGTTATAACAAGAATAAGCCATTAGCAGTTTCATTAAGTTTGACTCTTCCAAAAGTTGCCTTATTTCGGGCAGGTTCTTGTATTTTCTGAACTTGACTTCAGGCATTCAAAATTGCTATTGTGGCTTTACAATCTGGTTCACTATACTTACAAAGCAAATCAGTACAAAGTTGTATGGTTTTTTTTGTTTGTTTGTTTTTTTGTTTGTTTGTTTGGTTTGGTTTGATCTTTTAAATCTCCCCAAAAAGACTATTTGATAGGCTATGAGGATATACTCTTTGTAAAATATTCTGTGAGAGCATATTTTTAGATGATTACACAAAGTTTAAAAAATACATTCCATCTGATACTTCTGCTCACAAGTAATTGTCATATCTAATTGCATAGGGTGATCACAGAGAAAGGATATTGGTCAGAGGAAATAAAATAAAATAGAAATTAAATTCTTTTGGTAGACTAGAGACAGAAATATAACATGGTAATATAAAAAGGCATGCAATTTTCAAGATGGCCTGAATATTATCATAACAAACATAAACTGTTTTAGAGAGGATTAACATTTTTATGAAGTTGCTTTCTTTCCAGTAACATGATATATTTTTATTTGTCAAAGCCTATTTTTGTGGCAAGACATTTTTAGTCATACTGATACTGAAAGAGTTTATCCCTAATAAACATTCAGAAAATAATTTTTAAAAGATATACTTTATCAAGAGGAAAATTGAGCCCAGAAGGATTGTGTGCTGGTCTTTGCTGTTTCCTCTCAGATCTATTCCTTGCCCTTCTCCTGCTTTGTTCTATATTTCATTTCACTCCAGAAGTTAGAAAAAGAAAAATGGAATAAAATTAAAGAAAGTAGCAGAAAGAAAGGAGGAGGAACAAAGATAGATCAGAAATGTTCAATATAAGGGAAAGAAAGAGATGAACGACAAAACAAGCTTGGGTTTCTGAATAAATTAATGATATGTAAATATCTGTCAAGATTAATCTAAAAAGAGAGAAAAGACATAAAGAAATGAATTTGTAATAAAAAGGAAAACAGATATTTTTAACACCCTATGATTACCATGAGCAAATTTAAGCCAATATAATAACTATATGTAATAGATGAATATCTATAAATTGTAAATTTCCAAAATTGACTCAAAAAATAGAAAAGTTGAATAAGCAAATAGCAAACAAACAAATTTAAAAAATCAACTCAAAGATGTTTATAGTTTGTCCTCATTGTCCCCTGTCTTGCACAGACAACAGAAAGATTATTAGCATACATATTCAAGGAACTGATGATCCCTAATCTCGGCTGACAGTTTCAACAAACAGAGAAAGAGTGAAATATCCTTGATCTAGAAATCTTGTTACAAAACTGGACAAGAATAGTAATAAAAATAAAATTAGGGGCCAATCCTTTTTTCACATACAAACACATATAATACTAACAAAGTGAATTCAGTGTTGTGCGTGACATTTGTATAGAAAAGAAAATGACCAAATTCCTGGGTATCTATAACACAGGAAAAGTATGGTTCCTCATCAGAAAACAAACAAACAAAAAAACCAAACCCCAAAACTGTTCTTTTATATACTATACTAAAAAAGAGACTGGATTGTAAATAGAGGCCATATATTCTTTGTTATTCTTCCCATCAAGAGATGGAATCTGCTTCGCTATCCCTTGAATCTGGGCTCAGCTGTGTGACTTGCTTTGGCCAATGGAACATTAGCAAATCTTATTAAAGAAGAGGCTTGGCCGGGCGTGGTGGCTCATGCCTGTAATCCCAGCACTTTCGGAGGCCGACGGGGGCAGATCACGAGGTCAGGAGATTGAGACCATCCTGGCTAACACGGTGAAACCCCGTCTCTACTAAAAAAATACAAAAAAATTAGCCAGGCGTGGTGGCAGGTGCCTGTAGTCCCAGCTACTTGGGAGGCTGAGGCAGGAGAACGGCATGAACCCGGGAGGCAGAGCTTGCCGTGAGCCAAGATCGCGCCACTGCACTCCAGCCTGGGCGACAGAGCGAGACTCCGTCCCCCCAAGAAAAGAAGAGGCTTAAAAAGTGGTTGTGCATCAAGCTTTCAGCTTTTTTTCCTGCTCAGAGCCCTGATATAATCCTGTGAAGAAGCATGGACTAGCCTCTAGCACAATGAAAAGACAAATAGGGAAAGAGGCCCCAGTAGTACTAGCTGAGCCCTAGTAGGCCTCTTTACTGAATATATTCTGCCTTATGAGTGAGCGTAAGTAAGAACAGAATGAGTTCTGCCTTATGAGTGAGGGTAAGTAAGAACAAGTAAAATTGTCATAAAATAACAAGAACAGAATGGTCGGCCAACACACAACTATTTTTTTCGTGAGAAATGCATTTGAAAAATATTGAGAAAAAAATAGTTGTTTTTAAGCCACAACAGTTTTGGGCATTTTGTTACATTTAGCAAAGGCTAAATGACACATTAATGAATGATCTTGGATACAGAAAAAATTTAAGTAGTTTTCAATGCTTCTTCATTATGAAACATCATAGCAAAATAGCAGTACAAGTTTCTCAACCTGATTAAAGGTGTTTATCTAAAATGTACAGTTAATATATTTAGTGGTGAAGCTTTAGGCATTCCCATTAAAATTTGGGACCAGTGAAGAATTGTGCTATTACCTTTCCTATTTAATGTTGTACAGGAAGTTCTAGCCAATGTGCTATAATAATAAAAAAGGAAATGAGATATGTAATTAAGAAAAAAATAGTATTTTTATTTGTAGACGATATCATTGTCTATGTAGAAAGCCCTGGAGAATATAAATACTGTTAGAACAAAAAAACACACTAAAGATAATGTTAAAGAATAACAAGGTGTGGAGACCAACTCTACCAGATGGCAAGGTTTATTATACATTAAATTATAGTAAGTAGGTAAGAAGGTATCGTGCATGCATGGAACAATGACAATGGAATCGAATATACAGCCAAGAAACAGAATTAGATATTTATAAAAACTGATATAGGGGAGAGTTAACATTACAGATGAGTTGGGAAAAGATGAAGTGGCTATTCTAAGTGGACTAAAGGCTTAAATAAACAAATAACTAAAATTTGACTAACTATAAAGAAAAGATTTACAAATGCCATTAAATTATAATTGTAAAAGCATTTAACAACCTCAGCAAAACCTGTGGTAAACATATTTGACGTGGAAGATACAGACTGGAAGTAGGTATTTGTCACACGTGTGGCTGACAAAATAAGGCATACAGAATTTTAAAAGAACTTGTGGTTAGTCTAAAAGAGAAATGGACCAACGCAATTCACAGAGGAGGAAACTCTAGCGGTAAGTCAGCATAAGAAAGAGAAAGATGCTGAACCTGATTAGCAAACAGGGAAATGCACACTAAAACATTTCACATTTATATGGCCAGTGTGTTTTTAAAAGTTTGAATGTAACATTTACGGTATTGGCAAGAATTTAGAGAAAGGGATTTTAAACATGCTTATGTTCATATGAATTCAAACAGCCACTCTGGGAGAGCAATTTGTCAAGTTACAGTAAACTTGAACATAAGCATGCTCTTTGACAGAACAATTCCACTTTTAGAAATATGTTCTAGAAAACCATCCACTACAAGTACACAAGAAGATATGTTCAGAGTGCTTGTTGCATCATTATTTATAATAGCAAATTTTACTGTAAATTGGATAAGTAAATTATCAATATAATCATACAATTAAATACTAAGCCCTTATGAAATTGAACCACCTAAACATGGCAGAATCTCAAAAACATAATTTTGAGAGAGAAAATACAAGTATGTCACTGCTTAGCTAAAATTTTAAAGCATATTAAAAATACTGTATACTGTTTATAGACATAGCTATGTGACAACAGTATAAAAAGAAGCATAGTAATAATAAACACAGCTTAGGATAGTGGATCAGCTGGGAAAAAGGATGGAATTTTGATACATAAGCACTTCAACTGTATATGTAATTTTTCTAATTTAAAATATAAAGAAAAACTGAAAAATCTTAACGTTTAATAAGGCTGGCTGACAAAAATACATTCTTTATAACTTTACGAATGATAATGATATTTCGTTTTAAAATGGCGTTAAATAAAGTTAAATTCTATTGTAGTTGATGTTGGATTTCTCAGACCCTAGGATGCACTGTGACTCTCTAAAAGGTAAAGGTAGTATTTGGTATTTTTCAAATGCATTTGATCAGGGAATGAATTTTGAGGATATGTATGGAGACACTAGATTATTGCAGAACAAGTGGGAGAAATGCAAATCTTGAAATAAAAAATGATGTGAAATTATTTTTTAGTGCAAATGCCTGAGGTCTAGACCATCATCTTTTCTGAATATTTCATACATACAGAATCATACAATATGTAGTCTTTTATATCCAGTTTCTTTCATGTAACATAACATTTTGAAGTTCTTCCATGTTGTAGGATGTATCAATATTTTGTTATTTTATATTGGCAAATAGTAGTGCATTATATAGATATACCATACTTGGTTTATCCATATACCAGTTGTTGATTATTTGAATTGTTCAGTTTTTGGCTGTTAGCATTATTCATAATACTGCTATGAACATTTTTTGTATAAGTCTTTTGTAGAGAGATGTATTTTTATTTCTCTTGGGTGGATTCATAGAAGTGAAATTGTTGGATCATTGTAAGCTTATGTTTAACTTTCTAAAGTCCTGCCAAATTATTTTTTAGAGTGGCAATACAATTTTACATTTCTATCAGTAATATTTTCAGTTTCTCTGCATCCTTGCCAAAACTTTTCATTATCTGTGTTTTGATTATAGTCATTCAGGTGAGTGTATAGTGTTATTTCATTGTGGTTTTAATATGCATTCTTCTAAAGATGAATGATGTTGAACACTTTTCATGTTCTTATTAGCTATTTGATGTCTTCTTTGATGAAATGTTTATCCAAGTCTTTTGCCATATTTTAAACTGGATGATGATGATGATTTACTGAGTTATGAGAGTTCTAATATGGATGAGTCCTTTACCAAATGTAGGATTTGCGTATATTTTCTTCCTGTAAGAAATAACATAATTTTAAGTGGGACTTGATTTTCATGTGTTTCATATCTCTCACATGATATTACTTTGGACAGAAAGTACTGCTGTAAAGATGATTTACAAGAGGACCATTTATCACTGTAATTGATAGTTTAGGTATTTAGCATGCTTATGCTCCTATGATTTATTTGCTGGGGATTTAAATCTTATGAAAAATACTAATTCAAATGTATTAGAATTCCTACATTCTAATTACTGGTAATTCTGTCAAAGCAATGGTCTTATATTTACTTTCCACATTTATTCCCCCAATGTAAATATTGTTTAAAACATTCTTTAAAGTTTTCCTCATGATTTGCATTCTGAGTGGTAAACCTCTGCATTCAATGTACATACACACATGCACACACATTCATTTTCTCTGCTTCAAAATGTAAGTTAATATTTTACCAATTGCAGATGTTACCCTCATAGTTGTTGGACAAACTTTAGTGTCTCATGGAAAATAGGGATTTAGTTAAAAAACAATAAAAATTATTACTAAGTATGCTTTAAAAAACAGCAATAAGAAACAATTTTAAAAGTCAAATGCTTCCACAGGAACTAGTTTAATCAGCATTAAAACCTTCTGGAATAGGTAAGTCTACTGAATCACCTCTCTGATTGTCTAGGAGACATTGCTGCATCGCACAATTCACAGGAGTGTATTCTCCCATAGCTTTATTTTATATGGAATGCTCCTCTTTAAAAAATGTAAAAAAAAAAAAAAAAGAAAAAAAATTGCAACGCACCATTACTGAGCTTGAAATGAATGTCCTTTACACTTGCACATGCCTTTTGTTTCATTTTCAAAAGTCTCTCCAAAAGAAAACCTTGTTGAAACACCTGGCATTTCACAAATTATTGTGCTGCTTAAGGGCACTTTTTCTGGCCCTTGTCTTTTATTCATATATTGAAAGGGCAGAGCATAAACAGATCACCTTTCTGTGCCCTGCCCTCACATGATGTAAGAGGTGGAGGCAGGGAGAATAAGACATATTCTTTGATGTGTTTCTTTGTTTCGTTGAGGGATAAATTTTAAAAAAGAAAAATCGTAACTTTCATATAGATATAAAATAAACATGTTAAAGATTTTGTTTAATTCATTATTAAAAAGGGAACTAGGCAGATGTTACGAAGTTCAAAGGAGAAGTGAATGAATCCCAAGTTTTTATGGAGCAAAATAATGTTGAAATCACTGTACAAAAGGAGATAAAACTGGCTTTTCCATTACAGAGAGGGGTGAAGGAGGACAATGTGTAGTTTTTCAATGGAGACACCCAGTAATGTTTTCTGCTTCTTAAGCAAGGATTGTCAAACATTTTCTGTAACATGCCAGATAGTAAATATTTTAGGTTTTGTGTGCCTTATGGTCTCCCATTCAATTCAGCTGTTGTAGCATGAAAGCAGCCATAGATAATACATAAACAAATGGGCATAATTATGTCAGAATAAAACTTTATTTATGGACATTGGAATTCAAATTTCATATTATTTTCATGTTACAAAATGTTGTTCTTTTTGTTTTTTTGGTTTTCAACCACTTAAAAATCTAAGACTAGTCCCTGCTGTGAACCATACAAAAACAGCCTGCAAAGCAAATTTGATTAACATTTAACCAATAGAGAATATACTGAAAAACTCATAACTAAAATCAGCACAGATTTGCAAAGTATGAGATTTATAGTAATAAGTTATTATACATAATAAATGTAATATTGTTACATATGTACATAGTAGATATGCATAGATATATATATACTTGTGTACATACATATCTATCTATGCATATATATAATATAAATAAATAATTGTCATGAAATAACAACAACGGAGCCTATGCTAAAACAGTTGGAAAAACCAAGGTTGTCTAAGTACAGATGACCATACCTTGTTAATGTGTATCACTGGGGTTATATCACCTCAGTTGATCACCCACTTCACTCATAAGACTAACACGACCTGATGGAGTAAAAAATACTGTTCTGTGATCAGTTACCCAGAAGTATTCTCTTTCACAATTGGTTTACCAAACTCACATGGAATTTCAAGCATATTTGAAACAGATAGCTTTCCTTAAGTGCACGGGGAACATAACAAAACTTAGAACCTGGGTGTTAACAAATGCATAAGATACAGAGCCTCTTTATGTAAGTTAACTATATAAATATGAGTGTTTTCATTTTATTAAATATGTTTTAAATTGTACATATAATGTAATAGTTTTCCAGATAGTTTAAAAAGTCTTTGTGAACAAACTTTTATCAGCCCTCATCTACTTGTTGGCTGAATACTCTGGTAAAATTTCATGAATTGGGTACAGGTACAAAATTATGTCTTTAATATATTTATTGTTATATTACTTATTACTGTGTTTTGTAACCACTATACACGTACCAGCGTCACCAGATATATTCTTAGGGTCCATGAGCACTCTAAGGACTTCAAATATGCATTTTTATTTTTATGAATTAACTGGATGTAATCAGCCCACCACATGTTTTTTGTTAATAAAGTTTTCCTGGAAAATAGCCCTACTCATTTGTTTGCATATTGTCTATGGATTCCCACTTTATGACCAAATATTGCTGCACAATTTTTGTTTCTGTAATTGTGTTTATTTCTTTAGTGGGCTTTAGATGATGCTTTAAAATGTAACTTTTATGATAATATTTGTCTAGCTGTGACAGTTTGCCTCTTGTTGTAGAGTATGCAAATATATTCTAGAGCAGAGATATTGGCAATCTTTCTGTAAATTACCAGAGAGTAAATAGTCTAGCTTTTGCGGGCCATAGAATTCCATCATAACCATGCAACTCGGCAGTTGTAGCGTGAAAGCAACCATAGACAATATGTAAACAAATGAATGTGGTTAGTTTCCAATACAACTTTATTAACAAAAACATGTGGTGGGGTGATTATGTCCAGAGGGCCTTAGTTTGCTAACTCTTGTTGTAGAACATCTGGTGATTCTCAAAAATTTAATAAAAATCGATTTATAAATATATACTCTTTAACAAATGATTCTATAAAGCATCACATTTGCAGAGGTAAAGTACGAAGCCATTATTTGCTTAGCTACATAATGCTTCCATTATACAAATACAATATAAAATTACATTATTATGAATGTTTTATGTTAAAATAAAGAACTAGGTTTTTAAAGCTTTTTTAAAAAATAAATAGCATATTCCTGAAGAAAACCAGCCTGTATTCCACAAGTGTTTGTTTGTTTGTTTGATTGATTTTGTTTGTAGAGAGAGGGTCTTGCTATGTTGCCCAGACTGGATTCAAACTCCTGGGTTCAGGCGATCCTCCCACTTCATTCTCCCAAGTAGCTGACTGCAGGCGTGCATCACTGCTTCCAGCTCACAAGTTTGTTTGTTTTTTTTTTAACACAAACTACGGGTAGTTTTTCTTTTTGACTTATAGCCGTAACCCATATATATATTTGAGTTACTAAATAAACTGCTTCTAAAACCCTAGATATTGGTTAGAACTTTTCATCCTCAGCTTACAATTGCAGGAATTTTAGATGTCAGCTAAATCAAAGGTGTCTGGTTGAAGAAACAACAACAGTTAAGATACATTCTCTGACAGGCCAGAAAGGTAGTTTAAAAGCTGGCCAGCAAAAATCTAATTGTTCTTGAACATATTCAATGAATATTCAATACTGAGTTAATTTTTATGAATACATTTATAAATATATTGTTTTGTTTACTATTTTAAGTGAATCTAACAAATGTTTCATATGAAAATTAGTATACTGTGATCTCTTTCAAATTCTTTTAAAAGTCAAGTAACATTGATTAGATTTATTTTAATTATTTATAATTATATAGCAGTTCATATTGTGGGGCTAAATTAATGGTTTCTTAAAATTTCTGTAAATTTCAGTGTTTTGGCCTTTTTGGTCTTCATAGCAATATTTTAAATAATTAGTTTTTTGAAAGAGAATTTTTAGAAGGTCATAGTATGACTTGGTTTTCTTAGGAAAAATTTCTCATTTAATATTCAGAAATATGTGATTCATATTTAGTAACCAAAATTTAGAATAAGATTTAGCATACCAAATCTGACCTATAATCACCTTCAGAAACATAGCTTTATCTAGAAACACATTAATGTCAAATGTTAATGATCTTCCTATTAATTACAAAATTATGACTGGTATGCCATTTGGTGAAATGATGACAAACTTACATGAAATAGTAAAGAATGTGTGCAAACTGAAAACAGCCCAAAACAATTCCATCACATATCAGTTGCTGAGATTTTATATTTTAATTGCTATAAATACAAAATTAAAACTGACGCTACTTAGATAGATTCATTTAAAATATAGAGCTATTGACTATAATTTTAAAATTCATTAACATACTTCTTATGAGTTGATACATTTGGTAAAGGTTGGTGATTATTTGATCAGTTGATTTTGGGCAAAATTGATCTAGTGCTAGCAGAGATGGCGTCGTTAAGGGAGACAAAATACCTTTGCTTGCTGAGGGGGGAATACTTAAGGTGAGATATCAGAATCAATATGTTTGTAAAGTCCAGTAGTTAAGTAAACATGTTAAAACTGGTGTTCACAGGTTTTCCATTGCTTCAAGAAACTATGGAAACTAATAAATGATTTGTTTCATTTTTTTTCACTTACAGAAGTTCTAAGGGAAAAATTTTATTCACTTCCTTTTTATTGTATCAGCAGCTGTTCTTCTTGATAACAAATCAGCTTCCCTTTAGTTCTCTGAGGAGATCCAAGGTCTTGCCAAGAGCAAAAGTTGAACAGATGCCTCAGTAAATGTAGTTCTATTCTTGGCTAGTCAAGGCCACTTGTCTTCAGCAGATTGAGTTTTTTATTGTTTTTGTATTTTATTTTATCCTAGAAATATTTTGAAAGCTGTAAACAGCCCAGGTGAAATTAATTCGACTGTTGATGAGTTATAAGGAATAAAATATATAAACCTGGCTGCTTTGACGGAATATTTTTCCTGTAGTAGCTTTGTGGGAATAATACGTGTCCAATGTATTTATAGGCAAAGAAAAATTAGCTGCATGGACAAGAAGCCTGATGGATTTAATGTGGAAGAAAGTAGGATGCTGTTGGAAATGAGCTAATTTACTGAAGCAACAAGTGCGATTGATAATGTTGCAATAAGTTTGCTTTCACAATGTGTAATGGATGGTAGAGTTTAGGACTGTGCGCAGGAAGAAGTATTCATTTGTAGCTTCCTGTTTCAAACCTCCACTTAAAATCCCTCAAACACGAATCTCACGAAGGTAGAGTAGCTTCTACAAGTTTGTATGGCCTTATTTCAAGTATGCTGTGTTAGTTTCATTTTTAAGGAAATGAACATATGTAATACTGCTTTTGATATGTATACTGTAGTAAAGTGTTGGTCACATACTTTAATTGTTCTTAAATTTATAAGATTACTTTCATCAACCTTTTGAACTAGATTATTTTGAGGAATTAACTTTAAGATGCTTAATGTCAGTTTAAGATGATCACATCTTGAAACTTTCACAGAAACTTTTATCTTTTTTGTTTCAAAAATGGTGCCATAAACCTAAGTTTATACGTTCTAGTATATGTGTGTACTTCCACAAGATAGAGCCCTAGAAATGGAATTGATAGGTGAAAATATATTTACAGTTAATATTTTAATACATTCTTTAACGTTCCTGCTAAATTAATCATGATCTCACTGTAGTTGTGTGAGAACATCCATTTCCCCGTAAGCTTGTCAGCGTTGTATTTTATCAACCTTCTAAATATTTGTTAATATGATGAACAAAAAGTGATGTCATGTTGTTATGATTTCGATATATCTGATTAGTAATGAAATTAAACATCTTTCACACAGTAATTGTGTAATTAGCATAGTTCTTATCAGTTTAAGAATTAACTAATGGGCAGATTTTGTTTATTTGTATGCATGAATTTTATTTTATAGAGTCTTTCTAAGGCTTAGGGAAATTTTCCTTTTTGTTTTTTACTATGATTATTCTTTTTTCTCTGTCACCTTTCTCTAGAACTCCTGTTAGATGCATGTTAGCCTTTCAATATCTAATCAATACACCTTTTAACTTTGCTCTCTCATACTGTTAAACTTTTTGTCCTCTACTGTCCAACCCTAGTCCACTGCATTCTGCGGGGAGGTCCCACTTCTCAGTCTTCCAGATTACTACTTTTTATCAGGGTTCATCCTGCTATTTAGTGCTTGATGTATTTTGTTTTGATTTTAATTATGCTGTTTATGATTTCTATAATAACCTATTTATGTGGTTGTATAATTTTTTGTTTTTTGTTTATTCTCACTATCCTTTTGGATATTCATGATTAGGACATTAGTTCTACCCATTTTTAATCTTTCTTTTAATTTTTTTTTTAGTCTGTTTATTCATATTTCCTTGGGGTAGTAGATTGGTATCTCCTTATCAAGTTGATGGTTTTCTCCACTGGTCTCAGGTTGTACAGCCTTAGTAGCTTCAGTATAATTCCACAGACTGGATGATAATTCCTTTTTGTTTGACAGCAAATGCAAGTTCTAAAGACAGGAATTTTCCCTCTTATTATTGTTTGGGGGGAACAATAACCTTCAACCGTTTATAGTTTTCTTGTATGTCCTAGAAAATGTGTTACCTAGGATTTTGTCTCATATTTCTGGCACTTTTGCCCACTCTTGGAGTCTCTCATGTAAGACTTCCTACTTTGATAGAATGTACTCATGTTTGTTTTCATTTTTTGAGGTAGCAAACATAGTAATTACCAACCTTAAAGAGTCAGCTACTCTCACTGGGGTTCCAACGTGCTTTTATTTTTCTCTTGACTGCTTATCATCCAATATTTCTCCAAGGAATGGCTTTATCTTGGGATTGTTTAAGGCCTTATCTGATTGAGATAGTCTTAATTCAGTTGAATTTTGATATTAGTCTATTTCCATCTGCTTTATATCTTCCAGGAAATTCACAGTTGTCCCATATTACCAGTGCTCTTTTGTATTTACTTTTGTTTTTATACTTGTCCTTTTCAAAGGTATTTGGGAAACGAGGAGATTTGCTCAGTCAGTAATCTTCTATTTGAACTAAGAAGACCACAGTTCTTTTATTATTGACATAAAATGTCTCTAGTTAAACAAATGGTATTGTCATTTCGAGTAACTGATTATATTTTTTTCAAGTTATTCCTTTTAAACTTCCTATGGAGTTGGCTTGGATTTGTGATTAAATTTGATCCCATTATATTTATTTTCACTTAGTCTGATTCCAATAAAAGAGATGACTACTTATCTTGCTTCAGTTTGAAATTCTTGTAGCAGGTGTATTTAGAAAAGGTCTACAAACTTACTGGAAATTTAACCCAATCAAATATTGTTAGAAGCATTAGTCTTCTTTTAAGGGCAAGATTGTCAGTGATTTAACATTTTTACATAAATTTTTAGAAAGATTCATTTATAGATGCATTGAAACTTTCTTATTTTAAAACATTAGTAATGAGAGAGTTTAATTTGAAAGCTGAAACTGATCCCATTCAAGAATTATTTTCATTTCTTATTATACTTAAAGTTTTAGATTTTCAAATACATGCCATTTAATAGTTTAAAAAATATTAAAGTAAACATTTTCTAATGCCGATATTTAATAAGTTCTTTCTTTGCAAGACCTGTAATTTGGTGCTCAACACAAAGGTTATGTGTAAGAATTGACTATGAATGTAAATTAGCAAAGTTTCTGCATAGATAAAAATAAGAACAATCTTATCTCCATGGATACTAATATTTCCTTGTCTTTCAGTCATGCCATTCTCTCCCTTTTCTCCCTGCTTCTCTTCATTTTGTTCATTTATGTTTAATTTAACAAACATTTATGCAGTATTTTATATGTGCCTGGCACTGTGTTAGACCCAAGAGATACAATGATGAATAGATAAGACACGATTTTTACCTCATATCTTGACCTTTGTTTCCGTGCAAAGATCAGATGAGAAAGGTATAAAAACATTCTATAAAATTGTCTTATAATAGAAGATGTTGTAAAAGGTACAGGTAGATATACAGTATCAATTTAAATTTTGAATAGAGGGAAAATGCTATAAAATTAGGCTTAAAAACTTTCAGATTGTTGTCTTAAGTACTGAGTATTAAATTGGAGATAACTATATTGCAGAAGGAGACTCCTCAAAGCAAGCATTGTTTCATTGAAGAAATTTCTTTTTAACTTGAAAGCTTCAAACATCTTCGGAAGCTTATTAAGTATTAGCACTTCTCTCTTGTAGTTTTTGTTTGTGTGTGTGCAAAAATAAAAGAGACAGTAGGTGTGAATGTTTTTTTGTAAACCGTAAAGTACTTCATAAATATAAGTTGCTATTATTGTGAAGGGAGGTGATATTGAGAGACTATGGAACAATTTTGATAAGGTGTAGAACCGAGCATATTTGGAAAGGAAAAGACAGTAAATTTTAAGCAAAATTGTAACTACCTAAATGATATATTTTGAAGTATGCTCGAATGGACTTCATTTCCAGAAACATCTTCTGTCTACAACTTGTTATGGCATTTAAAATTCTGCTGGAGAAATTGCTTCTGTTTGATGCTAATAGTAGGTAATAGTATGCATTCAAAAATAGTATTTTTTAAAATGCAGCAGTTTCACCTTTGAAAGTGCTTTGCTGTATTTTTATTGGCTCTTGATAACATTTTGTGCTAGCTGTTGGTGATGGTATTGTTATCTTCATCATCTTTATTCCTTTTCTTTATTTGAGCAAGTGTTAGTAGATATTTTTCCTTTTTTATTGGTGAGGAAGTAAGGATCACAAGTTGTATGAATTATTTATCCAATTTTTAATGAGTGACAGGCTTAACCCACACTATCTTACTTCTGTTTTCTTTCTGCTCTACCATGATTAAATCCCTAATGAAAGAAGTGCTTATTATGGACCTATTATAGGGCTAGGACATTTCAAAGTCAAATAGTACAGTTTCTCCATAGGGTGCACAAGTTAATTGGAGATATAAATCTTATGGGTTAGAAACAGTAGACAATGGGGACTATTAGAGGGGAAAGATAAGGAGGGGGTAGGGGTTGAAAACTACTTATTGGGTACTAGGTTCATTACCTGGGTGATGAGATCAATCATACCCCAAACCTCAGCATCATACAATATATTCATGTAACAAACCTACACATATATCATCTGAATCTAAAATATAAGCTAAAAAACAAGAGAAGGTCGTAATACAGTGTTTCATTTTAAATACTAAGTGGTGTGATAAAAGCTTTGATTATTTAGACAATCGAGAAAACAATATGAGTTGGTTTAGGTCAAGGAATGGTTTGTTAAGAGGTGGAATTGCCCAATTATCTAAAAGTTATAACATATAGTTAGATAAGGAGTAGAAGGCCCTTTCAGGGTAGGTTAAAAGCATTATGAGCAAGGCCATCATAACTGAAGTGATAGAAAAAAATGATTAATAAGACATGATATGTTTTAGGGGAGAATACCAATAACTTCTATAATCAAATTTTTCCCTGACCCTCAGCTATAGTATAGGAACACTTGAAAAAAACCTCTTTTGCCAGCTTGAGGCTTGCCAGGAGTCTCATAACCCCATTTTTCTGCTGTCATTATCTACATCTGTGCCCTAACCCCTGTTCCAGTCATGAGCTTTGCCTGGGCTTCCTGAAGTTCTAAGATGCCAGTGTGTTAATAATTCCCCTTGCTGGTTGTCAGATTCTTCCTGTCTCTATTCTATTCTGACTTTTTAGAAGGGATCACACAGCAGAACTTCTTGGCCCTGGTATCATAGGCTTTTCATTTTCTCGATTCCCATACCCCTTTTTTCCCTCACAGTATATTCATGTTGACAGGGTAGATGAATCAGAGAGGAATTCATGTCTCATCTCTTCATACCCAACAGAGAACTTCTTGGGTCTCAACACCCAGACAGTTCTGGACATCTGCTTTATCATTTAACAATGGAACATCTTTTACTCCCTTTATATTTTGGCAGAATTTGGCCCTGTGTATAGGATTGGTGTGCTGCAGTTTTTCGCCTGTCACTACAAAAGCAGAGGAGAAGATACTCCATCTACTTGATAATTACCCAGGAGTCAGAGCATGGCCTGTGACCCAAGCTCAGCCAATCAGATGTTTCAACCTGGAACTGATTCTAGAGCAAGTGACTCAAGAAAGAAAGATCAGTTAGGAACTATTGGTGGTGAATGATGTAGCTTCGATGTCAGTGGTTTCCAGTACTCGTCATTTCTTTCAGAATCATCAGTCTTGTAATTGGATTTTCCTGTTCCTTGGTCCTCCAGCTAAGATCTTTCCTGTGTCCTGGTCTTTTTTCAGTTTGCATCTTCTTCTAGCCTTCTTGCAGATTCTGTAAATCTAATATCTGTCTATCTACTTCCTGAGTATGTTTTGTTCATTTCCTTTTTTAAAAAAATTAAAATAGCCCAAGTTAGTTTATTTTTCTTATAAGAAAGTACTCTGTCTGAAACTCAAAACCCTGTTGCCAAGTCTGGCTTATTGGGCCAGGCTGACATTTCTTTTCTTGTGCCAGATTCTCTTCAAGAGACTCAAGCCTCTCCTTTGTTCAGTTATTGTCTTCCTCTACCACTCCAAAAGTGGCCAGGATACTTGCATATGCCTAAACCTCATAAAAGAAATAGTTCTACTCTTTTTCTGAATCTTCTAGTTCACATATATATTGATAAAAGGATTAGGTACTATTTAGGAGGTGAGGAGAGGAAAAGTGACATCTAATCCCATGTGTTCGGAAGTTTCAAATTTCTGCTCTAATCCAATATCATAGGTATTATCACTTAATGCTCAGCACCAATGTAATGAGATAGGTACTTTTACTCAGTGAAAGACTGAAATGAAAAAAAAAAAGATCTTGGCTTCATTGGAAACCTAGATTTCCTTTAGCACATCCTTCCTGGTTATGTTTATATGGAGGTCTCTGTACTGTTTATTGTCTTTAAAATAATTACAACTCTGTAAACTGTGGAAAGTGGATAGAAGTGCATGTGATTATTGTCTGTGGATGTGTGAATACATCATGCTTGGTGGAGGCTAAATTGACTTCCTTTCTCCGCCGTGGAAGAACCCAGTTTTTAGTCTATTTGTGTGGTTCTCTGGATTCTCCTTTGAGAATCCAAAAAAATCCAACTAGTTGACTGATTATCTTGTTAATTAATAAGTTAAATAAAATGTTTGATACCTATATGCTTTATGTTTGTTTGAGGGATTTTATCTTTTAAAAAATTATCCTTTAACAACTTGATTTTACCAAATAGGAAATATTACACTTTTAGTATCCAGTAATGTAAACATAGCTAATAAATAGCAGAGGTGGAATTTAAATCCAGATTTTCCAACTTCAAATTCAGAATTTCCCAAATTCAGATTTACAGAGGAAAGAAGTGATAGGTAAAACAGGGGTCCTATTACTTCTGTCCAACTCTGTACATTAGTGTTCAAGTAAGCTCATTTTCTCCAATCTGTTGCCTTTGATTTTTGCTTTACAAGCTACTGAAAGATTATTATTCTGAAAAAAATGCTTTATTTCTCTTTGTCCTTCCCCTCAGTGACTTCCATGGTCAGTTAGAAATATTTTGAACTGTTGACTCCAGAATTTAATCCACCCCCAACAATTTTGCCCTCTATACCCTCCAATATTATCTCACAAGCAACACACCTTATTCTTAGTCATCTTTGTTTTCTCGGATTTAGTTTTCTCTGTTATGAGGCCTTCTTGTACTCTGTTTTGCTGAACCTAATAAACCTTGAAAAATCATTTTCAGTGAATTTTTATCTCTCCCATAAAGTTTCCCCAAATCTATCTGGCATTGGAGCCATTGTTGCCTCCTCTAAAAGTTAGCACGTGTCTGTTTAGACATTTAGCAGTTAATATTAACAGTTGTCTTTGGGGTATGTAAGCATTTGTGCATCATGTCCTTAAAGGCAATTTAGTGCAGTAGTTAAGAATACAGGTTTTGGAGCTGGACTTCCTGGCTTCAAATCCCAACTTTGCCACTTCCTTTCTCTACAACCTTGGGCAAGTTATCTAAATTCTCGGTGGTTTGGTTTCTTTATCTCTAGGAAGACCGTGAGAGTTCCTATGTAATTGGATTGTTGTTGGAATTACATAAGTTAATACATGTCGAGTCCTTACAGATATATTTGCTTCAAAGTTGTATAAAATTTTACTGTTATTGTTGATATTATTTCTATTTTACTATTTCTTGGCTTACTTTTTTCCAACTAAATTTTAAGTTATTTGTGGAAAGAAATAATTTTTTAAAATTTGTGCAGTATTTTTTACAAATCTGATGCGTAATCACTGGGTAAAGAGGAGCTATTGACAAATGCTTTTGAGCAGGGTTTTGTGTATCAAAGGCAGTGTTTAAACAGTTTGCAGCAAGGTGTGGGAAAGGTTTTCGGAAAGGTTGGATTAAGGACTGCTGCAATAATTCTAGCATGTTATAATTTTTTATAGGTCTCCAATTGCAAACATTTATTGAGTATTCGTCATGTGCCTGACATAGAGATAAAACCTATTGATTCATAATGGACAAATAACCATTCCAATCTTCAGAGCATTTAACACCCAGTACAGAAAAATTAATAAATGAATAAAGAGGGGCAGTCCATTGCTGAACTTTATGTATAGGGACAGGATGCAGAGGGAGAGTAAGATAGTGGTGGTTTCTTGAAGGAAGTAATGCTTAAGCCTTGAACTGGAGGAGTTGGGTGGTAAAAATGGGGTATTATTCCAACCAAGCAAGTAGAGCAAACAAGGCGGAACCAACATTGCAGTGCAAGACAACCGCAGTGGGTTCAGGTTTGGCTGTGGTACAAAATAAAGCTGGAGAAGTCACAGAGGTCCATCCTGCCGTTTAAAAAAAAGATTTGGACCCTTTCCTACAGCCAATAGAGAATGTGTGCAGATTTGAGTTTCTAAAATAAGTCATCAATAACTTTTTCAGACTATTGTGATTCTGTTTTGCCTCATTTTAATATTATAGAAGTAAGGATATATTTTGCACGGACAGAATTAATATGATAGTGACCCTTCCTTACCCCAAGAACAAAAAAATTTTCCAAACAACCATTATAACAACCAGTGCCAATACCCACTCCCCACTGATGTTTTCAAATTTTTCTTAACACAAAGGAATGCACTATATTTAGTTTCTAGGGTATTTCTTAGAATGTTGAATTCCATTAAGTATGCCATGGCTTTTGAGATGAATTAGCTGTCTCACTAAGAACAGGATTTGCAGAAACGAGGTACATGTTAGTAAATATAGAAAGAGAATGGATGAGAAAAGAGGGGTTTCAAACAAGGCCACTGCCTGGAAGAGCCACAAACTAATCAGAACCTCAAGCAGTGGCAGGCGTCAGGTGAACAGATGATAAAGACTGACTGGCTGACCAAGAACTGCCAATAGTAGCTTCATATTTATGGAAGAACATTATAAAATAGGAAATATGCTGTAAGAAGACCTTCCCCTCAAATATTTAACTTTTACCATGCTGCATATTATCACACTCATTGTACTGTGTCATCCTACTAAATATATAAAGTCTGATAGTTATTTGTGACTAATCACGTTTAAATAAATCATGTTATGTGTTGAACTGAACTTAATTCTACCCTTTGTTTTTCATCTGACAGGGTGCTTTTAGAACAGTAAGTTCCACAAATGTCAGAGCATAAACTTTCATTATAGAAGCTATTCACTAATATTACATAAATCGTAATCAGAAACAAAGGGCATCACATCCTAAGAGGCATCCTTTTTAATCATGTAACAAAAGAACACTACCCTCAATTTGTAAATATGTATTTCATCTTGTAATACCAAAAATTCTTGTGGTGACAAAAACTGCTGGACAAAAACTGCTATTCATGTAATTCATGAAGCAGAAATGTACTTTGATCATTGCTAGAATCAATTCATATATAATAACTATATATTTAAATTTTATATAAATAAAATATATGATGTATTATATATTTTTATGTTATGTACATATAAATATATATGTACAAAATGATATATGTTTTTAAATGTCTTAGCAATGAGTACCTAAATTTTCTAATTATAAGGGACTAGCTCTTATCCTTATAAACAAGATATTTCTTTTGGATATATTGAGTAAAATATGTAAATCACTGAGAATTATATTGATAAATGGCAGATAGTGTTACTGAAACATGGTAATATGTGACATAAATATTACTGTTTTAGTTTAAAAAGTGAGTGGTCCTTTCTATCCGTATGAACTGGGTTTTATTCAGCAAATTTCCTGATCTAATGCCACAGTTCATTATGAAGAAGTTCATAGTAGGATTTCTTTTTAAACTGCTCGGCTATAAATTCCTATGTGACGTGAATATCTTGGTACAAGTTTTTATTGTGATACTGAAGCATATAATATCTTGTTCAATGAATTCCTAAGCCTGACAAATAAGTGATTAAAAATAAAATTTACTTTTATTAAGTGATTAAAATAAAATTTGATTTTTATGTGATTAAATTTTTTTCTACATAAAAAATAAAACAAGAGGAAAAAATGGGTGGAAGTAAGAGTGGTGAAAAAAGTAAAGTTAAAAAATAAAATGAGTTCCAAGATAATGTTGACATAAAAGATGATCTTGAGAAGTTGCTAAATGTGGCTGAAAATGTATTCAGACCGAAACATAAGCACAAATAACTGGTAGTTTATTTGTTTTTATGTGTCTGTTTTTAAAGAGAATTAAGAGATAACTAATAATAGTCTATTAAATGAATAAAGTTTATAAAATTTTATATTCTAAAACAAAATTGGCATGTCTTCAAAATTTACTGAAAGCCCTGAATATTATGCCACCCAACCAAAATTGTGAAGCTCTTACTACATAGACAGTTGTGATTTCCACCTTTTTTTTTTTTCCTGGAAGAATGTTTTATTATCAGGGCATAATCAGTGTGATCTTTAGCTAACCATGGTTTTCAATTTTACCTATTTTTAAAAAAACTTTTAAATTAACATTAGCTCAGCTTCATCTTTATTAACTAATTTTTGTTAAAGATTTGATGTCTTCCTATGGTATATACTATTGTCAGTTTATAGCAATGGTAGCTTTGACCTATGAATCTCCCAAAATCAAACTTTGATCAAACTTTAATACACGAAGTTCTCCCAAACCGTTACTTTTATAGTGAGAGTTCATTAGTAAATTTCTGTCCTTAAAGTTTTGCTTTTTTATTAATTTTGAATGTATTCTCAGGATAAGCATACTAAATCATTGGGATATTTTGAAGTATGTAAAAAAAATTATATATAAGCCGTTATTCTCTTAAAATTGTAGTATATACGGCCGGGCGCTGTGGCTCATGCCTGTAATCCCAGCACTTTGGGAGGCTGAGATGGGCAGATCACCTGAGGTCAGGAGTTAGTGACCAGCCTGGCCAACATGGTGAAACCATGTCTCTGCTAAAAATACAAAAATTAGCTGGACATGGGGGCGGGCACCTGTTATCCCAGCTACTAGGAAGGCTGAGGCATGAGAATCGTTTGAACCTGGAAGGTGGAGGTTGCAGTGAGCTGAGATCACACCACTGCACTCCAGCCTGGGTGAAGTAGCAAGACTCTGCCTCAAAAAAAAAAAAAAAAAAAAAAAAAAAAAAAGAAAAGAAAATTATAGTAAATACTTATATACGCTGCTAACATTTTTAACACAACATGTTTATTTTGTTCCTTTTCAAGTTTCAAGTTTTCATTGTCATCTAGATGTTTTCTAACATTCAAAATTTAACAAATGTTTTTAAAAGGTCAATTATGTGCCATTGTGTCATTTAATCCCACAGCCTTCTCTCCTCCAAGGATGCTGTATGTCCGTTTTATACATAAGAAAACTGTGGTTTAACAGTGAGAAAGGATCATAGTGACAGAGTGGGGGAACTTGAACATACTTTTTTTGACTTTTTTTTATATTCTACTCCACCAGCTGCTATACAGCTCAATGGCCCTTAGCTATGACCTTAATGAATGCCCTATTTAAATCTGATTTTTTCTGTCACTAACCTGGGCCCCCCACCTTTATTTAATAATCTCCTGGGTACCTTGAAGAACTATCCATACTGATATTATCCATTGAATTATCAGTCCAAGACAGAATAAGTACATGGTATCTCAACTCACTCACATGAAGACATGAGTTTTTGCTTCACTAAGTTCCATTCTAATATATCTTTAAATGTTTTATTAATACTTATGTTATTACTCGGGAGATAAGTTGATGGCTTTCACATTTCAGATCAAAACCATTAGATGTTAATTTCTACTGCTCTGAAAACAATGTACTAATTTCCTTTTCATTCTAAAAACAGAATAACACTAAGAAGTAAAACTTAAGGTCAATTGATTGAGTTTGGCAGATTTCTCACTAATTTTAGAGATAAAATCCAACAGTATCACTTCATAAATGTATTTGCAGCACCAAATTCGTTGAGTTAGGAGAGTTGGGTTTAAAAATGTCCCTCTTAAGTTAGGGCTGGCAGTGGAAAGGGACTTCATGAGGAGGGTAATCATATGTCCTGTTTTGCTTAGGCCGGTCCTGGCTTATGCCTGTTGTCCCATCATTTTATCTGGTTTAGCATGTATTTGAAGTTTTCAGTTTTTAAGGACAAGTTATTATTATTTATTTTATTAAGATGAGCTGGGTTGGGTTTGATATATTTCTACTTTGTTTGCATCTCCTGCCATAATTTGAACTAGTAGTTTGTGATTCCCATGTGCAATGAAGTCATTTCTAATTTTAACATGTGGTTAAATCTGATAGTCAATGACCAGCCTGTCCCTCTATTCTCAACCCTTTCCAACTCCAGTCTCCCTCCAAAGACTATGTGAATTGTGTTTGCCGATAATACAAAGACCTCTCAGTCCTCAGGGGCTGAGAACAGCTAACTCCTGCGCCAGATGCACAAAGCTGCCAAGCCACCAATGATTGCAGTTAGGAAGAAATATGAGAAATTATGCTTTTGGTATGGGAAGTATGTATGGAAAAGAGAGGATGCACAGTCCTGTTCTATAGAGAGTAGTCTGTAACTTTTTGTTATTATTTTTATGTTTATGTCTATAACTATATTGCATTGTTTGGAAAACCTTTTTTATTTTGGAATCAACCCTTTTGGCTTCAATAACAGAGTAAAAAAAGAAATGTGTTTATTGAAATGTTAGGTACTAAATTTATAGTTATTAAAAAATGTTGATGATAACATGTAATGTGCACAAAAAGTTTGTTGACATTTACCACCCATTATGGGGACTACACACATATCACTAACCACCTGACCACCCGACGATACAAATTTGCTGAAGAAGTGTCAGTGTCCACTTCAAATACTGTTTGCATTTTGTTCAAAATTAGTTAGAAATTTAGAACCAAAGTATTCAAATAATGGAGTAGCAATATATTTGTATTTTGAATACGTAATAAGCTATAATTATTGTGAACAATGCATGCAAACAGGAACATATTAAAATGGATCATTACAAAAGGAGAAACTAAGCAAATTAAATAATGAGAGCCCCCCTTGTGTAGAAGACTTAATTTGAAAGTTTATAATTGCACTTGAAAATATCTTGAGAAATGGGAAGGATGTTTTGTTAGAGCTCCCATCTTTGAGTTACTCATATATTTGAAGCACTTAAATTTGGCTAAAGATTCAAAATAATCAGAATAGAGACAAATTATTGATGCTTTTTTGTTATAGAATATTTGTCAAAGGAAATATTCTAAATAAAAGCAAAAAATCTATAAGAATGTTTACATATTTCAATATAGAAATATTAAAATTGAGAACATATTTTATGTAGCATAATTTGCTTTTTGCTTACCAGACAACTCAGAGAAAATTTTGCAGTTAAAAATTTTATGGTTTACAAAAAATGTAAATTGAAAATGTTCACAATTTCTAATATGTTATTCATAAAAATGCATCTTTGAGGAAGTTTGCAGGTAGTTTTATAAAAAAGCAAAAATAATATCACCACATTGAAATAACATATTTTCAAAATAATATTAGTGACATGGTAGTAGGGATAGAAATAGATAAGAAACTCTTCAAAGTACATAAAGGTGTGCAAAAATGCTTCCTCTGTTTATGTTTTTTCTAGACTAATTTCTTACACTATATTTTGAAAGGTTTTACAATGCTTTTTAATATTTTCTAAATATTTTAGCATTCTTAAAATCTAAAACATCTTTGATAAAATCAATGCAATTACTAGAAGCAGAAAGTGACTGTTATGCTATGTTTATTGTTCAGATAAGATTTAAGAAATATTTTAATGTTAATGTACTATGTAAAATAAGTGCCAATTTTATTTTTAGAAAGAATTTCATTTTGAGAATAGGTATTGAATAGTACATTTTATTGCTTCACCAATATATTTTAAAACCAAATTTTCAATTTTTAATCATTTCAAAAATTATAATTTATTTGCATTGCTCCCATTCACTGTTAAATATCATGTTAAATATCATCTGATTTGGATGATAAATCACATGGCCTCCCTGCTCATAATGGCTAGGACCAGGAACTTGATTCTACCGGCAACTGAAGCTACTACTTTCTGTCTCTGTCTTTCCTCTGTCATAAGCATGTGTGATCTTGGGAATGAATTACATAAACTAATGTGTCTGTGAGAGCCCATTTCTCTATAATGGAACAGTTCTTAGAGGTGGCTGGATAAGAACCCCTACACAGCTGTCTACTGCTAATTGATTTGAAGTTGAAAATAGTAGCTTTAAACTATGGTACTCTCTCTTGCTGGGAGTGGGGGAAGAGAGAGAGAGAGAGAGTGTCTGTGTGTGTGTGTTCTGAACGCGATTTAAAAATAAACAGACCTACTTTCAGGTAAGTGGTTATCAATTTTTCTTTCCTTCTAAGATTCATATTTTAGCCAAAATAGTTTTTAAAAAGCATGTAACAAAAACATTTTAAACAAGTTGGGAGAAAAAAATATCAAGGTTGGGGAGGGAAGCATAATGTATTGTAAATGTAAAAAAATATAATGCGCTCACTTGAAAGATGTTTTCTTTAGCCTGAAGTATTTTTATGATAGCCATAATTGGAATCCAAACAATGCAGAAAATTATTATACACCAGCCTAGAGCAACTCCCCAGTCAGGGTATGGAATTGTAAATGAAAGACCTAAAGATATCTTAGCTCCATTCATTATAAATGAAATCAAGATGCTTTTAATGAACTCTAAATATTGAACTCTTCATTCAGATGCTCTCAGAAATCTTTGCGCTTGATCTTCCTGAGTCTTGTCAACATGGAGGACAAATACATGGACAAGGATGTCAAATGAAGAAGTACAAAGAGTGTTTCCTATACCTATTAGGGGGCATATGGTCATACAAAAGAAACCAAAATAGAGATCAAAAGAATACAGTGTTTATGCTGTCTATTCGCTCATTCATCCACCCACCCACCCACCAAACCAGTCATCTACTTACCTGTTTGTTCAACTACCCATCCACCTACCCAACTATCTATCTACCTATCCATCCACTCACTCTTTCATATATCTAACTAATAGTTGATAAATGCATATTTTTAATATATTTCAATGGCAAAAAAAATGAGAACCTGGCCCTGATCTTAAGTTATTTATAGTCTAATGTAGAGATTTGATGCCAAAAACTATATTTCAATATAGCTAGATTTCTGCTTATATTCCACTGCTTTGGGCAAGATGAGTTCTTTTCTGAGAATTTAGAAAATATCCTAGAGTTACTCTTATGCTAATAAAGTTCTGATCTTCAGGTGTATATAGTCAGTCAAACTCTACTTAACTATTCTAGTTAATTTTAACAAATATTTATTGAATACTTATAAGCCAGGCACTGGGGTTCAGAGAAAACTGATAAAACACCACCCTTACACTCAAGCAAGGGGGTATAGTTACACATAGATTTGTTGAAAGCCACCCCACTAATTTTCTGATAGAAACATGCTCAGTGTACTACAGGAATACATAGAAGTGGCATCCACCCTGACCTGGGGTGGTGGGGAGCAGTAATAGCATCAAGGAAGATCTCTGTGAAAAGTCTAAAAATATGTATGAAATTAACCAAAGAAAAGAAGGGAGGGAAGGGCATTCCAGGAAGCATAAAAAGTATGAGCAGAGGCATAAAGGTGACAAACAGTGTGGTGGGAAATTATTATTTATTTTTTATTTCCATAGGTTTTGGGGGAACAGGGGGTATTTGGTTACTTAAGTTCTTTAGTGGTGATTTGTGAGATTTTTAGTGCACCCATTACCTGAGCAGTATACACTGAACCCAGTTTGTAGTCTTTTATCTCTCACGCCCTTTCCACCCTTTCCTCTGAGTCCCTATAGTCCATTGTATCATTCTTATGCCTTTGCATCCTCATAGCTTAGCTCCCATTTAGGAGTGAGAACACAGGATGTTTGGTTTTCCATTCCTGAGTTACTTCACTTAGAGTAACAGTCTCCAGTCCCATCCAGGTTGCTGTGAATGTCATTAATGGTATATATATATTAATGGTGTGTGTGTATATATATATATATATCACAGTTATATATATATGTATATATACATACCACAGTTATATATATATATAACTGATTGATATATATAGATATATATATATCTATCTATATACATCACAGTTTCTTTATCCACTCGTTGATTGATGGGCATTAGGGCTGGTTCCACATTTTGCATTTGCAAATTGTGCTGCTATAAACGTGTGTGCAAGTATCTGGCCTGCAAAAGCATAAGGGGAAAGGCATTCTGGGCAGTAGATGAACTGGAGTGGAAGGCTGGGATCTGTCATGCAAGGACTTTTATGAAATTTCAGGAAGCTTGAAAGACAATTAAAATGGTTCTAAGTGGTGGGGATGATAATGACATAGTTAGTTTTTATTCTAGATAAGGTTTTTCAACCTTAGCACTATTAACCAGATAATTATTTGTCATCTTATGGGGGCTGGGGTGTTATCCTGTACCTTATAGGATTTTGAGCAATATTTCTAGTCTATACCCGGTAGATAAGAGTAGCATTACCCAGTTGTGACATTCAAAAATGTTCTGGACATTGTCAGTGTCCCCTGAGGAGCAAAATTGCCCTAAGTTGAGAACCAGTGTTTTGGATGAATCACCCAGGGGATGAACTGAAGGAAGAAAGACAGGTGATGAAATCAGAACCAAATGCAGAAAGAATTTAGAGAGAAAAGCCTGCCAGATATGGCAGATAATTTGAGAGATACTGGGATGGAAAATATCGGAAGAAGAGAAAGAGCAAGACAAAGACAGGGAGACTGGAGGAAATCACGGGTTTGGTTTTTGAACTTGAAATTTGGGGTGCCTGAGTTACCTCCAGGCAAATGGGTCTGGCAGTCAGTGGAAAATGCATACCTGAAACTCCATGAAGAAGTTTGGTCTTGAAAAAAAGATTTGGGTGTTGTTAGTAAAAATAAGGAAGGAGGTGTGTAGAAAAGCAAAACAAGTGGGCCGGCAATTGAACTTTTGGGAACATAAATAGAAGAGTATACAGCAGGAGAGAAACTTATCAAAGATAATGAAGCATCAGGGGTAAAAAAAGAGCTTTTTGGGAAGGAAGTGTCTTAGTAACAATGGTAAAGAAAGGGGCATTCAAATAGGAAATAAAATATATTTTTGGAGATAGCAGTTTGAGCAGAAAATACAATACTATATGAAGACTGTTATTTTCTTTTGTAGATTTGGTGGCTGACACATAGTGTGTATTCAAAAAATGTTTGCCAGATGAATGAAAGAATCAATAAATGAATCATAATGAATTATACTGAATAAAGGATCTCTTTTAAGAAAATAAAGTGGATCTGTGGGCCTAGATTATTCAAATAGTCTTTGATTATAATATTATATCAATACCATACCTAAGAAAGTGGACATAATTAATGCTTCTTCTTTGATCACTTTATGATAATACAAAATAATCTGTTAATATATATCAAGTCTTTTGAGACTCTCACGAATAGACATTCCAGGGCTATATTTTTATGACGTTCCTTTTCATAGCAGTATGAACAAGTAGATAGCTGAATTAAGCCAGTGACAAAATAAGTGCAATGTGTAATTGGACTCATTTAATTTATAAATGATCATTTGTGTGTCTTGAAATATGCCAAGTTGTGTCTAGAAGACTGTGAACAGCTGTCTCATAGTTAATGGCTTTTCTCACCAAAAATATAAAAAGTGGATATTCAACTCATCACCAGCAGAATGTGTTCTAGATATCAAAGAGGGAAAAAATGTTTTCTTGTGTGAAATTTTAATGTAATTGGTATGGATTTCAAGATTTAAAAAAAAATGTATTTCAGGGTGCTCAGTTTAGTTAATATCAACTGGCAATTCTAAGAATTATTAAAATAAGATGTTAATTTCAGTTGAATTAATAAAACTCTAGCACTTACAGCCTTTGCCTGTTTATCTGCTTATTCCACAAGTTGAGAGTGTCAGATGCTAAATACTACAGAAATTCATTTCCCAAGATTCAAGCACAATTTAAAGAAATTAGTCATGTACTCTTCTTGTCAATGTTGGGAAAAAGGAGCTAAGCAAAATGCTGGCAATTTGCAAAATATTGCATTATGTTTTATTCATAAGAAGATATTTATTATTTGTATTTACTATCAGAAAGTACACATTTAACATTTCAAATGTTGTTATGTTTATTCCTATTGCACATCTTCAATATATGATAAAATATATGTAATCTGTTCAGAAGTTGTCTGAGTCTTACCAAAGAATAAATTCACTCTCTCTTTGTAATTAAATTAACATCCTAACTCCATTTGGATATATGTTTTCAACAACTTTAAAAAATTGAAAAGAGTGGTGTGTGATTCTCAATCAAGATGTTATGATTTGATACTATTAATCAAATACTATTAATACACCGCTGGCTACCATAAGGCATAAATAATAAATTATAGTCCTTATGCTCAGATATTTCCAAGCCCATTGGTGAGAAGGAACCCCATATAAATTAATAAGAGGACAATAAAATGCTGAGCACCATTAAGTTCGGTGCAAATGTGGAAAGCATTTAAGGAAAGGAGAGATCCATGGGAATTAAGAAAGCCAAAAGAGACTTATGGCAGATATGGTGTTCTTCCTATTTGTGTTGATGTTGGTAATACTCCAAAGAGAAATTTTTCCTCTTTATGGGTAGAAAAGACGGGAAAACGGGGGTTGAATTTGCCTTTCACAGGAGCTCAATGTTAAAGCAAGGGATCAAGAGATGTCAGGTCTTTCATATTTCTGGATCCCAGGGATATTTTTCATACTTTCCTTGTTCAGTAAACAAAATCACAAGGATATATGTATATCTATATCTATCTATATTTATGTCTATATCTATACCTGTCTCTCCTGTCTATATATAGTATATAAATATAGACTACACAGTTCACATATATATTCATATTATAATATTCACAAATATATGTGTGCAAAGTATAAATATATATGTATAGCCATAAAGGAGTAAATAAATGTGTAAAATATATATTACACCTTCTCAGTTCCCATCCCTTAACTGCTTTGGCAATAGCTTTTAAAGCATTATGCATTTTTTACTTAAAAGGATTCACAATGATTGCCCTCACATGCAAACCAAGTCTTTTTAGTGCTTAGAAGTTACTAATGAAAATAAATCACTAAAACATGCTTTTCTCATGTAGGAAAATGATTTCTACTTCTTGAGGAAAATGTTATTTTACTTTCTGAGGCCAAGGAGTTATGTTTATCTAGAAAGTAATGCTGATAAATTTAAGAAAATACTTGGATCATTTTAAAATGAAGTAGGTTCTTCTAAACAAAGCTAATTTAGTCTTTGGGATTTTCGTAGGGTTTCTAACACTCACTCAGAGATTGACTATTACATTGTAAAGCATTCAAACCAGTCATGTAGACTACCTTAAATTATCCAAGATATTTGAACTCCCCTGCAGAATTAAGCAAATGATTGTGCCTTCACATCTGCTATGAATACACAGCACAGCTCCGTTTACTAGATTCTGAACAAAAATCAGCTTTGCTTATAGGGAGGTGTATGTATTGTCAATGGTAGCATGAAACTTAACAGGGAGGCACTGCCTGTTCACTCCATTTGCCAAGAAGAGAATTCAGACAGGATTCAGGTGCTTTTTAAAGATCTGGCAGGACGATTCCTGGGAGAGTTATAGGTACCTTTTGAGTTATCCTTCCTCAGTGTAATGTGTAGTCCCTAGGTAAGCCCTCAAGTGGGCTTTGGGAAGAGATTTTTTTGGGGGCGGAAATACTGCATAAACCAAGGCTAGATATTTGGCTTGAGAGGCCTGCATTTCAGAGTTCCCTTTGCCAAAAGTCACTGAGTGACCTTAGACAATTTATATACTCTTTTCTGGTCTTCTCTTTGTACAATGTGAAGTTTAAATTAGGCAGTCTGCAAGATCTCTTCCCATTCTAATAAAAGGTTATTTAGAATTTCTTATTTATTTCTCGGAAAGCCATTTAATTTCCATTTATTTCTAGGAAACATTTTGTGAGTGAAGAGATTTGCCATCACATTTTAAAATTAAGAGAGAAAGATCAGAGATGGACCAGCAGCACAAGGCTCTCGATGTTTTTTTTCTTTCTTCTACTTTTTTCTTTTTCAATTATGTGATTCTCTCCAAAGTGATATTACCCAAATGCATAAAATGAAATTGTATCCTTCCAATTGTATACTTAGCTGTGGGATGATTAACATCCTAATTGTTACATAGGACTTAGTAAGAAAATAACACAAAACCCCTACCACCAGGGTGAATAAAGCCTTCTTTTTGGTGCTTCAATCTCATTTGAAGTGTAAGATGTAAGAGAATTCATTTTCATATTTTATCTTCTTGTGCATCACACTTCCTGAATGCCCATTTAAAAAAATATATATTGCTTTCATCAAGATTGTCCTTTTACTCCTGAAATTCTGTTGTGGAGGGTTCTGACACATTGTAAAATGGCTGCTTTAGTGTTACAGAAGGTTAAGTTTCATAAACCTATCAGTAAAAAAAAAAAATTTGATTAGAAAAACCGGGCTGTCACATATGTTCAAATAGGAGTCATTCATATTTCCCAGTGAATCAAATGAGAGATAAAAATGAAGGATGATGGTGAGAATACAAAGTAGGTTCCTCTGACAGCACCATCTGGGCAGAGCCCTGTTAATATTGGACCCTGAAAGTATGATGAGCTTTTTGCATTAGTGCTGACAGCTTCCTTCTTCACATCCATATGAACCTGAAATTAGGAAGATGTTTGCATACTATCCAATATTCAAATATTTTTATTTCAATAATGCCTAGTTGATGCCACTATCCTTAGCCTTCATCTAGGTTGTTTCAGTTCTCCTATACAGTCATAAATACATGATGTCCCATTGACCACATATTTTCATTAGTTTTCTACATACGTTTATGCTTCTCATTTTTTAAAGTACATGAGAGAAAGGTATTGTGGGTGAAAAGAAAAGACATAGTTTCCACCCATAATGACTTACACTGGGGAGGCAGAAGAAAAACATATACAATGATAAAAATGCAAGAGCAATATGTGAGTATGACAGTCAAAGAACAGATGCCATGTAGAAGTGCATGATTTATTTCCAAATAGGTTTGCTAACACCAAGTATTTTGATTTAAAAGATGGAGAGCCTACTTGTCTGTTGATTGGAATAGTCAGGGCAGGCTTCATGGAAGAGGTGGGGCTGGAGGAAGCATTGAAAGATGTGAAGGATTGGGATAAACTAAAAAGGCAGGATGGTGTGAACAAAGGCAGTATTTCTCAAGGCGTAGTCTCTGTACCACTGCTGATATGCACAGTAGACAGATGTAACATTAAATAATGTTGAACCATCAGTGAGAAAGTTTTCTCTTTCCAATTCTCTTCAAAATTTTTTTTACTCAGGAAAAAATAGACCTCAGTCTGATATTTTAACTCCTTGCTTTACTTGCTAGCTAGCCAGTTCCTCTTCATTCCCCCTATTCTTTAACACATAGCCAGCAGGCCTCAGGCTCCAAGACTGTGTCAGACAACGGTAACTATAATAAAATTGATCTCAGATCGCATTTATTTTTTAGTTCTCTTAATCTTATGGAAAGTCATGCTGGATTTCCATTTAAAATTGTGGTATGAAATGTTTTCATCAAATAAATGTATTTAAGGAAAACCTTAGGCAACTTAAGGAAAAGTAGAGACAAATAATAGTACTAGTGTTAGGACAAAATGTGTTTGGGTGGTATGTTAATCACTGAATTTGGGAGAACACTGAGGATGATAGGTAGCTCCATGTGATAACAAGGAGAGTCATGATGGACAGTAGCCAGAATAAGATTAGAAAGACTGGTTGGTTGTGAATAGGTCAGAAGATCAGGGAATGCTAGACTCATGAGCTTTATTCATGGTGTTCCTTCTCTTGGGATTACATTATCACCTCTTTTATCCAGATAGTAATAGCTGTGGTTTATTGATTCCTTCTCAGATTTCACATATTTATTAAGCATCTTAAATATAATTATTACATCTTTCATCACAACTACATTAAGAGAAAAGTATTACCTTGATTTTAAGAGTGAATATTCTCACCAAAGGTCTCACAGCTAACAGCTAATAGAGCTGGGTTTGAAACCCAGACCCACTTGACTCCAAAACTTCTATTCTTCAACATACCTGGCAACTCTCTTGATCTTCAAGCCCCAACGTGAATACCAGCTTTATCTGTGTGAGCCCCACTTTCCAACAGATGGTTGATGTCCTCTTTGGCCTTCACACAGCCAGCACTATGTATTTCTGGGTAGTAATTTATTCTTATCTTCATTAGAATTTACTTGGCCATTTACTGACTAGTTTATAAATCCTGAAAAGGCCTGTTCACATGTCTCAAGGCATCTAGCACTGTACTTGTCTCGTGGTTGGGGCTCATACTGTTTGAATTGAGCTAAATTTTCTTCTTTTGCCTTAGCTTATCACAGAAGTACAGAAGTACAGCTGCACCACCTCAGAGTGGAAGTGGGAACAGGAGCTCTGGCAAAGATAATTCAGGAACTACCTGGAAAGGATTTGCCTTTGTCAGACTCCAAGAATCTAATTAATTAATTTTGAGCATATCAGCAATTCTTCAGTTAAATCACTTTGTATTTTTTCTGTAGCTGGGTTTTGTAACATCTGGGTTAAGTAGCACAAAAATGGATGCCTAATAATTATAGACTTTTGGGTCTCAGAAGAGAATCTTAAAGAATATCTCATCCAACTCCTTTATTTTTTCAATGAGAAAACTGAAGACTAAGGGAGTTTCATGATTTGATAAAGCCACAGAGCAAGTTTAGGGCAGGTCTTTAATTAAAAGTCTCTCAATTTCTCATTAATTATCTTCTATATTGATGGCTTTGAGCTTGGAGATCATAGACTCCTTCTTTGCACCCAATGTAGGAATCTCTACAGCATCCTTTACTGATGTTAACAAGTGCTGCTTGTGCACATGGAACAGGAACTCATTGCCTTTACGAGTAATCTATTTCTCTTAAATTAAAGAGGATATTTCCTCTATGAAACCTAAGACAACATTGCAATCCTATCTTTTTTAATAGGAGTGTTCTAGGACTCTGTTTTTGAACTTGTCCCCTTTTCCATCCATATGCACCTCATTCTGTGATCCCATCAGTCTCAAGCCTTTAAATACATCTCTAAACTGAGGACTTTGAAATTTGTATCTCTGGAACAGCCTCTTCTCTTTTGAACTCGAGGCCCATGTATAACTGCTTACTGGGTATTTCCCCCCTAGGATGTCTAGTAGGCATTTCTGATTAATATCAAAAAACAAAGCCTTGATTTCTCTTTCCCACCAAAATGCTTCCCCAATCCCCCAGTTTTCTTCAGCTCTTGAATTGAGACTTTATTTTTTCTAGTTGCTTGGGCCAAAAACCAGTAGTCATCTTGATATGTCTTTACTGGCCTGGGGTACTATTTCAGTCATCTGTTTATTGCATCTCAGCTCAGAATGCAGTCTTCAGCATATGCTCAGTGATAACGGAATTCCTTTAAGTACTTCCCCTTTAAAGAGAGCATAATGTTAATCGTTCTCAGTAGAGGGTGCTAGAGGGACAATAGAGGAGGAAAAGGCTTTGCAGGCTTTTTCAGAATGGTCCTGGTATTGGCCATGTGGGTAGGAGGACATCTAGTGAAGTCTACTCCAGTATCAAGGTCAAAACACAGTCCCTCTGCAAGCCTGCAGCTTCAGCATGGCCATAGTCTCTCCTCAGCCTTCTTGACACAGAAACCAGAGGTAGGCATGGCTAGCACCCACTGAAGTGCTCCTATTGCTGACAGCACCTGGGCTTCTACCACCCCCGCCTGCCCGTGGGATTAGTTGCTGATCATCTGCTCTGGGCTGGCACTCAGCACTCTAGAGGGTGATGGCCTATTGCTGGCCCAGCAACTCCAGACCACCTCTGGCCTGGCCATACCTATGTAATTCTCTACGACGTTGGGAGCTGAACTGCACTTTCTCTAAGTTTGCCCTTCCTTGGATTTTTTCCCTAAGCCCTAGGATAATATATAGTTACACTTTTATCAGAGTTAATAATTCTCTATATTAAATGTTGTCTGTTTAATTTACCATGTGACATCTTTATCCGGATTGGATCCAGATTGCTATAGGACCATCCCATAGCTGCTAGGAGCATTGGCCACAAAACACATAGCTGTCCCTTTCCTTGGATAATTGCCCTTCATTAGTGGGTGCTGCCTAGCTCAGGAGGTTAGCCACCTTTTCCTCCTCTCCCACCTATGGGCTAGATCCAATGACTAACCGATAAAAGCCAGCTCCTTTGACTTAAGGCAAGGACAATTCTGTGGGTACACTTTGCCTCCTAACTTCCCCTGTGGATCAGGCCAAGGCTAAACTTTACCAGAAACCATGTCTTTTCTCAGCTTTCTCTCTCCTTCTCAATCCTGCTTCCCTTATTCTCTTATGTGTCTTTCCTGAGAGTATTCCCTCAATAAACTGGGTATATCCTAGCCTTTGCCTCAGGCTTTGCATCTGGGGAACCTGACATTAGACATGTACCAAGGACACAGTGCTAGAAGATAGTGAAGTTAGTAATTATACCAAATCTCTCTAACTCCAAATCTCGTGCTCTCTAACCAGCATTGTCTCATAGTTAAGATACTCTTTCACCTTCAACATGTTCTCCCTAATCCAGTATGTCTTCCATGCTGAGCCACCTTGGCCTGGAGAAAGGTCTGCCATTAGATCAGACTAAAATATGTGATTATTGATGCACCAATATCTAAGGCCTGTGCCCACTGTTGCCATAGGTCTGCACGCCCATTATCTGTTTCATGGAGGCTTACACATACCCTGCTGTTACTGGCTTGGGCCTGTATCTCTTCCCTAGAATGTGGGCCAGCATTCTAATTGGAGCTCTACCTTCCCAGTTCCTTGAAGTGAGTCTGCATGTCTAGCTAAATCACACTGCTATTCTCCCATCAGGTTTATTTGGGGTAGAGTAGTTCTCCATTTCCTGGGAATTGTGCACTGGCATTTACTAAGGTACAGAAACTAAGATGATATCTTGACACTTGAATGCCTTTTAGGTAAATAATCTATGAGTGGGGGCCATAACAGTTTATTTATAATTTCTGGCACCACACACTAGCACTTATTGGGGAACGGGGTAGAGGCAATTGAAGTGTTGCTCAGAGACCTGGGAGAACCATGAGGACCTAGATTTATGAGAGATTGAAAGATTGAAAGATAATTGGGCCAACACTATGTGAGAACAGCTTCTTTCAACCGATTCTATTTTCAGATGCTCTAAAACACAGTGAAAGATTCAGCAGACAAGTCAACAGGTCTTGGATCTAATTGTCTCTTTTCCATGATCCCAGCTTATGTTTTGATTTTGTGGTTTGTTTTTGACCATTGCATGCAGATCCCTTTGGGGATTTCTTAGCCTACTCAATGCTACTTACTAGAGTATGACTCCAAATTTCCCATATGACTCCAATTACTTGACAGCCCACAACTTTTTCTCTCCCTTTCTCAAAAAACAAACAAACCAATAAATGAAAGACTGGTATTCTTGCTAGTAGGCTCTCCTTTCTGCAGAGAGACAATTTACCCACGTCAGAAAGGTGATTACACTCTCTTCGGCATAGCCATGTTTTCTTTGTGGCTGGATGAAGTACATCTGTAGCTAATTCTGTCACATTTTTAGTGTCCCACAGTTAGATGAAATTATTAGCCATTTCTACAGAGTGTCAGCAACTGCAAATAGAAATGTGCCTTTGAAGGCAGCTGGATCCAACTGGGAATTGAAAAATTAATAGGAATTTAGAATAATGGGCATGTTTGCAATGAACCATTTATGGGTTCAAGAAACCTAGTTCCTCTGGTAATTTGAATAAGCAGTTTTGCTAACAAAGTTTGTCTATTAAGTGAACCTGCTGGATGTACCTATCATTCACAAACAACTCGAATTATCACTCTCCCATTAAATTTTACCCTTTCCCCTTAGCTTGCTGGTTTGTGGAATTGATTCTCTCCATTCTAGGCAGGGAATGGAGAGAGAAAAAAATAGAAACAACTTACAGTGCTAGCAGAGGCAGGCTGGCCTACTTCTCCATCAGGGACGAAGAGTGTTTGTGTTACACACGTAACTTTGGATGAAATTCATGTGTATTTTGCAGGTAACTTTGGACGAAATTCAAGTGGTGCCACATTTATTTGAAATGGCAGATATTCTCAATAGAAATTCTCAGTTATTATCAATATCTACTAGTAATTCTTGATACTTCTTCTTAATAGATCTCCAGTATCATGGTCCTTGCCCCTCTGACCAAAATGGATTTTAACCTCAGGAAAATAAGCAAGTGTCACCAGCAGCTTCAAAATGTTTATAATCATAATTATTCCTCATACTACTAAAATGTGTTAGAGTTTCCTTGCCACCTTTATTTATGTGATTTTAGTCCCTTTTGTGTAACTTCCCTTTCCCCAGTGGAAATGTGTGTCCCTCAAGGAAATACAATGTGCTGCTCACTCATTGATACATCAGGAACCCCTTTTATGTTCTCTTCAGTTTTGTAGCAGTTAGAGCACTGTTCTCAAGGAAACAGTTATCAACAGGATTGGTTTTTCCATTTGGCTCTGAGATTGCAGCAGTATGGCAACAGGCCAGATCCAGGACGCCGATGCTTGCCAGGAAGGGTGAGGAAGGAGCCAGGGATCTCAGAGATCAGGTTGAGCAATATGAGAGCAGGACTTTGGTGCAAATGAAGCAGCACACATTTTAGCTGGTGTGAAGGTAGAAAAGATATTTAACCTCTTTGAGATCATTTCTTCATCTTTCTGTAGAGGATGATAGCAAGATGCACCTCGTGAGGTTATTGTAAAGATTAAAGGAGGCATTCATGTGAAGTCTGAGCGCAGTCCCTTGCGCAAGGCTAACATTTTTGTTTGGGTACACTGATCATCACTGCTAATTCAAGTTGAGGAGAAAGCCGTCTGCTTTGCTTGGAAAGTGTTCTATTTCAGTTTATTTAGATACATGGCTTAAGATATTTCACCTTACATTTCTATAGTTTATAAAAATCTATTATGTCCAAACTTTCAAAGTAGGTGACCCATTCTGTGAGCAAGTTGCACACACAGGCCTAGTTATGAGTAGTTATGATTAGCATACATATTGTTTTCTGGAGGCAAACATTCTAAGAGCCTGAAAAGTTTGGCTTTAATATATGAAGTCTCTTCCTTTTTAGCCATTTTTATGTTTTTTATTTGTTCATCAATACTCTTTCCTAGGAAATATATAATTACGCATTTAACAAATACTTACATAATATTTACAGAGTGCCAAGCATTTCCTAGGCCTATTATAAATATTAATTAACATAATCCTTATGAAGTTGCTTCTATTATTATTCCTGTGTTACAGATATGTAAACTGAGGAACAAAGTAATTAAGTAAGTTGCTCAAAATCTCGTAGGTATTAAGCTGTCCAGCTGGGATTCTAATCCAGGCAGGCTGGCTTCAGCGTCTGTACTTACAGGTATCAGGCTAGACCAATCTAGCCCATTTGTACGGTCGCAGCTTTTGAATAACTGGATTTGGGATTATTTAACTTGTTCTGTGTGTCTGTATGTCTAGGCTTTCTGAGTTAACTTAGACTTACCTTATTTAGTTTGTTTGGGACTATGGTACTAACTGTAAATTTCCCTTTTGCATAAGTCCTACAGGTAGGGAGTTTAGGGATGCAGGAGGATGCCAGGCAGTGGTGTTAAGGACTTCTCTAAAGAACCTGTGTCACATAAACTAGGAGCCATGGATTTGACTGACTTAAACTGTTTTCTCAATCCAAACTAGATTCTGAGACTTCTGTCATTTTAAATTATCTTAGGAATCCCTTCTTAGTAATTCAAAGTAATTCTACTCAGCACAAATAGAAGACCTATGTACTGAGACCAGGATTTTTTTTTATTTTCTTGCTAATAACTCAATTTTAGAATATTTTAAAACTCCACTAATCATAATGAACCCTATGAATTTAAGAAATTTTTAAAGTTTTTCAACTAGTTTGTGTTTGGTTTTGAAGAAGTTAGTGAACTTGTTGGATTTCCGTCTTAGTACTTGTCCCTGATCCACCAGCAGTGGTCTGCTTTTATAATACCAACTGACCATATTTTTAGTTTGAAAAACACCATGAGCTTTCTTTGCTATACATGCTCCTGGTTTTCCTGCCACATCACTGGTGGCTCCTTTGCCATGTCCACCTATGTTCTGTGACTTCATAAAATCGAACTGCTCCAGAACTCAGGCTTTAGTCAGATCATATCACTCCTTCACTCAAAATGCTGTAATAACTCCTTGTTTAAAGTCCCTGCGGTAAGACTCTTCATCATCTGGTCCTTCACTTTCTCTCTGGCCTGATTGCCTATTGCATTACTTTGCTATGGCTGCTGGAACAATGTACCACAAACTTAAATGGTTTAAACAACAAAAAGTTGTCTCATGGTTCCAGAAGCTGAAGTCTGAGATCAAGGTGTCAGCAGGCCCTGCTCCCTCTGTTGGTGCTAGGGAAGGGCCTGTTCCTAGCTCCTCTCCTAGCTTCTGATAGCTGTTTGACTGGCAGAACAACTCCAGTCTTCATATGGCATTGTCTTTGTGAGTATGTCTATCTCTGTGTCCAAATTTCCTCTTTTTATAAGGACACAGTTATATTGGATTAGGGGCCCACCTTATTCCAGTATAACCTCATTTTAACTAATGGCATCTGCAATTACTCTATTTCCAAATCAGGTCACATTCTGCAGTACTAGGGGTTGGGACTTCAACATATGAATTTGGACACAATTCAGTCTGTAACACCTACTATGCTTCTTCCTACCCACTGTGGGGCAGCCATACTACCCTCTTTGAGGTTTTTTGAGTACTTGAATGTGCTGCTGCCCTAAAGTCTTTGCCTTGTCTGTTCCCTCTGCCTAGAACACTTTCATCCTCACTACCACTGTCCTCATGGATTATAAACTCCCTTCTTTAAGTATGTCTTCAAATATGCCCTCCTCAGTAATGCCTACCCAGATCACCCTATTTAAAATCTTACCCCAACTCCTCCTCATACCCCTCAAACTCTTTTGTCTGTTGCTTTTCTTTTTTCCATAGTATTTATCACCTTATAACTAAAATGTTTATTGTTTGTCTTCTGACCCTGACACTGGAGTGTAAGCCCTCTGAGGGGTCTTTGTCTTTTTTTATTCTGTTGTAATCCAAGCACCTACAACTGAACTTGAGACTTAACAACAGGTCAAAAAATGTGTGTAGCATTCCCATTTTTCTTTGTTGCTTTAGTTTGAGAGATGCAACCCTTTAATATATTGGAGTAAGGCAGGTGGGAGAACGGCAAAACATATCTGAAACAAGTTTCTTGCACACTGCAACATGGCTTTTCCATGCCATACATTTGAGGCTTTTAGCTAAATGCCATCTTCATGATGACTGCAAATTCTTATGGGTGCTTGCCATGGCTCCCTTCTGAGAGCTCAAAGCATTCTCTTCCTACAGAGTGGAACCAAGCTCTTCCAGAGATGAGAGAGGCCTCATCTGACTTGGTCTGACATCACTTAGCATGCGGAGAAGCAATCACTGAGGCTTCTAGAAGGGACCTATTACTCAGGTCAAGAACTCAGGCATCATGACTTGCTGTGATTTTTCCTACTAGCATCAAAAGCAAAAAGCTCCTAAAGTAACCACAAAGTACTCTGAGAGACATTTCTCTGGCTTCACTGGAGAGGACACGGTTTAAAGGGCCACAGACGTTACATCTACTTGCCTTAATAATCACATCAAGGTCTCCCATGGTTCTCTCGTAGCCAATGTGTCAGGAGAGATTCCCAGCAGAACTGCTGAGCTAGCCAAGCCACCATTTTATATTAAAATTGTCTATTTGTTATCAGCCTCTACCTCATAGAATGTGGAGGCTGATGAGGGCAAGCAGGTCTTGGCCATTGCTGTTTTTCATTCTGGCGCCCAGCATAGATGCTATATATGGAAAATGCTTGGAAAATCCTTCTTAAACCCCAGCTGAAGTACAGTCTCAGAGCTCAGCCCACACAAGCTCATGCAGGTTGCATCACCACCCAGCTACCTGGGTTACTTATCATAGTGGCATGGTCCATGCCTTTGTTCTTTGGTTTAGTTTCTCCTTAAACTCATGAATGGCTTGCAAAAATAAATGCTGAAACACTGCTTAAGCAGTTCTTCTTGCAGGGGTAAGATTGGTGACGTGTAGGAGAGTCTGAAAGGGTGTTTCTGATGTGCCCCAGGTGGTGAAACCTGTCAACAATGCATCTAAAATGAATGAGTCTTCAAAGAGGAAGGACTCCCTACACAGATGTGGGAAACATGACACTGATTTTTTTTTTCAGCCATGCTCTTTCATGGATGGCAACATTATCCATGACCAACCATAAAACAGGAATGGTATCAAAAGGCATCATTGACCAAAGCAGCACATATGATCCCTCAATCCACAGGTAATAAACCCATCTTATTCCTTATTTGGCCATCCATCATATACTCCCTGAACAATGGCACTTTTTTTTTTTTCTCATCCTATCAGTGTTATCTACATTAAGTCCATTTAAAAGAAAATGCTAGGCATGTTTTAGTGTAGAGGTAGTTCCTTTTGATGAGGATGGCTTCTTTCTGCAGACAAAGCTTTATCAAGAACCTAATGAAGCCTAAGCTTTGGGGCCTTTTACTTCCCCTAGTGGGAGCTTTACCATGTGCCGCAATCATTTTTGTTTGTAAAATTTTCAAAAGGAATATATTTTAACCACAATAGGTTTGTTGTACTGTCTCTCACCATTCTGATTTTCCTTCTGCCACACTTATCTTCATATGGCTGCAGGCAATTTTGAGGTTTAGCTAAAAGGGAATGATAAGTTGAGAATGCATTTATTTAGGTTAGATTGAGCAGTATATACTTAAATAGTTTGCAGTAATTTCCAAGTATAGCTGTTGCTAGTCATCCTGGTGTAGGAATAAATGGGCTTGCAAGATTACTTGAGATACCTGCTTCATGACTCACTGAGTGTTAGGACGCTAAGGGGCAGGGCCTGAGATTTTGCCCCAGGTTGGATAGCTCCTACAGTGCATTGCACCAGAATTGTGTGAATGGGGAAGGTGAAGGAAGGCTTGAAATAGCCAAAAACAGATCTGTGGAAAAGTATTATAAGAGATACATTCGGCAGTCAGTGATTAATAAAGCCATTATGTTATTTTTCTGGATTTCATGTTTGTGTTTGTCAACTTTTTGTAATTTGTCACTTGGGTGATTTTTTTTCTCATCTTAAATGAATGTTCATCTTCACTCCTAATTTATTTGTTTTTTTTTCTTACAGAATTTTTCCTATTTTTAAAAAACATTAAGACTTCCAAAACACGGATTGTCCCTTCTACAGCCTTATCAATTCTCTTTAATTTGTTAAATTTTGACAAGTCCTCTTGGTCCTAATGTATGAAAATGTCATATAAAGTTTAATGTCATTTGGTGGTTGTTATTAGTAATTTCACTGCTCTCAACAACTTCTAAAAACATACAGATATTAGATAACTAGTCCTTATCAAGTCTCTAAGTGCAAGAAAAAAATAACACTAGCATTCCTTTTTTTTTTTTTTCCTTCTTGAGACGGAGTCTCATTCTGTTGCCTAGGCTAGAGTGCAATGGCACGATGTTGGCTCACTGCAACCTCTGCCTCCCAGGTTCAAGCGATTCGCCTGCCTCAGCGTCCTGAGTAGCTGGGACTACAGGCACGTGCCACCACACCAGGCTACTTTTTTTTGTATTTTTAGTAGAGATGGGGTTTCACTATGTTAGCCAGGATGGTCTTGATCTCCTGACCCCGTGATCCTCCCGCCTCGGCCTCCCAAAGTGCTGGGATTACAGGCGTGAGCCACTGCGCCCGGCCTAGCATCCTATATTTATAGAATAAGTGGAGTTGGGCAATATGAGTAGATTTTCATAGCTCAAAAGCTCTATGAATTACCCAGCATTTTTGTCTTTTTGCCTTCTACATGGGGCTATGCCCTTCTACATAAAACATATTTTTTTTCCTAATTATTTGCAGATAATATGAGAGAATTCCTAAATGTTATTTTTGCTGAATGCCTTTATTCTACATATATAATAGATACTTCGGTGAAAAATGAATGTTTTGGATAGCCACAATATTCTGAAATTTTCTATGAGGAAAGATGGTAATAAAGTGTTTAAGCATTTCTACTTGAACTAGAGTTGACTAATTAGAACAGGTCAAAGCATGTGCATTTGTATACAGAGGATAATTTTGTTTGGCATTTCCAGTCATCAATCTAACTGCAGTAATGGATTTAGAAGATATCAGTAAAGCTTTGAAAACTGTAGTGTGACAAATAATACAAGCTCACCCTTTAAATAAATTGTACCACCAAGAAATAGAGTGATAATAAGTTTTGATAAAAGTAATTCAAAACTTTCCAGATCTAGTGTAAGCCAGTTGTAGAGCCTTTGAAATCTTTGGAGTTCTGTTTTGACCACAGATAAATCACTAATGTCTGGTTCATTTCAGGATATTTTTTAGGATGAAGGCTATAGGATAAATGAAAGAAAGCCTCTACATTTTACTTTACTAGTGAGGAAGTATTTGCATTTCCTGTCCTTAGAGATGTACCAAGTACTCTTAAGGTGCACAACCCCATGCTAAGTGTAGACCTTTACCAAATCCTTTAAGTCCTTTAGAGCTCAGTTTCCTTATTTTATATGTTTTGAGCTCCGGCACAAATATTCTGTGGTGTTTTGTCTTTATTCATATATTAAGTGGGTCAGATCCATAATAGAGTAGAAGAGTAATTAGCACTCTAGGTATAAGAGAGTGCTATGGGAATTGAAGATATCACTGAAACCCTTAGGATTCCACTGAATTATTATTTAATACTTGGGAAAGAGTTACTAGAGGGGATAATCCTGGCTTGAGGTCAGCAACTCCAAATCTGGGCATTAGAACAGAGTCACGCATTATTCAACAACTCTGTACTAAGGTCTCAACGTAAAATTAAATTTGCATATGGTCAAAATTACCTACCTCTCTCCTTTATGAAGTAAGTCTATTGCAGACTGACATTTTTGTCTTTAACTAATGTAGTCAGATTTTTCCTCAGTATTGAATAGGTAACTAACTCTTGAGTTCAGCCTCTAATAAAATAGTTGCCTTTTGTTTTGGGGACATATTACATATTTTTTTAAAATAAAGTTTATCTTTATATCATTCCAACGGTTTTCCTCTCTTTTTAATTATTTGCTTATTTATTTACTTATCTATGTGTTCATGCTGAGCTTGTATATTAAGTTTGTGTAAGTTAAATGTGCTTATTTGGGCCTGGATTCCACTGTGCTTTCTAGGTTTACTGCTAATGGTGAAGGTTTCTCTCAACCATTCATTACTAAATCACACTGCTAGAGTGGACCATTTCGGTGACATCATCTTTGTCTCCTATTCTTATTTTACCATTTGAGACTGCAAAACCTCTAACTTCTAGGCCAGTTCCTCAATGCTTTATCATTGACACCACTTGCCATTTTCTTCTATTTTGGGGGGGAAATTTAAAAAGTGATGGCTGCCTTTTTAAAGGTTATATAGATATTTCATTTTCTAATTTTATCTCAAAGATTTTAATCTTTAATATTTTTTTCTGAGATAAAAAGGTATTCAATGTCAGGGAGGGAAAGATGTAAAATAAGTTATTTGAAATCATATTTGGTATGTACAGAGGAATAAATACAGACAGATTAAGATCTATAGTGACACATCTTATACTGATTTGTGCTTCCCTATAAGAGAATGTGTGTGCATCTTAAAAGACAGAGCCAAGATTTCTGTTAAGATTAATTGACATGGAGTGGTTTTTCTCTTAATAACTTCAAAGTAAAGTTTTTTTTTCTATTTTTGGCATAAGTAGAGTACCCTAACTCAAACAGACCAACATTTCTTGAACATTAAATAAAGACAAATTCTGACATTTTTAAATAATGAGTACATTATATGTTCCAACTTAGAAAATATTTAACCTTATTTCAATTATTATGTTTTTGGAGCACTTGAAAATGTAATCTATTAAAAGTTGCCATGAAGCCTGTGGGAAATTAGTCTAGTGATGGTTAATTTGTTTACCTAAACCATACTTGTTTTGAAAATTATGAAACCTAAATAGTCTATGTTTAAAGAGAAACAAACCATTTTTAATGATTTGAAGTGTAATTTTTTCTCCCTCCTTTCCAATAATTTATTCCTATGAGGTTGAGAAGAACTAACTTTTATTAAGGAGGATGTACTTTGTTTTGAACTTTTTTTTTTTTTTTTTTTGAGAGAGGCTGGAGTGCAGTGGCATGATCATAGCTTACTGTAACCTCAAACTCCTGGGCTCAAATGATCTTCCCACTTTGATCTCCCAAAGCACTGGGATTACAGGCATGAGCCACCTCACCCAGCCTGTTTTGATTTTTGACAAAATGTGTCATTGATTAAACTGGAATCAGATATTTTGCTGTTTTCTGTTACCAAGATTAGAATTACCAGTCATTCCCAAGGATATGTTTTGGACTAGGTGTTAATGAGTACTGTACAAACAGATGACACCTTGCATAAAACCCAGCCTCCAGCATGTAGGGGCTTGTAGTAACGACAGACATACAGAATTCTAACACAGAGATGGCTTTGGCAAATGCTAGAATGAAGTAAAACAGTTAAGTTGAAGGAGAGGAAAGAAAAACAGAGGCAACCGTGATGAAGACTGAGAAAGAAAAAGGATATGAATGGGACGTTGATACAGCTTCAGGAATAGAATGAGATAAAAATTAGGACAAAGGCTGTAGTCAAAACATGGAATACATTGAATACTAACCTGAGGGATTTAGACTTTACTCTCAATACCTGAAATCGAATGGTAATATGAAGGAACACTTGTAGAGATATAATAGAGTAGCAAAACTCTAATATGGATTGGATTTTTATGGACCCACAAAAATCAGAACTCTATTATGGAAGGGTCCATAAAAATCCAATCCATTATTTTACAGATAAGGAAACTGAGGCACAGAAGTGACTTTTGGAAGTGACTTACCAAAGGTTGCATACAATATCAGTAGCTTAGAGGGACCAAAAACCCAAGTCTGCTGACTTCTAGCCTAGAAATCTTTCGATCACATTAGGCTATATTGGGCTATTCAAGGTCAAAGTCCTCAGCAGTTATTACATCTTGAATATGTTGATATAGGCCTAGTTGTCATTGTTTTTTAGTATCTGTTCTTCTCCTACGGGCTTCTAAGAATGAGAATCTTCTGGACGTATGAATGTGGTATGTATGCTAATATATTTGCCCTTCATATAAAAATTCTTATAATTCCCTTTTTAGAAAATTGTTGACTCACTCCATGACTTGTGGAAGGTGGTACGTTTTGTTCATGTGAACTTGACAGTTTCTTGTAACATTTATTCTCTAGAAATTGGCTTTTCTATCTACTCTGGGAGTTATTTTAGTTCTTGGTTTCCCGCATTCATAGATGGCTGATTCGGATAATATTTATGTCCACAATATGGACCTAAAATTCACAAAAATTAAATGTATTCATTTAGAATACTTGTGAGTGATATTTTCCTCCATAAGCTATTTTGGCTGGTGTGCTAGGTCAGGTATACATGCCAATGATTTCAGAAGTAAGTCTTATAGGTGTTTATTATGAATTCAATGTTTATGAAAAGTGATATCATTAGCAATGCACATTGTTAGGAACTGAAAATATGTATTTTGAAGTAATTCTTTTGATATGAAATTCTTCTTGACCATATGGGGCTTCCCCCAGTCTTAGATGTATGTTCCAATGGAATAAATATTGAATGCTTGTCTTGTAAGGCATAATTTGAAAAATATTAAGGCCTTTATATTGAGAATACAAATTTTGTTGAGCAGTGCTTCAACTGCCAGCAGGATTGGCAAAACAGCTTTAGGCAAAAGCAGTGTCTACTACAGTTAGCTATTTTATATGTTGTCCACACATATTTGGTATAATTATATATGTTTGTATGTGTATACATGTGGATAAAATTTTCCATTCTGAGCCCTATGAAAGGTAGTTTTGATCATTAGTAGTAGTAGTTAACAGAGACTCTCTGCCTTGAACATTACAAGGGCATGCTTGATATTTCCTGGATAATAAGCAAGGTCATCAGAAGAAACTGTGGTTTCTATAATCCTTGTCTTGGTAAGGTCTTGACAGTAAGAGACCGAGTTACATTTTGGAGGCATCATACTTCTTTGGCATCAAAGTGTTTGCTCCACCATCTCTCTCTCTCTCTCTGTTTCTTTCAGTCTTTCTCTCTCTCTCTCTCTGTCACACACACACACATGCATGCACACACACACACACACACACGGGAAAATTCACTCTGCAGGAAAGGCAGCTGTTAACTTACTGATGTTTAGGCTATTCAGGCTGTGCTCTGCTAAGCTCAGTTGGGTGCCATTCACAAAAGACCCCCTAGGATATGGTGCCTATAATTGGAATGGTGCCTTCTGGGGCTCTGCAGTGCCCTTCAAGAGCAGGACATATCTTAAAATGTTTCCAAAAGATTTTCAATAACAGGAAAAAACACCCATATACATTAGATCTATGATTTGTATACAATTCTGCAGATCCACAATTTCCCAGTCTCTTATCTCTGACTTGTCCACTAGACCTCAAGACTTAGGGTCTATTTTTGGAGCCGTGTCCCAAGTCTTCACCTGGATTCTTCACTGGACTCCTTTTGCCTGGATAGGTCCAGTGACACTTTCAAATCATTGCAATCACTGGAATTTATTGTTTATACTCAGGCATAAATATGGGAAATATCACTGTTACTCTCTAGAGCCAACATTACTCTTTGGGCACCTCAGTCTGGGTTTCCTTCTAATCTTGAAAACCAGACAAGACATCTGCTCCCCTCTGTGCTTTCTTCTTTAGCAACTCTGTTGTCCTTAATCCCTCCTTTCACTCATTTCTTTCCACCTGGGGCCAAGTTGCTATTTTCCATAGTGTTACTAATCTGTACATCTAATGAGCCAGTATTTTATCCTATTCTGATATGTCAGAGAAGGGGGATGATTGGGAGTAAGATAGTATACATGACACTTTTCTCTATTGAGAACTTTTATTCCTCGAGGTGACCCGTTGTCTAGATTGAAGATCAACATATACAAGAGAACTCAAGAATTCCCAACATCACTATGGATTATATTTGAATATCATTGCTTTATTTCTGTGAAAGTGTTCTCAGTCCAGAGCTTGAGAAGGAGTATACACACGCAGAGGGACACATAGGTTACAAATGATACAAAGATATAAGACATATCAGCTACCTATGGCCTATGAAGAATAAGAAAATGAGTTTAATGTAAAACAAAAGTAACCAGAATTTTTGAACATCTTGTTTATGCTATAGATTCAGGGAAACACTCAGTATCTGTTATGCACCATGTGGTCGCAGCAATTGTGAAGTATAGATAATGTTGTAGGCCCAGTGAGCGGCAACAAGGGTCAAAGTCGGTGGTCATGATTTGGTTGCAAGTCTGTCTGACTTCAAGGATCTTGTGTTTCCACTATACATGATGCCTGTGAAAAGATGTTTCCAGGGGAAAGGAACCACCCTTTTGGTGGTTATACATGTGCTCTTCATGTATAATGTTATGCACTTTCATGTATTCCTCACTGAGACCACATAATAATCATGTAAGCGAGGTATAGGTTATCATTCCTACTTAGATTCCAGAGCTGTGAGAGGAGGCTAATTTGTTCAGGATCGCATGACCACAAAGGCATAAACCAGAATTGGAATCCAAACAGTATGACTCTAGGGCAGTACCCTGTGCATACCCTGTGGGCCCTACCTGTCTCACCTCCTGTTTTTTTGAACAGGTGAGCTAAGAACAATAGTTATATTAATAAATGTTCAAAAGAATGATATTATTATTTAATGACAATAATTGTTTACATATTTTCTGTGGCTGTTTTCGTACTATGAATGTTGAGTATTTGTGACAGACTATATGGCCTTCAGAGCCTAAAATATTTAGTTGCTGGCCTTTTACGGAAGAATTTGCTAATCCCTACTCTAAAATCTACATTCTTAGCCTCAGGGCTGTTCTTTTTTCACAAGCTCGTGCCAGGCTTATATTGAGCACTTTTATAATTTGTGGCTTATTTTGTAACATATGAGAGTTTTAAAATAAAAATAAACATCTGAAACATTTTGGATGAATGTGGCACAGATGTGAAATTTTAGGGGCAGCTCAGTAAAACCATAAAATAGATTCTATAATGTATTGTGGGAAAGCATGATAAATGTTTTACTCACAGCATTGCTAGTTCTGTGATTCATTTAAAAAATGTATCTATGTTGACAAATAAAATGATGTTTATTTGTGTGTTACGTCACCAATATATTTAGCTAATTTCTATTTATTTGTATTCATCAGGTTATTTTCCAAAGCAGATAAAAAGTAGAACATTCACTGGAAACTTATGAATAAAGCTACATGCTTAATGGTTTAGCTAATAAGGCCAGAGAAAAAACAAATATGTCTACCTATGAAAAAAATTGTATTTAAGACACCTACTATGTGCTGTGCACTTTTATAGGAGGTAACTCATTTTACTCTTCAAGACTCAGAAGTAAAATAACCACTGCAAGTCATGCAGCGAAGCCGGATCTTGGAACTCCAAATCAGCATCTTTTTGTAAAACATTATAGGACATTTATAATTTCAAGTTGTACATTAGTCTAGAATTACTCATCCAGCTGGACAATGGATTCTGTTTCTATTTATTTGACTCTATTACTTCTGTCTGTTATTAGTTGTTCTAAGTATTACCCATTATTTGACTTTATTACTTCTGTCTGTAGTTTACTAGATGTTCAAAAGTAGCTGAAGATGTAAATGATATTGCCACTACTTCATATCTCACAAAATAGTTGAAGATGCCCTCTTCTCACAGCTCCACTAGGTGGTGCCCCAGTAGGGACTCTGTGGGGTGCTCCAACACCACATTTCCCTTCCATGCCCTAGCAGAGGTTCTCCATGAGTGCCCTACCCCTGCAGCAAGCTTCTGCCTGGCCATCCAGGCATTTCCGTATACCTTCTGAAATCTAGGTGGAGGTTCCCAAACCTCAATTCTTGACTTCTGTGCACTTTCAAGCTCAACATCACATGGAAGCTGCCAAGGCTAGGGGCTTGCACCCTCTGAAGCCAGGGCTTGAGATCTACATTGGCTCCTTTCAGCCACTGCTGGATCAGCTGGACACAGGGCACCAAGTCCGTAGGCTGCGCACAGCATGCAGACCCCAGGCCCAGCCCAAGAAACATTTTCTCCTAGGCCTCTGGGCCTGTGATGGGAGGGGCTGTGACATGCCCTGGAGACATTTTCCCCTCCTCATCTCCATCTGAGACCACCTTATCTTGGACCTTATTGTTCATATCACTATCAGCATTTTTGTCAAAGCAATACAAGTCTCTAGGAAGTTCCAAATTTTCCCACATTTTCCTGCCTTCTTCTGAGCCCTCCAAACTGTTCCAACCTCTGCCTGTAACCCAGTTCCAAAGTTGCCTCCATGTTTTCAGTTATCTTTTCAGCAATGCCCCACTCTACTGGTACCAATTTACTGTATTAGTCTATTTTCATGCTGCTGATAAAGACATACCTGAGACTGGGAAGAAAAAGAGGTTTAATTGGACTTAACAGTTCCACGTAGCTGGGGAGGCCTCAGAATCATGGCGAAGGTGAAAGGCTCTTCTTACATGGTGGCGGAAAGAGAAAATGAGGAAGTTGCAAAAGGGGAAACCCATGATAAAACCATCAGAGCTCATGAGACTTATTCACTATCACAATAACAGTATGGGGGAAACTGGCCCCATGATTCAGATTATCTCAGGGTAATTATGGGAGTGGGAATTATAGGAGTACAGTTCAACATGAGATTTGGTTGGGGACACAGAGCCAAACCATATCAGATGTTAAGCAGAAAGAACTTGTTTTAATAATTCAAGGTTTCAATAAATCTTATTCCAAGTTTGTATAAAAGTTGGAGAGATGACTTTCTTAATTTCCAACCACTCACTTTTTGGTGGTTATCTAAATTTTACAGTTGCAAACAGTAAACATAGAAGTTTAATAAAATCTAAATAAGCAGCAGACTCTTTCATCTTACTCAGAACCAGATAGCATAAATACCAGACTTGATAATGAGAAAAGATAAAGATCTGCTACTATGCTATCTTGAAAGATAGTTTTAGATATTTGTGATAAATGGTTATAGGGAAAATGCATACTGTGTCATCGGTTGCATAATACCAAAGCTGTACCTTAAAAAACTTTGAAATAGGTATTTTTTACATTAAAACAAAATCAGTTATCATCAGTAACTCTTTATGTACTGTAAACATTTATTGTGCTCAAGAAAAAACAGATGGTTTGCACTTAAAAAACTTACAAACTGAAGAAAACAAGGACAGTGTGATTTATGAGTGTGTACTTGTATATCTTTCATAAGGTTCCATTCCTGGTGGGCATGTAATTTGGCACAATGCTTTCGTTCTTCGGAACGCAAATTTGCAATATGTGCCAAGAGTTTTGGAAATGTCCTTACCATTTGAATCAAAACTTTTAACTTCTAGGAATTTGCCTTAAGAAAGATGTAAAATGCGTTCATCATCATGTTAGATATGAATGAAAAATTTTAAAAAATCTGAACAAATAAGTATAAGAAAATGGCTAACATACTATATCCAATTATGTTACTATAGTATAGTAACTATAGTATATCCAAGGTGTGGGCTATTTTGCAATCAATAACATGATGTTAAAAATGTATATCTGCTATCTTGGGGGAACATATTACATTAACTGAAAAAGAAGAACTATTTTCTTAAAAATTTGATTTATTAATATATAATATGCATATACACCTCTATACTTCTATGATAACACTGATTAAAATGTACTATGTTTTCCTTTTTATTTATGCATGTTCCCCACTACACCAAACAAATCCAAGGGAAAGGATTGTGTCATTCACTAGTGTAGTGTCCTTATTGTGCATAATGCTCGGTATGTTGTAGATAAACTGTAACTTCTTTTGAGTAAATAAGAAAGATGAGAGAAAATCTGGTGGTCTTTGTATAATGGAATTATACTTTTTTTACATTTACATTTTATATTTTATTTAGTACTTTCTTATTTATATAATCAGAACAGACAATTTAAAAAGTAATAGTAAATTTATATATTGAAAAAGAGAGATGGCATCTTTTTTCCAAAACTGCTGGCTTAGGTATATAGTGTTGAAATGGTTCTTTCTAATTTAGCTCTAGTTTAAATAACCCTCTCTTAATGGGCCAGCCTACAAGATCATATCTGTTGCATGGCTTCCTTTCTACCCCATGGTATTCTTTTACAGAATGAAGTATCCAACAGTGCAATGCTGAATCATTATTAGCTCTAATTTGGGAAATCGAGCCTTGAAGTAATAAGTGTTTGGGGTCTGATTCTGTGAATGCTACTCACTCTCAGCTTTCCTTTCATCAAAGGAGCTTGTCTTCATTTGCAAACATTTCTTTTCTCTTCAAAACATCTTTCACAGTGCCTTTGCCAGGTAAATACATTCCTTCCTGAAATATTAAATCAATACATCAAATTAATTGCCGCGAGTTTTGAGACCTGACACCAAAAGAGAATACACAGCCTCTAGCTCAATTCAGAGGTCACTATGCTGAATTGCTTTCACAATCTTTGAATTATGCATTTGAAATGTTTGCTGCTGTATCTTGATTGGAATGTATTTTTTAGTGTGAAAATAATTGACAGGAATTAGTGTTTTTTTCCTTTTCAAAGAAAAATTCAGGATCACATGGAAGCCTCTTGCATGATTAGCAAACAAGACACACCTTCCAGATTTATTTACTTCAATCAATAGATTGCAAATGTCCTAATGTAACTTGAATACGTCATCTGTGCTTGGTTGCCAAGAAGATAATCTGACTCTTGGTTTTATTTCCTCAACCATATCCTTCACTGAGAATCTGGAGAAAATCCCTCAACATTTTCATCAAAGGGATGTTTGATGTAGAAAATCTTAGCTACAAGAAAACCAAGGATCCAATACAATAAAGGAGAGTTTCTATTTGCACGTGTTATGAAACTTCAGCCCACTGTTTTCTTACCTAGCTAATCTTATGCTTTAATGTCCAAGCTTGTATAGAATTCAAAAAGTGATCAGGAATTAGCCTATAGGATGCTTTTGTAAAAATTAGAAAAAGGTACTCCTGGTGGACAAATCAGTTAGGAAAAAGAATCTCCTTGAGTGGATCCTGGGGTGCAAGGTTAGTCACTGGCACACTGTTTCCCGTTTGGCTTAGATTCTTTGTGAAATGCACAAATGCCCAACCTGGGATAGCAGCTCTTGGGTAAAGGATGAGTGTATGAGAATTGTATGAAGCATCTGAGAGGTATGGTATGAAAGATGCCCTGTAGCACCTGGGAACACATCCAAATCTCAATTGGCATGGGTCACGTGTAGCTACAGGTCTCAGAAATAGTTCTTGGCCATTTCAGAGAATACTATTCATGCTGTTGCCAAATTCAAAGCATGAGGAACAGCTGATTTTTATATATTGCTGATGTTTGACACATAAAATGGCAATTTTCTATGATTCAACCTAAATAAGTCCCCTATTAGTAGTGCTTGGCCATTTTCTAATGTTTTGATTAAAATGCTACTTGTCTCTTATCCCTACACCTCAATGTCTTGATATTCCTCCCCCCCCCCACCCCACTACATAAATTGAGCTGTTATCTTAAATGGCAGCCATCTCTGTCTGGAGCTGTTAATTCTTGATACTGTTGAAAATAACTTTGATTTGATCTTATTGCTACTGTCAGCACACTGAGTGGGTGCCAGTTTCAGGACACAATAGTAGGTGAGGGACTTTTTAATCAGTGAAAAGTTTGTAGCAGAAGAGTCACTAGTATTATTTGTTAAATCTACCTAGAAACATGAAACAATTGGAATAATTACTGGACAAATATTTTACAAAAATGCATGTAGTGTTTTTATAGGTTATAATGCTTACAGTGAGCTTCAAGAAACTCTAGAACTTATGCTTCTGTGCTTTGCTGCTTTGTTTATTATAGGGAAAGAAAAGAAGATAGGAAGGAAGGAAAGAAGTTAAATATTCTTTCATGAATGGATAAACTGTTAGAGTTTATCCTACAGTTGAGTAGTTCAATTGGAGCAAATAGATGTACAGCAGATCCTTGAATAATATTGTTTCATTCAAGTCATTTATTATAACATTGATGAGAAAAAAACATCAGTTCCCAGCCTGGGCCACTGTCTGTGTGGAGTTGGCTTGTTCTCTTGTGTGGATTTTCTCTGGGTACTCTGGTTTCCTCTCACGTGTCAAAGATGTACACGCTAGGTAATTTTGTGTCTGGAATTGGTGGGTTCTTGGTCTCACTGACTTCAAGAATGAAGCCATGGACCCTCGCGGTGAGTGTTACAGTTCTTAAAGGCGGCGTGTCTGGAGTTTGTTCCTTCTGATGTTCGGATGTGTTCGGAGTTTCTGCTTTCTGGTGGGTTCGTGGTCTCACTGGCTCAGGAGTGAAGCTGCAGACCTTCGCGGTGAGTGTTAAAGCTCATAAAGGCAGTGTGGAGCCAAAGAGTGAGCAGCAGCAAGATTTATTGCAAAGAGCAAAAGAACAAAGCTTCCACAGTGTGGAAGGGGACCCCAGCAGGTTGCCACTGCTGGCACCGGCAGCCTGCTTTTATTCTCTTATCTGGCCCCACTCACATCCTGCTGATTGGTAGGGCCCAGTGGTCTGTTTTGACAGGGCGCTGTTTGGTGCGTTCACAATCCCTGCGCTAGACACAAAGGTTCTCCACGTCCCTACCAGACTCAGGAGCCCAGCTGGCTTCACTTAGTGGATCCCGCACCGGGGCTGCAGGTGGAGCTGCCTGCCAGTCCCGCGCTGTGGGCCGGCACTCCTCAGGCCTTGGGTGGTCCATGGGACTGGGCGCCGTTGAGCAGGGGGCGCCGCTCGTGGGGAGGCTCCGGCCGCACAGGAGCCCACGGAGTTGGGGGGAGGCTCAGGCATGGCAGGCTGCAGGTCCCGAGCCCTGCCCCGCGAGAAGCCAGCTAAGGCCCTGCGAGAAATTGAGCACAGCAGCTGCTGGCTCAGGTGCTAAGCCCCTCACTGCCCCAGGCGGGTGGGGCTGGCCGGCCAATCCGAGTGCGGGGTCCGCGAGCCCTCGCCCACGCGGAACTCCCGCTGGCCCGCAAGCACCGTCCGCAGGCCCGGTTCCCGCCCGCGCTTCTCCGAGCTCCACACCTTCCCGCAAGCTGAGGGAGCCGGCTCCCGGCCTTGGGCAGCCCAGAAAGGGGCTCCACAGTGCAGCGGCGGGCTGAAGGGCTCCTCAAGTGCCGCCAAAGTAGGAGCCCAGGCAGAGGAGGCGCGGAGAGCGAGAGAGGGCCGTGAGCACTGCCAGCACGCTGTCACCGCTGAATTTGACCTGCGTACATGATCCCAGTCTGAGTGAGTGTGGGTGGGTGTGAATGCACCCTGCAATAGAATGATGTCCTGTCCAGCGTGGGTTTCTGCCTTGCACCCTGAACTTCTGGGATAGGCTCTGGCCACTCTGTGACACTGAACTGAAGTAGCTGGGTAAATAATTATCTTACTTGTTTTTATTAAACTTTGTTAAATGTATGTATAGTTCGCGCTTATCTCAGTGTTTAGTATTAGAAGTGTTTTGGTTTTTATTTAGAAGTTTGGTGACGTTAGGAGAAATGTGCCATAGGAACTTAACTCTTGTTTGTATCAATTAGCCTATGGTAAAATTGGTTTTATTATACCTTGCTTTGCTTAAAGTCACAGCTTCCAAAAACCTATCAATGACATTAGGTGAGACTTACTATATAGTTATCAATGTGATAGATTTCAAAAACAAAGTTCATCGGGAGGGGGTAACTTCAAAATAATCCATATAGAATGATACAATTTATGTAAATTTTACAAGCACATAAAAGATTTTTAAATGCTGTTTATATACACAAAAATATGATGAAAGTATAAAACAAAGGTGATTAGATTACATGTGCACTCCAGAATTATGTGTGCCTCTGGGGCATACATATGTATCTTCTGGGGAAAGATGAGAGGGACTAAAATTGAGGAAGCAATGTTGGCTGCATCTGGAATATTATCAAATTAGAAACAAATACGGAAATATGGTTAATATTTTTTAATTCTGGACGATAGGCCCTGAATTTTGGTCACATTACTCTCTTCAATTTTTATGTCTGAATACTTAAGAATAACGATATAACAATGATCATCTATGTAAGTCTGTTTTACGTGGAAAATTTAAATACTAACAAATTAGTGGATTTTTCTTAAAAAATGCAGATGCTGTTATCTTTTTAATGCCATCAGAGGGTCTCAGGCACTTCAAATTCACAGAGTTACAGCGATCTAAGGTTCTGAGTGAAAGACATCCTAGTTGAAATGACTTGATTTTCTTAAGCAATTATTTTAGAAAAATGGCCAAAATTGAAATCAGGAAAACTGACTTTCAGCATAGATTTGATTATCCTTACTTGGAAAACAGCCATTGTGCATTTGTTTGATAAAACAGATTTCAACATAGGGCCTTGTAGTTAGAGATAATTTTTACATAATGTCATCGAATAAATGATAGTTTTATGTATAATTCTGTGTAACTGTGTGTATATAGTTTATGAGATGGGGGAAGGCAGGCAAAAGCTTGGTGGCATAGTCTTAGACCTTTAAATAGTATATAAAAGGCTCTGCAGATTCCCTAGAGGGATTTGCAACTCCATTGCTCCACAGTACCAATAAGCAGTGCAGAATACCAGGGCTGAAAGAAACTTCATTGAAGTTGTTAGTCTCTCTTTGAATCCTGGAAGAAGTCTTCATTTGAGTCTTTGAAGAAGTCTTCATCTGAGTCTTCCTCCGTGTGGGGGTGGGTACATGCAGCTTTTTGGTTAACAACAGAGACAACAAAAATGTGGACAGTCATTATCTAGATAAATTATACACTATCTCTTCTCTTCTTACGTCATCGTGTACTGCCTCCCTTCTCCAGCCTGTTAATATGCTTAAGATGAAGGACTCCAGTGTCTTTCACGGGGAGGGAAGTAAGAAGGAAAACCCTGGTATGTACACTGCGTGGTGTATGCTTTTGAGAGTTGAAGGTGGAGTAAGAGGGCACTGGTTAAAATCTTATAATTTGTTATTCTTGTAGTATTAGGTAGAACTGTGACACTCTAACCATTTTATATGCCCTTTCCTCAGAATCTGGTAAAGGAAGATGTGGTATAAGTTTAAGATGAAACAAAGCATAAAATTATTCACTCAAGTTGCAGCCTTAGAATGGTATAGATTCCATTAATAGACATCCATGTAGAACATGTGTAAATGAAGATATCTAAGACAAGGAAAAAAAAAGCCAAAGGAGTAGATTTTAAACACAGAAATTATTAACACCTTTCTGTAATACTCTAGGTTTCAACATCCTATGTGCCATACATATATTATGCTAAAATATTTTAATGCCATTGTCAAAAACATCAGTTGGTTTAAAAACCCAGTTGAACTTGACTTTATTATTCTGTTTTGACCTAATTCCTTTGGAAGTCACTTAGTTTATTTATATGTTAATGTTTTATCTGTAGTATAAAATGGTATGAGATTGTGGGAGGTAAATACAGTTCTTATGGCCAAATTAAATGGCAATACATGTTAATGCAGCAACAAACAGCATAAGCTTTTTTGCTTTGTTTTCTTTTTGAACTTAGTATTTATAAATCCCCTAGGAAGAACCACTTGATAGGAGGTCACAGGTAGCATCTGTAGATGTTTTTAATTGGTGTTTTCGTTGTTGAGTAATGGAAGAGTCTTCAGATATTATTCAGTCAGTCTGTTGTTCTCAGAGCTGCCCATGGCCTCTGTGGGAATTAGACAAAGGCATCTTTCCTCCAGTGGACATGGCCCAATGCTAGGGCTCATGGCTTGGTGAACGAATGCAGGCTGGATTTCAGTCCTCATAGAGCCCTTTAGCTGGGCACTCTTGTTCAAAATATGACCTACTCAAATGTTTGTGGCAGCCCTGGTGGTTGTTCTCCAAAAGCTGTGCTGGTTTATAAAACCCTCTCCTTCACATTAGTACAAGGAATACATACCTGAGTATTAAAGGGCAACTGCAGTGGGCACATGCATTGAATATTAGTGTGTTCCTTGAGTTCAGTGATTTACAGTAATCTGTACAGAGGCAAACACAAATGAATAATTAGGGTCATGTAAATGTAGACAATGAAGACCCTGTAATTTACAGACTGAACTTGGAGCAAGTGAAAATAGCAAGACTGAGAAATCTGTGCAGTTAGTATATTAGCTCTGATTCACTAAAGTACATGAACCACTGAGGGACCCAGAACAGAATCAAAGGCTAATGTATATGCAGGGCACACATGTGCACAAACGTGTGTATGTCTTTTGTTTCAAAGCAATTTTTATCCAAATTACATATCCATTGCTTAAGAAAAAAATGCGATTAAAGGTCCATTTTGAAACTATTGGATAAGGGATAAATATATTTATATAAAATTTACATATGTCCTATAAATTTTATGGTAAGATATTTAGCAGTTGGATTTGGAGTATATTTCAAAATAAAGATCTTCAGAATTCAGGGCTTGTGGGGGACACAATTCAAAAAGCATGGCAAGATAATTTCTTAGATTTTTCAAATGGCGTCAGAAGTCATCTAGGCTGTTTCTGCACCTCATGGTAGTCTGCTTTCTGTTGCACTTGTGCAAGTCATCCATCTTAGTATTAGTTCTTTTGGTAACAGCGAGATCACCGTATTTAAGGTAGCTTGTGACCTTTTGGATAGCCTTAGTTACTAGACAGAGTTATGTTCATGCTGAGATTAAATCTTTCCCTTGTAATGTCCATCAGTGGGCTCTGCTTCTGTTTCCTGGACAAACCTAGAATAAGAGTGCTCTCTCTTCTATGTGACAATGCTGCAGATATATGAAATGGTATAATTTCCCTGTCTCAAGACTGAGAAAATAGTAGACTAGACAATGGTAAAACAAACTGAAAAAGAAAAAAATATCCAGGAAGTAGAGAGATTATTCCAAGTCTTTGTTTTTGCAGACACTTGCACCCCTTTATGAGAATTTATTTGCATAGAATAATAACTTTTTATGATTTAATAACCGCATGCTGAGGAAATACATTTTGCTTTCCAAATTGTGGATGAATAACAATGCCAGAAGACCTTTTACAAAGGCAAAAGAACCAATTACTTGTCCTCCTTGTTTCTAATATTGTAGTCTCATATAAAGTAGACCGAAAAAAATAAAGCTTACTGTGATGTTACTTCTTAGCATATGTTGGCATATGTTTATATCATAAAATACACATTTTGGGTCTTTTTCCTCAATGAGCTTTTGTTGAAAATTATAGAATTTGGTACAAGTCTTCAAGATCATTTGGAACCAAGTGTCTAGCAGTGAGCAGGAGAAGCGTATCTTACAGTTTTTTAATTCCAGAGGATGTTCCAAAATAGTAGCTTTAATTTTTACTCACACTAAAATTTTAAAGGAGCAAACCTAGAAAGTTCCCAGAAAACGTATGTAATTATTAGAATACAGGACTAACTAAGTAATTTTTGATATATTGATTCTTACATCACGATTCAAATTGTAGTTATAAAGACAGGAATAAATAGGGAAATACTGATGATACTGTGTGTTTCAGTTAGGAATGCTTTCAGCCTAAAATACAAGAGAACCCAAGTATCAGTGGTTTAAACAAATAGGACTTTTTTTTTCACCTAATAAAACATCTGGCTATAGGCTTTTGCTGGCCTATTTTACTATTAAATGATATTATCAAAAATCCAGGATTTTTTCCATCCTTTAGTTATGCCATATCCAGGCATGTCACCTCAAGGTCACAAGATAACTAGTACAGTCCTGGACACCACAATCACATTACCAGGCATGGATGAGGGGCAGAAAAGGTAGAAGAGCATAATGGCCCGGATGGTGAGAACATTTCTCTTCTCATAGCTCTCTTTTAATAGAAATGAAAATCTTTTAACCTAGATACTTTCAAACTGACTTATCCAAATATCTCATTGGACAGGACTTGTTAACTTGGCCACATAATGGCAAGTGAAAATATCAGTTTCACAATTATGGCTATGCTATGATAATATTTATTTAAAATATTAATGGAGAAAAATTTTAGAAACTAGTCTAGAATTATTACCAGTAGCTGAGGAAAGTAGAATGATGGAATCTATCTATCTATCTATCTATCTATCTATCTATCTATCTATCTATCTACCTACCTACCTATCTATCTAAGCTGTCTATCTAATCTAGTTTCCTAATGCTTTATAATGTGGCTACCTTAGTTAGATAACTAAATCATGCATTTATAATAAAATTAAATTTATTTAACCTTAAAGATATTAGCCTTCTACTTGACAGATTCATTGGTTTATCAAGTATCTCATTTGACATCACATCCACACAGCTATACTTAACCAAAGCAGGGAACGGAGCAGGGAAGCCATGCTGGTATCTTTATGATCATCCTTTTAGCTAGAGCATATTCAGTATCACAACCAATGCCTTCCCCAGTGTTCGTGGACTCAAAACATGATTATATTGATTTCTTTAAAAATCTATACTGCAGATCATATTTAAACATAAAATATACTTAGTATTGGCGTGGAAACATTGTGATTAGTTTCATCTAATTTCATGAGCTCTCTCTTTACTCACTTTCCGCTTTCTTGGCTACTCTTTTCAGGCTCATTTGATGGTTTCTCCTGATTTTTTTCAACCTTTGACAGTTTAAGTTTTCTGGATTCAGTATTCAGACTTTATTTTTGCTCTGTTTTTACTTACTTTCTAAATTATCCAATTTCTGCTAACTCCAAATTTCTATCTAAGCATAGCTATCATCCTTAAACTTCAGAAATTAGGCCAGGCGCAGTGGCTCATGCCTGTAATCCCATCACTTTGGGAGGCCGAGGTGAGCGGATCGCCTGAGGTCGGGAGTTCAAGAGGAGCCTGACCAACATGGAGAAACCCTGTCTCTACTAAAAATACAAAATTAGCCAGGCATGGTGGCGCATGCCTGTAATCCCAGGTACTCTAGAGGCTGAGGCAGGAGAATCGCTTGAACCTGGGAGGCGGAGGTTGCGGTGAGCCGAGATCGTGCCACTGTACTCCAGCCTGGGCAACAAGAGCGAAACTCTGTCTAAAAAAAAAAAAAAAACAAAAAAAACTTCGGAATCTATTCAACTGCATACTTTATATCTCCTCTTGGATGCTTAATAGACTTCTTAAACAGCATATATAAGACCAAACTGTCAAAATCACCCAGACCTGCAGAGTTTTTGTTCCATCTCATAAGATACACCTCTGCCTTTCTAGTTATTAAGGCAAAAGCATTGACATCATTCTTGAACTCCTTTTTTTTCCCTCTCCAACTGCAGTGGAATCCATAGGCAAATTTTTCAGCTCTTCTAAAAATGCCTCAGATATGACCACTTCTCACCACCTTCATTGGTATCGCTCTGGTCCAAAATCACCTCATGTTTTTTTATGGACTGTCATGATAACCCTCTACTAGTCTTCCCAGTCTGGCTCTTGTTCTTCTATAGCCTATCCTATTTTGTTAAGTGGAAGAAATTTAGGGTTTGAGATATTTCACACTAATTAAGATACCTCTGCTGTATCTTAATATTCAAGCTGTTTTCCTTTTGTCTGTTTGCGTTTGTCTTTTTCTTTCTTTCCTCTCTCCCTCTCTTCTTTTCTTCCTTCCTTTCATTCTGAAGATTAAAACTGTATGCAGTTTTTACATTGTTCATTATAGTCATTAAGTTCTAGTCACTGTTCATACATAACTTCTGTATCCATAATTCATTGACTCACCACCTGTCTGAGATAGAAAGGATCTTGGAGATCATACGATTCAACTACTTCACCTTACACATGAGACAGGTAAGGTCCAGAGAGGAGAGGTGACTTGAGCATGATCATACAGTTTTTTATTGATTGAATTGAAACCCAATTCTAAGATACCTCATGTGTAGACTAGTGTTTTTCCAAAGTAGAAAATATCTACTAGATATAGTATATCTAACATGTAAACCTCCTCATGACTTAGGTCTAAAAGGTGCTCAACCCAAAATCTAATCATCAACAGAAATGAGTTTTCTCATGAAAAGACAATTTTGTAAATTGCAGATTAGGTGGCTTCCATGGTGTCATATCAACATAACTCAGATGTATTGACAACATTGCCTTGGAAAAATGTGTGTGTGTATGTGTGTCTCAGGTAATATTCAGTTATAAAAATACACACACAGACACACACACACACACACACACACACACATGCTTGATAGAAGAGAAACCATTCCTGATGGAGAAAGTATACAGTTGAGTGTGCATTAATAATTTTGTGTATAAGGGGCTCAGGTATGTGTGGCTAACAAATCACAAATAACTACAATATTGAACGTTGTAATAGTCTTAATTAAAAAATAGGCCATGATGATAGAGAATAGTTGAGAGAGGGATCTACTTAGAGAAGATGATCAGGGAAGGACTCTGAGAAGTGTACATTTAATCCAAGACCTGAAATATGTAAAACAGGGAGAAGAAACTACACGGGCAAAAGCCTTGAAAGTGGAAAGAGCTGGGAAGAACATTCTTGAGTATAAAATACCAGGTGTGAGGAGTGAGTGAAGTTTTAGGCAGGGTATTCCAGGCCATGAAAGAGGTAGTTTAGATCTCATTCCAAGTGCAATGGAAAATCTTTAAAGAATTTAAAACAGGAGGGTGATAGTGTGATTTTTCTGCAAAGATTTCTAGGTAGTATAACCAAAAGCAGGTGTTAAATCCACATGTGGATTAGGTTAGCACCATTCCACGGTCATACCATTGACATCACTAACTAATGAAAGAGTGAGATCCCCATCACTAGGGTACTGGTGCAGAGGAGGCTGGGCAACCACTTTATGAGAATATGATAGAGGGGGATTAAAGGATTATAGGTTGGGCATGAGGTTATGTATTGACCTTTATGATCCTCTCCAAACTTTAAGCTTCCATAGTTCTATGAACTAAGCTAATTATTGAAAATGTCTTTAGGAATAAAAGAAAACCATAAGATCAAAGGGGTTATTATTCAGAAGGGAATTCCCCCTCTCCCCCTAAACCATAGAAATCAATTATATACTTATCTAGAAAGGTGTTATCCCCCTTCCCACACTGGAGCTGCGGAATATAATCTGAACCCCCTTCCATTAGAGCAGAAGGTCTTAATTTTTTGTGTGATATCTCTCACTGAGTAATCTTGTTTAAAATGAAGGTCACCAGGTCCTATACCTTGGAGGTTCTGCTTCAGTAGACCTGAGGTAAGGTTTATGAAACTGCAAATGTAATAAGCAACCCAGGAGATTCCAATAGATGAGGTGGATGAAGTGAACAAGGACTGTACTTTGAGAAACCGTGGGTTTGGTGACAACAAAAGAAAAAACAAAACAAAACCCATTTAGATCCTAGCTGTAGTTCACCTCTAGCCATCCTCCACTGAACTCAGGAGTATTACAGCTCTAAGGATGGTTTAACTTGCTGTTTAGCATTGTTAGGTTATGCAACCTTTCTGAGCCAAAGTTTCTTCATCTATAATGACACTTACCGTAAGATGCTATTGTGAGGGCCACAGATTCAAAATACAGAATGCTGACCTGAGCGTCTGGCGTATCACAGCTGCTTAATAAACAAAAGCTATTATCTGCTTTATTTCAGCCTAATTTATTTGGCTTCCTTCTTACTACTCATCTCCATTCTGTAATGCAGAGTCAGCATACACCTGTGTTGGTTTGTTTCTCAATTATTGTCTTCTTCTTGCCTCGACCTCTCTTGCAGACTCCCAGAGACTTGCCTTAAGCAAGTATCACCTTAATTAAAGTTTGTTTTTTCCATCTCTGCATTATTATAATGACTCTAGAAGAAAACTCCGATATTACAGCCATGGAATAGCTGTGACCATCAAATTAGTTTAGTCTTATGTTTCCTGTTACTTAACTTACAATTATCTCTTGTAAAGCTACTCATCTTTCCTGTTTAATCTAACATGAGTACTGCAAAGCAGAGAATACAGTTCAGGAGACAGATGAGGTTTTGGAAAATGCTACCAAATTATGGAAAACATTTGAATACCACTAGCTTTTGCAGAATATAAACAAAACTTAAATGGAGAAAGGTCAGTCCACTCTGATGGATTGGGCATATTAATTTGTATATGTTGTCTTCAAAAATTCAAATTTAAAAGACCTATCAGTGTAAAGGTAATAAAACGACTAAAACATGACTGAATTAACCATTTTTTTCCTCAAATCTTCATGTATGCTTGAAGTAAAAAGGCTGTTCCAGTCAGTTTGAAATTAAAAAGAAATATTCTTTGAATTAAATATAATTGCAAGTAAAGTCTAGACTGTGCTTCTGGAGAATCAGGGGACAAGTTAAATTAAATATTTTGGGAATCTTAGTATTCTTAGAATATGGCTGGTTTCATTTGCTAGATTCCACTTAACTTGCCTTTCAGTAGGCCAAATAAGATGTCAAGATAAATAACTGTGTTTTTTGAATAAAAAATATTGTCTTGTGGTCTTACTTTGTTTTTAAATAAACTTCTAAAAGAAGTTTTTTAAAAGGTATAAAATTAAAACCACACTTAGCTGCATAAACTTATGTTTATTTAAAAGAATAAAATTATACTAAATGAAAATTGTCCCAGAAAATCCAGGCCCTGTCACTTTCTCCTTAACTCTTCACCTTTCCTTTTCCTCTGGGATGGGAAGTCACAATTTTTATCTACTATTCATTTCTGTATGTTGAAAGGGGGAAGCTATGGCAAAGAATAAGCTTTGCAAAGGCAGGAGAAAAGTTTGACCACATTTTATTTACGCAGTCTACCATAGATGGGCCCCTAGGTTGATTCCATGTCTTTGCTATTGTGCATAGCACTGTGGTGAACATATGAGTGCACGTGTTTTTGTTTTTGTTTTTTGTTGTTGTTGTTGTTGTTATAATGATCTATTTTCCTTTGTGTATATACCCAGTAATGGGATTGCTGGGTTGAATGGTAGTTCTGTTTTATATTCTTTGAGAAATCTCCAAACTGCTTTCCACAGTGGCTGAACTAATCTACATTCCAACCAACAATGTATAAGCATTCCCTTTTCTTCACAGCTTCACCAGCATCTGTTGTTATTTGACTTTTTAATAATAGCCATTCTGATCGGTATGAGATGGTATCTCGTTGTGGGTTTTGATTTGCATTTCTCAGATGATTAGTGATGATGAATATTTTTTCATATTTTTATTGGCCACTTGCATGTCTTCTTTTGAGAAGTGTCTGTTCATGTCCTTTGCCCATTTGTAATAGGGTTTTTTTTTGTTTGTTGGTTTGTTGAAGTTTCACATAGATTCTAGATATTAGATCTTTGTCAGATGCATAGTTTGCAAATAGCTTCTTTCATTCTGCAGGTTGTCTGTTTACAGTTTATTTTGCTATGGAAAAGCTTTTTAGTTTAATTACATCCCACTTGTCAGTTTTTATTTTTGTTGTAATTCCTTTTGTGGACTTAGCCAGAAATTCTTTGCCAAGGCCAATATTGAGAAGGCTATTCCCTAAGTTTTCTTCAGGATTTTTATAGTTTGAAGTCTTACATTTAAATCTTGAATCCAACTTGAGTTAACTTTTGTATATGGTGACTGGTAGGGGTACAATTTCTTTCTTCTGCATATGGCTAACCAGTTATCTTAGCACCATTTATTAAATAGGGGAGTCCCTTCCCCATTGCTTGCTTTTGTTGTTCTTGTAAAATATCATATGGTTGTAAATGTGTGGCTTTATTTCTGAGTTTTCTATTCTGTTCCATTGGTCTATGTGTCTGTTTTTGTACCAGTACCACGCTGTTTTGGTTACTATAGCCTTATAGCATACTTTGAAGTTGGGTAATGTGATGCCTCTGGCTTTGTTCTTTATGCTTAAGATTATTTTGGCTATTTGAGCTATATTTTGTTTCCATACGAATTTTAGAATATTTTATTCTAATTCTGTGAAGGATGATGTTGGTATTTTCATCAGAATAGTGTTGAATCTGTAAATTCTTTTTGATGGTATGGACAGATACTGATTTTTCAATCCATGAGCATGGACTGTTTTTACATTTATTTATATCATCTCTGATTTCTTTCAGCCAAATTTTATGGTAGAGATTTTTTTTAACTCTTTAGTTAGTTGTATTCATGGGTATTTTATTTTCTTTGTGGCTATTGTAAATGGGATTATGTTCTTGATTTGACTGTCAGCCTGGACATTGGTGTATAGAAATGGTATTCATTTTTGTACATCTATTTTGTATCCAGAAACCATACTGAAAGTGTTTATCAGTTCTAGCAGCCTTTTGGCAGAGTCTTTAGGGTTTTCTAGGTATAGAGTAATATCATTAGCAAAGGAGATAGTTTGACTTATTTTCCCATTTGAATAACTTTTTATTTTTCTCTTGCATTATTTTTCAATATGAAACTTATTTATTGAACTCTAAGGGACAATAAACCTGACAAGAATTAGTACAATTCAACACTAAAGCTCATATAGGTGGAAAAGTGAAATTTACAAAATTTATTGATGATTTTGCTAATTCTAAATTATGAAAGTATATAAATTTGCTTCAAGTTTGTTTATCTTAATGAGCTTTCACCTTTGTTTAATGAAAGTTTTAAAATTTGTTAATATAGGGTTTTTCCTTCAATAAGATTGCTGTTTTTAAAATTAAATTATTTTTATTAAACCATTCAAATGAATGATTAAATAACTTTAAGAAGTTTTTTTGTTGTTGTTGTTTTTTTTTTTTTTTTTTTTTTTGATGGAGTCTCGCTCTGTCGCCAGGCTGGAGTGCAGTGGTGCGATATCGGCTCACTGCACCCTCTGCCTCCCAGGTTCAAGCGATTCTCCTGCCTCAGCCTCCCGAGTAGCTGGGACTACAGGCACGTGCCACCATGCCCAGCTAATTTTTGTATTTTTAGTAGAGATGGGGTTTCACCATGTTGGCCAGGATGGTCTCGATCTCTTGACCTCATGATCCGCCTGACTCGGCCTCCCAAAGTGCTGGGATTACAGGCGTGAGTCACCACGCCCAGCCAAGAAGATATTTTTGAGTATGTATTACATGCATATAACAGAAAATTCAAAAGTTAAAATGGGTATACAATGAAAATAAGTCTCTCTTATTTTTTTATCCTCAGCCGCATACTCCTTCAATCATTTACTGTCACTAGGTTCTTGTAGATCTTTCCAGTGCTATTCTAAAGAATCATCTCAAACTTTAATGTGTATATGAATCTTGTTAAAATGTGGGTTAAGTTTCACTGGGTCTGGAGTGAAACTTAAGATTATGAATTTCCACCTGAGGGTGATGTTGCTGGCCCACGACTATGCACCCAATGGCAAGGTTGTGAAGGACATTTGTTTCCATTTGTCTCTCTGTTTGTTTGTTTATTGGACTGAAGGGAGCAAGATAGTCTCATAAACAGATGCGGTTTTCTGCTTTCTACTACTACCTCAGCACTAGAGTTCCAGCTTTGAGCTTTGCACTGTTACAAAGCTTTCTTCTAATCTTTGTCTTAAGTGATAATCTATACAGTATTTAAAAAATCAAACCATAAATGAAGAATGAAACCTAGCAATATGAAGCCTGATACTGGATGATGTATAAATTACAAGGACTATGAGAAATCTTTTTTACAAATTTTTAATCTGCTATTTAAACAAGGTTAGAAAAGTTACCAAATAAAGATAACCTCCTAAATTTTGGCAGAAGTCATGCTGTAAACTTTAGCTTGGAGCCAGTACTATTAATCTAATAAAGATGCTATCATACTTGGAAATGATGCAGTTAAGCTCCCTGAAATCAATATAAAGTGCAAAGATCATTTAAATATTTTAAAGTCATAAATATTAATATTCTATCTTCCTATACAAAGTAGTTTCCAGAAATGACTGTGTTCAATATCACAAGGGATACAAACGTTGTCTTTGTTGAACCTGCATGTAAAGGTAATTCTGAAAGCATAGGGGGGCAACTCACAAAACAATGTCAAAAGTTCCTGTTTGTTTCTTGCTCTGTGCAGGAAAGTGAAGGATGGAGGACTTATATTTGTCTACCTTCCTTGTCAACAGCATATGTTACTATGAGTACTTGCTAACCCAATGCAAGGATTCTTTTTAAAAAGAGAACCAATATCAAAGATACTCTTCAGAAATAAAGATTTGAACTATAAATGTCTCAATTTCTGCATAATTGGCAGGAAGAGCCAAGAGAATACAGGTTTCTGTATGATGCCAAGTCAGTGTGTATCAGTGACCCCATTGCTTTGAATGGCTCCAGGGATCTGCCATATGGAGAATTATTACACTCGGTGCTGAGATGGTTATTTTTAAATATTTGAGGCTACAAAGGGAGAATGGTTTGTATCTGCCTAATCTTCTTGAGCATACACTATTCTACTTAGAGTTGTGATTCTCAAACCTAAATTATGTAGTAGTATACTAAATGATATGCACAAGTCATAGTAGAAACAGCACAACCTTTCAAAGTTTCAATTGAATTAAAAGTTTTACAGGCCCATATCAAAACAAAATAACACTACAACAAGCAATAATATATGAAAGGGTATAATGAAAAATTCTGATGAATTTTTAAGTTAAACCTAAGATTTGAAAACAATATCAGGCTTAGGGATATGCTTCTAGGCCCCATGGAATACAAATTTGTTGGCCAGTAGAAGGATATTTCAGTGGGAAACTTTTAAGTATTGCAAAATACATTAAAAGCACGTGAGATTAGAGACCAGATTATTTGAGTAGAAACGACATTTCTGTGCTGCCTATGAGACTCCAGAGTGGCTGTATGCAAAACATTTTGAGACCACAGAAGTTACTGTCCTATTTCTGAAACACTGATTTTCTGCATGAAATTAGAAAGTGACATAGAGTTTGCTAACACATCCAGACTGGCTTAGGAGATGTCATCAATGAATTTTTAATGTATAATCTCTAGAGAGAAAAATCCATGTCTTTGGGTTTTTTGGAGACTGAAATAGGTAAAAATATTTTTTCTACAATTTACCCATTTCTCCTGCTAGTAGCGAGCAAGTCAGTTCTTTACAGAATGTGTGGTATAGTAAAATAAGTCACATAGACTGAGTTTTAATCTCCAGCATTGGATCTTAGACAGGAAACTAAAGTTCTCTAGGTCTGTGTTCTCTGAAAAGTGGGACAAGTACAAAGATGAAAGAAGCTAATAGTGGATCAATGTTTATGCTCTTCTCTCTTTTTTATTTTCATCTTTTATACCTTTCCATTCCTACCCGCATTCTCTTTGGGCTTAAGAAGTTAACAATAAACAGTACATCTTCATTTGAAGGGGAAAGTGGTGCTCCATATTAGGAGATCAGACTCAGTGACCTGGGTGTTTACCAATCATGAGATTCTCTCTGAAGATTCATGAAAGCTTCTTGCTAAGAAAGCATTTAGAGAAATAGTCAGCTGCCTAGTGTATAAGTACATTTATATCTTACTGTTTACTCTCACTTTCAAACTGAATATATATATAAAAATTACCTAGAAACAAGCAGAGAAAAGCCATGTGGCATTTAGATGCATATTGCATATGCATAATTGATTTCTTAAAAGGTTAAATACCCTTAGCATATGTATGGATAGTGATATACCCATGATGATTTCGTAAGTATTATGGCAGTGGCTTTGTTTTACATAATTCTAAAGTAAATGTCATGTTTCTTCTTTAGGGATTCCAGGACTGGGATTCAGAAAAGCATGTGTTTCCAAGTAGATAGCTGGGCAAGAGAGGCTACTCTCCCAAATACAGGGACCATTCATGTAGCTAGTACACTGAGCTTTATGAAGCTCAGACTGCCACTAAATCCTCTTTAGAATTGAAATGCAATTACACATCGAGGACAAGTGCTAAATATAAACAGAAAAGACCAAATACGTGCCTTTATTTTTTCCTTTGTTTTTGCAGTATATTTGCAGAAAGAATTAACCACCTCAAACACACTATAATCCTTAATTGAAACACACAGATCAGTCAACTCAGTGAATCCTTCAGCATCTTTTGTCAAAAGTTTATTGTAGCTCTGAGGGACTGGTCTTTTCTTATATTCATAAACAATTATAAAGATGCTAAGGAAATTAATAAATGAAGCAAGTAACTAAGAAATATACCAAATGAAGCATCATTAAATATGTCCTAAATATTTAAAAATAGGCACTATGTTGCTTGAGGATACATAAGGGGTGAAAACTACATAAATGTGAGTGATTATTACAAAAATTCAAGTTATGGGCTTCTTCTTTGGGAAAGGAAGGAAATACAATTTGTATGGTATACCCAGGGGTTTTCACTGCATGAATGATCTACAGGTATTTATTATTGTTTAATAATATTATATAGTCTTTATGGGGTATCCTATATTTCCTAATTTTTAAAAATGGCAAAGGCAAGCTGGGTATGGTGTCTCATGCCTGTAAACCCAGCAAGGCCAAGGTGAGTGAACCACTTCAGTTCAGGATTCAAGACCAGGCTACGCAACATGACAAAACCCCATCTCTACAAAAATTAGCCAGGTGTGAATTTTTAACGTATAATCTCTACAGAGAAAAATCTGTGTGGTAGTGTGTGCCTTTAATCCCAGCTACTCTAGTGGCTGAGGTGGGAGGATCACTTGAGCCCAAGAAGTTGAGGCTGCAGCGAGCTGTGATTGTGTCACTGCACTCCAGCCTTTCTTTCAAAAAAAGAAAAAAAAATAGAAAAGACAAAATGACAAAACATAGTGAAGAGAATGCAAAAATTAAGTTGGTAAAAAACCCAATGTAATATACTTATAATAATAAAAGTAAATATATCAATCTTAGGTTGAAGAATGTATTTTTCTATTACACTTAAAATAAAACTTGATATATGCCATGTGCAAGATAATACTAAAACATAAGTCCCTGAAAGTAGGAATATGGGAAAATATATGCTAGACAAATACTAACAAAGAAAGCTATTGTATCTATATAGTTTAAGAACTGGACTTTAGGATAAAATGAAATGTTTATTCTGCCTGCAATTCTTGTTTCCGTATTCATTTTCTGAGCCTACTTCATCCAAGCATCTGCTTCTAACATTCTAGGACTTATGATAGACCATCTCGATCTATTTTTGTCTTATTCCAACCTAACCATTTCAAAGCCCAGATGTTTGATCTCTCAGCTCTAGTAGTACCTATTATTTGTGGACCACTGATTTGGTACTTATATGATGTGTTTTAGTGTTATTTATGTACATGTATTTCTTTAATTAAATTACAATATCTTAGAGCTAGAGATCATGCTTATTCTTCTTTAAATACCTCCTGTCACCTCACTCTAGGACTTGCCATCTGGTAAAATTGTGTTACCTGGCATTATCATATAATAGAAAGTTAATAAACATGTCAGCAGTCAACTGAAAAATGGCTTCTGAAAGTGCATTAAAAGCTTTTTTTAGGATGTGTAGTACTTTGTCAATCCTATGTATTTACATTTTCTAAATAATCTTCCAGCCAAAATTACAAAATGGAGTTGGGGAGAGACACACACTATTGTTAAAGTGACCCAAAGCTGTGCCGAGTTGATGAGACTGAGACCACAACCCCAGTAGGAGGGTGCCCCCCTCTGGAGACTCCCACAGGTTTATGACTATGCGATCGTTAAGGACTGGGACCACATCTAATGAACTTTTTGCATCCACACCTGAAACAAAGTCCAACATACAATGTGTAGTCAATAAGTGATTCTGCAAAGTGTGAGAGAATTAATTATGAGTCTAGGGTAATGCACCTCACTCCTGTGGCCTCAAAACAATGTATAATTGGAGTTTCTCGGTGTGTGTCTCTAGCTCATGCTTTCAGAGGGGGAGAGTGGCTGGGAAGGCAGAAGAGCCAGCTGGGCAGAGGCAGGGTGCTGATGCTTACATTACACTTGGTACTCTGGGGTTAGGCGCTGATTGGAGCAAAGCTGAGTAGTGTGGATTTTGTTCTGCCAGCCGATGGTGGACTATGTTTGGAAACAAACAACAAAAGCTTAAAAGGAGATGGAGAAACACATGGAATAGATTTTCAGTGCTTCTCCTGCTGGCCATCAAGAAGTAGCTGGAGTACCTTCTTTCCCATGGCAGGAAAGATAGTCTGTCTGCTGCAAACCTCATTTAAACTTACTGTTTTTTGAATAGGCAATATATAAAGCATGTGGGATAAAATTCAAAAGGTATAGTAGGGTATATGGGAAAAATAAGTGTTTTCCCACCTCTGCCTATAGTTGCTCTCTCTAGAGACAACACAATTACCAGATTCCATTTATTTTTAGGTATACAAAAACATTTCATGTTTGGTATGCATACACATGTGCATATATATGTATTTATTTCAGATAAATAGCTCATATAATAACATACTATACTGAATCTTGCTTTTTAACAAATTAACAGCTTATCCTGTAGTTTTTTCATTTTTATCTTTATCTTTAAAATCCCAGTCTCTAACACTGTTGGTATACCAAGTGTCCAACATTTGTTTCTTGTATGAATGAATGATTAATTTGATAGTAGTATCTAATTCATTCATAGTGAACCTAAAAGTCACCCACCAACACATTTTTTGAATGCCTTATCTTAAACCCCATCTCCAACATGCATCTTTTTTCTCTCTGTCGACATTATATTCAAATTAAATCTCAAAAAATTTATCCCATGGAAACCTTCTCTGAATATTGACTGTCTCTCCCCCAGGAGTTATTTCTAAGCACTTAATAATAGTTTAATGTTACTAATTACTTAATAATTTACTATTTTGATTGTCCTCTAAGTCTTTTGTGTTAATATTACAACCATAAATACGTGAATAGCACTCTTTTTTTTTTTCTTTTTGAGACGGAGTTTCGCTCTTGTTGCCCAGGCTGGAGTGCAGTGGTGCGATCTTGACTCACTGCAACCTTCGCCTTCTAGTTTCAAGTGATTCTCCTGTCTCAGCCTCCTGAGTAGCTGGGATTACAGGGGCCCACCACCATGCCGGGCTAATTTTTGTATTTTCAGTAGGGATGGGGTTTCACCATATTGGCCAGGCTGGTTTTGAACTCCTGACCTCGTGATCCACCCACCTTGGCCTCCCAAAGTGCTGTAATTACAGGCCTGAGCCACCACACCCAGCCTGAATAGCACTCTTAACAATAATTTTTTATTGAGTAGTTGTTTGTGCCAGACACTTCACTAAGCACATAATATGCATAATCTCATTAATTCCTACAACACACCTATGAAGTAAATAACATTATTATTATTGTAGCATACCTGTCATTGCCCAGCCAATATCACCTAGACTCACCTGGAGATCGTATCCAGACCATTTCCTTATATACCACTGTTTTCTGGCATCTTGCTGCCAGAGTGATCTCTGGAGAGTGCACTTAGCTTAAGTGGGTAGGTCAGAAGTGTCAACATATTGACATCCCAGGAGTGAACTTTAACCAATTATGTGTGGACATTAGTGGATAAATACTTCTGCTTTCTCTCCCCTTTGTGGGACAACCTTTAGTTGTACTCCTCACAATTATTTCAGGACCCATGTATTTTGCCCACAGTGGTGAACCCCTTTTTAACTTACCCTTTATTATCTTTTGTCTCTTCCCTATCTCAATTTACTACTTGCTTTCTTCCTGGAATCACCTCCCAAATAAACTAATTATGCTCAAATCTTAGTCTCAGAATTTGCTTTTGGGGAAAGCAGATTTAAGGAAATTGAGGTTTAGAGTTCTTGAGTAACTTTTTCAAATTCACCTATACATTACATGGCAGATTCAGTATATGAAACCAGAAGCCATGATCAAAAGCATCATCCCTTACTGCCAACTAGATGGTAGGTGCCACAAAGCAGACCAGTGAACATGTATGTTTCTTCCACAGTGTGTTTCAAAATGCAAGCCTAAGTCAGAACTTAATGCATACTTCTGCTGGTCAAGTCCATTTTATGTTTTGGAGTGTCTCTTTTCCACTGCAGCACATCAGAATGTGCCTTTTGGCAGCTAGCTAAACACATATGCTGATAATTTATACAGGAATTGTGTATAAATTCTCACACTTATCTAGTTGCTGAGTATCTTCTCCTTGTTTTTCTATAGATAGCAACTTCATCCTTGCCAATGCCCAGGTGGCTAAGGGTTTCCCCATAGTCTACTGTTCCGATGGCTTCTGCGAGCTTGCTGGATTTGCCCGAACTGAAGTCATGCAGAAGAGTTGTAGCTGCAAGTTCTTATTTGGGGTTGAAACCAATGAGCAACTGATGCTTCAAATAGAAAAGTCACTGGAGGAGAAAACAGAATTCAAAGGAGAAATTATGTTCTACAAGAAAAACGGTGAGTTGGCTTTCTTTCGTGCTCACTGGAGAGTAGTGAGAGGCCGTCTTCTTTCAACCTAGTAATTGCTCCGCAACTCCCATTAAGGCTTAATGGCATTTCACATACATGCAGGCTGTTACAGAAGTTCCACAAATGACTTGGATGATAGCCTTGTTTTAACCATAAGCAGCATAAACTGCCTAGAAATTTTGAATTAGAATTATAACTATTCAATGTCAATGAATAGTTAACATATATTAACTGAGTTAATATATGTTAAAATAAAGTACGTTACTATTATATTTTGGTAATTCTTAAAATATACGTTATGTATAATAGTTATTTGTATATTAATAACTTTTATCCAGGAGTATTTCTCAAATTTTATGCCTTTAAAGAACTACATCTCAATTCCAGTCATTAAAGACAGAGATCTGTGTGTTCCCTGCAAAAAAGGAAGTCAGTTAAAAAAAAAAATTGGCATATGCATTTTCTTTTCCGGTTACCTAGCCACAGAGCCTTTCTCACTATGCTCTTAAATTCTAAACACAAAACAGGAGACACTTAGCATCTCATGTTAGAGTAAATTTTCTTGGGCTCCAAACTGCCTCTGGGGAAATACTAGGTCTTTTCTTGTGGCTGCAGTTTTGTGACTCTCTTTTGAATCAAAGAGGATCTAGGGGTGTGTAAGGTGTCCTCAGTCCTTGAGTTCTATGTAGGAATACATATCATTAGCAAATGGGCCCTGGTACTTAGGGTAAATTTAAGAGGGAGAAATGGGAGAAATGCTAGATCAAAAATTAGAACAAACTATTATTTTCCTGGTATCCAAAATTCTCATTTTTTCTTCAATAGCTTTCCTTTTCCCTTGTAGTAACATAATCCCCTGAGTTTTAGCTAGTGCATGGCTACCAAACTAGAAAAAAATATTTCCCAGCATTCTTTGTAATTAGGTTGGGCTTGTAACTAAGTTTTAGGCCAAGATATATGAGAAGGAGTATTTTGTGCAATCTCTGGGTAAAATAACTGAAAGTGAAATTGTTCTCTAATTTATCTCCTTTCCCTTTCCCATGGTGTGGACAGAACTGTGCCCTAGAAAGTAGGTATATTGACGTCATAATCCCCAATATGATTGTATTTGGAGATAGGGCCTTTGAAAAGATAATTAGTGTTAAATAAGGCCATAAGGGTGGGGACCTAATCCAATATGACTAGAGTCCTTATAGGAAGCAGAAGAGGCACTGAGGGTGTGCACACACAAAAGAAAGACCACATGAAAATACAGCAGGAAGGCAGCTGTCTGCAAGTCAAGAAGAGAGGCCTCAGGAGAAACCAAACCTGTCAGCACCGTGATCTTAGACATCTAACTTCCAGAGCTGTGATAAAATAAATTTCTATCGTTTAAGCTACCTAGTCCGTGTTATTTTCTTATGGCAGCCTAAGCAAACTAATACGCATATATTAAGAAGTTAAGACAGCTTAAGATGCTTCTGGGCTGAGACAATGGGGTTTTCTAGATATAAGATCATGTCATGTGCAAACAGAGACAGTTTGATGTCCTCTTTTCCTATTTGAATACCCTGTATTCCTTTCTCTTGCCTGATTGCCCTGGCCAGAACTTCCAATATTATGTTGAATAGGAGTGGTAAGAGAGAGCATCCTCGTCTTGTGCTGGTTTTCAAGGGGAAATGCTTCGTTGATAGGTGCAGCAAACCACCATGGCACACGTTTACCTGTGTAACAAACCTGCACATCCTGCACATGTATCCTGGAAGTTAAAATGAAATAAAATTAAATTAAAAGAAGAAAAGGAATTGTATATTTGAAATAGAAACAATAATAGCTAAGATGTTGCTAAAGTTTATTTACTGGCTCTAAAAAAAAAAGATAGTTCCAGTTTTATTTGTTGTAACAATATTACAATGATGTTTATTCTTTCCCTTAAAAAGAAAAAGTTAAGACAAGGCTAGAAAACCAGTTTCAACCATTTGACAAGGACAATAACATAATGAAATGCAGAGCAACAAGATAGAAGGAACCTGGGTATGTTTACAGATCCACTTTCCACTCCAGACAACAAAATTTCTATCTTGTTTTGTTGCATTTCTGTCTTGTTTGAGTCACTTATTTTGGGGTCTTGTGTAACAATATTTAAATTGTACTCTAACACAGGGTTTCTCAACCTTGCCACTGTTGACATTTTGGGTCAGTAATTCTTGTGGTAGAAGGCTGTCCTGTGCAGTGTAGATGCTTAGCAGCATCCCTGGCTTCTATATCTTACTCATTACTTTGAGGTATTGAGATCAATGTCAAGAAGGAGAGGCTGCATATGGAAATGTCATCCCCTTTTGTAAGTTATTTTTCCTTGGAGGATATTCCCTGATGATGTGGATTTTGGATATATAGTAGTTATGAAGTATTGGAGACTATCTCTTTGGGACAGGATACCTCAAAACACAGTTCAGACCATTGTGTCCTTCCCAGTGTCAATACATAAGGCCTACATAGCAAATATGATAAAACAAAAGGATTCCAGCTCTGTGTAATTATACCATAATCATTGAAAGGAGGCCTGAGATAAAAGAAAATGCAGGATGTTGCTGAGAATGCAGACTGGCAGGGAGTGACAAAGCTGCCATCCGGTGGAACGAAGGGGAAAGGATTTCCTTTGTCTGAAATATCCGCTGACTGCAGACTTGTCCTTCTTAAGATAGGCACCTTGTGTAGGTCACTCCAAATCTATATGAGTATTTTTCTTTTTAAGCCTCTTCACAATATCCGAATCTAGGTGTCAGGACCAAACAATGGAGACTTATAGGCTTGATAGGTAGAAAGTATGGCGTACAGGTTGGGAGCAAGAATTTCTTGAGCTCAGTTTTTTAATCAGATGTCTCTGCAGCCTTAGACACACTTGGGTAGAAATCATTAAAGGCACCAGTTCCCTTTAAGTTAGTCGCCATGGGGAATTGCCTGACATTCTAAGAAAACTAATTGATCCAGTTACAAGACTGAAAATTGCCATCTACCTTAGGCTAATCATACTGCATTATAGCTATTTATATAAATATCTGTCTGCAGATACAGTTGTGAGCTTTTGAAGGCACATTTCTACATCCCCAGTGCCTGACGCCTGGGGTCTCAAACAGTGTTCATCAGATGGTAGTTTCTTAGTAAATACTTGCTGAAGGGAATTGAAATTGATTATTAGCCTATGGGTACTTAAAAATATGTCTGGATTTCTGGTTTTAAAAAATATGCTTATGACTTCAAGTGTCCTCCTTCCTTTCTTCAAGGATCATTTTCTTTTAATATGCTTTAGAAAGCAGATGCTTATCTTATCCTCCCCAGATACATTTTGACATTCTGTGATTGTGCTGCTTTGCCTATTTGTTCCTTAATGCTATGATTGCTCTCCTGACCTTACAGAAAAAGTGATATGGAAAAAGCTATCCAACACAATTTCTCCATGCTTCAGAGCTATAAAACCACATAGTGGGAGATCATCTCTGGTTTTCCCTATTCTTTCTCGTTATCCTTCAAGCTGAGATGGACACACTGAGATGTCATGTCCTATTTGTTTTCTTCCTCACTCTAGCTTGTTGGCTTTAATATCAACTTTAATATCAACTTTAATATCAACAAGTTGTGTCTTCTCTGATAGCATGAAAGACCATCATGATTGGATGTACCAGCCTTAGCTTTTATATGTTTATCTTAACATGTCTATCCTCTCTACAGAAAGCTTATTTTTCAAACCTATTTGCATATTAGTAGGTGCAATATCATCAGTTTCCTGGAAAGAAAAACGTAGAGAACAAAGATTTAAGGTTGTTCTTAGAATAATATTCCCAATTCTGCAAAAAATATTATTGTGATGTATTAGTTTGTTAGGGTTACCATTATAAAGTACCACAAACTGAGTGGCTTAAACAACAGAAATCTGTTATCTCATAGTTCCGGAAGCTAGTAGTTCCTCTAGATGATAGCTGGGTTGGTTTCTTCTGAAGGATGTGAGAAAGAATCTCTCCCGTGCCTCTCACTTTGCTGCTGGTGGTTTGCTGGAAACCTTTGGTGATCCTTGGCCTGTAGAGTGTCACCCAGATCTCTGCCTTCATCTTTACATATAGGTCTCCCTATGTGATGGTCTGTGTCCAAATTTTCCCTTTTAAATGAGGGTATCAGTCACATTGGATTTGGTCCTACTCTAATGACCTCCTTTTAACTTGATTACCTCTGTAAAGACCCTATCTTCAAAAAAGGTCCCATTTTGAGGTACTGGGGATTAGACTGCAACATATCTTTTGGGGAAGATAAAATTCAACCTAAAACATCTAGTTACATTTATGTTGAATAGATTAGGAGTTAAGTTATTTGCCCAAGATTACAAACTAGTAAATAAAAAACCCCGAATGCATAAACATTCTTGCTTGACTTCAAGGTCCTTGTTCTTAAGCCACTGATTCTCTGTGGAGGTGGAGATGCTCCCATCTCCCAGGGAAGTTTGCAAATCTCTGGAGGTTTTTGACTCAGTAATTAGGAGAATGCTTTTGTCATTTATTGGGCAAGAGTCAGAGTTGCTAAATATACTGTAATGTGTGGAATGATCTTGCAATTGAAGAATTGTCCAGTTTCTTGCATGACTTTCTAATGCCCAGTCAGACTTTCCAGGAGGTGAAACACTGGATTCTAACTACCTGAATCCTGAACTTAACATGCAGAGTGCTTTTTGAAAGGATTTATTTCCCACTGAATTTTCAAAAATAAAACCATAGTGTAAGTGAGTGAAGATTGAACTTTATCACATTCAGAATTTCACCATGTAAGAAAATCTTATTAGTGGCTCACAGCACTTGTTGGTCTGATGGAGCACATATTCAGGTGTTCTGCACTCAGAGGCGTAGCATTTGCAGTGATTCTACATACTGGTCCAATTATGCAACTGTTTTATTATATCTTCTGCTCTAGTTGGTCATACCTGAGCATTTCTTGTTGAGATATATATTACAGAGTAAATAACTTCATTTTTATTTTCTGTTTCTCTCTCTCTCTCTCTCTCTCTCTCTCTCTCTCTCTCTCTCTATATATATATATATATATATATATATATATATATCTGGAAATAATGTGTATAAGTAGGCAAGTTTTGTTATGATGATTTTTATTTCTAAATAGTAAAAAAGGAAATACAACTATTTATTTTAAAAGAGAATCTTGAGTTTTGATAAGGTTGTGGATAACTCTGTACTCACAAATGCATTCATTCTCACGTCGCCATCAAGGTTTGCCATTTCTGTGTGTATACCTCCTGAGCTATTGCTTACTTGATGTTTTTCTTTATTCTGATTCACTGTTTCATTTTACTTAAATAAATTGTAAGCAAAAGAAAACTAAGCCACTACCATGAATACAAAACCAGGATTACTAACTTCAAATAGAAGGCAAACATAAATAAATATTAAATGAAAACATTTGTTTTAAGCTTTTTTTAAATTAGAAAAGTAAAAAGTATACTGGGTAATAATAGACCTAATCAATTTTATTATGCCAACCAGCATATATGTTATTTTATTTAATTTTCCCAGTAACCCTTCAAATAAATATGGATTATCTCCTATTTACAGATGAGGAAACTGTGATGTAGAAAAATGACTTAAACACAGGTCTAAATGTTATGTCATGAACAGGTCCCAATTTGTTGCCCCAGTCATTGTCCCTTATTTTATTTACAGATTGATGCACTTCAATTTATTTATTTTTACATTTTAAAATTTAATTATCTGATGACATAGTAAATGCCCCAAAAAGCCCAATTCTTTTTAATATGTTAGGTTTTCAATTGTTTGTGAAATGGATATATGGATACATACACACATATATATGTACATATATATATATATGCATATATGTATGTGTGTTTACATACACACACACACACACTTGTTACAGCAAAAATAATTTATTTATAATTAACTGCCTTTCTTTTTTAAGGGAGAATGCCTCCAAAGGGGGAACCTCTATTTACAAGCTGGATATGTATGAAGCAAATCTCAAACTGACCTAAGCTGTTGAATAAATGAAAACTGTTGTGTGGAAATAGGGAGGGCTGAAGAGGCTTCTTTAGCATTGGGATGGGTAGAGGAAAAGAAGGAAGAACTGTGAAAGATAGGAAGAAAAGAGGAGAAAAGGGGAGAGAGCAAAGGAAACAAATGGGGAAACGTGGTGATCTCGTGGTATTTTAGCCATCAACATGTCTAAAGGTAAATTTGATAATGCTAGCTGCATATTTTAGCTTCAAATACACATTTTAACTAATATGTACATATTCAAATGTAAGATATTTATGTTTTCCCCTTAAAATAATCTTGTGTACCATTAGAATTATTCATACCACTATTTGGGCAACACGCTATGTTCATGCAAGTGTACACATAAGCTGTCTGAATCAGGTATATTCATATTCAGTCTTATGATTTCAGATCCTGATAAAAAGGAAGCAAATTTCTTCATGACCTTCCTCTTTTACAATGAGCTATTCATGACAGATAATTACAGTAAGAAACATTACTTACTTAAAAACATTTTTATTGTGTATATTTAATATATGTATTACTCTATAGGATATATATATATATATATATATATATATATATATATATATATATATAGTAAAATGGTTACTGGGTGGAACAAATTAACATATCCATTATCTCACAGAGTTACCCACTTCCACCCCTGTGGCAAGAGCAGCTGTAAGCTACTCATTTAGCAAAAATCCCAAGTACAACACACTATTATTAACTATAGTCTTCTTCTTGTTCATTAGATCTTTCAACTTGTTCATGCTGCATATTTGCTGTTTTGTATCCTTTGAACTGCATCCCCCCAAATTTTTCTCCCCACCCCAATGTTAACCACTGTTTTGTTCTTTGTCTCTATATATTTGATCTGTTTTTCAGCTTATGATTCCATATATAAGTGAGATAATGCAAGTTTTCTTTCTGTGTCTGGCTTATTTCACTCAGTATAATGTTCTCCAAGTCACATCTATGTTGTGACAAATGGCAGGATCTCCTCCTTTTTTAAGGCTGAATAATATTCATATATATATATATATATATATATATCAGTTTATTTATCAAATTTTTATATTGATGGACACCTAAGTTTGTCCCATATCTTGGCTGTTGTGATTAGTGCTGCAATGAACATGGGAGTGCAGATATCTTTTTCTTTTAATATATACTCAGAAGACAGATTTCTGGGTCATATGGTAGTTCTATTTTTAATTTATTTAGGAACCCCCATACTGTTTTTCATAATGGCTTCACCAATCTACATTCCTACCAACAGTTTAGAAGGGTTCCCTTTTCTCTGCACCCCTGCCAACACTTGTTATCTCATGTCTTTTTGATAATAGCCATCCTAATGGTGTGAGATGATATTGCATAGTAGTTTTAATTTGCATTTCCCTGATGATTAGTGATGTGGAACACCATTTTATATGTCTATTGGTCATTTTTATGTCATCTTTGGAGAAGTATTCAAGTCCTTTGCTTATTTTTTATTTGTGTTATATGTTTCCTTGCCATTGAGTTGTACATGTTCTTTATCAATCTTGGATATTGACCTCATCTTCGATGTGTGGTTTGAAATTTTTTTTCTCAATTTGTAGGTTACCTTTTCATTTTGTTGACTGTTTCCCTTGCTATGCAGAAGGTTTTTAGTTTGACGTAGTCCTGTTTATTTAATTTTTGCTTTTGTAGACTGAATTTTTGGTGTAAGATTCAAGAAATCATTGCCAAGACCAATGTCTTGGAGAGGAGCTTTTCCTCCCCTATATTTTCTGCTAAGTGTTTTATGGTTTCAGGTCTTATATTTAGGTTTTTTTTATTGATTTTCAGTTGAATTTTGTGTATGGTGTATGATATGGATGCAATTTTATTCTTTGGAATGTGGAAGTCCAGTTTTTTTTCCCAGTATCATTTATTGAAGAGATTTTCCTTATCCTCTTGTGTCTTTTTGATGTCCTTGTCAAAATTAGTTCACCATATATGTTTGGATTTATATCTGGGCTCTCTATTCTGTTTCCCTGTTCTTTGTCTGTTTTTAATGCCTGCACTATTACATTTTTATTACTATAGCTTTATAATATAATTTTAAATCAGGAAGTCAAATGCTTCTAACCTTTTTTTTTCTTTAGTCAGAATCATTTTGACTATTTTGGGTCTTTGGTGGTTCCATATGAATTTTAGGATTATTTTCTGTCTGTGGATATGTCATTGAGATTTTAATAGGAATTGCATTGAATCTATATATTGTGTTGGGTAGTGTGGACATTTTAACAATATTAATTCTTCCAATCCATGAGCATGGACTATCTTTCCATTATTAGTCTCCTCTTCAGTGTCTTTCATCAGTGTCGTATAGCTTTCAGTGTAGATATCCTTCTCATCCATTATTTTGCTTCTAATACTAAGAAGATATTCTTAATGAGTTTTTTTACACTTAGTTATTCAATATGACTCTGGAAGATTTTTAGAATATTTGATTATGTCATCTAGTTATTTCAGAATTGGAACTCAAAATAGGAAAAGAGACAATGATTTGGGTTGTAAAATTTCAGAGTATTCCCAAAATAACAATTTTAAATTTGAAGCACATGTGACTTCCCCATTTGGCTGTTAGGTAATGGGCTCATAGCATTGCATATGGAATGTTCTTCACTTAACATACAAATTTCAGAGCAAAAGATGTCATGCCCACCCATTTAATAAATGAACAACAGCAAGAATGTACTTTTAAATAGAATGTGTTGTATCCAAATGAGTGTTTTTGTGAATACCAGAGTTCCTAGCGTGGACGACACTTGTAGTTGCTTTAGAATTTCACCACGTCTAAAGAACCAAGGATTAATTTTATCAAGAGCTAGTGAAACCAGGCTTGAGATCACACAAAATAAAAAGATAGTTTATTCTAAGATTGAGTGAGACCTGGGGAGAAAGGAAAGATCATTCTGAGCAAAACAAAATTATCTTCTCACCTAGCCCTCCCATTGATTCAAACCAGAGTCCAAGCCAAGAGAAAGGCAATACAACAGCAAATGCAATATTTTTTTATAAAGTTCTCCTCAGGCTGTTGAGAATGTTAAAGTCATTAGCACCGTGGGCATTAGGCTTATATAAATGGTAGCCTTGGCAGCAACTGAAAGCATCCAAGTGAGCCTGGAGGACAGCATAAAACTTAGATTCTTACTTCTTTGGAAGCCAAGAGGACTAGATTATAGGGACATTTCCTCTGAGTGTTAGGAGTACTTGTGAAGAGCCCCAGGGAGACTTGGTTTCCTGAATATGAGACCTTGTAATATTTTTCCTGTGTAATATATATGACCATATTTTTACTCACTGGGTTGTAGAGTCAAGGAAACTCAAAACAGTTTATCTAGTGTTCCAGTTATGACAAACTACTTTAGGAACTAGCAACTTAAAATAACAATAACTATATCTTACAATTTTGTGGGTCAGGAATTTAAGTTGGCCATGGGTGACTAATTCTTCTTCCATGTGGAGTTAGCAGAGGTTGGTATTTGATGGTGTTCAGTGGGGAAATGCACCTGTTTGGCAGGTATAAGATGGCTTCACTCATGTGTGGCATCTTGAAAGGCTGAGATCAGTTGAGACAGTGAACCAAAGTGCCTACGCAAGGCCTCGTCAGCATGGTGGGTTTGGGTAGTCGCTAGTCTGGTAGTCTAGTGTTTCATGAACCAGGCAGAAGCTGCAAGAATTTTTGTGAACTCATCTAGGAGATTACATAGCATAACTTCTGCCATACCATATTTAGTGGGGCAGCCACAAGTCCACTCAGATTCATGGGAAGGAGACCAAAATTCTACCTCTTGATAAGAAGAGTGTCAAAGAATGTGCAGTTGTGTTGCACAACTTCAATATCTAGTTTCCTAGAAACACATTTGGGGACGAGTGTGTGTGTCGCAACAGGCAAGAGAGCATTTGGTTCTGAAGCTTATAAAATTTGCAGTTTTCATAAAGTCTATAGGGCCACCAAACAGTTACCATGCTTCTTTCAACTAAGTGTATTCGAGAATGTTGGGTCAGATTATTGTGACTACTCTCAGTTGCTTTCTCCAGCTTGATTCATCTGAAGCCTTACCTGAGACTTTGCATGCCCTCAAATAGAAAGCATGCATTGTTCTTTATGTTTTGGCAAAAGATTTTATGAAGATTCTCCAATATATATTTTCAGTCTTGATAGGAGATTAATATTTTATATTTGCCTCTTAGGTCTTTTGCATTCAAGAGGTGAATCTCACAAATGCATTTATGGAAGACAACTTCAAAGTCATGGTAGCAGAAAGGCAAAGGGTTGAGAAAGTACGTGCACTGAAGGTAGCACATGCAGCCTGTATGGAGAGTCTGCCTTGCCGTTTATCTTTCTATTTGCACATAAGCTTTGTATTTGTAAATGTAGGCAGTCTTTCTTTTCTTCTTTTCGTCTATCTGAACAAGCTACTCTGAGAGAGCCTATTCTTTTCCTATGGTCATGACTAAAGTTGAATTGCTTAATCAATGAGCAGGAGTTTTACGTAAGTCCAGTTTTTGAAGTGCTCTTCACTGACCCACGCTCTGCAGCCAGAATGATGAGAAGAAAGTGAGACAAACGTAGAGATCAGGTCGCAGTGCATTCATCAGAAACTGCTTAGCTTAGCTTTTTCGGCTTAGATTTAGTGTTCAGTGATACTGCCTAACTAGATTCCTCCATACTTTCACTTCTTCAAAGTCAGCCTTAGCAACTACCTGACTTTGCACAGACAACTTCATAAAATAGAAGCAGCTAGCATTTACTGAGCGTTCACTGTGGGCCAAGCTCTGTGCTCTGCTCTTTGCCTGTGTTGTTGCTTCAATTTAATCCTTTCATCAACCCTTTGAGGAATATCCTATTACTATCATATTTCACAGTTAAAGATCCTGATTCACAGAGAAGTTAAGTGGGAGGGCTGGGATCCAAGTCCTGGCAATTCTGACTCCTGACCCCTTGTACTCTGAAATACTAAGTCATGCTCATGCACCTGGCAAACCTAAGCTTTCCACCTAGGAAGCCCATGACACTCCCTCACCTGCCCTTAGTCTATGACAGGGGATGGTAGGCATGCCAGGCACTATACATACCCCTTGGGGTGAGTGATTGACAAACTATCAAAGAAGGAGTAGCTCAATAATAGCTAGAATCAGAAAGTTTTGGAGTAGAATCTCAGCTCTCTACATTCAGTAAGTATGTATTCTAGTTCAGTGACTTTGCTTGTTTGAGCCCCAGCTTGATCTTTCCTAAAATAGAGATCCAATATCATCCTTATAGGTGTCTTATGAAGGGCCAAATGAGATAACCACTTTTCAGCACACATTATCAGGAACAGCCACATAATGTGCAAATGAAAGTGCAGATGCCTTTGTTAAAAAGTTGCTAAAAATTTCAAGACAGCACCAGCAGAGCGTTAAATGAAAGCATGGGGCCCTTCTAAGCATGCAGTCTATGTGACTGCACAGACCGCATGCCCATGAGGGTGGCCTTGTACATCATAACCATTTAATGAATATTCTTTCCACCCCTGATATTCTTCCCACCAGAAGAACCTGCCTACTCCCATTTCCCAGAGTGTTGGATCCTCAGAACCTCACATTAAGGAGCCTGGAATCTAATGCTTGGCCCTGGACTAACTTTGAACCCTGGCCTGTGGGCTGGTTTCTAGTTTTCCCTTACCTTATCAGAAAGCCATGAATATCTATCCATCTTCAACGAGATCCCACAAAAGTTTTGTGAGGTCTTAGCTAAGAGGATCTATGTCTCTTGAGTTGGATAGGAATTATAAAATTAACACAAAATTTACATCATTTACACATGCTTAAACTATACTAGCAACATGAATAATTATAATATCGACTGGCTACAATTATATTAAAATAGTGCTTTATTTTTCAGTGATGAGCCTTTACTCTATGTCATCCATCAAATTTACACAATCACTGGCACCAGAAATTCATGCTTCCTGACACTGTCTTAGGTCAGACCCTTACAATTTTGGTCCAGAGCTACAATAACTCATCTCAATCTGCAGACCAACCTCCAGTTCTGCACCCTCAAGTCTTTTCTCCTCACTGTCTCCAAAGCTGTCTTCCTGAAGTGTGTCCTGCAATCCCCAAGTGTGCATCTCCACAAAACACATGCTACTGTCTTATGACAGAGCCTTCAGGGGTGCCTCGTTGCCTTTCAGGATAAATAAAAACTCTTCACTCTGGCATATAAAGCCATTCATGAGCTAGTCCCAGCCTACAATCTCTTTAAACTCATCCTTCCCTGTTTCTGTCCTCCCTGTTCCCTTCATTTCTCATCATTCCCATGTCAGCACATCCCAGACTTCAGCCTAATTATTTTATAGTTTTGTTTTTTAAAAAATCTTCCATATTCTAACTTGCCTTGTGCCTTTGTACTCGGTGTTCCCCCTGCCAGGAATGCTACTCCCCACTTCCAAATTCCATCCTCATATTAAGCTAATAAAACTATTGAGATTCAATTCAAGCCTATTTCATCTATGAGGCTTTCAACTATGACCTTCTGTTTCACACAGTGTTTCCATGTGTCACAGTAGGCACCACCTTGTGTTATAACTTTCTCTTTATGCATCTCTGTTTCATTATGCATGTTTGAGGGTGACATTGGTACCATATTAATCTTGTTATCTACAGTGCCTAGAATAGTTCCTGATATATAGTAAATGCTATTTGCTGAATGGGCGAATGAATAAATAGTTTTTCTTGCTGTTTCAATTGAAGCCCTATATTGCTTCCATGTTAGAATAGCCTTGAGATGTTGTATACGTCTCCCTATATTCTCACATAAACTCATTTTGCTTTTCTATTTCAACTTTATGGTTACCTTTCCTCCCAAGAAAGACCTCTGACCTCATCCTTCACTTTTCTTTCTATTTCTAGACATTAATTCCTTTGCTGGAATATTTTATTTTTCTCTCCTTAGAGAACATATTTCAATTCTCTGTCTTACACAGAGAGAGGGATTGGTGGTCTGGAGTTTTCTGCTGGGTTGATAAATTAACATCTGTTTGTATGGGAAGTGACCGGGTTGTTCTAAGGCATTTTAATTCAGGCATGTGGACTGGGGTCTGAAGGATTGTTCATTGACATCTCTGTGCTCTGCCTCAGTCCTGTCTGTCACAGCCGCCTCTGGGAGGTTGGGCCAATAAAGGCACAAAGGAGGTAAACAAAAAAGGCAGCTGAGAGAAGTGAGTGTGTCCCCTGAGCATGCTGGCAAGAAAAGGCCAGGGGAAAGCACCTGAGAAGACAGCCGCTAGAATGCAGCTGATGCCAGCAACTTGCACACAACTCAGAAATCCCCATGCCTGATGATGGAGACAATGGGACCACTCTGAATGTGAAAAGAATACGTATTTTACTCTACCTAGAAACTCCGGCATGTAAATAGCTCTGAAGGCTGAAAGAGCTCTCTAAGAAGTAGTTCAATGTTGGCCTTTAGCAACTTTGCAGGATGTTCGAAGGAATTCACATTTTCAGATGCATATTTGAGAAGAAAAATGTAGTAAAAATTATCTTATCATAGAAAGCATTTTTAACCATTTCTAGTGGGTTAGAATGGAAAAAAATGTGACCTTTGTGTGTGAAGGCTCGAGTTTGAGTCCTTGCACAGTCACCAAGGTGCTGTAGGTGATCTTAGCCAAGCTGATTAACCCTACAATATCTAATCTTGCCTGTAAGAGCAAGCAGAAATATTTAGCTCTTAAAAGCATTTAAGAGAATCGGATAAAGAAAGTAAGCTATAGAAAATATGAAGAAACACATAAATGCTTGTTGTATTGACTCTCAGAGTCTACATTCATATCTACCAGACCAAAAGGCTTCTGTCCCTTATGAACTATGTGATTTTGAGCAATTAACTTCAACTTCCCGAGCCTCAGTTTTCTCTTCTGTAATATGGCAATAACAGTAATAGCATCTGTTTCATAGGCTTAAGTGAAGTGTAAAGTGCCTTGCACAGTGTCTGACACATAATATGTGCTCAGTAAGTGTTAACTGTCACTCTTGTAACCAATAGTATTACTATTACAAAGTTTGAATTCATCTTACAATAATTTAGTTCATTATCTGAGCACAGAGTTTAGAATACCTGTTATGTTTGGGTCAGTCCTTCTGTTTTGCACGTAAGAATACAAGAAAAGGGAAAACATAAACCTTGCCCTCCTGTACCTTATGGTCTATTAAGAGAGAATGACTAATCAAATAATCACACAAACATATTAGGAAGTTTGAAGGCAAGTTGCAGGCTCCTATGGTAGAGAATAACAGGGGGATCTGACCAAATATGGAGTTCAAGGAAAACCTCATCAAGGAAATTATATTTGAGTTGACTTTTGAAGGATGAGTAGAAATTGACTACATGGAGGAAAGAATGAAAGCATTCTAGTCAAAGAGAGCCACGTATGCAAAGTTCCTGGGAGAGACTATCTTATTTGAGACACGGAGAGAAGGCCAGTTTAGCTGGAGGGCAGATAGCTGTTTATCACATAGGAGAAGGTAGGTAAACCAAGTTAGATCACTTGGGATTTTGTCGACTATTCTCAGGCTATTGAGAGTCAACTTAGTGCAGTCAAAGTGTTTTAAGCAGGAAAGTCACATGATGAAAATTTCATTTAACAAAGAACATTTTTGCTGCCATATGAGTAATCCACATAAGAGATGATGGTCATTAAGGCAGGTCCTACTCAGAGTGTGATGTGAAGACCAGCAGCATCAGCATACCCTGGGATTTATTGAGTGCCACCCAGACCTACAAATCAAATCTGGGGATGGGGCCCAGCACTCAGTGTTTTCACAAGCACTCCAGGTGATTCTGATGCTCACTAAAGGTTGAGAAGCCATGGCTTGGTCCAGGATGTAGCCAGTGAAGACTGAAGAGTGAATGGATTTAAAACCAATTTCAGAGGTTAGCTGCTAGAATTGACAAGATTTGGCAATATCTTTACTTTGGGAAATGAGAAAGAAGGAAGCATCAAGGATGACTCTAAATTGTGCATCTAAAGAAACCACCTAATCTGACTTTTTATACTTCGTTGTGTGTATAGATATATCTGTTTTGAGATTAGAGAAGATGAAGGACTAGGGTGTGGATTTTGGTTTACGTGTGTTTGTTTGTTTAAGCATGTACTAATCCACAGAGCACTGTTGATGAGATCTAAGAAGCATCATTATAAAAAATGACTTCAGATGAAAAAAATAACTTATAACTCGGACCATCTCAACCCATTGGCAATATAAGCAAGTTATCACTGGAGAGCTCATATCCTCTATGATAAGGAGAGCTATTTTTCTTTAAGTCTTTACTTTCCCAAAATTTCTCAATTTTGAGTCCCCCAAATTATCTTTTGAAACATCATGTTCCACTATTTTTAAAAAAATACCTTTTCAGAACTATACTAGGAGTGAAACAGTAAAAGAAATCTTGTTAAAAATGCTACTAAGATAATATACTATTAAAAGGAGAAACATTAAACTCAGAATGTGTTTTGAGATTAAAAAAGTCGCTGACCACCTAAGATTGTTACACTCTGTATAATGTCTATAATGATTTTTTAAAGGTACCTATTCTTTTTCATGCATATAAGAGACAGCCAGAGTGGACATTTCTCACGTTTTTAACTTTCTAGTTGCTTTGATCTGACTCTGTGTAGACTCAGACCACAATCTCCATTTCACTTCTTTAGACTCATGATTTACATATCTTTCGCTTTGTAATGCAGCTGAGAAAGCTCCTACTCAGTGCCATAATTCCCAAAGCAGCTTCCGCTCATGGATTTCAAAGTAAAAGCCTTATCAGAGATCCCTCTAGGCCATTGGTGGCCAACCCTATTTTTCAAGTGAAGGAGAGTTAATTATATGCTCAATATCAAACTGGAAAGAAAATGTCTAGCCTTTATTTAGGAAAACAGTGTTGTCTGATTGGATGATCTTTTACAAGACACCACTATGACATAGTCTAGGCTCCTTCTCAAGGAAAACTGTCTATATGATTTTTACACTAACAAATAGTGCTTCTTAAATACTTTGGTAGTATATAGTCTTCTTAAATCTCCAAAGAATCAAGAATTAATTCCTAGTGTACAGTAATCTTTAGGCTTCTACATCAAATGTTGGCTAATTATGACCTGTATCTGGCAGGATGCCTGTTTTTCTAAATGAAGTTTTACTATGCTCATTTTTTAATGTATTGTCTATTACTCCAAAAGCAAAGTTGAGTAGTTGAGACAGAGACCATATGCTCTGTAAAGCCAAAAATATTTAGTCTCTGGTCCTTTGTAGAACAAGTTTGCTGACCTTTGAAGATGAATAACCAAATCTGTTAGATTGCATACCCAATTGGAACCCTCACAGTTTAGAAGGATTCTGAATTTTCATTTCTTAATGACACATATGGTCTCAAAATGTATTTTTTTCTGTTGTAGGAAAATGCCTGTAATCATATGGGAAAATGTTTTGCACAAATTTATTTTTCACAAAACGATTTCTGTCTTAGAGCAGGTGTCTGGTGAGTAACGCAAGGATAAGCTTATTGGTGCTGATACCTCACCTGAGTAGTCTGAGTACAGTGATGCCTACCTGGACACCAGGTTTTGGCCTCAAGTTCTAGTGAGGTGCCCACTTTATTTTAGGAGAGAAGCAGTAAGTTGAGGAAGATGTCTGTTTTGCCTCACATGTCTGCCAAGTTGTGACTCAGGGCAATCTGGCACAGTGTTCACAAGTCTTCGTTAAGAGTTGAGTTTGCACAATGGAAGAAATGTTCAGTATGTTTGTTGTCTGCATATTCTTGGAAAGTGCTAAATTGCCACCTAAAACTGTAATCATATATTTATACACTGGAGAATTGTCATGAGATCCTTAACCATTTCTTTTTACTTCTTTTCTTATTTCCAAATTCTCGTCTCAATATTTCTGCTTTCTTACATAGGATGTATTTTTCATTCATTTCACTGCATTTGTCTAACCTTTTAGACACAAATTCTAAATCTGAAACTAATTTCTTAAAAAGGACTTGGTCAAAGTTGAATTTGTTACATGTCCTAGCTTATGTTATCAAAAAAATAATAGCAATATATAGAACCATAATATTTCCTTTTTAATATATCAAAAATAGATCATTCACTCCTGTGATAATGATTCCTTTGGTAATTTCTTTTAACATGTGTTGAAATGCACTGTGTTTTGGCAGAAAGCTCATGAAACTGAGAGTCATATGATTTGAGGTCTAGTCCCAACTCTTAAAACAATTAGCATTTTTGACTTCAGTTTACTGAACCACTCTGAACTCATGATTTTCATCTTTACAATAAACAGTTCCATCTCATCATCTTTAAGATCTTTTTTAACTCGAGCAATCTGAAATGCCTTTGTATGTTTCAACTTAATATTATGTTAGATGTTCAAAGAAACACTGAATTCTCCATTTTTAAAGTGGAGTATGATATGTGTTTCCTTCATTTAACAATGAAATGTTTCATACATACACAAAGGAGAAATTATTGGAACAAATATCCACTTTACACCACCACCTAACTTTAAGATATATTAAAACTAAACCATAATTGTCCATGATTGTTTTTATGGTTAAATAAATGAAGCATTACATATACAGGTAAAGCCCTTACTTTATATAACTATTTAAAATGCATATAATACTTCACAGCTCTTAACCCTGGCCTCCTCAAAGCTCTTAACCATGAGAATTAGCCATATAACCAGTATGCAGATGTGGTATGAACAGGTGTAAAATTATACCTGAGAATATTCAGCAAGTAAATGGCAAAGTAAATGACTGTTACTTCCAGTCTCAGAAGATGAATCCAGGGACTTGACCACATGCAACGCCATCTAAATCCTGCATGTTCCTGTTACATCTTGACCCTTCTTTTCTAAAGATACAGTTTTGTATTTAGTGTTCTTTGGAAGTAACACAAATTTGTTCTGATCATCTTAAGCAAAAATAATAATTCACTGAAAAATATATGGCATAACTTATCAAATCAAATAAATTAATGAGAATCTGAACCTTGAAAAAGACAAAAAGCAGTAGGGTTCTGTAAGTTCTAGGTAGCAAGAATAATTGGAAAGGTTTTTCCTGGCTTCATTATTGAATGAACGTAATTCCTTTGTTTTTGACCTTGGATTCATCAAATCAAGATTAAAATTACCAGAAGAGAAAGACTGATTGCTTCATTTTGGATGGTTTGCCCATTCCTCCAGTGAGGGTTTGCAGAGCACCAGATGGTTCTACCAAGGCTGCATGCAGAAAGGAGGTTTGGTTCCCAGTAAAATTTTGAGGTACAATGACAAGAAGAAGGGGGCATAGATGATATTCTGCCAAAAATATGAGAGGTAAACTATACTAATTATGTCACCTCAGAATGTGCCTGTCCTGTCTGTGATTACAGGAGAGTAGTTGGCTGATGGCCCCAGCTGCGGTGCTCTGAAACGCATCACCGGATCAGCCAAAGTTTTCATGGGCTGCTTCTAGCCAATGATTGAGTGAGGCAGGGTTGCTAAGACAGGTCTGTTCCTAGGAAATGAGGAACTGCTTAGAACTGTGCTGCAATCTAGACACTTCCTTTCATCCAGTTTTTCTTCCTTCTTCTCTCCTTCACTTGACATCAAAACTGCATCATGGTCTTCTCATAGTTTGCTTCTAAGAAGACCTGGAATAACACACAAATAGTTCATTAATATTCAAAAGCAACATTAAGTGGCATTTTCATGAATAATTCTTTAAGAATGTCATGCTACAATCCTATAGCCTCTTCTCCCACACTTTCCTACATTTCTCCTTTACCCTGCTCTCCTTTTTCTTTTTTCCTATAGCATTTAAGACCTTCTAATAAACTATATAATTTGCTTATATATTGCATTTATAATTTATTGTTTTTCACTCCAATTAGAATATACGTCCTTTCAGGGATAAGACAGAGATCTATTCTGTTTTGTTCACTGATGTATCCAAACAGTTAACAATAGTGCCTGCCATTGCAGGCACTCAATAAATATCCACTGAATGAATGAATAACTTTATGTCCAATTGCTTGCAATGTAATTTCCAAATGTTTTCTTTTGGATCCTAAACTAGATAATCCCAGAGTCCCAGATCCTCATAACAATGTTGAGTTCATACAGACGTTATGTTTATTGGAACCAACAATTATTCTCATTGCTCTGCAAAGGCCATAGATTCCTCCAACTAAAGCCTTGTGCAATTAGAGAGGGTTAACTTAATCCTCAAATTCTCATTTAAAGCAAGTTATTTCTCACTAAACAATTGCAAATTTGAAGAAATCTTAAATTGCTTTTCTTAAAGAAAAGTATCAAGAGAGTGGGTTTGTTTCAGTGCCTTGTTCTCACAAAGAAGTGCTTAGAAGTAGCAATCATGAAACCAAACCTGTCAGATCAGACATTTGTCTGCTCACTACCAATTGTCCATCACATGTGGCCTTCTTTTCTCCAGAGGATCATTGAAAAGATAGAGCCATAAGTCAGACATTAATTGGGGCTTAGTTCTCTTTGCTATTTTCAGTCTTAGCAGATGAATCCAGGGAATGTTACTCTGCATCCTACACAGAGCTGCCATGGTATACAGATCACCATTTCTGAAGCTTCCTAAGAGAGCAAGAAGCAAAAACATACCGGGAGGCAGAAGCATGCAGCAGCTTTGTGAATGAGGTCAGAATATGGTGCCTCATATGTTAGCAGCTTAGGTAACTACACTTAGATACTGTAATCACAAAGCTTGTATAAGTACATTCTCTTTGTCTCAACCTGGGACTGGCAGCAGCACCAGTGGTGTTTTTCTGATCCCAGTCTCATTGGATACTCAAGCAAATTTAAAAATTAACGCCACATATACCTTAATGAAGGATGTTTTTCAGTCTTAAACTAAAATAGCTGAATCTTGTTTTAAATAGTGGTTCTACTCTTATTCCTGGTTTGAGAGTGAAATTCTTTTTATTATAAAAAGGCTTTACTGCACTTTTTTCATTTAAAATAGGATTTTTTTAGAGCATGTATATAATCGTGTCCTATAGTATGTGTAGAAAGGAGAATTAAATTGACTTGAAACTCAATGTTTAAAACATTGTCCATAGAAGAGGATCATTCCCAGAATATTACATTAATAGTAAGGCAAAATTAGAAAATCAAACTCAGACTTGTGTTTAAATTCCATTTCTTCACAGGACTGTTGTGTGACCTGAAGAAAATACTACACATCTCAATCTCCATAATTGTAAAATATAGTTCAGTGCAGTAAAATGTTGATCAGGTTGATCAGTGGGAAATTTAAATATAATACATGCAAGACGTGTTGTACAATGTTAGCACATAATACACTCTTAATAGAATACAGCAATCACTAGGTCCTTGCTGTGTGTGTTGTTTTCAGGGCCTCTTTATCTCCAGTTCTCATTGGACTGTACTCAGTTGTTCCATTTCCTACTATAAAACTATCGCTGCTGAATTTGTGTTTAACTGTACATGGAAACTCCTTTCAACTGTAGGTAAGAATTATCTGTGTTTACCATGGGAACCAATTTGGTTTTCTTAAAGCAAGTATTAGTTCTACTGGTCAATAACCCCAGTTAATTTGTTGAGCAAGGATGTTGGATGTATTGACTAAATCATGTCTTGGGGATATTTTTGCACCTGAAGTTTCCAGGCTCCTCTTGTTCCTAATTATTAGAGATTTCTGAGAGGTGGCTATACATACACCTGGGAAATGAATAAAGTACTTTTATTTAAGGAGAAAGGTAACTTGGATCAAAATGAAAAGAGGATTAAAAACTTGACACGTTTCAATCAGTTAATCATAACTTGATTTCCCTTCCCTTCCCTCCCCTCCCCACCCCTCCCCTCCCCTCCCCACCCCTCCCCTCCCCACCCCTCCCCTCCCCTTCCCTTCCCTCTCTCTCTCTCTCAGTCAGATATTCTGACTTAACATAGCACTTTTCTCAAAAGTTTGAAATGGAAGTATCCATTAGAACATATTTTAAATTATCAAGAATATATAAAAAATTATTCCCCAGAAATATGATCTCATCATTCTTATTGCTCCAGTCTTGAACTCTTTACATCTCTACCTCAAATCACTGGAGTTGACAGAATCCTACTATATATTTCTTCATGCTTATTCTAGAAAACCTGAAAATAAAGATGCTGAAAAGAAAAGGAAATTAAACCATAATTTACAATCCACCATTGTGGATTTTATGTTTATTCTGCCAGTGTTTTTTCAACTCAATATAGTATGCGTATTCTACCCATCTGTTTTTAACGCAAAAAGAAGTTTAAAACACAGTGTGTTTTATTTTTCATTAAACATTGAAATGAAGGGTATCCTTAGCCACCACCCAGTTCAGGGAGCTCTCCAGCTGTGTCAGTTCATCTCCTGTCTACCCCCCACGCTGCCCTCCACTGTTACACAGGGAGTCAGGAAACCAGTGCCATTTACTTTGGCTCACTAGTATCCTGGGGCATTTGGAGGAGGGGTATTGACCCGACGTAAATTCAGTGAGGACTGAGCAAAGACTTGCAGCCTATATGAGCTGCATTGTAGATAGATGGTCCCTGGAAGAAATGTTCACTGCAGATAAGGTGAAGCTTTTACCTCATGTTTTCTAAAGAACCATTACTTTCATCTCTTAGTATAGTACAAACATCAGGAAGGGCTGGTGACGATGCTGTAGAGACTTATTTGCCAAGCAGCTTTGGGTATTCCAGGGAACATTCCCCTCCTTTTTAACATGACACCTTTTTTTAGTTCACCTCTTTGCACGTCCATCACATTCCCGTATTTTCTAGTCCCTTGAAAGACACTTTCCATATTGATTAGAGTCTGGAATGTTGTGCTGATTTGAGCAAACAGTGAAAAGCCGTCAGGTGTTTTTAATCGGGATCCTGTATTGTCAAAGGTTGTTGGCAGTAGCATGGGAGGAAGACTAGAGGCAGGAAGAATACTTTGGAAAAGTGGGCAAGAGATGACTGAAACCGAACAAAACAGTAGCAAATATAATAAAGTGGAGGGGTAACTTGGAGCTTTCTGGTAGATTCAGTTAGGACTGAATTACTGCCCCACTCTTTCTGCTGAAGAAATGAGTGTCCCTTCACCCAGCCACAATTCATAGCAGCCTTGTTTACTCACCTGCAGCTCTTTCCCCACTCCCACCCCAATATGTATATGTGTGTGTGTGTGTGTGTGTGTGTGTGTGTGTGTGTATACATGTATGTATTTTCTCTGGACTAATTTCTAAAAACTGGCAAGCCTGTTATTTTATCATTAAGTAGCACTGAGACAATGGTTGTAGAGAACAAGACTCATCAGACTTAATGTGAACTAGGAGGAACACCTGGAAATGTTTAGGTCACATAACCCTGATGCTCTTAACCCTTGGGATATTATGTTATTGTTGCTATAATTTCAAAAAGTAAAGATGTTATGTATTTATCATTAAAAATTTATTCAAAATCCTGCTTGATATTAGAAACAAGAGAACATCAAATGTGTCCATATCTCACTTTGACCTATTGTGTTATATTGAGCAATGCACTATTTCCCATCATGACAGCACAGTCATTAAAGAGAGTGGGACCACTCACAACTCAGTTTTCCTTATACCTGCACCTCCTTGTATTAAGTTATTAAACCATGAACCCATACTAGAAACATTATTATTAGTTAGCTATTATGAGTTTTTATCTATTGACAAATATATTTTAGTGCTGTCTGGAAAGCATATGAGTTCTCTAATAATTATAAATATTAGCAAAAATTAGTACAGCTACTATGAAGAAAAGTATGGAATGGTCTTCAAAAACCCACAGATAAAACTTCCATATAATCCAGCAATTCCATTACCATGTATATATCCCAAAGAAAGGAAATCAATATATTAAAGAGATATCTGCATTCCTGTATTTATTGCAGCACTATTCACAATATCCAAGTTATGGAATCAACCTAAGTGCCCATCAAGGTATGGATAAAGTGTGATATATATACATAATGGAATATTATTTGGCCATAAAAAATGAAGTTCTGTCATTTGCAGAAGAAACATTGATAGAACTGGAGGCCCTTATGTTGAGTGACAGAAGTCAAGCACAGAAAGACAAATATTGCATGTTCTCATTCATATTTGAGAGCTAAAAAAGTGGCTCTTATGAAGATAGAGGGTAGACTGTTGGTTACCCTAGACTAGGAAGGGGAGGCAGGGGGATGAAGGGAAAAATATCTATAAAGATATTTATTACCACTGAACTGTATATTTAAAAATGGTAAAGATGGGCTGTGCATGGTGGCTTATGCCTGTAATTCAAGTGCTTTGAGAGGCCAAGGTGGCAGGATCCCTTGAACACCGGAGTTTGAGACCAGCGTGGGAAACATAGGGAGATCCCCATCTCTACAGAAAAATTTAAAACTAGCCAGGCGTGGTGGTGCACGTCTGTAGTCCTAGCTACTTGGGAGGCTGAGGTGGCAGGATTGTTTGACTCTAAAGTAGGCTGTGATCATGCCACTGCACTCCTACCTGTGTGATAGAGTAAGACTTTCTCTTAAAAAACAAAAAGGCACAGGTGGTAAACTATGTATGTATGTTTTACCTCAATAAAAAGAAATACACAAAAATATTAGCAAGTCAAATTATCCTGCATCCTTGTTTCCCAATCAAGAAAAAGAAAGTACCAAAATGGAGACAAGGGACATTCCACCAGATTTAAGCTTTTGTGTAACTATTCAATTCCAAAAATAGATTTTTCCATATAAGGTAAAAACCTTGTTTTCTCTCCACAATTGTATTTATCCATAGAAATTAAAGGTGTCATTAACCTAAATCCTGTCAGAGCCTCATCTGTGTTGACACTCTCCAACCCACATGGTAATTACTGCTGCTATATAAAGAAGGAGTTAAAATTCTCATGAAATGTCTGCCCTCTGACTCTGCTCTTATCATTCACATCTCTGAATTTGAGGCTGTGGGACTTGCAGCCTCCCACCTTAACCCTAAGAGAGATTTGTTGCACTGGGCCTGAATTGCTCTTGACTGAAAGAGTTGATCATTGTGCCCACAGGTAAGAGAGGAAGAGCCAGATCCTGGAGAATAGTCTTGAATTATTGCATTCATAAGAGGTGAAAGGTGTCATTAGAAATGCAGGGTGGAGGGCTTGCTGGAAAGATTTAGGAAAGCAGAGAAGCAAAGGATAAGCGAGCATGCTAAGTATAAAGAGTCTTGCATTGAACATGATTGGTAGCTTTTGGCATCTATTATCTTTCTAGAAGATAATGCAGTTGGTATATGCTTTGTGTTCTTCTAAAATTGAGAAAGAAAAGCATAAATATACCTGAATATTCGTAAGATTATTGGTGTGGATAAATCTGGAGGGACAGTTGAAAGGAAAAAAGGAAGGAGGGAGGGAAGGAGGGAGGGAAGGAGGGAGAGATGGAGGGAGAAAGGCAGGCAGGAAGGAAGGAAAGGGAAGGGAAGGAAGGAAGGAGGGAAATGAGGAAGGGAGGGAGGGAGGGAAGGAACAAAGGAAGGAGGGAAATAAGGGAGGAAGGGAGGGAGGGAGGGAGGAGGAAGGGAGGGAGGGAAGGAAGGAAATAGTTTTTATGCCCTTTACACTGTTTCTCTCATAAACTTTTTTGTCATATAGGCACTAGGAAGGTAGACATCAGCCTAGTTCATGTAAAATCATTCCAAAGCTTGAATTTAGAAAGATCCAAAGTAATGAAGTTTTATTGAATTTATAAAATGTTAGTGATCACATCACTGTAACTTAAAAGACAAATCTCAAAGTAAACTTTCAGTTATTCCAGAATATAATGTGAAATGATGGCTGTGCCTCAAGGGCTGATCAGTGAATATTGCCATATCAACAGCTGTTTCCTTGGTTTTCACCTCATGTGGTTTTGGCTCTTTCCAAAATATATTGGTGCACCTATGCAAAGGCTCTTTGGAGACAGTAATGATACTTGTCTGAGTACACAGATAGAAGATTTTCAGGAAAATTAATAGCCTCGGTTATGATTTGGTGATGTTCTTGCAAGGTAATTGACAGAGAGGTGCTTTAAAATGTCAACCAAAATGTCAGATTTCATACCGTTCTTTGTGTCCCCACTATTACTTTCTCTAAGGTCTGATTATTAGTTTAGCCTGATGGCTCTTTTTGTTTCTATCATAGCTACAGCATTGAAAAAGGCTCCCAGTCTGAAATGGTGACCATAGATAAAATTTCAATTAAGAACCATTCTGGGATGACGAGGATAGCAGTGTTTGGCTATGGGTATGGCTCATTTATGAGGCTTCTCCATGAATCACAAACACTTGAGTTGATTTATTGTCTCAGCATTTTTGGGGTCACTGTATTCACTACTGGAGTGAAGGATGTGACAATGTTACAATGAAGGGAACCAAGTTCCAGATGGGTTAATCGACTTCCCTATCGTTTCATGGCTAGTTAGTATTAGAACCATGGTTAGATCCCAGGTCTTCTAGAGCCTGGTAATGAGCTATTGAAATGAGATTGCCATGGCATAGATATTGGGGCAGATGAATGAAATGGGATGCCATAGGGCTAAAAAAAAAAAAAAAATAAGGAGGAAATCATGACTCTAAAACTATTGGGAGAATACAGAGGAACGAGCATATTTTATATTCCATGTGTAACTTATGAGAGCAGCACATCATACATCATCCAACCATTCTTTTAAACAAATACAGCAGCAGCTACGATAAAATAAGACTTTTATATCAGATGGCTCCTAAATATAAATTAGTGGCTTCACCTGGTGTTTAACTGCAGAAAAAAATGATAGATCCCAAGGCTGGATGAATACATAGCTGTGTTGGAAATTATGAGGTCTAATACAGTGTATGCAAGACAACTCAAAATATCAGGGATATTTCTGACCCTCATATTTTTGTCTTATACCCTGACTTTGAAATCAACACCCAAATAAGACAAGAATTCACAGTATTGAAGTCTTTTTCCCCTCATCAAAAGAAAATGAAGGAAAATTATGTATGAATAGATTAATAGTTTAGTTTTTAAGCAACAACAACTTTATCATCATTTTCAAATATTCCTGTCCAGAATGCCTTTCAGTAGGAAATACAGTGCAAGATTTTTTTACATATTTCTAAAATACATATTTTAAAATATATTTAAACATTGAAAATATAAGCTTTAGGCAGTACCATTTGGCTACTATATTTTGAATTTGAATCTTAATGACATTTCTCATGGTTTTTTGCTCAAAAATTGAATGGAATTTGATTATTTCTTCTTCAAATATTTTTTGAAATGTGACATGCTTACTGAAAAATACATGTAAGCATTTAAGAACTGAACACTCCTATGTAAACAGCATAAAGATCATGTAACAAAACTTGACCAGCATCCTACAACTCCCAGACCTGAATGCCTTTCTAATCACAATTTCCCCAAAGTAACCGTTAACCTGACTTTTAACATCATAGATTAGTTCTGCCTGTTTTTGTATTTAATGTAAACAAATTCTTATTGCATTCTATTTGTGTTTACGTATTTTACTTACATTATATTAGTGATATTCATCTATTTGGTTTCAAATGATTGTAAGTCACTCATTCACGCTGATGTATAATGTTGTATTGTGAAACTAAATTTTAATACTACCTGTGTTTAAAGTAGATGTATTAATTTGAATCAGCCAGCAATGTATGAGAGTTTAAGTGGCTGTGCACGCTCCCCAAAACTTGATACTTTTCACCTTTTTTATTTTAGCATTCTGTTGGGCAAGCTTTGATTTTTAAATTGACTAAATAAACCTCTGGCAAACTCATACCAAACAAAGGTCTTTATTGAAGAACGAGTGTGTGCTGGGGGTGGGAAGGGGCAATCTCTCATAAAGTGGAATGCTTCAGCATCAACGAGTTCAAAGAGGAAATGCAGTTTGAATAATGTAAGCAGAAATGTCTCAGCACAGACAAGTGTTTTTGTTTAAAATACTTCTTTATTTTCAGAAAAAGCATTTCCTTTGGAATGAAGAGAGATGTATATAGGATAGAAATTTATGGAACCTGAAAACTGACATTTTTAAGATGGAGGGAGTTGTGGGATTGAAGAAAACACTAAGGGCTTTATTTTTTATTGATGATTGAGATTTCCATAGAGATAACACAAGGCAATGGTTGATTTGTATTTTTTTTTCTTTACTGTTGCAGGGTCTCCATTTTGGTGCCTACTGGATATTGTTCCCATAAAGAATGAAAAAGGAGATGTAGTACTTTTTCTGGCCTCGTTCAAAGATATAACAGATACAAAAGTGAAGATTACTCCAGAAGATAAAAAAGAAGGTTTGTACCGTTTTCAGAAAACATTGACAGATGGAGTAACATTTTGAAATTGTTTACTTAAAAACTCTTGGAGAAAAACATGCATTTTTAATAACAGCAACTGATAAATATTCGTAACTGTTAGCAGTCAGCATTTGGTGCATATTCCAAATCACAGACTCACATGCATTTACATTCTATCGTCTTTATAATAAAGACACACTTGACAGGAACTAGAAGTTCATATTCCTATGCTAATATGAGGAGGATGAGAAAACAGTTTATCACAATGTAAGGATTAACACCACTTCATTGTATTAGGCAAAAATTAATGGATGGGATAAGTGTCTTTAGGAGGATGTGATTTAAAATACATCTCTCCATTTCCTCTAGATTGCTGTAGCTCAAAACTTAGATGTGCGAAGTGTAGTTATGTACAAAGTTAAGAACTCTAGCTTAGTGGTTGTTAGAATAGAATGTTGCAAACAAATGTGAATCCTGTACCTTATTGTATATAAGAATATAATACTTGGTTTTAAGACATAAACAAGCTTTTCAGTTATCTTTAAAGGAGTCTGAGAATTTGTGTTGTTTACCTTGTATCTTCTGGTTATAATTTATTAAGAAATTCTTTGCATTTTGTATAAGCTGACAAAAGTTAACACTGAAAAACTGCTGATATTATTTGTTTTAAACCAAAGTAGGATTCTAGTCACCAGAGAAAAAGCAATTATCCTTTGTGGATTTCTATGTAGTAAGTTCTTTTTTAGAATCAGCTACTTGACATTTCAACAGCTATGTCTTTTTAGGAATGGACTCTTTTATTCCAGCTCTTTTTTAAAATGTGTGTGATTGTTTTCAATACATTATGTTTCTTGAAATGACAACCCAAATGAACAGATATGATAGTTTGGTGCTCTCACTTCTAGCATTTGAAAGCCTTGCAAATGCATGTCTGTTTTGCTGTATATTGGCATGACTAAATTATGTAGTGTATTTTACATATGCAAGGGAAGAGCCATATTAAAATTAAAGTTGCTTGAATTTTAGAGCAAGCATAGTACCTGTCCAATGTAAGTTCCACAAAGATAAGTATGAAAATTGGTGTGTATAGTTTTTGCTTTTAATATTTTCTTTGTAAGATAGAAACACAAAAGGTAAGGATCCTTTGAATAAAATTATTCAAACATGTAAGTATATATTCATATTATGTACATTCACAAATATGTGTGGATAAATAGAAATATAACACAATCCTTAGAAAGAAATACATGACTTTTTTTTGCTTGAAAGAAGGCAGTTTGATTAACCTTTAACTGACTTGTTTGGAATATGAGGACCATGCCTAATGGTTTTATACAAATTCCTTAATTATCTTTGTCTCATGTTCCTTATGTCTCGTGTTAGGGGAGAAATCCCCATCTTGGTGGACTGCAGTGAATAACAGCGGTGAAGTATACCTTTTCATTTAGAGTTTGAGAGAGCTCAATAAAAATACTCATTTTTGCCATCCACGTTCTGAATCAGCTGAAAAAGAAAAATGAGTAGATTGGAGACCAAAATATCACCTTTATTTTTGATGAAACTAATAAAGGAAAACATGAAATATGTCTACCTCCAAGTGGGCTTCCTTCTAGTGAGCTCTAGTTTTAGGCAAAGTTGCCCCTCAGTCACAAAGCAGAGCCTCTCACTGTGTAACTTAATGTCTGGAGAACCAGAGCAGAACAGTTGCTCCCTAAAGAGAGAGAAGACAAAGGGGTCATCCTATACATGTCCATATCACCTTCCAAACTTAATCAAATTATATTCTTCTTCTTTTCCCGGAAATAGCTAAGTTAAGGAGCAGAGAGAGGCTAGCATGTCGCACTAGTAGAGCTGCTGGCACTTGAAAGATTACACCTGTCATTTGGAAGTGAAGGACATCAATTTGAACACTGTGCAACCAATAACAAAGTAATCCAAAATTCTATCTTAAAATGGTGTTAACATTTGTATTCCAATACATGTATTAAATTGTGCTCAATAATATTTTCATTTTGCTTAGGGAACATGTACAATGTAAAGACTATCTCTTGCAAGATTTAAATAAAAAATATCAACAAAACACTTTTAACATTAATTATATTGTGCAAAATATGATTTAATTTTTTGAAATATTTGCTAGTAAGTCCCTAGATATATTTATCTCAACATTATCTCATATAAAAATATTACTTCTAATATATACTGAACACTCAAGAACAGTTTTTTCTATTGCTACCTTATTATAAATGTCCCATAGAAGTATGTAGTATTTTTAGAAAGACAGAGTAACTGTTGTAAGTCACTATGGTTATAAAATGATAATTAAAAATAGCCAACAATCTAGGAGGCCAAGGCAGGAGAACTGCTTGAGCCCAGAGTTTGATACCAACTCGAGCAACATAGGGAGACTCTGTCTTTACCAAAAAAAATATAATAATAAAATAAAAAATAAATTAAAAATTAGCCAGGTCATGGTGGTGCGCACTTGTAGTCCCAGCTATTTGGGAGGCTGAGGTGAGAGGATCACTTCAGCCCAGGAGGTGAATGCTGCAGTGACTGGTGATTCACTCCTGCACTCTAGCCTGGGTGACAGAGTGAGACCCTGTCTCAAAAAAAAAAAAGAAATAAAGAAAAAGAAAAAAAAATATTTTTACCTGCCCTTAATGGAGAAAAACACCTTAAAATTTACCAATTGATGGCATGTCTTGCAGGAAAGACACACCTTAACATATGATATTTTTAAAGCTTCCAAATAAGTGTTTGATTATTAAAATGTCACCATGTAACTGTAGCAGTATTATGTCATAACATTAAAAAAAACTAAATGAGTGCATGACATGACCCAGTGTTGCACCTTCTGCAAATGCATCACTAAAGTTCATCTAAGTTGTAGGAATAAGGTTCATGTTAATTAAATTAATTAATACTGAGGTTCACATGATGGGCTTCATTTAAGAGATATAAATGGCATGGACTTCTATTAAAAATACTTTAATCATTTTTCTATGTTTTGGGGGAGTTTATTTAAATGAGGAAGAACCTGTTTTATAGAAGTGGCTAATGAGGTGTGGGATATAATATAGGCCTTTTATCGATGGACAGCATTGGTGGAAGATGAGCACAAAATTCAAACTACTATTTGTATGTACAATAGCTTTCAGCTGGTGGATCTGCTGGTGTGTGTGTGTGTGTGTGTGTGTGTGTGTGTGTGTGTGTGTGTGAGGGAGAGAGAGAGAGAAAGAGAGAGACAGCCTTCAGCAGGATTCTGATGGTTCTTACCACCTTTAAAACTACCTTCTTTTTTGGCACATAGTTTACTTCTATTCCAAAAATAGTGTGTACACCACTTACTTCTATGTTCATGTCAAGTGTTACTTATGGAGTGAATTTAATACGAGGCCCTGTTTATATCTTTCGGTATCAGTTAGGAAATACTTTGATATAAAATTTGGATTTATATGTCAATCAGCTTGGCAATTGAGGTTCTTTTGTTGCTGATCAGAAATCTTGGCTGGCAGTTAAATATGTCCTTTTTATAAAAAAAAAAAAGAAAAGGAAAGAAAGAAAAGAAAAGGAAAGAAAGAAAAGAAAAGAAAAAGAAAGGAAGGGAATGTCTACTTAGTACAAGAAGCCAGGGTAGGCAAAGTCTTTTTTGGACACCAGGTCCTCGATGGTGGGGAAGGATTAAGAAAAACATTCACAGGGCTGAGAACGGAGGGCCTTTGGTTGGAGTGGTTCAGAGGGAATTGTTTCCTTTGAGTGAAGGAAAATAGCCTCAGCAGGGGGCTTTAATTTTTTTAGTTAATTAAAATTAAATTAATTTAATTAAATTCATTTTAAAAATTATATTTAAAATTTAATGTAAGTTTAAAAGTGGATTAATAATATATTAAGTAATTCAAAAAATATTTATTGAGCAGCCACTCTGACCCCAGCATTGCATTCGCATTTGGAGATGTCAAAATGGAGACAATATGCTTGGAGACATCTTAAGTCTCAGCTTAAATCCTTTCCACTAAATTTTGGCTGTTAGTCCTTCTAGAAGCTGCTACTGTCTCAGGAACTGAGTTTCCTCATCTATAAAATGAGGTACTCATACATATCTCCTACATTTGTTATAGGTTTATAAGAGATAATATATGCAATTCACGTAGCACAGGGCATATAGAATATGCTCAATAAAAGATGTGGTCATGTTTGTTATATTCTATAAGTTTTTATAAAAATAGCTAGCTCTTATTGAGTCTCTGCTTCATGCTAAGTGCTTCACATAGGTGACTTCATTTACTTCTCATAACTCTGTGAAATAAGTATTATTCCTATTCCCATTTATTGATGAATTTAAATGACTTGACAAAGTTGACATAGTAAAAAAAAAAAAAAAATGGTAACCTAGGATTTACACTCATGCAGCCCAACCTCAGAGCCTACATTATGTTTTTTCTCCCTCACTTGCCCTCGGCAAAGTGCTCGTAATCTTATGGTGGACACAGATCCAGTTTTGCGATACAGTATGTTCAGTAGAATGACAGAAATAATAAATTCTTCTCAGACAAGGAAGCAAGATAGAGCGGGTCAGCAAGAGGTAGAGCAGAGTCAAGGAGAACTTCACAGGAGAAATAATATTGAAGCAAATCGTGAAAGATGATTTGTGTGTGGAGTAAGACTGAAAGGAAAGAATGTTAATTTTAGGTGATGAAACAGCAAGTAGTTGACCTTTGTTCATAAGAAAAGTCATGAAGTTGAAGTTCAACCCTAAGGAGTTTAGGTGGTATGCAGATATATTTCAGAGTTAGAACAGCTTGGCCTTGACATAAGAGATGAAGGAAAACGAGATCTTTTGGGACCCTCTTTCTGGTTTAAGGGCTGTTATGAACTGATTCGTGTCACTCCCAAATGTATATATTGAAGCCTTAACCCCCAGTTATCTCAGAATGTAACGGTATTTGAGGCCTTTGAATAATTAAGTTAAAATGAAGTTGTTAGGGTTGCCCCTAATCCAGTCTGACTCTTATGAGAAGAGATTAGAACAAACAAAGAGACACCAGCGGTGTGAATGCACAGAGGGACTGCTGACCATGGGAACAGAACAGCCATATGCAAGCCAAGGAGAGTCCTCAGGAAACCAACCTGCCAAACCAACCTTAATCTTGAATCTCTAACCACCAGAACTGTAAGAAAATAAATTTCTGTTGTTTAAGCCACTCAGTCTGAGGTACAGTCTCCCTTGGTGTCATTGGATTGGTTCCACTACATCCTGAGGATACCATAATCCACTGATGTTTAAATTCCTCATATAAAATGATGTAATATTTTGTATATCCTCCCATATACTTTAAAAAAATCTCTAGATTACTTATAATGCCCAATGCAATGTAAATGCTATGAAAATGATTTTTGTGTTGTATTGTTTAGGGAATAATGACAAGAAAAAAGCCTATACATGTTTAGTTGAAATGAAACCATCCACTATTTTTCTGAATATTTTTGATCCACACTTGGTTGAATCCGTGGATGTGGAACCCGCAGATACAGAAGGCTGACTGCATTTTGTTATAGCAGCCCTAGCAAACATAATTAATGACTTTAATCCAGATGGTAAATGCAGAAGAGAAATAAGTTTCTGAGGAACATTAATGAATTCAGTATTGGGTCTACTGTTTGAGGTTTCTATTCATGTCTTATAGGCAAATAGACATGAGGGTCAGGTGATCAAGAGAGAGTTATGGACTGAAGGCATAGATTTGACAGCCATCAATATATTGATGGTAATGCAAAAAAAAAAAGGTCATAGGTGAGATTCTTTAGGAATACTAAAGAAAAACTTCAAGAGGAGGGAGGAAAGAAGTAGGTCAAGGGTAGGACCCTGGATCATACTAACGTTTGAGGAACCAGGAGGAGAGTATCATTAAAGGAGATAGATTAATAATGGTGAGACATTAGAGAAAAACGGAACCAGACATCATAGAGAAATTAAGTCAGATGAGGACAGAGATGTGCCCATTGGGTTTTTTAATTGAAAGATTACAGGATTGCTGCTAAAAGCAGTTTCAAGAGAGTGCTGGGAGAGAAAGCCAATAATGAGAATCTTACTAACTTTCCAACACTTTGGGCCATCACATTATTAAAATTAAGGAGACACAATTGTAGCACTTTCTTGTATGCTCTTAGCTCAAGTAAGTAGATTTTAAGTTCAAATTATTTAAGAATCAGCTTAATAAGCTCCCCACAGTCCACTTTTTGTTGTTGTTGTTGTTGTTGTTGTTGTTGTTGAGTTGGAGTCTTGCTCTGTTGCCAGGCTGGAGTGCAGTGGCACAATCTCGGCTCACTGCAACCTCCACCTCCCGGGTTCAAGTGATTCTCCTGCCTCAGCCTCCTGAGTAGCTGGGACTACAGGGATGTGCCACCACACCCAGCTAATTTTTGTATTTTTAGTAGAGACGGGGTTTCATCATGTTGGCCAGGATGGTCTCGATCTTGTGACCTCGTGATCCACCTGCCTCGGCCTCCTGAAGTGTTAGGATTACAGGCGTAAGCCACCATGCCCAGCCCCACATTCGACTTTCTAACTACCATTTCACCTTCTAACTTTTTTGAAACTTTGGGACAAGTCAAGCTGCCCTGTTCATTTTCAGCTCACACTCTTCTTTCTCCTTACCCAGGAGAATTTTCCCTCACTTGGAATATATCTTTGTCACCTATTCATCATGAAAATCCCACTTCTTTTCTGTATAGTCAGATTTTCCTGATCTACTTTAGTTCATAGTAAGTGTCCTTCCCTTAAAACACTCTATTCCTTGCTGCTGGAGTCATCTTTCTAAACCTTCTTGCACCGGTGTATCAAACTTCTTTTTTTTTTTTTTTTTTTTTTTTTTTTTTAGTATTAAAGCTAGTTTATTTATTTTTTTAATTATACTTTAACTTTTGGGGTACATGTGCACAACATGCAGGTTTGTTACATATGTATACATGTGCCATGTTGGTGTGCTGCACCCATTAACTCGTCATTTAACATTAGGTATATCTCCTAATGCTATCCCTCCCCCCGTCCCCACACCCCACAACAGGCCCCAGTGTGTGATATTCCCCTTCCTGTATCCATGTGTTCTCATTGTTCAATTCCCACCTATGAGTGAGAACATATGGTGTTTGGTTTTTTGTCCTTGTGATAGTTGGCTGAGAATGATGGTTTCCAGCTTCATCCATGTCCCTACAAAGGACATGAACTCATCATTTTTTATGGCTGCAAAGTATTCCATGGTGTATATGTGCCACATTTTCTTAATCCAGTCTATCATTGTTGGACATTTGGGTTGTTTCCAAGTCTTTGCTATTGTGAATAGTGCCGCAATAAACATACGTGTACATGTGTCTTTATAGCAGCATGATTTATAATCCTTTGGTTATATACCCAGTAATGGGATGGCTGGGTCGAATGGTATTTCTAGTTCTAGATCCCTGAGAATTGCCACACTGACTTCCACAATGGTTGAACTAGTTTGCAGTCCCACCAACAGTGTAAAAGTGTTCCTCTTTCTCCACACCCTCTCCAGCACCTGTTGTTTCCTGACTTTTTAATGATTGCCATTCTAACTGGTGTGAGATGGTATCTCATTGTGGTTTTGATTTGCATTTCTCTGATGGCCAGTGATGATGAGCATTTTTTCACGTGTCTTTTGGCTGCATAAATGTCTTCTTTTGAGAAGTGTGGGTTCATATCCTTTGCCCACTTTTTGATGGGGTTGTTTTTTTCTTGTAAATTTGTTTGAGTTCATTGTAGATTCTGGATATTAGCCCTTTGTCAGATGAGTAGATTGCAAAAATTTTCTCCCATTCTGTAGGTTGCCTGTTCACTCTGATGGTAGTTTCTTTTGCTGTGCAGAAGCTCTTTAGTTTAATTAGATCCCATTTGTCAATTTTGGCTTTTGTTGCCATTGCTTTTGGTGTTTTAGACATGAAGCCCTTGCCCATGCCTATGTCCTGAATGGTATTGCCTAGGTTTTCTTCTAGGGTTTTTATGGTTTTAGGTCTAACATTTAAGTCTTTAATCTATCTTGATTAATTTTTGTGTAAGGTGTAAGGAAGGGATCCAATTTCAGCTTTCTCCATATGGCTAGCCAGTTTTCCCAGCACCATTTATTAAATAGGGAATCCTCTCCCCATTTCTTGTTTTTGTTAGGTTTGTCAAAGATCAGATAGTTGTAGATATGCAGCATTATTTCTGAGGGCTCTGTTCTGTTCCATTGGTCTATATCTCTGTTTTGGTACCAGTACCATGCTGTTTTGGTTACCGTAGCCTTGTAGTATAGTTTGAAGTCAGGTAGCGTCATGCCTCCAGCTTTTGGCTGGAGGATTCCAGCCAAATCTTTTGGCTTAGGATTGACTTGGCAACTCGGGCTCTTTTTTGGTTCCATATGAATTTTAAAGTATTTTTTTCCAATTCTGTGAAGAAAGTCATTGGTATCTTGATGTGGATGGCACTGAATCTATAAATTACCTTGGGCAGTATGGCCATTTTCACGATATTGATTCTTCCTACCCATGAGCATGGAATATTCTTCCATTTGTTTGTATCCTCTTTTATTTCATTGAGCAGTGGTTTGTAGTTCTCCTTGAAGAGGTCCTTCACATCCCTTGTAAGTTGGATTCCTAGGTATTTTGTTCTCTTTGAAGCAATTGTGAATGGGAGTTCACTCATGATTTGGCTCTCTGTTTGTCTGTTATTGGTGTATAAGAATGCTTGTGATTTTTGTACATTGATTTTGTATCCTGAGACTTTGCTGAAGTTGCCTATCAGCTTAAGGAGATTTTGGGCTGAGACAATGGGGTTTTCTAGATATACAATCATGTCATCTAAAAACAGGGACAATTTGACTCCCTTTTTCCTAATTGAATACCCTTTATTTCCTTCTCCTGCCTAATTGCCCTGGCCTGAACTTCCAACACTATGTTGAATAGGAGTGGTGAGAGAGGGCATCCCTGTCTTGTGCCAGTTTTCAAAGGGAATGCTTCCAGTTTTTGCCCATTCAGTGTGATATTGGCTGTGGGTTTGTCATATATAGCTCTTATTATTTTGAGATAACGTCCCATCAATACCTAATTTATTGAAAGTTTTTATCATGAAGAGTTGTTGAATTTTGTCAAAGGCCTTTTCTGCATCTATTGAGATAATCATGTGGTTTTTGTCTTTGGTTCTGTTTATATGCTGGATTACATTTATTGATTTGCGTATGTTGAACCAGCCTTGCATCCCAGGGTTGAAGCCCACTTGATCATGCTGGATAACGTTTTTGATGTGCTGCTGGATTCGGTTTGCCAGTATTTTATTGAGGATTTTTGCATCAGTGTTAATCAGGGATATTGGTCTAAAATTCTCTTTTTTGGTTGTTTCTCTGCCCGGCTTTGGTATCAGGATGATGCTGGCCTCATAAAATGAGTTAGGGAGGATTCCCTCTTTTTCTATTGATTGGAATAGTTTCAGAAAGAATGGTACCAGCTCCTCTTTGTACCTGTGGTAGAATTCGGCTATGAATCTGGTCCTGGACTTTTTTTGGTTGGTAAGCTATTAATTATTGCCTGAATTTCAGCGCCTGTTATTGGTCTATTCAGAGATTCAACTTCTTCCTGGTTTAGTTTTGGGAGAGTGTATGTGTCGAGGAATTTATCCATTTCTTCCAGATTTTCTAGTTTATTTGCATAGAGGTGTTTATAGTATTCTCTGATGGTAGTTTGTATTTCTGTGGGATTGGTGGTGATATCCCCTTTATCATTTTTTATTGCGTCTATTTGATTCTTCTCTCTTTTCTTCTTTATTAGTCTTGCTAGCAGTCTATCAATTTTATTGATCTTTTCAAAAAACCAGCTCCTGGATTCATTGATTTTTTGAAGGGTTTTTTGTGTCTCTATTTCCTTCAGTTCTACTCTGATCTTAGTTATTTCTTGCCTTCTGCTAGCTTTTGAATGTGTTTGCTCTTGCTTTTCTAGTTCTTTTAATTGTGATGTTAGGGTGTCAATTTTAGATCTTTCCTGCTTTCTCTTGTGGGCATTTAGTGCTATAAATTTCCCTCTTCACACTGCTTTGAATGTGTCCCAAAGACTCTGGTATGTTGTGTTTTTGTTTTCATTGGTTTCAAAGAACATCTTTATTTCTGCCTTCATTTCGTTATGTACCCAGTAGTCATTGAGGAGCAGGTTGTTCAGTTTCCATGTAGTTGAGCGGTTTTGAGTGAGTTTCTTAATCCTGAGTTCTAGTTTGATTGCACTGTGGTCTGAGAGACAGTTTGTTATAATTTCTGTTCTTTTACACTTGCTGAGGAGAGCTTTACTTCCAAGTATGTGGTCAATTTTGGAATAGGTGTGGTGTGGTGCTGAAAAGAATGTATATTCTGTTGATTTGGGGTGGAGAGTTCTGTAGATGTCTATTAGGTCAGCTTGGTGCAGAGCTGAGTTCAATTCCTGGATATCCTTGTTAACTTTCTGTCTCGTTGATTCTGTTATCTTGTCATTCCCAAGTCATTATGGGCCTTGAAACCGGCATAGGGCTTCATTCTTTGCATTTCCTACATTGCCTTAAACATAATAGAAACTGAGTAAATACTTTCTTATTAATTAATTGTATTCAATTGCCCTCACCTGTGTGATAGTGGTTAATGTCTTTTAAAAGTTCCTTTCCTCTGCACTCAGTTGCATTTGTGTCAATTTTCCAAACATTTTTCACAGCAGTTCATTCATTATGTTAATTTGGTTTTCCATTCAAACCAGTTGAGTATAATAATACATGCCTTGTTTTTCCAGGCACAGAGCCCAATGAAATTATTTTTGTTTATTTCTTGTTGAGTGTCCCAGATTTGCTTTGGAATGTTGGTTGATGCTGGCTTATTCATTATGTGATAACAACATCAGTTATCATAGAATGAGGGGATTTCAATTACAATTTCTAAAAAGTGAGCACTTCAAATTTGTTTTGAGAATTTAGGGGTTGATGTGTGAAGCTTTTCACATTATCTTTAGTGGTAATACAAATCAAGATTCCAACGCAGTGGCATTTCTTGGTTGTCTAAGTGGCAAGCTGCAGCAGGTTGGCATTGTTAATTACACTGGTAAAAGTTTTGTGTTGCAGATACCATTGCCTATTACTAAGTGACTTCAGAAGAAATAAAATAATAAACAGCTATTCTAAACAATTATATGTGCATTGCCTTTAGCTACAAGAACCTGCAAACCTAACTAACACAAGATTAAACAGTAAAGGCTTATTTTCCTCATATTTCAAAGAGCATGGGACTGCGCAGCCCGTGGTTAGGAACAGTGGCTCTGTAATACTGGTGGGCACTCAGGCTCTTTTGGCCCTTCTGCTCTGCTGTCCTTTATGTGTTGGTTTTCTTCATCTTGCTTGTCACCTGATGGTTGCAAGATGCATGCTGCACCTTTAGAACTCATGTCTGTGGTGCAGACAATAAAAAGAGTGAAGGACAAAAGCCAAGGGCCTCTTTCTATGAGGGTTCTCCTTTGTTTGTAGGAAGGAATGTCTTTCCCCTTGCCTCTTTCTCCTTCCAGAGATTTCTGTCAACATGTCATTTACCATAACTTTGTCACGTGGCCATGGCCATTTCTAGCTCCAAGGAATGCCAATAAATCAAGGTTTGGGTTTTTTCCCTAAGCTTTTATATCTCTAAAATAGAAATAGCCAAAAGAGAAAGAGTCTTGGAATGAGATTGGGTCAGGCAATCTAGAGTGTGTGTCAAGGTATCATGTATTGATTATTTTCTATATGCCAGACATATTATCCCAGGATCCTACAATGTAGAAGAATGAGACTTAGAGTGTAAAGTGAACTGCCCAATGCCTCGGTGCTGTGCAGAGATGGAGACAGGGTAAAGTTCAGGGCCATCTGGTCTCAGAGCTTATATATTTCCACTATACCACAAGGGGACCTCCAAGGAAACAAGTGAGACGAAACTGGAAATGATGTGGAAAGAAAGGTGGGCTTATCTCCGTTTCTTCCCCAAACCCCTACAAGCAATTGTTATTGAAACAGAGCTCCTATCACAATTATTTTTACCATTCTCATTTGTTATTTAAAATCCTTACTATTCAAAGTGTGGTCTGAGGGACTGACACTTCAGCATCACCTGGGAGCTCATTTGAAATGCAGAATCTCAGGCTCTAGATTAGACCTTTCGATCAGAATCTGCATTTCAGTGAGCTCAGGTGACTCACATGCATATCCAAGTTTGAGAAGCCCTGTGACATATACATTTCTTAGAAGGCTTCCCCAACCATCCAGATTAAGCTAATTCATCTTCAGCGATTCCGTTACATCACCCTGTTCATTGTTTTATAGCATGTATGCCTATCTGAAACAACATTACTAAAAAGTTGGTTTTAATTGTAATTGTTTTCTGTTCCACTAAAATGTATGTTTCATCAGGGAACAGACTTTGCTTTTGTTGAGGATCTTATCTCTAACACTTGCAGATAGAGTGTCTGACACATAGTAAGTGCTCAATAAATATTTGATAGATGGATGATGAGTATATGAATGCATAAATGATGTCTAATTTAGGATGCTTGGCTCTTCAGAGATAGATAACCACATAGCATTCTTGCTGTTTCAAAGTAACCAGATCAAAATTATAAAAGCTGCATTTCTCAGGTGCACATTCTGAAAACTGTATTGTTTGGCTTTGTTCTGCTTGATTTAATTCAAAGACGATTTTTCATGTATTTACCTTAGTCTTAGCCTCTCTAAATGTGTTCTTACTGCTGGTATTGAATGGCCCTTTGGCTTTGAATAGAATCTCTGTTGCTGGTTAATTTTTTGTTCTTTTTGACTCTTCTGTTGTTAAGTTTACAAGAATCTCAATTTGGTCAAAATTTTGAAGATAATTGAAGTTATTTGTTATAAAAAATAAAAAGTCACCAAAAGGAGAGACATTAAGAGACTGATCAGATGTTAATTAAATCTACGGTGATTGATATGTACTTCGAATATTTTAATTTTCAACGTGGAACATTGTAGTAATGTTCCTTTCACTTGCTGAAGTATTCTGCCTGATTTTCTTTTGTTTGCATAATGGAAAAAAACACATGCAAAATTTCTAGTAAAGAGAAGTTGCCTGATGAGAGAATTATTATAAAAATTGATACTTTATCCCAGGAAATAGATTTCTGCTTCAGGGACATCTATACCAACTCTTTGTCAGATATGTGATGGCACTGGAACTGAAGAGCTCATATAGATGCTTAAACTGATTTAAAAATTTTAAGCACATCTATATTTTATTTTATTAGCTATGTTTAAAAAATGATCTTTGGAGTTTCTACACATATTCGCTAATGTCTTTTTCTCCCAAAACCTTTTAAAGACAAATAATGCAAACTAGGGTTCATAAACTAAGTTGCCTTTAGAGACCACAGTATGATGTAATGAGAAAGATGTTGCCATAGGCTGTGGTAAGTACTAGGCATAATAGTCATGGCATGCTTCACCAAGTCATTCCATTTGAAAGAAAAATTTAAAATATCTGCAGCCAGTCAAAATACTCTCGTGGATTGCATTCGTTCTGATGGTGAGTAGCTTGTGATCCTCGGACAAAACTTTCTGAAGCTATTATCTCATTAGCCTTATTTTTTATACAATATATTTCTAGTTTTATTACTTTAAGATTAAAACATCATTTTTGCCCCTTTTTGGAATTTAATATTAAAAAACTTTTTGCAATTAAATGACCAATTCATTGAAACACCAGGCAAATATGGTATTAAGAAGATTAAGGCCAGGTGCAGTGGCTTCCATGTGTAATCCCAATTTGGGTGGCTGAGGCAGGAGGACTGCTTGAGCCTAGGATTAGCCTGGGGAACACAGGGAGACACTGTCTGTACAAAACATTGAAAAAAAATTTAGCCTGGTGTGGCGGTTCATACCTGTGGTCCCAGTTACTCAGGGAGCTCAGGTGGGATAATTGCTTGAGTTCAGGAGGTGGAGGCTGCAGTGAGCTGATAGCATGCCACTGTGCTCCAGCCTGGGTGACATAGAGAGACCCTGTCTCAAATAAATAAATAAATAAATAAATAAATAAATAAATAAATAAGTTCAGGCTGAGAGCTAAAACAGCCAGAGCCATATAACTTGACCGCCTGTATGGATATACATTCTTGATGATGTTCGCTATATCCAGCAATATTTACCTAGACATTGGTATTAAAGAATATTCCCAGTTTGGGGATTACAGCTGTTATGATACTGTCATGGATGATAACAGTGTCACTGAGGACAGGCTGGAGACCTACAGAAAGGTCTATAGGTAACTTTTCTTTGACCTGCTGGCATTTTCTGTGGAAGCATGCTGGGGAATGGCAGAAAATACTGTGGGTTTGTACTTCAGTGGGTGGTGTGGCTAGTGTGGAGCTTTTCCCTTTTTTGCCTGAGTTTTTATATGGGGTTACTGAGGTAGTGACTTTGCCAGTGGGGAAAAAAACAGACTATTTGGTACCAAGAGCATAGGTGCCAATTATTTGGAGAAGTGTCTGGGAAACACTAAGTACCCTGAATGGGAAAGATAGGGTCCCCAGTTTTGGGGGATTTTGAGTCTAGTTTCTGCCCCATGCTTCAGTAAAAATAAGCTTTGCATCCCAGCTAGCTTGTTTTCAGACAGTAGGAAAAAAAGTGTCCAGGAGTCACTATGTATCAATCCTGCTTATCTCCCCAGTGAGCCTCCCCAAAATTCCATGATGCTTTACATAGATTTATATATATTTATTTGACACTTTGTGTGGGGGAACAATTTAACTCATGGACAATATAGAAGTTTCAAAGGCAAATGTCTACTGAAATGTTCACATAGTTGCTTCAGTCTTGTAATATTATATAGCATTTAAATTTTATTTGATCTACTTCAAAAATACATCTTTGAGTTCATGAGAAAAATACCTACAAACATAATTAGGGGACTGCTCCCCAGTTTGGAGGATGAAAATTTTGCCCAAGTATTAATTTCTCAAAGCAGACACTCATATTAAGAATGCTTATGCAATGTGGGAGGTGAGCTGAACAAATATTAACTAGAAAGCTGCTAAAATGACTGATTGCATTGATGAAAACTTCAGAACTTACAAATGGTGCTTATGAGCACACTGGTTTGTGCTCTAGTTTTTTCATGCATTCCTTTCCTCTTCTAGACTATGAGCTCTGTGAAAACAGATGCCATGTCTGATTCACTTTTGATCCCAGTAATTTAGGCTAAAGTGTGAGGACTCTCTTGAGTGGCATTAAAAGATTCAGAAGTCTTATGGTTATTCGTAATAAACTATGAGGATGCAAAAGCATAAGAATGATACGATGGACTTTGGGGACTTGAAGGAAAGGGTGGGAAGAGAGTGAGGGATAAAAGACTACAAATTGGGTTCAGTGTATACCGCTCAGGTGATGGGTGCACCAAAATCTCACAAATTGCCGCTAAAGAACTTATTCATGTAACCAAACACCACCTGTTCACCCAAAACCTATGAAATTAAATATATATTTTTTTCTTAAAAAAAAAAGACATGAAAAGGAACAACTTCTACTAACTACAAGTGAAGAAAAGTAGTGAGTCTATTTTAAAAATTAGAAATAGAATATTCCAATTATATCAGATACAATATATATTATTTATTAATTCCATCTTAGTGCAAAGGTGGAAAAACATACATATCCAGATGGAATATGAAAGCAAACACATTAGAGTACAGTATGAGATAGACACTTGAGAGTATCAAGCTCTCAAGAAAATGGTTCAGAGTAATGCGAGCATTCAGAAATGTACTCAAGAGCATGGAAAAAAATACTGAGATACCCAGATAGAAGGGAAGAATAGGGCAAAGCTCTTATCACATTGGAACACATTTTTGAGAAGCAGCCACCGGCTGAGAATCCCGATTTGATTTTTTAAGTACATGTTCCCTCTCATGGTTAGAGTGCTATAATATGAGCTTAAGGAAGTAGTTAAATTATAAAGCCCAAATGGTACTACAACTATATTTCATCTTACAATAAGATTCAGCAATACCTAGATGATACATTGATGAAAATATAAGTTATTTAACAGTTTGTTTACATAAATTATAGGATAAGTACAGAAAATTAAGCTATGCCACTAGATGATGACTTCCTGAATAGATAGTTCAGCTTTTTATTGAAAGAGGGATTGATTGGCTAAATTGAAGTTACAGTGACATATATTCCTATTAGTGTTCTGTCATTGCCTTCTGTAAAGGAATATGACTTCAGGTAAGCTCAAACCTGAGTCTACTGAAGGTATGGCACACCTGGAAAATTGATTTTCAATTTTCTAATGTACCTACAAACCTCTCAGAAGTATGCTGGCTATTGGTGAGTGGAAAAGGGCTAGAAGGTATCTACAACTTCACACATAACCAAAAACAGAGAAGTGGTGAAGTGGTGAAAGGAGTTTCTCAAAGCCTGTCTTCAGTCAAGTGATTTCATTGGCAGCAATGGGCCAGTATGAGAACTTGAAAGCTGCAGATGCTTATCAAGCTCTCCAGAAGTACCGCTGGCTAGCCATTTTATTCCGTGTAACAATTTCTAGATTTGTAGATAGGGGTTTTATTAATCACCTATGTTAAATAAAAGTGTGGCGTGTCTTTTGCTGGTGTTTTTTGGTGTCTCTCCATGGTGACTATCACTCTTATGCAATTGTACATCACCATTGGAGTCAAAATATAAAGTTTTAATAGGTGAGAATAATAAATAATAGTGCTGAGAAGAAAAATACAGTGAATTTGATTAGCTAAACAGGGACGGCAAAAAAGAGTTACTAAATGACCTAATGTCATGTGATTGGTAATGGCTACCTAGAATTTTACATTGAAAACCTTTCTAAGGTAACATCTTGTCTCATAGGAGAAAGGTGTTATGATCAATTATTGAAGTCTGCCAGGTCACGGTGATGGAAGAATAGAGGGTAATAGTAAAAGCAGATATTTGCCATACCTGCTGTTAAGGAAAGCAGTGTCATTCTTATAACAAGTAGAATGCTGGAGACCTCAAGCCTCCTCTTGTGGGGTTAACTCATAAATACAAAATAGTATATCTTTCATATAGTTTTGAAGTGAAGATAATCCATCCACTGTGGGTTACAGTTGAGTTATCAAAAATCTGTAATTATAAAGAAATCAATTGTGAAAGTAAAAATCATGTGATGAGCTGGGGGTGCAGAAAAGACATACTGATACAGAATTCTTAAAGTTGCTGCATAAAATAAAAATTTTACAGTATGGCTGTGCTGATGGTAAAGTAAGAGAAACAGGCTGGGCAGAGTGGCTCACGCCTGTAATCCCAGCACTTTGGGAGTCCGAGGCGGGCGGATCACGAGGTCAGGAGATCGAGACCATCCTGGCTAACATGGTGAAACCCCGTCTCTACTAAAAATATAAAAAATTAGCCGGGCCTGGTGGCGGGTGCCTGTAGTCCCAGCTACTCGGGAGGCTGAGGCAGGGGAATGGCGTGAACCCGGGAGGCGCAGCTTGCAGTGAGCCGAGATCGCGCCACTGCACTCCGGCCTGGGCGACCTAGCGAGACTCCGTCTCAAAAAAAAAAAAAAAAAAAAAAGAGAAACAATTAGATTTGAGGGGTAAAAAAGTTATAAATAAGAGGGGTGCTTTGGAGTTGATGAAGGAAGAGACAAAGCCTATGTTTTGAGCAGAGTGGGAGGTCCAATTGAAGACACCAGCATAAATCTGGGACAACTGAAAGGTGACACTGACAGTGTCCCTTGGTGTAGGGATGTAGGGATGTCCCAAAAGAGACTTGCTTATTTAAATAAACCCTGGTTCTGGGTAGTGCATGAGAAAATAAAAAGAAAAATTTCATTAAGAGTTTCTAGTCGCAATCTCACAGTCGTTTAAGTTTGGAATTCATAATGCATGTGGAATATGGAGTAATCTTAGCTGAAAATTTTAAAATGATTCTGGCCAGACACAGTGTCTGATGTGCTCCTCAAAATGTCCATTCTAAATCAGGAACAGTGGCTCCCGCCTGTAATCCCAGCCACCCAGGAGGGTGAGGTGGGAGGATTGCTTGAGTCTGGAAGTTCGAGTACGGATTGGGCAACATAGTGAGACCCCCATCTCCGAAAAAAAGAAAACAACAGCAACAAAAAGTGTCTCGTCTTGTTTTTCATTTAGCAAGGAAATATAATTTTCATTTCCAAATTAGAGATGATTATTCACATTTTTAAATCTCTACAACAAACCCCTATGACACAGTTTACCTATGTAACACACCTGCACTTGTATCCCTGAACTTAAAAAAAAATAAAACAAAAATAAAAATAAAAAATAAAAAAGTTTTAATGTGACTATGTATGTCAAAGTATAATTTTTCTATTCTAATATTTTCCAAAGAGTAGTAGAAGTCATAAATATTGCTGGTGGTGTACCAGTAGTGATTTTGGATGACACATCAATAACTTTATAAAGCTAAAAACCTATTTTAATATATTTTAATATGTATTAGAAAACATTATTATTTTAATGTTTTAGTATTATTTTAATATTTTAGTGCATGAATATTATTAAAATGATCTAAATAAAATAAAGGAGTGATTTGGAAGTATATATAAAAGAAAATATGGGCCAGGCATGGTAGCTCACGCCTGTAATCCCAGCCCTTTGGGTGGCCAAGGCGGGTGGATCACCTGAGGTTAGGGGTTCGAGACCAGCCTGGCCAACATGGCGAAACCCCATCTCTACTGAAAATACAAAAATTAGCCAGGCATGGTGGCATGTGCCTGTATGCTTGGCTACTCGGGAGGCTGAGGCAGGAGAATCGCTTGAACCTGGGAGGCAGAGGTTGCAGTGAGCCAAGATTGCACCACTGCCCTCCAGCCTGGGTGACATAGCAAGACTCTGTCTATAAAAAAAAAAAAGAAAGAAAGAAAAGAAAATATGAACAGGTGTTATATAAGTATGGCAAAATAAGGAAGCTAGTATTTGAATGACCAGTTTGGGAAGCATTTGTCAATTATAGGAAGACTCACCATGGGGCAAGTTGATAAATACCGAAACAAGACAGAGAAACATAGTTAACTTCAAAAGCATTAGAGCTCTGTCTAGCTGTTGATCTGTTTACCTATAACTCAGTGGGGCATATATAAGCTCCTGCTTTGGAGTATTTTTATCATATAACTGTGCTTGATCTCTGTAGTTTAGAAAACAAAAAATATGCTTAAGGAAACCTAGACCCCTAGGTGCTCAATATTTAGAAATTTAATTTTCAAGGTATTTAAGAGCGGAGATTACATAACGGTTTACAGTTTCTAATAAATAAGTTATATATCCCAATGACTCCTTTATGAGAGTCCTGGGGAAACATTTAGGTCAGGATATGACTTTTGGTTGATGGTTTTTAAATTTATAGGCATTTAGATGTTATATCCAACCACATTTTCTTCTTTTCAATTGAGAGCTAGAGATTTTATATTTATTAAGTAATATTAATTTTTAAAATATTAAATTTTTAACTCCTTTTAGTTTTATTTCATTATTTTCTACCTTTTGCCTAAATCTTTTTTCTTATTTTTTTAAAGCCTTTCTAGTATATTTTTTAAGCTACCTGAAATGCTTTAGGGATAAAAAATAATATCTAACATGTATTGAGTGCTTACAAGATATTCTTCTAAGTATTTTCATATATTTATTAATATAATCCTCTCAATAACCCTGTGGTATGAGCAATATTATTATCAGTGTTTTCCAGGGTTCAGTAACATTCCCAAGGTCACAAAGCTAAAAAGTGGCAAAGCTAGGACTTGAACCCAAGCCCTATTAAGCTTGAGTCTCGACTCCTACAACCTCTACCCTATAAGGTCTCTGTATCACAGTGTAAAATAATATATATGTAATATCAGGTTGCAATTAAAAATAAAAATAGTGACAATTTGTATCCATTTTTAAAATGTTACATGGTCATCTATGTAAAATTAGGGAAATATAAAGAAAATACAAATATATATAATATATATTTATAAAATAAATATGTAACATTTATTTACATGAATATAAATATATATAATTTTATGCTTACATAAATATAAAATTAGAAATATAAAGAAAAATTGAAGAACTAAGGAAATCCATCATTAATAGGCTTATTTAAGAAAAACCATCTTTCACATAATTTTTTCTTTCCAAAAAAGAAAATATTGTGTCTCTACTCATAGAACACTTCTAACACCAAATGTGTGTTTTTTCGACATCAAGCAATTCTCCAATTCTCTGTGGACACCAAGTGGGTGTCCTGTAATTTAATTCAATTCTGACACTAACTATCTGAAGTTAGTGAAGACCCCACAGGTTAAGGGCTTACTCCCATAAAATTGTGCCCATTTCAGATGCCACCCACAAGTAGCAAGTCTCAGGTTACACACCCTTCTGTCCAACTTGGCTAGAAATGGAGTTACTACAACTACTCCAACACCCTCTGAAGGTTTGATAATTTGCTATAGCTACTCGGAGAACTCAGGGGCACACTTTATTTACATTTACTAGTTTATTACAAAGATATTTTAAAGGATACAAATGAACAGACAAATTAAAAGGTCCAGAAGGGTCCTGAGCACAGGAGCTTCTGTTACTGTGAACAAGGTGCACCAGACTCGTGGCACATGGATATATTCAGCAACCCAGAAGGTCTCCAAACTCTTGCATTTACGGTTTTGATGGCGGTTCCGTTATGTAACTATGATTGATTAAAACATCAGCCATTGGTGATTAACTCAGTCTCTAATCCCTCTTCTTTTGGGGTGTGAGACTGAAGGTTCCAACCCTCCAATCAAGTGATTGGTTCCTCTGGAAGCCAGATTCCATTTTTCAGGAGTCACCTCATTAGCATAAATATAAATATGATTGAAAGAGGCTTACTGTGAATAACAAAAGATACTCCTCTCACTCCATCCCTTTGGAAATTCCAGAAATACTAGGAACCTCTATGCCAGGAACCAGAGAGGAAGACCAAATATATATTTCTTATTAAAATATCACACATCCATTTTTTTCTTTGTAAATTTTAGTAAATTTTAAGGCAATAAACCCATTCTGTAATAATCTTGGCTTCTAGGAAATTCTTTAAAGCTTTATTTCTTCATGTTGAAATTAAAGACCATTTCATCATGCTTGACTTCTTTGTGAAGAAAACATTAAACGTCCTTCTATCAATAAGGTACTTTCCCTCACCAATCATCCCATTAGATTTTCTCAGAAAAAGCACTTAGGAAGGTGTAAAAGAATGAGTATTTCTTCATATCCTTAGAAATGCCATTAGAAAGCCATCTAATTCTTCTCTTCTGAATAAACTACAGGCTTTTCTGCTTCCTACTTAGACTCTCTTCATCCCCAACCCTTTATCATATTTGTTATTTTCCTTAAGCCCTCTTGAAGTTCATTCTATTTCTCTTGAGTCTAGAACAGTACATGCTAATGCATATTATGTCTCGTCACTACTGAGTTTAATTAAAGAATAGCTTTTAAGTGTCTCCATTTTATATATTCTACCCATCAGAATGACTCTTAAAAATAATTATGACTGTCATTCAAGTCACAAGCCACTATTATCCTTGGGATACTGTCCACTTTATGGTTTATAGTCAGTCTTTTATATCATCTTATGATTGCAAAACCTGTAATAACTCCATCCATACCGAACCTCAATCTGTTAGCTTCTGACCACTTACTTCCTCAAGGATATATCAAATTTCAAGATATACAACCCCCTTTCTACTCACTTTTCTTTCTTGGATTAGTGCAATCAGAAAGCTTGAATGATGAATATTTCTATTTACTATACAATATGGCCTGCAAATAAAAATGTCAGAAGTTTTAATGCAGAGTGAAGTTTATCTGTGGAAACTGGCAGATTAAATGCGTGGATTTCCAAAACATCACTGAAACAACCATGAGGAAATTTTTAAAAAGACATAAACCCACAGGTTAAAAATAATAGAAAAGACAGTAAGAACAAAATTTTAGAAGCTGAAAAGCAAACAGATGAGTGTGAATTGACTTAATAGATCTGAGAAACCTAAATCCTAAGCGGCAGTGGAAAGAGCTAACAAGCAACACGATTTTCACTATAGGTCCCTCCAAAAGTTCAAAAATTGGTACCTTTGGAAGTGATTATGACAGTAAGACTAAAACCAGAAAGATAAGTTGAAAGCATGTTTACGGAGTGTCTATATTTATAGATTTACCCCCCTGATATGTGCATTGAGACAATCCTTCCAAAGCTATCACGTTCCCTGGAAAGCAAAATTAGTGGGATCAGTATCTGTGTGGGAAAGGAGGAAAGCAGTGCTAAGCAGAAGTCATTGGGTTCTGATATAGTCACAAAAAAAGCCTCCCTGCCAGGATGACCTTTCAGAATGCTCTTGAGATGAGTGAAGGACCTGGAAATTTGTAAACACTCACACTGAACAATCATTGTAGGCAAGCTGACCTTACAAATGGTGCATGATCATGGGCAAGGTGATCCTCTTCAACCAAGGGTGCTCCCAAGAGCTGGGGAAATAGACCCTTGATTTTGAGGGTGGATACAGGGGGACCACAGACTATCCAATGCATCACTTTTTTGCAGAAAGGTTGAGTCCTATTCTTTTGTGAAGGTAAAATAGAAAGTCTCTGGACTGAAGAAAATCAGGCAGTACTAAAAGAGGAGAAAATAAGCAAAAGTTTATATCCCAAATGTTAAGACACCCAGTCCTCTTCCTCAACTTGGCTCCTATAATTCTAGCAGCCAAGAAGTCTATACCCTTTCAATAAGGCTTTGGAAGAAGATTTTCAAAATAACCTGGACAGCCCATGAGAAAAATTCTCAATATACTGACATCAGACCTTGTCCATCCACATCACTCTATAGCAAAGAACAAATACGACGCATTCCACACATGTGCTCAGACTTTCTATTCAGATTTATCTAGCTTCAGTCTTAAATATGAGCAGATGTGAAAAACTGCCAAGACTTCTACAGGGAGCTTCTTATGGAAAAGGTATAAAATCAAAATAAACAAAGAGAAAAAATCACATTAAATAAAAAGAAACTAACAAAAAAATAACAAAGCTAAATATTTAATATCTCTAAATAGATAAGAATAAATACGATATTCATGAAATAAATATAGGATATAATGAAGTAAAGAAGCACACGAACTATAAAATTTTTAAAAAACTTGTGAAGATTAAAAGATAATGATAGAATTTTTTAACAGTTGAGAGATTAGAAAATTAAGTTGAGGAATCTTCCAGAAATTAGAGCAAAGTGACAAATATGTGAAAAATAAAAAGAAGTAATTAGAAAATTAGAGGACTATCAAGGACTATATTACCCTAGAATTTTCAGTGATGACGGAGATGTTCTGTGTTTGTGCTGTCCAGTACAGTAACCACTAGCTGCATGTGGCTATTGAGCACTTGAGACGTGGCTAGTGTTACTAAGAAAGTTAGTTTTAAAAATTTATTTTATATCTATCAATTTAAAGGCAAATGTGAAAAGCCACATGTTGCTAGCCGCCACTGTATTGGAAAGCATAGATCTAGGGGGCTAAGCAACTAAATTAAAAAGAGTACCAAAAATTAAAAAAAATAGAATGAAACTGATTGGAAAGGAGTAGTCCATTATGCCAGCTAAGTTCCCAGATCTAAAAACATGAGTTTCCAGACTTAAGCATCATGACACTGTTAACTGCAAACAAAAAGATAATTCGACTTCCAGAAAAAAGGAAAAAAAAAAAGTGCTATACGAAGGATCAAGAACCAGAATGACATTGGACTTCTCAAGAGGAGTACTGGGAGCTAGAAGACAGTAGAGCAATGTCTTAAAAATTCTAAATGAGTATGGCTTCCAACCCAGAATCTATATCCAGCATAATTGCCAATAAAGTCAAAGGTAGAAAAAATAGATTTTCAGACATGAAACGTCTCTAAAATGTATTTCCCTTTCATGTACCTTGTATTAGGTATCTACTAGAAGATGTGGTGCATCAAAAGGAGGCAATAAGCTAAGAAAATGTAAACATGAGATTAAGGAAGTGAAGACAGAATTCAAGACAGTACTATATGGTACTGCTGGAATGATGACCAAGGGTCAGCTCAGGGTGAGAGCTACGAACTAGGTTCATCAGCCATCCTGCCCAGAGCAGGCAGAGGCTCTGGGAGTTTTCAAGATTAGTTAATATTCCACTTGATGTATCAAAACCTATTGAGAGAAAATTCACACACAATTGGAGAAGACTTTGGATTTTTATTAGTAATAATGAAAAACATATTAGAGTAGTGTTAGTAGCAATAAACATATAGAAAACAAAGCAAACTAAAAAAATCCAGAGAATTGTTAACTCCAAAGAAAACAAAAACTTGTATAGAAAACAAATATTTATCAGACACCAATGGCTCAGTTGTCACAATATTGTAAACACTGAATATTGATTTAAGCAAAGTAACAATCTTACCTTGCTGCAAAACGAAGAGATGGAAAGAGGGTATGTGTGGTTAGGGGATGGGATATAAGTGAGCCAAAGTCTCATTTGTTATATGGGAAACGAATTGGTAATGCCTTGAAAATCAAAAAATAAAAAATAAAAAAATGGCAACATAGGTATGTTAGTTGTAAGAAAGTGATTACTAAAATTAAATGGACAAAACTCTTGAAAAGTTTTGTTTCTGGTGTGAAAGAAATGGGAGGAGAGGATCTGGAAACTTCTGGTTTTCTATGAACTATTGGACAAGTTATGCCGCATGCATGTATAACTTTTATTTATCAAAGAAAAATGTTCAGGTCAAATGAATAGCACCAGTCACATTCAGAATTCACCGATTAGGATGGCTATTATCAAACTTGTCCTAATGTATTAGTGAGTGATAATACATTTCCTAAAATCTTACAAAAAACCTAAACTAAACTAAATACAAATAATATGTCTCCTTTCTATCAGGTACTTAAATTGATGAGGTAGCCCTTCATCATATTAGGAAAAAACAACCTATTACTCAAAAGGGAAAATAACATTTAAAGTAGACTTCATATAAAGAAAACAAATGAGAGAAGAGGGTCAATGGTCTTGGTAGGACCAGGAGTTCTCTGCAGAGAAAGAGTCGATGTTCAATTCTTACTGCATGCCAGGCAATATGCTGGTTAGTCTCATCAGTGATCTCTCCCTAAAGCCTGACCTAAGGTCATACAGCTAGCAAGTACCTAAGTTTCCATCTGAAGCTGACTCAAAAGAGAAAGGAAACAATTCTTTCTAAAGAATGATTAAAATCAGGGCTGGCACAGAGGCAAATTGGTGGAGAGAACATGGGAGCAGGAGCCCCAGAGCCAGAATTATTGTTCCATCTTCCTTGCCAATAAAATGAAGCAATATGCAAAATGTGAATATGTGGCTCATTTGATTCCTTTCACCTATCAGGAAATGTGATATCATATCAAGGATTAAATAGTATAGATTTATATCCTTTAATTATCAACAAAAGATCCATTTTCTAAGTCTTTTCTGGATACACACAGACACATAAACCCCAAATAGCCAAAGCAATCCTGAGCAAAAAAAGAAGAAACCTGGCAGTATTACACTAGCAGACCTCAAAGTATACTAAAAAGCTATAGTAACCACAACAGCATGGTACTGGCATAGAAAGAGACACATAGACCAAAAGAACAGAATAGAGAATCCAGAAACGAATCCACATATCTACAGCCAACTGATTTTTGACAAAAGTGCCTAGAATACTCACTGAGGAGTTCCTTCAATAAAGGATGCTACTCATATAACAGGGGATTAATGTATAGAATATGCTGGAAACTCAAACATCTCAACAGCAAAACAAAAGAAAAAAAAAGCAATCCAATTTATAAATGGGCAAATGATTTCAACAGACATTTTTCAAAAGAAAACAAACCAATGGCCAAAAATATATATATGAAAAATGCTCAGCATCACTAATCATCAGGGAAATGCAAATCAAAACCACAATGAGATATCATTTTACCCCAGTTAGGATGGCTATTATCAAAAAAAGCAAAGCTGTGGAGAAAAGGGAACTCTTATACACTGTTGAGGGGAATGTAAACTAGTACAGCCACTACAAAGGACAGTACGGAAGTTCTTCAAAAATCTGCAAAAAGAACTACCTTATAATCCAGCAATCCCACTCCTGGGAATTTATCCAAAGATAAGGAAATCATTATATCAAAGAGACATCTGCACCCCTGTGTTTATTGCCGTAGTATTCATATGGATTCAGTAGGCAACCTATGGAATCAACTTAGGTGTCTAAAAACAGATGCATGAATGAAGAAAACGTGGTACATATACATAATGGAATACTATTCAGCCATTACAAAGAAAGAAATCCCGTCATTCATGGCAACGTGGTTGGAACTGAAAGACATTATGTTAAGTGAAATAAGCCAGAAATATAAACAGTATGTGTTCTCACTCATATATGGAAGCTAAAAAAAGTTGATCTGACAAAAGTAAAAAGTAGAACAGAATATACTAGATGTTGGTAAGGGTAGGTGAAAGGGAGGAACAGGAAGAGATTTGCTAAAGAATACAAAATTTTAACTGGATAGGAGGAATAAGTTCTAGTGTTCTGTACCACTGTAGGGTGACTATAGTTAACAATAGTATATTTTGTAGTTTTAAATAGCTAGAAAGACGACATTGAATGTTCCTAACACAGAAAAATGATAAATGTGTAAGATGATGATTATGCTACTCTGATCTGATTGCTATATGTTATATGTATTGAAACAGCACTAGGTACTCTATGAATATGTACAATTATTGTCAATTTCAATAAACTAAATTTTAAAGAATTGCTACTTATATATTAGAAGGTCTAGCTGCTAAAGTTTATAAATTTTCTATGACATAAAACAGGGAACAGGGAATTTTTCCCTCATTAAAAAAAAAAAAGGTGATGATTAGAATTCATATGGCCTACTATCAGTAGACCTCAAACTAATCTGTGCATAGTACCTTTAAATTGACAGCTTCTACCTAACCTAAGCCCTGAGTAGTTATATTTCCTGACTGAAGCCTAATCAGTTACCTTGGGAAGAAGGATATTTCAAGGTTTGTCCATTCAAAAAAATAAAACTTTTGATGATTCCCCACAATCTTCCATATAATATTTGAGTGAAATCCAGAATGTCACACTAAATTCAATTCCACCCCAGCAGAAGTGTTCAAATACTAAAAGTTACCAAATTTTTTTTTAAATTCCAACAAGCCCACACATGAAAAGACCCTGTGAATGTTGGGGTCTCTCTCTCTCTCTCTCTCTCTCTCTCTCTCTCTCTCTCTCTCTCTCTCTCTCTCTCTCTCTCTCTCCCCCTCTCTCCCTCTCTCCCTCTCTCCCTCTCTCCCTCTCTCCCTCTCTCCCTCCCTCTCTCTCTCTCCCTCTCTCTCTCTCCCTTTCTCCCTCTCTCTCTCTCTCTCCCCTCCTCCTTCTCCCTCTTTCTCAGAGCAAATTTTATTTTCATTACCATGAAAACTGTGGATTAAATTTAATCTGTTTTTAAGGGAGCAGCAGGCCACACTGTCTTAATGTAAATTCCAGTGATGCTAACACACACCAATTAGTAAGGAGAACAACAGCTTCAGGCCTGGAAATAACACCAAATCACAACTCTGTAGTGCTCAAGTGGAATCAGAATGTGACAATAAGATTAAAACTTTATACCAGCCAAGTGCTTATTTTCTGGTATTTTTCTTTTTGTAGATTTAGCATGCTTGGTTGACTTTTGATTATTATTAACTTAAGTGGTTTTCCTTTTCAATCCACTGGTGTCCTGTTTTCTTTACCAGAGACCCCAACAGCAAGTGCTGCCATTGTCTAAGAGAGACTGGGGTTTCCCTGTAGCTAAAAGAAGAGAGGGATGTTCCCTCAAAATGCTAGTTAACTTCCATTTTATGCAAGTTACCAAGGGATGGAGAAGAACTGCCTGAATATCAAACTTGACTCTGGAAAAATTATTTGGAGGTTTTATGGTGTTTCATAAAGTCAGAAAGCACATCTTCATAGGCATACTATTTAAAAGGTTAAAATTTAGCTGAAGTGTTATGCATAGATTCATTGTTGCACTCATTCATTCAGCAGTCACCAAACATCTAGACACAGAAAGGTGAAAAAGGAAAATTGTTACCTTTACATAAACCACTGTCAATTGGAGAGTGATAGTGTCTGATAACTAACATATATTATTCTATATAGTAAGATAGAGCTGCGAAAAAAGTGTTTCAAGAAAGTGATGATTATTTCTGAGTGGTAATGGAGGAGGATGAGGGAAATGAAGGAAAGAATTTTCAAAGGAATTGATAGTTTCAGAAGGAAAACATTTAGATAGATACAGCCACAGCAAAACATGAACCAAAAATCCCATTCTTGCAACCATCAGCCATGTCCTTTTTGAAACCACTTAACGTAATAGTTGAATCAGAAACTATGTGAAAATCTGTCATCCAAATAGAGATGCAACAGGACAATTTGCTTTGGCACAGGGCTCAATTCATTGGTGGGTCAAGTGTCTCACCTCTCCCATCATCTCTGTGTTTCTTGGGCCTTGCTTGTTGCTAGATAATCAGGTTTTTGGATCTTGTACATGCAGGAAGCTCCTGGGAGGAAAAGAAATAGGAACTCTGCATCCCAAAAATATTAAAACATTTATGAGGCAGGGCTATGCCTTTGCATTCTTGCTCCTAGCATTGTACCTGAATATAGTAGTTACGTCTATTTAAAAGGGGAGAAGAAAACAAAACATGTTTTTGAATGTGTGAATATGTGAACAATCAGCATACTGATTACCATGGTATTTGAGATGGAAGAATTTTCCTTTTATTTTTTATCCAAGTAAAATTTCAGTGTTGCCTTACATAAGTGACTAATAGAAAACTTTTTCATTGTATTCATTAGATCTTTTTGAAGATTTTTTTACTACTTGTTAAAGAATAATGCCTTATTTAATATATAGCAACTTACAAAAATATTTACCCAATGTGGTGCAGAATTCTTACCCTTTAGCAAATGTTGCTGAATCCTATCCAGGGACAGATATAACATATCATGAAATGTCAATATATAGGATGTGATTTTCTTTTTGTGTTATTTATGGATTTTCATAACTTGAGAATCATAACATTATTGTTTTTATGAAGTCTCTGAGGAAAGACTGTGAGAAAGAAGTTAGCAGATCTGGAGGAGGTGAGAGCTATCAGTAAGGTAAGAGGCTTTTAAAATGAGAATAATAATCCTTAGATTAACATTCTTGTTGGCAAGATAGCTATTCTTGAGTTCAAAGGGGTGAGTGTTACAATCTATTTCTTAACAGAGTAATTTTATGAATATATCGTAAAATCGTATAATGGTGCCTACAAAGCTATTTTTAGTGAATGAATTAAATAAAACAGGAGATTATAACTATTCATAATAAAAGATGATAAACATAAGGTGAAAAAATACAATTTCTAATAATACTTCAGGATCACAGCCTGGGAGAATTATCCATGCACAGTATTTTTGAAAAAAGGATAGCACTTGTAACCCTGTTACATTTTTCCTCTTCACTCCATCAGATTGATTGCTCTACTGTGACTTTTGCTCTTTCATACTGCTACACTTCAGCATAGAGTGTTCCTAGCAACCAGAAGGTCACCTCCTTTCCCGTCTGCTTATCACAGTTACCCATTCTTCACCATTTAGTGCAGGTCCACAGATTGCCCTACCCAAACTCCCTTTATAAGTTCTTTCTCTGATTTTTTACAGTCCTTATATTTGCCTCTCATGTCTAATAATAATAATAATAATGACAACTAACATTGATTGAGTAGTTACCATGAGTCAGGCACTATTCTAAGTACTTTATGGTTTTTACCACATTTAATTGTCACAAAATACCTTGAAATAGGTATTCTTATTAACACCATTTTTAAAGATGAATAAACTGAAACCAAAAGAGGTTAAGTAATTTGCCCTAGTGGCTAGCAAGTGTTGGAGTGACAACTTGAACCTGTACAGCCCGGTTGCAGAGCTATTAACTACTATAGCCATTTACTCTGCAGCTTTGCCTTTTATTTGACTTTTTTGCAATATATATTAAATAATAATTAAATATATATTTAATTATTTTTACTGTGTGTATGTCATAGACATTTTTTGCCTCTTGGCTGTCTTGTATTAATTTGTCCTACACCCAGAAACATATCTGAGAGGGAGGGATCCACTATTTCCTCACGCTCAGTCTGTAGTTTTGGTGGAGGGCAGTTTATCCCTCACAGACTCCAGGAGTGTTATTTGATACAGACCAGGCCAAACAGAGCTGTACACTCCTCTGACATAGAAACTGGTTCAAGGTTAGACACACAACCCCATCAGAGCCAAAGAGACATTATGAGATGCGGACATACATACTGTTGACTACATTTGAAACTGAGATGATGCACATCCTTGGAGCCTTTCTGAGAACTGAGTTAACACAGAGTCTTGACCAAAATTCCTGTTTTCTCTTTTTCAAACAGTTTGGAATTTTCTAGATTTTCTGTCAATTGTTGTATAAAGTATCCTAATTGATATAAGGCTGACAGATTCTCTCAGATTAAATGGTAAAATTTTAGACATACGGATTGCCTTTCTCAAACTCTTTCTTCCGCAGTGTTTTGCACTTATATATTATGTAATATTGATTGAATCCATTTTGAAAATCTGTGGAATTAATATATTAACCCAAAATTCATGCCAAGTATACTGCAGCTTACATACAGACTTTAGTTTAACTTTGTTGTGAATTTGATTTAAACTTCATTCGAAATTATAATTCTAAAAATGCAAATGTGTATGGGCCAATCAATGGCATAAGAAGGAACTAAGTTACTTTTATCTTTACCCCTTCTATTTTTCCTTATTATTTCTTTCTTCATTTCAGAACATGAGGAAAACAAGGTTATGTGATCAGTTTGCTATAAAACTTTCCATGCTGTGAAATAGTATACTATAGTGAAAGGGACACCAACTTGGAAATGGGAAACTTGGCAAGCCGTATAAGCTTGGGTAGTCCTTTAATACTCTCTCAGTCTTGGGCTTGAGTTTCCTCGTACATACTCGGAATATATTGGATTATATTACTTCTTGGCATTTAAAAGAATGGGAACTCTGACTACCTGAATGTTTCTGAACCATCAGTCACTTCTCAGAAATTCTTAGCTCTTCAGTGGCCAATCACAGCTTCTCGTCATGTAATATTAGTAAATATTATTCTAAATAAAATCTAGATTAAGAGAGTATGATCTTGATCTATATGGCTCTTGTTAGTATTATGATGGATAAAATATTTTTCCTAGGTCTTATACAAAATTAAAATTTGCTTAAAGAGCTTGCTCCACTGCTTTTACGGATCATAACTTTGAAACTGTGGAAATCACTGGGTTAGATGTTCTACAAGATTTCTTCCAGCACCACCATCTTGTGAAAAGACACAGGTCATTTCCTGGAATAAATTTGAGAGTACCTTGTGTAGTCAAGATGGGCCCATTTAAAAGGATGACTTCGTGTTGTTCTGGATACCTATGATTTCAGAATTGGATAAGTTCTAGTGTCCAGGATTTTCTGAAGATACTAGTTTTCTCCATAACTGCTATTGGCTGCTTTGGCTTTCACGGGATGTCTTGGCCTGTGAGTTGCTCTAGAATTCCAAAAATATGAGTGGTTGCATTGAATGGGGAACACAAAGGTAATTCAGGCTTCCAACTGTGGGTTGTGCTAAGGAGTTTGGTCTTTATTCTTTATTATGTGGTGTGTGAGTCCTGACAAGGCAGGCACTCAAAAGGGGGCTTAGGATTATTTATGGTTGTCTGAGGACAGCATTTCTCTATTTCATCATTTTATTTGGGACAAGTCAGCTTGCTAGCTCTGCAGTATAGTAAAAAAAAATCCCAGGAGTTACAGTTTCAAGTCCTGTCTCTCCCACTAGTTAGCACTGTGATCTTAGGCCAGGCATTTTTGCCTCCCTAACTGCAATTTTTCCAGCTACAGTATAAAATAATTGGAATATAACATTTCTAAGGCTTATTTTACTGTAAGGATCTAAAATTCTATAATCACACTATATGACACAAAAGCATGACCACACAGAACCATACTTACAGATTGGGAACTATGACCCTGTTTTCCAAATCTCCCATCTGAACTCACCAGAGCCAGTGAACATTCAGTGTGTTTGTCACATGCAGTATTACCAGCCAGAAAACACTCTTGTTCTAGCCTAAGTTCTTGAAATTGAAGTATACATTCTTTTTTCTGATACTCCCTCAGATTCATTTGGAAAAAAAAAAAAAACAACTCAATAACTGTAAATGAAGAAACACTTTCTAAGAAGTGTCATGCATAAGATTATAGATGATCATACAAAGTACCATGGGTCCCTGGTTACCTTAAGGTCCTATTCAGGAGAAAGATAAAAGTAGATGTTAGTATTCTTGGTGAATTAAGTGGGAATTTGCATTTCAATGCCAGTCCTTAAATGGTTTGATTTTCATAAACCCTATATATTATAGAGTGTTTGATGTTACATAATGGTGAAATGAATAGAAATGAGAAATATTTGAACTTCGAATGTACTTGCAAACGTTCTCCCCCCACCCCTTTAAACTACCTACATATAAAAACCTAGAATCAATTATGTGAAGTTTAATTTCTGAAAGTTTCAATAAAGCTGGGTCATCATACTTTCTCCTCCAAAAATTTGGTTCTCAAATAGGAATATATTTAGAAAAATTGTTTATTTATATTTTCTTTTTTGTTTGTTCTATAATTTAAGTTTAGAAAATAGCAAACTTTTTATGTAAAAGATATGATAGTAAATATTGTGGGCTTTATGGACCATATAAAGTCTATTGATACTACAGTACTTGGCCAGGCACAAAGAAGCCCAGCACTGTAATCTCAGCACTTTGGGAGGCCAAGTAGGGATGATAGCTTGGGCCCAGGAGATTGAAAGCATGGACAGCATAGACAGACACTGATTCTACAAAAAATTAAACAATTAGACTGGCATGGTGGTGAGCACCTATAGTCTTAGCTCCTCAGGAGGCTAAGGCAGTAGGATCACTTGAGCCCAGAACGTTGATGCTACAATGAGCCATGGTCATGACATTGCAGTCTGGCCTGTGCTACAGAACAAAACCCTGTCTCTAAACAAACAAACAAACAAACAAACAACAAACAAAAAACCCCACAGTACTTAACTCACCCGCTGCAGCAGGACAGCTGCCATAGACAATCTATAAACAAATGCATGTGGCTATGTTCTGTACAACTTTATTTGCTGAAACAGGTGGCCCATTGGTGAGCAAAAGCTGACAGATACTTGATCTAGGCAATTAATAAGTGATTTCTCCTTCAATCCTCTCCCAATCCCAGATCATTCCATATTGAAAATAGCATTGGACTGAATAGCTGGATAGCTTTTCTAATTACTGGACATTGACTGCACATAATCCCATTGAAATTCTCATTGATATGGAGCTTATTTCAGTCATCATATCCAGTTCTTAAATTGTATTAGCTATGAGTTAATAAGACTGTTGTTGTGGTATTGCTTTATATCTGGTGTAATACTTTAATATCAGGTCACAGGAACTTCTGTACCATTAAATGAAGATCAGGTTAGGATTCTGATCAATTGGACCATATTTCTGGTCTGGAGGGGAAAGAGGTAAGAAAAGAGCTCCTCCATTCTCATCACAAAAGTGATCATGTTCTAGAATCATAACAAACATGGCCCAGGATTGTGCAGACTTGAAACTGGGGAGTGAAGTGTCAGTGCCAGAACTGGTAAAGAAAATGAAGGTTCTATTTCTGATCCAAGAGGTAGGATCACAGGGCATCCAAGTCTATGCAGGTGGTCCAAGGATACCCTACAGTCAAAAAGACAAAGTATTAGGAGCCCAAGAAGCTGGGGGACACAACTAAGGTAATGAGAAAGGAAAAGTTGCCTGCACTCTCTGTGATAGCTCTACAAATGCTGATCAGCTTTTGCCTTATCCAAGAATTTATTTCAATGAACTGAGGGACTTTTTTTGCTGGCTGTTGTTTCATAAAACTTAAAGGCACCTAGGTACTTCCTGCTACCCAACACATAGTAGATAGAGGTAGAGCCATAAATATTGACCTTCAGACATCATTTGTAGATCAGATATCCTTTGTAGATCTATTTAGATGACCTTAAAAATGTGTTAATAGTCTATTAGTAGTTGGCTACTATGTTGGCCCATCTGGAATGCTTAAGTATTCCTCAAAATAGTTCTTTTGTGCACTTAAAATACATCACCTGACCTAAATGAACTATCAAAGTTAGTTCAACCAGGGCATTTTTATCTTAGATATTACTGAGATTATTATCGATTCATAATTTGGATGCAAGTGGTTGAGGCACTATAATTTTTCTTTTAAGGAAAAAAATCAGGAGAATATTTTATAGTTGGCCACACGTATATAAGAATTGCTTCAAAAAATTCTCTAAAGATGTTAGAAACTTAGATCACTATTTGGTGACTTGACAAACATGACTGGAGAAAGATGAATCAATTGAAAGTTAACTGTCCTTAAATTGAATTATGTCTGATTGTTACTCCATTTATTGTGTGTGACCTAAAGATTTAAAAGAAATTAAGTCATGTATTAATTTCAAGTCATTTCATTATTTTGGAAAAAAATAAAATTATTGATTGCATAATTTTTTGGTTGAATTTTATGGAAAGGTTTTTAAGTTCGTGTAAAATTGGTATTCAGTAGGTTTTCTTAACATTGGCACTATTGACATTTTGAGTTGGATAGTTATTTGTTGTGGGGGACTGTCTTGTGCATTGTAGGATTTTTAGCAGCATCCCTGTTCTCCACCCACTAAATGCCAGTAATACCCACACACAAGTTTAAACAACCAAAACTATCTCCAGACATTGTCAGATATCCCCTTAGTGGTAAAATCTCCCCTGGTTGAGATACACTGGTATACAACAACCAGGCCATAACTCTATAACATACAAGATTAAGGAATAGAAGCAGGATCTTATTAATAATACAAGTCTTTAAAAATTGAATTTTGGTGTTGAAATGAATTTATTTGTGTTATTTAGTATTTTTGAGTGGTGCATTATTACTCAAGACTTTCTAAGGAAACCTAACATTTAGAAATAAAGCAATCCTCCAAAAAGGGCTATCTCTCTGCTCCTCCAGCTCTTACATATCATGTTGTCAATATCATGCTAAGGTTGTAATAGGAAGATTGTATTATTGATTCTGCTCTTCAACCAGAGATTGCATGCAGAGCAGCAATGGTGGAGTTACTTCTGAGAATAGAAAATGAATTGGACCTTATCTTGGGAACCCTATGAATTAGCTGAGTTACCTCCAAGTCTCTCAACACACTTTTTGTCTGGATAAATCAGATTGCCTACTTTTCCTTAAGGTCAAGAAATATGATGTATTTATCTCTGTCTTTCCAGCTCCATTTCTGGCACAGGATAAATAGATGCTTTGAAATTGGATGAATAGGCGGAATCTATTCATTGATCTTACAGACAGAGTCAGCATGTTTTCATCTTCTGTTCTTCTTTTTTCCTCCTGTAGTCCTGTATTCATTCCTGACTACTTCTTGGTGGCTTGATTTATTCATAGATAATCTGTTCTATTCTTTCACACTCAAGATATGGCCAAGATTTTGTTGCTTTAACTTCTATAAGCAAAAGGGGGTCCCAGAACCAAAAAGTACTAAGGAGTTTTAATGTAAGACATTGGAGAATACTAGTGGGAAAATACTGTATTATTTCAGTACCTACCATCACTGTAACAAAATTGTTACTGCTACAAATTATTAAGGCTGACAACGTTTTTAAATTAATTTTCACACTAGAATTCTTATAAACTTGCTTTTCATCTTAATTATTTTTAATGTGTTTTATAACTCCAAAACATGGACCAATTTTATATAGAACTTAATTACTTTTCAAAATCAGTTACCAATACTTTTCTTTCAGACCTGCATGATAAAGACAAAGAGAAAATGCTTTAGAACTGGGCAGAACTAGGTGTTCATTGTCATGTGTACTCTTGTAAACATTAATTTGGACATGCTATTTAAACCTACTGAACTTCAATGTTATTATCTTTAAAATGGGCCAGTGTCTACCTCAGAGTATAACTATAAGAATAGAGAAAAATAAATTAAATATGATCCAAGAAAGCAGTTGCATTAAGTAGGTAGTTGTAAGTCAATCATAATCATAATAAATGACATATGCAAATCAATAAATATGATTCATCACATAAACAGAACTAAAGACAAAAAGCACATAATTATCTCAATAGATGCAGGAAAGGCTTAAGATAAAGTTCAACATCCTTTCATGTTAAAAACTCTCAATAAACTAGGTATTGGAGGAACATACCTCAAAATAATAAGAGCCATATATGACAAACCCACAATCAATGTCATACTAAATGGGCAAAAGCTGAACACATTCCCCTTGAAAACTGGCACAAGACAAGGATGCCCTCTCTCACCAATCCTGTTCAACACAGTATTAGAAGTTCTGATGACGGCAATCAGGCAAGAAAGAGAAATAAAGCGTATTCAAATAGGAATAGAGGAAGTCAAACTATCTCTGTTTGCAGATGACATGATCCTGTATCTGGAAATTTCCATCATATCAACCCCCAAGCTTCTTAAGCTGATAAGCAACTTCAGCAAAATCTGAGGATACAAAACAAATGTGCAAAAGTTGCTAGCATTCCTGTACACCAACAACAGACAAGCAGAGAGCCAAATCACAAGCTGTATTAGTCCATTTTCACATTGCTATAAAGAAATACCTGAGACTGGGCAATTGATTTATTTTATTTTATTTTATTTATTTCAATAGGTTTTGGAGAAACAAGTGGTGTTTGGTTACATAAATAAGTTCTTTAGTTGTGATTTCTGAGATTTTGATGCACCTGTCACCAGAGTAGTATACACTGTACCCAATGTGTAATCTTTTATCCTTCACCCCCACACCCTGTCCCTCAAGTCCCCAAAGTCTATTGTATCATTCTTATGCCTTTGCATCCTCATAGCTTAGCTTCCACTTATGAGTAAAAACATACAATTATTAGTTTTCCATTCCTGAGTTACTTCACTAAGAATAATGGTCTCCAATTCCATCCAGGTTGCTGCAAATGCCATTATTTTGTTCCTTTTTATGGCTGAGTAGTATTACATGGTAAGTGTGTGTGTGTGTGTGTGTGTACACACACACACACACACACACACATATACGGTAGATCTACTTTTATTTCTTTAAGGAGTCTCCACACTGTTTTCCATAGTGGTTGTACTAGTTTACATTCTCACCAACAGTGTAAAGGTGTTCCCTTTTCACCTCATCTATGCCAACGTCTATTACTTTATGATTTTTTTATTATGGCTATTCTTGCAGGAGTGAGGTGGTGTCGCATTGTGGTTTTGACTTGCATTTCCCTGATACATAGTAATGTTGAGCATTTTTCCATATGCATGTTGGCCATTTGTATATCTTCTTTTGAGACTTTTCTATTCATGCCCTTAGCTCACTTTTTGATGGGATTATTTGTTTATTTATTTATTTATTTTGCTGATTTATTTGATTTCTTGGTAGATTCTGGATATTAGTACTTTGTCAGATGTATAGATTGTGAAGATTTTCTCCCACTGTGTGGGTTGTCTGTTAACTCTGCTGTTTATTTCTTTTGCTCTGCAGAAGCTTTTTAGTTTCATTAAGTCCCATCTATTTATCTTTGTTTTTGTTGCATTTGCTTTTGGGTTCTTGGTCATGAAGTCTTTGCCTAAGCCAATGTCTAGAAGAGTTTTTCTGGTGTTATCTTCTAGAATCTTTATGGTTTCAGGTTTTACATTTAAGTATTTGCACCATCTTGAGTCGATTTTTGTATAAGGTAACAGAAGAGCATCCAGTTTCATTCTTCTACACGTGGCTTGCCAATTATCCCAGCACCATATGTTGAATAGGGTGTCCTTTCCCCACTTTATGTTTTTGTTTGTTTTGTTGAAGATCAGTTGGCTGTAAGTATTTGGGTTTATTTCTGGGTTCTCAATTCTTTTCCATTGGTCTATATGCCTATTTTTATATGAGTACCAAGCTATTTTGGTGACTGTGGCCTTATAGTGTAGTTTAAAGTTGGGTAATGTAATGTCTCCAGATTTGTTCTTTTTGCTTAGTCTTGCTTTGGCTAGGCAGGCTCTTTACTTGGTTCCATATCAATTTCAGGATTGTTCTTTCTACTTCTGTGGAGAATGATGGTGGAATTTTTATGGAAATTGCATTGAATTTGCAGATTGCTTTTGACAGTATGGTCATTTTCACAATATTGATTCTACCCATTCATGAGCATGGGATATGTTTCCGTTTGTGTTGTCTATGATTTCTTTCAGCAGTGTTTTGTAGTTTTTCTTGTAGAGGTCTTTCACCTCTTTGGTTAAGTATATTCCTAAGTATTTTAATTTTTTGTAACTATTGTAAAAGGGGTTGAGTTCTTGATTTGATTCTCAGCCTGGTCACAAGTTTATAGCAGAGATACTGATTTGTGTACATTAATTTTGTATCCTGAAATTTTACTGAATTCATTTACCTGTTCTGGGAGTTTTTTGGATGAATCTTTGGGGTTTTCTATGTATACGTTCATGTCATCAGTAAACAGCAACAGCTTGACTTGCTCTTTACTGATTTGGATGCCCTTAATTTCTTTCTCTTGTCTGATTGCTCTGGCTGGGACTTCCAGTACTATGTTGAATATAAGTGGTGAAAGTGGGCATCCCTGTCTTGATTCAGTTCTCAGAGGGAGTGCTTTCAACTTTTACACTTTCAGTATAATATTGGCTGTGGGTTTCTCAGAGGTGTCTTTTATTACCTTAAGGTATGACCCTTCTGTGCTGATTTTGCTGAGGGTCTTAATCATAAAGGGATGCTGGATTTTGTTGAACCCTTTTTCTGCATCTACTGAGATGATCATATGATTTTTGTTTTTAATTCTGTTTATGTGGTGTATCATATCTATTTACCTATGTATCCTTAATGTATACATACCTATGAATGTATCCCTACATTACTGGTATGAAACCCACTTGGTCATGGTGGATTATCGTTTTGATATGCTGTTGGGTTTGGGTCACTAGTATTTTTTTTGAGAATTTTTGCATCTGTGTTGATCAGGGATATCTGTCTATAGCTTTCTTTTTTTGTTATGCCCTTTCCTGGTTTTGGTGTTAGGGTGATATTGGCCTTATAGAATGATTTAGGGAGGATTCCCTCTTCCTCTGTCTTTTGGGATAGTGTCAATACGATTGGTACCAATTCTTCTTTGAATGTCTAATAGGATTCAGCTGTGAATCTATCTGGTCCTGGAATTTTTTTTTTGTTGGTAACTTTAAAATTACCGTTTCAGTCTCTCTGCTTGTTACTGGTGTGTTCAGAGTTTCTATTTCTTCCTGGTTTAATCTACGAGGGTTGCATATTTCCAGGAATTTATTCATCTCCTCCAGGTTTTCTAGTTTATGCACGTAAAAAAGGTATTCATAGTAGCCTTGAATGATCTTTTGAATTTCTGTGATATCTGTTGCAATATCTCCCATTTTGTTTCTAATTGAGCTTATTTGGATCTTCTCTCTTCTTTTTGGCTTAATCTTGCTGATGGTCTATGCGTTTTATTTATCTTTTTAAAGAACCAGGTTTTTGGTTCATTTATTTTTTGTATTTGTTTTTGTTTTAATTTTATTTAGTTCTGCCCTGATCTTTGTTATTTCTTTTCTTCTGCTGGGTTTGGGTTTGGTATGTTTTTGTTTCTCTAGTTCTCCGAGGTGCGACCTTAGATTGTCTATTTTTGCTCTTTCAGACTTTTTGATGTGAACATTTAATGGTATGAACTTTTCTCTTAGCACTGTCTTTGCTGTATCCCAGAGGTATTGATACATTGTGTCACTATTTTTCAGTTCAAAGAATTTTTGAATTTACATCTTGATTTCATTGTGGACCTAATGATCATTCAAGAGCAGGTTATTTAATTTCTATGTATTTGCATGGTTTTGAGGGTTCCTATTGGAGTTGATTTCCAATTTTATTCCACTGTGGTCTGAGACAGTACTTGATATAATTTCTATTTTCTTAAATTTATTGAGACTTCTTGTGACCTATCATATGGTCTATCTTGGAGAATGTTTTGTGTGCTGATGAGTAGAATGTATATTATGCAGTTGTTGGGTAGAATGTTCTGTAAATAACTGTTAAGTCTATTTGTTCTAGAGTATAGTTTAAGTCCATGGTTTCTTTGTTGACTTTCTGTCCTGATGACCTGTCTAGTGCTGTCAGTGGGGTATTGAAGTCCCCCACTATTATTGTGTTGCTGTCTATGTCATTTCTTAGATCTAGTAGCAATTGTTTTATAAATTTGGGAGCTCCAGCGTTAGGTGCATATATATTTAGGATTGTGATATTTTCCTATTGGATCGGTCCTTTTATCATTATATAATGTCCTTCTTTGTCTTTTTTAACTGCTGTTTCTTTAAAGTTTGTGGGTTTTTTTGTCTGATATAAGAATAGCTACTACTACTCATCTTTGGTGTCCATTTTCATAGAATATCTTTTTCCACCCCTTTACCCTAAGTTTACATGAGTCCTGACATATCAGGTGAGTCTCTTGAAGACAGCAGATACATAGTTCATGAATTCTTACCCATTCTGACATTCTGTATCTTTTAATTGGAGCATTTAGGCCATTTTCTTTAAATGTTAGTATTGAGATGTGAGGTACTATTCTATTCATTGTGCTATTTGTTACGTGAATACCTTTTTTTTCATTCTGTTATTGTTTTATAGGTCCTGTGAGATTTATGCTTTAAGAATAATCTATTTTGGTGTATTTCGAGGATTTGTTTCGAAATTTAAAGCTCCTTTTAGGAGTTCTTGTAGTGCTGGCTTTGCAGTGGTGAATTCTTTCAGCATCTTTTGTCTGTGTCTGGAAAAGACTTTATCTTTCCTTCATTTATGAAGCTTAGTTTCACTGCATACAAAATTCTTAGCTGATAATTGTTTTGTTTTAGGAGGCTAAATATTGGACCCCAATCCCTTCTTGTTTGTAAGCTTTCTGTTGAGAGATTTGCTGTTAATCTGATAGGTTTTCTTTTATAGGTTATCTGAAGCTTTTACCTCACAGCTCTTAAGATTCTTTCCCTTGTCTTGACTTTAGATAACTTGATGACTATGTGCCCAGGCAATGATCTTTTTACAATGAATTGCCTAGGTTTTCTTTGAGAATCTTGTATTTGGGTATCTAGATCTCTAGCAAGGCCAGGGAAGCTTTCCTTGATTATCCCCTCTAACATGTTTTCCAAACTTTTAGATTTCTCTTCTTCAGGAACACCAATTATTCTTAGGTTTGGTCTTTTGACATAATCCCAAACTTCTTGGGGGCTTTGTTAATTTTTTTATTCTTTTTTCTTTGTCTTTATTGGCTTGGGTTAATTCAAATGCCTTGTCTTCAAGCTCTGAAGTTCTTTCTTCTACTTGTTCAATTCTGTTGCTGAGACTTTCCTGTGCATTTTGCAATTCTCTAAGTGTGTCTTTCATTTCCAGAAATTGTGATTGTTTTTTACGTTTGCTATTTCATTGGAGATTTTTCCAGTCATATCCTGTATTTTTTTTATTTATTTAATTGGATTTTACCTTTCTTTGGTGCGTCCATGATTGGCTTAATAATTGGCTTCTGGGCCGCACACGGTGGCTCACGCCTGTAATCCCGGCACTTTGGGAGGCTGAGGCAGGCAGATCACAAGGTCAAGAGATCGAGACCATCCTGGCTAACACAGTGAAACCCCGTCTCTACTAAAAATATAAAAAATTAGCTGGGCGTGGTGGTGGGCACCTGTAGTCCCAGCTACTCAAGAGGCTGAGGCAGGAGAATGGTGTGAACCCGGGAGGCAGAGCTTGCAGTGAGCTGAGATCGCACCACTGCACTCCAGCCTGGGTGACAGAGCAAGACTGTGTCTCAAAAAAAAATAATAATAATAAAATAAAATAATTGTCTTCTGAATTCTTTTTGTGGCAATTCAGAGGTTTTGTCTTGGTTTGGATTCATTGCTGGTGAGCTAGTGTGATCTTTTCGGGTGTTAAAGAACCTTGTTTTGTCATTTACCAGAATTGATTTTCTGGTTCCTTCTCATTTGGGTAGACTATGTCACAGGGAAGATCTGGGACTCTTGATTGCTGTTCAGATTTTTTTGTCCCACAGGATGCTCCCTTGATGTGGTGCTCTTCCCTTTCCCCTAAGGATGGGGCTTCCTGAGATCCGAACTGCAATGATTGTTATTTCTCTTCCGGATCTAGCCACCCAGTGGAGCAACTGGGATCTAGGTTGTTACTGGAGAGTGTCTGCAAAGAGTCCTATGATGTGATTCGTCTTCAGGTCTGTCAGCCATGGATGCCATCACTTGCTCCAGTGGAGGTAGCAGGGGACTGAAGTGGACCCTGTGAAGGTTCTTGGTTGTATTTTTGTTAAGTGCACTGGTTTTATATTGGTTGGCCTTCAGCCAGGTGGTGGCATTTTCGAGAGCACATCAGCTGTAGTAGTATAGGATCAGGCAGTGGGTGGATCCATAGAGCTCCCAAGAGATTATGTCATTTGTCTTCGGCTACCAGGGTGGGTAGAGAAAGGCCATCCAATGGGGCAGGGTTAGGTGTGTCTGAGCTCATACTTTCTTTGGGCAGGTCTTGGTGTGGCTGCTGTGGCTGATGGGAGTGTGGTTTCCAGGCGAATGGAGTTATTATAGAGACTGGGCAATTTATAAAGGAAAGAGACTTAATTGACTCACAGTTCCACATGGCTGGGGAGGCCTCGGGAAACTTACAATCATGGCAGAAGGTAAAGAAGAAAGCAAGTACCTTCTTCACAAGGAAGCAGGAAAGAAAGAAGAGTAAAGGAGGGACTTCCAAACACTTACAAAACCATCAGATCTCATGAGAACTCACTCACTATCACAGGAACAGCAGGGGGAAAACCACTCCCATGATTCAGCCACCTTCCACCAGGTCCCTTCCTCAACATGTGGGGATTATATGAATTACAACTGGAGATGAGATTTGGGTGGGGACACAGAATCAAACCTTACCATGAACGAATTCTCACTCACAGTTGCTACAAAACAATAAAATACCTAGGAATACAGCTTGCTAGGGGGGTGAAAGATCTCCATAGGGAGTACTACAAACTACTACATGAAGAAATCAGAGATCACACAATTGGAAAAACATTCCATGCTCATGGATAGGAACAATCAATGTAATTAAAATGCCCATACTGCCCAAAGCAATTTATAAATTCAGTGCTATTCCCATTAAACTACAATTGACATTCTTCACAGAACTAGAAAAAAAAAATGTTTTAAAATTCATGTGGAACCAAAAAAGGGCCCAAACAGCCAAGGCAATTTTAAGCAAAAAGAACAAAGCTGGAGGTATCAGGCTACCTGATTTCAAACTGTACTATGGGGGTACAGTAACCAGAAGAGCATGGTACTGATGTAAGAACAGACAAATAGACCAATGGAACAGCATAGACAACTCAGAAATAAGACCACATGCTTACTTAAGATCACTAAGCTATGTGATCTTCAACAAACCTGACAAAAACAAGCAACAGGGAAAGCACTCCCTATTCAATAAATGGTGCTGGGATAACTGGCTAGCCATATGCAGAAGATTGAAACTGGACGTCTTCCTTACACCATATTAAAAAATTAACTCAGGATGAATTAAAGACTTAAATGTAAAACTCAAAACCATAAAAACCCTGGAAGACATCCTAGGCAATACCATTTAGGGCATAGGCATGGGCAAAGATTTCATGATGAAGACACGAAAAGAAATTGCAGCAATGACAAATGGGACCTAATTAAACTAAAGAGCTCTACACAGCAAAAGACACTGTCAATAGAGTAGAAAGATAACCCAAAGAATGGTGGAAAATTTTTTGCAAACTATGCATCTAACAAAGGTCTAATATCCAGCATCTATAAGGAACTTAAACATACTGACAAGAAAAAAACAACCCCATTAAAAAATGGGCAAGGGACATGAACAGACACTTCTCAAAAGAAGACATACATGTTGCCAACAGTCATGAATAAAAGCTCAACATCACTTATCATTAGAGAAATGCAAATCAAAGCCACAATGAGATAGCATCTCACAACAGTCAGAATGGCCACTGTGAAATGTCAAAAAGTAACAGATGTTGGTGATGTTATGGAGTAAAATGAATGCTAATACACTTTTGGTGGGAGTGTAAATCAGTTCAACCAGTGTGGAAGACAGTTTGGCAATTCCTCAAAGACCTAAAGATAGAAATACCATTAGACCCAGCAATCACCTTACTGAGTACATACCCAAAGAACTGTAAATCATTCTATAATATTATAAAGACATGCACATGTATGTTCATTGAAGCATTATTCGCAATAGCAAAAACATGGAATCAACCTAAATGTCCATCAATGATAGAATGGACAAAGAAAATGTACATATACATCACAAAATACTATGCACCCATAAAAAAGAACAAGATCATGCCTTTTGCAGGGACATTGTTGAGGCTGGAGGCCATTATTCTTAGCAAACTAATGCAGGAACACAAAACCAAATATCACATGTTCTTACTCATAAGTGGGAGCTAAATGATGAGAACTCATAGACACATAGAGTGGAACAATACACACTGGGGCCTATAGGAGGGTAGAGGATGGGAGGAGAGAGAAGATCCAGAAAAATAACTAAAGGATACTAGGCTTAATACCTGGATGATGAAATAATCTGCACAACAACCCGTGCCCCTGCCTGCCATGACACATTTACCTATGTAACAAGCCTGCACATGTACCCCTGAACTTACAATGAAAGTTAAATATATATATATATATATATATATATAATAAATGATTATGATTTATTTTGGAGGTAATGGTGTTGATATTAACTAGACATGACCAGAGCCAAGGCTCTGCAAAATCATGAAGTGTCTCTGGTACTTTTTAAACTCCTTTTTCTGAGTCAGGCTTAGGTAAAATCATTCCCTTCATTCTGTGCCAAATGTTGGTATTCTATTGATTGTCAACTAATTCCTGCTAAGCAGCTATTTCTTCCAGAGAGTATTTATATTTTAATAGAAGTAGCTGTTAATATCAGATATAGGCTCCAGTTTTGAATAAAGATAGAGACTAAGGTGGCACTACCCTCCTGCTATGCCTGTATTTTCCTGATGACTTGTTCTCTCCATTTCAAGATCCCCAAACTCATTGTACCAATTAGTCTTTGCTGCATAGCAAATTTCCCCAAAACTTGAAAAATTGAAAACAAAAATAGTTTTTATATTTTATGATTCTGTGGGTTAGCTACGTGGTTCTTATGTTTCATATGGTATTGGCTGGATTCATTCATGTAGCTGCTATCAGCTTGGAACTTGGCTGGGGACAGAATATTCTGAAGGACTTCATTGATATATCTGGTGTCTTAACAGGGCCCTTAACTGGGGAGGGTAGAATCACTGGGGGTCATTCCATTGTCTAAGATGTCTAGTTCTCTCTCTCTGTCTTGCTTTCTCTTCTTATTCATTAGTTGAGCTTTGAGACTTTACATAATGGTTGGATCTCAAGAGGGCACATATGGAAGCTGCGTAAGTCCAGAAGTCACACACAGTCTTTTCTGCCATACTTTAATGGTCAAAGAAAGTCACAGGACCAGCTCAAATTCAAGGGGAGAGAAAACAACCTCTATCTATTGGTAGGAAGAAAAGCATATATGAATAAGAATGTGATGGCTAATTGCTGGCCATATTTACTTACTTAGTTACTTAGTTTTGAGACAGGTTCTCACTCTGTCACCCAGACGAGTGCAGTGGTGTGATCTAGGCTCACTGCAGCCTTCGTCTCCTAGGTTCAAGCAACTCTCCTGTCTGAGCCTCCCAAGTAGCTGGGATAACAGGCACACACAACCATGTCTGGCTAATTTTTGTAGTTTTAGTAGAGACGGGGTTTCACCATGTTGGCTGGTCTGGTCTTGAACTCCTGACCTCAAGCAGTCTGCCAGTCTCAGCCTCCCAAAGTGCTGGGATTACAGGCCTGAGCCACCATGCCTGGCCCCATGGCCATAATTATAGACAATCTAACCTTTTATTACACTTTCCACCTTTTTCTCCTATCTTTCCTTGTTTATTTTTCACGTCTCTCCTGACAATTTCAGTGATGTCACTGGTTTCTCAGGTTATAAGGAGTGAGTGTTGTCATCATTATTTCTAATTCAGTATGCCTAGTGGAAAAGACACAGGTTTTAGAAACATATAGACCTCCAAATCAATGCCGGGTCTACTTATTTCTAGCAATATGACACTAAGCAAAATATGTAAGCTCTTTTACCTCAAGTCTTCTCTTCTACTAACTAATAGAGGGGACAAAACTTACCCCAAAGGGTTAATATTAGATTTATATTAATATAGTTTATGCCTAGTGATTAACTGAAACTTAAGAGATGCTCAATAAGTGTTACTTTATTTCTTCCTGTTTCTACATGTCTCTCTCTCTGTCTCATTTTTTTTCTGTCCCATTACTTTTCCTAGAAGAAAAACATTTTTGAAAATTTCTAACCACTGTTTATAACAAACATATTTGTCGTAAACTTACTGATAATGTTCAAAAAATGCTTCAAGATGTATTAAGCATTTTGACAATTACTGTTCTCTTATGCTGGATGCCTTATTCTTTCCTGAGTTTGCCATGTTATTGCTACTACTAAGCCTTGGCTCATACTTTCCTTTTGCCAAATAAACTATCATTCCTAAATCCATATGAAATTTTTTCTTTTTCAGAAGCATTGTCTAATGTTTCTGATGGTTATTAATAGTATTTGTAACCTTGTATTTTAATCTATTTGTTTCCAAACCGTTTCCATCAGTTTTATGCTCCATGATGAATTTGGGGGTCTTTTAAACCATGTATCCCCCACTACACATTTTAAATTTCACACACTGTAAATAGAACTAAACAACTGGCAATTTTTCAATAACAACATGTTGAATTGCACAACCAGAAGAGCAATAAAAATTTGCTTTTAGGGCCATTTTTTCTATGAAAGATTCCAGAGACAGCGTTAGTCAATGTCTTCATAAATTCTGTGGAAAAAAATATATAAATAGAAAGTAATAGCAATGATTAGGGACAAGTGAGTGATTGCAATTTTTGAAAAGAAAAAATTGAGAAAAACACATTATCTTTCTTGATTCATACATTATTTTGTGTGATTAGAATTTCCATAAAAGAAACTCCTAACCGATATTTGACTAAGCATTAGAACAAAATAGTGAATAAAAGAATCCTATTTCTGTCATATTATTATGCTTGCTATGGATACAATATGCAGGGACTTTTTTTCTTTTGGTGGGTGTTGCTGGATGATTTCTTTATTTATGTCCTTGATAAATACTGTCAGAAATATGTTCTAAAAAGTAAATAACCAAAGGATAGTTCTTACCAATCCATTAGAGATTTTATAGCTAGTACCATTTGTTTGGTCTTTCTGTTTCTAAAAGCTTTCTTTAATAAATACATCACTACAAATCCAAAAGCAGAAGTCAGATAACATCTTCCTCATCTAGATAACCCCAATATTTCTTTTAAGAGTTAGGATTCCAATGTGCCATAACCAGAAGGGCATTCCGAGGCTTCCCCACATTTCCTCTGTTTATGGAGACAGCTGTTTCACTAACTTGCAGCTCTTGTAAATGCTTTGAAAGCTGATCACATACTATATTCTTGACTTAATACTTTGGTAAGCCTGGATATATATCTTTCTATAAACCTCACCTAATCTTTGATATTACTATAACTTTATCTTTGCTTGGAAAGCACACTCAGAAGGCTTCATCACCAAGATTTTGGGAGAGTAAAGCTAAGTGTAGTTGATGCAACATTGTAGAAACAGCATAGGAACAATAAGAACAATAGGTAAAGCTATAATTATGGCTTATATTTAGAAATGACCACATTTGATATTTTAGGATATTTTTCTAGGTTTTTTTCCTTTCATTTTATTCTCTTCTAGTTTTGACATTTTATGATAGATTTGCTCTCTAGAAGGGAACGTCTTTCTTTAGGAGGGTAAAACTTTGGTCTTAGCATTCACTTTTGCTATTCCGATCTACAACTGGAAGATACATAAAAGTGCTTTGCATTGCAAATTTGGGATAACTTCAAAAATCCCATGGTTGATGTTAGGGATAGCACTAAGCATTTCAATTCCAGGAGAATAAAAGAAATTCCGATTTGAAATGAATTCCTCATTTGGAGGGAAAAAAAGCATGCATTCTGGCACAACAAGATCAAATTATGGAATACACAAGTGGCTCCTTCCCATGTGCAGTCCCTGTCCCCCGTCCAGTCCTCTGCACACCCGAACTGTTTCTGATTGGCTTTTAGCTTTTTTTTTTTCCTTCTAACACTTGTATTTGGAAACTCTTCTGTGATTTTGAGAAGTATGCTTTTGAGTATTTAATGAAGTTTTTTTCTAAAAGTAAAAAAAAAAGGATTGAATTCTTTAGCCTATTATGCAAGATCTCTAATAAATTTTGCTGAAAGTTTACTCTCAATTTTGTCTCCCGCAGCATCCATTACACACCACCACGCATAATGTGTGTAATATTTTTCTCAAATGATATTCTAACATTTTTGTTCAAGCGTTCTCAGTCTAGAATTCTCTTTCTTCCATAAGCTTGGCCAAAAGTATGTTTTCTAGGCTCAGACCAGAGGCCAGTTTCTCTATTGATTTTTTCATTGTTCTTATTCTCCCTTATAAATGTCTTCCTTATATTCCACAAATACTTCCATTTAGTGCTCATATGTACCACCATATCCTCAATTACGTCTATTTTTCCAACCATATATGATCTAGACGAAGTCAGAAATTGTTCATATGAGCTTGATGTCTCACAGTATCTTCCTTGTAACTGATTGGGTTATAAAAAGACAATGAATTTCCAGCACCTATTGTGAAACTGTTGTGGGAGTCATATTTATTTTTGACATTTAAGTTGAATTGAAGTTATTTTAATATTGGGAGCATCAAGTTATTCTGAAATTGTGCCATTTGGGGGCATTACAAACACAAGATTTGGGAAATACTATCAGGAAGTTAATGCAAGGAGTAGGAAAACCAAAATATTCCTTTTATTCTTAACCACTAATAGGGTAATTTTTGGTTTTGTTTTGGTATCATATAGTACAAACATAGGAGGGTCTTCCCATAGTCAGGACTTCCTAGGCAAATTTTACGATATTTTTGTAAGGAGGAAAATTCTCATTTCCTCATAACTTATTTAAATTTAGAGGATCACCTATAGGCAAAGGATAATCATGTATTGTGATATGCCTAGTTTTTTGAACTACCTTTCAAAGCTAAATTCCATCAAACATTTTCTCAATTTTTTCTTAAAATGTCATGTTCTCTACTGAAGAAGTAAGATTCAAAATTGCAGTATCTGCCATCTTCCCAGAAAGACATAAATCTCCAACCAATGATACCAAATAATAATCAGTTCACTGTAGGCAGACTATTTCTTACAAGGTAGTATAAAGTTTTTCAAAAATCAAAATTCATACTTTGTATCATTTTCTAATACTGGGGGGAAGTTTTTTTTGAGATTTTTTCTTATAATCTAAGTTTCTGGCTTTCTGACGTTGGTAACAATAATAGCTACATGTTGACTTTGAGAAGATTTAGATTTTGAGATGGACTTCTTTCTTTAATTATTTTTATTTATTTATTTATTTATTTATTTATTTATTTATTGTTGTTATTATTATTATTATTTTGAGATGGAGTCTTGCTCTGTCGCCAGGCTGGAGTGCAATGGTGCAGTCTCAGCTCACTGCAACCTCCGCCTCCCAGGTTCAAGTGATTCTCCTGCCTCAGCCTCCAGAGTAGCTGGGCCTACAGGTGTGTGTCACCACGCCTGGCTAATTTTTTGTATTTTTAGTAGAGACGAGGTTTCACCATCTTGGCCAGGATGATCTTGATCTCTTGACCTCATGATCTGCCCGCCTCGGCCTCCCAAAGTGCTGGGATTACAGGCGTGAGCCACCGTTCCCGGCCAATTATTTTTAATTTTTATGGGTACATCATAGATGTAGGTATTTATGGGATGCATAAGATATTTTGGTACAGGCATACAATGCATAATAGTCACATCAGGGTAAATGGAGTATCCATCCCCTCAAGCATTTATCATTTCTTTGTGTTACAAACATTCCAATTATACCCTTTTAAGTTATTGTAAAATGTACAATAAATTACTATTGATTGTAATCACTCTGTTGTGCTATCAAATACTGGCTCCTATTTATTCTATCTAACTATATTTGTGTACCACGGTGAGTCTTCTATCATGATGAAAGTAACTGTAAGTCAAATACAATGAAATACCCAGTCTCTGAACTGTTTTACTTGTGAAGATCCATATTCAAAATGGCCAATATCAGAATATTTGGTAGGAGAAATTTTTTTAAGTATTAGTACTTTAAGGATGTATATATCACCTATTTTTGCATTACGTTAGTTTTTTTTTTTTTTTCACATACACTTCACGTGTGTGAACTAAACTGACTCAAGATTTCAGGCCTACTTCCTTAGATTGGGCAGTTTCAGGTTCACTTACAGTTCTCCAGCCCAGCAATAAACATTGCTTTGCTTTTGTTAAAAATTCTATCACTACAAAAATCTCCCTTTTGCTACTCTTTTATTACAGTCATACCAACCCCATCACCCTCTACCATCCCTAACCCTACTACTGCTAGTCTGTTCTCCATCTACAACATTTAGAGAATGCTATAATGGAATAATGCAATGTGTAACCTCTTGAGATTAACTTTTTCCACTGGACATAATGCCCTGGAGATCAATTCAAGTTGCTGCCTACATCCATTGTTTATTCTTTTTTAAGTCTGAATTGTATTTCATGGTATAGATAGACCAGTTTACTTAACAATTGTGCACAGGGCTTCATGAGGACATGCTTTCATTTCTCTGGGATAATTGCCCAACAATGCAATTGCTCACTTGTATGTTAAGTATACGTTTAAGGCTTTTTTCTTCAAGAAATTCCCAACCTATTTTTTAGATTGACTGTTTTTCTTTTTATTTTTTTTCTTTTGTTTTGAGACAGAGTCTCCCTCTGTCCCCTAGGCTGAGACAGTGGCACGATCTCAGCTCACTGCAACTTCTGCCCTCCAGGTTCAAGCGATTCTCATGCCTCAGGCTCCTGAGTAGCTGGGATTACAGGTGCACGCCACCACACCCAGCTAATTTTTGTATTTTCAGTAGAGACGGGGTTTCATCATGTTGAACAGGCTGGTCTTGAACTCCTGACCTCAAGTGATCCGCCCGCCTTGGCCTCCCAAAGTGCTGGGATTACAAGTGTGAGCCATTGAGCCCGGCATAGAGTGACTGTTTTACTTCACATTTCCACCAGCAATGTGTGAGAGATCCAGTTTCTGCACATCTTCACCAGAATTTGATACTGTAACTATTTTTTATTTTAGCTGTTGTGTATTGATATCTCATATGGTGTCTATTGATATCTCATTGTAGTCTCAATTTGCATGCCCCTAATGGTTAGTGTTTTTAAACATCTTTTCATGTGGTTATTTGCTATTCTTATATCCTCTAGTGAAATGTCTTTTGCTTATTTTCTAATTGGATTGTTTGGTTTTCTTATTGTTGAGTATTCAGAGTTCTTTATATATTCTACATCTAAGTCCTTTGTCAGATTAGTGGTTTAGAAATATTTTTCCCAGTATGTAATTTGTACTATAAATGTGCTAATTTGAAGCTTCCATATACTATTAAAATTTAACAGTAACCGTGCAATTGTTTTGAACCTAAATCAACAAAAGATTTTTTGTTTAGAATTGCAAATGCATGGTAAGAATACAAAGCTGACCAAATGTAGTTGGATTTATTATTGTTTTTAAATTTCTGCAGACAACACTTCCCCTGTTGCCTACACAGGTTTGGAGTGCTTCCCCTGCCCTGACTCTGGCAGTATGCTATTGCTCTTGCTAGACCCAGAGATTAGCAGGTTTTTGTAACACTCTCATAGTAACAAAATTAACAATAGACTGTTGTACAATTCAATACGTGGAAAATGATAAAATATACAATCCATATACTTTTCTTTAAAAAATGACAATGTATTCCAGCCAACAGAAACAATTCAAAATTGTAAACTTAAGAATGTGGAAGATATAAATTTGTGTCTTTCCTTAACAAATTTGGACCAGTTATATATTAATCCAGAAGGATTCTTCAGTTCACAGTGTAAACAACACCCTTCATCAATTCTCTACATGATTCCTCTTTCACTTGTAGTCATTTTTGTGTATCAGCAAGTAGTTTTTCTGGGGCACACTTTTTCCCCCACAGTTCATACAGGAAATTTTTTTTAAGCAGCACTTTTGGGATACAAGTTTATGTAAAGGAATAAAAGGAAGAAGAGTGGGCAGAGGGACATACTGGGCTGCAATGCAGTTATAAGATATTTGCTGACTCCATGTTCACCAGCAGCTAAAACTGGGTGCTCTGCAGAGTTGTCTCGAATTGGGCAGAGGCCCCTCATTACAGTCCCGTATGGACCGTCATTGAATGCAGGATATTCTGGGAAGAGTCACTCACTTCACCTGAGGGAAATTCATAAGTGGACTGAGGCCTAAGAGGTGATGGTTCTGGACAGGTACACTCGCAGCAGCTATAGACTCCAGGCTTTTAGTCCTGAGCAGGCATCTGGCCAGTGTAGCATAACATGCGCTACAACTCAGCAAGCAGAACCTGTCTTTTTATTTCCCATCACAAAAGCAAAGCTTCAGGAGGTCGAGGCTATAGCTTGCGATGATTGCACCTATGAATAGCCACTGGACTCCAGCCTGGGCCATACAGCAAAACCTCATCTTTAAAAAACAGAACAAAGCAGGGCTTAATTTGTGGCCATTTGCATTTCAAACCTTTTAATAATGATTACATATATATATGATGTATATATTCAAAATTTATATTGAATAAACTGAGTCACAGGCTTTTTTTTAATTGAGCAAAACTAAAAGTCCAGTCTCATGTTCATTGGCAGATATTTTCCCCTTAAATCCTCTTTATATCTAGGATCTATAATTATTCCTGTGTTAATTATGTTTAAGATTAGTTTATATGAGGTCAGTGATGTTAAAAAAAAAAAAAGCCTAGAACAAAGCCAAAAAATAAATTCACCAAATGTTAAATTATTACTGGAAGATGGTATTATGAAAGAGATTCATTTCCTGCTTTACACTGTTTTTCACTTCTAAATTTAGTAAAATGCATATGTATTATTTTTCATATTCAAGGAAGAAATGTGTATATACTATTTAATTGTAGTTAAGCTTATAAAACATAAATGCAATAAAAATTTGGAAGGAAATGCATGAAATTCTTGGTATTGAAGCTAATCAGGCATTCTTTCTTTTTTATTTTTCTGTATTTCCCAATTTTCCATAATGAGTTTAAATTACCTTCATTCTCTCTCTCTGAAATATATATAATTTTTAGATTTTAGCCTTTTTATAAGTTACAAAAACTGCCACCCCTCTAAATAAGGCTGTTTCCTTAGTTACTGTTGAGTATTTTTAAAGAAGATTCCTTCTATTGCTTATTATAAAGACCTTTTTAAAAAACACAAATGTTTACTGAGTTATATGTAAAATTTGGTATTTACTGAGATGGTCATGTGTTTTATTTTTATTTACAGATCTGCTGAATTATATTGATTCCCTAAAAGGGAACCACCCTTAGCATAAATGCTACATGAGATTGATATATTTTTCTTTTAGTGTACTTCTATATTCAGTTTACTAATGTTTTATTTAGGATTTTTGCATCTATAAGTGAAAGTAGTATATGTGTGTGTATATATATGTGTGTGTGTATATATATATGTGTGTGTGTGTATATATATGTGTGTGTATATATATATATATATATATATATACTTTTTATACTCATCTAGTTTTGGTACCAAGTTTTCCAGAGTTGTAGATGTATTCAGAAATTTTTTGGCTCTTTTATTCTCTGAAGTTGTCAAAAGAATTATTTGTTCCTTTAAAGCTTGATAACCTTGACTTTAACACCCTCTGAAATAGGCCTCAGAGAGGGGTGGTAAGTGACATGAGATGGTCTTTTTCTCTGCTTCTTTCCACATTACTGGTCTATTCAAAATTTTTACTACTTTTTGGAACTATTTTGGTAATTGACTCCTGCCCTCAAAGTATTCATTAAATCTAAAAATAGAACTATGAAAATACAATTTTCTACAAAGTAATTTTATAATTTTTAAAGTCTTCCAAATTCATGATCTTGTTTTCATTCTGAATATTATTTGTGTTGGTCTTATTTTTTTTCCTTGGATACAGTTGCCAAAAGTTTAATTCTCTTATCTTCTTTCCATTTAATTGGCCACCTTTTAGAAAAAAATGTTGTTTTCTGCTTCATTTATTTTTTTGTTTCTATAACCTAGTTTACTCTTTTTTATTGTTTTCCTATTAAATTACTATATTTATTTGGTATCTTAAAGTTCTACATATTTAACATTTTAAATATATAGTTTGTTTCATGTATTAGATATTTTTATATCATGTATTTTGTAATAGATACATTTTAGGTATTAATTTTTCTCTCATTCATCTGATTACATCCATTGAGTTTGGATATCAAATATGCCTATTAACATTATTTCTTTTTAAAAACAGTCTTTTATTTCCAAAAGTCTATAAATTTACTAATTTCTCTTAATATAAAAAATTATACAAAAATTTAGTAAATCAAAATAGAGTTTGAGCCATTATATGGAGAATTGTTTTCATACACATGACTTCTATTTTTTGGAATATTTTTGAAATTGCCTTTGCAGAACAAAATCAACTGTTATGAATGTTCCATGAGCATATGAAAAGAAGAGAAATTCTTTCTTTGGTAGATACCATAGATATTCATTAATTATAGATAATTATTAACATTAACATTATTAATGTATTAACATTAATAACATGTAAATCAATGTATTAACATTCCCTATAATTTTATTTATTTTTTGCCACCACAGCTATCAATTTCTGAGACAGATGAAGTTACTTCACTGTGATTTTGGATTTTCAGATTTCCTGTGTTTTTAACGTTTTTCAATGCTATATAATTTAGAACATAAAAATTTATAACTTTATTGTAATTTTTTAAAGAGGACTTTTCCTTTGCATCTTGAACTAGAAGTTTCTGCATTGATATTTAAATGGGAACAAGTGCTCTGTTTTTTTAAAAAGCATGTTATAAAAGTAGTTTACAATGTAAAAGTAGGGATATGAGAGAAAGTGGAAAGGAAATAAAACCTAAAATGACAACTGGAGAGAGAGTATATTTCAGCGTATGACCTTTTTAGTGCAAGAAAGAGAGCAAAATAATAGAAGACCCTTTCTAGCAGAGAAAATAATTCCTGCCTAGGAGAGATCCATTTTGACCCAACATGATAACACAGATAAGTAAAAAAATCGGACAGGCTCACAGCTCAATGATCTATTATTTACTATGTTGAGTTGGAAAGAACATGTGATTTCAAGCAAGTTCATTGAGAATTCAAATATCAGCCCTCCCACTTACTGTGTGAATTTGGACAAGTACACAACTTTGATGATCTTTAGGTTTGTTTTATGCTTTTTTTTCCCTTTCAGTTAGTGGAAAAACTAATGCCTAACAAAGTGAGTATTAAAAAAGAACCAAGACAAAGTTCCTGGCATAATGCCTAGAACATGATGGAGGTTAAGAGAATATTGCTAATACATGATGTTTTGTTCAGAAGTCCTAACTCAGTGGAGTCTAATCATAACTTTAATTTTTTTCCTGGAAATTTTCATCTCTCAGTGTTGCTTAGTAACTAAAATGGCTTATTAAATTATCCTGCTTACTGACCACTACCTCCTCCTCTTGTATTTTACTCATTTACCTTCATTGACCTGATGGCAATTGAAATCTTCACCTTTTTCATCACTGAAAGAAAAAGGGAGGGCCTAGATTTTCTCCTTTTACTCCGAACACTCTTACTAGATAATTTCATAATCAACTAAGTGACAAAGCCAGGCAACTTTTATCTCTGTACGTATTTCAAATGTGCCAGCTTTGCTCCATGTCTACTGCTAGCTACCACTTTAGTCTAAGCCTTACCATGTTTTTACTGATCTACTAAAACAGGCTCCTGAGTAATCTCCTATCAACTTCTGTTGTCTCTTTCTAATAAAATCACACATTACAAGTCAATTTCTTCTTTTGAAAACTCAAATGTTCTCATGTCATTTGAAAGTTTAAAATCTTGCTGTTGCTTCATGTGCTCCAGCACCGTAGCTTGCTAATCTCTGCTCTGTTATAGGAAACAAGAAGAGGGTGAGGGAGACAGAAAAAAAAATAAACACACACACACACGCAGAGAGAGAGAGGCGGGGGGGGGAGAAAGAGGGAGTTATTCTTCTTATTCAAGTCGCTACAAATATATATTCTAGGCTTTGAAAAATAATTTAGGCTTTTTTATTTGTTTGTTTCCTAATACTTTTATCACTGCACTTATAGTCAAGAGCAAAAATTCTAGTGTGGCTTCAAAGGCGCTGGATGAGCTGTCTGACTTCTGCCTACCTTCTAGTTTCCCTTTTTACCTCTCTTCCTTCCTTTCATCATATACTAACTCTTCTGGACTTTCTTCAGTTCTTCAAAGATGCTGAACTCCTTTCTGTCTGAGATCCTCACACCTTGTCTTTGCTCCTCGACCCTATCTTATTAACAACTATTGATTCTTCAGATTTTAGCCCTCGGTCATCCATATCAAGCAGTTTGTTCCCTACCACCACCACCACTACCACCACCACTCTGTATAATTTTATCAGGTTTCACTGTTAAATGGTTTGATATCACTTTATTATTGTCCTTTTTGTGGTGAAATAATTTTACATTAAAAATATATATGAAGTATAAAATAGTATTACAAATCATTATATACCCCCAATCCAGTTTAAGAAATACAGCTGTACTAATACCATTTAGTAAGGCACGGTGGTCAACTGGATATTGTATTTTCTAGCCTCTTGTGCAGCTGGTTGTAGTCATGTGATTACATACAGTTTTACAGCAGTTGTACATTTCTCTAAACAATATATCATTTAGTTTTACATGTCTGTGAATATTGTTAAAATGTTGCCATGTTTTCTGTGATCTTTCATTTTTTGCTTTTGTACTCAATATTATGTTTTTGAGATATTTCTGTTAATAGGAAGACACTGTTTCATTCATTTCCCATTTATTTCCTATGTAAGTTCAGTTTAATGGAATTATGATATTCTAGGTCATTACTATGCCTGTATGCATTGTTTTATATGTGGACATTTGGCTTATTTCTAGTTATACATACACAGACACCCATATGTTATGTATATATGTACGTACTGATGTGTTTGTGGTTTATGTAGATATGCAGATTAGAAATATTGCTGTCAGGAATATTACAGTAAAGTAGAATGATTTTCAACCCAATCTTGCATGAGGGTTCAATTGTGACTAAATATTTTCACAGAAAACTTTTTTTCTTCCATTTAGAGTCAAGACTAACACAGATTATTCTTTGACACTTCCCTTTGAGGGGACCTTTTCTAAGATGATAAAATTGCAATTATTTGATTTGGAAAATCTGTTATTAATTAGATATCTCACTGAGAAGGGAATTGGCTTATTGACTGTTGTAAATATCTAAACCGGTTCATTTTGTAGTTAGCATTGTAATTCCACTTGACATTTTGAAGCCAATTGATATGGTATAAGCAGCCTGTTGGCCATACCTACGAAATTTCTGTAGAGATTGTCTGAAAACTCTGGCTGTTTTCAAGTTTAAATATATTTAAAATTACTCCTTGCTGGAGTAGTAATTACATTTTCAAATGTAGTTTACAAAGATTCTATGTAAGTCAAAAAATTTAACACACGAAGATATGATCTTAACTTTTCGCAGTAACAATGAAATGTGCTTTGTTCAGCCACAAGTTTTTAAAAAGTGTCCTTTTTGATATTATTCTGAGTGTTTTAAAATCTACTTTTAGTGATTCAAGTCTATAATAATGTAGCAAATTTTATTTTCAATATTCTTTCAAGTATGTAGCAAAGGTGAATGCTTTTTTTAAAAGTAACATTCAGTTAGACTTTTGCGGTGAATTAAACACCCCATTTGCTGGTCATTAAAGCATCCCAGAGTGGTGTGGGAATTTTGGAGGTGGGGGTAATTAAAGTCCGTGAAAGACTTGGAGTGAAGTCTCAGATGGACAGGAATTATAATACCTGTTACTCTATGTGAAAGTCGATAAAAAGCAGCAGTCCCGAACACTGATTGAAGTCACTAAGAGACTTGGTTCTGTGTGTGGAAAGAAGAGGGACTCAAGACCTATCTGACTTCACATAACGACTCTACTCCTGTTACTAGATGTGTGACCATCTAATGTGTTATTAGACCTTCAGTTTTCTCGTCTGTAAATGGAGAATAATAATACTTATTTCATAGGATATTTATGAGGATCAATTTTAATAATAAATTTGGAAGATCTAGAACAGAGCCTGGCGCACAGTAGGCATCAGCAACAGTCATATGGCTTCCATGACATAGCAACTAAACCAAATTATTTTTATGAAGGGGAGATATCAAAGAGCTTTTATAATAGTAGAGAGATTTTATGATGAAGCTTAAATAAACAGATTTTAATGTTTTTGTATTTTGCAATAATTGTGACATAGATTCAATTTATTTTTTTTATTTTTTTTTTAATTTTTTTTTTTTTTATTATACTCTAAGTTTTAGGGTACATGTGCACATTGTGCAGGTTAGTTACATATGTATACATGTGCCATGCTGGTGCGCTGCACCCACTAACGTGTCATCTAGCATTAGGATTCAATTTATTTAGGATGAAATTGTATGCTGACCATTTGATCAAATAATGACTAAATATTTCTTAATGTAACATAACCACTTTATTTATTTTTCTTGAACAGTAGCCTTTTAGAAAGAAAATAATATAGCTAGATCCTTACTTTTTGTTACTAAAATATAGTGCAATTGGATTAAAAATTTAAATGTTAAAACTTTTTAAAGTAAGGGCAAAGTATATTGGAAGAAACTTGCATATATTTTTGTGTGACAACAGTTTGGCTATGCAGGGCATAATGTCTAGACACCAGAAATAGAAGGATATGTCTGACTAAAACCAGTGGCAAATCCATACAGGTCTGCAGCAAACTCAGTGCTTGCCTTCTTGGAGGAAATAATTCAGCCAAGGGGCAGAAGTAGGTTTAAGGCAGAGGGAGAGACCAAGGCAAGTTTTAAAATTGAGAGTTTATTAAAATGTTTTAGAGCAGGAATGAAAGGAAGCAATGTACACTTGGAAGTGGGCCAAGCATGTGACTTGAGAGATCCAAGTTCCCTGTTCGGCCCTTGACTTGGTGTTTTACACATTGGAATGGTTCTAGGGTTTCCAGTTCTCTTTTCTTGATTCTTCTTTTGAGGTGGGCTGTCCACGTGCACAGTGGCCTGACAGCACTAGGGAGGGGCTGCATGCACAGTGTGTTTACTGAAGCTGTGCACATGTTCACTTGAGGTGCTTTCCCTTACCAGTAGTGCATTGCCAGAGGAAGGTTATATACTGGTTAAACTCCACCATTTTGCCTCTTAGTGTGCATGCTTGAGCCCACTCCTTCAACGCCTAAGATCACCAGCTCAGGTGTTTTCTATCTATCAGGAGACTATCTTTCACTAGCGCTGGCTGTGGCCAATTATCATTTCAGAGAGACAGTTTAGCAACCACCAGACCATCAACTAATGTTTGCTTGACATTTCTGGGGAGGTGGTCCTCTCCTGCACTGTTCATGTCTGACTAACTACCTACTCTAACATGACAACAGATACTTTAAAATTTGTAAACTGCATAAACAAATTCCAAAGTCAAGCAACAAATTGGGAACATTTTTGGTGGCACATATGATGAGAAAATGGCCATTACTTTCGTATACAAAGAGCTATTGCAAATAAATTTAAAAACACTACTTTGATTCTAAAATTGACAAAAATGAATAGACCAGAAAAATCAATACAAATGAACAATAAATATTTAAAGCATGCTCATCCACACTCATGATTTTTATAATATAAATTAATATGGCATTTTTCAATTATCCAAATATTGGCCAATATTCATTTGATAGTTTATAGTTTTGGCATGTGTGTGGTGAAGCAGGCACATCTATTCACTTGCTGGTACTGTAAATTGCTAGAATGAAATTTGGAATATGTATACCAAAATTTACAATGTACATACCACTGCCAGTAATTTATTTACTGAATAAACTCAAAACTGTATGCATTTAAGAATTTTCTTTGCAGGATTGGCCACACAGATTTTGACAAAAAATCTTAGATAAATCTGAATCTTCATGACAGTGAAATAGTAAAATTAATAAGGTTAGTTATAATCTTAACATAGTATGCTATTAGCCATTTAAAAAATAGAGAACTATAATATGCAAATATGGAATGATTTACAAGTATTTTAATGTGAAAAAAGTAATAAGTAAACAGTTTTCACTGTAAACTTACATTTATGCAGAGAAAAAATAATTGTAAATGTGGATATAGGGTACATATTAGAAATTTTTCTGGAAAGAATGTTTTTAAATGTTGAGAGTAGAACTAGGGATTTCAGTGTAGAATAGCAGGAAGAAAGGAGTAATACCCATTAATGATTTCCTGAACTATTTTAAAGTTCTTCTGTGTTCATGTACGTTTTACTTTAATTTTTAAAAATTAATGCAGTCAATATGATGATAAAAATATATAAATCATAAAGGACTAAAATTAAATTAAATGTCATTAGGATCCAGCAGATTATTGTAGGTATTGGAAAACATGTACAATATGCTCTTGAAAGGGAACTGTCAAAATGACATTCTTGAGGTGAAATGATGCATGCATGTGTGTCTAATGAGTTTTATTTTCCCCCAGACAAAGTCAAAGGAAGATCAAGAGCAGGGACCCACTTTGACTCAGCCCGGAGACGGAGTCGAGCAGTCCTTTATCACATCTCTGGGCACCTGCAAAGAAGAGAAAAGAACAAATTGAAAATAAATAACGTAGGTGGTATGTGTGTACAGGATGAATGCTAGTGTTTCCCCTGGTGGCAATGTTTGACTCGCTAAAGAAAGGCCTCAATTACCCATTTATTGGCTTGCCTAGATTTTTTTTTCCACTTTGGTTTGTGCTTTTCTATAAAGAACAAACTGGAAAAGGTCAGCAGTCATGAGGCATTTCTATAATAAAAGTACTTAATCATAGTGTTATCACAGCATAGAGATTAGAATATTATTGCAGTGAAGTACAATATGGTACTAGGGACACTGCAAATGGGGACGCACTGGTTACATTTTATGAAACAAAAATGATGCAGCAAGTCGTATTACACATTCATAGTTTATTGGTTAAAATTTCTCAAATTTAATTTTAGTTCCATCTGTTTTGCATATTATCTAGTTCTACAAATGCTTTTATCCAGGAGGAACATGACCAAATCAAAGTCATTACTCCATTAAAAAACTTACATTTTATATAAAACACAGTTGAAAATTTCACAGTAAAACACTGGATTTACAATTGCATACCATACGTTAAATAATTTGGGAAAGTCACACTTCTAGTAAATTACAATAGAGTTGCTTTCTGAAATATGGTGTCTTACCTGTCAAAGCCACAACAAATAACTATGCCTGTATAAGGAGTTTATTTCCTATTTTACATGACATATGTCTTCCAGGATTTCACACTGAATTTTGTAATTGGTTCTTAGCACTAAGACTTCACTGAGAAACCTAGAACAATGTCTCTTTAGTTGTAGATACTCAAAGTTTTAAGATAATGTTAATGTCATTAATTTGCCTTATGGAATCATCAGAACATGTATGGGGTGTTGTGTGACCATAGGTGGCAGATTAAATACCAGCATCTAACTTGCCAATGACAAGAAAAAGTCACATGAAACAACCAGATCTATTTTGGAATCGATTTAAGATCCAGAAGTTCTGGGAGTTAAGGACAGAGAGGGGATCCTTTGGCATTTCATTTTTAACATAGCAAGCTCAAGGACTACCTAATCCAACATACACATGCTTTGATAAAACAGGACCATTCATCAGACATACGAAGTATTCATTTCTGATTGTAGTGAACAAAGAAAGATGTATGAGCCCAGGGTGAGGAACGAGATCTGACATGAAAGTGCTGCAAACCTGGCTGTACTTCAGTGCAACTTTCTGGAAGCCAAAACAAGATGTTTTGAATCATTTGTCCTCCAAGGACCATCAACCATGTCCGTGCTGGTGTGCCATGTACCACTGTGGTCACGCTTTGATTTTTTTTTTTTTTGGTCCTAATTCAATATAAAGTTTCTCTAGGGATACCTGTGCCTTAGTGTTATATTGATTTCCTGGGAGTCCAGGGAGAGGCTTGAAACAGTGCACACCACTTGATCTATGGATCCTTCCACTGGTGCCTATTTACATCCCCTTTCAGTTACCAAGTCAGCCTTAGTGACATAAGCAAGTTATAAGAAGAAACAAAGGTAACCGCATCTGGGCTTGATTCCATGCAAATCAACCAGCAAAGCACCTAAACAAATATTATCCACAGATTCTGTAAGGCTGAAAGCTGACACTGTCTAGCTTTTAGTGGAGAATTTAAACATAGCAAGTATTAGTGAGCTTTAAAATGCATTTGCTGGGCATGCTATTTTTCCCTTTAGATTCAACAAAGTACAAAGCAGTACTTAAAAATCTGATTTCAAAAAAACTATAACTCCCACTACTTAGCTAATTTGCTTAATTGCCATTCATTTAAGAAATACAAACATCAGAGTAGAGCATTAAAATAATACATAGTAATTTAAGATGCCTAACAGCCCAGTGACTCTAATACTACAGGTAATATCTTATTCCTGAAGCAAAGTATGGAATCAGGACTTGCCCTGTTCACGTGTTCACCATCTCCTTTCAAGGATAACATAGTAGAATGGCTAAATGGCAGATAGAAGGAAGGCAGAAGGGAGAAGAGGAAATGACTTGTATAGTTTATTGAATAAACAATAAATTTTCTGGAAATTCTGGCTGTAATAACATTTGCACACACAAAAAATAATTCTTAACATTTTATAGCCCTTTGCTATTTACAAATTCCTTTTACTTACATCATATTATTTGATTCTTATAGCAAGCCAGTACTAGGTCTGATTTTTATTAGTCCCATTTTAATGATGGAAAAAAACACAACTTATTAGAAGCAGCAGTTGTGGTACCCAACCTTTAATCTTCTAATTCAAAGCCACTGTGCTTCTGACTCTTACCTTGCTGCTTCTCGGATACAGTTCTGTGGAACAGGAATATATGCTTCAGCCATAGTCAAATGAACTCGTCAGGTCATTAGCAGGTTTGGGAATCAGGATGCAACATATTTTAGTCTGGCTCTAACTTTGCCTGGTATACCTTGAAAAAGGTGTTTTCAAATTCTGCCTTCCTTGATTGTTATTCTGTCAATCAAATGAGAATGATATGATGCAAATGTTTTCAACACAAAGAAATATTAAAGATCACACTAGAGCCTTGAAAACTTGAAAGGAGAGTGCTACAAATGCATTTTTCTGGCGGGGACAGTGGTGATCAGCAAAGGCATACACTGGGTTTAGATTACTCACTGAAGTGACTGTAGAAACATTTTCACATTCTCTTGCTCATTCAGATGATAGTTTCAAAGGAACTATTGCAAAAATAGTTTAGGAAACAATTACCTTAATTAGGCACTGGAGTTAACTAGTATGTTTCAATAACTCATAGGTGGAGGTTAAACATCTAAAACACCATTGGTACTAAAGAAATATGCTTGAAGATTAATAAATAAGATAAACTTAACGTCTAGACTAGGCAAACTCCATGTTTGACAGTTATAAATAACATGTCTTTCCCCCTACTTCCTGCTAAAAAGCATAATTTTACAATTGTGTACCATTTTTTTTTACAATTTTAAGAATTTTTTTCATTCAAAAGGATTTTGATAAAACATTACAAAAGCTGGTGGAAGAAGAGAAGCATCTATTTTTTTCACTCAGGTGATTATGTAAAGATGTTTGCAGGATTTGAGTTAACAACATTTCAAAATTTAAATCTAATCTCAAATGTATTGAATTCTCAGTATCTTTTTAAAATATTTTTAAAATATGTTCTAAGTAGCTTACAAAATGAAACCATGAGATTTATTTTCTGATTTGTACAGAAAACTAATATATTGCTGAACTTTTGTGACAGAATCACTAATGCTTCATATAATCAGCATAATCAAAGACAAAAACAAAAACTTCACTTTTGAGTTTTCCCAAATCATTACCCTAGATATGGATGTTCCCTCAAACAATGTAAAATTTTAATTTCTGTAATACGATAGAAAAAACTTATGTGGATAGAAAATGAGATATTTCCCATGGCTTCTGATAATTCTTTATTGTAGTAAATATTCAGGGAAAATTTGGATTAGAACCAATCATGTTATTACAACTTGAAGTGTTTATCAGTGGTGAGAAGATTAATGGTTATAGACCTTAATTCCCTCTTCCAATGTAACAGCCCGAATTTTTATGAGAAGCCCAACGGGGCTACTTCATCTCCCCTTCTCTGTTTTATGCCAAAGTCTACCTTTGGAACTGGTTTCTTGAAACCAGAGAATGAGACAAAGGAGACAGGACAAATATGAGGGAATTGTATGAAACATAGATGCAGTGGCAAATGGGCATTTAAGGACCATCTGGAAGTAGTTTAACAGTGACCCACCACGAAGTACTGACATTATGAGATGCCTGTGTGGGTTGAGTGAGAATATTAACAGGAAGTAGAAACATGGGTTGAAAATACCTACCAAAGAGAAATGCCAGACAGGGGTGCGTTAATATTAAGGTAGCAGAACTATTCAATCACTGACAGTCACCACTTAGAGCTAAATGTTCCTGATCTTTCTGAACCTTTCTTGAATCCTCAGGTACTTCAGGATCCCTGAACACATCACATTAATCTGCCCTTCCCTCAATGAGTGAGACAAGAACACAACATTGTGACCTACAAGTAATATGTATTCGGGAATTTATAACTGCTCTGTTAATTCAACTAAACTTTCAAATATAAGTTTCCATTACCTATCTTATATTTCCCATTAATTGAGGTCAAAGCCAGGTCTGCAAGTAGCTGGTCACAGGCTTGTCAAATTTCCACACATGCTATTGTTGGGCCTCCCTTTGTCTTCTAGCAACAAGGGAATTGTTCATCAATTTGAACTGCATTCAAAGTGAAGTGCTTTTGCAGTTATCAAAAACTCCAGCTATTCTGCATTTAATCAGCTGCACAGTGAACATTGGCTTTCTCCTCCCATGACTTGACTAATAACTCTTAAGCAACTGTTTCTTACTTTACCATCTGAATAATGTCTGGCCCATGTCAGAGTGCATCTGTGTCAGTCAAGGTAACGAGATTTGGGTTCCCAACTTCACCAACAGCCACAGTGCAAAAAATGAAAGTAGTTAGCACGACTTGGCTATATTTGGAAAGAAATGTAAACTGTTTACAATATAATATTGGTCATATATCTATTCTTTTTGGAAAGAAAAGCACCATTGCTGTCATCAGTAAAATATCAGGTCAAATATAGTCTTTAGATAATGACTGTCATCAGAAATCTACAAGTATACAGAATGTTCTCATGACAATAGGAATGTAAATATAGCTTTGTGTTTATAATGTGTGTAGAATTACATGTAACTGTGAATGTTTTTTGATGACATTTTAGGTAATGGTCTTTTTTATTTTTTAATGAACAAAATCTGGGTTACTCACTTAGCTTCATGACTAAACTCTGCATATTCCTGTTCCTTATAACAAAGATCTCTGCTCAGTTTTAGATGTTTAGATGCTTTGCGTCACCAACTTTTAAAAGTCACTTGTAAGATACTGCTTTGTGTAGTGAATGATCCTACTCACAAAAGTGTGTGTTTCAAGCTATGTAATCCTTGTTTCTAATGTTGTGTTTCTCCTTTCTCTCCTTTTTGTCTTCATCCACAGAATGTTTTTGTAGATAAACCAGCATTTCCGGAGTATAAAGTTTCTGATGCAAAAAAGTCCAAATTCATACTTCTGCATTTTAGCACTTTTAAAGCTGGCTGGGACTGGCTTATTTTGTTGGCAACGTTTTATGTTGCTGTGACTGTACCTTACAACGTTTGCTTTATTGGCAATGACGACCTGTCCACAACTCGGAGCACAACCGTCAGTGACATTGCAGTGGAGATTCTTTTTATTATAGGTAAGAACAAACAGCTGCTTTCCTACGATATTTGCATATGAGAAGTGAAGTGTGTTCCAGATTTTTCTGACATGAATTTGAACTAAGATCCATTTGCATGGGCTTGATTCAGCCTCTGTTGCAAATTTTGGAGAAGCACATACTGTATTTGGATTTCTGAAAATTGCCTCTTCCAACTTTTCCTGTCCCTTTATTCAAACAGATCTAAACTGATCTCCTGTGTTTCTATACTTATTTCATCCAGAATGGGCTAAAAAAGATTTAACAGCTGTTTTGTTTGTACTCTCACATCCTTCATGATCTTAAACTGGTAGGGTCAGAGATGGGTTTGACAAAAACCCACCAGTGGTGTTGTGACAGTGGTCCACTCCTTGACGTGTTCTTTCTCCATGCCCTTCCGTGCCCTTTCAGCATGTTGATGGTTTCAATAAATGACCTGGTTGCAGAAACAAAGGGTTACATAAGCCTTGCAGTAAATCTGGAGAAGCAGTGAGTATCTGATTTTAATTAAAGAAAAGGCCCCAAAGGATGTTTGTTAAGATAATTTATCACTAGAATATTGTGTACCTCAGTTGAAGCTGCGTCTGTGCCAATCTTGTAAGCCTTTTCCTATTTTCCTGTCCCTTAAATCTTCATCTTGTTTAGACCAAAGCCTAGCTCTGGCTTGCTCATTCTAGGACAGATTCCGGGTCTGTAAGTCACAGATTGACTCCCTGTTGAGTTATTGACTGTCATTAGCAGCTGATACCTGCTTCTTTCCTTGGTCATGGTGATAGAGGGCTATATTCTTACTGTAAAGATGAGAGGATGTTTGGAAACATTTTCAAGCAGGTAGGTGAACAAAGGAGTGAGAAATGGATCTTAAAATTTCAAAGAAAAATAAATAATTAAGTGAGGCACATCAAAACCTTGGTTCAATGGTGGTAGTAGTTGTTTTTTTGTGTGTTTTTTTGGTTTTTTCTCAGTGAAGCTGTTAAATCTTTGAGGCTAGAGTGCGTTTTCTGGTTGAATGTCAGCACGTTTGCTTTGGATGAGTTTGTGTGCTCTTGGTATGGCTTGGCATCGTTATTAACATTGTGTCTACTGGGCACACCCTTCAGAGCCTTGATAGGACCTCTGCTGTCACCCCAGAAGTGGTAGCTATAGTGTGTTTAGGCCACTAGATGGCAATGTTGTCTAGTTAGGCAGACGGCAATTTTATTTTTAATTTTTTTATTTTAAAATATAGCTATCCTTTATTAGAAAGATGTAACCATAAAGGGATCTATTAAATAATGGTTAAATGGAAAATAACATTCCAGTTTGAACAAGAATTTAAAATGAAAATGGTAGACAGATTGGGTGTGTCTGTGGTTTTGTATCCTTTTACTTTGCCAACATTTGAAGTCTCCTCCCACCCACCCATGATGCACACATAAATTAGCATCATAAAAACACTCCCCATGCCCTGGTCAAAGTTCTCAAGAACTTGGGCAGTCACTCAACATGGCTAAGCCTTCGTTTTTTGTAGTAGTGATTTCATAGGGTTTTGTGAAATAATAGATGTAAGTATCTGCTTAACAAATACTTCATCATCTTATTGTTATTTACAACTTTGTTATTAGGTCAAGTTATATCTTGAACTTTCCTTTCCATTCTTCCTGGTTCTTAGATATTTGACATTCTTTGGCCTTAGAAGCCACTTCTGTTACCACATGTTCATTAGCAGATGATGACTGACTTACTCCCATAAAAACTCATACCTTTGACGGAGATATTTTAAAAGTTTTTGTTTATTTGTTTTAAGGCTGCTTTTCTCTACTAAACCAATGGAGACTCATTTGCTCCCCTGATAGCAACCCCTAAATTCTTCTGTGTTTTTTATTACTGTCATTTCGACTGTGCTTCAGCAGCAAGATGGTTCTCCCAGTAGGCAATACCCATCCCTTACTAGCTACATGCAAAGGAATGAAAACCCATTCCAATTTTTTTGGTGTTTACTTTCTGCAAAGATTTAGGATTTGAAATTTTGGTCTGCAAGCAGTTCTAGTGTGACTCCTGCCTGAAATCTCTTGTTGACCAACTTATTTTTATAAGCAGTAAAAACTTTCCTATTCTTTCCTGCTGTTATCTGCCTGCTCTTTCTTTTAAATGAGTTTAAGCATATCTACAATTTATTATAGCATATTTAGAAAAATGGCTTAAATTAATATTTCTCTGTTTCCCTAAACCTTTATTCTATAAAATATTTCAAAAAGGTGGCCTAAAAGTGATCATTGAGAAATAAGTTAAAATACTGGGGACAAAATAGTTGCCTGTAATATTGCCTGTAATATTGTATCTTTACAATGTGAAGGTAGTGTTCATACCATTTAATATTTATTAAATTACTGCAGACTTAAACTTCCCTGTCTGACAGCTTTGAAGAGAGGAGCGGTTCTCCCAGCATGGAGTTTGAGATCTGAGAACGGAAAGACTGCCTCCTCAAGTGGGTCCCTGACCCCTGAGTAGCCTAACTGGGAGATACTTCCCAGTAGGGGCCAACTGACACCTCATGCAGCTGGGTGCCCCTCTGAGACGAAGCTTCCAGAGGAAGGATCAGGCAGCAACATTTGCTGTTCTGCAATATTTGCTGTTCTGCAGCCTCCGCTGGTGATACCTAGGCAAACAGGGTCTAGAGTGGACCTCCAGCAAACTCCAACAGACCTGCAGCTGAGGGTCCTGACTGTTAGAAGGAAAACTAACAAACAGAAAGGACATCCACACCAAAACCCCATCTGTACGTCACCATCATCAGAGACCAAAGGTAGATAAAAACACAAAGATGGGGAGAAACCAGAGCAGAAAAGCTGAAAATTCTAAAAATCAGAGCACCTCTTCTCCTCCAAAGGAACGCACCTCCTTGCCAGCAACGGAACAAAGCTGGATGGAGAATGACTTTGACGAGTTGAGAGAAGACGGCTTCAGACAATCGGTAATAACAAACATCTCCAAGCTAAAGGAGGATGTTTGAACCCATCACAAAGAAGCTAAAAACCTTGAAAAAAGATTAGATGAATGGCTAACTAGAATAAACAGCATAGAGAAGACCTTAAATGACCTGATGGAGCTGAAAACCATGGCATGAGAACTATATGACGCATGCACAAGCTTCAGTAGCCAATTCGATCAAGTGGAAGAAGGGGTATCAGTGACTGAAGATCAGATGAATGAAATGAAGCAAGAAGAGAAATTTAGAGAAAAAAGATTAAAAAGAAATGAACAAAGCCTCCAAGAAACATGGGACTATGTGAAAAGACCAAATCTACATCTGATTGGTGTACCTCAAAGTGACAGGGAGAATGCAACCAAGTTGTAAAATGCTCTTCAGGATATTATCCAGGAGAACTTTCCCAACCTAGCAAGGCAGGCCAACATTCAAATTCAGGAAATACAGAGAATGCCACAGACGTACACCTCAAGAAGAGCAACTCCAAGACACATAATTGTCAGATTCACCAAAGTTGAAATGAAGGAAAAAATGTTAAAGGCAACCAGAGAGAAAGGTCGGGTTACCCACAAAGGGAAGCCCATCAGACTAACAGCGGATCTCTTGGCAGAAACTCTACAAGCCAGAAGAGAGTGGGGACCAATATTCAACATTCTTAAGGAAAAGAATTTTCAACCCAGAATTTTATATCCGGCCAAACTAAGCTTCATAAGTGAAGGAGAAATAAAATCCTTTACAGACAAGCAAATGCTGAGAGATTTTTGTCACCACCAGGCCTGCCTTACAAGAGCTCCTGAAGAAAGCACTAAACATGGAAAGGAACAACCGGTACCAGCCACTGCAAAAATATGCCAGATTGTAAAGACCATCGAGGCTGGGAAGAAACTGCGTCAACTAACAAGCAAAATAACCAGCTGACATCATAATGACAGGATCAAATTCACACATAACAATATTAACCTTAAATGTAAATGGGCTAAATGCTCCAATTAAAAGACACAGACTGGCAAATTGGATAAAGAGTCAAGACCCATCAGTGTGCTGTATTCAGGAGACCCATCTCATGTTCAGAGACACACATAGACTCAAAATAAAGGGATGGAGGAAGACCTACCAAGCAAATGGAAAACAAAAAAAAGCAGGGGTTGGAATCCTAGTCTCTGATAAAACAGACTTTAAACCAACAAAGATCAAAAGAGACAAGGCCATTACATAATGGTAAAGGGATCAATTCAACAAGAAGAGCTAATTATCCTAAACATATATGCACACAATACATGAGCATCCAGATTCACAAAGCAAGTCCTTAGAGACATACAAAGAGACTTAGACTCCCACAGAATAATAATGGGAGACTTTAACACCCCACTGTCAATATTAGACAGATCAACAAGACAGAAAGTTAACAAGGATATCCAGGAATTGAACTCAGCTCTGCACCAAGCGGACCTAATAGACATCTACAGAACTCTCCACCCCAAATCAACAGAATATACATTCTTCTCAGCACCACATCGCAATTATACCAAAATTGACCACATAGTTGGAAGTAAAGCACTCCTCAGCAAATGCAAAAGAACAGAAATTATAAAAAAGTGTCTCTCAGACCACAGTGCAATCAAACTAGAACTCAGGATTAAGAACCTCACTCAAAACCACTCGACTACATGGAAACTGAACAATGTGCTCCTGAATGACTACTGGATACATAACGAAATGAAGGCAGAAATAAAGATGTTCTTTGAAACCAGTGAGAACAAAGACACAACATACCAGAATCTCTGGGACACATTTAAAGCAGTGTGTAGAGGGAAATTTATAGCACTAAATGCCCACAAGAGAAAGCAGGAAAGATCTAAAATTGACACCCTAACATCAAAATTAAAAGAACTAGAGAAGCAAGAGCAAACACATTCAAAAGCTAGCAGATGGCAAGAAATAACTAAAATCAGAGCAGAGCTAAAGGAGATAGAGACACAAAAAAACCTTCAAAAAATCAATGAATCCAGGAGCTGTTTTTTTTTAAAAGATCAACAAAATTGATAGACCACTAGCAAGACTAATAAAGAAGAAAAGAGAGAAGAATTGAATAGTCGCAATAAAAATGATAAAGGGGATATCATCTCCAATCCCACAGATATACAAACTACCATCAGAGAATACTATAAACACCTGTACTCAAATAAACTAGAAAATCTAGAAGAAATGGATAAATTCCTCGACACATACACCCTCCCAAGGCTAAACCAGGAAGAAGTTGAATCCCTGAATAGACCAATAACAGGCTATGAAATTAAGGCAATAATTAATAGCCTATCAACCAAAAAAAGTCCAGGACAGATGGATTCACAGCCGAATTCTACCAGAGGTACAAAGAGGAGCTGGTACCATTCCTTCTGAAACTATTCAAATCAACAGCAAAAGAGGGAATCCTCCCTTACTCATTTTATGAGGTCAGCATCATCCTGATATCAAAGCCTGGCAGAGACAAAACAAAAAAAGAGAATTTTAGATCAATATCCCTGATGCACATCAATGCAAAAATCCTCAATAAAGTACTGGCAAACCAAATCCAGCAGCACATCAAAAAGCTTATCCACCACGATCAAGTTGGCTTCATCTCTGGGATGCAAGGCTTGTTCAACATATGCAAATCAAGAAACATAATCCATCATAGAAACAGAACCAAAGACAAAAACCACATGATTATCTCAATAGATGCAGAAAAGGCCTTCGACAAAATTCAGCAGCCCTCCATGCTAACAACTCTCAATAAACTAGGTATTGATGGGACGTATCTCAAAATAATAAGCGCTATTTATGACAGACCCACAGCCAATATCATACTGAATGGGCAAACACTGGAAGCATTCCCTTTGAAAACTAGCACAAGACAAGGATGCCCTCTCTCACCACTCCTATTCAACATAGTGATGGAAGTTCTGGCCAGGGCAATCAGGCAGGAGAAAGAAATAAAGGGTATTCAGTTAGGAAAAGAGAAAGTCAAATTGTCTCTGTTTGCAGGTGACATGATTGTATACTTAGAAAACCCCATTGTCTCAGCCCAAAATCTCGTTAAGCTGATAAGCAACTTCAGCAAAGTCTCAGAATACAAAATCAATGTGCAAAAATCACAAGCATTCCTATACACCAATAACAGACAGAGAGCCAAATCATGAGTGAACTCCCATTCACAATGGCTTCAAAGACAGTAAAATACCTAGGAATCCAACTTACAAGGGATGTGAAAGACCTCTTCAAGGAGAACTACAAACCACTGCTCATCGAAGTAAAAGAGGACACAAACAAATGGAAGAACATTCCATGCTCATGGATAGGAAGAATCAATATCGTGAAAATGGCCATACTGCCCAAGGTAATTTATAGACTCAATGCTATCCCCATCAAGCTACCAGTGACTTTCTTCACAGAATTGGAAAAAACTACTTTAAAGTTCATATGGAACCAAAAAAGAGCCCGCATTGCCAAGTCAGTCCTAAGCCAAAAGAAGAAAGCTGGAGGTATCACGCTACCTGACTTCAAACTATACTACAAGGCTACAGTAACCAAAACAGCATGGTACTGGTACCAAAACAGAGATATAGACCAATGGAACAGAACAGAGCCCTCAGAAATAATACCACACATGTACAACCATCTGATCTTTGACAAACCTGAGAAAAACAAGCAATGGGGAAAGGATTCCCTATTTAATAAATGGTGCTGAGAAAACTGGCTAGCAATATGTAGAAAGCTGAAACTGGATCCCTTCCTTACACCTTATACAAAAATTAATTCAAGATGGATTAAAGATTTAAATGTTAGACCTAAAACCATAAAAACCCTAGAAGAAAACCTAGGCAATACCATTCAGGACATAGGCATGTGCAAGGACTTCATGTCTAAAACACCAAAAGCAATGGCAACAAAAGCCAAAATTGACAAATGGGATTTAATTAAACTAAAGAGCTTCTGCACTGCAAAAGAAACTACCATCAGAGTGAATAGGCAACCTACAGAATGGGAGAAAGTTTTTACAATCTGCCCATCTGACAAAGGGCTAATATCCAGAATCTACAAGAAACTCAAACAAATTTACAAGAAAACAATCAAACAACCCCATCAAAAAGTGGGCAAAGGATATGAACAGACACTTCTCAAAAGAAGACATTTATGCAGCCAACAGACACATGAAAAAATGCTCATCATCACTGGACATCAGAGAAATGCAAATCAAAACCACAATGAGGTACCATCTCACACCAGTTAGAATGGCGATCATTAAAAAGTCAAGAAACAACAGGTGCTAGAGAGGATGTGGAGAAATAGGAACACTTTTACACTGTTGGTGGGACTGTAAACTAGTTCACCCATTGTGGAAGACAGTATGGTGATTCCTCAAGGATCTAGAACTAGAAATACCATTTGACCCAGCCATCCCATTACTGGGTATATAACCAAAGGATTATAAATCATGCTGCTATAAAGACACATGCACACATATGTTTATTGCAGCACTATTCACAATAGCAAAGACTTGGAACCAACCCAAATGTCCATCAATGATAGACTGGATTAAGAAAATGTGGCACATATACAACATGGAATAGTATGCAGCCATAAAAAAGGATGAGTTCATGTCCTTTGTAGGGACATGGATGAAGCTAGAAACCATCATTCTGAGCAAACTGTTGCAAGGATAGAAAACCAAACATCCCATGTTCTCACTCGTAGGTGGCAATTGAACAATGAGAATACTTGGACACAGGGTGGGGAACATCACACACCAGGGCCTGTCGTGCAGTGGGGTTAGGTGAGAGGGATAGCATTAGGAGATATACCTAATGTAAATGATGAGTTAATGGGTGCAGCACACCAACATGGCGCATGTATACATATGTAACAAACCTGCACATTATGCACATGTACCCTAGAACTTAAAGTATAATAAAATATATATATATATTTACTAAATCAATATGTGTGGTAAAATTTACATGTATATTTAACATACTGTTTATTTTCTATTTCTGGAGTAGTAGTATTAATTTGGCATCTTATAATCAATTAGGGCACAATTGTTAAAAAGTAGTACAAAAAGGGTCTAGGAAGGATAGGTGTTCATAGAACTACAAGATGATGTTTTAAAAAATATTTTGGTATTCACGTAAACTCCATACAAAAGTATAAGGCAATATGATTATTTTAAATTGAGAAATAAATGTTTCATGAAGAAAGGACCCACAGTCAATTTTGGGAGATGATATATCTCTTTTGGAGAGTCACAATACACTTTGGCACTGTAGGTCTTCTGAGAAATTTAATGATAAAGAAATTTATTTAAATATGATTAATCCAGCATCTCTCAAATTTATTTTTACCTCAGAACTCATTCTTCCCCAGACCACTTAGTAATGCTCTTTTGGGGAGATAGACTCAAAAACATTCTTCCCATGTAGATTTACCATAAAGAAAGTGTCTGATTGTAATTATGCTAGTCAAAACTTAAATATGAATGGTGAATCTCTACTAGGCTGTACTCTTACTCTTAAATTAAATTCTTTTGTAAGCCACATTAATTATTTGGGATCAACATGGTGCAAGGTTGCCTGTTAGTTACAAAGTTTGGCTATATAGTTACCTTTAGTTTGAAAATCATCCTATTTAATTAAGCTGCTGATTCAAAGCCTTATAGAAACTTAAAATGAGAAGTGACTGAATAGCATTAATCGAATCCAATCTTTCTTACACCACAGTTGGAGAACTGTGCATTAGTGATTTGCCCAAGGCCCTATAACTAACTGATGGCAGACTCAGGCCTTCTGGTTGTTGGATCAGGTTTTTTGCTTGAGTTTACAGTTAATATGATTCTATTTTCTGAAAAAATTTCACTCAACTTGCTTTTCTTTATTTATGGCAATGAGGCAGAAAATGAGAAAAAGAAAGACCACCTCCTTTTCTTTCTTCCACGAATATGGAAATTAATAATTTGAATTTGTAATCTTGGTGGTGAAAACTGCTGTGTATCCATAGGTTCAACAGTTATCGCTCCCATTTTCTTACTGAAAAATTTAAAAAAAAGCAATTTTTTGTAGGCAGCAGTATGCCCAGATTCAGGGAATAAATTATGACTGTTCTAAACCATTGCTAATTTCATTCCCTTTATCTCACTTCCTGGTGTGAAGATCAGTATGTGACCAAGTCTATCCAACAGGATATAAAGAGATTGTTTTGGTGGGGAGAGGGGAGCTTCTTGGAAATAATTCTTTTCCCTGATAAAAAAAAAGAAACACATGTAAGGGAAAAATATTTGCATCCCCATTCCTTCATTTCCACTGGGATGTGTAGATAGAAGGAGATGGTGTTTGAAACCACTGCAGCTGTCTTGTTATCATTCAGAGAGATATGGCAAAGAAAATGTGGATGGCCAAGCAGAAAGCTGAGACATTGCATCTCCAGACTCCTTTTTGGATGATATAAAATGTTCCTATTATTGGAGCCACTGTTAACTGAGTATTTTGTTACTAATCATCATATCATTCTAAAAATACAAAAAAAAAATCACTTGATTGTTTGCGGCCCCTTTTACTGGGCCATTTCAAAGGCTCTAAGTTATATTCTTTCAAAGGAAATAGAATGTCCTTTTTTACATCTTGTCATTTTACTGTGAGACTAAGAAGTGATTTGCACATTCTTACTATCTACTATTATAACCACAAAGACTGAGAGTCATAGATTATGCCATAAAGTTGTATCTCTGATTGCTTTGGTCTCTCTAAGAACTCTTCAGAAAGCTAAGTGTCAAAAGTAACATGATATGCAAGTATGCTTTGTTTATATTTACCTTAGTCAAAAAATCACTGAGTTATTTAACAGGACATCTGAAAAAACAGGATAGCGTAATGGGGAATATATAAATAAAGGGATAAAGCTGAGAAGCTTTCATAATAGAAGGAATATATATATATAAATCCTGAGTCCAAAAGGGCACTTTAGGAACTGAATGGGATAAAAAATACATATACTCCATACCTAAACATGTTACTGTGCAGATTATAAAGGATTAAAAAGAAAATCTTCAAAGCCTTCTGAAAGAGAAAATTTACTTACCAAGGTATAATAATTAGACTGAAGTCAGATTTCTCAGCAACAGTAGAGGCCAAAAGGCAATGAACAATATCTGGCTTACTAGAAAAAAATACTGGCCGGCCTTCCTTCCTTCCTTTCTTCCTTCCTTTTCTTCCTTCCTTCCTTCCTTCCTTCTTTTTTCTTTCTCTTTCTCTTTCCTTCTCTTTCTTTCTTTCATTCTTTCTTTCTTTCTCTCTCTCTTTTTTTCCTTCTTCTCTCTTTCTCCTCCCTTCCTTCCTCTCCCTTCCTTTCTTTTCTTTCTCTTTTTTCTTTCATTTCTTTCTCTTGGTTCATTCTTCTTGAGGAAAGGGTACACAATGAAGATATTTTCACAAAAAATAAAACTATTGTACCACCCACAGATTCTCACTGAAAGAACTACTAAAATATGTTCTTTAGCAGGAAGAAAAGTGAAGCCAGAAGGAAGGAGTGGATCCAAGATAAAACAAAATTTGAAATGAAAATTGATAAAATATGTTGACAAATTAGATTAACCATTGGGTGAAAATAAACAATATTGTTTCAATGGACTAAATAAAAACAAGTTATAACAGATACTGCTAAAACATGTTGATAAATTTAATTAACTATTGACTGAAAATATATTAAGGTGTTTTATGTTTTTTAAATACATAGAAACCAAAATTCTAAACAGTGATGACCATATGGAGGTGATGGTAGGTGGCTAAAAAGCAGTGTGTCACCTTTTAACATGTCCAGAGTAAATACATTAGAACCCAGGAAATATTGTTAGAAAACTTTGTAATTAGTTGTGTGTATTAAAATTTTTAAAGGAACTGTGCAAAAATAAAACAAAAATATTAATGGACCCAGTGATTTCAAAACAACCAGAAAAAAAAACCTAAGGAAATATGAAATATTACTAATCCACAAGGAAAAGGAAAGGAGAAAAACAAATGAGGAAGACAAATATGGGGATTAGAAGATGAAAAATAACAGCAGTAAATCAAGATATATGACAAATATTCAAATGTAAACACTTAATGGGTAGTAACTCACATGCTAAAATAAGTGATAGTCAATGGATTTTTTAAATTCAAAAATATGCCAGTTATAGAATTAAATCTAATACAAAATTACTAGAGGAATTGGAAAAAAGATCTGTTATGTAAATACTAACCAAAAGAAAAGAGGTGCAAGAATATAAATAGCTGAGATATAAAATTTAAGACGAAGATACTAATAGGGCTAGTAAGTAATATTATATGTTAATAAAAGAAACTATTAAGAAGATATAACCATAATAAATATATGTACTTATATATATATGTGTGTTGTGTGTGCATGTGTATATACATAGAGAAAGAGAAACTTATTTTAGAAAATAAAAATAGCTATAATAACACGCAGTATCAGAAACTGATAAACTAGCACATCAATATTTTTAGACTATAGGAGATTTGAAAAACGTGATCGACACCTGATACAATATCGTTTAAGTAGAATTCCTCAACCGTGGGACGACTGAAGTTTGGGGCTGGATAATCGTTAGTTATGGAGGCTGCCCTGTATATTGCAAGATGTTTAGCAACATCTCTGATCTCTACCCACTAAATGCCAGTAGCACCCACTGCCCAGTTGTGACAATCAAAATTGCCTCTAGATGTTGCCAATTTATGCATTTATTATAATTTCCAAGACATATTGTGAAATGAAATAAGCAAGATTAGTTGTGTATATATAGTATGCTAACGTTTATATACAAAAGGGGTGGGGAAAGAGTATGTGTGTGTATATTTACTTGACAATGCTTAGGTTGTCTTTGGAGATTTAAATAAGATATTGCTGAGCTTCTTTGCTTCCAGAGAGAACCACAAGGTACTGAGCACAGAAAAGGGAAGATTTTACTGGATACCTTCTGTGAACTTTTGAGTTTTGAGCAGTATAACTGTAATGCCAAATAGAGAATAAACAAAATTAGAGTAAAAAACATACATATAAGAGTTAAGTGATTACTCCAGAATTTTTAAAAAGCATGAGCAAAAGCCTAAAGGAGGTCATAAAGATAAGGACAGAAATTATACCCTAGATAGCAAATGAAAATAAGAACAATGTGGCAAGACTCAATCAAATTTGAAATGCACATACCCTAGGATTCAGCATTTATTCTTTTTTAGGTGGAGAATCACTTGCAGACATGTGCAAAAGGTTTGCTGGGTTATTGTTTGCAGGAGCAAAATAATGGAAACAAAGTCTATATTCACCGAATAGTAGAGTATAAATCAAGTGTGGTGGATGGGTGGATGTATATAATGAAAAACTACACAGTAGAGAAAAAAGAATATAGAGCAGGGATTGGCAAACCAAGTGTCAGAGGCCAAATCTTTCTCCCTGTTTTTATAGATAAAAGTTATCGTTAACACAATTACTCATATTCTTTTGTATATGTTTTATTGTTGCATTCCCACTATATCAGCAGAGTTGAGTGGTTGCAACAGAGACTGTGGCCAACAGAGCCTAAAATCTTCACAATCAGTCCTTTAAACAAAAAGTTTGCCAACCCCTGGTCTAGGACAATGTTTTCTAACCCAACATTGCCTTTTCCATAACAAATATTTTATAATGCCTTCTTATTCTCTACCTAGTCATCTTAAAAATAAAATTGATACAATTTTATATATCTCTGATACTGTAATATCAGAGACAACATAAAAGAAATCATTTATAATAATTTCTTGTGTATTTCAATTCATAAGGGCTGTAGCGTTAGGATACTAAAATGCATAATGAGATAAATACTTGCAGTTAGTTATAATGAACAAACTTGGATTTACAATAATTCCATTGAGGAAGTACAGGCAAATTAAAAGAGTAGAGGTACAAGTGGACATAGAATAAGAACTAGTATTATGATGAGTATTCATTTAAGCAGACATTAATATATGACAACAGAAATTGGGAAATAGCTAACTCAGGTAAGGATAGCATGCTAAGACAAATTTCAGTCTATGAAAATAGAAAAAATGAGGAAACTGAGTCTTCTGGCAAATTTGTTGGCCCTTATCCCTATATGTAGTATTCTAACAATTCCTGTGCTCAGACCTGGAGTGAGATAGTGATGAAATCAAAATAAATAAATAATAACAGGAGAAACATTTGAGTGGGGAAAAACAACAAGAAAAAGAAGTCATGAAATTAAGTTTTCCTAATGGTTTTTCAATAGAATCATGGATTTTTTTCTCTCATGTATTTCTTCATTATTTAAAATAAAGGAGATCCCACATTTTTCTGCCCAAACAGTTGAAAGTCTTGTGGAGTAAAGGGCTATCACATTGGGTAGATTATCCTGTCCAGGCCAGAACATCTCACGTCCTTGCCCACTACACACCAGTAATGTTCCCAATCATTATAACTCAAAATACTCCATACATATTTGGCATTTATATTCAATGCTGTATTTTGAGGTTATTTCCTACATCCACTTGAGTAGTTCTAGTTTGCCGATTCTCAGAGGAGCAATACCAACCATGGGAGATACTTTAGAAACACATGGGTTTGACTTTAACTCACCAATCGGCATTACTATTATTTGGTATAGCATTTGTGCTTGTAATACCAATTTACATATTTGCAAATGGAGTAAAAATTAAACAAATGAGCAGAATTCCCATTGGTGCAGCATTTCTTATAAGCATATATACACATTTTCATTGTTTGTAATTATTTTTTCTCCTTTTGCTTAAAATGCTTTATTAACCAATACTTCTATTAACTTACAAATACCCAAATTTTTCTATCTCAGAATCTTTATTTCTGAACATCATTTAATTTTTAGTATTAACTTTAGTGACATAATTAGGGCAGGTATATATTTGTATACATAAGGAGAAAGGGAGGGAAAGTAAGAAGTTGATACAAGATCTGGTTAATTACTGACGAAGCTAGAGCTAAAACCCTGAATGTTTCATTTGTAAATGGGCAAAGAAGTAGCATTATTGTGAGAATTTGGTGAGGTAATTATATCAAGAAATCAGCTCACTCACTGTTCAATCAATAATGATGATTATTGTCGATAATGTAGGGGAGGAAAATCTTCCTTCTATCTTCTTAGATTCTGTGGCTGAGAATTAAACTAATGTAAGACAGACTAACAGGGCAAAAAAGCATACAAATTTTATTAAATATTTTTCCATACACACAGGAGTCTTCATAAAGAAAATAAAAATCCAAATAAGCTGTTAGGCCCCAAAGCTTAAATAGCTTTTTTAAAAATGTGTTAAACATTGTGAGGATGTGACAAGACAGGGGAAGTAAATTGTGGGGCAGTGACTAGGAAATATATGGGGGAAATTAATGGAGGATGAGTTGTTTTAGTAGATTGGTTTGTCCAGATTCATCTCAGCTTCAACTCCCAGTCTTCAGTGATAAGAATGTTCTTTTCTTTCTGATATGGGGAAAGCACCTGTCTCATGGGAAATTTTATGATTTGCATTTAGAAGAGGGTCAGGGAAACTTTCCTGCACCTGCTGTTTCTCAAATACCTTCAGCTATAAATAATCAATATAACAAAGCAGCGTATCTTGAGGTGGCATGTTCAAGGTCATCAAGCCTGTATTTCCTCAGTATTTGTTTTTGTTTTTGTTTGTTGTTTGTTTGTTTGAGACAAGGTCTCACTCTGTCATGCAGGCTGGAGTGCAGTGGCACAATCACAGCTCACTGCAGCCTCAATCTCCCAGGGTGATGCTCCTACCTCAGCCTCCCAAGTAGCTGGGATTACAGGCATGTGCCATCACGCCTGGCTAATTTTGTTGTTTTTTTGTAGATGGGGTTTCCCCATTTTGCCTAGGCTAGTTTCCTGAGCTCAAGTGATCCTCCCCCCTTAGCCTCCCAAAGTGCCAGGATTACAGGCATGAGCCACTGTGCCCAGCCTCCTTGGTTTGTTTTAATATCTACTGTTTTTAGAAAATTAGCATCCTTTGAAACATACTTAATAATCCAGCTAATCTTGGGACTAAGATACACCAGAACATTGCACAACTCAAAGCTTTCAGGAACACAAGTGTCTGAGGATTCATTTACTACTTAAAGGAGCGGAGGCTTTTTCAGGTACTTATGCAGACTTGGCTCAGCATCTTTCTGAAAAGCCAAGAGAAGGTCTCTTAAAGACCATCATCTTGTATCTACCTGTCAGGCATCCTTTATCTGCAGTACTCTAGGGACTGACATGCATTGAATGATGTCAAACAACATTAGAAGTAATCATTCCAGTTATCTTCTCTCTTCCAATCTTCCATCAGCACTTCTAAGAACAAGGAAAAGAGCTGATCAGCATTTCAGCTCCCCCTCCTTTTTTCCTGAACAGCTCTGAAGAGGCCTGAAAGGCACAACTGGGACTTCCAGTAACACAGTCTAGAAGCAAGTCATTAGCTAAAGGCTTAATCACCAGCTTGAGTATTCAAGAGGTCTCTTAACAACAGCTTCATAATTTTGCTGGATCTGAGTTCAATATTTAGTATCATTTACAAATACATACTTGCTTCAAAAAACTTTTCTCCAAATCTCCTCTTTATTGTGCATAACCTATATAATCTCCGTTTCGTGTTAAATGGAACTAAGGGGTAGTGCTCTTGTACCATTGAACTCTACTCATATCAATGCTTGTTACACTAGTAGCCCCCAAAAAGGTACTTTAATTCTAGGATTCTTGGATGTCTTTTTCTATCAGGGTAAATACACAAACATCAGTGGGCCCTGAAAGGGTATGGACTTTTTAATGTTATTTCATTGTATAAGCAAATCCCAATTTATAGTATAGTCATTTTCCTGAAAACTGCAAAGATGTCATTTCCTCCTTAGGTAAAATGGCTAAAATTAAAGATACTGACTTGGATACTGAAGGCAAAGACATCTAATAATAAATAAAGTTGAAGTTTTATGATGAGGAGAAAATTAAATTAAATTTTACCCCTGAATTGCTTGGACATTCTGGTATACCCTGACTACATAGTTAAGCTTTGATTAGTTAACATCCATTCGTCTCTTAGTGTTTGGCTCCCTCTCTCCCTTCCTCTCTTCCTCTTTAAATCTCATTTTTCCTCCTCCCCTACTACTAACATAGTCAGATTCTCCCACCTATTCCTAGTACACCTTTTAGATATAAGGTGGCAATGGAGGTCCGTATACCCATATACCCCCACGTCTTCATGCCCACGCCTCCACAACACAAAGCCTTAAGCGTGTTGAGGAGACTCCTTCCAGTTATTCTGTTTAGCCATTCACGCTAATCTAGGATTGAGTAATAGGGTCTCTCACTAACAATGACTCAATACGGCATTCATGGCTCGGATTTGACCTTTGTCCCACAAAGCTATTTATAATGCAGCTATGAGAATATTTACAGTGTCTGTATGCCAAGATAATATATTTGGAACATTTATTAAATGGAATGTATTATATTGAGCATTGATCTTTGACTAGAAATGAATCACTGCCGACTTGGTTACTGGCCAGCTATTTTTTGGTGAATAAATCTAAGCCTGCGTATATAGCAATAATTATACAAAAAACAGAAAACTACACTACCACTTCAGATTCCCAGTGAGGTGTAAGGTAGTAAGTGTCTTATCTCAAAAATGTAGGGATTTTACATGTCAGAATATCTTGGTGGGAAAAGACCGTGCATTGAAAAGTAAGGTACTGTTTTCATCATTCTTATTAAGAGCTCTCAAATTAGGTGACTTTAAAGTACCTACTTAAGCACTTAAGCAAAGATTAAAATTGCATTTGTTTTACAAATCAACTGTCAGTTCACGTATTGCTTCATTAGGCTTTTCAGAATTCACTATGGGAAGATGAAACGCTATCATAAATTAACTATTGAACGGATACCCAGGATGTGTAACCACTACATTTTCCTTAACCATATGAAACTGCAGAGCAGACTATTTTTCATTTGATTGTTTCAAACATAGCAATGGATGTTTCCTTAGGCAAGATGTAATAGGCTTATGTTTAATTATAAGAATTACTTTATTCACCATCACTTTCTATTAGACAGACTTACAGATTTTTGGAAATAATTCCACCATTCTTTACTGTAAGCAAAATCATACTCAAGGACAATGTTCTCGATAAACCTACAAATTACATTTTAAGGTATTTTCTTGTGATTTAATGTTCCTCTGTGCATATACTGTGCTAATTATCTAAACTTTAAAATAGAAGCAGTGGAGAAAAACAAATGTCTGTCAATTACAGCCATTCCAAAACAATGTCTGCTTCCATTTTAAATCTTTCTGTGTGTTGTTTTCTCTACTTGTTTTAATGTAGTTGTGCTGGTATTCTATGCAAACTTGGGGAATATTTTTTCTCATAACATTTTAATATAATTATTTCTCTGTGTTTTATAAATATTTATAAACATATTTAATATCTGCATAATATTCCATCATATAATGATTATTTAGTTTATATAACCGCATCTTAATTGTTACGCATTTAAGATGATTTTGATTTTTTGCCACTTAAATATAAAAATCGTAATGAACATCTCTATGAAAAATATATTTATTTACTAACTAAGCAAATACGTACTGAGTGCCTATCATTTGCCATGTACTGTTCTAGATGCTGGAGATAGGCCAGTGAAGCAAATAGACACAGGTTCTTGCCTTCATATGATTTACATCCTGATAGGAGACAAACAGTAAACAAAACAATTAATTTAAATGGCATGCTTGATAGTGACAGGTTGCACGTAGAAAAATAAAGCAAAGAAGGGGGAAGGAATGGGCTGCAATTTTAAATCAGTGGCCACGCAAAGTATAATTGAGAATATGACATTTAAATAATGACAGAAGAGAAATAAAGAAGCAATCAACTGTATCTCTTGATGAAGAACATTCCAAGCAAAGGGGACAGCCAGATGCTTTACTCCCACATTTGGAGTTCTTTTAAGAAGCAGTGGAATTATTGGGCCAAAGAATGTTAATATATACAGCTTATAACACATCTTTTTTTAAAAAAATTACATTATCCTTCGAGCATTTTTGGTCAGTGAAGCTCTAGTTGAAATGCCATTTGTCCATGCTAATATTTCCATAGTAATAGCTACTGTGAAATATTATAGGTTGTATGCTGCTTTCTGAATTTTTTATACTAGTTAAAGTCGCTTAATTTGATGGAGTAATTCAGATACTATAATATTCATATTGCATTATTGTTACTTATTCCTATTTTTTCCTTAGGTTTAATGCCACAAGGAAAATGAAGTTGTATTTGTCTGATGGATTCAAAACTTATTTCACAGTGTACCTGAATGTTTAAATTTGAAATATTTGAGATGGCAAATATGAAGGAAAATTGTCTTAGCATGTGTCTGAGAATGATTCTGCCTTATGACATATATTACTGTAAATAGACTATGAGAAGAGCATGTGCTCATAAAATATGAAATAGTGGTGCTTGTTTTGAACAAGGCAGGGATATTAAGAATGGAATGTTACTAAATTTAGAAACCCAGGAGAAAATTGTGAGTTCTTGATTTAGAAACTTAATGTAATGAAAGGGTTTTTTTCCCTCTTACCAAACGAGTTCTGCTATGTCATTCTCTCTTCTTTCCACTTTTCAAGTATGTTTTCTTAAAGTATAAAAAAATAAAATAAAATTCTACTCTCAAAATAGAAAAGGCATTATTCACATGGTTTGTATTTTCCATCTCAGTCCATGGTGTTAGCATTTCCTATTGGAATAACCTCCTCTTCCCGTCACTCCAATAGTTTTAAGATCAGTAAATACATAAGTAATAAATGATAAAAACAAATATATATTGAATATAGTGAAAAGTTATTTAAATATTTTTAGATGACAGAAAACATTCTGGCTACCTGTGTGTGGATGTAAGTCTTTATGTAGTCAATGTATTAAATATTTGTTGAGGACCAAAATGATGTCACCCAAGAGAGCTGATGTGGCAATTACTTAGAAGCATAGAAGACCCTTCAGGGTCTTGACTCCTTATTTCTATCCTTTTCTCCATCACCACTTGCTCCTCCTTCTTGTGGCTCCAGCCATACTGACCATTTGCACTTCCTCAACTGTGTCATTCTTTTCACCTCGTTTCATGATCTTTGCACTTTCTACTCCCAGAAAATAAAAATGGCAAGACATCTCCTTAGTTCCTCTTTACGCAATTAAATTTTTCTTATCCTTGAAGTATCATCTGTGAACTCTCTGTAAAGCCTTCTTTATTCCTTGTTACCCCGATTACCATGAGTCTGGGTTAGGTTTCTATCATGCACTATTTAACTTATTTCCTTCCTCCATTCTTTAACCCCGTATTATAATTGTGTACCCCCACTCTCTCTCTCTCTCTATATATATATTTATATATATATCAGAAATATATATATCATAATATATATATATCAGAAATATATATATCATAATATATATATATCAGAAATAAACTTTGAGCTCTCAGAGAACATGGACCAGGCAATACATTTATTTTTCAAATTCCACCAACAAATATAGTATTTAATAACATATTTAATATTTGCATAATATTCCATCATATAATGCATATGTAGCACTAAACATATGTCTCCTTACCAGCATAGTTCAGATAAACAAAATATAACATGTAGCTCATTGAGTTGAACAACAGCCTTATTTCCAAAGGTTTGTTTGTTTCATGTGGCCTCACAGGTAACTGATTTTGTTTTTTAATTTTTAAACAGCACAGCCTACTTTAGAGTTGCTAATTCTTAACAAGTCATGTATAATTAAACAAAGAGCAGGTAACTTGGGAAATCCTACAGGTTTTGGCGCTGGGCCCAGACCCTTGCAAACACATCAAGGTCTTGTCAAGGACCCCTTTACTGTTGGCTTACAAGAGAGAGCATGGGATTAGCCCAGCAAATCTAAATGCTAGGTGTTAGGATATCATCCTTTCCTGGATAACAACCCTAAAAGGGAGACTTATGACCATACAGAGGACCAAGGAGATGCTGCAGTCTCAACTCAACTAGACATACTGGCCACCAGGCAATTAAAAATCTTTCTTATCAAATAGCTAATAAAAATTATCTAATCATTGCTAAATACTTTAATTATATCAGGCCTGATATAAATCTGATGCCATGCTTTGGGTTATGAAAAGCATATTGAAGAAGTTGAAGACACTCTCCCTGTATTCAAGAAGCCCATACAATGATTAGGGAAATTTGTCTAAGCATGGAAAACTCTCAGTGAATAGTAAAAGAAGAGTGGAAACTTTGTTCAAGTTGTGTAGTATAATTCCATAAGTGTAGGAAAGATATCTGTGGTGTATTTTGAAATTGATGTAGGGCTGGTCCATACTAGTCACTGAATTTGAAGGTATGATCAGAGAAGAGAAATGGGTAAGAAAGTGTGATGAGAGACCATGAGTGCTGAGCACCTGGAATGAGGAGGAGCTTACCAAGGTGGCAACAAGAAAGCAGCTGTAGTTTTGATTATTTACCCATTCATAATTATACCTAAGACTAGCCTTACTACAGACTAAAGGAAATTCATGGCTGGAGTGGAATGTTTCAAGAGACCGTCCTCAAATAAGGCCATTGAATAAAGATTATATACTTAGAAGCATGACTGAGCATAAACGTGCTAGATACCTAGTATCTGCAATATAATAGCTGGTCAGTAAATTTATGCTGCGTATTTGAAAGTTATTGTGTCTTGGAATTGACTGCAATAGTAAATAAGACCCTGATTCCCTTGGGCTGATCATATATTGGCCTAGATAAAACAGATGGTCTCGTCAAGAAAAATGTGAGATGCTGTCTAATTTTAAAAATTTATTTTACTTTATAGCCACAAAAATTCAAAATATTTAAAGTTTAGTTACTTATATTTTCTCATTTGAAACATATAAAAACTCTGAAAAGACTCCCTTCTGGTTTTTCTATCTCTTAATATTTGTAAGACTGACCTTTCCTACTATAGTATAATTAAGAGCCAAATTGCATGATAATATTCGTCTTAGTTTATGGATACAGAAACTAAAGCTCAAAGAGTTTAAATCACTTTGTTTTTTAAAGGAAATATGTTTGGAAATTAGGTATAAACATATTTTGAACAGTGGAGGTAACAGTATTTTTATATTTATTATTTCCCTTAATGGTTGTAACAAGGATACAGAAGAGTGTTCAGTCACTTGTAGACTGTAGCCTCTTGTTTGTCAAAGAGTGCTTGTTAGTCTTTATCTGACTAGACCTCTTTCCATATTTGATACTGGTGACCCCTCCTCTCTTCCTTGGCTTCCACTGTCTACTACTGTGTTCTCTTGATTTTCCTTCTCCTTGCTGGATGTTTCTACTCAGTCTCTTTCATGAGCTCCTGTCCCTTTTCCTGTATCCTAAATGATACTCCTCCCCTAAATATTAACCTTGATTCTCTCCTTTCTCTCCGCTGTATCACACACTCATCATGGGAGATTGTTTCGCCACCTAGCATTTCAATGTTGGTGGCCCCCAAAACAGTATCTTGAGCCTGATTCATTCACTAAATTTATGCAAGTGAATTCAGCTATCTATAGGATATCATTCCAATGAAACATAGCTACTTAAAATACCACAGGTTGGAAATTGAACTCATCATTTTTTCCCACTAAACCACAACCTGTTTCCTTCCTGGATTTTCCCATATTTGTGAATGATCTAGTAAGTCATAAGTTTAGGGCCCTTTACAGATTTCTGTCTCTTCCTCCATCCCTTGATAAAATCAAACTCGAAACCCTGTATGCTCCACCTCCTAACCACCTATTTTTGCACTCTCCCTTATTATTCTTGACGCTGCTTCTTTAGTTTTGGTCACCATCAGCTCTGTCTAGACTACTACAATCCTTGACTAACTTCCTTCTCTACCTAGTCTTGGGATTTATTTACTATGCTATAAATAGGTTTTTGTTGCTGTTTTAATAAAGTGTATGCCTGATCATGTCATGTCTCTGCTTAAATCCCTTCCATCACTTGCTACTCTTTAACTTTAAATAAATGCAGACTTGCTGCCTCCACCTTCTTCCTCTTTGCCTTGATAACTGTTATTAATCCTTTAGGATATAGTTCGCTTGTTATCTCTCGCCTGCCTGCCTCAAGCTTCACCTCCCAAGTCTGTGTTAGCTGTTTTTTCTTGGCATTCCCATAACATTCATCTCATGACTTTATAATTACCTATTTGCTTGTGTGTATCCTCTACTAAACTACAATTTCTTTTAATACAGAAACAGTTTTTGTACTCTCAGAATTCAGCTAAACATGTACATATCAGGTGCTTCATAAATACTGGTTGAGTAAATAGTTGAAGGGTAACCATTATTAGTTTCGTTTTAATTAAGTGAAAATTGGAACTTAAGAAAGGTAATTAACTTTCCATAGGACACACTGCTACTGAGTGAGAGAGCTGCATTAGGACACATTTTATTTTGTAAATGTTTTATTTTATATTTTATTTTAAAGCCAATATTCATCTCATGACATTTTATCATATATTATTACTAAGCTAAGATAATTTTAAAGAATAAAATACAAAGACTGTATACATATTTTATTTTATTTTTAATTATACTTTAAGTTTTAGGGTACATATGCACATTGTGCAGGTTATTTACATATGTATACATGTGCCATGCTGGTGCACTGCACCCACTAACTCATCATCTAGCATTAGGTATATCTCCCAATGCTATCCCTCCCACCTCCCCCCACCCAACAACAGTCCCCAGAGTGTGATATTCCCCTTCCTGTGTCCATGTGATCTCATTGTTCAATTCCCACCTATGAGTGAGAATATGCGGTGTTTGGTTTTTTCTTCTTGAGATAGTTTACTGAGAATGATGATTTCCAATTTCATCCATGTCCCTACAAAGGACATGAACTCATCATTTTTTATGGCTGCATAGTATTCCATGGTGTATATGTGCCACATTTTCTTAATCCAGTCTATTACTGTTGGACATTTGGGTTGGTTCCAAGTCTTTGCAATTGTGAATAATGCCGCAATAAACATACGTGTGCATGTGTCTTTATAGCAGCATGATTTATAATCCTTTGGGTATATACCCAGTAATGGGATGGCTGGGTCAAATGGTATTTCTAGTTCTAGATCCCTGAGGAATCGCCACACTGACTTCCACAATGGTTGAACTAGTTTACAGTCCCACCAACAGTGTAAAAGTGTTCCTATTTCTCCACATCCTCTCCAGCACCTGTTGTTTCCTGACTTTTTAATGATTGCCATTCTAACTGGTGTGAGATGGTATCTCATTGTGGTTTTGACTTGCATTTCTCTGATGGCCAGTGATGATAAGCATTTTTTCATGTGTTTTTTGGCTGCATAAATGTCTTCTTTTGAGAAGTGTCTGTTCATGTCCTTCGCCCACTTTTTGATGGGGTTGTTTGTTTTTTTCTTGTAAATTTGTTTGAGTTCATTGTAGATTCTGGATATTAGCCCTTTGTCAGATGAGTAGGTTGTGAAAATTTTCTCCCATTCTGTAGGTTGCCTGTTCACTCTGATGGTAGTTTCTTTTGCTGTGCAGAAGCTCTTTAGTTTAATTAGATCCCATTTGTCAATTTTGGCTTTTGTTGCCATTGCTTTTGGTGTTGTAGACATGAAGTCCTTGCCCATGCCTATGTCCTGAATGGTAATGCCTAGGTTTTCTTCTAGGGTTTTTATGGTTTTAGGTCTAACGTTTAAAGTCTTTAATCCATGTTGAATTGATTTTTGTATAAGATGTAAGGAAGGGATCCAGTTTCAGCTTTCTACATATGGCTAGCCAGTTTTCCCAGCACCATTTATTAAATAGGGAATCCTTTCCCCATTGCTTGTTTTTCTCAGGTTTGTCAAAGATCAGATAGTTGTAGATATGTGGCGTTATTTCTGAGGGCTCTGTTCTGTTCCATTGATCTATATCTCTGTTTTGGTACCAGTACCATGCTGTTTTGGTTACTGTAGCCTTGTAGTATAGTTTGAAGTCAGATAGTGTGATGCCTCCAGGTTTGTTCTTTTGGCTGAGGATTGACTTGGCGATGCGGGCTCTTTTTTGGTTCCATATGAACTTTAAAGTAGTTTTTTCCAATTCTGTGAAGAAAGTCATTGGTAGCTTGATGTGGATGGCACTGAATCTATAAATTACCTTGGGCAGTATGGCCATTTTCACGATATTGATTCTTCCTACCCATGAGCATGGAATGTTCTTCCATTTGTTTGTATCCTCTTTTATTTCCTTGAGCACTGGTTTGTAGTTCTCCTTGAAGAGGTCCTTCACATCCCTTGTAAGTTGGATTCCTAGGTATTTTATTCTCTTTGAAGCAATTGTGAATGGGAGTTCACTCATGATTTGGCTCTCTGTTTGTCTGTTGTTGGTGTATAAGAATGCTTGTGATTTTTGTACATTGATTTTGTATCCTGAGACTTTGCTGAAGTTGCTTATCAGCTTAAGGAGATTTTGGGCTGAGACAATGGGGTTTTCTAGAATACAATCATGTCGTCTGCAAACAAGGACAATTTGACTTCCTCTTTTCCTGATTGAATACCGTTTATTTCCTTCTCCTGCCTAATTGCCCTGGCCAGAACTTCCAACACTATGTTGAATAGGAGTGGTGAGAGAGGGCATCCCTGCCTTCTGCCCGTTTTCAAAGGGAATGCTTCCAGTTTTTGCCCATTCAGTATGATATTGGCTGTGGGTTTGTCATAGATAGCTCTTATTATTTTGAAATATGTCCCATCAATACCGAATTTATTGAGAGTTTTTAGCATGAAGGGTTGTTGAATTTTGTCAAAGGCTTTTTCTGCATCTATTGAGAGAACCATGTGGTTTTTGTCTTTGGCTCATTTATATGCTGGATTACATTTATTGATTTGCGTATATTGAACCAGCCTTGCATCCCAGGGATGAAGCCCACTTGATCATGGTGGATAAGCTTTTTGATGTGCTGCTGGATTCGTTTTGCCAGTATTTTATTGAGGATTTTTGCATCAATGTTCATCAAGGATATTGGTCTAAAATTCTCTTTTTTGGTTGTGTCTGTGCCCGGCTTTGGTATCAGAATGATGCTGGCCTCATAAAATGAGTTAGGGAGGATTCCCTCCTTTTCTGTTGATTGGAATAGTTTCAGAAGGAATGGTACCAGCTCCTCCTTGTACCTCTGGTAGAATTCGGCTGTGAATCCATCTGGTCCTGGACTCTTTTTGGTTGGTAAGCTATTGATTATTGCCAGAATTTCAGATCCTGTTATTGGTCTATTCAGAGATTCAGCTTCTTCCTGGTTTAGTGTTGGGAGAGTGTATGTGTCAAGGAATTTATCCATTTCTTCTAGATTTTCTAGTTTATTTGCGTAGAGGTGTTTGTAGTATTCTCTGGTGGTAGTTTGTATTTTTGTGGGATCGGTGGTTATGTCCCGTTTATCATTTTTTATTGCGTCTATTTGATTCTTCTCTTTTTTTCTTTATTAGTCTTGCTAGCGGTCTATCAGTTTTGTTGATCCTTTCAAAAACCAGCTCCTGGATTCATTAATTTTTTGAAGGGTTTTTTGTGTCTCTATTTCCTTCAGTTCTGCTCTGATCTTAGTTATTTCTTGCCTTCTGCTAGCTTTTGAATGTGTTTGCTCTTGCTTTTCTAGTTCTTTTAATTGTGATGTTAGGGTGTCAATTTTGGATCTTTCCTGCTTTCTCTTGTGGGCATTTAGTGCTATAAATTTCCCTCTACACACTGCTTTGAATGCGTCCCAGAGATTCTGGTATGTTGTGTCTTTGTTCTCGTTGGTTTCAAAGAACTTCTTTATTTCTGCCTTCATTTCGTTATGTACCCATTAGTCATTCAGGAGCAGGTTGTTCAGTTTCCATGTAGTTGAGCGGTTTTGAGTGAGATTCTTAATCCTGAGTTCTAGTTTGATTGCACTGTGGTCTGAGAGATAGTTTGTTACAGTCTCTGTTCTTTTACATTTGCTGAGGAGTGCTTTACTTCCAAGTACGTGGTCAATTTTGGAATAGGTGTGGTGTGGTGCTCAAAAAAATGTATATTCTGTTGATTTGGGGTGGAGAGTTCTGTAGATGTCTATTAGGTCCACTTGGTGCAGAGCTGAGTTCAATTCCTGGGTATCCTTGTTGACTTTCTGTCTCGTTGATCTGTCTAATGTTGACAGTGGGGTGTTAAAGTCTCCCATTATTAATGTGTGGGAGTCTAAGTCTCTTTGTAGGTCACTCAGGACTGGCTTTATGAATCTGGGTACTCCTGTATTGGGTGCATATCTATTTAGGATAGTTAGCTCTTCTTGTTGAATTGATCCCTTTACCATTATGTAATGGCCTTCTTTGTCTCTTTTGATCTTTGTTGGTTTAAAGTCTGTTTTATCAGAGACTAGGATTGCAACCCCTGCCTTTTTTTGTTTTCCATTTGCTTGGTAGATCTTCCTCCATCATTTTATTTTGAGCCTAGTCTCTGCACGTGAGATGGGTTTCCTGAATACAGCACACTGATGGGTGTTGACTCTTTATCCAGTTTGCCAGTCTGTGTCTTTTAATTGGAGCATTTAGTCCATTTACATTTAAGGTTAATATTGTTATGTGTGAATTCGATCCTGTCATTATGATGTCAGCTGGTTCTTTTGCTGGTTAGTTGATGCAGTTTCTTCCTAGTCTCGATGGTCTTTACATTTTGGCATGATTTTGCAGTGGCTGGTACTAGTTGTTCCTTTCCATGTTTAGTGCTTCCTTCAGGAGCTCTTGTAAGGCAGGCCTGGTGGTGACAAAATCTCTGAGCATTTGCTTGTCTGTAAAGTATTTTATTTCTCCCTTCACTTATGAAGCTTAGTTTGGCTGGATATGAAATTCTGGGTTGAAAATTCTTTTCCTTAAGAATGTTGAATATTGGCCCCCACTCTCTTCTGGCTTGTAGGGTTTCTGCCGAGAGATCCGCTGTTAGTCTGATGGGCTTCCCTTTGAGGGTAACCTGACCTTTCTCTCTGGCTGCCCTTAACATTTTTTCCTTCATTTCAACTTTGGTGAATCTGACAATTATGTGTCTTGGAGTTGCTCTTCTCAAGGAGTATCTTTGTGGCGTTCTCTGTATTTCCTGAATCTGAACGTTGGCCTGCCTTGCTAGATTGGGGAAGTTCTCCTGGATAATATCCTGCAGGGTGTTTTCCAGGTTGGTTCCATTCTCCCCATCACTTTCAGGTACACCAATCAGACGTAGATTTGGTCTTTTCACATAGTCCCATATTTCTTGGAGGCTTTGCTCATTTGTTTTTATTCTTTTTTCTCTAAACTTCCCTTCTCGCTTCATTTCATTCATTTCATCTTCCATTGCTGATACCCTTTCTTCCAGTTGATTGCATCGGCTCCTGAGGCTTCTGCATTCTTCACGTAGTTCTCAAGCCTTGGTTTTCAGCTCCATCAGCTCCTTTAAGCACTTCTCTGTATTGGTTATTCTAGTTATACATTCTTCTAAATTTTTTTCAAAGTTTTCAACTTCTTTGCCTTTGGTTTGAATGTCCTCCCGTAGCTCAGAGTAATTTGATCGTCTGAAGCCTTCTTCTCTCAGCTCGTCAAAGTCATTCTCCATCCAGCTTTGTTCCGTTGCTGGTGAGGAACTCCGTTCCTTTGGAGGAGGAGAGGCACTCTGGTTTTTAGAGTTTCCAGTTTTTCTGTTCTGTTTTTTCCCCATCTTTGTGGTTTTATCTACTTTTGGTCTTTGATGATGGTGATGTACAGATGGGTTTTTGGTGTGGATGTCCTTTCTGTTTGTTAGTTTTCCTTCTAACAGACAGGGCCCTCAGCTGCAGGTCTGTTGGAGTACCCTACTGTGTGAGGTGTCAGTGTGCCCTTGCTGGGGGGTGCCTCCCAGTTAGGCTGCTCGGGGGTCAGGGACCCACTTGAGGAGGCAGTCTGCCCGTTCTCAGATCTCCAGCTGTGTGCTGGGAGAACCACTGCTCTCTTCAAAGCTGTCAGACAGGGACATTTAAGTCTGCAGAGGTTACTGCTGTCTTTTTGTTTGTCTGTGCCCTGCCCCCAGAGGTGGAGCCTACAGAGGCAGGCAGGCCTCCTTGAGCTGTGGTGGGCTCCACCCAGTTCGAGCGTCCAGGCTGCTTTGTTTACCTAAGCAAGCCTGGGCAATGGCGGGCGCCCCTCCCCCAGCCTCGCTGCCGCCTTGCAGTTTGATCTCAGAGTGCTGTGCTAGCAATCAGCGAGACTCTGTGGGCGTAGGACCCTCTGAGCCAGGTGCAGGATATAATCTCGTGGTGCGCCATTTTTGAAGCCGGTCGGAAAAGCGCAGTATTCGGGTAGGAGTGACCCGATTTTCCAGGTGCGTCTGTCACCCCTTTCTTTGACTGGGAAAGGGAACTCCCTGACCCCTTGCGCTTCCCGAGTGAGGCAATGCCTCTCCCTGCTTCGGCTCATGCACGGTGCGCGCACCCACTGACCTGTGCCCACTGTCTGGCACTCCCAAGTGAGATGAACCCGGTACCTCAGATGGAAATGCAGAAATCACCCGTCTTCTGTGTCGCTCACGCTGGGAGCTGTAGACCGGAGCTGTTCCTATTCGGCCATCTTGGCTCCTCTCCCTGTATACATATTTTAAATTTACTAATGTATTGCCCACAGCCTGATTATTATTGTGGTTTCCATGGAAATCAGTAATTTTGGTGCTATTTCTTTGGAGGAAGCTTTGAACATTTTTATTTACATTGGATAATCCAAAAAGTGCAATGGGAAGTGTGAAGAGACTCAAAATACACTGGAGTGGAACAAAAGTTTGGGATACTAAACAAGAAGCAACTCTCATTCCCCTTTTTGGGAGACCAATAGTGAACAAAGAGATGTCCAAAATTACTGACTTAAAAAAATATGAAGACATAAAAAGGTCATTCGATGGGTACACAGCAATGCTGTGCACAGGTAAGGCAGAGAATGAGATGGCACAACCATAAACATACATGGAAGAGGGTAGACAGAATGTCCTTTATTGTGTATAAGTTGTCAATAGAACAAATGTCTAGAATACAATGGGAATCTAGAATGTAAGTTGGATACATCTGCTATGCTAGGCAATGATGAATCCTGGAAGAAATAGCAGGGAGGTTAACAGCTGTAGCAGCCAACAAAAATATTGTTTTCAAAAAACTAAAATAAAAGATATTAGTGGCAAGGAGACAAATGAAAAGACGGTATTTTCTGTTAGTTGCTGAAACACATTTCTGCTGTACAGGATCCACATCAGGATCCATCTAGTGATTAACACACACTTTTTTAAGGTTCCTGATCAGGGCATTGAGTGGATTTGTGCACATTTGTTGGAGAGGTGAGAACACATGGTCAATTTCAGGTAATCTGGATGTATTCTGAGATGATTAAGAGTCCAAGGGTGGTTATAGCCATTTAAATCAGACGTAGGGACAATTTCTTTTTATCCAATATATTTATGCTAAAGAATCATCTGGTTTTTCCTGAAGTTCAAAGTTCCACAGCTGTCCTATATTTTATTAGCTAAATCTGGCAAGTATACAGAGGTGACCTCAACGGATCATATTAATGCCTTGGTTTTAGCAAACAACACTAAGAGGTTCAATGCCCAGGAGGAGCTGCAAGAGTGGTATATATTGAGATGATGCTGATCAACATTTGACTGGGCATTGAAAAAGAAAAACTTATTTATGAGTGCTGCCATCCATGGTAGATGGTGGAGAACTGTGTGAATGCCTTGTTCATAATGATAAAAGGTCACATTTTGATTGGATTTTCAAGACCAACCATCAAAAGACTATTCTCAAAAGGCTGAGAGCCATTAAAATGCTAAGTTAGTGGAAGGAAGAGAGCAGTGGTTTTTGCTTTGTTTGTTAGTGTTAATACGCTGTTTGAAGAAGTGCTCAACAATAATTCAGTGCATTATGGGATATGAAAATTTATTTCTCTTTATTTTATTTCTTACCTAATGTTCTGGGTAGTCTATTGAAGGCTAGTAGGGAGAGGTATATGTGTTGAGGGGAGTTGTGCGTGTTGGGGGCGGTTCTCTTAGATAATCATTTAGGGACTGAGACAGACAGTGGTTCTACCATCTTTAATGGGTGGCTTGTAATGTCACTCTGTTTTTCTTCATTCCAGCCAGCAAAAGCGCGTGGAAAAGCAAATGTGCACAATTTTATGGGCAAACCATAAAATTTGTACATATCACTTTCATTAGAAGAGCTCAGTCATGTGACCATAATTAGTTGCAAAGATGGCTGGGAAATGTCATTCCAGCTACAATCCTATTGCTCTGGAGAAAGCAGAAGTGAATTTTGATGGTCAGTTATTTTTTGCCACTGTGTTTTTCATTGTACAATAGAGTTGCATTACAGGACTTTTAGATAGAAGGAAAGGTAGACAAGGAAAGCAAGGGACTGTTTTAAGTATTAGAAGCAATTTTTCCCATCATTTTGACTCAAAGAAAATATGAAGTAAAATATGAGATAGGTGAGCACCCTCTGCCATGCTCTGTATTTGTTCTTCGTTTCTTTGTTTCTCCCACAGAGTGGGAATGTTATGATTTGAATGTGATTTTAGTATTTTAAGGAACATAACAATATGACCACTGGATATAAGTCAATCACTTCATCTGTTATTTAACTGCAGGTACCACAATCTATTTTAACACTGAAGAAAAAGGTGATATATTGGATTTCATGAGAAATGATATGTTATGATGATATACTTTATGGTGACAAGTTCTTTGGGGCACAGTTTTGACTCTACATGAATTATCCTTTACTCACAAACTTCAGAGCCTAATATCAACGTAAAAAATTCTCCTTGCAAAACAAATAAATATATGCTATTTCTTCACAGTCCCTAGAGTTTAGCTGTTGCATGTTTTAAATGTATTTCAAGTCTCATGCATCACAGACACCAAGACAGTTGTTCCCAAGTAGTGAGGTCTATAGGTACACAAGGGCAAGTAATTTACATGTTCATTAAAGGTACCACATAAAAGTAAGAAGAAAAATAGTAAGCAGCTTTGGAGTGTGTATTTGATCAGATCAGGTACTATCTTGGGCAACTTTATTAAAATAATACAAATTAATCTTTACTAATCACGGAGAAGTTATTTCGTAACAGATTGAAAATCTGAATTGACCATACACATGAAAAGCCTCATTACAGTTTAAATATACAAAGTACATGACCAGTGGCAATCCTTAAACAAATTAAGAGGAAGTTATGTTTGAATCTCTTGTATGGCAAGGGAGATATTCTTGCCTGTATTTAAATAAGTATTTAGCATAGCATTAGTACTGACAAGCATTCAAATGCTAAATAAGAAGGCCGGGCCCAGTGGCTCATGCCTGTAATCCCAGCACTTTGGGAGGCCATGGTGGGCAGATCACGAGGCCAGGAGATCGAGACCATCCTGGCCAACATGGTGAAACCCCGTCTCTACTAAAATACAAAAAATTACTCAGGCGTGGTGGCATGCACCTATAGTCCCAGCTGCTTGGGAGGCTGAGGCAGGAGAACTGCTTGAACCTGGGAGGTGGAGGTTGCAGTGAGCTGAGATTGTGCCACTGCACTCCAGCCTGGTGACAGAGCAACACTCTGTCTCAAAAAAAAAAGAAAAAAGAAAATAACATTATCTTGGTAACAGAATTCATCAAAACCACCCCAAGTCAAGCAACATGCTAGTGACAGCCAAATATCACATTTGCATTACTCAATTTTTGGAGCTATGCCTCAGAAAACAATTCCTTGGAATAAAAGCTTAGGCTTATAGTTTGTGGCAGTGTTCAGTCCTGAGTAACCTAAGTATTGTAGCACTTTCTGACTCTAACCCCAATAAAGAAAATTTGGTTTCATCCATATTGCTAGGAGAAACAAAAAAACAGTAAAACTATCTCTATGTAATAAAAGGTTATTTTGAGGATAAGACCTTTCCTGAGTATATGAGTAGATCATTTCTAACAAATAGCTGTGTTTATATAAAGTTTTGCTTATTAATCCTTATATCAACAACCTATACCCTGTGAAGAATAAGTACAGAGACACACAGCATTGGTAAGTTTTGAGAGTTATATTTTGCTGCCTCTGGAATATCACTGAGAAACTCTAGATACTATAATTTATTTATCTAAACAGATACAGGAACAATGTCTTTCCTTCCCTCCTGAAATTATATAGAATAAGAGGATAAACTATGTAAGAACCTAAAAACAAAACTTTAAACATGAAATATGAACAAATAAAAATGACTGGCAACTTCACATTTTTGGAGATTCTGGCTCTAATTGGTGACTCTTTTGATAGTGTATATTTCCAACCCATGAATCTTACTTCCTGAGGCACATTTTCAACCCTAATTCTGACTATAGGCCAGGTGTACTTCGGCACTAACAGGCTCTTTAATTCCTCCTGGCCCACTCAATTCTTGTTATTTCTTATTGAGTTCCTGTGGCTATTTGGATTTTGAATTCTGTTTGTCTTGTTGTTTCTCTTCTTGGCTTTGGTGATCAAACTACCACAGTGAAATTCTTGGCTCTTAAATACCTAGTGATATTGACTTGACTGATCATTAGGCTGTACCCTCTACTCAAGTAACTCTGGGGGAGAATTAATAAAACGTAAACCCTATTTTGCTTCCCAACTTGCCTTTTGGTTTCAGTGACCTGGATTATAACATAGCTAGAGTGAAGAGCACTCAGTGCCAAGTTTGGCATTATTGCTTGAGCTCATACATTACCGAAATCACGTGGGTGTGGCTTGATACTATTGATCTTTTTGTGATTTTACTGTTCACAATTACTAAAAATAGACTGAATTATTGTAACCACAAGTAGAAATAAAATTCTAGCAAAACACAAAAATATGAGCAATTTCTACTGATGGCATTCATAAAAATAACTATGAAATCATAATGTGCTTAAGTGAGAATCTATTTTTCTCTTAATTGAGCATAGTTCTGTTATTTCAAATATAGAACATTTTCTTCTATTTCACTTTTAATAGAACACCTCGTATTTATAACTAAATCATCTTTAAATTTTACGTTTAAAGTCAAATATATTAGTTATGTTTTGAGTGTTCTTAAGAGTCCTTAAAAATAGTTTGTGAACACTTCTATTTCTGACTGTGCTGGAAATGTGGGAAAACTAGCATCTGACAAATAAGCCATTGGAACAAAATACAGAGATCATAAATGAATCTGCACATATATGATCATGAACACCTGATTTATGTCAAAGGTGCCACTGCAATGTTTTGGGGAAATCATGTCTTCAAAAATAGTGCTGGATCAATTGGATATCCATCTGGAAAATGTAAATCTTGACTCTTGCATCACAAAATATACAAAATCAATTGTAGTTGGATTGTAGACAAATTATAAAAGTTAAAAAATAAAGCTTTTAGAAGACATCACAGTGGAGTATCTTAATGACCTTGGGGTAGGCAGAAATTACCTGAACATGACACAATTTATGTGAAAATATAGCACAATTCCTGCAAATGAGAAAAAATGCTGGCGGGTGGGGGAGATTTTCCTTAGACAAAAGTTCTGAATTGATATTCACAAAAACCAGTATATAAATGTGCAAGTAGTTTGTGCTGAATGTTATTAATCATAAGGAAAATGAAAATAACTTCACTACCACGAGAATTGCTAAAAGGGAAAAAAAAGAGAAAAAAATCAGAAATTACCAAGGATTGGAGGAATATACAGAGCAACATGAAATTTCATACACTGCATATAAGAAAGTGAATTCGTATAGTCTCTCTATTAAACTCTTTGCCAGTGTCTATTAAACTAGAATATATACATAACTTGCTCCAGCAATTGGATTAATAGAATCAATGGACATACATACCATACTGATTTAAATGAAATTAATCAATGAGAACCAGGACAGTGGTTATATTTTGAAAGTTAATGGCTAGACAGGATCATAAAGGAGGCTTCTGGAGTTCTGGTTCCAGTTATATCTCTATCCATTGTTGGCTACAAAGATGGTTAGCTTTGGCAAATTCTTTATCCCCTTAAGATCAATGCATTTTACAGTATATATGCTATTCTTGAAATGCAACATTTAAAAAAATGTTGAGCAATTTAGTACATAGAAACCTATAGTTTAAATGCTAAATATTATCTTTATATGATTCTAAAAATTAACTAAGTTTCAAAAAACAATTCATAGATATTACTAAAAGAACCTCTTTCCTGAGCTGGAAGCAGGGTAAGAATTATAGTAAATCATGTTTTGGTGGCCGTATACAGACAGACTCTTAAAGTGTAACTTTTAGCTCTTCCACTGCCTAGTTGGGTAACCTTCAGCAAGTTAATTGTCTGAGTGTTTAATGTATCATTAAATAGACGTATTACTTACTTTAAAGTGACTACATGATGACCAAAATAGTTAATACATAGAAAGTACTTAAACAATTCCTCTCACAAAGTAAAAATTTAATACGTTAACTGTATTACTTTGATGATCATTATTTTGTTGTCACTTTAACACCACTATATTAGGTCTGTAAAGTAACAATGAAAATAATACTATTAATATGTGACGCAGTCTTAGATTAAGTCATTCATTGACCCTGTTCGTCAGTTTTGAAGCCTATAGAGTAGTAGTAACAGCAGTAGTAATAGTAATAATAATAATAATGACAACACCTACCCAGTGATCCACAACCTAGGGAGTTGGACTCGAAATTCTACACTGTTAGCCCCTCTGCTCTATGGCTTTACAAAAACACCTATCAGTCAGGATGGGCTAGGGTGTGCTACAGTAACAAGCAATCTCAATGTCTCAGTGGGATATAGTGTAAAGTTTTATGTCTCACTCATGCTATGTACAATGGGCAGAGCCTTTGTACAGAGGGCAGAACCTCTCAGGCACCTAGGCTGACAGAAGATCCACATCTTGTCATATGCTTCCATAATTATCAAGGCAAGGAGAAGAAAATGTGAGAAATTATGCCCCGGTCCTCAAAACTTTTGCATAAAAGTGTTCCAGGTTACCCCTGTTCTCACAATTTTGGCCAAAGCAAATCATAGGGATGCACTTAATCTCTTCAGATGGTAAGGAAATATAATCTTTCCAGGAGATAAGGAGCCATAATATTTGGTAAACAGCACTAAAAAGCTACCACAAATGCTAAGAATATTATTTTCCTCAAATGTGAAAATGAACATAATAGTTATAATTAAAATGCAAAGAGCTATGTAATTATAAGAGATATTATTTAACCTAAATTTATTTTTGTCTCTATTGAGCATACATGTGGGATTTCATTTTGGGACAAACATCAATTATATTAACACTTTTTTTATTACTCATCTCAGTGTTCGTTAATTTTTTTTTTTTTGAGACTGGAATCTCACTCTGTCTCCCAGGCTGGAGTGCAGTGGCACAATCCCAGGGCTCACTGCAGCCTTCGCCTCCAAGCGATTCTTCTGCCTCAGCCTCCCAAGTAGCTGGGACTACAGGCGCCCGCCACTACATCCTGATGATTTATGTATTTTTTAATAGAGACGGGGTTTCACCATGTTGGTCAGGCTGGTGTCAAACTCCTGCCCTCATGTGATCCACCCGCCTTGGCCTCTTAAAGAGCTGGGATTACAGGTGTGAGCCAATGCACCCAGCCAAGTGTTCATTAGTTCCAAGCTTTGTAACTTGAATAATTAATATTTACTTCAAATGAAATTAATAACCCCCATTGTGAATTTTTTAATTGCATGATTGAATATTATAGATTAGATAGTTCTTATATTTTCTATTTTTACTTAAACTTGGAAACTTTACCACCTAATAACTACACCTATAAACAGAATAAATGTGTCAAAACTTTATATAATTAAGACTGATTAAATAAGGTTTTTTCAGTATGTTTATGTTTAATCATTAAATTATTTTTATTAAAAATGATTAAATTTTTCCAAAGTTCAATATCTAATTTGGAGTCACACATCACTGAAAAAGTGAATATAGGGAGTCAAAATAGATAGTCTGTACACATGCCAATGGACATGTTACATGGAAGTCTTTTGATATGGTAAACTTATATAATAAAATAAAAGCAATGCACAAGACCAATATAACACAAATAATTAGTTGTAGACAATAAGTGGGGAATATTAAAGATCCACTGGTAGTGTGCACTGTCTCCTCTGACCTGCAAGCAAGATCACAGATAGTGTGTATTTTTGTATCTACAGCTGGAATGATTGCAGATTAATAAAATTATGAAATCCCATGGTTACCAGAAAAAGGCATGCTTCTCTTGGATGCCTTGTTCATCTTTGAGTGCCAGGGGCTCTGCACAAGGCAAAGAACACAAGTCCTCAATAGCAGTATTTTGTGATACTTAAGTATATTGAAAAGCTGAAAGGTATAGCTATGCTTTAGCTCTTCCAATAAGAACCCAAGCAGTCTATTAGGACCAATATGTATGAAAAACAATAACATTTGGGACTTTAAGTTGGCAAAAGTTCACTTCAGTATTTAGTAATAAAAGGGTTTTTTTAACTGTGACAATTTAATAAGGCTGCATTACTAGAAGTATTAAAATAATTCTAAACACATTAGAATTATTATTATCCCACCCAATAGGCAAAAAAATTTTAAATTTTATAACATCAAGTGTTAGCAAGGCTGTGGAGTAACAAGAACTCTGAAAACAATGCTGGTGGGAATTGTGCATATTTGCTCCTGTCTCCCACACTGGCCAGACCACTTCTGGGATGGTAAATTTAATTCCAAGTACCTTACAAGAGCGGTTTTCTTTTTATTTTCTTTATTGTATTAAAGACTTGAAAATTCCTTTTCAAAATCAAAATTGATAAGGAGGCTTACTATGTAAAATGAATAAAAGCTCAGCCTGAAAATTGGAAAGGCTGGGTGGGTGGAGGTAGAACCCAAATCCTTCCTTTCTTCGATGAGGCTTTTGTGAAAACCACCAAACTAGAGAGTATCATCGGGCCTATGAAGAGGAAACCATATCAGTAAGAGATGGTTGAAAGAAATGAAGATATTCAACCTGAGAACTGAGAGATGAACTTGACGACTGATCTCAGATATTTATAGAAAGAGCTTTGGGCTGGGAGAGGACAATGTATTCTGTGCTGCTGCTGAGAACAAAACTAGAATAAAGGAAAGGAAGTTATGAGAAAGAAGGCATTTCCTCTGACTTGAGAAAAGTAAGAAAATGATGAACACTCCACTTACATTGATTTGATCTTTATAAATTATATGAATGTATTAAACTATATGCACCCCCAAAAGATGTACATTGGTCATGTATCAATAGAAAAAAGAAAATTTTTCTAAAACATGAAAAAATAACTACCTAATGATGAACATAGCCAACTAATGCAACTATGAATAATTGACCCTACAGATACAAAGCAAAAGCCAATACCAGCATCAACTATGCCTCAATCTACCTGATTGCCCTTTGTCAGCTTCATTTTTTCTTCTAAATGCAGTTTTTCTTAAATGCTGTTTCTCACTGGGCCTACTGCTCTTTCTATTCCATTAATCTTTCACTTCAGGTAAGCAAGAGGGACAATTCTGACAAGATAAGCAAGGGTCAAGTGATATGAAACTCTTATCCACTAATATTGGCAATCAATTGCAATTATTCTTAGGATTATTAGTCCCTCAAGCCTCTCTTCATTGATCAGCTCTCTATTCATTCGTCTCACACCTTCTAGCTCAAATTTGCTGTGGTATCATAATGTGTTTGAAAGAGTGCCTCATAAGCAATGAAAAAAACAGAGTATCTTTAAATATTAGTCAACAGCTGGTTTAATTAAATATCTCTCCGCCCACACTGTACTACATTGATTACTTTTTAAAGAAATGGCTAAATGAAGACATTAATTATTTGTATGTGGTGCATATGCTTTCATGCACACTATTGTATTTTAATTTACTTTTTAACAAGTAAGCCAATATGATTTTAAAATTATTTCCCATTTGTCATGGATGCTAATAAAGAAAAGAAATCTACTAATTTTTGCCATATTAAATTTAACCTCTTTTTTTGTGCTTTCTAGTTACATAGTTCTTGAGGAAATCAAACTAGAAAAAATGGATTTAACCTTTCTGCTTTTTAGTCCGCATAAATAGACACTTAGTGTGGGAGATAAGTGAAATACTCACTTTTGGCTGCCTTAACAGTTTGGAAATAGAATATGTACACATTTTTCTCTTGATTATTTGTCTTTTATTAATCATTCTATGTAAAACTCAAATACAATAAGGCAAACTGATTACTCTGCAAAATAATTGTCATCTGAAGCATTAGATAATTCAATTATATTCTGCTTCTTTTGGGTGGGTATATTATGATTAGTTTTTTGGCAATTCTATAAACCACATAGAGTATGTATGGTAATTCTGTATTAGCCTGCTTATTTACTCATTATGATACCAATACCATGTGCCATAAAGGATTGCTTATGCATATATAAGCACATGGAGACATTAAGCTTTCTAGGTGAAAAATCCTTTTGAGTTAATTTGTTATGGATTTTGAAATTTCTTAAAAATTTAAACTGTGTGTATATGTGTGTGTTTTGTACTTATGGACAGTTGTGCAAATTGCTCATTAATGATATTAACAAGAAAATTACATATAAAACTAGATATTAATGAATATACTTTATATATTTTTCAACGTAAGGCTGAAAAACATGCTTCTAAAAATGAAAGTTATACTGCTGCTTTTCAGATGGATTATGGATTGTCTGGAGATCATATTCTTATTGTAATATTTAAATAAATTCTGATCTAATTTAAAGGGAGTGGGACAGCTACAGGGGGAGGAGCAGCTACATTCAGTGTTTGCGAAGTTCCACTCTGTTTCTGTGATTCTGTCATGAGGGACACCAGATCTAGAAAGCTCTTTTCTTCCTCAACACAATCTTTTTATGCTGTGCTTCCTTCACTTTCAAAGAACTTGTACTTGCCATCTCTACAGTTCTCTTAAATGGAAGGAAATATTTATAAACATTGAGTTATCCTGGTTCGTGAACACCACCACCACATCCTCACCACTGGATAGAAAACAGAGTAACTTCTCTGTTATCCCTGAACAAAAGCTTAGCTCTTGTACTTCCAGAATCAAAGACAGTTCATCTCACCACATTTAATTCTGTGACCCTAATTTAATATTATTTTACCTGGGTACTGCTGATGCTGAATTTGATCGAAGGACTACAATCAGAAATGCATTTCCTTGCACTGACCTATTGTTATTTCCTCTAAAATATATTTAGAAGTGCAGTAATCATTTAGATAATGGAAAGAAAATGGGATTGAATGTCAGAAAACATCCTCTGTCTCTGTTGCTTACTGTCTGTATGACTTCAAACACTTTACTTAAATCTCCTGTGTCATTGTTAAAATGCAAGTGATAGTAGTCCACCTGAGAGGATGGCATGGGAAATATTCAAATCAATGAGTGTGAAAAAGTGTTTCGTAAATATACCAGAACTATGTCTGTTCTTATAAGTACGACAAAAGTAGTTGTTCGCTTTGAAATCAGTTACTGAATAAATAATATTGATTGGATAAACATACAGTCTTTGCAAGTGTACCATACACTTTATAAGTGTATCATAGACCTAGAAATCTTAGAAAATAATATATATCTAGGTTTTTCCCCTGAAAATAAACCAAAAAATTTTCAGGTATTTCAAAAATAGATTTGTATAGATGTTTTAAAATCTTTTATTCTTTTACTATTATCTCTTTGTGTATAAAAGTCTTATAATTACTTCTTTTTAAACCTAAATTTAGCATATTTCTTTTCATTCCTTTAACTCAATTGAATAATAAATTGTTTTTTAAAAAGCTCTTTAAACGAATATTCTCTAATGACTTACCCAAGAAAATACCTGTTGTTTTTTTTTTTCAGAAGTCTGAACCACTATTTTGTTCTTTAGTGAACCACGTAACTAACCACACAGCTTTAAAAATGTTGCTGTATCAGTCAACCATAGGTCATTCACTTCATTCATTCTTCCATTCATGGGAGTGCTGCTGGAATGTATATGGATGATGGTAATGGGTTTTCCATGAAAACTGTGGTAGATTCCATGGTCACTTATTCAAGGAATTTATCCCCTTTAATTTTATAAAGAACTTATGGGCTTACCTTAGCCTATATTGCGGAAACCAAACATCACTAATGAGCTTAGTAAACAACTCTGGGTTTTCTTACTCATGAGAATTTAAGTGATTCACCTGTGCTTCCTTTTAGAAAACATGAAATTGAAATCTTTGCTTTATTTCAAAGTGGGTGGTCTGAGGTACTAAATTGCATTGCTAATGCGGAAGTACCTGAGCCTAGAAAAATAAAGAGGAAGAATGAATGTTCACATGCTACTCTTACAGTCTGATGGCATTACATTGACCTGTCTCCCTCACGGTGGCCATGCTTCCGTGGTCCATCTTTGCCACGATAGCATTTTAACTGTGCAGTGTAATTCACCTGGGATTGTTCTTATCCTATGTGAGTGCTTTATTAATTAGCTTCATTCTTTCTCATATTCTCAATATTAACAATAAAATTACCTAGATATTTTTATTTTTTGACAAAAATATCACTTTCAATAATTCAGTTTTTAAAAGTTATATCATTCACAATAGACTAGAACAACAATTGTTTTCTTTTTGGGTCACCCAGGACTTGCCTCTAGATCTGTGATAAGACTAGTCTCTGTGAAGGTACCAAACCCAAAGTCCTGAACTGGAATTCAGGAGACTTGAATTTGGGTCTTGCTCTTTCACTAACTTGGTGGAAGATGTAATCCTGTGCTTCAGTTTTATCAGATGTATCACCCAGGGCAAGTCACTTGACTTCCTTTATGCCTCAATTTCCTCATCTGTAAAAGGAGATAATAGAAATGATTACCTCTTAGCATTGTTGTAAGGCATCAATGAGATTATGATGATAAAGGACTTAGAACTGTACTGGGCTCATACGAAGAACCTGTGTGTTATCTACAATAATACTAATCTTCCTTGTCATAGCTCCTGTGCTTTTCACTTCACAAGGCTATACTGAGAATCAAATGACATAATAAGTATTGTTTCAGTTTTTATTGCTGCATAGCAAACTTATCAACTTAAAACAACATCCATTTACTGTCTTACAGTTGCTATATGTCAAAAGTCCAGGGATGGCTTAGTTGGATCCTCCGATCAGGAATTCAAAAGGCTGACATCAAAATATCAGCTGAGTTGTGTTCCTTTCTCCTGCTCAGGGTCTTCTTTCAAGCTCATAGGGCTGTTGGAAACTCACACGGATGTCATTTGATCAGCACTCAGGAGGACCTCATATATTGTAAAACGCTCGATAATATATAACTAAATAATGATGCAGGGAAAGATTGAAAACAATTACATCTTTCATTAAAATAGAATTTAACCCAGAAATTCACACAAGAAACTACCAGTACTTTGTTAATAGGAGTGCCTTCAGGGCAGGGCTGAATTCCATATCGACACAGAGATTAGTAAAACTTTTATACATGGAAATAAGTAATATTATATAAAATAAGGAATATAGATTTCAGATTATATTTAGTGGGTTTTTTGTTTTTGTTTTTGAAACAGGGTCTCACTCTGTTGCCCAGGCTGGAGTGCATGGTGCAATCATGGCTCACTGAAGCCTCAACTTCCTGGGCTCAAGTGATTCTTCCACCTCAGTCTCTGGAGTAACTGGGACTACAGACATGTGCCAGTATGCCCAGCTAATTTTTTTTGAATTTTAATAGAGATGAGTTCTCGTTTTGTTGCCCAGACTCATCCTGAACTTCTGAGCTCGGGCAATTCTTTTGCTTCGTCCTTCCAAAGTGCTGGGATTACAGGCATGAGCCACCATGCCCGGCTTGTATCTGTATTAAAACTTGACTCTGCCACTCTTGGCAATATGATCTTGGATGAATTACTTTTTCTTCCTGGGACTTGATTTCTGACTCTTTAATCAGAGTAACACTGTCTACTTCAGGAGATGTACTGAGGATTAAGTGAAATATCCTATGCCAAGCTCTTAGAACAATATTGGGTACATAGTGAACACTTAGTAAGTGATGACTATTGTTGCTATTGCTACGATTATTTATTTTAATAATCTTAACATGTAGCTTCATGTCTGGAACATTATGTGCTCAGAAAATATTACTTTCACCCTTCTTCAGTATCTGTTTAGTTGAACTGGATCTGTAGAGGAGAATATTTTGGATATTATCAATCTGAACTAGGCTAAGTGGTTGCCATTTGCCTAATTTTATTTAATTTTCTACGATTTTCTTCCTCCCTTCCTTCCTGCTTGTTTGCCTGCCTGTCTCCCTTCCTTTCTTCTTTCTTTCATTGTCCTTCCTACCTTCTTTATTCTTCTCTGTCTCTTCCTTTTATTTCTCAACCTTTTTTTTCCCAAGCAGATATTATTTTAAATTTCCGAACAACTTATGTCAGCAAGTCTGGCCAAGTTATCTTTGAAGCAAGATCAATTTGCATCCACTATGTCACAACCTGGTTCATCATTGATTTAATCGCTGCCCTGCCTTTTGATCTTCTGTATGCTTTCAACGTCACAGTGGTGAGTAAAGAGCTCCCCGCCACATGGCCTTTAAGGTTGATTTATTTATCGCATGTTCAGGTTTTAAATGCTTGTGGCGATTTATGCTTCCAGGGTTTTGTGCCTTCTTCAATAAAGATGCCCTGATGCCCAGTGATATGCAGGCCAGATTCTTCAGTTGATGAAGTTACTTCCTTTTGACATTCATATTAGCTGTTCATGCTTTTTTCAATACCTGGAGCCAGGAAACACAGAAATGCTGAATTTATCATAAATACTGACCCACTAAACAAATTCTTTAATAAGGAAATCATCTGTAGGAATTTAAGCATCACTTTATATTACCTAGGCAGATACATGTGTCAAGAATTTGCTAGAGAGTTTGAAGATTTTTTTTTCTGCTTGTATGACCCTTAACTCTCTATTTCTTTAGTATTTTGTTATTCATTGGCAAAACCAACTGAAGACTGATCAAGATAGAGAGGACTATTGAATTTAAATGAGAAAATTCAACCGCTTCTTAGAAGTCCTTGTAAAACTGTTGGATGTAGCAAAAATCTAAATCATATGACTAATGTAAAACTTGAGAGTTCTCTTGAATTTGCATGAATCTTGGTACCTTCTTTTTCTTGCTCTAAATCCCTTACCCTCATGTAGCCTCCCAGGACAGAAAGCATATCACTTGTAGTAGCAGCCATTTTTATAATTTAATGATTGGTATTCTTAAAAGTATTAAATGCTCCCTTATAAAGAAACTTTTAGGGAGGCCATTTGTGAAGCAGTAATGCAATTTTCTGCTAGAGTAACCAATTACGGCGTGTAAAACTTTATTAAACATTAGTTCAAATTAATCAGATATTCTAGTCAATTGACAGTGCTTTATAGAAATCATATTCTCTTTCAAAAATTTAAAGGCATAGTTTTAAATATTAAACACAATAATCACAGTTTCAAATACAATTATCATTAACTTCAGAATGAATATGGAATTGTGATCCTGACTTGTTAGTGCAGACTTGTGCATTTGTTAATTGCCTGTACAATAGTTTCTTTTTATTCTTTTTCTTTTTAAGTTGGGAGGTTGACAGTGCCAACATCTTTAAAACGTTTATGACTCAACTGAAAGGAAAGCTCCCAGGAAAAATCTAGTACATATCAATCACTGCTACATTGAATTGTTATCTAGGCTTTCTACAGTGCTTTTTAAGATTGAATTTGACTAGATAAGTGTACCATCATGAAACTATAATGGCTTAAAACCATGTTTTTGCAAGACTGCAGAATAAGTATATAATTCACAAAAGGTTAAAAAAATTTCCAAATTCCCCTGGCAAATTGTTTTAAATTGTTCATTAATTATTTAATACAATTCCATTTTAAATTAATTTGCTGCTTTGCTACTAAAAGCGAATACTTTTTTATGTTCCATTTTTATTTGAGTACTGAGCGAATATTTTAAATATGTATATATAATATACAATTATATTATAGGTATATATAACATACATTTTTATATCATTAACATTCTCATTCCCCAGAATTAACATGGATGAAGAAATGCCTTAAAGTCTAATTCGCATGTTTGATGAATTTTAAATATTTATATACTTTCACTACACTCCTGCTCTCTTTTCGTCAATCTTATGTAATCTAACACAAATGCTTCATAAATAATACAAGGTATAGGGCAACATCTGTGTCAAAAAAAAAAAAAAAAGAAAAGAAAAAGGGGAAGGAATCTGTTACCAGTGATACTTGTTCTGCTTTTCACAGGAGTGAGCATATGAGAATTTAAAAAGCTGGCACCTAAATTCGTTATCCCTCTTAAACAAGTTAGTCAGGATCAAATATCCTATAATATTTGAACAGAAAAGCTTGTTCAAGGTATTATGTTTTCTTCTCAGGAAAACATAAGTTATGAGGAATAACTTATGAGTTATGCTCTTTTACAACAAAGACTTAGAAAAAGAAACAAATAACCAAAGATGTTTGTCTCCCAAATCTAAAATATGTCCAGTTAATGCATCTCCATAGGTGACATTCAGAACTGCATAAGCTTTGGCTTTGGCTCTGCTCACAATTGCTCATGGCAGTTCTTTTAAGTACGGATCACATGCTTTTTGAAAACTAGTATGTATATCACTGTAGAAGGCACTTATAAGAGATACAATTATGAATAAGACATAGGAATGTTGATAGAGTAGAAAGGGCAGAAGTATGAATCCAAGTTCTATCATTTACCATCTGAGTAACTTATTTGGGGAAGTTAACATTAAAATATCCATAAAATGGGCATAATATAATTCCTACAGAGTTTTTGACCAGACTGAAAATGCAACATATCTATACAATGCTTTGCTAAATGTCTAAAACCTAAGAAGACCTCACAACATATTAGTTAGCCACCTCTCTCTCTCTTTCTCCCTTCTGGGTAATAGCTAGGAGATGACCATGTCCATTGGTAAAAGGGGAAACTCCCATTTTATAGGGGGGTTTGATGAATGCACCTGTCTATGAGTAGCTTATAATTCTCATCAGTGACAGATTTGAAACAGCATCCAAAGAGTCAAAAGAATCCTGTCCCTTTTTCAGATACATATTTCCATCTAAGTCAAATATGCTTCTTTCTCCTGTCATTCTTCAAGAGAAAACATTAAAACTGTAGCAAGAAGCTACTGACTCCGATGGGAGCAAACATAATTTCTTTAATGCCAGTTTTTATTGACTTAAGAATGAACAAAGAACTATGTGGGTCATCTGGACACCTAGGTTCAAGTTCCTAATATTTGCAGATGACTATTGTTCTCATGTACAAGCAGCTCTACATTCTTTGCTCAAACATCCCCTTTCCGGTCAGAGAAAATGGGGAGACTGTATCAAAATTATGTGTGCAGATGCCCTCCTCCATTTGGGACTTCCGTTCCAGTTTTCATTTCACTTACAAAATTGTCACCTAACCATCAAATTCATCTACCTGTAAAATAAACTCCATCCCCAGTAATATCTTTAAATAACAGAATAGAGATTACAAATCTTGGCATCTGACCATCTAGCTAACCACCAGCTTGAGAAATCATAGATGAGAACTTAGCTATAAAGGAGAAGAAAGTAAAACTTGACACAGGAGAATGACAAAAAGAAATAAAAGAGCACAGCTAGCTGTCAAGTTCTTCAAGCGCCCTTAAGAGTTTACTGTATTTGATATAGAATAATTCACAAGATTACAACTGAATATAATTTTGTTGGATATCAATTTCTACGCTGAGCTTGGAGTGTTTGCATCTTAACTTGATAATTTATTCATTCACTCATCTAATAAATATTTATTGAGCATTTTCTATGTGTCAGGTACTGTTCTAGGTATGTTTTTCTTAGAGATAAGAGAATATGGCTAGCAGAGGAAAGAATTGGAAGTCAACTGACTTTAGATAAATACAAAAGCAAACTCCCAGTGCTGACCTTGTGTCTGTTCAGTTTTGTAAAGGAAAGAGTGAGGTTAGTTAAAGCCATAAAGTTACTCCTTCTCTACTTGTGCTTTCCCCAAAGAAATTAAAGGTGACATCAAGAAGTTTGTCAAACTGCATTTCCATATGATTTAATGTTTTATTTGTTGTTTCTATCTTAGAATGTTCTTTGAAGGTATGAAAAGAAGGTGTGTTATGTGCACCCCTTATTAATGGTGATATTGACTATTCTGGTCCACACCAATGATACATATTTTTCAATTGGACCCTGAAGTCAATAAAATAACCCCTCAGCTACAAGTCTACTGCTATAGTGGATGCAAAGGCACTAGGAGACTCTTCAGAAATTCCTGTCCATTTCATTTTAATTCCCTAAGCATGTCTGAGAGAGCGCTGAGAGAGAGAAAGAGAGAGAGAGAGAGAGAGCGAGCTTCAGGCAAATGTTTCCTCTGTCCATTGATAACGTTGGAAGTATAGTACATGAGGCAGAAGATGCTACTGGTACTTGTGGGCAGAACTTACTCAAGTTTTATGGGTCTACCTATTTTAAAAAATAATCTCTAAGGTATTTTTATTATCACTTTCTGTGCCTTTACTTCAATTTGTCTGAATTATTATTATAAAGCAATTTCATTACACAGGGAAGGGAATGTAGGGTTGAAAGAAAATATGTGTAGGGGATTTGAGATATGTACAATTCTGATACCATAATGTGTTTCAGTTGTGTATCAGAATGTAAACTGCAGTATGAAATCAGACAGGAAGTGAAAAAAAGATAACCCCTAATTAAGAAAGGTGTTTACTCAAATAAATTAAATTATCCTTCCTATCCTATCCTTTATTCCAGCCTCTTTAATTCTATCACTTTCTGATATAATATGTCAAGAACAAAGAATTCATAAAAATAATAATATGAAAATAATTATACTTCATTTCCAGAATTTTTAGAATGGCTCCAAGTTAATGTTGTGGTATGAATTTAACACATGCACCAAGTTGTGCTGCTCTGTCTCTTACCACAGGTGTCTCTCGTGCATCTTCTAAAGACAGTGCGCCTCTTGCGTCTTTTGCGTCTGCTGCAGAAGTTAGACCGCTATTCCCAACACAGTACTATCGTCCTGACTCTGCTCATGTCCATGTTTGCACTCCTTGCACACTGGATGGCGTGTATCTGGTACGTCATTGGAAAAATGGAGAGGGAAGACAACAGCCTTCTGAAGTGGGAAGTTGGTAAGGGCTTACATTTGTCACATTTTCCATTTTTTAATTTAAAAAAAAAGAGTATCAAGAACTTGGAGGAAGTGAAAGATAAGTCTATAAATATATTTATTCTTACTATCAATTTGTCTAATTAATTTCTATTTTTGAATCCATGACACAAGTAATTTATTTCAATAAGGTTTTCTGGAACAACGTTACATTTTTTTCAAAAATTAATGGGTTAAACTGAGAAATTTTATATATAATCAAAATGACCAGTTTGGCTGTAGAAGTGTTTAGATAAATAATGTTCAATCTTATCTTGAAATGTTCCGATGCAGGGCTAGTAATAGTAAATCACTGGGAAACTGGCCTATGGTCTATCACTACGATAACTTAACTAATAAGAAAATGATCACTTATATTTGAGGTGGCGTATTAATAGAGAAGATATCCTACCATCCTTCCCTTTACAAGGAGAGAGAGAGTGTGTGAGAGCGAAAGTAAACAAAATAACACATTCTCCACATTTAGCACACTTTGAGAATTTGTGATGGTAGAACGGACTGGACATTTACAAACATAATTTATAGTTTTGAGTCCCCATAATACATAGGAGTTTAAGGGAGATTTTTTGAATGTTACATAATCTGCATAAATGAATCGGAAACACTATGCACATGAACACATTTTTAAACTTATGTCAACCACAGTAAATTTATAGAAAATGAAAATTCTCAAAACTATAACTCTCTATCCCAAAAATCTGCATTTTTCTCACAGTCATACCCTTTAGAGAATTGTCACAGTACCTTATGTAGAATTTTTTTTTATTAATCTGAGATTTAATCAAAAGAATCTGCTTCTCAGTTGGCTAGAAAATCCTTCACTTATCTTCTCTATCAAAAATCAATCTTGAACTTTTGGAAGAAGCTCAGACCTTTGCATAGGAGACTGCCAAGAAAGAAAAATGCCCAGACTTTTCATACCAGCACTTAATGGCTGGACATATTTGGAACATCCCTGTGTTGGCCCTCATAAATGGCAATCTCTCAGCATAGGACATATACAAAGCCTTCAAAGGCAGCACTGGAGGAAGAGCTGGAGACCTTAGGAAAGCAGGTGGAAGGGAATAAGCTCCTCTCCAAGTTCTTAAAAATACCTCTTCACATCCCAATTTTATTTCTGAGCTACACAAAACAACTGATGTGTTCTTATAATTTTTATCTTAGAATGTTTTTCTTATCTTCTTTATCAAAGCACTTTTTAAATGTCTTGCTGTGGGTCCTCAATTCTAGGAAACAAAGAAAATGGGGAAATAAAACTACCAAGTGAAAGCAAACATATCTTAGATAAAAATAAGATCCAATAAGAAAGAGAAGGAGAAAGAGAGAGAGAAGAGTTGGTTAAAAGGAGGATCAGGGTCTGAATTGTATGTGGATTAAAACATTTTCTATCTTTCGATATTGTTTTCTTCTCCATAACTTTGTCTTGAAGGCTTCCTCATCACATCATATGTCATCATCCTAATGGTGTTCAGTAAATTACAGCATTAGATCTCTGCCCTTTGTTTTGAATTCATATTAAAATTCTGACTTGTGGTCAGCACCTGATTCCTTTTTAGACCTGACCTAATTTTCCTCAGGCCCCAGACCTATACACTCATATTAATTTGTAAGTCTCGTCTGGTCTGAGAGTCTCCAGATGGGGAAATTTAGCTTATTCACACTCTCAAATTTAGTTATATGAACAAAGCCTTTTGTTTCATTTCCAACATGCCAGGCTTGCTGCAGACTTAAAATCTAGCTGTTGTTTTTCTTCCCACAACATATAGAGGTATTTATTTGTCAATTAAAAAAAAACAATCTGAATTGCTTCTATATTTACCCCCTTACTTGTATTCTTGGTCCTTGTATTATGGTTCAATGTAATGAGTAGCAGGTTGTAAGCCAGAAACCAATCTCGCAGAGAGAGCATTGTCATGAAGTAGTGGCAAGAAGAGCACTGGGCTGGGGGCAATAGACCTCTCCTGTCATCATGGTTCCATTGCTAATCAGCTGTCAGATTTGCAATATTTTTTTTCACCTGTTTGGGCCTCAGTGTCCTCGTCTACAATGTGAAAAAGCTCACCATATAATTTGAAAGTCTATTTCTGGTTTCATGAGTAATGATTATCAAGAATAAACAAACCCCAAAATGTGCTTCATATATCTATATATACACACACACATATATATACGTGTGTATATATACACACATATATATATATGTGTGTATATATACATATATATATTTTTCTTATTATGGGTCAGTGTCCACATAAACCATCAGAGGATATATTAGAAAGTACATCCTATGATCATGGCATGTCAAATAATTGATAATCTTACTCATTTATGATAAAAATGACCGAAAATTTATCTTTAGAGAATTAGATTTCCTGTCCAAGCACCTACTGGGATATGACTAGCAAGAGAGTATGCTAATTAAGTGTGTAAATATTGGGTTTACAGGCTTGTCTACAAAGACTTTCCCTTCTCCTAAAATTACTTGCATCATTTAAATGTTCATTTAAAACATTCCCCAGCTGAGATTTGAACACAGATTAAATAATCATGACCTTCCCTACCTAACTTTATAATGAAGTAGCTTAGAGTCTACGCTACTTTAATTTTTACCCTGTAATCTGTGCACTAATGGTAAATTTTACCTTTTTGGGTCCAATTATCATGAATCCAAAAATTTATCATACAAATATTTGATGAGAGAGCATGTTGTTCCTTATGTTTGTGTTTAACATTAGATGTATAAAAATAGATTCAGTTTCCCAAAGGATAAAATTTCTTTCTAATTATTGTTAATTCCATAAAATGAGATATTTAAGTGCCCATTACATACTTGGTTCTGTGTTAGGCACTGGGGATACCAAAACAAATAATAGAGCTTAAAATCTGGTGGGAAAAGTAGACAAAGATTTAATGGGCATATTACAGTGCAATATATTTTATAAAAGGAATAGGTATAGAGGGGTGGCACTAAATCTAACTAGAATATCATCAAAGGCTTCTCAGAGATGACCTGAGTTTTAAAGGGTGAATAGGCCTTGTCTGTATAGATGCTGAGGAAAAGGCATTTGTGACAGCAGGGTTATTAATATATTAAGCAATTCACTCTCACAGAAGGTGAATGGAGGTGTGGTAGAAAGGCAATGAGGCCAAAGAGGTAGGTAGGTAGATACCAGATCTTTAAAGACTGTGCTAAGCTTTAGAGTGTAGACTTCATCATAAGATACAGTGAGGGATAAAGTTCCCTTTTGAACAGTGATCCTTTGAACATAGAGCGCCACCAAACAGTGGGAGATGTTTCACTCTGCTTCATTTTCAAGGACTGTAAACTGACAATAATAATAGTGCCAACCTCAGTGGGGTTACCAGTATTAAATTAGGCAACATATATAAAGCATTTATATTGGTATGTAGTAACTGCTCAGTAAGTAACAGCTAGTATAATTCTCATTATCATTGTATTATGACAATTACTTCTAATGAAGGAAAGACCATGAACTATGACTAGTGAATACTTATCATTTTATGTACGAAAGTTACTAAGAAATAGCTTTAAAAGTATTGCCTTTGCGGTTTAGTTTGGTGCTGGACAAAAATTATATGCTTTTGCATATCTTCAAAGTAATTTATCTGTACCACCTTTCAATTGGAAAGTCAGCCTCTGAAAAATGTTTACATAGGCTCACAATTGCACATACGTAGGAAATTTTTATTTCAGGTTCATTTAGGAGGCAAGTCCTATATCAACCTTGTAACCTTGTTAGGATATATCAAATTTTTATGGAATTTAGATATAGTGCTTCAAGGGTAAGATTAAACACTGTATTAAAGAGACATGTCACAACTGAATCAGAGAGTGCTTTTTACAGTTTAATTTTTGGGAGGCTGCAAAGAAATGTTTCAGAAGGATCTCTTTGCAGGGAGTGGAGGATGCTTTATTTGTTTACAAGAGGACGTCAATAAATATCTAAAAATGTACAAGTAGACCTTGCATGTTTTCTTATATCTCAGTTAATATATGTATATATTATTTTAGCTACTATCACTTCTAAGGTTTAATCAATGATATTGAATTAGTCTCTGAAGAACTCCATTAGCATCCTAATGTGAGTTCTGATTTGCAGCTCAAAAGCTTCAGGTCTGAATCCTGCTTCAGGAATGTGATTTTGAATCAGGCATGTGATTTTGACCAAAATGACCTCAATGTGTGGTTTTTCATTAAACAATCTCAGATTTGTTGTCTATGAGTGTGGCAATACTGACTCTCATGAGTACTCACTTCACATAGTATCTGGTACATAGTGTGTGCTTGCAGTTGGTAACTGCCAGCATTATCACCACCACCTCTGCTCTTATTGTTAATTGAAGCCCTCTGAAACTCCAGCCACCTGTTCAAACTTATATCGATGAGCAATGTAGAACTGAAATAGCAATACTCTTAAAGTCTAGTGAAGAGGTGATATTTTTGTATCAGTCATGATTCTTGATTGCAAGTAAAAACAAAAAAGGAATTCATTAGCAGGATGTGTAGACTCAGAATTAGAAGGATACAAAACAAGACTAGGAAAAGAACATGAGCTAAGGTAGCCCCAGATTGCCAATGCAAGAAGTTCAATTGTGACATTTCACAAGGATGGCCTGAACATGTTTCTGTCTGTAGATCCTGTGCGGGAGTCCTAACTTCCCCTGCACCTCTGATTCACAGTGCCTGAGGGAAGAATTCAATTGGCCAAGCTAAAATCACATGCTCAGACACAGACTGCCAGGACAAGAAGACTCTTTCCATCTTACCCTTCCATGATGGAAAGTGGAGCCCTGTGTCTCTCCATTACTATATACAATGAAGAACCCACCCATACCCCTACCAGATACGATGTTAGCCAGCAAAAAAAAAAAAAAAAAAAAAAAAGCATCATAATGTCAGACAGAATTAGCTGAAATATGGAGAAGTGGTATTTTTGATGCATCTTGCTCACTGTAACAAATCTGTGTTCCTTATGTGAGTCTAACGGTGGAATCCTACTTACCAATCTGTGTTTCCTCAGCTATAATAGATTGTGTCTTGGTCAGTAGCTCCCATTTTATAGCTAAAATGTTACCTTATGTTCTTTTTCAAAATTACCTCTAAGACAATGACAATCTGAATTTTAAAATAAATAATCTACTTCAAAGGTCAAAGAGTATTTTGTAATAGAGAGGAAGCTCTTTTATCTCTTACCCTTTGGCTGGAGCAAGCGTATCCATTGCAGATGCCTAAAAGTGTATCTGTATCATGCGGGGTAGGGTGGGAAGGCCAAGAATCTAGAATGGGAAAAAAGGGATTAAGTCAGACATCATTTTCAAATTTTCATTGACAATTTTAATCCTAAATCTCCTGATCCTCGTTGGATAAAACCTCATAAATGCTGATTGATTTGAACGGCTCTCTAGTTATTAACTACTTAGCATTTACAAGCCTTTTGTAAGAAAAAAAAATGACCAGGCTTATGATGTTGTAGGCTGATTACTTCAGTAACTGCATCGGTTTTCCTAAAGAAGGTTGAATTTACTAACCCTACTTTTTCAGGGTTTACATAAAGAATTATAAAAACTTTTAAAGCTAACCCTTACTTGTAGATTCGCATTCTTAAGAATGCATGAGATAAAGAAAAGAGGAAAAAATCTAAAATGAAGTTTTCCAGCCATTAAAGTGGACACTAGTGAAGGACTCCTGGATTTATTTTTTTAAAACATAAACCAGTACCTTAAGCCTTAATGTGCACTGGAATGAACCAAGGATCTCCTTTAATATAAATTCTAATTCAGGAAGTCTGAGGTGGAGTCAAGACCCTCCTTTTTTAAACAAACTCCACAGTGATGCTGGTGTCACTGGTCCTGCACACCGGACTGTGGGTGGCAAGGTTTTTAAAATGTCTTGAGACTTTTGAGGAAGTTAATACTCCCAGTTGTAAACAACACTAACCAGTAACAATTCAGTCCTTTCTATCCTTTTCCACCGTCCTATACTTTTTCAATCCCCAACACATCTGCAAATTTATTTGGACATAGTTTATTTCTGATGGACAAAGGAGGTCTATCTAAAAGCAGTTAACCTCAATACTGAAGTAGTACAACACAGTACTTAAAATGTCATCACAAACAATTTATATTACTGTTAGTTCCAGAAGACGCAAATCAAATACCATCCATTTTAAAAGTTTTGTCAATGCTCTATTCTATTTTCATAAGGGCTTCTAGAAAACAGAAAATATTTCCACGTTTTAGAAGTAAGATTTTACTCTTTTGTCGTAAGGAGCAAATGGTATATTTTAAAGACTCAATTTTTTTATATTTTAAGTATAGCAATAAACTTTGCTTCTTATAAAAATAGAGGAAGTAAAGTATATATAGCAATGTCCAATTATGAAGTTGCATTATCTCTGCAGTCTGATCTCGTATTTAAAGATTATTGGGGCATTTAGATAGTAAGAAATACAAAAATTTGCATTTAATTGCATAATATTCTCAGTCCTTTGAAAGGGAATTTCTGGGTTTCAGGTAGCAGACAGGGAGTTAATATGATTTCAAGTTGCCACGGTTGCTTAAGAGGAGAAAATACTTATACCTAGAAAGGAATGAACCTACAATATACTCAGTATCTTTGCACCACAGTTTCCAAATGTGTTCACACTTCCTACCAAACACTCCAAGCAACAAAGATTCTGTTATCATGTAAGTTTGAGAAATGTAGCACACTGCATCCCTGTTCGTAAAGACTGAGAAGGTATATTAGCAGCATATAATAAGCTCAGAGAAATTCTGAAGAAATTGATTAAACTTTATTTAAAAGAAATGTTGCATAAATTTATTTTCTATCATAATCTTTTTCTTTTTTGTACATATTGTTAATACTCTATTAACATCCTATCCTATGAATTTGAAGTTTTAAAAACACACCTTAGGAAAAGTTACTAAAACCAATATCATAATAGGAAGAATAATCATGGTTTTAATCTTTTAAAAATATAGGACATCACATGTATCATCCTACAGTAAATCTACAAAAATAGAGAGCAAGATTATTCTCGCTACAAAATGGAGATAAAAATGCCTACTTAGAAAATCACTGGTGAGCGTAAATAAGAGTATATGTGAAAGCAGTTTGCAAATTGAAAAGTGCTATAGAATTATGATGTGTTATTTTTGGGTCATAGTTAACAGTATACACACATATACATACATGTGTATATGTATATTTATGCATGTATAAGAAAGAAAGACAGGAATGTGTATATGCTATACCACAAATTCCTGTCTTCGTGTTCTCCACGATACTGATCCTAGCATGGATGTAGAGAGGACATGCACAATACATGTATTTGAGTGAATGGATGCAGGAATAAGTGGGTGAACAACAAATAGGGATTCTGTACCTTATTACTAGGTCACCCTTTAGCTTAAACGAGAAAGACATTCTGAAATCAGTCTTCCTTCAGTGTTTGGAAGTTATGCTTGTTCCGTACTTCCTTATAGTATCTCATCATTTATACTGTACGATTATAGGCCACATTCTCGTTAGTCATTTGGTTAAAACTGATTTGCCTAAAATATAGACAATAAAGTTATAGGAAACCAAAAGTCAGGATTCTATTTCTATTCAATAGTCTATTCTTTTGGATATTTTGGCTACCCAAATACTGAAGTCCCTTAGTATTCAGATTACACTTGAGGAGAAACTGTTTTGGTTTTCTCTCAAAAGATCTTATAATACCTGACAATTATTAATATAAGTTTTATTAAGCATTTATAAATATCACAAATTAATCCACTTGGGGTTTGGTTTTCTGATTTATAAAACAGTATCCAAGTGTACCTTGCCCCTACATTGTCCTTGCTCTTTTTTGAAAATCTTTGACCTTTTATACGATAATTAACTTGCAATCTGTACTCTACATAGTCCTCACATCTACTGACAATCTCATACAAACAATTACTCACTTTCTTCTGTTCCCCCCCATGAAATACATATGTAAAGAATATATATATATATATATATATATATATATATATATATAAAATCCTTCTGTTTATGGTATTACTAAAGAACAATCTTTAACTATTACCCCCATCATGGAAGAACATATTGCAAACTCTAAATATTTATAATTTTATTGTGAAAAATAATTACTAGATTAATAAGTCTATGGGTACTGACTACCCATACAGGTATAAGGTATAAGGTATACCTTATACAGGTATAAGAATTAAATACTGACTAAGTCTGAGTCACTGATTTGAAATGTAAAGTGTGAAATTTCAATGTGCTTATAGAAAAGCGCAGGTTTTGAACCACTCACACTGATATATTTTTAACCAAAACAGACAAATTAGCTTTGATGATGAAAATAAAAATCATAACCACAGTGTCATCATATTCCTAAGGATAAAAAAGTGTTAAGCAGCTAATACTTTGTGACTGAGGTTAATTGTCATTCTGTAGTGATGATGCTAATCACTATGCAATTTTCATTATCTGGACTTTGTTAAAGCACCTAGTATATATTTTATTGAAACCTGTGTAGTATGTTTTACATTATGCCCCATATGACATTTTAATATGTAGATTTTAGAGGCCCTATTCCTCATCAGATGTCCTGAAATTTGTGTGAGGAGGCAGTGCATCAGTCAATTGTAAATGTATTTTCAATTTCTTACTATGTGATAGCATCAGTAAAGGAAATGATAAGCAATGATTTCAGTTTTATAGAACTTTAATTTCACCAAGTTACAAGAGAAAACTAATCATTTCACCTGCTCTTCACTCTCTATCCTGTTGCTTTTTCTGTATTTCCTGTCTCAGTAAATGGCTCAAGCATGCTTCCATCTTCTAGCTGGAGATAAATTTAGATTGGCACTGCTTACAGCTCTTGTTGGATACAGAATCCCTCCAAAGAGCTGTTGCTTTCTAGTCTCATCTTCCTAGTCTCATTTTGGTTTCTCAGCTTTCAAGGAATACTCTTGGCTCTTAAACATCTTAGGCTGTGCCTTGGACCTAGATTTTAGAAGAGTGGGTCTTTTTTGAGTATTTTCTCCAAGGAGTCTTTGTTTTAAGGTGATAGTTTGCTGACCATTCATTGGTTCCACTGCTTCTCTGAAAGGATCTATGACTTCAATCACTGTTTTTCTATTCTACTGGATTTTCCTGAGTTGTGTAGTTGTTAAGATCATGGACAAGTAATATGCTTCTGGCTCTGGGAGTGTCATGGACTTCTATATTTAAATGAGTTCAGTGTTGAAGACATGTCTCACACAAGAACTACTGATCTTAGGGTGGCCTAAAAGGTAATATGAACATTCAAAGAATAAAATGAAAAGAGATTTATTTTTGATAATGGGAGCAATGTGATCTACTGACTTGAGGTTTGGATCTATCCTAATTAATTAATTAATTTTCTAAACACCTACTCAGTTTCCTAGTATCATTTATCAAATAATCGATTTATTTCCACTAATTAAATATAGCATTTTAATCATGCTTAATTATGCATACTTATGGCTCTTACTAGGCTTCATTTTTCTTCTGTTGACAGTATAATTTTACAAAAATATTACATAGTTTTGATTATTGTACTTTAAAATTTGGGGTATAGCAGGTAGAATAGAGGACATTTTAGCTCATTTACTTATTTAGATAAATATTAGGAAAAACATCCCTGCCCCAAAAAATCTAACTGGCATTTTAATTGGAGTTAATTTTAGAAATTAAATTAGGGAAAGGAATGCTTTGAGAACATTGAGACTTTTTGTCCAGTTCATGGCATTTAATCTCCATTTATTTAAAATATTATTCTGTATAATTAAGTGAAATTGTGTAATTTTCTTTACACAGGTTGCACGTATTTCTTAAGTATATTTTTAAGTATTATGCATTTTTGTGCTTCTGTGAATGGGATCTATTTTTCATTGATTTTTGTTTCAGTCACTACTGTATAAGAAAATCTAGTGACTTTAAATTATTTTATAGAAATATCAAATAATATGTATCTAATAATGTTTGATAAGTTTTATATTTTCTGAGTTTTTTAGAAAGACAATCATATAATATATACATACTAATAAATTTCTCCCTGACTTCTAATATCCATAGTCTTTTTAGCTACTAGCTTGAGAAAATGATGTATTTTATTAAATATGTGCTGTAACTTCACTAACAGATTTTGCTGAAAAGATGTTTTATAAATCACTGACAGGCATTATCATCGACGCTTGATATACATTGATGCTTGATAAAGTTCTGTGATATACCACAGAACTTTATATTGTGGTTCTCAAAAGTGTATTTCATAAAAGAACATGACATAATAGAACAATTCTTAACCTGGAGGTTGGGAATACTTTATCCTAATCAAGCCCTGCCATTAATTAGCCGTTTGACCTAGGACATTTTATCAAACCATATTTGTCTCAATTATTTCTCTCAAAATGAGATAATTGACTGATTCTTACTGAGTTTCAATCCTTCTTGCATCATAAACCCTTTGGGAAAATGAATGGAAGCTGTAGATATCCAATGATAAATTAATATGTCATATATAAATGATATTTGCATTAAAGTATAGTTTTATGTTTCATTAGATTATTTCATAGGATCCTGGTAAACAAAACACACAAAAACATCTGAGAGCTAGTTGATCTCTAAAATTTTTAACTTAAGGAATATTTGGTTACATTACCTTTAAGAAATGTGTCTTGCATATGAATTTTAGGTCTGTTGAACAACTAATGCCTTGGTCTGTTGACATATCTTTAGTGGTAAATGAAAACTACATAACAGCTGCCATAACTCACTAGTAAAACATTTTAGTCTTTATATTCTTTCAGGTTTTATACCATTAAAGTATAATTGTATTCTGTATAGTAATATGCTTCTGTGAAATCCCTCTCATTTAATCCATTTCTTCCTAAAGTTCTTAACCTTCGGAGACTTTTAGCTATAGCCATGAACTTTCAATTTTGCTATTGAAACAAGCTTAATAAAAATTTTCACTTTACATGCAACTTTTCAGAAATGTAGTAGTTTCTTAAATTGAGAGAAACCAACCACTCTCCAGGTTGGATATAAAAATAACCTGTTTTAAAATGTTCAAAATTTCATTTCTGGTTTAATTTCTAAAGGACAGTAAGAAGCAAGGGAGATTCCTAGTATTTTAAGACTTCTGTCATTTGGGCAATGTTCTAATTAGCCCAGATGTTGTGAGATTCTTCACAACATAGTCTTTAATTGCTGTATTTTTTTCAACCCCCATGCTCAATAACCTTATGCAACTGAGTTGGCTCCAGGTGAGTTACTCTTTTATTTAAGCCACTGTAGCCCATAGATGCACAGGATGTTAGCATAAGAAAGGACTTTAGAGATAATATATTCTAAATCCCTAATTTTACTTGATTGTTTCCTTTGATAAGGCCTCATAATGTAGTGGGGAGAACATAGATTGAGTGTTATAAAATTAAGAGTCTATCCTGGCCCTACACCTCAGATTTCTTCTCTGTAAAATGAGCTAGTCAGATCAAATGATCTCCAAAATCTTTAAAACATCAACTTCTCTTATTTGTATGAGAAGAAGAGGGGAACAACAGCTCTTTTAGTAGAATTATTCTACTCCAGAATATTTCTGAAGATCGAAATATATTTTTCTACTTCCAAACATCCATGAAATAAATGGCTTTTATGACTTCTGACCCTTGTTCCAAAGAAGGAGTAAGTCTGACCTGATATATGTCTTTTTAAAAATTACTTTGTAGTCTATATGCTTCTATTCTGAAGCCCAAACATAGTATTTTTTAATTTACAGCATTGGAAATTAAAGATAATATTTACAACAAGTAATAGAAAATAAGGTGTGATATTAATGGAAATATAATCTAAGTGTAGTTTTTTTCTTAAGTTCATATCTTCCCTATCTTTCTATGCCTGTTTCTGCTAAATTTACAAATGTTGTATTCAGACAAGAATTTATCTGCTAGAGGGATTTGGAGCCCCCAATTGCCTGGTTCAGCAACCTGAGCTGCCCCACCCTGCCTAGACATAGATTGTAGTACAGAGGGAATCCCTCTGCTCCACACCTACGCAGATCTCCAGTAAGTTGGAACATCTGTTCACTTGGGTCAGCAGCCTGAGTTGCCCCACCCCTCCTGTGAAGAGATCTTGAGGTGATCCTTTCTTCTCCATGGTCAGGCAGATATCCAGGTATTTGGAGTGCCCACTTGTCTGATTCAACAGCCCGACCTGCCCCACCATTCCTAGACATAGATAGTGGTGCAGTGAGACCCTCTCTGCTTCATGTCCAGGCAGATCCTGAGGCATTCAGAGCACCTGTTTCCCTGGTTCAGCAGCCTGAGTCATACCACCCCTCCATGCAGAAATCTTGGTGCAGGGGTGCTGTCTCTGCCCCATGCCTAGGAAGATCTCCAGGTATCTAGAGCACCCACTCTCCTAGATTGAGCTTCAGCTGCCCCTATTACCATGCAGAGATCTTGAAGCCAAGGTTTCTCAGCTCCACATGTAGGCACACTTCTGGGTACATGGTGACCACCCACTGGATTCTCCTTTGGCACTGGTGCTTGTGCCTGCCATCAGGGAACCTGCTGGCAGACTTGCTTGGTCCAGCCCTACCCTTCATGGCTCCCACCCCTTGGAGAGTGAGCAGAGAGTTCAGACCACTGTGCATTCCATGAGTCAGTGCATTGGTTGAGGCAACAGGGAGCTTCTGCCAGTAAACAAGGATCAAGTATATACCCAGCCCCATTGGTCACAACCAAATCTTACCTATAAGTGTCATCTATGGGCTTGTAGGACAAACTGCACAGCCCAATTTAAAACCTGCTAAAAGAAGTACGTAGACATAGAATTTATACAAGCAAAGCCAAAAGACCCTCCTCATCATTCTCTATAGCCACAGCCCCTAGGGTGGAAGGGGAAGGTAAAGGGAAAGAAAATAATAATAATAACATTATAGGGAAAGAAAGAAAAAGAAAAAATCCTACCTGCATGAACATAATTATAAGAATTAGAAGTGCCAGCATCTCCAGATGAGAAGGAACCAAAACAAGAATGCTGGCATCATGAAAAATCTGAATGTAGTGACACCACCAAAGGACTGCACTAGCTCCCCTGCAATGGTCACTATCCAAAATAGAAACTCAGAAATAACAGATAAAGAATCCAAAGTATGGATTGCAAGGAAGTTCACTGAGAGACCCAAGAAAGGGTGGAAAATCAACACAAAAAAAATTCTAAAGCAATCCAGTAAATGAAGGAAGAGATAAATGCCCTAAAAAGAAAATCAGTCAGAACTTCTGGAATTGAAAAACTCACTTAAGGAACCTCAAAATACAGTTGAAGATCTTATCAATAGACTGGATGAAGTAGAAGAAAGAAGCTCAGAGCCAGAAAGCCAGTCTTTTCAACTAACCCAGTCTGACAAAAATGAAGAAAAAAAGAATTTTAAAAAATGATCAAAATCTTTGAGAAATATGAGCTTATGTAAACTGATCAAACCTACAAATTACTGGCATTCCTTGGAGAGAAGGAGGAAAAGCGAATAACCTGGAAAATATATTTGAGGTAATCATTCAAGAAAATGTCCCTAATCTTACTAGAGAGGTAGAAATTCAGATATAAGAAATTCAGAGAACACCTGTGAAACACTGTACAAAACAAATATCACCAAGACATATAACCACTAGACTATCCAAGGTCAGCACTATAGAAAAAAACTTAAAGGCAGCTAGAGGAAAAGGAAAAATTACATACAAAGGGAACCCCATCAAGCTAACAGCAGACTTGTCAGAAAAAGGCTTACAAGCCAAGAGAGATTGGGAGCCTATCTTTAACAGTTAAAGAAAAGAAATTCCAATCAAGAGTTTTATATCCTGCCAAGCTGAACTCATAAATGAAGGAGAAATAAAATATTTTACAGACAAGCAAGCACTAAGGGAATTTGTTACCACTACACCTGCCTTACAAGAGATTCTTAAGGGAGTTCTACACATGGAAACAAAAGAATGATAACTGCCGCTACAAAAACACACTGAAGTATACAGCTCACAGACCCCATAAAGCAAAAATACAATAGAAATTACACAGCGAACAGCTAACAACTTCATGATAAGATCAAAACCTCTCATATCAATATTAACCTGGAAGGTAAATGGTCTAAATGATCCACTTAAAAGTCACAGAGTAGTAAGTTAGATAAGAAAACAAGACCCATTCATCTGCTCTCTTTTAGGGATCTGTTTCACACGTACTGACACCCATAGGCTTACAGGGTTGGAGAAAGATATACCATGCAAACAGAAAACAAAAAACAAAGAGTCGGAGTTACTATTCTCATATCAGATGAAACAGACTTTAAAGCAACAACAGTAAAAAATGACAAGAAGCACATTACAACATTACATAATGATAAATTGTTCAAGCAACAAGAAGACTTGACTATCATAAGTATGTACACACCAAACACAGGAGCACCCAAATTCATAAAATGAGAACTTCTAGAACTACAAAAAGACTTAGACAGCCACACAATAATAGTGGGGGTATTCAAGACCCCACGAACAGCATTAGACAGTTCATCACGGCAGAAAACCAACCAAGAAATTCTGGACTTAAACTCAGCACTTGACCGACTGGACCTAATAAACATCTATAGAATACTCCACCCATCAACTATAGAATATATGCTCTTCTCATCTGGACATCTGGACATGGAACATACTCCAAGAAATCATGTGCTCAATAAATTAAAAAATACTTGAATAAGTCTCAATAAATTTTTTTAAAAAACTAAAAATCATACAAACTATAGTCTCAGACCACAGTGGAATACAATAGAAATCAATACAAGGAGGCCTCTCAAAAACCACACAATTATAGGGAAATTAAACAACTTGCTCCTGAATGACTTTTGGGTGAACAAAGAATCAAGGCAGAAATTTCAAAATTATTTGAAATAAATGAAAACAGAAACATAACATACCAAAATATCTGGGATGTAGCCAAAGCAGTGTTAAGAGGAAAGTTCATAGCACTAAACGCCTACCTCAAAAAGTTAAAAATATCTCATTTTAACAATCTAACCTAACATCTAGAGGAACTAGAGAAACAAGAGCAAAGTAACCTTAAAGCTAGCAGGAGAAAATAAATAACAAAAATCGGAGTGGAACTGAATAAAATTAAAACCTAATAATCCATTTAAAAAATCAACCAAACCAAAATTTAGTTTCTTAAGAAATAAACAAGGTCAATAGACCACAAGATTATCAAAGAAAAAAAGAGAGAAAATCCAAATAAGTACAATAAGAAACAGCAAACAAAAGATTCTCAGAGAGTGTTATGAACACCTCTGTGGACACAAACTAAAAATCTAGAGGAAATGAATAAATTCTTGGAAAGATAAAATTTCCTAAGATTGAATCAGGAAGAAAATGAACACTGAACGCACCAATATTGAGTTCCAAAATTGAATCAGTAATAAAAAGCCTACCAAGCAAAAAAAAAAAAAAAAGCCCTGGACCAGATGAGTTTACCACTGAATAATACCAGAAGTACAGAGAAAGCCAGGTACCAATTCCACTAGAACTAATTTCAAAAAATTGAGGCGAAGGGATTCTCCCTCACTCATTCTATGAATCTAGCACACCCTAATACCAAAACCTGGTAACAATATAATGAAAAAAATCAAACTACAGGCCAATATCCCTGATGAACATAGAAACAACAATTCTCAACAAAATATAGCAAACCAAACGCAACAGCACATCAAAAAGTTAATTCACCATGATCAAGTAGGCTTCATTCCTGGGATGCAAGGTTCGTTCCGCATGCACAAAACAATAAATGTGGTTTACAGCATAGACAGAATTAAAAGCAGAAACCATATGATCATCTCAATAGACACAGAAAAAGATTTTGATAAAGTCAAACATCCTTTTGTTACAAAAACTCTGAAGAAACTAGGCATCAAAAGAACACATCTTGAAACAGTAAGAGCCATCTATGACATACCCCCAGCCAATATCATACTTAACAGGCATAAACTGAAAACTTTCCCCTTGAGAATTAGAAAAAGACAAGGATAGCTATTCTCCCACCTTCTATTCAGCATAGCACTGGAAGTCCTAGAGAGCAATCAGTCGAGAGAAAGAAATAAGAGTCATCCAAACAGGAAAAGAAGAAGTCAAACTCTCTTTTGGGGAGATATGATTCTACACCTTGAAAACCCTAAAGACTCTGCCAAAAGACTCCTGAAACTGATAAACAACTTCAGCAAATTTCAGGATAGAAAATCAATGTACAAAAATCAGTAGTGTGCCTACACACCAGTAATATTCAAGCTGAAAGCCAAATCAAGAACACAATCCCATTAACCGTAGCCACACACACACAGACACACACACACACACACACAGACTACGAATACATCAAACCAAGGAGATGAAAGATATCTGCAAGGAGAATTACAAAACACTATGAAATGAAACCATAGATGACACACACAAATGGAAAGACATTCTATGCTCATGGATTAGAAGAATCAATACCATTAAAATGTTCATACTGCCCAACACAATCTACAGACTCAGCACTATTTATATTAAACTACCAACATCTTCTTTAAGAATTATTTAAAAAAAATAGAATTAGAAAAAAAATTCTAAAATGTATATGGAACCAAAAAAGAGTACAAACAGCTGAAACAATCTTAAGCAAAAAGAACAAAGCTGAAGGCATCACATTACCTGACTTCAAAGCATACTATAAGGCTACCATAGCCAAAACATCATGATACTGATATAAAAACAGACACATAAACCAATGGGAAAGAGTAGAGAACCCAGAAATAAAGCCATACACCTACAGCCATCTAATCTTTGATGAAGTCAGCAGAAATAAGCAATGGGGGAAAAGACTCCCTATTCAGTAAAATGGTGCTGGGATGCCTAGATAGCCATATGCAGAAGAATGAAACTGGACCTACTACTTTTCACCATATACAAAAACTCAAGGTGGATTAAAGAGTTAAATGTAAGACCTCAAACTATAATAATTCTAGAAGAAAACCTAGAACACACCATTCTGGACATGGGCCTTGGGAAAGAATTTATAACTAAATAGTCAAAAGCAATCACAACAAAAACAAAAATTGACAAGTGGGACCCTATAAAGGGCTTCTGCACAGCAAAAGAAACTACCAACAGAATAAAAAGACAACCTACCGAATGGGAGAAAATATTGGCAAACTATGCATCCAACAAAGTCTAATGTCGAAGATATGTAAGAAAGTTAAACAATTCAACAAGCAAAAGACAATTTAAAAAAAATGAGCAAAAGACATGAATAGGCACTTGTGAAGAGAAGACATACACATGGCCAACAAACATAAAAAATGCTCAATATCACTAATCATAAGAGAAATGCAAGTTAAAACCGTGAGATGTCATCTCACACCAGTCAGAATGGCTATTATTATAATATAAAAAATAATAGGTGTTGGTGAGGCTGTGGAGAAAAAGGAACACGTTGGTGGCAATGTAAACTAGCTTAGCCACTGTGGAAAGCAGTTTGGAAATTTCTCAAAGAATTTAAAACAGAACTACCATTTGACCCAGCAATCTCATTACTGGATATATATCCAAAAGAAAACAAATCATTTCTATCCGAAATACATATGCACTCGCATGTTCATTGCAGCACTATTCAAATGCAATAGCAAAGACATAGATTCAATATGGGTGCCTATCAGCGGTGGATTGGATAAAGAAAATGTAGTAAATAAGCACCATGGAATATCACATAGCCAAAAAGAAAAAAAAAAAAAAGAATGAAATCATGCCCCTTGTAGCAACATGGATGGAGCTGCAGGCCATTATTCTAATTAAATTAGTGCAGGGACAGAAAACCAAATACTACATGTTCTCATAAGTAGGAGCTAGACATCAGGTGCTCATGGACATAAATATGGAAACAGCAGCAACTGGGGACTACTAGAGAAGGGAGGGAAGGAGGGAGAAGGGCAAGAGTTGAAAAACTAACTGTTGGGTACTATGCTCACTACGTGGGTGATGGGATTATTCATACCTCAAACCTCGGAGTCATGGGTAACATTTTTTAACCCATGTAACAAACCTGTACATGTACCTCCTGAATCTAAAATAAAAGTTGAAAAAGAAAACAAGAGATTAGAACAGAGACAATATACATGGCTAGAAGACCTTGTGAAGACACAACGAGAAAATAGCCATTGACAAGCCAAGGAGAGAGGCTTTAGAGGAAACCAATCCTGCTGACACTTTGATCTCGGACTTCCAGCCTCTAGCACTTGGGGGAAATAATTTGTTTTTTGAGCCAGTCAGTCTGTGGTATTTGTTACAGAAGCCCTAGAAAACTAATAAAATGCCCTCCTCTGTTTTAAAAACAAAAGAGTTCATCTGAAAAACAACTCTTGTTGCAGCCTTTCACATTTTCCCTTTAAAATTAATATGAAGGCCAGGATGAAGACATAATATGACATTTTAATCATCAGTAAAAGTTAAGTGTCAACCATTGATATGTTGTAAGAAAGCAGAGGAATTTTCACTAAAAGCCAAGTAAATAGGATTGGATTTTAAAAATATAAACAGCAGATAGCTTGAGTTTTTTAAGATACTTATTCTAATGGGAAATCCTTCACCCCATACTCACACTCTGCCCTCTGATTCAGAGAGCTGAGGTCTCCAAGAAAATGGGACAATCGTCCCTCTACAGCTTAGACATTGCTTTAAAACGTAACAGTCACTCTGCTAGGCCCAGTAGCTTTGTTGTTCGATTCAAAAGTAAAAGAAACATTAAAGTTTACAAAATTTCTCAACTAGAGTTTGGAGCAGGGAAAGGAGATACTCAAATGTTAAAGTGTCAATATTTACTGATAAGTAGGAAAATATAGTTATAATGGGATTTTGAAAAATTAAAAGTCACCACTAAATAAAATTTAAAATAGAAAACATACAAATCAAACAAATCATGAAACATATGGAAAAACATTGAAAAAAAGGAAATATCAAGAAAATACAAATGTAAGAAATAGTAGGTCATAAACACCATGATTTTAAAAAATGTTTAAAGCATAGGAAACAGCTCAGGTTATTTCATGTGAAGAACTCAGGAAACAGATTTTTACATATTACATGATTCTTATTTGGGATAAAAAAGGAAATACACACACAAAAGGATTGAAAATAAACCCAATGAGTAGTAAAATTATTTGGAAGTTTTTCTTTTTAATCATTACAAAATAATTGATTTATATCAAATTAATATTATGCTTACACTTATTGATCACAAACTATTGCATGGAAGAGTGCTTAATACATTCTTGTACATTTTTTCATCTGATCTTTATTGCAGTCCATGAGGCAGATAATTTCAAGCCCATTTTATAAGAAAGAAACTAAAACTTGAAAAGCTTGAGATTTCCTGGAGATGCTTTAAAATTAGCAAATATCTTAACTTGAAAAAGTTTATGATTAATATAATAGAAACCTGCCAGAAATTATTGTCTTAACATTTTGCCATAATTGCTTAATTTCTATTTTTAAATTTAATAAAATGTTACAGATAAAGCCCTTCAGTTCTCACTTGCTCCCTCTTTCTCTCCTCTACTATTATAAACTTGGTGCATAAGATTTTTAGATACTATTTTTACTACACAAATGTGTTAGTAAACCAATATTTGGCATTATTTTGTCTCATTAACTTCTATGTGAATAATCACAAATGAAAGAAATGATGGTAATAATAATAATAGCAGACATACATGAAGCTTCCTCAGTGCCAAGCAGTGTTCTAGGTACCTACATGGGTTAACTCATTTAATATTGTCACAATTCTATGAGCCCAATACTATTATTATTCCCATTTACAGGTAAGAAAACACACCATAGACTAAATAACTTGTCCTAAATCACAATCACACAGATAGTATACATGAGAGCTGGGATTTCTGTCTTCCTTTTGGGATTTTTACTTTCTCAATGAGCTTTTTTTTTTTTTTTTTTAAGATTTATCCATGGTAATAGATATAAATCTTACATATTTATTTATGTTTATTATTCTACAATCAGCTGTTGATTTATTCATTTGGGTTGATTTATCTGTCTCCTTACTGAGGCACAATTACTTGTTTTGTACTTATTAATAAAAGTAGAGAGCAATGAGCAATCAATTATGAGTTCCCTTGTATATATGCACGAATTCCTCCAGGTAAGATATGTACAAGTGTACTTGCTCAGTCCAAATGCTCGTGCATCTGCAAAGTTAACATATTAGGTTGGTGCAAAAGTAATTTTGCCATTTCTTTAATGCAATGTAAAAACAACAATTACTTTTGCACCAAACTAATATATTGCTAAATTCTTGTCTGAAGTAGTTGTGCCAATTTATTGTTTGGTAGTTTTATATATTCTTTCCCCAGATCTTCATTAGCAATTGTTACCAGTGTTTTTCAATTTGTAAAAATCTGGGTGGTATGAAATAGTGCTTAATTCTTATTTTAATTTCCATTTCCCTGAATAGGTAAGGTGGAATATTTTTTCATATATTTTTTGACCAGTACTGTTTCTCTTTGATGAATTAGACACTTAGCTCATTAACTTGCAGGTTATCTTCTTTCCTACGTAATCTATTTAAAGCTATATATTTTAAGTGTAAAAATTTTTAAATTATCATCTAAATTATGTGGGACTTTTGAAGTTGATTCTTATTACTGATTTCTAATTATGTGCATTGGTCACCACAGAATTTGGTTTACATGATACTGATTTTTCAGTATTTATTGAGGCTCAGTTTGTACATATTCTTTGTGTACTTGGACAGACTATGCATTAATTCTTAGTGTTTTATATATTTCCATTAGATCAAGCTTTTGAATTTAATTATACACATATTATAAGACCTTATTATTTTCTAATCAAATAAATAAAGAAATTTTATTTGGTGCTTTTTCAGATTTCGATTCACTTTCTACAGTGTTCAGTTTGTGTTTTATAGTTCAAATATTTTTATTAGGTCAAGCTTCTGAATTGAAGTTAAATATTTAAAACATACTACCTTCCTGTATTCCCCATTTTTGTTTCATTAGTTCAAATTCATTGTGTTCTAAGTTTCTGTTCTGCTAACCTTGTGAATGATAAATTATTCCCTCATGTGTTTTGTAATTTTTAAAAAATTCTTATTCTGAGCTCATCTTCAATAGCGCTCTTTCTGTAGAAATCCTGTGCACACTGAGCTGTGAAAATATACAGAATTTTGGTGGTGATTGTTTATGTCTTTGCTTCTCTCAATGACACCAATATTATCACCTGCCCTGGGATCAAATTTTTAAAAACTTCTTAGCATCAAAATTCCTGTGCCTCATAGATAGTGTGCTTGCAATGCACATGGCTGAATTTTTAAATTTGCTTAAAAGAGACTACTTTTTAAAGCTTAAGTTTCTTTGTTATTCCCATAAGCTGGTAGGTAAATTACTTCTGTCTTTCTCCCTGCATGTTTCACCCTTTCACTAACCCAGTTTTATAAAAGGTGTAGTTCCAGTGTTTGTAGGATTTAAGAGTTATAGCCTGTGCCTTGCAACCGCATGAAACTCAGGCCCACTGACATCATTACCACTGATTAGCTTCCCACCTCTTCCCCTGTCAGCACCACCACCATAGTGTCAGCTAACTAACTTCCTACTCTTTATTTTTAATATGGAAATTTCACTTCCAAATATTATATATATTTGGAAGATATATATATAATCTAATATATATTAAATTAGATATTTTGGAAGAATATATATATATTCATATATGTATATGTGTGTGTATATATATATATATTTCCAGTATTTATAGGTATTTATATCAGAAGGGCTTGCACATTAACTAAGTTTATGATCTTGCCAGAACCACAGTATTAATTTCTGCTGAAATAATAGAGCCTAAATTCCAGTGCGATTTTGTTATATATTTTGTTTGAAATATAATAATGGTAGTTATCTACCCATAAAAGGCCAACTGAATAAGGTTTAATTACTCTGGACCTTATTCTTGCTCGGAATAAGTAAGATTATTACAAGATTATTATACTTATAAGTAATCTTATAAGTAAGATTTCCCACATAAAGATTTCCCTTTATGTGGGAAAATCATTTAAATGTAAGACCTCAAATCTTCAATCCTTCAAACAGAATTTTTCGGTTACCAGGAATATAAATTATGCTTCTGAATTGAGAAGAGATCATAAAATATGCTTAATATACAATTATTTTTTTCTAACTGCTACTTTAATCATAGTAATTCCTTTGGAATGCATGACAAGTTAATATACTGCAGATTATGTGTCTAAGAGACTATAGATATGAAGAAAGACAAAACAGAAAAAGAACCAAGGCTCTGAGACTGTTGCAGTTAAATCCTATAAGGTTTTCAGTATTTACTATAAAATAAATCATTAATGATTACCTAAGAGAGACATACTGTTGTGAATAATACTAAGAACTGACAAATAAAGCCTGCCTCCTTTAAATGTATTCTCATTAGAAAATCAAGGTGGACACAAAAATATTGTAAAAAGTAAAATAAAATGTAAAAAGACAAAAATGTTAGTTTGATGTATGTTTGCACAAGTAGAAATTTCCTTAAAAGTTCAGAAAGACACAGAAATAACTCTGAATCTCTCTGAAGGTGGCATTTGAACTGGGCTTCAAAAGGTGAGTATTATTTGGGGGATTCATCAGAGAACATTTCAGGTGAGAGGCTCAGTGTGAATAAATGCATAAAAGAAGGAAATCTCACAGTGTATTTGAGGAATTGTGAGTGGATCAGTTGGCTTATAGCAGAAATTTAATGAATAGCTGAATTTGCAAGATAAATAAACCTAAAGGAGAAAGAGACATGGTGTACATGGATGAAGCAGGTCAGATATTAAACTAAAGGTTAATGAAATTAAGTTCTGAAAAAGGTGGAGAATGCAAGTCTCATCTGAAAGAACTAATCATGACCTAACTCCAGCACCAATATAGCTTAAGTTTGGCCACATCTGAGTTTTCTAGAGAATTTGAGAATCAGGATTTTTTGATAAATCTCTAATATTTAAACATTGGCAAATACTTCAGAACTTGAAAACATCGTATAAAGCCCAAACAAAATATCTGTGGATCTGATCAAGCCCATTAGTCACTAATTTGCCATCCTGGACACAAAGTAAGTGAAAAAAATGGATAATACCAAAATGATGGGTTGGCCTTTTAGCTGAGGTGTCTGAGTATGACCCCTAAGACATACCAAGACAGAGAACAAGAGAAGATGTAACTAGGTTTCTTGATTGATATAATAATTTAGAAAGTTTAATGCAAACTTGAGAGAAACACTGAAAGTGATTTTCTTCACAATCTTTGTCAAACAGTTTTCATCCAGCTGCACATTCTTATGAAAACAAATACCAATGCTGTTTTTAGGTAAAGGTCTCATGCTCTTTATACTTGCACTAATGAAAAGGTATTCTCTGTTATACTAATGGTGGGAATATTTCCATAACAGGGTTTTGGCATTTATAAAGAATTTCCACCGGAATACATTCCCCATATGAGATGTTAACAAACATGGACATAACTCATAGATACATGATAGGAAATGAAAGATAAACATTTTATCTAAACTAGTTACACATCTGGAATAAAATTTTAATACCTCTTCTCTCCTTTCTCATCATGCATGTGTATGTGGCTGTTTGCTTTGTATTTAGGATTTTTCCATCTAGTCACAAAAAGAAGTAATTAAAATGGTTTTGGTTTTTTTTTTTTTTTTTTTTTTGAGACGGAGTCTCGCTCTGTCGCCCAGGCTGGAGTGCAGTGGCGCGATCTCGGCTCACTGCAAGCTCTGCCTCCCGGGTTCACGCCATTCTCCTGCCTCAGCCTCCCGAGTAGCTGGGACTACAGGCGCCCGCCACCACGCCCGGCTAATTTTTTTGTATTTTTAGTAGAGACGGGGTTTCACCGTGTTAGCCAGGATGGTCTCGATCTCCTGACCTCGTGATCCGCCCGCCTCGGCCTCCCAAAGTGCTGGGATTACAGGCGTGAGCCACCGCGCCCGGCCAATTAAAATGTTTTATGTGGCCTTCAGCCCTAAAGAAGTTACTGCCAAAATGTCTATGCTGACATGGCCTTTACTTGAATGTGAGAGTCTTTGGATTTTTTGTTATTTTTTCATTGAGATTAGTCAGGAAAGATAGAAACAAAACCCAATTTTAATTTCTCAGAAACTCAGAGCCCAGAAACTTATTCAAGATAGAAAATATTTACGAAGGCCCCCATTTTAAAAAATGGTGGATTCACATCCTACTATATTTATCCATACTCCTATCCTTTACACCAAACTCAAGCAGAAATGGGATACCAGAAGGTTCAGTCAATTGAAGTACTAAAGGCAAAAATAAAAATTAACTCCTATTTAGCTTTCTGTAGCTTTCAACATCTCTAAATTCATTTTCTATTATAATGATACTTAAAATTTGCCTTTGGCTTGACAGCTCTCAATGAACCTGTGTTTAGTCTCATAGGATAAAATGTCATATGACAATTTTTAAGAATGTGTGTTCTAAGTTCAGACTTCAAAGCCTAGACCCTGTACTTACTATCATTGAAAATTTATGAGATACTTAAATTTTACAGGCTGTCTAAAGTACCGCCTGTAAAATAGCAACAGCATTAGCTACATTACATGGTTGTTATGAGGATTAAGTGATGTAGAGTGATTAAATGCTCAATATATGTTCATTGCTACGGCTGCCACTGCTGCTGTGGTTGTTTTAACTATCATTGCTATTCTTAACATGATGACATTTTATTTAAATGACTATGGTAGCTTATTTTGTTCCCGATAAACTTTATGTAACTTTTTTGCTATATTGAAGCCAGTGACTGAACTGCTTGCAGTCTCTACCAAAAACCTGCTGCTGATGGTCAGGGATTAAAGGCTTATTTTTAGCAATCTTTCTAGCCTGAAATGGAATTCTGTCAAGGTTGGCTTTTTTGACTGTGACGCACAGAGGGAGGGCGGTATTTCTAATTTTATCATCTGCCCATAAAATCATGTTTTAGTGCTAGCTAATTTCATTAATTTTTAAAATATGCTGGCTTAGGTTTACAGGTTGAAAAGCTATTTTGTGACTGAAATGGTATATTTTGGAATATGTCGTGACTCTGTGACCCACTCAGGAGTAATCCATAAAAATGATTTCAAAGAGTTGATTAGTGTCTGATTTACAAGTGACAGCACATGATTATAGCACATTCTAGTCTCCAATGCAGTGCTTTATATGTTTCATACAAAAATGGGCATAGTAATACAAATATATCCTCCAAAATCCAAAAAATAATACCATGATACATCAGGATTCAGAGAGTTAGAGATACTTAAATGAAAATCTGGTATTATTTTATTGGCAACTGAGGATATGTGACTGTGATTTCTCCATCAACAACATGCTTAGTGAATGGTATAAGCAAGCCATCTTATGGTAGTCATTCTTTACAAATATGACTATGTTGACTGTGTGTGTGTGTGTACACATGCATACGTGTGTTAAGAGAGAAGGAGGGAGAAAAGAAAGAAGAAAGAACTGCAATTCATTGTCACTGCCAAGTTATAGAATTGGTAGAATTTGACACTTTTTAAAAAATTGGTGAAACAACTACTTTTTAAAAAATTGGTGAAACAACTACTTTTTATTCTTTAGAAAGGACATATTACATCTTTGGGTAACAAGATAAATAGGAATATTTTAATAAAATGCTCTATTTCATGTAAGTCAGTAATTACTTTCAGAGGTATAAACTGGATAATTTAAAAAAATCTTTGTTTGACCAAATACTCAGTATGTTTTACAAAGTATAAGATATTTTGATCTACCATTTTGAACCTCCCATTTTAAGATGTTTTTGTCTTCACTGTCTTGATCCCTAAGGACATTTCTATTGTGTGTTTCTTAATACAGTCATTCTCATTAGAATGATAGCAACCTGTATGACTGTTAGGTAAAGGGTACTTTCTACAATTTCATTAAACTAATTTAATTTTTTAATCAAATTCTTATACAACAGAGTTAAACAATTCCTTTACATTTCCTTTTTGATTTTATTGAAATTATTTTTTATTAAGTTCTTTTGGTATAAACTTTACTACCAAAGATTTAATTCACTAATCAGTTTTTAAAAGTTCATATCAGATACACTGAGCTTTTTTTTAGTAACATTTCTACAATGCCCAATTTTTGTCAATTTAAGTTTTAGTGAGCTCATTTCCATCAAGAAAATGTTATTCTTTCATCAATTTTGAGTCAGTTACAAATTTTAATCTGTGCATTTTTAGCCATTGTTAATTTTATTTTTTATTATTTCTACTAAGTCTAATTTTTTAAAAATCAATGTTTGCTGTCTTTAATGTTCCTAAAGAATGTATAATCTCAATCAGGTCTTTTTGTTTTGTTTTGTTTGGAGGACTAATCAATTTTACCATGCTCTGTTTTAAACATATTCAACTGTATTTGCCTCTTTGCTGCCACTTGTGTTTACTAATTGGATATAATAATTAAAATATGTGTTTATTTGGTCAAGATGCAAAGAACATGAGATAGTACAAATGATGGTAACTAGGTGGAGATGGAGGTCAAATGGCATTGCAATCAAAACGGTTGGGTCAAAATATCCTCCTTCAGATATTAGACACCTCAGTGGAACAAATAAGAAAGTATATGGTTTTGCTATATGATACTGATGTCTTGCAAATAGTCATTATATCTTAGTTTCTATCTACATGTACAGATCATGGTATTTTAACATTTGAATTTCCCAACTGGCACATGTTTATTTGTAGATAAATACATATTTTATAATGAAAATTGTCAACTAATCTTCCAAATCAGAAAGCTAATTTATATTTAAATAATACAGTTTTTTGTGACAAAGTAATAGAAGACTGCAGAAAAGGTGAAAAAAGAACTGTCATTTTAAGCAGGAACAATACACCAGGCACTGTGCCAGATGTTTTACAAAATTATTTTCTTAAATGCCCTCAGCAAACAAGAAGGGATTTTTAGTTCCATATTTTAGCTGAAAAAGCTGAAACTTAGAGAGTTAGCTTACCTACAGATAAATTATTAAGTAGTGGTGGGGGCTGCAGTTCAAACCATTCTGCAAACCCAAATCCTGTTTTATATGCAAAGCATGGGTAGCTATTCTGTGGTATTTACAATTTAGAAAGACATTTTTTATCATTTAACAAATATTAATTGAGTGCATATTAGGTGCCTCATCCTGAGCTAGGCTTGGGAATCAAGTATATAAGAAAGACCATAATCCCTATGTTCACAAAGCAGTCGGCCTAGTATTACCTATAGGCAGATAACCAGAAATTAAAGTGTGTTGAGACCTCCAGTGGGGTGGGAAGTCTAAGGAAGATAGGGCCAAGAGATTGATCAGTTTAAGTAATTGAAATGAAAAACGGATAACCTAGTTTACTGAAAAGTGAAAGGGGATAAAAATACTCTAAATGAAATCACTGCAGGTGAAAGAATTTTGCAATATTCTGAAAGATCCTTAACAATATTTATAATTGTTACATCATAGTGATGATGATCCACAATGATTAGAAATTATTATCTCAACACCAGCATAAGGATTGAATGCCAGCAACCTGAAATCTTGAGTATAATCTTTTCTAAAGACTGAAAAGCTTCTCTCATGATTGTACATTTGTTGGGTCAGACTGCATGACCCTAAGATAAATCCTAAAATAAATTCCAAGAGGTTTCTACTGCAGTTTCTCAAAGCCTCGGTATCTTTTGCCTTATTATTTCTCTTAAAATTATTTCTTTTTATTTATATTTTTATTGTATTTCAATAGTTTCTGGGGGAAAGTTGAATTTTGGTTGCATGAATAAGTTCTTTAGTAGTGATTTCTGAGATTTGGGGGCATCTGTCACCAAGAAGTGTACAGCATACCTATTGTGTAGTCTTTTATCCCTCACCCTCCTTCCACCCTTCCCCCTGAGTCCATTATATCATTCTTATGCCTTTGCATCCTCATAGCTCAGCTCTCACTTATAAGTGAGAACATACAGTATTTCATTTTCCATTCCTGAGTTACTTCATTTAGAGTAGTGGTCTCCAATTCCATCCAGGTTGCTGCAAATGCCATTATTTCATTGCTTTGTGTGGTTAAGTAATATTCCATTGTGTGTGTGTGTGTGTGTGTCACATTTTCTGTATCCACGCATTGGTTAATGGGCATTTAGGCTGGTTTCATATTTTTCAATTGCGAATTGTGCTGCTGTAAACATTTGTGTGCAAGTGTCTTTTTCGTATAATGACTTCTTTTCCTCTGAGTAGATACGCAGTAGTGGGATTCCTGGATCAAATGGTAGTTCTACTTTTAGTTCTTTAAGGAATCTCCATACTGTTTTCCATAGTGGTTTTACTAGTTTACATTCCCACCAGCAGTGTAAAAGTAGTCCCTTTTCATGACATTTGTGCCAGCATCTATTAATTTTTGATTTTTTAATTATGGCCATTTTTGCAGGAGTAAGGTGGTATCTCATTATAAAATCAATATTAGGAAAATGACCATATTGCCAAAGGCAGTCTACAGATTCAGTGCAGTTCCCATCAACATACCATCATTATTCTTCAAAGAACTAGAAAAAACAATTCTAAAATTCATATGGAACCAAAAAGTTTCCATAGCCAACACAAGACTGAGCAAAAAGAACAAATCTGAAGGTATCACATTACCTGATATACTACAAGGCTATACAACAGGCTATAGATACCAAAACAGCATGGTACTGGTATAAAAATAGGCACACAGACCATGGAACAGAATTGAGATCCCAGAAATAAACCCAAATACTTACAACCAACTGATCTTCAACAAAGCAAACAAAAATACAAAGTGGGGAAAGAACAACCTATTCAACAAATGGTGCTGGGATAATTGGCAAGCCACATGTGGAAGAAGGAAACTGGATCCTCATCTCTCACCTTATACAAAAATCAACTCAAGATGGATCAAAGACTTAAATCTAAGACCTGAAACCATAAAAATTCTATAATATAACATCAGAAAAACTCGTCTAGACATTGGCTTAGGCAAAGAGTTCATGACCAAGAACTCAAAAGCAAACACAACAAAACAAAAAATAAATAGATTAGACCTCATTAAACTAAAAAGGAGGAAATGATCAGAAGAGTAAACCGATGACCCACAGAGTGAGAGAAAACATTCTCTAACTATGCATCTGACAAAGGACTAATATTCAGAATCTACAAGGAACTCAGGCAAATCAGCAAGAAAAAATAATCCTATAAAAAAGTGGGCAAAGGACATGAATAGACCGTTCTCAAAAGAAGATATACAAATGGCCAACAAACATATAAAAAAGTCTCTTAAAATTATTTCTAAAATTTTAAATGTGCATTAATTTTTGCATTATGAGTATTTCAAAATAAAGTTGAACGAACTCCCTGATTCTAGGAAGAATTATACAAAACCCATCCCCACGTCATTTGTGGTTTCCCTGTTACACACACACACACAGAGGAAGAGAATGAGTTAGCCATTATATTAAATATCAGTCCAAACCCAGCTTTTCTTTTGTTTCTGATTTTGATACCTTGAAAGAAAAGGAAAACATTTAAAGTTTGAAAACTTGTAAGTTAAATATACTTCACATGACTTCCCGTTCTGTACCCTTAACTTGAGCCAATTCACATGAATTTTTCTCCATAAATGCCTTATATTTACCTGGCCTAGTAATTATTATTCATGTGCTTTGAACTGTCCTAAATGTACTTTTTCTCCATCTCTGTTCATCCAACTCTACTCATCCTGTACAGTACAGTTTGAATATTTTCCTCCTTCTTTAAACTCTTTCTGGTTGCTCCAACTAGGAGGACTTAGTATCACCTTATTTACACTTGTATTAGAGTTTCCCCAATAGACTGCAAGATAATAAAGACCTTTCTCCCTTATTTTTATATTTCACACAACAACCTGAACATTGTGCATGTTCACTAAATATTTTTTAATTGAGAGAATTTTTAATTAGCTAATTAAGGGCTAGAGACTGTCGGAGAGATGGACTCAATGAAGGTAATGTTTTAGTCCCCTGGTTCAAGGAAAGTCTCCCCTTCAGTAGTAGTGGAAGGAAATGCAAAGGGAACTGGTCTGAAGGTAAACTTGACTGGGAACAGGATGTGAGAACAGAACATTTAGGAATCAAATCTTGTCATGAAGGGGCAATTGCTGGCAAAAACAAAACGAACGAAGAAAAAACATTAACTGTATTCAGTTCAGTTCTAGTACAAAATATCGAAGATAGACTTTGACAATCTGCAGAATGTTCAGAAAAGGAAAAGCAGGCACAGGAAGTGGTGTCATATGACCTTGAAAAAGACTACCACATAGAGGGAAGAGGTTGGAGCTGAGGTGTTGACAATTGTATTTTTAAACATTGAAAATTGCTGTAATATTACTTAAGAGAATAGAAATAGGGCCAGAGAGTGGAGAAGCAACAGAGGCAGATTTGGACTCAACACTAGACTTTAAATGTGTCAGGGCTGTGACAACGCAGAGAATCATGTGTTCCTGGATTCTTAGCTCTTGTGGAAACTGGAGCCAAACTCTGCCTTCCACCAAGGCCTGGGATAGCCAGAGCCCTGGCTTTTTAGCATCTCCCTGAGAATCCCTGATGCTACTCCCTTGGTCCTGCTGGGCTATGCTCCTGCTGTGCTCTGGTGTTCTTGGACTTCCCTTTTCCCATTGTTGCTATGCCTCTTGCCACTTCTGGTACCTGGCCAAAGGTGGAGAGCTCTGTCCCTGAAGGACACCTGTAAAACTTGCCACATGGAAATTAAAACATGCTTCTCAAAATTGGAGTTTCTTGAAAATACCACCCAATGACATATAATGAAGACATTTTTCCAAATTAGTAGGTCAAGACTTAGGCAAGTGTGTAAATTAAATTTCTGTTGGCTTGTATGGTTTTGATATCCCCAAACCACTCAGATAGATATGCATATTGGGGCCCCTGATGTGCTCTGCACTAGAAATAACTTTCTGATAATCAGAATTGTCCTAAAATTGATGTGGCATACAAGATATGAAGTAAATTTTGTTTTGCCATAGATGGCCAGGGGCTAGGTGTCATTTGACTGAATGTTGTGAGTTTAAATATTAGAGTGGATAGCCGCTGAGTTTGCTGTTAGCCTCATGACCAAGTGATATGATACGGTCTTAAACAATAGGAGAGGTTGAACACCCAAAACTGTGACTTTGCTTCTTAGCAATCAGCCACTTTAGTCCTGTTCTTCTTTCCACTTTTGCCTACTTTTGAATCAAAAATATCATTGTTCTTTATCCTTTGGCATTTGTCCCTTTCATTCTATACGTTTGCTCTTTAGTCAATAAATATTTCCTTCTTCATGCAATGTGTATCTTTCTCCTTTCTCAAACCTCCTTTCCTTTCCCTTTTGTGTTGAGTTGGTGATTCAGATTTATCCATGGTTTTGATTAATAAAATGTCTCATCTCATATAATATCATAAGTGTCACAGGGCAAAGCACCAAAGGGTACCAATGGACATGGCCAGGAACAGAAACATAAAAATTAATGCAAAAGGGGTAAGCAGCCTCTATCTTCAAAAGAAGATGGGGAGTTAGATCTAGATATCGACTAGTCATATCCTTCAATGTTTAAAGGATATTGGCCCATTGTTCTGACAGTGCTTTTAAAAAAACCACTGTCAATTCTAGTTAGGTTTATCTATTTAAAACTAGATACTGTAGTTTGGTTATAATGTGAATTAAACCAGCTTTTGTGTGCCATGCTGGAGGCTAAACCACTTTTTGTCCTTCTTTCCACTGTTTCAAATCCATTGAAAAGGCATTATAGTTGCCAAATAATGGATTTCTAAACAGATAGTTGGTGTCTGTAAGTGAAATTAGAAGTCAAATGCCAATGAATGGTATGGTTAAAATGTGATTTGAAGTTCTTAGTTTATTCAATATTTTTTATAAGTTCCAAGAAATTACATAGAAAAATGGGTTCTTATAAACAAAAGCTATGAGGTTATAAATTTCTTCACAGCATAGGTATGACCTATATCAATATCTTGCAAAGTTCACAAGACAGTAACCAAAGAGTTCTATTCCTAGAAAATGAGTCATTGGGATGTTGCTGAGAGTTCAGTCTGTGGTTCCAAAAAGGTCTTATGTTACCAAAATCTTTGCATACACAGAACATTAAAACCCCTCCCACCAACTGCCTTTGGAGTAATAGCTAGGGTTTCTGGGAGAAGGGCTGGGGAAGTGTTCAGAAAAGTTTTCATGATCAATATAAAAATAATGCAAGGTCTGCAGACCACACGTCCTAGATGATGGAGACAGTAAGTAGACAGTAGACAACCTGAGAAATTCCTATTTGCAGGTGGAAGGAGAGAGCACTTACAGAGAAAAATCTACTGGGGTAGCTATTTCTATGAAAGAGATGAAGTCAGTCAGAAGTTCATTAATATCAAAACCTTGACTAACAAGAAGGATCAGGAGATAGAAGCATATTAAAAAGTGTAATGACTTTCAATTCAGACAAACCCAGATTCAAAACCTGGTCCTTCTCCCTAACAGATGTCCACCCTTTGTTGTTTTGCTTTAACCTTCTTAAGTACCAATATTTTAATATCAACATTTCAGATTGTAATACATAGTAGGATTAAATTAGATAGTATATAAAGTACTTAGCACATCAGACCATGGTCTCCTAGACAAACACAGAAAAAAGATCATTACAACATACTATTTTTATCATAGGGAATCAAGTAACAACAAAACAAATCAATGCCAGAAAATATTCTGAGTCTGTGTCTTAACCATTTAATGACTTCGGTACCTCATAATGGAAAGTGTCATTTGTAAATAAGAATGTTGCAAGATCTTTGATTTCTGAGAATGATGCAATTGTGTACATTATTTTCTACTTACGGAACTGGGATGCTGAATTAATATATAGGTTTTCAATAATGAAGGATTTTTGAAGTCTGCATAATTTTCAGTAAAACAGAAATCCCATATTTAAAAAAACAGCACCAGCAATAGTAAAAGCCTTATATTGAATGCTTGCTACATGTAATACTGCATTCTGCTAAGCGCTTTACGTGAATCATGTCACTTAACCTCACAACAGCCTATGAAGTGAGTTACTATTGTGTTCTCCATTTTAGTGAGAAGAAGACTGACAGAAAAAGAATAAGTAAACTTACATTACATAACCACTAAGAGGCAGAACTAAGACATAAAAAAGTGAGGCAACATAATTCCAAGACAAGATCGCGTATGCACTTTTATATGCTGCATTGCTTGCCTTCTGGGTTATCAAGGTTTACTCCATCACCGGCATCTGACACATTTCTCTCTACTCATGTTTCTCTTCTGCATTTCGCTGTGTTTCTTGTTCTCCTGTGTGTTGTCTCTCTGCATTCTATCTACTTCTTATTTTTCAAAATGACTGTGCCCCCCTTTAGGTCTCTCTCAGACAACGTCATTGCCCTGTGTTTACTTCAAGGCCAATCGCTTCACCAGACGCTGGCTGAAAACTTATTTTGGAATGTTCAGGCAAACTCCCACTACTTATTGTTTTTCACACCTATCAAGCCATGAAACAAAGTTACTTATATGTTTTTAAATGCATATGAGTCAGAATCCACTCTTTTTTTTTTTTTTTTTTTTTTTTTTGGAGACAAGAGTCCTCGCTCTGTCACCAAGCCTGGAGTGCAGTGGCGCGATCTCGGCTCACTGCAAGCTCCGCCTTCCGGGTTCACGGCATTCTCCTGCCTCAGCCTCCGGAGTAGCTGGGACTACAGGTGCCCGCCACTACATCCGGCTAATTTTTTTGTATTTTTAGTAGAGACAGGGTTTCACCATGTTAGCCATGATGGTCTCCATCTCCTGACCTCGTGATCCGCCCGCCTCGGCCTCCCAAAGTGCTGGGATTACAGGCGTGAGCCACCGCGCCCGGCCGGAATCCACTCTTCTAACAAAGGCTGACACCTCAAAATTGGTGTTTCCTTTTGAGACTTGGACATTTCCTAGAAACATGAAGAAAACTCCTTTAGAACAGTTTCTTTTTTTTAACTTTTAAGTTTGGAGGTACAAACCCAGGTTTGTTACATAGGTAAACTTGTTTCATGCGAGTTTTTGTACAGATTATTTCATCACCCAGGTATTAAGCCTAGTACCCATTAGTTGATTTTTCTGATCCTCTCCCTCCTCCTACCCTCTGCCCTCTGAAAGGCCCCAGTGTGTGGTGTTCTCCTGTGTCCATGTGTTCTCATCATTTAGCTCCCAGTTGTGAGAACATGCAGCATTTGGTTTTCTTTTCCTGCGTTAGTTTGCTAAAGATAATAGCCTCCAGCTCCATCCGTGTTCCCACAAGACTTGATCTTGTTTTTTTATGGCTGCATAGTATTTAATGGTGTATATCTACTACATTTTCGTTATCCAGTCTGTCATTAATGGACATTTAGGTTGATTCCATGTCTTTGCTCTTGTGAATAGTGCTGCAATGAATGTATGCATGCATGTGTCTTTATAATAGAATTACTTATATTCCTCTGGGTATATACCCAGTAATGGGATTGTTGGGTCCAATGGTATTTCTGTCTTTAATCCATCTTGAGTTCACTTTGTATATGGTGTAAGGAAGCGGTACCATTTCAATCTTGTGTATATGGCTAGTCTGTTATCCCAGCACCATTTATTAAATAAGGAATCCTTTCCCCATTGCTTGTTTTTGTCTTGTTTGTCAAAGATTAGATAGTTGTAGGTGTGTGGTCTTATTTCTGGATTCCCTATTCTGTTCCATTTGTCTGTGTGCCTATTCTTGTACTAGTGCCGTGCTCTTTTGGTTACTGTAGCCTGGTAGTATAAGTTGGGTAGCATGATGCCTCCAGCTTTGTTTTTTTTTGTTTTTGTTTTTATTTGTTTTGCTTAGGATTGTCTTGGCTATTCAGGCCCTTTTTTGGTTCCATATGAATTTAAAAATAGTTTTCTTCTAGTTTTGTGAAGAATGCCAATGGTAGTTTAATAGGAATAGCATTGAATCTATAAATTGTTTTGGGCAATATGGCCATTTTAATAATATTAATTCCTTCTATGCATGAGCATAGAATGTTTTCCATTTGTTTCCGTCATCTCTGATTTTCTTGAGCAGTGTTTTGTAGTTCTCTTAATAGAACTCTTTCATCTCTCTAGTTAGCTGTATTCCTAGGTATTTTATTGCTTTTTTTGGCAACTGTGAATGGGAGTTTGCTTGCGATTTGACTCTCTGCTTGACCATTGTTGATATATAGAAATGCTAGGGACTTTTGCACATTGATTTTGTATCCTGAGGCTTTGCTGAAGTTGTGTATCAGCTTAAGAAGCTTTTGGCCTGAGACAATGGGGTTTTCTAGATATAGAATCATATCATCTGCAAACACAGACAGTTTGACTTCCTCTCTTTCTATTTGAATACGCTTCATTTCTTTCTCTTGCCTGATTGCCCTGGCCAGAACTTCCAATAATATGTTGAATAGGAGTGGTGAGAGAGGGCATCCTTGTCTTTTGCAGTTTTCAAGGGGAATGGTTCCAGCTTTTGCCCATTCAGCCTGATGTTGGCTGTGGGTTTTTCACATATGGCTCTTATTATTTTGAGGTATGTTCCTTCAATACTTAGTTTATTCAGAGTTTTTAACATGAAAGGATGATGATATTTATCAAAAGACTTCTCTGCATCTATTGAGATAATCGTCTGGTTTTTGTCTTTAGTTCTGTTTACGTGATGCATCACATTTATTGATTTGTGTATGTTGAACCAACCTTGCATTTCTGGCGTGAAGCCTACTTGATTGTGATGGATAAGCTTTTTGATGTGCTGCTGGATGCAGTCTGCTAGTATTTTGTTGAGAGTTTTTGCATCGATGTTCATCAAGGATATTGACTTGAAGTTTCCTCTTTGTTTTACCTCTGCCAGGTTTTGGAATCAGGATAATGCTGGCCTCCTTAGGAAGTAGTCCCTTCTTCCCTCCTTTTTGGTTTTTTGGAATAGTTCAGTAGTAATGGTACCAGCTCTTCTTTGTACATCTGGTAGACTTCAGCCAGAAATCTGTGTGGTCATGGGTTTGTTTGTTTGTTTTGTTTTGTTTTTTGTTTGGCAGGCTATTTATTGCTGCCTCAATTTCAAAGCCAGTTATTCACCTGTTCAGGGATTCAATTTCTTTCTGGCTCAACCTTGGGAAGGTGTATGTACCCAGGAATTTATCCATTTCTTCTAGATATTCTAGTTTATGTGCACAGAGGTGTTTATAACATTCTCTCATGGTTCTTTGTTTTTTCGTGGGGTCAGTGGTAATATCACCCTTATAATTTCTGATTATGTTTATTTGAATCTTCTCTCTTTTCTTCTTTATTAATCTAGCTAGTGGTCTATTTTATTAATTTTTTCAAAAAACCAGCTCTGGGATTTGTTGATCTTTTGAAGGGTTTTTCGTGTCTCTACTCCTTCAGTTCGCCTCTGATTTTTGTTATTTTTTAACTGCTAGTTTTGGGATTTGTTTGCTCTTGGTAGAACAGTTTCAATACAAAGCTAAGGTAAACAAAACCCAGTGAACTCTTTAACAGGTTATTTGTATACAATATTCAAGCATATTATATGGTCTAATTTATTTTACATGTACTTTTATGATTCAGATGTTAGAAAATGCATCCCCCTCCAATATTTTTGGAAAAAAACGTGATTAGAATTTTCTTTTGAAGTTTTGCAAACCAGGGAAACTTGAGATTCCTTTTCAATAGATGACAACACCCTATCCTTTTAAGTTAAATGGCTGCCAGGAAACTACCAAAAACAGTTGAGAAATGATGTGCAAATTTGAGACGAGACCTGTCACTTCATTTTTCCTCTCTAGCTTTTCACCAGCCTGAAACTTTGAGAAAAAAGAGAGGACAATAAGGAAATTTGGGGCAGATTATTAATGTGAACTTTAGCATATCAATAATAAAATAATTTGCCTGGACTTAATTATTTTTATCCCAAATTGTCTTCCTAAAACATGTTTTTGTCCTGATGTAATGCAAGTGATGAGTACTTTCAGTTAAAAAATTCTTATTTAGTAAACAGTTTCATTTGTAAATGATACTCTGAGCTCAGACACAAATGTATGTCCCACAAACCTATTTAAGCCACGAGAAACACTAGAGCAACTACCCATGAAATAAATGCCCATGTTGGGGAACAGATCTGAAAGCATTGTGAATTGTAAGTATTTTATGTAGGAAAGTTAAATGCAACAGTTCATAGTTTTATGTTCTGCCAACTTAACCATGAGCCTAATCTTTGTTATGCTTTTTTCTATTATTAGCTGAGATTTAAGAGGCATTTGGAAGTGCCCCAGTTAGCTGGAAACAGATGGCCTGTTCTTTCTCTTCTTAGAATCAACCAGAGAGCTCTACAGTAGCTGCTCAACTGTGGCTTCAGATTGTTTAGGGTTTTTTTGTTTGCTTGTCTTTTGTTTTTTTTGGGGGGTTTTTTTGTACACATGATGATGCCCTATTTTGGCAATTTACGATACTGTACAATCTTTCAATTCATCATTGCTTAAGTGAAATGCTATACTTTAGTAATCAATGTTCAAAAACTTCCTATCGTACAAACTTTTCAACTTTTATGTAGACTATTATGAACTGGCAACCTCTGGACTAGTTTAATACAAGTGGCACATTTTTGTGACAGTACTAACAGTATATAATATTGCTTGCCCTGGAAGGTTGTATAGCAATGGAAATAGAGCACAAGTGATACATACATGAGAATGTGAAAATCTGCCATCTTTATCCCATCAATATTTGCTGATGGATCTTCCCTCAAAGAATTAAAACAAATGAAAGATAAATTCAAAAAGTCATACTTTTTACACAGAGTTTTGCTTTTAAAAAATGTCAATCATTTGTGAAGAAGCATTACAGAATATTATTTCACAAAATCTTAGATGTGAAAGCGAACCTAGAGATTATTCAATCCAATCACTTCATATTTAAGTTTAAAAAACTGAATTCTATGAAGGATCACAGAGCTACTCAATTAGTAGCAAGACCAAGCATAGGACCCCAATTTCCTGACTCAAAGTCCAGTCTTTACTATTTTATGATTAATTACTTTTGTTTCAGGTGTTTATCTCAAAAGTAGATTGTACTAATTCAGAAATGTAAGACACTTCTTATTTTGTGAGAATCAGACTGACATTAGTGGGAATTCCAAGTCGTAACTGCTTTCCTGTCAAACTGGGACCTAAATTTACTGATGCCTTCTGAGTAAATCAACAAATAACACTAAATGCCGTTACGGCTTTGTGCCATTCTAGCCTTATCCTTGATCACATCTCATAAAATGGAAAAGGGGTGAAGGGTTGAGAGTGAGCTTTGGGAACTAAGTCTCTAACCTCTTTGGCTCTATTTCTTAAATTAAAATGTGAAAAATTTATAGTTTAGTTAATAGTAATGTACCAATGTTAATTTTATAGTTTTTACAAATGTGCTTGATAACATAAGATATCACCACTGGAGGAAACTAGGTGAAAGATGTGGGGTACACAGGTGCTCTCTGTACACTTTGAACTTTTGTGTAAATCTAAACTTATCTCAAAACAAAAAGTGTTTTTAAAGCAAAACAACAACAAAAACACCCCAAAAATTATAGTCATGGGCACTAGATTAACCTTGAAGCACAGAGACAGATATGTAAGTATGTTTCTTATCAATGATGTTTGTAATCAATGCTATGAAGTATAGATATTTTAAGAGCAATAGAGATGAAATCTCAAGCTTTTCTCTGATATTTGCTCTTATTAAGTATTTGTAGCAGTAACAAATACTTCACCAATAACCACCCCACCCTCATCTCCCTTACACAGACATAAAGACACTCAGACTTCTGAAACTTATCCTGATATCTCTCAGTCACTTCTGCAGCTGAGTAGTCCCATGCTTCAGGCCCTTGCCTAGGAGGCTGAAGGGGGTGGAGAAGCTCCCATGTTATGCCCCATCATAATCATTTTCTTCCAGTGCTCTGCCTCTCCCAGCAAACTGCTTGCCACCTTTTGCATCACAAAAATCACAGTGCTTTTCCACCTCTCATCCTAATGAAGTCCACGAGGATGATTAAGTGGACCTTCAGAATTGTGGAGAGGGGGGAAACAAATGTTAGTAAGAGTATTTTTTTATGCTTGGAATTTGCATTTGACACTTCTTAATTACTGTTAAAGTAATATCCAGATTCTAAATATCAAGGCATACTATGTTTATATTGTAGATTGTGTTTGGATAATTCTATTTTCTCTGGTATGATGTTATGCTTTTGGGACACATTTTCCCACTAAAGTGGGAAGTGCAAACCTATTTAATAATGATCTCAACACAGCACAATTTAAAATGATAATTGGAAATGATCTTTTGTACAGCATCACGAGATAACTATACAAATGAACTCTTGTATGGTTAATAATGTATTTAAAACTTGAAAACTGCTAAGAATAAATCTTAAATGTTCTCACCACACACACACACAAAAAGACAACAATGTGAGTTCATGGATATGTTACTGGGCTTGATTGTGGTAATCATTTCATAACGTATATGTATATCGAAACATCATGTTGTATACCATAAATATATACAATTTTTGTTTATCAATTATACCCCAATAAAACTGAAGAAAAAAAGAATCAAAATATGCCCAAAAGACCACTGGAGGAAAAAAATACAACAAAATGATTACTTCTGGGTTAAAATTCTGATAATGCCACTTTGAACAAGTTACTTAATGTCCCTGAGCCTTATTTTTCACATCTTTAAAGTAGAGATAACAATTCCTAAGTCTTTGTGATTATTAATGAAATAACGAACCAAAATGTGGGCTGTAATTGTACCTATTCCATAGGGTTAGTACACGTAAATGAGATGGGATGTACCATTTTCGCAGAGTATCTAGAGCACAGGTAGCACTTAATAAAATGTTGACCATGTGCTAACCTGCTAACAAGGAAGCCCTCACATGGGCTCCATTCTTGCTGCTAGCTAACTTCTTTTACAACATGGCTCATTCATACCATATTAAGTAGAACACCATTTTGAATTATAGGTGTGATTAAGTACTTGCTGATTATTTCTACCCTTTCTCTCCACACACATATCGTTTAGCAAACATCTAAATCTGATTTAACAAGCTTATCTTTTACTAGGTGGTTTTTCATATTACTGAAGTGTTTTATATAACCACAGAGATTCTCCATAGTTTTTCATTAAATAACTTGCTCGCATTCCTTATATTGAACCTAAAACATGTTAATTTACCAAATGCTAACATAAATCAAAGTTTTTAGGAACACATCTGTTGTATAAAACAGATCACACCTGTACACATTGTTAATGCACACATATAAATAGTAAACCAAAGTATATTATTGTAGGAAATCTAAAGAGTAAAATAATAAACTCCTATTTAGAGTTAAAAGTATGTAATTAAGCAAAATACTGGGTCCATGGTAACTATGCAATCGAAAAATACATCAACTGAATTATCATGCTAATGATAAACTCTTCTAGGAATGACTGTGAAGTCATTCTGTCTTTGAAATTGATTATTTATTTCATAAACCTATTGTATTCATGGAATCTATTTTACTAATTATGAGATTATTTTATGATACCTTTTGTTTTTATCATAAGTCAGTGTCCTCAGTATATTTAGATTCTACTTTATGTTGTGTATGTTTTTTCATTCAAAATGTTCTTTAGGAAAAAAAAAATTTGAGCAGAAACAGGCTGTCCTAGGACATCCTTTCCTTTAGAGACATGAGTTTCTCCAGCATAAAAAAATGATTGGATTCCAAATTGGTTAAATAGCATCTTCTGTAACAGTACAGTCACATGTTGTCTTGTTACCGTGGAACATGTACTGTCATTTCAGAAGAGCCATTCTGTGAAAAAGTTTTATTTGGCCCACATAGCCAATCCTCGGATTTGTGGATGTTACCTCCTTTCTGTGTTACCAGTTTTTTTCATCATCATTATTGCTTCTGCTTCATCAGCTGTAACACAGTTTAGGGCAATCCTTTTAAAGAATGAGATGTTTCTCAAAATAGACAAAACAGTTGGCCAGACAGAAAAGAGATATCAACAAAATTAGGTCAGTTGTTTGTCTGTGTGTTGCTCCCTGAAACACTTCAGAGACACACCATCTCACACATGTGTAAATGAACAGACATTGAGTAAGCATATCACCTGTGCATTCCAATACAAATTTTTATCCTATTTTATTAAGGAAAGTAAATGATATGCAAAGTGATTTCATTCAGAGAATACAGGACCAAAACAACCAAATAAATTCTTGGTTCGGACCCTCTTTAGCAAGCCCTCTAGGTGTTTCTGATGCAAGCTAAAGGTTGAAAAACACTCTGTAGCAACACAGAAGGAATAAGGCACAGTACTTGCCCTTAAGCACTTCTCCTTGGTCTCAAGGAATTCCCAGCTGCTTCAAATTTGCATTTTAATTACCTAGCACAGTTTTATCATATATAAGCTTAGTTGATAATGATAATATTATTACTGCTTAAGAGTGTAATGGTTTTTCATCTCTTCTTGAGCAGTCATTCAATCAAGTGTTTATTAGAAAGTAGTAGTTAGTATCCATTACAAAAATCCTTATGAATCTTATGAGTTGAGCTGCATTGTTATTGCTTGTTGCAACACACACATAGAGAAAGAATTATAAAATATAAAATCTTAAGGGACAAATATTTTCAATAAAGAATTTTAAAGTGATTTTTGTGTTGTGTTTAAATTCTAGATAATATTATTAAGCTTATACTTGCTATCTTCTCATGTTTATTAATATAGGTTGTTTACAGCTTTCTGACAGCACAATTAATATACAATTAACTATACATATTTATAAAGCATTTAATTTGATAAATTTTGACACATATATACATAGTATCATAAAACAGTTTGTAGAGGGGCTTTCAATTCTAATAGATTACAAGTATTCATTACTTGTGCAAGTTTTCCCCCTTCCAACCCTAATTTCGAAGTGGGACTGCAAAGAAGGCTTCCTGAGTAAAGTAACATGAGCTGAGATTTGTAAAACAACTGGATACCTGCCCAAGTGAATACAAAGGGGAAGAGTTTTACAGAATGGAAATAAAGTCTATCTCACCCAGACTTCTAGACTTCTCACCTCTGACATCTAGACTTATGGCTGTTGTAACTTATCATCACATTGGGTTTTGAAATATTTACTCAATTTCTTTGTTTCTTCTTATAATTCCAAATGAGATGAGCTTAACAGGGCAAGTGAAATAAACAACACTGTTTCTGAGAGTAGCCATCCCTGCAGTTTGTTTCTTGCATTAGAGTAACTTGTTTAGCTTTGACCATCAATCCACTCTGGAATTCATATTTATATGCTGTGTGTATTATAGAGAACAGCATGAGTAAAATTATATTTTCACTTTTAAAGAATGAAATCTAATAGCTTGCCTTTAATTTCCTTTTTACCTTCTTCTTCCTCTGAGCAAATTATTACCTCCCCAAATGTTCATTTATCATTACTCCCATGTGTTAATACTGAGACTTTACTTTTTCTTCTCTCATTTGCTTTATTTCCTCCTTTGCAGGTTGGCTTCATGAGTTGGGAAAGAGACTGGAATCTCCATACTATGGCAACAATACCTTGGGGGGCCCGTCGATCCGAAGTGCCTATATTGCCGCTCTGTACTTCACGCTGAGCAGCCTCACCAGCGTGGGTTTTGGGAACGTCTCTGCTAATACAGATGCAGAAAAGATCTTCTCCATCTGCACCATGCTGATTGGTGGTAAGAGAGCATCTTCTTTTATACTAAGAAGAGGAACTATGCCTACCTAACTGTCACTGCCTGTTTGTTCTGTCCTGAAATACAAAACAGATAAACTGATTAACACTGGAAGATTCTAAAAGCACTAATTAGACAGTCTAGATGCAAAGCTGTAGTTGTCTCTGTGGTTCCATGTAAAAAAGGACTTGAGAGATTAACACACAAGAGCATGCATTTAAGAAGAATGGAGCAAGATTAACACGTGGGGCTCCTCTTATGTAGAATCATTACCTCATCCAGCTTACTGTTTTATCCTGCAAAGGTAAGATGAAGTAAGAGGTGGCTATGTAGGCAAACTTATAATACACATTTGCCCTGCCCACTAGGATATGTACTCTGGACAGTGGCTTAGAACCTGAATTTTCCTAGATCCTCCAACTTACTTTTACATATGCCCTCTTTCTGGTCCACATTGTGGCCTTGAAACTATGGATCAAGTCTGTTTCAGACTCTTCACTCAGTTTCTTCATCTTTCAAATGAGGTATTAGGCAAGATGCAACTGTGGTTCTTTCTATCTCTGATGTAATGTTATATGACCATAAATATCATTGCTTTCTATAAAGCAAGGGTATTAGTAAGATCCAGCAGTACTTCTCCCAATAACAAAACAAATTTCATTTAGATGTGAATTGTATTTTCAGTCTTCGCACTTCTCTCCCTAGGCAACTCATTTTATAAGACTCAATGAAAGAGGGTGGTTGATTCAGCAAACATCTATCCCCACTCCTGGAATGAAAGCCCCAAATACACTTACTTTGGAAAGCTCAAAACATTAAAAAATTAGGAAATTTGCCCAAAATGCTCTCTAGAGAATTTTATGACAATCAAAAACAGGAACAAATATTTCTTATATGAACATAATGAAATAATCTGCATTTTATATTTCTCTTCAAAGAAATCAAATTTTTAAAGCATTAAGCATATTTTTTAAAGCCAGTAAGTTCAATATTCTGTTTAACTAAGAGACAGCTATGATTCATAAATATACATAAAGTCTGCAAAAACTGAGACTCATAGATGGCAAACGTGAGGAGAGATGGGAAGACTTGACAAGAGGGTCTAGCATGTCAAATCTCAGAAAGCATCAACAAAAATACACTTCCTAAGTATGAGGTTCATGATCCAAAGTGCAAAAGCTATCACCCTCCTTTATTGCAAGTAAGAGCACCAAGTGAGCAAGTTTGGTGGAGAAGTAGAGAAGGCTCAACTCACAAAGAATCACACGGACCATTCATATTTGCAGAGATCATGCTAACAACAGACAATAATTCAAAATATATTAATAAAGTTATTGCTGTTATTAAAGAAGACCACAAACAAAAAGTATCTTAGAAAAGATATAATAACAGAGGTTAAAGATAAGCTAAAATAGCTAAGCAAAGACGTAAAAGAAAAAAGCAAAGCCATCTTATGCACAAAGATAAAATTGAAGAGAAAAAAGGGAATAGATATTGCAAAGAATATAATGAGTCATAAAGGATAAAAAGAAGGAAAGCAAAAGGAACTGAAGGGAAGGAAGAAAAAGTGGAGAGAAAAAACAAAAAGAGACAGAGGGAGGAGAGGGAGAGAGATAAAGGATGGAAGGCAGGCAGGCAGGCAAAAGAAAGAAAGAAAAAGAGTGAGTGACAAAGACAGAAAGAAACAAACTTAAAAAGAGTAGAGAAATCCCTAACAGTAGAAAGCAGGCTAAGGAGAACCAACATATGTATATTGCTTGTTAATACATAAATAAATTTTAATAAGAGTCAGCAGATTCAAGGGAAGACTTTTCACTATATAGCATTTTACATAATTTTTTAAAAAAATTTTGATAACATGAATTATTGCATGTAATTTTTTTAAGCAAGAAGAAGAGAACTAGCTAGATAGAGGCACAATAGAAAGGAAGGAAAATAACAGGCTTGATTCAACCATTTATGTATTCAAATATTGTATTAGTTAATTCTCACACTGCTAATGAAGACATATCCAAGACTGGGCAATTTATAAAGAAAAAGAGGTTTAATGGATTCACGGTTCCACATGGCTGGGGAGGCCTCACAATAGTGGTGGAAGACAATGGAAGAGCACAAGCACATTTCACATGGTGGCAGGCAAGAGAGCACGTGCAGGGGAACTGCCCTTTATAAAACCATAAGATCTTGTAAGGCTTATTTACTATCAGGAGAACAGCACAGGAAAAGCCTGCCACCATGATTCAACTACCTCCCACTGGGTCCCTCCCCACAACACGTGGGGATTATGGGAGCTACAATTCAAGGTGAGATTTTGGTTGGGGACACAGCCAAACCATATCAAGTGTATAACCAAATACTTACTGAATGTCTATTATATGCCAACACCAATACAATAATAAATAGTGAACATTTATTAGTTGTTTTTATGTTCCATTCTCTGTTCTAAGTGTTCTGACATAATACCATAATTTTTAAAGCAAATCTTTGGGGTTGGCACTATTATTATTTCATATAACAAACAGACAATTTATTATACTATTTTCTCTGGACTCCAAACCCACCTTTATTTATTTGCTTTGTAATGCTGGGGTTTGTACTCTGCAAAACTCATTCTTCTTCGCTAGCTGACCTCAGTTGCTTTCTCTTATGGGAGGAACCAAGGGAAGACTGGCAGGCAGGAGGAGGGGAGGAGGGACTGCCTGCTCTGGTGTGCATGCTGTTCCCTCAGTGGAGGCGGGCACCTCAGCAGCAGCAGGTGGTTTCAGCCTTCATTCTCAGAACCAAACTGATTGGACCTCCTCAGACAATCTTGCATCAGTCAGGGGCACTATCTTGTCCAAAGAGAACCCTGGCTCCCTGACACTCCACACAGCTCCTGCTCTGTGTTTCTATGTTCTGATAACTGCACTTCTTCCCTTTGTGTATCCAGCCCTAAGGGTTAAGCCTTCTACATTTGCTATGTCCATGTTACCTCTATGCTCCCTTTTTATTTATTCAGCCTTCCAACCCCAGGAAAACCAGTTCTCTATACTGAATTACTGCTGTTGAAATATTTAGTGTAATTTCTTTCTTCTAAATCTTCCAACTGATGCAGATTGATATTATCCACATTTTTCAGATGACAGATCTAAAGTATGGAGAATTAAAGTAACTTTCCCAATGCCACACAACCAGTTAGTAAAGATGCAAGGTTTGAACCCAGGTGCATACTTACTTCTCTCCTTAAATATGTAAAGGGAAACTTTACTGAACTATAAGACTGCTGTGATGGAGTATTAGGAGATGTTGAAGTCTACCTTGATCAAGTAAGCATTCTTCTTAGGCTAAAGTTCTGTTAATATTTTCTGCCCCACAATATTCCCCTCAAAGCCTGTTTTAGCATGTCCTCTTAATGACCTTAATTCAAGATATCACTTTGAGTTTTGAACCTTATAATAGGAGATGGCTCCTACAGGCTTCCTTGCATGAGAGATGTGATATGAGTGTGTGGGTCTTAAGCAATGGATCACGCAGCATACAGTGAAATCAAAGAAGTATAAAAACAAACCTTCCCTCAAAGAGCTTATGATCCAGTTTGGAGGAGATGGGCTTAAACATGTGGAAAGAGTTTTAATGATACCAGGCAGTAAATGCTAAGTGCCACATCAGTTAGGAAGTTCAGAAGCAGTGAGAGTTTCTTGGAAAGACAGTGCCATGGCACAGTTGTTCAAGTAGCATGCTGGGGCTGCAGCAACTGTAACAAGCTCTTGGCTGATGTAGAGCAGTGACAGCCTAGGGAGCAGAGAACAGGAATTCTCATTTTCTGAAGAGCTACAATGTGCCAGGCCCTGTGGTGACTGTTTTATATCCAGCGTTATGACTTTTATAATTTCCATTCTCTGTGATATCCCATATTTCAGCCAAGCAAAATCACAAGCATTTTGCAGATAAACACAGTCTATACTTATTTAATACTTGCCCATGTTTCTTCTACTCCTGATGATAATTTTGGGAAATGCTCAAAGCCTAATTCTACTAATTTGACATTTCAAAAAATCCATAAGATAATTGAGCTTATTATCTATTGATCCACTTACTGTATTGTGAGTAGTACTGAATCAAAAATTGTTAATGCACAAACTATTCCCTGCTGTTCTCTGTAGGTAGGTGCGACACTGATCACAAGGCCAAAAGATGTGGGAAATAATCTGATAATGTCACTTTGTTTCTTGTTTGTTGAATGTTTATTGAGCAAATGTCCTGGTGCAAAATCAGTGCTCATTGGTAAGTGGCATTAAAAAATTTAGGTGACCCGAGCAGCACTTAGGAAACTATTCATTTGAAAGTCAAATGCCATCTAAGTGACTTGAATTTATTAGTTAAAGCTTTTCATATTTGTGTTTGTGGGGAAATAATTTTATATTATTGTGAAAATTACCCTGGCTAGGAAAAATGATGCCTGCATTTTAATATTTCCTAATTAACTAATTAATTGTAAAATGTTGAGAACTAATCATAAGAGCTCACACTATTGAGCACTTTGTTCATTTAATTCTCATAATACTGTGAGATAGAGATTATTAATACCCCAATTTAGACATAAGGCAGAAGAGATTTAGTGAGTTTAAATCCAGGACTCACTAAGACCTGGCAAACTTCTTCTAAAATATTCATTTTATTATGTACTATAAATTTATTTTGTTTACTTAATTTTTATAAATATAAACAAATAATTTATTTTTAAAAAGAAAAATCTAAAATTTGTGTTACCATAGACTTAAGTCTAGGGTATCTCACTAGGAATCCCCCACACAAGGCTGATGAAATTGCTAATGGCAAGGATGCAATATACTAGAAAAATCGGCAGTAGCAATATTAAATGAGAAAGGGGACTGGCAAAACTCCAGATAATTATCAAGGACAGAGATAATATTGCTCAGTGAGAAGAAATGGGTGAAAAAATGCTGAATGGATCCACCTAGGAGTCCTCTGGGAACCCACCAGAATTTCCACAGGAGTTGTACAGGTTTTATTTTATATATATATATAAATATACATATATACACACACACACATATATATACACATATGTGTGTGTATATGTATATAAACATAAACTTTATATATATGTGTATATATAAAGTTTTCATTTAAGATGCCATATAAACTTCCATATAGGCATCTGTAATTATGGAGTGTACAAACCACTAATATATGGGAGGAATATTTAAAACTATAAATCAGAGAGATTTAAAGCAAAAATAGTTTCTAAAAATTATACATAGACAAAACCATGTGAACTTTGAGAACACCCAAAACAAATAAGTAATTCTAATAGCTTCAGATGAATATCAGAATTAATGAGCGAATTCAATAATGTTTATGGACACAAGATCAATATGCAAAAAATCAATTGCATTTCTATATACTAGTAACAAATTAGAAATAAAATATAAAAAATGATTACAAATAATTAAATATGTATGAATAATTATAACTAAAAATTTGTAAGACTTCTATACAGAAAATTACAAAACATTAGTGAGAAAATAATGGAAGGATGTACAATGGTGATGGTTGCTAACAATGGACTCACGTTGCAAAAATATCAGTTGTATTCAAAGTAACCTAAAGACTCAATGCAATCCCAATAAAAATTCCAGTAGATGTGTGTTTGTGTGTGGGTGTGTTTGAAAATTGACAAGTTGTTTCTAAAAATCAGTGGAGAAGAGCTAAAACCAGTCAAAGCTATCATGAAAAAGAACAAAATTGGAAGATTTGTGCTACAGATATCAAAATGTATTTCAAAGTTACAGTAATTAAGAGTGTATGGTGTTTGTTCAATAACAGACCAATAGGCCAATGAAATAGAAGAGAGTTCAGAAACAGACTCACACATGTTGTCACTTCATTTGTGATACGGATGCTACTTTCAGTAAATGTTGTTGGGCCAAATGTATATCTACCTGTTGGAAGACAACCTTGGTCCCTCTTAAAACTGTACATAAAAATTAATTCCAGGTGGATTTTGACCTAAATTTAGGAGGGAAAACAATGAAACTTCTAAAAGGTAATATAGGAGAATATTTTTTATGACGTCTGATTTGGCAAAGGTTTCCTAATCATGACACAAAACGCCCTAGCCTTAAAGGAAAAGAATGATAAATTGAACTGCAGAACTTCTTTTTTATCAAAAGACCTTATTATAAATGTGAAGAGAGAAGCTACAGGATAGGAGAAGATATTTTCAAATGTTTATCTGACAAAGGACTCTCATCTACTATATATAAAGAACTGTTAAATCAATAAGAAAAAAATCAATCAACGCCCTGAAATGGGCAAAAGCTTGAAAAAAACACCTCAGAAGTAGATTTCCAATACCTGAGTAGATGACAAACATATACAAAGGTGCTCAATGTCATTAATCAGTAACATGCAAATTAAAACCAAAATTAGATACCATTTTTGTTCACCAAAATGATATGTTTAAAAACACTGCAACCCTAAGTGTTTGAGAGGATAATGAAACACCTTGACCTCCTCTCCTATACTGTTGATGGGCATGTCAGTCGATACAACTTTGTCAACATCTACCATATCTGAATATACCTCTACTCTGTGATTCAACAATTCCACTTCTGAATATATAACCAATGGAAATGCATACATATATACTTCAGGTTATATACACAGATGTCTATAAAAGCATTTTTGTAAGAATCTCAAACTGGGAATGTCCATTAATAGGAGAATAAATAAGTAAATTGTGAAATACCTATTCAAGAGAACATTATACACTAATAAGAGTAAATGAACTACTATGTCATGGAACCTTATGGATAAATCGTACAAACTCAATGCTCAACAGAGAAGCCAGACGAAAAAAAGTACATATTTTATGATTTTGTTTAGAGAAAGTTTATAGATAGGCAAAGCTTATTAATTGTAATATAATTGGTAACTGTGGTTACCTTTGGTGAAGGGATTGGTTAGTGATTGTGAAGGGGACACAGGGAAGCCTCCAGGATACTAATATTTGGTTTATTTATCTCGGGTGGTGGGAGGTAGTGATTCTATAGCTATGTTTACTTTGAAAAATCTCAATGAGCTTCACATTTAGCAAATGTGTAACTTGTTCTGTATGTATCTTTGATTTTAATTTTACCTTGTAAAATTTTAATAGATGAGCTAAAAATAATATATCAAGCATGAGTTAAGAAGCTAGCTAATAGTGAGCTAAGTTCTTGCCTTTCATATCAGATTGTTTTTAGGTTTGTCTTAACAATAATGAGTCAAGCAATGGAGTACAATTATGTTGTCCAAAATTTTGGTGATAACTGCAAAAATACCCAAAAAAATCATTTTAAAAGGTTGACTTTAGCGAGTGAGATGGGGATGAAGGGATGGGTTTGGGGCTGGACTATTTATCATAGATTTTCTAAACCATTTGCTTACAATTATAAAACTTTTTAAAGAAAGTATCAAACTACCAGAGGCACATTGCAGTTCCATAAATATTTATGGCATACTTAAATTATGCCAAGAGCTGTGCTAGATGCAGGGAAAACAAAGATGACTAAGATATGATACTTTATTTCAAGGAGTTCACAGTTTAATAATGGAAATAGGTACTTAAGCAGATGATGTCCTTTGTTATTTCTATTTTTTTCTATTATAATGCACATTTAGAAAAGACTGGAAAACAAAGAGAAAAATAAAATTACACAGTCTCATTATCAAAAAATAGTTTTCCAGAATTTCCATACATATATAACTATTTTTTGAAATATGTATGTATAACTATTCATATTTTTCACAACCAGACAAAATATACAGAAAAGATTTTCTCATGTCTTTAAAAATTCTTTCATACTAAGCAGTGACTGCTTATAGTCACCTAATGAGTTTGCCCCAGTTGATAGAGTCATCAGCACAGCCTTGGAGGTTGGATAAAGCTTCCTAGTAAAGATCGTTCATCACTGATAACATATTCAGTTTCAATGAAGCATTATTATCACAAAGTAATCAAGGCTTCCCTCGGGTCCCCCCACTGAATACACACACACTACCCTGACATAGTTTTATTGGACCCATATGATGAGCTATTGTGTTCACAAATTCAGGCTGTTCTCAAGATGTCTTTGCACTGCCATTTAAATTCATTATTTAAGAAATTTTTCTCATCTCTATTCTTTCTGCCATCTGCCATCCACAAGCCAGTGTACTTATAACCAAGAATGGAAATTTCCAGGGCAATGAGGAGGTGGGAAAGAGAAGGAGGGCAGCTAAGATTACCCAAAACCTGAGCTCTGGCCTCCTTTTATATCAGTAGAAAACACCCCCTACTTAGCCTCCAAAGCCATTGCAAAATAGTTGGCTAAAGTAATTAGCAATGATGTTATACTCCAGGAGATAAGTGTTGTCCAAAATTCAGGAAAAGAAAGAGAAGGGGGAAGAAAAAGGAGAAAGGAAATGAAAAGAGAAAGGAAAAGACAAAGGGAAAGAGAAAGAGAAAGAGAAAGAAAAAGCCAGGCAGTTCTATAGAAGCACTTCTTTCATTTGAGAACTGCTTACTTTCTTCTTAGATGCCAATTGTTGAGGTTCCTTCCAAGACCTGATACTGAGATGAGATTTTACAAAATGCATTTTATGCAAAACTCCAACACACAAAAAAAGAGACGCCCACACACTCAGCAGGTCTAACACTCAAGAATTATATACATCAAATTTGCTAGAAATAAAGGAAAAGTAAGTGATAATTTCCAAACTGACCTGGATATAGAAGTTCTTGAGTCAAACTTTGATAACAGATGGAATGATGTTTCCTGACAGTTACACACACTCTTTGCCAGGGTGAAATGATAACCAGTGACAGAATGGTCATAATAACTTTGGAAAATGAAAGGCTATGAGGACCAGAATTTTATTTTTTTAACTACTTAAATTAGAAGTAGTTATCTATGCTGAAATGAGACTTTGAAATTGTGGTGACTCAGACATAGACTAGTACTTTTCAACAACACTTATGAATGCTACAATTAATCCAGTAATTCATTTTACTAATAAAATACAACTAGGATGCTAAATAATCTGAACATATTACTTCTCTTACTTTAAGTGCTTTACACATTATAATTAGCAAAGCAAAGTTAAAATCATACACATAATTAAGGAAAGCAGTGTTAAAATAAATGAAACAGAATTGTTCTCTGTACTCGATTTAATCTCCATGGAAAGACTATTACATAGTGTTAAAGATGGTAGGGCTTCCAAACACTTAGCCCATAAGTATATTAAGGGTGCCTGAAGTCGATGTTTAATTTCTTTGACTTGGAGCAGAATCAGTTCTTTTCTTTGGTGAGTGTTTATCATAAGTAGAGCTCTTATCTTCCAAATAAAAGACTTAAGCATCAGAACTGCTGTGCTTCTAAAACAATACAGAAGAATGAACCTCTATTTAGAATCTACAAAGAACAAATCCAACATTTAGTTGTTACACGATATATATTTTTCGTGGAATATTTTTGACCTGTTGGGAAACATTTAATTTTTGAACATTTAGGAATAATACATACTTATACATTCTTGCGTGTATCAAGCATTTATTGAGTATATTTTGAATTTATTTCATCAATAAGTTATGTCTACCAAGAGCCGCTCTTTACTATTTAAGAGGTTGCAGGAAAACCTTAAATCTGAGTCATTTTCCCCAAATTTAATTGCATTGAGCATGCTGAAAATTCATAACATGTTTCACTTTCATAAGGAAAATTACATAAACTGAGCAAATACTGTTTTTGATACATATACTAGGCACTTTTTAAAAAATACATTTGTCTTTAAATCTTGAAATAGCCCTATGAGTAAGGGCTATTTAACATAATGAGTATGCCCATTTAACATGAATCTGTTTAAAGGAATTATGTAACCTACCAAGTTCACACAATTAGGAAGTAGCAAAATCAGTATTCAAATCCAGATCTGTCTGATTCTGAAGTTCATCTTCTCTCTGCAACATTATATTGCTTCTTGTATATAGACCCTAAGTTTAACCCTATTCTAGTAGCTTTTCTAAAATACTGAGGTCTTGTTATGAAGGGAGTGATTTTATAGACATAGTGACCATTATTCCATAGAGAAATTATGTATTACCTAGGAAATAATTTTAATTCCAATGTAAGATTAGAATTAAGTTAGTATGCCAGTGTTTGGTAATTTCTGATAAATGTAGGGGGAGAACAAGATTTGAATTGGGGAGGTCCTGAAATACTCAGGAAGATAGAAGTAATAATATGTTGACATATTTGCACCAATGTATCCATTATGATGCTAAGAAATTTTTAACATAGCTTCTTGGGCACTAAGGTTTTGTACATGTACATTTTGATAGATCCTAATAGACAAGCTACTAAATGTTTAGTCTTTTTTTAAGCCCCAAATTACTGAAACAGATGATTTTACCCAACACATAAGCTTCATACTTCATTCCTAATCCTGTCCCAGAATAAGGATCAGGGATAAAATCTGAATATTACTTAGAGTTGAATTATCCATAAATATGAACGTGCTTGACCCTCATCTTTCTCTCAGTTTCACAGTTCCAGGTGTGTCCAAGGCCTTCTTGGATTATCTGCTGGTTTAGAAACCATTTCGGTTTCATTCTGCTAATGACTAGTGAGTGCAAAATCCTGTCATACCTTCTCTGACTTGATGATACCTAGATGCTTCCCAAAGTGGGTAATTCCTGGAAAGTGAGGTCCATCCTTTCACTCTACTGTTCTCCAGAAGAAATACCCACCCTAAATCTCCATATGCCCTCAAATTCTGGTGAACAAAATTGTTCATGTCATTACACTTTGATGGTAGGTTTGGGACAGGCTCAAAGGGCAGGCTTAGCAAGAAACTGGAGGTTAAATACTATCTGGTTGACAAACCTCATTGAAACAAGAGTCCCATATATATATATATATATATATATATACCCTGCTGGTGCATCTCATGGTGGCAACAAGGACTCTAAGCAGAATACCTCTTTTTCTCTGTGAATTCATTTGTTTCTTGAATGGTCTCAAATTTTCCAATATCTCCCTCAAAATTAAAATAACTGCAGAGCTGGGGTTGGGCTGGGTATTGGAGCTTCACACTGCTCAAGAAATCCTCAGTTACATTTTTAACAACTTCCTCCATATCTGCATTAATATAAATGTATCATATTTAATATTCTAAAACGAATTTTAAATGATGGCTTTTTGAGGGGGTGAGACTAAAATTCCCACAAAGGCTAACTAATTAAAATAGACTTATTTCAAAAATTTATTTCATTCATTACTATTATAAAAGTAATTATTAAACTATAACTTTATAGCTTTTCTATCAAACAATGAAGACTATTTTATTGTAACTATCAAACTATACATAACTATTAAAATAATATAGATGTAAATTGAGTTCAAATAAAAGTTTATCATAACCAGAATGGCAGCTAGCAGGTTAAACGTAAATCAAAGGGGCCTATTTTGCATATGATTGAGTATTTTTAAAGATATTTTTACTCTGATCAAGCCATATGGAATCAAAGTGACTGCTTCAGGATGTACCCTGTGACACACTGTCTGTACCAAAATGCTTGTACCAAAATAGCTGTATCAACATGGCCATGTAACCATGCTCTGCTCTGCTCTGATCCAGGATAAACTGTAAATTTAGATTTACGTGGTGGGCCTCATGTCACATTTCTCTTCCATTATATACTGTGTTGTTCTTTCTAGCCTTGATGCACGCCTTGGTGTTTGGAAACGTGACAGCAATCATACAGAGGATGTACTCCAGATGGTCCCTCTATCACACTAGAACTAAGGATCTGAAAGATTTCATCCGTGTCCATCACTTGCCCCAACAACTCAAGCAGAGGATGCTCGAATATTTTCAAACAACCTGGTCAGTCAACAATGGAATAGATTCAAATGAGGTAATGTTCATTTCTCATGTTGTTTTCAGGCAGAAAGCACATATTCTAAGGTAAACGCAAGATGTTCTAATGCAGGTATCAGAAGTGAAAAGCATACCAACTTCTTTATTCCTTTACATTTTTAATTATTCATGAATCCCAATCCATCTTCTTTCACTTGCTTTGGCTTGTGTTTTCACAATGCCAATTTGGATTGACCGAAGTTTTATATTAACTTGCTGCTTATTCGATCAGGTGGATTTATTTTCCTTCTTATTGTCTCTTTTCAAAGGAATCAATTCTTACGATAATTTAACAGTGTAATCTGGGATAATTATATTAATCAAGTTTCTGTTTCCCTTAACATCAATAAAGTTAAAAAATTCCATCAAAGGGGTTATCTTTATACTTCCAGAAACACCCCAGACTGCCACTATAAAAACAGTATTATATAAATCAACGAACCATTTCATCAACCCACCAGCCAAACCTGTAACCAACATTTTAGTAGTGATTAATTGGTTTCTCCTCTCTTCGCATAATCACCAGTGGGTCCAAATTCCATATCTTCTGTCCTGACTAGGACTCTCTGTGAGAAGGAAGTCACAATGAGTTATATGTTTTCCTGCTAGAGGCTTTTTTAATTTGTTCTGTTTCTCCAGACTTCTTATCAGCTGATTATTCAGTAGCACATAATTCACAGTCACTGAAAAATCTCTCCAGGATTATACATACTTAGATTTCCTCTTCTGTATGCTGGATGGCCAAACAGCAGGAGACAGTAGGAAGAGCATCCCTGCTGTCTTGCAAAGTAAATCAGTTAGACTACACTTACCCCAATTTGATTTCCTCCTTCATCTTCTCTGACAGCTTTTGAAAGACTTTCCAGATGAACTGCGTTCTGACATCACTATGCACTTGAACAAGGAGATCTTACAGTTGTCCCTTTTTGAATGTGCCAGCCGGGGCTGCCTCAGGTCTCTGTCTCTACACATCAAAACCTCTTTCTGTGCTCCGGGGGAGTATCTGCTGCGTCAAGGGGATGCTTTGCAGGCCATCTACTTTGTATGCTCGGGCTCCATGGAAGTTCTTAAAGACAGCATGGTGCTGGCTATTCTTGGTAGGTCTGAATTGAAAAACTTGTATGAAATTTGACTCTGGAGCATAAATTAAGAAGATGAAATGGGGGAAAAAACTGCTATTGAGAGTAGGAAAAGAACAGATGAAGACATGAACTCAGGAGTATTCCTCATATGAGTTTAGTGTGCCTATGTGTTATATCCAACATATTATTTAATTCTTGCAAAAAAATCCAGTAGTATAAATATTATCTCCATTTTAGACATGAATAAATAGTACTTTAGTTAACTAGCCCAGATCACCTAGTAAGAAAATAAACTCAGTTATTTTTTATTCCTAAAGCCAAATTATTAATCATGATATATACTGCCTTCTGGTGAAATAGCTGCTCAGTTTTAAGAGGGCATTTATTTTTGTGGAAAATTAATTCAGAGAACACAAAAATTAAATTGTACCTGTACTAGAAATAGAGCAAAGGTGACTATGTTTCAAGAAAAAGCTCTCATAGCAGTCATTAACCTAATACTGTCAAGGTGACTATAGGCTCTTTTTACTTCCTTAAAGAAAACTTACAAGATATATTGTGAAAATTTTGTGCCACAGAATTGACTCTCAATATTAATACATAATTGGTCTTCATTGAAATATAAAAGGCAGTTGACAAAAATGGCATGCAGAGTTAATGTATTGAAAATCTTATTTACAATTTTATGTAGGGCTCTTTTAAAAACCACTCTAGGCTGGGCACGGTGGCTCATGCCTGTAATCCTAGCGCTTTTGCAGACGAGGCAGGTGGATTGCTTGAGCCCATGAGTTCAAGACCAGCCTGGGCAACATGGACAGACCCTGTCTCTACTAAAAATACAAATAATTAGCTGGCCATGGTGGCAGGAGCCTGTAGTTCCAGCTACCTGGGAGGCTGAGATGGGAGGATCGCTTGAGTCCCAGAGGTGGAGGGTGCAGTAAGCCAAGATAGTGCCACTGAACTCCAGCCTGAGTGCAGAGAGAGAGAGACAGAGTCTCAAAAAAAATCACTCTAATTTTTGTTTGTTTATTCACCTAACGTTTATTGAGGACTTATGAATGAATTCAGTACTGGTCTAAACAGTGATAATGCAGCAAAAAAGAAATGGCCAAAATCCTTGCCTGCATGAAAATTAAACTGAAGTGGAAGATATAATGGGGTCTGAGACCAGCCAAGGTGGTAGTAATGATGGTGAGAGGCAGGTGAATTCAGGATGTATTTCAAACACCAATATAAAACACAATATTTAGAGTTTGTGCTAATAAAAGGGGGTGAATTCAGTACTTTATTTTCAATTTTTAAGAACCTTGTATTTGTAAACAATTATTTGCAAAGTGTGCTCACACACAAGGTCTCATTTAAGCCTTTACAACACAGAGAGACAGATGGTGAAGGTATTTTCTCTGATTTTTCTAAAGTCAAAGCTAACCTAAGACTTTGGACTCTGTATTCAGCATTCCTTCCATGTCTAAACAATATCTATTTTTCTAATTTTAAAAAAACCCTGCACTCATATGTTTATCACAGCACTATTTATGATATCAACAATATGGAATCAACCTAAGTGTTCATCATTGGATGAATGGATTAAAAATGTGGTACATATATGCAATGGAATACTATTCAGCCATAAAGAAGAATGAAATCATATATTTTGCAGCAATATGGATTGAACTGGAGGCCATTATCTTAAGTAAAATAACTCAGAAAAAGAAAGTGAAATACTACATGTTCTCACTTATAATTGGGAGGTAAATAAAGTGTACAGATGGACATAGAGTGTGGAATAATAGACACGGGAGACCAGGAAAAGTGGAAGACTGGAGGAGGGGCGTGAGGGATGAAAATAAATTAATATACAATGTACACCATTCAAGTGATGGTTACACTGAAAGTCCAGACTTCACCACTAGGCAATATATCTATGTAACAAAACTGCACTTGTATCCTTTAAATTTATGCAAATTTTAAAAAACCATTATTCTATATAATCATTGTAGGCCTTCTATCAATGGATTCTGGCTACTAAGCTTCAAAATAGATTATATTTTGGAAGAGAAAAAGAGAACTAATATGTATTGAATCCCTCATATGAGCTGGGTGTTTTATGCCCATTATTGAATTTAAATCATGCAATTTATTATTTGTGGGTTATGATCTGAATGTCTGCGTCCCCCCAAAATTGATATGTCAAAACCTAATCCCCAATATGATGGCATTAGGGGTGGGGCCTTGAAGAGGTGAATAGGTGATGAGGGCACAGCCCTCGTGAATGGGATTCGTGTCTTTATAGTAGAGGCTCAAGAGAGCTACCTTGCCCTTTCTCCCATGTGCGGACACAACGGAAAGGTGCCATTTGTGAATCACAAAATGAGCCCTTACCAAACACCAGCCTGCAGAACTATGAGAAATAATTTTTTTGTTTATAAGCTACCCAGTTTACAGTATGGCAACCTGAATAGACTAAGACAGTATGATTATTTTCAAAATTAAAGGTGAAGAGATAGACACTAGTGAATGATGAAAGACCCATATGCTTTTCACAGCTTCATGTTGACTTGTCTACCACTTAGAGTAAAGGTAGGGTTTGTCTTTCAAATTTGTGACTCAGTTCTTGTCTCATCCTCTTATGTTTTTCTCCTCAATAGAAAGGCATGAAATAGCAACTCAGAGTTTACTATTAATGTGGTCATTTCTTTATCAATATTAAAGTAAGGCTCAATAATAGAGTAACTCAATATTAGAGTAAGGCTTCTGTGTGTGTGTGTGTGTGTGTGTGTGTGTGTGTGTGTGTGTGTGTGTGTGTGTTTTCTTTCTTAAGGGGAGAATTTAACACTCTTCCTGGCCTCTTCTCAAGTTTGGGAAGTTAAAGGCCAGTCACCCTATCATCTTGTGATTCTAAATTAGAATTAATAATTATTCTTAATTTGTTTCAAAAACTTAACCTTAATCATAAAATATTTTTTATTGATTTTCCTTAGTACCACTAAACGTTTTATAGCCTGCCTAATGATTCAGCCTGTTTTTAAGAGGGCATCTAGACTTTCTCTTTAGCATCTTATGGTTTTGATATTCATGTTAGCAAATACAATGCAGCATTCTAAACAGACATAATGTGTATTTTTCTATAATTGTGGTGTATTTTAAATTTAGGTGGCTAGCAACAGTTTTAGGAATAGAATATGAAGGCATCATCCATGACACTAGAGCACAATAAGTACAGATTTAGTGGCTTCTATGTAACTTCCATTGCTAGTCAAATATGATTCAATTGGATATTTCTTGTTATGTTTTTTTAAAAACTACTTACGGCTGAAAGACTTAATTCATTATCTTTTGCTCCTGGCCCCAAGTTTCTCCATAAATTGTGATTAACATGGGTAATATTTTCACATCTTTGCTTCTACCATGTATACATCAAAAGTGCAAATTGCTGCATGACCATTCTAAACACTGGTATGTGGTACTGGGACTAAACTCAACAAAGACAATAAATGATTAATATTTACTTTCTGTGATTAACATTACTTCAATAAAGATTGATTATTTTACTTTCCCTATAGCAATATTGCCTTATAGGGCTAATTCAAATCAATAATACTTTGATAAACTTAGCAAGTACATGACATTATACTTGACCTGTAGATATTTAGCACATGTTCACTCTGCCAATGAAAAAAAGCTAATGTTCTTCTTCCTCACAACAGCTGTCCAACCATAAACTTGTTCTAGCAACTTTCTTGTCCAGTCAAGATGTGCAGACATTTCTTAATCTGATACCTGGAAAGGGTAGGGGCAGGAATTTGTTATGGGGCTAGAATGTGTTTGCCTTGTACACCTTGATTTCATGTCCAGGTAATAGTGTTTCCCCCACCAATTTCTTCATTGTTTTAAAAGAAAATGGCAAAGCCTGAATAAATGTACTCTCCACAGAACATTAGTCTGCCTAATTATAACTAAACGTAAGTTATAGCTCTAACCTGGGTGGTTTGCAGATGCATCCCATCACCTTATGTTTTTCAATGAAAGAGTAACTGATTAGCAAAGATCAATAGTATAATGCTGAAAAATGGAGCCCACAAGGAAATCTTTCTCATCTTTTAGAAATAAGGATACTGAGACCCAAAGTTACTTAAAAACTTAACTAAAGGTCCTAAATCTAGACAGTAAGAAGGCCACAAGACTGTAAAATTAGTGAGGTAGTTTTAGGTAATGAGGTGAATACCAACATGGTATTCACCAGTACCTGCTTGCCAGGACTCAATACAAGGTCCAGCACGCGTGGTCAGTTCTCCATAAATATTCATTGAACGAATAAATGAAGTGGAATTCTTTCTAGGATGCCAAGATTGGCAGGATGTTGGTGCTGTTTTTATAGCTAATGTCATTGTGACTGAAATAGCCATACCATGGCAACCCAAAGTATGAAAAGTATGATGACCCGAAAGTTATTGCAGACACTAGTTGCTTAGCAGAGAATGTGAATGCTTATTGTGCAAGAGACTGCATCATGATAAATTCTCCTCAAATATACAAAATTTAAAAATTTGCTGTATTCAAAACATTTTGGCTATATTTACATCCTGCATCAGTATCCAACTTTGAGTTTTGAGCAGCAAGTTAGATTTCTAATGAAATATACAAGAAACAAAATTTCCAAGTTTAGCAATATTGACAACAATAAATCAGACTTAAATTCTTCCACACCATGTGGCTATGTATTATTCCTAGTGTCTATAAATATAGATTTTAGTCTACTTTTTCTTCTACCAAAATAGGCTAAATTTCAAGGTTTAAGTCCAGTACTAACTTGAAGATAATACCTAGTTGTAATCTAATAATTTTAAAACTCTATTTTTTATTTGACATACATATTTATGAAAAACTCAGATATTCATAGTCAATTTGACATGTTTTCTTTTACTGTCAAATCTGATAAAACAGACTTGTATTGAAGCCTGCTACATACCAGGGACTTTGCTTCCACAAATGCTGGGCACAATAAAAAATAAAAATTTTAAACAATGCTGGGTACAATAAAAAATTTAAAAGTTAAAAAAATTGTTGAATGGGAAGTAGAGGCCATTTGTCATAATAACATTCCAAAGATATAGCTTGCTTGCTGCTTGTTGTTGTTAGTTAAAATTTGTTAGTTGTTGGTTCTTTATGAAATTGAGCATAATGGCCATAAAACAAATAAAAGCTAAAGCCCAGGTATGATGCTATTGTATGCCAAAGTTGAAAAGCCCTGCCCCAAGGTAAACATTCTTCTCTTTTCAGTGTAATCTCACTGAAAAATGAAGCCTGTAAGTCAAATGAGGTTATCAGTCCTAAGCTTGCTTTTTTTTTTTGAAAATGATCTCTCTCTCTCTTTCTAGGGAAAGGGGATTTAATTGGAGCAAATCTATCAATTAAGGACCAAGTGATCAAGACCAATGCAGATGTAAAGGCTTTAACCTACTGTGATCTCCAGTGTATCATCCTCAAAGGACTCTTTGAAGTGCTAGACCTTTACCCAGAATATGCTCACAAATTCGTGGAAGACATTCAGCATGACCTCACATACAACCTCCGAGAAGGTCATGAGAGTGATGTAAGTCCCATTTCTAATTAGTGCTAAGACCTAATAACATTGGGCCTGGAGATCATTTGTAACAGTAAAGGCAGATGTCATGACCTCACCTTAAAAAGTCTCTGAATATCTAAGACGTGAATATTCAGCCACCAGTTAAGCAATTAAATAATTAGCGAGAAGCCAAACCTAGAGTTTGTTATTAACATTCTAGGAAAATATTTTTCATGAATGACTTCTCAACTCAGTTTCTTTCTTGTTTCTTTTCATATGCTTAAAACTACAATCCATTTCAGTTATATATAACATTAGGTAGAGATGTGTGATTTCTCCAGAATTTAAAGATTTCCAGATGAAGTATATGGTTCAGTTTGCTGTGTTTGTAATTGTTCACTACTCCAATTGCTTGACATAGATTTTGCTTAAAAATAATCTTTTATTTAATGGTACACAAAACAGTCTATCTTAAAGTGAGTAAATATGCATAAAAGGATTCAAGCGAAGGATTGTCACACTGAAAGCATAATGAACATTTTATGCAATTATATATTTGCTGCAAGTTTCGTATTAGACAAACAGCTTTCCTGTCAAAATATGTACTATACTGCATCCTGTGATTAAGCTGATCGTGAACATGACTTCATTAGATGTCTCAGAGAGAGACATGATTTAATAGGAATGATTGTTGAAAGGCAAGCCAAGGCATGCATAGCATTGTGTAACAACAAGCCTTTATATGCTGTCTTGAGCTTTGTCCCAGATATTTGTAACTCTTGATTTTTTTCCTATGTACTTAAGAAGCTATGGTTTGGACCAACCCATATTGTGCAGATATTCATGTCAATCATTAGTATTCTCTGCTTTGAAAGGTAGAAAGAAAACTTAAATTGTGTATTATTTTATCTTGGTTGGGGCTATCTAATGACAGTAAGTATGTAGATAATATCCCATTATGAGGTTCAAGATGACCAGTTTTGCATATATGCTTCTCTCCATTGTTGATAGCAAACAGCAGAGTAGGTACCAACATTTACTGGCTATGTTTTATGTGTTAAGCACTCTACCTATGTAAAGCATCTCATTTATTGCTTAAGACAAATCTTTAAGGTAAGTCTTGATCTATTTTTATGGAAGAGAAAACAAATTCAGAATGGTTAAATCACGTGTGTATGTTCACACATACTTGCAGGTGGCTGGGTCAGAGTTTCAACATAGGTATCAGAGTTTAAAACATATATTGTTTCTGTTAAATATGTTGCCTCATCTTGAAATCCTTTTCATGTCTTTTAAAAAAAATCAGTAGATTGAATTTTAAAACTACAGGTGTCTTTTGTGCTCACCATGACAGCATAAAATGACAATTGTTTTGAAAATCAAAGGTGAGTTAGGGGGTGGAAGTAATCAAAGAGAAGAAGAAATTAGCAAAGAGAGAAAAATCGCTAATATTCCTCAGCATAGAAAGTGGGAAATATTGGATCTCAATCTCTATTTTATTTCATTTGACTTATTAAGGATCCTTATCTTTTTAAAAAATTCGTGGCATACAAAATGATGTTTTCAAATATGTATACATTTTGGAATGGCTAAATCACGCTAATTAATGTATGCATTTCCTCACGTTTATCATTTATTTGTGGTGAGAACACTTAAAATCTCCTCCCTTAGCAATTTTCAAGTGTACAATACATCGTTATTAACTAGAGTCACCATGTTGTACAACAGATCTCTTGAACTTATTTCTCCTAGCTTAAACTCTGTATCCTTTAAGCAACGTCTTTCTAATCTCTTCTGGACCTGCAGCCCCAGCTCATGGTAACCATCATTGTACTCTCTGCTTCTTTGAGTTCAAGGTATTTTAGATTCAGTATATAAATGAGATCATGTAGTATTTGTCTTTCTATACGTGGCATATTTCACTAAGCATAATGACCTCCAGTTTCATCCATGTTGTGGCAAATGACAGGATTATCTTCTTTTTTAAGGCTGAATAGTATTTCATTGTGTATGTATACCACATTTTCTTTATTCATTTGTCTGTTGTTGGACACTTAGGTTAATTCTGTATCTTGGCTATTATGAATAATGCTGCAATGAAAATGGGAGTGCATATATCTCTTTAAGATACTGATTTCATTCCTTTGGATATATACCCAGTATTAGGACTTCCAGATCATATGGTACTTCTATTTTTAATTTTTTTAAAGAACTTCCCTACTGTTTTCCATAGTGGCTATAATGATTTACATTTGCACCAACAGTGTGCAGGGGTTCCTTTTTTTTCACATCCTTGCCAAAATTTCTTTGTTGTTGTTTTTTTTAAAATAGCCCTTCTAATAGGTGTGGTTTTAATTTGCATTTTCCTAATGATTAGCAATATTGAGCATATTTTCATATAACTGTTGGCCTTTTGTATGTCTTTTCCTGAGAAAAGTTCATTCTGGTCATCTGTTTTAAAAATCAGGTTATTTAATTTCTTGTTATTGAGTTGTTTATGTATTTATTGTTGTTACTGAGTTGAGTTTATGTATTTTGCATATTAACTCCTTATCAGATGTATGATTTGCAAATATTTTCTCCCATTCTGTAGATTGTCTCTTGATTCTGTTGATTGTTCCTTTTCTGTGCAGAGCTTTTAAATTTGATATAATTCAATTTATCTGTTTTTGCTTTTGTTGCCTGTGCTTTGGAGTCATATCCAAAAACATCATTGTCCAGACCAATGTCATGGAGCTTTCCCCTATGTTTTCTTTTAGAGTTACATAATTTCAGTTCTTACATTTAAGTCTTTATTCATTTTGAATTTGTTTGTATATGGTGTAACATAAAGATCTAATTTTATTCTTCTGCATGTGGAAAAGGAATTTTTATCTTTGATAAAATTTTCATGATTCTTTTTCTATCTTCTAGAACATTAATTATAGTAATTTAAAAATCCCTGTATACCTGAATTATCTCTGGAATTATTTCCATTGTCTGTTATTTTTCTCTTTTTCTGTCTCTCTCTCTCTCTCTCTGTCATTTGTTCTTTTTTGGTCATTTAGTTCTCATTTTAAAAAAGGAAAAGCGGGTGTCAGAATTTTGTTTAAATATAGATGTTGCTTATTAAAGATTGTTCATGTCATTTTCCTCAAAATAAGATTTTCTTTTCACAGGCAAACAGTATCAGCAAACCAACTTAATGCTGACCATAGTTTATTTTAGGCTTTGTTAAGGTGGCATATTTCAATTTTGCCCTCAATCCTGAGGTCTAGCCTTTATTCCTAAAACAGCTTTTCTGGAGTCTCAGCTCAAACCATAGTATGTTTACCAAGGCTCTTCCTATTTAGCAGAGCCTGAGCTCCAGCCTCCATCTCCCCAACACCACGTGACTGCTGAAATCTCTATCCTGTAATTTAGCCTTCTAGGTGCTATTTTAATCTGTTTCTTAGAGTACTACCCCTTGCTGTTCAAGTTAGGAGTTGGCTAATGCCTTAAAGGGAACATCAATGCAGTTTACTTCTCTCTGGTATTATATTCCTCAAATCCCTTATGCTTTGGTTTACCTGAACTTCTCTGTCTCCTTAGTTGGTAAGGATGGTCCTTTCTCATCTCTTCTATTCTATCTTACAATGAAATAGCAAGTGCCTGCAGAAAAACTCCTAGCCAAATGTGATGCTCTCATTGGTGCACTTCTCTTTTCTTAGGGATCACGTCCTTCAAGTCTTAAAGTTGATTTCTCTCAAATTCCTTCAAGAAGTTTCATATGGTTTGACTGTGTATCTCATCTTGAATTGTAGTTCCCATAATCCCCACATATCATGGGAAGGACCAGGTGGAGATAATTGAATCATGGGGGCAGTTTCGCTCATCCTGTTCTTGTGATAGTGAGTTAATTCTCATAAGATCTGATGGTTTCATAAGGGGCTTCCCCTTTCACTGGACACTCATTCTTCCTCTCCCTGCTGCCATGTAAAGAAGGACGTGTTTGCTTCCCCTTCTGCCATGATTGTAAGTTTTCTGAGACCTCCCCAGCCATGCTGAACTGTGACTTAATTAAACTTAATTCCTTTATAAATTACCCAGTCTCAGGTATGTTTTTATTAGCGGCATGAGAACAGACTAATGCCCAGTTATTTTACTAATTTTGTCCAGTTTGATAATTACTTTTGATTGGAGGGTTAGTTCAATATAAGTTACTTCATTATGGCTGGAACCAAAAGTATTGCTTCTTTTCAAAGAGGACTCCTTATGAGTTACATTTTAAAGGCAGATGGGACCTTCATTGTTTTATACTTCCTGATGTTTTATCCCTCAAAACTTCTATTTATATATAACTGAGAGTCTAGGGGATACTATGCCCTCTAAGGGCTAGATAAGTTTGGACCTCTGTTTCTATAAGTTTGTACCTAGGGGAAAAGTCTTGTGCACTCCCCAAGCATACTGTGACTTTCAGGGGAACTTGTATTCTGATGATTACATTATGGATTCCTGTTCTCTACCCTGGTGTCAGACTAACTGTAGAAGCAAGCCCCTTTCCTTGATTTTCACAGACAAAACCAAAAATATCCAGTCACACAGGATTTTCTGTGGTTAAAGGCTTTGTGGAAATTTAAGTGATGGGTTGTGGGAGGAGGAACATTTGCAAAATGGAAATGTACACAACATAAATGTAACTTATCTATACATCCTTATTTTTAAAAGTCATGTGGCCACTCTGCCATGTTTTTTGTTTCTTTGTTATTATACTTTAAGTTCTAGGGTACATGTGCACAACGTGCAGGTTTGTTACATAGGTATACATGTGCCATGTTGGTTTGCCGCACCCATTAACTTGTCATTTACATTAGGTATTTCTCCTAATGTCATCCCTCCCCCTCCCAACCACCCCACAACAGGCCCCAGGGTGTGATGTTCCCCGCCCTGTGTCCAAGTGTTCTCATTGTTCAATTCCTACCTATGAGTGTCCTTGTGATAGTTTGCTCAGAATGATGGTTTCCAGCTTCATCCATGTCCCTACAAAGGACATTAACTCATCCTTTTTTATGGCTGCATAGTATTCCATGGTGTATATGTGCCACATTTTCTTAATCCAGTCTATCATTGTTGGACATTTGGGTTGGTTCCAAGTCTTTGCTATTGTGAATAGTGCCACAATAAACATATGTGTGCATGTGTCTTTATGGCAGTATGACTTATAATCCTTTGGATATATACCCAATAATGGGATCACTGGGTCAAATGGTATTTCTGGTTTTAGATCCTTGAGGAATTGCCACACTGTCTTCCACAATGGTTGAACTAGTTTACAGTCACACCAACAGTGTAAAAGTGTTCCTATTTCTCCATATCCTCTCCAACATCTGTTGTTTCCTGACTTTTTAATGATTGCCATTCTAACTGGTGTGAGATGGTATCTCATTGTGGTTTTGATTTGCTTTCTCTGATGACCAGTGATGATGAGCATTTCTTCATGTGTCTGTTGGCTGCATAAGTGTCTTCTTTTCAGAAGTGTCTGTTCATATTCTTCACCCACTTTTTGATGGGGTTGTTTGTTTTTTTCTTGTAAATTTGTTTAAGTTCTTTGTAGATTCCGGGTATTAGCCCTTTGTCAGGTGGGTAGATGGCAGAAATGTTCTCCCATTCTGTAGGTTGCCTGTTCACTCTGATGGTAGTTTCTTTTGCTGTGCAGAAGCTCTCTAGTTTAATTAGATCCCATTTGTCAATTTTGGCTTTTGTTGCCATTGCTTTTGGTCTTTTAGTCATGAAGGCTTTGCCCATGCTTATGTCCTGAATGGTATTCCCTAGGTTTTCTTCTAGGGGTTTTATGGTTTTAGGTCTAACATTTAAGTCTTTAATCCATCTTGAATTAATTTTTGTATAAGGTGTAAGGAAGGGATCCAGTTTCTCATATGGCTAGCCAGTTTTCCCAGCACCATTTATTAAATAGGGAATCCTTTCCCCATTTGTTTTTGTCAGGTTTGTCAAAGATCAGGTTTGTCAAAGATAGATGTGTGAGATTCAACCAACCACCAATCAAAATCATCAAAAAGTGGTGTCTGTACTAAATATGTACACACGTTTTTTCTTATCATAACTCCCTAAACAATACAGTATAACAACTATTTACATAGAATTTACATTGTATTAGGTATTATAAGTAATCTAGAGATGATTTAGAGTATACAGGAGGATGTGCATAGGTTATACTATGCCATTTTATATCAGGGCTTAGAGCATCTGAGGATTTTCATATCTGCAGGACGTCCTGGAACCAGTCTCTCAGATACTAAGGGACCACTGTACCTATATAATGATAATTCATTGCAAAAGTTTCAGAGTAGTCCTATGCATTAAGTTAACACAAATATAAATAAACATAATTGAATGCAAAAGTTTCATACTAGTAGTATGCATAAAGTTAATAGAGGACAAAATGGAAGAATATATCCATAATGTCTAAACCCATAAGGGTTTGGTCAAAAAGTAAAAAGTATTACTGTTAGAAAAATGGGCAAAATATATGTACAGGCAATGTGTAGATGAAGAAACACAAAAGACAACAAGCAGATAAAAAATATGCTCAAAAACATTAGAAATATAAAAATGAAAATAAAAAACAAAGGCGTAAACTTTTAAATTCTTAGAATACCAACCTTATGGAGAAGATTAATAAAAGTGTATAGGAACTTATGCAGTTATTGGTGGAGAATATAGTCTTGTGTATCCATTTTGCAGAAAAATATGTCACTACTTAGTCCATTTAAATATATATACAGCCTATGACCTCTCAATTTCAAAGTGTATCCAAAAATTTTACATACAGGTCTATAACGGGGATTGTATGGGGATGTTCATTGTAGCTCTGCTTATTGTGGACAAGAGTTAAAAGCAACCTGGGTATTCATCACTGGAAGACCAGGTTCAATAAAATATGGTGCATAACAGAATTCTGTATAGCAGTGACAGTATATGTAAGTATGTAAAATGTAGGATTTATTGACAAGATAAGAAACAGAATGATATCTGAAACAATACCGCTTGCGTAAATTAAAATGTACTCAAATCAGTGTACAATTTCCTAAGCTAATTATAAACTAAAATACCAGAGGACTTTCTGTACATTGAAATACCAAAGACTGTCAATACCTAAGACAGTCCAGAAGAAGAACAAAATTTGAGGATTTATGCTGTCACACTAACAAAACTTTAGAAACTAAACCTACAGTAATTCAACCAAAGAGGTATGAATGCAAGGCTGTACAATTTCAATAGAACAGGTTCCACAAACAGGCCCACACTTTATGGTCACCTGATTTATCACAAGTTGCTATAGTGAAAAAAATGGCAGTTTAGACTATCAATTAATGATGATGTATTAACTTAAAGCTTACATGGAAGAAAATAAACCGTGGCCTAAAAGTTGGCCCATGAGATACTTAAAACTCAATTCCAGATGGATTGCAGACCTAAACGAAAGAAAAAACAATAAAGTTTCTAGAAGAAAACATTGCAGAATATCATTATGACCTTGGAATAGCAAATATTTCTTGAGGAGGACATGGACTGTAATAACAATAAAGGAAAGAGAAATTTACTAAAATGAGGAACTTTTATTCATCAAAAGACAGCAGTAACAGAATAAAAAGGGAAGCTGAAGAATGGGAGAAGATATTTGCATCACATATATTTGAAAAAGAAAGAATATCCCGAATGTATTAAAACTCCTAAAAATAAGTAAGAAAAAGACATATACTTCAGTTTTTAAAATGAGGAAAACGATCAGGCACTTTTCAAGTGGCTGATATCCAAATGGCCACTTGCCATTATCCAAATGGCATATCCAAATGGCCAACAGTTTGATCATTTACTTCTTGTACACCTCTTCCCTCCTCAGTCTTTTATCTAAGTTAGTAAATGACATCATCATCTACTCTATTGCTCATAGTAAAATAATTTAATAAATTATAGTGAGAATGATATGATTAGTATCAAGATAAGTAATTGAGATTAGCAGAAATAGCACCCAAGATGCCAAAATAATTAAAAGGAAATATGAATAGGTAACTCAAGAAAAGTTTTGAAGGCATTACTTAGAAGATTTTCTTTTCTTTTATTCTGCTTCTCTATATTTCAATAATGCTGGAGAAATCTTTAGCAATTCATAAGTTTTACTTGTCAACTTAAGGAAGAAGATGCCATCTAGGAATTTCATAGCTAGAGAAGTCAGTGCCTGGCTTCAAATCTTCAAAGGACAGACTGATTCTCATTAGGAGCTAATGTAGCTGGTGACTTTAAGTTGAGGCTAATGCTCATTTGTCATTCCAAAAATCCTAGGGCCCTTAAGAAGTATGCTAAATCTTTTCTGCCTGTACTCTATAAATGGAACAACAAAGCCTAGATGTAGTACATCTGTTTACAGTATGGTTTACTGAATATTTTAAGCCCACTGTTGAGACCTAGTGCTCAGAATAAAAGATTCCTTTCAAAATATTACTGCTCATTCATTGACAGTATACCTTGTTACCCAAGAGCTCTGATGGAGATATGCAAGGATATTAATGCAGTTCTCATGCCTGCTAACACAACATCTATTCTGTAGCCCATAGATGAGGTGTAATTTCAACTTTCAAGTCTTATTATTGAAGAAATATATTTTGTAAAGCTATAGCTGCCATAGATAGTGATTTCTTTGATGGACCTGGATGAATTAAGTTGAAAACACTCTGGAAAAATTTTGGCATTCTAGATGCCATTAAGAATATGTGTGATTCCTGGGAGGAGGTCCAAATATCAACATTAACAGGAGTTTGGAAGAAGTTGACTTTAATCCTCATGGATGACTGAGGGGTTCCAAACTTAAATGAAGGAAGTCAGTGCAGATCTGGTGGAGATAGCAAAAGAATTAGAATTAGAAGTGGAGCCTGAAGATGTGACTGAATTGCTGCAATTTTATGATAAAACTTTAACATATAAGAAGTTGCTTCTTTATTTTATTTTATTTATTTATTTATTGAGATAGGGCCTCACTCTGTTGCACAGGCTGGAGTGCGGTGGCATGATCACAGCTCATTGGAGCCTTGACCTCCTGGGCCCAAGAGATCCTCCAACCTCAGCCTCCCATGCACGGGCATGCACCACCACACCCGGCTAATTCTTTTTTATATTTGTAGAGATGAGGTCTCGCTATATTGCTTAGGCTGGTCTCAAACTCCTGGGCTCAAGCAATCCTCCTGCCTCAGCCTCCCAAAGTGTTGGGATTACAGGTGTTAGCCACCATACCCAGCCAGGAGTTGCTTCTTATGAATGAGTGAAGTGGTTTCTTGAGATGGAATCTACTCATGGTGAAGATGTTGTGAACATTGTTGAAATGACAACAAAGGATTTAGAATATTACATGAACTTAGTTTATAAAGCAGTGGCAGGGTTTGAAAGGCTTGACTCCAATTTCAAAAGAAGTTCTACTGTGGGTAAAATGCTATCAAACTGTACCGTATGGTACAAAGAAATCACTCATGAAAGGAATAGTCCAATTGATGTCACAAACTTCATTGTTGTTTTATTTTCAGAAATTGCTGCAGCCACCCCAGCCTTCAGCAGCCACCACCCTGATTAGTCAGCAGCCATCAACATCAAAGCAAAACCCTTCACCAACAAAGAGATTATAACATACTGCAGACTCAGATGATTGTTAACATTTTGTAGCAATACATTTTTTTTTTTTTTTTTTTTTTTTTTTTTTTTAGATGAAGTCTCGCTCTTGCCGCCCAGGCTGGAGTGCAATGACACGATCTCAGCTTACTGAGATCCATCTCCCTGGTTCAAGCGATTCTCCTGCCTCAGCCTCCCGAGTAGCTGGGATTACAGGCATGTGCCACCCTGCCTGGCTAATTTTGTATTTTTAGTAGAGATGGGGTTTCTCCATGTTGGTCAGGCTGGTCTCGAACTCCCTACCTCAGGTGATCTGCCTGCCTCAGCTTCCCAAAGTACTGGGATTACAGGCGTGAGCCACTGCGCCCGGCCAATAAAATATTTTTAATTAAGATATGTATGTTGTTTTTAGACATACATAAGTCTATTAATGCACACTTAATAGACTACAGTATAATGTAAACATGACTTTTATATCCACTGGAAAACAAAAATTTCATATGACTCACTTTACTGAGATAGTAACTTTATTGTAGTGGTTTGGAAGTGGTCTGAGGTATGCCTGTATCATAACTCAGTTTCAGGGGATTCATTGACCCTTTCAATATCGTATAGAGAGTCCATAAAATTCCAATTAAAAATATACATGTTAAAATATCCTGAGGGAAATATAGTGGCCCTTGTCTCCTTTCGCAGATTCATGTATAAGTAGACACACACACACACACACACACACACATGTGCACACACACAAATATATAACCAAGCAACCTGCAAAGAAGGCATGGGATAAACATCATTAACAGCTGCCATTTCTGATTGCTTTCTCTGTGATAGACACTGTGTATGCATTATCTGGTGAAATCTTTGACAGTCATGCAACTTGGGTACAGTTATATTCACCAGCTGTACAAAGTATGTGTTTCCTTTGTCAGGAATAAGCTGAACTCTAATGTATGAGTCAACTTGCCTTCAGTAGCCCATGGGGGCAGGGAAGAATGTGTTTGTGGGAGCACGGGGGGCATGGTGGGAGTAGGAGCTGAAACATACCTACCTGACCATGACAAATGAGATTCAATATAGTGATTCTCCCTGCCTCCACTTGTATCCTCTTATGACCTCAAGGCTACAGGAGTAATCTTTGTAAAATATAAATCAAACTGTCTCATTTTGCTGCTTGAAATAGATCCCCATGGGCTGGTAGTAACATCCAGACTTTTTATCATAACTTTCAAGGTTCTAAGCCTTCCTTTCCCAGCCTGCCTTTCAAAGTCATCTGATGCCATCTTGCCTCCAGCATTACACTCCAGCAAACTGGCCTGCTTTCCCTTCCTTAGGGAGGCAGGCTCCACCCACCTCACTCCCTCCCTCCCCTCCTCCCCACCTCTGCTGCCTCAGGGCCTTTGCATTTGATCTTCTTTCTTCCTGTTGTGCTACTCCTCTGCCCTTACCTGACAGTCTGCTCTGGAGTTTGCCCTCTCCCAGTTATCCTCTGTTATATCACCTTGTTTGTCTTTTTTCATGGCATTTAGCAGGATCTAATATTATTTTAATTTGTATATTTTCTTGCTCATGATTAGTTTCTCCTACCAAAACCTATTTTATGAAACCTTTGTCTTGTTCTATACTATAGCCCCAGTGCCTAGGTCAGAGCCTAATGCAGAGTCAACATTTAATATATATTCAATGAATGAATGAACAAATGTCAATAAGTTTACTTTGGTGCCTGGAACTAATGTTAAGTTTTAAGAAAATGAAGAAAGTCCTGAAGACAGCGGCCTCTATGGCCAGTAAGTAGAGTCTAAAATGAGAAGCAAAAAACAATTTAGGATTATATCTGTTAGACATAGCAAAGCCAAAAAAAGTATCAATACTAGGATTTGAAAGAACAAATTGAAAGAACGGCTAAATTGAATAACAACATTTTTCACTTCCCCTAAGTTCAGGAAAAGAGATTTTCAAAAGCAACATGAGGAATTTAAGCTGAATAATAGGGGAAAAATAAAGATTGCAATCTGAGTAATATTTCTCCAGGTGGTTTGATATAGTAAGTAGGGTTAAAATAAAAGATCTGCCTTCAAATCTCAGCTAATGTGCCCATTTTCTACATCTAATTTCCATGAACTATTGAGTTACGTCTACTTGAACCTCTTGGCACTGGGCAATTTCTTGTGTAATTAAGCTGTGCTATATCCATGAGATTCGACTTCATGATTCCTTCCTTAGATAAAAACAAGCCTGACTAGATCTTTCGAATGAAGTTTTTGATTTGCAAACATCTCTTGATGCCTATGTGACTATATTACGATTTAATTCAATTCAAGAATGTACTGAAAAGGGAGCTATTCCAAGAAGAGACTTATTTTAAATTTAGTCCCCATTTCAGTCTGAAATAAAATTGGGCTGCTTAGAAGCAATTTTCTTGAAAATGATTTATTGAATATTAATAATTTTTTAAATCATATCTGACAGCCCAGATACTTAATTCTTCAAAAGTAGCCTGTGTGTAGGTGTGCATCTGCTAGCCGAGTCCTGCATAATAACAGAACATAATTAATTCTTCACTTTTCTGAGATAATTGTTCTTAGAAAATTGCATACTAAAGGACTCACATGTCATTTTACCATGTCAGCTTTCCTTGTTATCTCAGGCCCAACAAGTGTTTTGTCAGTTGTGTACTTTAAAATACTCTCCCTCAGGAAGCAAAAACACTTCCATGAAATATCTTGCAGTGAACTGTTTTACACTTTTATGCTGCTTAAGAAAATGTTAGATAGGAAAAGCTCATTAAATAATGGCCTGGGAATTGTACTTGGATCCAGTATGTTTTTTTTGTTGTTGCTGTTGTTGTTTTTTGTTTTTTGTTTTTGAGATGGAGTCTCGCAGCATCACCCGGGCTGGAATGCAGTGGCGCGATCTCGGCTCACTGCAACCTCTGCCTCCGGGGTTCAAGTGATTCTCCTGCCTCAGCCTCCCAAGTAGCTGGGATTACAGGCACCCGTCACAGTATGTTTTTTATATTCTGAAACTTTCCTCCTACTGATGTCTTTCAGTAGATTCAGAAGTGATTGTGGCAAACATAGTATCTTGAAGGAAGAGATCGTGTTTTGATTAGCATCTCCCGAGCCTAGTTTTGTGTTTATGTTCATGGTATTGAGGAAATAAAGATCAATTTGGACTTCTTGCACCTGTTAATACATCCTAGTTCCTGACTGCAGCAAAATGACTCTCAGTGCCCCTTCTCTTCTTAGTGATTGCCTAAGATGACAGCTTCATTCCCTTTATTATTATCCACCTTCTTCCCATCTTCATTGTTTTCTCAGTGAGGACTGGACTCTACTGGACTCCACTGGAGTCCAAGGTCATGTTCCCTTGTAACCCTGAAGTTCTAGACTCCTACCTCAGAAAAATGAAAGCTTGATACTCCATAAATCAAAGGAAAGTAGTTACTTTCACCCTTTCTCAAATTATATTTAATTTTTTTTTAATTCTTATTTTAGGATAGAACTAGTGTGGGACATTGCAAAAGGGCCATCCTGGGAATCCTGTTAAGTTTGGAGGTAATTCAGAATGAGGACATTGATTGTAAACAATAGACATTCAACTCAAATATAGCATTAAAAGAAGGGGAGATTTAATGTAAGAATTCCAAGTATCTAATGGGATCAAATAAAACACATGCACACATACCACAAGTACCCGCTGGATCTCAGGAACTCTTACAGTCAGGCTCTCAAACTCTAAACATTATCTCTCTGTTTCTTACTTTTCCTTTTCTCTGCATTTCCTCTTCATTCTTCTCTCCTTCAGTAGACTTGCCATCTTATTTCCTGCATCCAAATGGCAGAAATATGGTCTCAGACATCAGCTCTTCAATTTAAATAGGAGCAGAGTAAGGTGGACTTTCTTAGTTGATTCTAGATTCTTGTGTAAAGACTCTGAGTGGTTCAGATTTAAGTCACATGCCCATCCAGCTTTCACTAATTATTGTGAATGGCAGAGTGATCGGGGGCTTCAAGGATGAAGAGAGATCACCCTGTAGTAGCATGGTGGTTTCCATGGAATCCCTGAGGGCTGAAGAGTTGAGATAAGAGACAAGAACGAGAAAGAGGGTGGGTAGGCAGAGGTAGCTGCTGGACACATAAAGCAAAGATAGAAATTGTATGAATTGTGGGTCTCCTTTGTGCTGTGGCATTATAGTTTGTCTCCATGCAATCATATCTCAGCAACATTTTCACAGAAACCCAATCCCTTATAAAAAATATATTAAAATAAAAACATATTAAATAGGGAGCACATAAAAAGCTTTAAAATATGCTGCAGTGGCTCATGCTTCATCTTTTCTGGGTTCTCTCCTGTGTGGCCTCTTGTTAGTCAAAGAGCACGACATATACCCTGCAAAGAGATCAACCACATTTTTAGTGGCATCTGGATATTTCAACTTACGTTTGCAAGTTGAACAGTAAGCAGTTAGATTTTTAAGTTTGTTTATGGGGAAGGGGAGTTTAGTTGGGCTGGGAAAGGGAGAGAAAGAAAAGGCCACCTGCCATACCATGAACAAGACAAAAAAGTTTTTCTTTCTTTTCTTCCTTGGTTGCTTCCATCCTGAAGAGAACAGCAGATGTTCAGCCTTAAATAAAGTGTTAAATTTGCATATGCACACACATACCCACAAACAGGCATGGCTCCATTTACATGTATTCCTTGAGAATGAAAAACAACCTACTGCTATATCCACCAGGAATCCGCATACCTGCTCTACGGTTACTTGGCAGGAAGAGGGGGATGTGGAGCAAGGGTCGTCCATTCCATGCTACATTCTGGATAGTTGTTTAGGCCTATGAAGTGCAGTGTTTGCCCTCTGTAGAGTTCTTCTGCAGGCTGGGTTAACAAAGCCACACACTCACGACAAAGGCTCCATGAAAAGAGGATGATGTACATACTGTTGATAGTATAGTAGCTCCTAGGAGCCAAGCTGCATGCTAAGCACTTTACAAACATTAACTTATTCTCACAACAACTTTAGAAATAAGTTGTATAAGTTTATGCTCTAGATAAGGAGACTAATTAAGGATGAAAGAGGAAAGAAAAACTGGTCCAGAATCCTTTAGCAAGTAAGCAAGGGAGATCAATTACTGGAATTTAAGTCCCAAACCACCTGACTTCAAAACCCAGTTGAAACTTAGTATAAGTTTATCCATCAAAACAAAGTTATTGATTCATGGTCAGTTGCCTAATCCTGTGATTACTGAATGCCAGCTAAGTTAATGGAGCATTCATAGGAAACATGTTTCCATGGGAGAATCAGCTTCATGAGCCAAATACGTAAGTAAAAAATGAAGCACAGCACTTTTTGATAATTTATTAAGCTGTACACTTTTGACTTATGCACTTTTTTCTGTATGCTATACTTCAATTAGAAAGTTTTTTAAAAATGAATTATAAGAATTCTACCAAGTTACAAGTGAATAATTCAGTTGTGCACATATGATTTCCTTGAGAACAGTTACTGTATTTTAATTCATTTTTGCAATTCTTTTTTTAATGGGATTGCTGGTACAAAGTATGTGCTTGATGAAAGCTTATTGGAATTTAATCACTTCATTCGTGTGTGTGTGTGTGTGTGTGTGTGTGTGTGTGTGTGTGTGTGTGTGTGTGTTAATGTCCACAGAATAACAGAATGTTAGAACACAAAGGCACTTTATATACCATCCAGTAAAGCTTTTTCTTTGGTGATATGGTCTGGCTCTGTGTCTCCACCCAAATCTCATCTTGTAGTTCTCATAATTCCCACTGTTGTGGGAGGGACCAAGTGGGAGATAATGAATCATGTGGGCAGGTCTTTCCTGTGCTGTTCTTATGATAGTGAATTAGTCTCATGAGACCTGATTGTTTTATAAGGAGTTTCCTGCACAAGCTCTTTTTACCTGCTGCCATCCATGTAAGATGTGACTTGCTCCTCCTTGCCTTCCACCATGATTGTGAGGCCTCCCCAGCCATGTGGGACTGTAAGTCCGTTAAACCTCTTTCTTTTGTAAGTTGCCCAGTCTCAGGTATGTCTTTTTCAGCAGCATGAAAATGGACTAATACAATTGGATAACAAGTGGCATAAAAATTCAGTCACTGATTAGATATATAATATAAGTGAATTACATACCTACGTTAATCAGAATATCTCCTTTGCAGAGAGGACATTCACATTTGGGTAAATCTCCCATGGGCATCAAGCATGTGTTTCAAATAAGATTTAGTCAAATAAACAAAATACATCTCATCTTTTTTTACTTTCTATTGTCAACTGAATATTTAGTAGCATACCTACTTGCTACATAGAGGTAAGAATGTCAATGTTATTAAGTATTATGAGCAAGGTAATTTGTTTATATTACCTTATTTAATTTAACTTTTAATCCTTGCATTGTTTCTGGGAGTTCGGATTATTTTTTGGCTTCCCAAACAAGGGAACTGAATATCCAAGTAGTTTACTGCCTGAGATTACAAAATTAGTGAAAGAATCAAACAGAATAAAATCAAGTCAAACTCATGGTCTTCTGCATACAAGCCTAATACATTTGTCCACTAACATAATCTGCCACAAATCAGAGAGAAATGGGTTAGTCTTCTTCTGATTTATAGCATAAGCTATACTGAATTTCTGGAATAACATTCAGTTTAATTTTCTTTAACTTAATTCTATTGCTTGTCATATCTCATCAGAAACCGACTGGAACTAAACATTTTAGGAAAGACATCTGATTAACAAGAGGACAAGTAAGGTGACAAAATATCCATACCTTGGCCATTTGACTTGCCTGCTCCCCTTGTATTTGTGCTCTTATTTGCTTGTAAATCCATCCATTTATTAAATAACCCTATGGTCACAGACTGGCTCTGGGAGAATTTCTTCCAACTCAAGTATATGTTTTTCAGTCTGCTATTTACATTATTGTTCTTCATCCTTCCCTTGCTCCATCTTTAAGAGTAAATTTGTGAAATCACCACTCCACTATCATTTCAAATGTAAAAAACAGTATTTTACTTTCTTCCCAGACTGTTTCATTCTTGTAAGAAGATGCAGGTCTTCTTATTAGTGGAAATAAATGAAAATCTCTTTGGAGTGTGAATGTATCATATTTGCCAACCAGTAACACATTCTGAGAACTTCTTGTATACACACACAAACTGATGCACACACATACATTTATGTAGAGGGATTGAGAACATAAGTGAAAGAAGCAATGTCTTTAATTTAGATTTTCATTCACATTTTTCCGTCAACCTGCAAATATTTTACCTGTGGATATGGATATGTTAGGACTTTTTAAAACGTAATTCTATTATGCTTTCTGTCCAAGAATTATGCTTTTTGTCCAGGATTTTAAGAATAATCCTGAAGGTTTTATCATGGTAAATATTTCACTGTTTGAGGCTGTGCCAGGATAATAACATTTCACAGGTCATCCTTAGGCATGTGGGGCATTTCTTCTGTTGGCCCTCTAAATCCCAAACCAGTTATCCCTTTAATCCCAGTTCTCAAACTCAACTGTTAGATTTAGTGCATGGTATGATTAAAACTGTCTACATGAGCTAAGTTGATGGAAATTAAATTTAAATTTAAAACAAATTGCAAAATCCCAGGATAAACATATTTAATAGTGCTTTTCCCACAAAATTCCCCAAAAGGGTGTAGACAGCAGAGAGGATGACATATGGTGGAGGCAGTCTGCTTACAGCGCAGCACAGACTGTGCTCAGCAGGCAGATCTGGAGGCCTCCAGTTTGATCAGATTCAAGGCATCTATTTGCTCACCATTTAAACCCAGCATGCCAGGATGCCAAAAGAGCGGCAGCTTTGAGTGGAGGAAACAGCAGCCAAGTCATTAGAAATACAAAGCAAGCTAAATTTCAAATTAAGGGGAAAACTGAAGTACCTCGAAATTATGAATGTGAAGGCCAGCATGTGGTGATGACAACTCTGTAAGGGTCAGGGGACCCAGGAAGATGCATTTCTGTCAAATGAATTGGGATTCAAAGGGTTTGGTTTCCAGGTCATTGAAGAAAATAATTAAGGAAAATTCTGATATGAATGTATACAACATACTAAACATTTAATGATGTAATTCCACTTGTATTTTCCACTGTTAAGATTAATGTCTTTGAAAGCGGAACATATGATGACTGATTCGTGTGACTGCATTTTGCCAGCATTCATAAACAGTCCCGAGTCTGATTATTGCTAATGAAGCATATTTATATCCTAGGTTATACAGTTTACATTTTCCTTTGAGGCTAATATTCAGTCTTCCATCTTGATAGTACAAAATGTTAGCATCATATATAGAGAACAACGAAATAGGATTCTATCAAAAAGAGCAATGAAGAGGATCCAGAAATCCTGACTATTAGACTCAATACACATACAACTAAGGCCAGAATTGTTCCTCCAAAGAATCTAAAGCTTTGAGTTTCCTGCAACCCCCAAAGAAACAACTAAACAAGCACAGTTTGATCCAAAAGATTGGAAGCTTAAAGGGCCAGAATTGCACAAATTTTTGTAAATATTCATTGAGGCATCATCCTTCCAATGGGGTCACTTGTCTATATTTTGCTAAATGAAAATAATAGTCTTAAGGGAGAGAAAAGCTTGTCCTGAAAAGAGGCTTCATGTGTATAACTGAATGATGACTTTGTACAGAATCTATAAATAACTAAATTAAGTAGTTCTGTCTATTCAGAAGTTATGCCCATTCTAAGTGAATTTGCCTTGTTCACTGTTCACGTTTTTACAAAGAGAAGCTCCTCATATCCCTGTGATTTTTCCCAAATTTGGAAATGCTGACTTTGTAACCAGGTTGCCATGTGATAACTCTAAATGCTTGTCCAAATAGTACAATTTCAGGAAAAGAACCATTGATTCACCCTTCTTCCCACAAATCTTGTCCCTAATTTCCTCACTGTTTATTTCAAAAGGTTAAGAAAATGTCTATCCTATGATGAAAGCTCAGGCTCAAAATATAAACTCACTTTAAAAATTAATATAAAATACACGAGACTGTGTAAATAACTGGAGAATAATTTCTCCCCCATGGAAAACATGCTCCACAAGGAAACATTCTTGAGAAAGAGACCGAGGGAAGGAAACTAGAGATTTATCAGGCATATTTTATTTATGACATAATTCTTGTTCTGGGAAATTCCTTCTTTAGGAGAACTATTATTGAGGGAGCAAAAATGTCAAATCAGATGTGTTTCATTCTAAATTTCAGTGGCTTGTAATCCCATTACGAATTCTCTCAAAGACTTGTTTTTAGTCAATATATAACTAGCCAGTAACATCTTCCTTCTGATGCTCCACGCACCAATTTTGAGTACAATACTGTAGTATAAGAAGATTGGCCATACGTCTACTACCTGTGAGAATATCTTCCTCACCTGAAAATGACTATTTGGTAAAAGTGCTAATTCTATGATGAATAATTCTTCAATCTTAAGTTTCGAAGATTTCTTTAAGTAAAACAATTATGCATTTAGTCATGTGGAGGATGCATATCACCCCACTATCATGACCCTCTATTAGCCCTCTTCTTCTTTTGTGGCTAATTGAGCTTAACCGAGGCAATATATTTCAAATCAGCAAAGTAGTTTATTTCAGTTTGCTGGTTCAAACACTATCTTCAACAGACAAGGAGGTTCAACTTTTTTGTTGCAGTGTATAATTGACAATGGGCTTCCTAGGCAGCAAATTAGGCATTTCGCATTAACGCTAAAGTGCCACAGGGAGTTGTGATGCGCAAACTTCTTGCACTAAAGTGAGCATCTTTCTTAACCGACCTGGTTTGAAACCTAAATACTCGGTGGGTATCCTGAAAATCTTATGAAACCGTCTATTGTGTTTCTTTACAATTACACAGTAGCTGACTTTACAAGCTAAGTAGGAGCCATTGTACCCTAATCAGAAGCGGGTCACTGGGGGGCATGGGATCTCAGCTTAATATAATGAATTTAAACAGTGTAAATTCTTTTCACACAGATTACCCTGCTGAATTCCCAAATCATTGATTTGGGGCATAGCTTCTTAAGCTTGAAATCTTTAAAACTCTTACATCATTGCTGAGAGATTTGTAGTCAGTTTTCTTCACATAATAGTGTGTATTTTTCTCCTTTTTCCTTCTAGAATGATATGAGCCACGTATTAGTAAATAACCCTCTTTCCCTCAAAATCATCCTGCATTTTCCAAGCTTTTAAATAGGTATCAAGAAACTTCTTTGGATTTTCTTTCAATTTCAAAGCCTTGTAGTTTAGGTAATTGCATCCAAAGATAACCATTCTTGAGTTGATTTGTATATATTGTCAATGTCTTATTGACTGTATTCACACCCATGAACAGTTTTACTTTATTTAAGTAAAGCATATGAAGGGACTGAGAAAGAAAAATATGGAATGCCTGGCCATTTCTTTATATAAAGTATTCTTCCTAGTGTTGTGCAAAGAAAAGTGTGTTTTGTGGCATGGCATGATAGCCCTTTTGCTGGGAGAAGAATTTTAGGAAAACTGTTATTTAAGTATATGGCCTATTTATTAAGACATTGTACATATTTATTGAGCAAGTGGGACGGACCCATGCATGTGAATGTTGAGATAATCATCACCCAGCTAAATGACTGATGTAAAATATCATAATGCTCCATTCCCAACATGAATTCAATTCAAAGAAAACTTTTATTCATAATCAATATATCAATAAAGTATAATTAATATTTATAAACAAGAATTACTCTTGATGCCAGACATTGGACCGAGAACTTAACAATGAATGTGAGGATTTTTTTGGTTTTCTTTTTTTTTTTTTAACTGTAATTTCTATGTGAGAATTCCGTGTGGAAGGGGACCCTGAAGTTGAAGGGATATGAGGCTTACACTGCCCAACAGGCTCCAAATGCTTTCTCTCTGGAGAAATGAGAGACCTGGAAGGCATGACACTATCACCTCTAGCATGACACTAAGACCTCTAACAGGAATGCTTGGAATTATGGCCAGGTGGAAGCAACAAACAAGGAATCCAGAAAGAGTTTCAGTGAGAGAATTAAGAGAGATGCATGATTATTATTGCTAATAAAATTAAAAAGGAAGGTTAATCTTAAGATGTCTTACTATGAGTTATCAAATACATCTTCTTCTTTAAATCTATTTATTTATTATTTACATTTAGGAAATACAAGTACAGATTCCTTACATTCATATATTGCATAGTGGTGAATTCTGGGCTATTCGTGTAGCCATCACCTGAACAGTGAACATTGTACTCAATAAGTAATTTTTCAACCCTGACCCCCTGGCACCCTTTTTTCATCTCCAATATCTATTATTCCACTCTGTATGTCCATGTATACCCATTGTTTAGCTCCCAAGTGAGAACATGCAAGTATTTGACTTTCTGTTTCTGAGTCACTTCAGTTAGGATAATGGCCTCCAGTTACACCCATGTTACTGCAGAAAACATAATTTTATTTTTTATGGCCTAGTAGTATTCCATGGTTTATATACACAGTTTAGGATTCATAGGCCCATTTTCTTCATCTGATCCTCCACTGATGGGCCTATGAATTCTAGATTGATTCCATATCTTTGCTATTGTGACTAGTGCTGCAATAAACTTATGAATGCAGGTATCATTTTGATGTAATGATTTCCTGCCCTCTCGGTGTATACCCAGTAGTGGGATTGCTGGATTGAATGGTGGTACTATTTTTAGTTTTTGAGAAATCTCCATACTCTTTTTCATAAAGCTTGTACTAGTTTACCCACCAACAATGTATAAGCATTCCTTTTTCTCCACATCCTCAACAACATCTGTTGTTCTTTGACTTTTAATAATAGCCATTCTCACTAATGTAAGATGGTATCTCATTGTGGTTTTAATTTGAAATGCACCCCTTTTAAGGGTCTTGAAAGACACACACAAACAAAAATTAGAATTACATTTTAATTACATTTGGTTTCTATACTGCATTTCTCTTAAATGTAACACAAGCCAAATGTGGCCAACTGGATCTCCATTCAGTTTTCACATATATATCTCATTTAATTCTCGAAACAACTCCAGTTATTGCCATCACTTTTGAGAAGAGGAAATGAACGTTCCCAAAATTTGACTGTAAGACTAGTTCTAGCCACTAAAATGTAAATAGAAGTCATGTGTCACCCTAGGCTGGGGTAGTCATGTGCCCAGTATGCCTTCCCCATACTGTCTCCTGAGCTACCTATTGGATAATACCAGAAAAATCCTGAGACCACAAAACAGAAGCAGCCTAGGTCCCTGAATCACCTAGGGATTATGTTAGCGGAGAACTGCTGGACATATAACACTGTAAATGACTGAGAAATAAAGTTCTTTTGTGTAAAATTTAGAACATTATTGTTAACCCAGCATTACCTCCTCTATCAGAATTAATATGTTTCTTAAGGTTACATAGCTAATAATTGGCAGGACTAGGAAAATATTAATCACTATGCTACCCAACCTCCTAAGTGGGTTCCATCCCCTGGCGCACAGACCTTTTACTCTAACATACAGCAATGGAGAGTTTGCGGGGTGCCTCCTACAATATGAACTCAGTAGCTGATTCTCCGGCTCTCGTCCAGAAACTCTAAATTCAGAGCTCAATTACTTAACTTGTACTTCTGTATCAGAAGTGATACCATTTACCTAGTGGAAAAGAATTATCCTCTAAGTCTTAATAGTTAGTCTTGATCTCAAAACTCAGGATGAAATTGGAAAATGTTAAAATATCATCAGTTCTTTCATTAAAAATGTCATTTCTAAGTTACACAACAAGCAAAGGAAATATAGTAGAGACTCTGTTACTCATTTAGGGTTTCAGGCCATCCTCAAAAAATCTCTTCTTTAGATTAGATGGTGGTGAAATGTCAGATTTGTTTACTTAAACATTAGTGCTCCCTTATTCAAAGCCTATCCTTTCTCCAGAGGTTTCCATTTACTGTTCCCATTACCACCTGCCATGGGTGTTATTTACTATTTATGGGCACCTCCAGATGAGTCTACAAGAGGAAGAAACAGATCAGAAATGAGAAAGAGACCTGCTGATTTGCTGTGTCTCTATTATATGATACTTATTATGATTTTGCAGGAGTAGACATTTTAACTATGAGAGTCGTGGGTTTATTTGTGAGTACGCTTCATTCATATTCTCTTTATCCCAAACAGTCACCAATACTGGTTATGTTGCTGTCCAGTGAATAAGATAAAATATGGAATGATCTCTTTCTCTGAATGGGAACACATGTTCCTCCAATCTGCTTTGTGACTTAATCAGTGTCATTATGATTGAGGCAGAAGATACCATGAATCAGTCAGAAAGAAGAGTCTTATAATACACGTCTCACTTCCCAATTGAGCATTCAGCTGTAGATAATGTTCCTGCTGGAGCATTTAGTGTCTTATGAGATTCCTTATTGAGAGGACATTCTCAGACTCAAACACGGGCTTGTAAATTCTGACCTATGCACCACGTAAACAATGCAAATAGATTTCCTATCTTCCCTGGGCCACTGTTGTACTAGATTACAGTTTAGGTTTCATAGGTCCAGGCTGTGGGTTCTGCGATGTTTGCTTCTTTCCTGCTTCGCAGTAGTCAACTCCCTGGTGGTTCAGCCTCTTGAAAGAAGCTTGAGAGTAAGCTTCCTTCTGCCTCAACAGGACTGAAAAACCACTCAAAATCCTTCCAAAGGTGAAGCATTAGCATCCCATAAAAGGCTGGGTCCCAAACATTGTTACTATAGTATCTTCTGTCAGGATTCAGAGGCATTTAATGAGTTAGAGAAATAGATGAAATAAATCAAAGGACTACCTTCCCAACTACAATAATTAGTGGAAATTCTAATATTAGGAACTTTTACCATTGAGGAATTTAAGAATTTAAGGCAATTATAGGTTGAATAGCCAAAGTCAGGTATGAGCCTATGAGAGCTCTTATAGAAATGTCTTCATTCAGTAGAATAAAGACAACATTAGAGAATACAATAGCACTTTTCACTTCTAAAATTGCTATCCATGTGCCTGGTATGCTTGCTTTCATTTGCAATTCAAGCTCAATAGTAGAATGTTGAGGCCTTCTCTCCACAGTTTGAGAAAAAAAGAGTTGTGAATTTGTTTTGCTTTTTTTGTTACAGATAGTATGAGTACTAAGAAACTATATTTTCTCTGTCTGGTTCTTCATGCCAAAAAAACAATTATCTTTCCAATTTAAGAGTCCTCCCTCTCAGTTCCCACTGTATTCACAAAGTGATAGAGCAATTTAGGTGGTTAGGATTGGGAGAGAAAGGAGAAGAAAAGCTATGGGGAAACTTCTTAAATCAACTGACTGTGGCTGAGATTATCTTTCTTTCCCACTCTATAAGGTTATAAAGCCTTCCTGCTGTTCAAAATAACATTGTGCCAAGACAAATCTTTCTTTCCCATGTTTGGCTTCTTCCATCCTAATAGATGGAAGGGCACAATTCTAAGGTCTCAGTAGGCTAGCCCTCAATCTTCTTTATCTCTCTCAAGACTTCATTGATTTTGTTGTTTATTTATATAAATTTATGGGGTAGAAGTTTAATTTTGTTACATAGATATACTGACTAGGGGGAATCACTGCTTTTAATGTATTTATCACCTAAATAATATATATTATACTCATAAGTAATATCTTATCCTCCCCAAAGGCTTCATTGCAATGAGCTCCATTTCTCTCTTTTGTCTAATTTACTTCCTTTTTGTTTCTCCAACCTCCAAAAGTCTAGTCTTTTTTTTAAAAAAGTTATCCCCAGTAGAGATTAGAGATGACTAGAAGTTCTTCATGTTGTGTAAAGGATATAAAAATTTTATGTAGAAGGGACTCAAAATTGGATAAGACTGCCCTCTTCAAAACATTTAAAACTTCTGAGTCCTCTTCTAGATGTTAGAACAAGAAAATTGGGGTCAATAAAGGTTTTCTGTTCAAAGTTTCATGCATTTTTTTCTTAAGGAGAGAATGTCTGTAATGTATCACATTTCCAGAAAAATCTATGACACAGAAAAGGTTAAAGCAGTGCTTGAGCAACCTTGCATCATGAGCTATTTGGGTCGGCTTTATGGGAATCATCAAAACCCTGTGCTGGATTAAATTCTACAGTACATCAGGCATTTATTCTTTCAGCTCAAGTAACAGCATTAACTGCTGGAGAAAGTACCTGAGAAAACTTATGGTTGGGTAAGGAACACTGAGAGTCAGGATGCATGGCCTGTGACAGACATTCTGTTCTTAACTTGATGGATGAAGTTGCAGCAGGATGAGCCACAGACTAGAACCCCTCAGACAACAATTTGTAGAAGGAAAGGGCTTTATTCACCTGGGAGCATCGGCAGACTCACGTCTCCAAAAACCGAGCTCCCCGAGTGAGCAATTCTTGTCCCTTTTAAAGGCTTACAACTCTAAGGGTGTCCATGTGAGAGGGTCGTGATCGATTGAGCAAGCAAGCAGGCAGTACGTGACTGGGGGCTGCATGCACCTGCACCGGTAATTAGAATGGAAGAGAACAGGACAGGGATTTCCACAGTGCTTTTCCATACAATGTCTATAATCTATAGATAACGTAACCCATTAGGTCAGGGGTCAGTCTTTAACTACCAGGCCCCAGGGTGTGGCGCCGGGCTGTCTGCCTGTGGATTTCATTTCTGCCTTTTAGTTTTTACTTATTCTTTCTTTGGAGGCAGAAATTGGGCATAAGACAATATGAGGGGTGGTCTCCCTCTTTATTCCCCTCCCTTTGAGAACCTCACTCATTAGTGGGAGTTTTCACTTTTATTTTTACTACCTATGTCTTTTTGCAAGACAGATCGATAGTAATTCATACAGTACACTTGTGCCAAAGCATTTTTGTGAACTAAGGTAGCAGTGAAGCTTTTTATCATTTGAAGAAGTACAGGTAGTAAACAAGGAAGCAATAAGCAGGTTCTTATTACTATTATAACTCTTATTATAAAAGTTTTAAATTCTCCTAGCGCTGGGAGCCATTTTTTAAACATGGCCTTAGGATTAAATCCATGCCACACTTGCACAGGCACATGTGTCAGTTTTGTCATATTTTTAACTATGTCTTCAACTACTTGTCCTTGATCATCTATGTGTAGACAGCAATTAGTAAGGTTAAATTTCCTACAGACCCCTCCTTCAGCTGCTAGCAAGTAGTAGAGAGCTAATCTATTTTGATAGATAGTATTTCTCATCTGAGTTTCTTGCCAGAGCAGAATAGTCAAGGCTCTGCCGGTTTTATTAGTGATTATTTCTAAGACAGCTTGTAACCGTATGATTTGATTGATCCTGTAAATGGGAGTCTGGTATCCCCACGAGCTGTCTTGTGTCTAAGTAGCAGGCCTATGATATTGTATGATTTTTTTTCAGGGGGCTATTTTTTTTTTAATTTTTTATAACTATGCTTCTCTTTTTGTGGGAAGCATAGACAGGGAAGCTAGGAGTTTGCCTGTTTTTATGGGCAGTAGGAAGAAAGATGGTTTAAGAGTGCCAATAACACAACTACCTGCCCACTGGTCAGGTAATTTCGCATAAGCTCTATGCCCACATATCCAGTATAATCCAGTGGGGGCTGTCCAGTCCTGGTGGGACTCCAGGTAGGTCCACACGGTTTGCAACTTTGGGAATTTACTAAATGGATTCCTTTTTGTGTGATTTGAACTCCACCCAGTGACTGTTTTCGTGTTACCACTATACAGTTTCTGTCCTAGACAACTAAGTCATCCTACAGGGTGAGTGGATTTTTTTTTTCTAGCTATGCAATACTGTCCAATAATTGAGGCTTTTAGGACTAGAAATTGTCAGGGTGATTTTTCTGAGCCGGGAATTCATCAGGAACTGGGTCTGTAGGTACTAATTTTCATGCTTCCTATGGCTGTTGATCTCCTGTTACAGTTTCTCCACATACATAACATGAAGTGACATTGAGAAACTGGGCTACATGCTCGGCTAATTGCAAAAACAAATTTCTTGGGTTTTTTTTGGAATTTCTGGTACTGGCACATTTAGTTCATCATAGAAAGTTTAAAACACTGGCTCAGGAGAGCGTTTGTAAACTTTTCCTGAAACTAAGATATTTACTCAAGGATCCAGTCTGGCCCCATCGATTCCTAAGGTCACACGTTCCCCTTTTTTTCACTGAGGATCAAGGGGATTGGTTATTACTAGCTCTAAGGAGTTACATTGTCCCTTAGTACAGGAAGGGCCATTTTTTTCTTTTTTGAAGGTGGACTGGATCATTTTTATTTTTTATTCAAATGGCCTAAATGACACAAGACCAGTATTTACATTTATATTTATATAGTCCTAATTTATGACAAATTTACTTACTTTTGGTCATATAGTCTTTTTTTTAATTAAGAGAGTCACATTTCCTTTCTAACTTATTGCTATTAATGACAGCACAGGCATCAAATTTCAAGATTATGCATTTGGGCACCCCCTTTCTTTTGTTCTGGCTAATACTTTACTTGTATTATTTATGAGTCCTCACCAGTCTTTAGTTCTTAATCTTATTTTAAAAACTGTGGACATGGGAGGCCCAGAGGGGTCATAACACACATCTGGCTGGTCGTTTCCTGGGCTACATACCTTGTACTGAGTGTCATTATATAAACATGCTCCTTTTAAAGTTTCTAGGCATTCATAGTAACTATAGAACAGAAAGATTGTTTTACTTTCTTGTCTTACCTCAGTAACCTGATGTATACACTAAGAGTAGTCTTTCATGCGGGGAAAATCAGTGGAAGTTTTTACTATACAAGTCCAAATTATAAGGAAAATGAGTTTTACGATGATTCTCCTCATGCTTCAGCCGTGCGTAGACCAGTCAGCTTCTGGATGTGACTGGAGCAGGGCTTGTCGTCCTCCTCAGAGTCACTTTGCAGGGCTTGTCCAGGCTCGGTTTTGTCTCCTAGTTTTCAGTGGCTGTAGGTTTCACATGGCTGTTGTGGATCCAGGCTGGGATTCCTTCTACCTTTACAGCCGTGGGGGTGGTCAGGATGATGGTTTGAGGTCCTTTCCACGGTGGCTGTAAAGGGGCTACGTTCCAGTCCTTGATCCACACGCGATCACCTGGAAAGAAAGGATGAACTGGGGAGAATAAGCTGATGGGACACCTCTTATTTACCTAAGTTGAGATTGTTTGTGTAATTTTTCTTAAAGCCTGTAGCTGTCACTGTAATTCAATTTCACCTAACTCTCGGGGAGTGCCTGGAAGTCTCTGTAGTATAGGAGGAGGCCTATGATACAGTATTTCATAAGGGGAGTATTCTGTTTTCTTAGAAGGAGTGCATTTAATTTTAAACAATACCATAGGAAGGGCCTGTATCTATTTTAATCCTGTTTTCTGACATACTTTTTTAAAACTATTTTTGATAGTCCGATTCATTCACTCCACCTTTCCGGAACTCTGAGGTCGGTAGGCGGCATGTAGCTTCCAAGTGATTCCTAATGCCTTTGCTGTTTTCTGTACCAAGTCGCTCACAAACCTGTTACCTGAGCCGATTCGTAAGGGCAGTCTAAACCTAGGAATAAGATCTCAGAGAAGCACACGGGTTACTTCATAGGCCTTTTTAGTTTGTGTTGGATCAGCCTCCACCTACCTAGAGTAAGTACACACAAGAACCAGCAAATACTTGTTACCTCCACATTTTGGCATTTCTGTGAAATTTACCTGAAGATCCTCAAAAGGAGCTGCTCCATAAGCTTGTGTGCCAGGTGGAACAGTGGGGCTTTGCCTCACATTGTGCTGTTGGCAAGTAACGCACTGTTGTGCTACTGCTTTGGCAAGGGCTGGCAAATGTGAGATGTAGAAGTACTGGCCTAACAACTTTTTAAGTGACTCTTGACCTTAGATGAGTAGTTTTGTGCACGGCCAATACGATTGTGGCTCCCAGAAACTGTGGCACAGCTACCTTCCTATCTGGCAGTCTGATCTATCCTCCTTTTATTACTTGCCCCCTTTCTGCATGGAAAAAGTCTTTTTCTTCCTTAGAATAGGTAGGTACCAGGTCAGGTGTTTGAGGGAGTAATGGGGCTGCTACCGATGCCCAGTAAGGGGTAGATGCTGCTTTTCGAGCTTCTGAATTAGCTCGAGAGTTTCCTAGGGCCACTGAGGTGGAGGCTCGCTGGTGTCCCCTGTAGTGCATGACTGCCACCTTTTGAGGTTTTTACACTGCCTCTAATAATTGTAGAATTTCTTGTTGATATTTTATGTCCTTTCCCCCAGGGTTTAACAGGCCCTTTTTCTTGTATAATGCTCCATGCACTTGAGAATTAGAAAGGCATATCGAGAGTCAGTGTAGATGTTTACAGTCTTACTTTTACTGAGTTCTAGAATCTGAGTTAAAGCAATGAGCTCAGCCTTCTGGGCTGAAGTGCCCTGTGGCAATGGTTTGGCTTCAATGACAGCATCCAAAGTTACCACCACATATCCTGCACATCTTTCATCTTGTGGGTTGATGAAGCTGCTCCCATCTACATATAACTCCCAGTCTACTGAGATGCCCATGGCTGGTCCTGAAGGTCAGGTCTGCTAGAATAGACTGAGCCCAACACCTCTACACAGTTATGCTCAACCAGCCTTTCTGATAATGGGAACAGGGTGGTGGGATTTAGGTTGTTACAGACTTCAATTGTTATCTGGGGATTTTCACAAAGCAAGCTTTGGTACTTGGTTAATTTAGCATTTGTTAGCCAATGATGTCCTTTGGTATTCATCAAGGTTACCACAGCATGGGGGGCTTTTATATTCAGCTTTTGCCCAAGGGTTAGTTTATCTGCTTCTTGTGCTAACAGGGCCGTTGCTGCCAGGGCCCTTAGACATGGTGGCCGGCCTTTGGAAACCCCATCTAGTTGTTTTGAGAGATAGGCCACTGGTCTTGGCCAGGGCCCCACAGTCGGTTAAAACTGTAACTGCCATTTTTTTTCTTTTTGACACATAGAGTGTAAAGGGCTTTGTCAAATCTGGTAGTCCTAGGGCACAGGCCAACGTAAGTTTTTCCTTTAACTTACAAAAGACTAGCTCTTGTAGAGGCTCCCATTTAAAAGTTACCGGTCGCCCCCCTTTGTAGCCCCGTACAAAGGTTGGGCTAGTACTGCAAAGTTTGGAATCCATAATCTGTAAAACCTTACAGCTCGTAGGAATTCCCTTACTTGCCTTCTGGTTTTAGGTTCCAGTAGGCTGCAGATGACCTGCTTTCTTCCTGACTCCAGGCTGCGCTCCCCTTTCCGAATAGTGAATCCCAGGTAGCATACCTGCTGTCTGCAGATCTGAGCTTTCTTCTTGGACACTTTCTACCTACAGTCCTCCAGGTGCTGAAGTAGGACATCCGTACTTTTTGCGCACCCGACTGCCAAGGAGTGTCCCAGCAGAAGGTCGTTCATGTACAAAAGCAAGATGCAGCCTAGGTCTTTAGCAGGAAACTTTTGCAGGTCTTGAGCCAGGGCCTCCCTGAAGATAGTAGGGGAGTTCTTGAACCCTTGGGGAAGCCGGGTCCAAGTGTACTGAGTAGTCACACCTGACTCCGGATCTTCCTACTGAAAGGCAAACAGCTTCTGGCTCTCAGGAGCTAGTCTGATGCTAAAGAAGGCATCTTTTAAGTCCAGACAGGTAAACCAACTGTCCTTAGCAGGCAGTAGCCCTAACAATGTGTAACGGTTAGGAACTGTTGGGTGCAGAGTCACTGTAGCTTGGCTGACCAAGCGCAAGTCCTGCACTGGCCGGTAGTCCTTTGTCCCTGGCTTAGGGACAGGCAGGAGGTAGGTGTTCTATGGAGACTGGCAAGGAACTATAGTTCTAAATTATAGGTGCTTTTAAGCGCCTGAGATGAACCTGGATTCCCTCAAGAGCTTCTCTGGGAACCGGATACTGCTTTTGTCTAATTGGCTGGGCCCCAGGCTTAACTTCTGTGAGTACGGGTGCTTGATTGACTGCCAGTCCCAGAGGATTATCCTCTGCCCATATTTGGGGCCATCGCTTAGCTAGACTGGTTTTATCTCTTGGCCTGGCTCGGTTAGAAAAAGTCTCTATTCTTTTTCCTGGGGGACCGTAAGGGCCATGATAACTCCTGTTCCCAGTAACTTTAGCTGTAAAGAGCCCTGTCTTGTAAAGGAGATGGTGGCTCTCAGCTTGCTAAGCAAGTCTCTTCCCAGCAAAGGCAAGGGACAGTCAGGCATGTACAAGAACTGGTGAACTATTTTATGTCCCACCACCCAGCAGGTCCGTGGTAGACAGAAAGCCTGCTTAGTGGAAACTTCTGTTGCTCCGATTATATCAATGGTTTTCTCGGGTAAGGGGGTGACCGGGGTGGTCACTACTGAATGTTCAGCACCAGTATTGACCAAAAACTTAATGTCCTTGCCTCCAATTGTAATCCTGACGGCAGGCTCCTTGGGGGCGCTTCAGCCCAGTCCCCTTCAGTCTAATAGCCCTTCAGCCAGATTGAACAAAGCTCTCTCATCTTTATCTAAGGTCTTTTGTTCTGAATCACCTTGTTTTTCCTTCAGTTGGGGACACTTATTTTTCTAATGTCCTATTTCCTTACAATAGGAGCATTGGTTACATTGAAAGTGTGGGCGATTAGACTGGGTATTCTTCCCAGAACCCTCCTTTTCTTTCCCTTTTGGGGGAATTCCCTTAATGGCCGCGGCCAGTAAGTTGGCGTTTCCGCCTGGCCTGGTGTTCGGCTTTCTCAGCGGCTTGTTGCATCTTTGTTCACAAACAAACACTTGATTGGCTATTTCCAGTAATGGCGAGGTATTCATACCCACAAACCCTGCCTGTTTTTGCAATTTTTTCCTGTTATCTTCTGTGCTTTGACTAACTAAGGCCATGTTAATCATGTGCTGATTTTCAGGGCTATTTGGATCAAAAGGAGTGTACATACGGTAAGCCTCACACAGTCTTTCATAGAATTGTGCTGGACTCTCCCCTTTTTCTTGGATGACCTCAGAGACCTTATTTAAATTTGTAACCTTTTGAGCCCCTTTCTTTAGACCTTTTATCAATGCCTTAGGATACCATCTTAGCCTCCCTGTGTCTGGTCCCTCGTTCAGGTCCCATTGGGGGTCTGTTCCTTGCAGCTGAATCCTTATATATTCTTGGGGGTTTTGGTAATCGGCTGGGACATGCTACTCTAGCTACTTAGTTGCCGCCTGGAGCACCCTTTGCCTTTTATTTGTATTAAAGAGGTACATGAGCAGCTGGTGGCAATCAGCCTAAGTAGGATTATGAGTCTGTATAACGGTTTGGAGCAAGTCAATTAAAGCTTGAGGCTTTTTGGTATAAGGTGGAGTATTATTTTTCCAATTGAGGAGGTCAGCAGAGGTGAAAGGTTGATACAAAGGCACGCCTTTCCACCATGTGTCCATCCTCATTTACCCCAGTAATATTGCTGTTCTCTCAGGGGCATTTGGATTCCAGTCTTAGGCCGTAAGCAAGCTGCCAAGGGAGGAGTTTCTCCTTCAGCTTTACTTCCTCTTTTGTCTATGCTGGGTGGTCTAGGAGTGTGGCTATCTGGTGGAGGTGGAGGTGCTGTGGGTTCTGGAGTGGGGAGCCCTTCCTCTCAATAAGGAGGGGGTATTCCTGGTACCAATTCCTGCCATGATTCTTCTGGTGTTGGGACAGACAGGACTTTTGGTGCTGAATTCCCTCGGTGGGTGGAGCGAGAACCTTCCTTAACTAACTGTCCCTTTGCTACTAGTACTGCTGCTGCCTGTCCTCTTAACCACTGTGAGGGGTCTAAAACTAACTGTAACCAAGAATCTATATGTATATACGGGAATTGATACGGGAATTGATCTGGGTGCCCTGGCTTACAAGTTACCTTGTGCCACACTTTTGAGAGAAGGGACCTGTCCAGGCTTCCTTCTGATGGCCAACGTACCTGTAATGCTGGCCAGTCTATCTCACACAAAGTTCTAAGTTTTCTTGGTGTCATAACTCCATAGTCTCCCTTAAATCCTGTTTTGAAATTTTTCAACATAGTTCCTAGTGGGATGGGCTCACTTTGTGCCTCACCCATGTTTCCTCCAGACAAAACACCACACTCACACCACACTCACACCACAAAACAAAGAACAGGTAAAGAGGGCACACACACACTTTTACAGTTTACACCAAACCAGAAACAACCAAAATCAGAGTATCAAATCCAAGCCAGGTCAAAACCAAAACCAAAGTATCAAGCAATCCAAGTCAAGCCAAAAACAAAAACCAAAGTGCCAGTACAGGCACGTCGTGGGTGATCAGGCCATGCTTCCACTCAAATGGAGTGGGCAAGTTCCAAAGACCAGTCTTACCAAGTTTCAGATGTCCGGACTCCAAGTGCCAGTTCCTTCCCGGTGTTCAGCCACTGCACTGATCATCCACAAGGGCCTGCTGTCCACCGCTCTGACGAGGCGTTCCACCAGGGCAAATGCCTACCCGAGAGTGCTCTCAGGATCTGCATCGCTCAAGCTGGCCGGAGTCCCCCGCAGGGATGCTCCACAGGGCAGGCCTAAGCTGACTAAGGGGCTGACTCAACTGTCCGTCCTTAATCACCTGCTTCCTGGTCAGGAAACCACGAAATGTAGCAGGATGAGCTGCAGACAAGAACCGCTCAGACACCGAATTGTAGAAGGAAAGAGCTTTATTCAACTGGGAGCATCTGCAGACTCACATCTCCAAAAACCGAGCTCCCCGAGTGAGCAATTACTGTCCCTTTTAAGGGCTTACAACTCTAAGGGTGTCCATGTGAGAGGGTCGGGATTGATTGAGCAAGCAGGGAGTATGTGACTGGGGGCTGCATGCACCTGCACGGGTAATCAGAATGGAACAGAACAGGACAGGGATTTTCACAGTGCTTTTCCATACAATGTCTGTAATCTATAGATAATATAACCGATTAGGTCAGGGGTCGATCTTTAACTACCAGGCCCCAGGGTGTGGCACCGGGTTGTCTGCCTGTGGATTTCATTTCTGCCTTTCAGTTTTTACTTTTTCTTTCTTTGGAGGCAGAAATTGGGCATAAGACAATATGAGGGGTGGTCTCCCCCCCTTAAAGTGAGCAAATAATCTCATCTCCCTGGGCAATAGTGTTTCTAAACACTGTTTCTAAAGTGAGAGAGTTGGACTAATTCAATGGTTTCACATCTAACCTGGAGACTTTTGGAAAACTCTGGATCACTGGGTTCCATCCACCACCAGCTATAAGAGACTCACTGTAGTTAGCACAATGGATTTTTTTTAAAGAAAGCTACTCAAGACATTCTGTTCTTTGACAAGTAGAGAAATCATTTCAGCAGACAGTCTGTGGTCACTTCTAGCTTTAAAATGCTGAGTTTCCAATAAAAAAAATACTCTGGGCAGAATCTGGATTGGTATGAAGTGTTAATCATCTGAATAAATATAGTGCTCTTTTTTAAGCATAAGTGATTAATACTACATGTAAATGAAATTATTCAGATAGCCCATCAGATTGCTGGGAAGTTACTAATTATATACATATATATATGTGTGAGTGTGTGTGTGAATGGAGTACACTTGATTATGCCTCACGCTTTTAAAAAAATGTTCAGCCTTTATTTTAGATAGATGGGGTACATGGGCAGGTTTATTACATGGGGATATTGCACCAAGGTAGTGAGCATAGTACCCAACAAGTAGATTTTCAACCCAGGCCCCCTTCCCCGCTCTCTCTAGCAGTCCCCAGTGTTTATTATTCCTATGTTTATGTACATGTGTACTCATTGTTTAGCTACCATTTGTAAATGAGAACATGTGGTATTTAGTTTTCTGTCCCCCATTAGTTTGCTGAGGATTCTTGCCTCCAGATTCATCCATGTTGCTGTGAAAGACATGATTTCATTCTATTTTATGACTGTATTACTATGGTAATTTATCACTGTGGTGGATATGTACCACATTTTCTTTATCCAATCCACCACTGACGGTCACCTATGCTGATTCTATGTCTTTGCTATAGTGAGTAGTGCAGCAATGAACATATGAGTGAGCATTTCTTTTTGATGTAGTGATCTATTTTCCTTTGGGTATGCGCCCAGTAATGGAATTGCTGGGTCAAATAATAGTTCTTCGTTTTTTGCGAAATCTCCAAACTGCTTTTTGCAGTGGCCGACCTAATTTACATTCCCAGCAACAGCTTTTCCTTTTCTCCACAGCTTTGCCAGCATCTGTTTTTTGACTTTTTAATAACAGCCATTCTGACTAGTGTGAAATGGTATCTCATTGTGATTTTGATTTGCATTTCTCTGATGATTAGTGATGATAGCTTTTTTTCATATGTTTGTTGGCCACTTGTGTGTCTTCTTTTGAGAGGAATCTGTTCATGTCTTTTGCTCACTTTTTAATGGAGTTGTTTGGTTTTTGCTTGTAAATTTGTTTAAGTTTCTTATAGATTCTGGATAATCAGACCTTTTTCAGATGTATAGTTCATAAATATTTTATCCCATTTTGTCAGTTGTCTGTTTACTCTCTTGATAGTTTCTTTTGTTATGCAGAAGCTCTTTAGTTTAATTAGATCGGACTTGTCATTTTTTGTTTTCACTGCAATTGCTTTTGGGGACTTGGCAAAAAATTCTTTGCCAACACTAATGTCAAGAAGAGTACTTCCTAGGTTTTCGTCTAAGATATTTATAATTTTAGGTCTTATACTTCTATCTTTCATCCATCTTGAGTTAATTTTTGTATGTGGTGACAGATAGGAGTCTAGTTTCATTCTTATGCATATGGCTATCCAGTTATCCCAGCACCGTTTATTGAACAGGAAGTCCTTTCCCATTACTTATGTTTGTCGATCTTATGGAAGGTGAGAGGTTTTAAACATGTGGCTTCATTTCTGAGTTTTCTATTCTGTTCCATTGGTCTGTGTGTCTGTTTTTGTAACAGTACCATGCTGTTTGGTCATTATAGCCTTATGGTGTAGTTACAAGTCAGGTAGTGTGATGCCTCCAGCTTCATTTTTGTTGTTGTTGTTGCTTAGAATTGCTTTTGCTGTTTGGGCTCTTTTTTTGGTTCCATATGAATTTTAAAATAGTTTCTTCTCATTTTTTGAAGAATGATATTGGTAGTTCAATAGGAGTAGCACTGAATCTGTAAGTTGCTTTGGCCAGCATGGTCATTTTCATGACACTGATTCTTCTAGTCCTTGAGCATGGAATGTTTTTTCGTGTGTGTGTGTGTGTGTGTGTGTGTGTGTGTGTGTGTGTGTGTGTGTGTGTGTGATTTCTGACTTCTTTCACAAGACTTTCGTAATTTTCCATGTAGAGATCCTCCACCTCTTTGATTAGCTGTTTTTCTAGGTACTTCATTTTCTTTGTGACTATTGTAAATGAGATTGTGTTCTTGATTTGACTTTCAGCCTGGACATTATTGGTGTATAGAAATGCTATTGATTTTTGTACATTGATTTTTGTATCCTAAAACCTTACTAAAATTGTTTATCAGTTCTAGTAGCCTCTTGGCAGAGTCTTTAGGGGTTTCTAGATATACAATAATATCACAAAGAGAGACAGTTTGGCCTCTTGTCTTCCTATTTGGATGCCTTTTGTTTCTTTCTCTTGCTTAACTTCTGGCTAGGACTTTCAGTACTATGTTGAACAGGAACGGGGAGAGTGGGCATCTTACATGGTTAGGCTTTGTGTCCCCACCCAAATCTCATCTTAAATTGTAATCCCCAGGTGTTCATGGGGAGAACTGGTGGGAAGTGATTGGATTATGGGGCAGTTTTCTCCATGCTGCTCTCGTGATAGTGAGTGAATTAGATCTGATTGTTTTATAAATGGCAGTTTTTCCTGTGCTCTCACACACTTGCTTCTCTCTCATCCCTGCCACCATGCAAGATGTGCCTGCTTCCCCTTCTGCCATGATTGTAGGTTTTCTGAGGCCTCCCCAGCCAAGCAGAACTGTGAGTCAATTATACCCCTTTTCTTTATAAATTACCCAGTCTTAGGTAGTATCTTTATAGCAGTGAGAAAATTGGCAAATACAGCATCTTTCTCTTGTTCCAGTTTTCAAGGGGAAGGGTTTTTTAGCTTTTGCTCATTCCATATGATATTGGCTGTGGCTTTATTATTGATGAGTCTTATTATTATTATTATTTTTCCTGCCCTACACAACATTATTCTCCTTATGTCATTTATATTACAAATTACATTAGTACATGATGAACCATTAATATAGATTGTTTTATTATAACTTTTATTTTAGGTTCAGGGGTACATGTGCAGGTTTGCTATATGCATAAACTGTGTCTCCCACAGTTTTGGTATGTAGATTATTTCATCAGCCATGTACTAAGCCTAGTATCCAATAGATATTTTTTCTGATGCTTTGCCTACTCTCACTCTTCACCCTCAAGTAGGCCCCAGTGTCTGTTGTTCTCTTTGTTTTCATTGTTTAGTGCCACTTATAAGTGAGAACATGCAGTATGTGATTTTCTGTTCGTGTGTTAGTTTGCTTAGGATAATTGCCTCCAGCTCCACCCACGTTGCTGCAAAGGGCAGGAGCTCATTCTCTTTTGTGGCTGCATAGTATTCCACAGTGTACATGTACCACATTTACTTTATCCAGTGATAGGTATCCCCACACAAATCTCGTCTTGTAGCTCCCATAATTCCCATGTGTTGGTGGGAGGGACCCAGTGAGAGATGATTGAATCATGGGAGTGGGCCTTTCCCTTGCTGTTCTCATGATGGTAAATGGGTCTCATGATGGCCAATGATTTTGAAAACAGGAGTTTCCCTACACAAGCTCTCTCTTTGCCTGCTGTCATCCATATAAGATGTGACTTGCTCCTCCTTGCCTTCTGCCATGATTGTGAGTCCTCTTCAGCCATGTGGAACTGTAGGTCCAATAAACCTCTTTCTTTTGTAAATTGCCTAGTCTTGGGTATATCTTTATCAACAGCATGAAAATGAACTAATACATTCAGTCTTCTATTTATGGCCATTTAGGTTGACTCCATGTCTTTGCTATTGTGAACAGTGCTGCAGTGAACATATGCATCCATGTGTCTTTATGGTAAAATAATGTATATTCCTTTGGCTATATACCTGGTAATGGGATTGCTGGATCAAATGGTAGTTCTGTTTTTAGGTCTTTGAGGAGTCACCGCACTTCTTTCCATAATAGTTGAACTAATTTATACTCTTACCAACAGTATATAAGTGTTCCTTTTCCCCCGTAACCTTGCTAGCATTTATTTTTCAACTTTTAATAATGGCCATTCTGACTGCTGTGAAATACTATTTCATTGTGGATTTGATTTGCATTTCTCTAATGGTTAGTGATGATGAGCATTTTTTCATATGTTTTCTAGCCACTTGTATGTATTCTTCTGAAAAGTGGCTGTTCCTATCCTTTGCCCACTTTTTTATGGGGTTGTTTCGTCTTTGCTTGTAAATTTGTGTAAGTTCCTTATAGATTCTGGATATTAGACCTTTGTTGGATGCATAGTTTGCAAATATTTTCTCCCATTCCGTAGGTTGTCTTTTCACTCTGCTGATAATTTCTTTTGCTATAAGCTCCATACTTTAATTAGTTCCCATTTGTCAATTTTTGCCTTTGTTGCAATTGCTTTTGGCATCTTTTTCGTGAAATCTTTGCCAGGTCCTATGTCCAGAATGGTATTGCCTAGGTTGTCTTCCAGAGTTTTTATACTTTTGGGTTTCACATTTAAGTCTTGAATTCATCTTGAGTTAACTTTTGTTTATGGTATAAGGAAAGGGTCCAGTATCAATCTTCTTCATATGGCTAGCCAGCTATCCCAGCACCATTTACACCACTTATTGAGGAGGGAGTCCTTTCCCCATTGCTGGTTTTTGTTGGCTTTGTTGAAGATCAGATAGTTGTAGGTGTGCAGCCTTATTTCTGAGATCTCTATTCTGTTCCATTGGTCTATATGTCTGGTTTTGTACAAGGACCCTGCTATTTTGGTTACTGTAGCCTTGTAATATAGCTTGAAGTCAGGTAACATGATACCTCAGCTTTGTCTTTTTGCTTAGGATTGCCTTTGCTATTCAGGCTCTTTTTTAGTTTTGTACAAATTTAAATTTTTTTTTTTTTAAATTGCATGAAGAATGTCACTGGCAGTTTCATAGGCATAGCATCTGTAAATTACTCTATGCAGTGTGGCCATTTTAATGACATTGATTCTTCCTAATCATGAGCATGGAGTGTTTTTCCATGTGTTTGTGTCATCTATGATTTCCTTGAGCGGTGTTTTATAATTCTCATTGTAGAGATCTTTCACCACTCTGGTTAGCTGTATTCCTCAGTATTTTACCCTTTTTGTGGCAATTGCAAATGAGATTACATTCTTGATTTGGCTCTTAGATTGGATATTGTTCGTATACAGGAAGGCTACTGATTTTCTACATTGATTTTGTACCTGAAACTTTGCTGAAATTGTTTATCAGATCACAGAGCTTTTGGGCAGAGACTATGGGGTTTTCTAGATATAAAATTATATTGTCTGCACACAGGGATATTTTGACTTTCTCTCTTATTTGGATGCCTTTTATTTCTTTCTCTTGCCTTAGTACCCTGGCCAAGACTTCCAGTACTATGTTGAATAGGAGTCATGATAGAGGGCATCCCTGTCTTGCTCTGGTTTTCAACAGAATGCTTCTAGCTTTTGCCCATTTAGTATTATGTTGGCTGTGGATTTGTTATAGATGGCTCTTATTATTTTAAAGTATATTCCTTCAATGACTAGTTTATTGAAGGTTTTTAACATGAAGTGATGTTGAATTTTATCAAAAGACTTTTCTGCATCTATTGAGATAATCATGGGTTTTTTATTTCAGTTCTCTTTACGTGATGAATCATATTTATTTATTTGTGTATGTTGAACCAACTTTGCATCCCAGGGATAAAGCCTACTTGATCTTGGTGAATTACCTTTATGATGTGCTGCTGGATTCAGTTTGCTAGTATTTTGTTGAGGATTTTTGTCTGTGTTCATCAAGGATATTGACCTGAAGTTTTCTTTTTTTGTTGTGTCTCTGCCAGGTTTTGGTATCAGGATGATACTGGCCTCATAAAATGAGTTAGGAAGGAGTCTATCCTCCTCAAATTTTTGAAATAGTTTCAATAGGAATGATATCAGCTTTTCTTTATACATCTGGCAGAATTTGGCTGTGAATCCGTCTACTTCTCCACCTGTTTTTGGTTGGTTGGCTTTTTATTACTGTTTCAATTTTGGAACTCATTATTGGTCTGTTCAGGGATTTAATTTCCTCCTGGTTCAGTTTTAGGAGGTTATATGTGTCCAGGAATTTATCAGGTTCTTCTAGATTTTCTAGTTTGTGTGCATAGAGGTATATGTGTCCAGGAATTTATCAGTTTCTTCTAGATTTTCTAGTTTGTGTGCATAGAGGTGTTTGTAGTAGTCTCTGAGGGTTTTTTATATTCCTGTAGGTCAGTGGTAACATCCCCTTTGTTATTTCTAATTGTGTTTATTTGGCTCTTCTCTCTTCTTTCCTTTGTTAGTCTAGCTAATGGTCTGTCGTATTAATTTTTTAAAAACCAACTCTTGGATTAATTGATCTTTTGTATGATTTTTCATGTCTTAATATCCTTCAGTTTAGCTCTAATTTTGGTTATTTCTTATCTCCTGCTATCTTTGGGGTTGGTTTGCTCTTGCTTCTCTAGTTCCTCTAGTTGTGATGTTAGGTTGTTAATCTGAGATATTTTTAACTTTTTGATGTGGGTGTTTAGTGCCATAAACTTCCTCTTAACACCGCCTTAGCTGTGTCCCAAAGATTCTGGTATGTTGTGTCTTTGTTCTTATTAGTTTCAAATAACTTTTTGATTTCTGCCTTAGTTTATTTACGTAAAACTCACTCAGGAGCAGGTTGTTTAATTTCCATGTAACTGTATGGTTTTGAGAGATTTTCTTAATGTTGATTTCTGTTTTTATGCACTGTGGTCCAAGAGTGTGGTTGGTATGATTTCAATTTCTTTGAATTTGCTGAGGGTTATTTTATGTCTGATTTTGTGGTTGATTTTAGAATATGTGCCATGTGGCAATCAGAAGGATGTATATTCTGTTGTTTTGGGTGGAGAGTTTTGTAGATACTTGACAGATCCATTTATTCAAGTATTGAATTCAGGTCTTCAATATCTTCGTTAATTTTCTGCCTGAACAATTTGTCTAATACTCTCAATGGGGTATTGAAGTCTCCCACTACTATTATGTGGGAATCAAAGTCTCTGTGTAGGTCTCCAAAAACTTCTTTATGAATCTGGGTGCTCCTCCCTTGAAGGCATATATATTTAGGATAGTTAGGTCTTCTTGTTGAATTAAACTCTTTACCATTATGTAATGTCCTACTCTATCTTTTTTGGTCTTTGTTGGTTTAAAGTCTGTTTTGTCTGAAATTATGACAGCAACCACTGCCTTTTCCTGTTTTCCATTTGCTTGGTAGATTTTTCTTTATCCCTCTATTTTGAGCCTGTGATTGTCACTGCTTGTGAGATGCATCTCTTGAAGATGGCATACCAGGGTGTATTGCTTCTTTCTCCGTGTTGCCACTCTGTTACTTTTAAATGGAGCATTTAGCGCATTTACATTCCAAGTTAACATTTATATGTGTGGATTTGATCCTTTTATGTTGTTAGCTGGCTATTATATAGATTTCTTTGTATGGCTGCTTTATAGTGTCACTGGTCTGTGTACTTAAGTGTGTTTTTGTAGTGGCTGGTATGTTTGTTTGTTTGTTTTTCTTTCCATGTTTAGTGCTCCTTGCAGGACCTCTTGTAAGGCAGGCATGGTGGTAATGAATTCCCTCAGCGCTGACTTGTCTCAAAAGGATCTTATTTCTCCTCCACTTATGAAGCTTAGTTTGGCTGGATATAAAATTCTTGGTGGAAAATTATTTTCTTTGATCGTCTGAAGCCTTCTTCTCTCAACTCGTCAAAGTCATTCTCCATCCAGCTTTCTTCTGTTGCTGGTGAGGAACTGCGTTCCTTTGGAGGACGAGAGGTGCTCTGCTTTTTAGAGTTTCCAGTTTTTCTGCTCTGTTTTTTCCCCATCTTTGTGGTTTTATCTACTTTTGGTCTTTGATGATGGTGATGTACAGATGGGTTTTTTGGTGTGGATGTCCTTTCTGTTTGTTAGTTTTCCTTCTAACAGACAGGACCCTCAGCTGCAGGTCTGCTGGAGTACCCGGCCGTATGAGGTGTCAGTCTGCCCCTGTTGGGGGGTGCCTCCCAGTTAGGCTGCTTGGGGGTCAGGGGTCAGGGACCCACTTGAGGAGGCAGTCTGCCCGTTCTCAGATCTCCAGCTGCGTGCTGGGAGAACCACTGCTCTCTTCAAACCTCAGATGGCTATGGGAGGACATTCAAATCAAAGGAAAAGAAGTTGAGAACTTTGAAAAAAATTTAGAAGAATGTATAACTAGAATAACCAATACAGAGAAGTGCTTAAAGGAGCTGATGGAGCTGAAAACCAAGGCTCGAGAACTACGTGAGGAATGCAGAAGCCTCAGGAGCCAATGCGATCAACTGGAAGAAAGGGTATCAGCGATAGAAGATGAAATGAATGAAATGAAGCGAGAAGGGAAGTTTAGAGAAAAAAGAATAAAAAGAAACGAGCAAAGCCTCCAAGAAATATGGGACTCTGTGAAAAGACCAAATCTACGTCTGATTGATGTACCTGAAAGTCACAAGGAGAATGGAACCAAGTTGGAAAACACTCTGCAGGATATTATCCAGGAGAACTTCCCCAATCTAGCAAGGCAGGCCAACATTCAGATTCAGGAAATACAGAGAACACCACAAAGATACTCCTTGAGAAGAGCAACTCCAAGACACATAATTGTCAGATTCACCAAAGTTGAAATGAAGGAAAAAATGTTAAGGGCAGCCAGACAGAAAGGTCGGGTTACCCTCAAAGGGTAACAGCAGACTAACAGCAGATCTCTCGGCAGAAACTCTACAGGCCAGAAGAGAGTGGGGGCCAATATTCAACATTCTTAAGGAAAAGAATTTTCAACCCAGAATTTCATATCCAGCCAAACTAAGCTTCATAAGTGAAGGATAAATAAAATCCTTTACAGACAAGCAAATGCTCAGAGATTTTTGTCACCACCAGGCCTGCCCTAAAAGAGCTCCTGAAGGAAGCGCTAAACATGGAAAGAAACAACCGGTACCAGCCGCTGCAAAATCATGCCAAAAAGTAAAGACCATCAAGACTAGGAAGAAACTGCATCAACTAACGAGCAAAATAACCAGCTAACATCATAATGACAGGATCAAATTCACACATAACAATATTAACTTTAAATGTAAATGGACTAAATGCTCCAATTAAAAGACACAGACTGGCAAATTGGATGAAGAGTCAAGACCCATCAGTGTGCTGTATTCAGGAAACCCATCTCACAGGCAGAGACACACATAGGCTCAAATTAAAGGACGGAGGAAGATCTACTAAGCAAATGGAAAACAAAAAAAGGCAGGGGTTGCAATCCTAGTCTCTGATAAAACAGACTTTAAACCAACAAAGATCAAAAGAGACAAAGAACGCCATTACTTAATGGTAAAGGGATCAATTCAACAAGAGCTAACTATCCTAAATATATATGCACCCAATACAAGAGCACCCAGAATCATAAAGCAAGTCCTGAGTGACCTACAAAGAGACTTAGACTCCCACACAGTAATAATGGGAGACTTTAACACCCCACTGTCAACATTAGACAGATCAATGAGACAGAAAATCAACAAGGATACCCAGGAATTGAACTCAGCTCTGCACCAAGCGGACCTAATAGACATCTACAGAACTCTCCACCCCAAATCAACAGAATATACATTTTTTTCAGCACCACACCTATTCCAAAATTGACCACGTACTTGGAAGTAAAGCTTTCCTCAGCAAATGTAAAAGAACAGAAATTATAACAAACTATCTCTCAGACCATAGTGCAATCAAACTAGAATTCAGGATTAAGAATCTCACTCAAAACCGCTCAACTACATGGAACTGAACAACCTGCTCCTCAATGACTACTGGGTACATAACGAAATGAAGACACAAATAAAGATGTTCTTTGAAACCAACGAGAACAAAGACACAACATACCAGAATCTCTGGGACACATTCAAAGTTGTGTGTAGAGGGAAATTTATAGCACTAAATGCCCACAAGAGAAAGCAGGAAAGATCCAAAATTGACACCCTAACATGACAATTAAAAGATCTAGAAAAGAGCAAACACATTCAAAAGCTAGCAGAAGGCAAGAAATAACTAAGATCAGAGCAGAACTGAAGGAAATAGAGACACAAAAAACCCTTCAAAAATTTAACAAATCCAGGAGCTGGTTTTTTGAAAGGATCAACAAAATTGACAGACCACTAGCAAGACTAATAAAGAAAAAAAGAGAGAAGAATCAAATAGACACAATAAAAAATGATAAAGGGGATATCACCACCGATCCCACAGAAATACAAACTACCATCAGAGAATACTACAAACACCTCTATGCAAATAAACTGCAAAATCTAGAAAAAATGGATAAATTCCTCGACACATACACTCTCCCAAGACTAAACCAGGAAGAAGTTGAATCTCTGAATAGACCAATAACAGGAGCTGAAATTGTGGCAATAATCAATAGCTTACCAACGAAAAAGAGTCCAGACCAGATGGATTCACAGCCGAATTCTACCAGAGGTGCAAGGAGGAACTGGTACCATTCCTTCTGAAACTATTCCAATCAACAGAAAAAGAGGGAATCCTCCCTAACTCATTTTATGAGGCCAGCATCATCCTGATACCAAAGCCGGGCAGAGACACAACCAAAAAAGAGAATTTTAGACCAATATCCCTGATTAACACTGATGCAAAAATCCTCAATAAAATACTGGCAAACCGAATCCAGCAGCACATCAAAAACGTTATCCACCATGATCAAGTGGGCTTCATCCCTGGGATGCAAGGCTGGTTCAACATACGCAAATCAATAAATGTAATCCAGCATATAAACAGAACCAAAGACAAAAACCACATGATTATCTCAATAGATGCAGAAAAGGCCCTTGACAAAATTCAACAACCTTCATGCTAAAAACTCTCAATAAATTAGGTATTGATGTGACGTATCTCAAAATAATAAGAGCTATCTATGACAAACCCACAGCCAATATCATACTGAATGGGCAAAAACTGGAAGCATTCCCTTTGAAAACTGGCACAAGACAGGGATGCCCTCTCTCACCACTCCTATTCAATATAGTGTTGGAAGTTCTGGCCAGGGCAATTAGGAGAAGGAAATAAAGGGTATTCAATTAGGAAAAGAGGAAGTCAAATTGTCTCTGTTTGCAGATGACATGATTGTATATCTAGAAAACCCCATTGTCTCAGCCCAAAATCTCCTTAAGCTGATAAGCAACTTCAGCAAAGTCTCAGGATACAAAATCAATGTACAAAAATCACAAGCATTCTTATACACCAACAACAGACAAACAGAGAGCCAAATCATGAGTGAACTCCCATTCACAATTGCTTCAAAGAGAATAAAATACCTAGGAATCCAACTTACAAGGGATGTGAAGGGCCTCTTCAAGGAGAACTACAAACCACTGCTCAATGAAATAAAAGAGGATACAAACAAATGGAAGAACATTCCATGCTCATGGGTAGGAAGAATCAATATTGTGAAAATGGCCATACTGCCCAAGGTAATTTACAGATTCAATGCCATCCCCATCAAGCTACCAATGACTTTCTTCACAGAATTGGAAAAAACTACTTTAAAGTTCATATGGAACCGAAAAAGAGCCCGCATCGCCAAGTCAATCCTGAGCCAAAAGAACAAAGCTGGAGGCATCACACTACCTGACTTCAAACTATACTACAAGGCTACAGTAACCAAAATAGCATGATACTGGTACCAAAACAGAGATAGATATAGATCAATGGAACAGAACAGAGCCCTCAGAAATAACGCCACATATCTACAACTATCTGATCTTTGACAAACCTCAGAAAAACAAGCAATGGGGAAAGGATTCCCTATTTAATAAATGGTGCTGGGAAAACTGGCTAGCCATATGTAGAAAGCTGAAACTGGATCCCTTCCTTACACCTTATACAAAAATCAATTCAAGATGGATTAAAGACTTAAACGTTAGACCTAAAACCATAAAAACCCTAGAAGAAAACCTAGGCATTACCATTCAGGACATAGGCATGGGCAAGGACTTCATGTCTAAAACACCAAAAGCAATGGCAACAAAAGCCAGAATTGACAAATGGGATCTAACTAAACTAAAGAGCTTCTGCACAGCAAAAGAAACTACCATCAGAGTGAACAGGCAACCTACAAAATGGGAGAAAATTTTCGCAACGTACTCATCTGACAAAGGGCTAATATCCAGAATCTACAATGAACTCAAACAAATTTACAAGAAAAAAACAAACAACCCCATCAAAAAGTGGGCAAAGGACATGAACAGACACTTCTCAAAAGAAGACATTTATGCAGCCAAAAAACACATGAAAAAATGCTCACCATCACTGGCCATCAGAGAAATGCAAATCAAAACCACAATGAGATACCATTTCACACCAGTTAGAATGGCAATCATTAAAAAGTCAGGAAACAACAGGTGCTGGAGAGGATGTGGAGAAATAGGAACACTTTTACACTGTTGGTGGGACTGCAACCTAGTTCAACCATTGTGGAAGTCAGTGTGGCGATTCCTCAGGGGTCTAGAACTAGAAATACCATTTGACCCAGCCATCCCATTACTGGATATATACCCAAAGGACTATAAATCATGCTGCTATAAAGACACATGCACACGTATGTTTATTGCAGCATTATCCACAATAGCAAAGACTTGGAACCAACCCAAATATCCACCAATGATAGACTGGATTAAGAAAATGTGGCACATATACACCATGGAATACTATGCAGCCATAAAAAATGATGAGTTCACGTCCTTTGTAGGGACATGGATTAAATTGGAAATCATCATTCTCAGTAAACTATCTCAAGAACAAAAAACCAAACACCGCATATTCTCACTCATAGGTGGGAATTGAACAATGAGAACACATGGACACAGGAAGGGGAACATCACACTCTGGGGACTATTGTGGGGTAGGGGGAGGGGGGAGGGATAGCATTAGGAGATATACCTAATGCTAGATGACGAGTTAGTGGGTGCAGCGCACCAGCATGGCACACGTATACATATGTAACTAACCTGCACATTGTGCACAGGTACCCTAAAACTTAAAGTATAATAATAATAATAATAATAAAGAAAATTACTTTCTTTAAGAATGCTGGGATACTGTACAAAAAGAGACACATAAGTCAATGGAACAGAATTGAGAGTCCAGAAATAAGGCCACACATCTACAACCATCTGATCTTCAACAAAGCTGACAAAAACCAGCAATGGGGAAAGGACTCCTTATTCAATAAATAGTTCTGGGATAACTGGCTAGCCATATGCAGAAGATTGGAACTGGACCCCTTTCTTTCACCATATATAAAAGTCAACTCAAGATGGATTAAAGACATGTAAAACCCACAAGTGTAAAAACCCTGGAAGACAACCTTGGCAAATACCATTCTGGACATAGGACCTGGCAAAGATTTCATGACAAAGATGCTGAAAGCAATTGCAACAAAAGCAAAAATTAATGAGTGGGATCTAATTAAAGTAAAAAGCTTCTGCACAACAAAAGACACTATCAACAAACAGCCTACAGAGTGGTAGAAAATTTTTGCAAACCTTGCATCTAACAAAGGTCTAATATTCAGCATCCATAAAGAACTTAAACACATTTACAAGCAAAACACAAACAACTCCACTAAAAAGTGGGTAAAGGCCATGAACAGACACTTTTCAAAAAAAGACCTACAAGTGGCCAACAGTCATATGAAAAAAAGCTCAATATCACTGATCATTAGAGAAATGCAAATCAAAACCATGAGATACCATCTCACACCAGTTAGAATGTCTATTATTAAAAAGTCAGAAAATAACAGATGCTGGAAAGATTGCAGAGAAAAAGGAAGAATGCACTGTTGGTGGGAGTGTAAATTAGTTCAACTGTTGTGGAAAGCAGTGTGTCAATTCCTCAAAGAGCTAAAAACAGAACTACCATTCAACTCAACAATCACATTATTGGGTATATACCCAAATGAATATACATTGTTCTACCATAAAGACACATGCACACATATGTTCATTACAGCACTATTCACAATAGCAAAGACATGGAATCAATCTACAAGCCCACTGATAATAGACTAGATAAAAGAAAATGTGAGATATATATATATATATACACATATATATATCTCTCTCACATTCATATAATATATATGTATGTGTATATATATACACTATATATATACACACACAATCTCTATATATGTATATATAGATACACACACACACACACACACCATGGAATACTACACCGCTGTAAAAGAGAATGAGATCATGTTCTCTAAATGAACATGGATGGAGCTGGAGGCCATTATCCTAAGCAAACTAATGTAGGAACAGAAAACCAAATGCCACATTTTCTCACTTATAAGTGGGAACTAAATGATGAAAACACATGGACACCAAGAGGGGAACAACAGATACTGAGACCTACCAGAGGGTGAAGGGTTGGAGGAGGGAGAGGATCAGAAAATATAATAGGTACTAGGCTTAGTACATGGGGAATGAAATAATCTGTACATCAAACCCCCGTGACACAAGTTTACCTACATAATAAACGTGCACATGTACCCCTGAACTTAAGATAAAGTTTTTTTTAAAAAAGAATGTTGATATAGGCCCACAATTTCTCCTGGCTTGTCGAGTTTCTACTGAAAGGTCTGCTGTTAACCTCATGGGGTTCCCTTTGTAGGTGACCTATCCCTTCTCTCTAGCTGCCTTTAACATTTTTTCTTACATTTCAACCTTGGAAAATCTGATGATTATGTGTCTTGGGGATGTCTTTCTCTTTAGTATTTCACTGGAGTTCTCTGCATTTTCTGAACTTGAATGTTGGCCTGTCTAGAGAGGATGGGAAGGTTTGCATGGATGATATTCTGAGATATATTTTCCAGGTTGCTTGCTTTCTCCCTAGCTCTTTCAGGGACCCCAGTGATTCATAGATTTTGGTCTGTTTACATAACCTCATATTTCTCAGAGGTTTTGTTCATTCTTTTTTATTCTTTTTTATGTATTTTCTGTTTTACTGAGTTATTTCAGTGAGCCAGTTTTCGAACTCTGAGATTCTTTCCTCAGCTTGGTTTATTCTGCTCTTAATAATTGAGGTTGCATTGTAAAATTCTTGTAGTGTGTTTTTCAGCTATTTGCTTCTGTTTTATAATGGCTATTTCATCCATCAGCTCCTGAATCATTTTATGGTACTCATTAGATTCCTTGTACTGGGTACTGACTTTCTCCTGAATCTCGATTGTCTATGTTCCCATCCATATTCTGAATTCTATTTCTGGCATTTCAGCGATTTCAACCCAGTTAGGAACCCTTGCTGGGGAACTAGTGTGGTTGTTTGGAGGAAAGAGGCCACTCTGGCTTTTTGAGCTCCCAGAGTTCTTACGCTGGTTCTTTCTCATCTGTGTGGGCTGGTGTTCCTTTAACTGTGGTGTAATTTGGGTATAATCAGTAGGTTTCATTTCTGGATGTTTTCAGAGGGCCAAGGCTTTGTGCAGGGCCTTTATTTTTAGCTGAGCTCTTGTCTTTGGTTTCACAGAGGAGTATATTACCAAAAGTATTTTTGCTGTTGAAGTTTGTGCTGTGATTCAATAGGTGGTGCTTAAGTGAAATGGCCAGTAGGTAGGCACTTGCTTGACCATGTGGCTCCTCTGTATTTCCTCATGATTGCAGCTATGCTCCCTCTCAGTGCTCTGACAGTGTGGGCTCCTCTCCCACTTGAGGGCTGGCTGCAGATCTCGGTTTGGCTCTCCTGGGCTGCACACTGCAATTCTGGAGTGAGCTCAGGCTTTATGTGGCCTCCTTAGCTTGGAGACAGCAAGGCCAGGGACCTTAGCAGTGACTGTGACAGAGGGCCTTTCTCTCGTCTCTGGGGGCTCCACTCCAGAGAAATGCAGAGTTGCTACCAATCAGTATAATCAGCCAAGGTTGGGGTGGCTGCACTGGGGACCCAAGCTGGGGGCACCCTACCTGATAACAAGCAGGGAGGGTACATAGGTCACAGAGTAGACAGACTGGCCTCTTTCCTTAGGGCAACTGCAGCTTCCTAGAAGTGTGGTTAAAGCACTCATGGTCTTTTTGCCTTCCCCAGTCCGAGGGCAGCAAGAGCAGTACCACTCTGCAGTGGCCATGGGAGTGGGCCTTCAATTGTCTCTGGGACCTCTGCCTCAGAGAAACACAGCGCCCCTGCCACTGGAAATGTTCAGCCAGGGGATGAGACAAACGCACTGCTGGCCTGAGCTGGGGGCCCTGCTTGGTGAAGAATGGAGGTTCAAGAGCTTACAGGGAGGAGAGACTGAGCTCCTCTCTGTATGGTGGCTGTGGTGTGCTTGGAGCACAGGTGAAGCCCTTAGACTGTTTCTTCCCTATAGCAAGGGCAGCAGGAGCAGAACCACTGCTGTGGCAATGACGGAGAGGCTGTTGATTGCCTCTGGGAGCCCCCACCAGGGAACCTCAGAGCCAGTATCAGTGGGTGTGCTCAGCTATGATGAGGAGGCTGATCTGTGGTCCGGAGCCAGAAGCCCTGCCTCATGAAGAGTGGGGGGCCTGGGCTCACAGGGAAGAGGGTCTGGATTCCTCTCCTTATGGTGTGTAGTGTGCTGAAGGTGCCAGCATAGTGACTAGGCCCTTTGTTCCATCCCCAGCCCCACAGCGATTAGGGCAGTACCATTGCAGCTGCAATGGCAGAGGGATTGTGGGTTTTCTCTGGGAGTTCCTGCTCAGAGAACTGCAGAGCCACCTCCAACTGACATGTTCAGGTGGGGACAGGGTAGTTGTGTTGGAGTCCCAGGTCACAAGGGCCTCCCAGTAAGGAGAAACAGGATCGGAGACCTGGGTGGAAAAAGGTCTGGCTGCTTTTTCCACAGGGCAGCTGCATTGTGCTGGGGATCTGCACCAGTCCCTTGTCACCACGTACCTTCTGGAAGCCTGAAGGCAACAGGGAGGGGCAAGGGCTGCAAGACAGCAAAAATGGCGGCTTGCCTCTGTGGGAGCACTGTCCCAGGAAAACACGGAGCTGCTACCTTCCCAAAAGATGGCTCTTACTATTTTCGGGTATATTCCTCTGATGACTAATCTGGGTTATTATCATGAAGGGAAGTTGATTTTATTTGCATCTATTGAGATGATCATTCGGGTTTTGCTTTTAATTCTGTTTATGTGGTGAATCACATTTTTTGAATTTTGTATGTCAAACCAGCCTTGCATCCCAGGAATAAAGCCTACTTGATCATGCTGTATGAACTTTTTGATGTGCTGCTGGATTCATTTTGCTAGTATTTTGTTGAGGATTTTTATGTCTATATTCATCAGGGATATTGGCCTGAAGTTTTCTGTTTTCACTGTGTCTATGCCAGATTTTGGTACTAGGCTTATTCTGCTTGACTCTTGACCGTCAGTACATTTGGTAAAAGATGAGATAAGGTTACCTTAGGTAATCAAAGGTATCAAAAAGTAGGAGGAAGAAAAATATATTGCATGCCAAACACTTAAATATAGTATTGCATTTAACCTTAATAACAGCCAATCTGGTGTTCATTTCTCTGCTTAGTCAGTTATTACTTTGCAGCCATCACCAAATCACTTAACTCTAATTTGGTCCTTTTGTTTCCTCTTCTGCAGAATAGAGACTAAAAATACCTATATTATAGGATCACAGTGGGAATTAATGGGCATAATGTCTGGGAAACACTTATCAGGGTGCTTATCACATGATGGATAAATAATTGATAGGAAATAGGATGATAATAACTGTGATGTTGGTCATGAGCTCTTACTACTCAAAATGTGTCTCCAGGGCCAGCAGCACCAGTATTACCTGGGAGCTAACTAGAAATTAGGAATTTCAGGCCCCACCTCAGACCTCCCATGTCAGAATCTGCATTTTAATGAGATCCCTAAGTAATTCATGTGCACATACATGTTTGAAAAGCACTAGTATAGAAAAATGACTCTGGGATTCAGCAACTTGACAGAACTCATCTAGTGGTAAACCACACAACTAGAAGCATACTCAAATCAGAAGATGCTAAGGCCAGCATCTTTCTCTTATATCTCTAACGGTATCTGTGATTGGAGGTGTTCAGCCTTCCTGAATCCCATTGTCATGTTCTTCTGTAATCCAAGCTATAAATGAAAGGCTTTTTACAAACATGTTTTCATGTCTACCACAGTAGCAAGAACACCATAATTTTGTTTTATTTTTCACATTTTTAATTATTCAGCTGTTTTATTTGTCACCATTTAGGGAATTATTACAAAACTTATGTCTAAAATGCATCTGGTTAAGGCATATTAAGGCGGCTAAGCAGATGTAGAATCGGTTGACTGCTATCATAAAATTAAACACTGATGAAACATATATTTGCACAGCAATAATGATCCTGGCATTTGTATAAATATAACAGATCTATTTCCCTAATCATCTAGGGAAAAAAATGAGGAAAGGGTGACAGAATTACCAAATTTGTCTGGCTTACTAGGCAGATCATTTTCAAGTACAAATTTTTTTTCATGTGAATAAAATCATGTTAATTAACAGCATCTATTACCACATTAAAATGAAAGAAGTGTATTTGAGCAAAAAACAATGTAGATAATATCAGAAGCATGTTTCCAGGACATGTCATAATTTCCAGAGCTTCTTTATAATCATGGTAGGTGCATGTTTTTAAGATATTCCTCTATAGTGCCATAGTTTGATTTTATACAAAATGTGTCCTGAGATTCAAGCCTAAGTGAATAAGATATATATTTTTCCCCACATTTTAGTATCTCTGAAATTTAAATCTGTCTTACAATTGATGGTATATCAACACTGATTGGCAGCAGTTTTTCTTCTTTTTTTGTGATCAGTGGAATATTTGATTCAATTAGGGGATTAGGATTCCCAGTAAACTGAAACCTTGTCCACAGGGATTACCACAGTGAGATAGTGGAAAACAAGTGGAACAGAAAGGATAGCTCATGCCTATGAGCGTTCAGGCAAAAAGAGAAGTGAATAAATAGAAGTAATGAGATTAAATAAGAAATGATTTCATAGATTTCTATTTCCACAGAGCCAGAAAGAAAAATCGAGGAAGATGAGCAAATTTAGCAAAATAGCAAGAAAGAAGAATAGGGAGATAGAGGAAAAAAAAAAGGAGAGAGAATGAAGCATCAAGATGGAAAATACAGCCAATAAGCCCACTATTGTGATCATTATTTTTTAGGTGTGGTATCCTGTGGTAGACATTCAACTTGGTGCTCCTTTTCTCATTACACACACTGATCAGTAGTGGTCCTAGAGGATAGGATGAGGCAGTTGTTTTTGGCACATTGTAGAAGGTGTTTTCTCTTCTCTGGCCTGCACAGGTAGATCCACACCCCTTCCTGTGCTCCTTCCCTCCCACAAACTCTGTACATACTTCTCTTTCCTCTGCCTGCTGCATTTCACCCAGTCCCAAACCACCAGGATATGTAAAATGATTAATACTTCTGTTTGTTCTTTCAGGTGATATCAAGACTATCAAACAAATCTATGGTCTCACAGGTATGGCTTTTGCTACACAGCAAAATATTTATCTAAAATCTGGAGGATTACCAATAAATCTGTCTTGTCTTTCTCTTCAGAATTTCATGTATTTATCTTTTACTTTCCCTACTTGACTTCCCAATAAGAGATGTGGCAACTGACTTGCTTGAGTTTGAGTATAGAGGAGAATTGAAACTCATAGTTCTATGGGAGCATTTTATAGTTATTGTTATAAAGCAGTTTGTTACCAAAACATGCCAAATGTAAAGTCCTAAGGTGTTAATCTTAAAAGTACTTTCATTGCATTTAAAATTGGCAGTCAAATTTTTTCTTGTAAGTGTCCATAATGCTAAAAATATGGTTGAGAGATATTCTGGAACCATGTTTTATGATTCAGTCAGCTCTTAAAACAGTTTCAACTTTTAAGAACTCTCTAATTAATTTCAAGAAAAGTTTCCCGAAAAAACTAATTTGTTAAGATTATTAGCTGGACTTTTATTACCAATAATCCTGTGACACAGAGGCACGCAAATAGATTAAATTACCTAATGCATTATGAAGACATTAAGAATTTACTGAAGATGATGGTGGAGAAGGGTCAAATAGGGTTTACTTTTTATTTTAATTATACTTTAAGTTCTGGGTTACATGTGCAGAATGTTCAGTTTTGTTACATAGGTATACATGTGCCCTGGTGGTTTGCTGCACCCATCAACCTGTCACCTACATTAGGTATTTCTCCTAATGTTATCCCTCCCCTAGCCCCCCACCCCCCACAGGCACCAGTGTGTGATGTTCCCCTCCCTGTGTCCATGTGTTCTCATTGTTCAACTCGCATGTATGAGTGAGAACATGTGGTGTTTGGTTTTCTGATTGTGATAGTTTGTAATGTCGGCTGCCCTGATTGTGAGTCAATATCTAAGCAACTTGTCCAAGACACCAAGTCTCCATGACAAAATGGAAGTATGAAATTTCCACAAACTTGTAGAAGTACAAATACTTGACAGGTTATTAGAGAATTCAATTAGAGCCAATAGAGGCTTCTTGAAACAAAGGAATGATTAACTTGCCAATGCAAATGTAAACAGAATTCTAATTAGAGAATGCGCTCATTGTTTCTCATTTCTTAGATTAAGTTTGCCCTGTTGTGTCTTTAGCTGGGTAAACTGATTTTTCTATCCAACGATGCTAGTATACAAATGTTCCCCTGTAATTCCGTGTAGGCCCAATTTTTGTTAAAAACACAGAGTTTTAAACGCTGTGAAAAACAAACAAGAGTAACATCATGACTATCCCAGCAAAAAAAAAGTATGCCCTCGTCATTAATTAAAATAACCATACGTATTTGGAAAGATGAGTCTAAGAATGCCATTTCTTCAAGAAATTTTGAGCCAATAAGATTAAAGTACAAGAACTTCATAAGTAAACTATGCATTTCACTCAGCACCTATGGCCTAAACTGAACGGGCTATTGCCTATAAGTCACTGCAATGTTAGATCTGTTATTATACCTGTAATATATACACCATATACACCAAAAAATCCGTATACACCAAAATCCATATACACCAAAAAAAACAACTATTCATTTAAGTCAATAACCATGACAGCCCAGAGTCTGAATAGTAATCTTAGGGATTTTCAGTTCTTTGCCTTATTTTTATTATAAATTATTGATGATCAGATATAAGGGATTCAATTTTCAAAAAAGACAGAAGCACAGAAAAGTGAGCAGAGAAGCCATGTCTGGGGCAAAGCCAGAAGCACACACTATTACAGTGACTCTGTTGAGGGCCACTAGTTAGCCTTTGCTGCGTTCACTGCCCTGGCCCTTCCATCATCACCTCAATTGTCTTTTCCCACACTCTTTCTTTCCTCTTCTTAGTCTACACAGTTGAATGATCCCAGTCAAGAGTCCAGTAGTTACAGGATGGGTTTTGGCAAGACTATTTTTCCTTCCTTTTCCAAGGCTTTTCAAAGGAAGCAGACCAGGTGGTTTGCTTCTTTTCTTGCTAGTGACTGGAAAGAACAAGGAGAGCAGGAAGTAGAGTAGCTGAGAATACTTCTGATCTTCTTCCATTCATGTGATCCAAAATAGGAAAGCTTTTTATTCTCAAGAATAATGCAATTTTGCTGGTTAATCTCCATGTAAAGTTCCAGTAAAGACCCTGTAATTTTAAATAACAAGGCCTAAGACCCTCCATTAAAATGGAAAATGTCTTTATTTCTAAGAGCATGCCATCATATACTATTACAAATGACAGGCTGATTAAAATCTAGTTGCAAACCTGGTATAATGCACCTTTCACGTGGCTCCCCATGAAGACAGTTTAAAAGACCAAGAGAAAGGTTAAAATCAGGGGCTAAAAATCAAGAAAGCATAGAGAGTAAACCTGGAGAAGAGCAGAAGTGGGAAGACCTTTAACACCTGATAAAATAATAACAAAATCTGCAAAGACTTCAGTTTTAATGAAAAGTAAGTCTCTAAGAGATTTGACTTTGTTCTAATGAGACCTCCAGCATTAATGATATACCTTTTCTGCGGTTTTTGCAGTCTGTACTAATTTATATTATCCACTGATTTAGTCAGAGCCCAAGGGAAATGGCAACATCAACAAGCGACTCCCATCCATTGTGGAAGATGAGGAAGAGGAGGAGGAGGGGGAGGAAGAGGAGGCAGTCTCCCTCTCTCCCATCTGCACAAGGGGATCTTCTTCGCGCAACAAGAAGGTTGGAAGCAATAAAGCCTACCTGGGCTTAAGCTTAAAGCAACTGGCCTCGGGAACGGTGCCCTTTCACTCGCCTATCAGAGTCTCCAGGTCAAATTCCCCCAAAACCAAGCAGGAAATTGACCCCCCCAACCATAATAAAAGGAAAGAGAAGAACTTGAAATTGCAACTTTCAACTTTGAATAATGCTGGACCCCCAGACCTCAGTCCAAGGTAAGAGTTCATATCATATAACTTTCTCACGTGAACGTGGCTGCCTTTTATACAGAGTAGTACCTGCCTTCAGCCTTCTGAGCCTTTCTACTCCACAGATTCCTAGCCTGGAATCCTCAGCTTTTCTGAGTTTTGTGGGCAATTTTTTGAGTTTATGTGCAAGTGTGTGTGTGCATGCAGGATGGGCAAAATATGTTCTCAAAATACTAAATGTTCAGAAATCCTTCTTTACTCCTTTTATTCATTTTGCACTACCTATTATGTTAAATGTATATTCCTACCTTGTGATTTTATGATTTATAGTGAAAATAAAAGAAATGGAACAAACTCCATCAATGTTATCCCCTCAATGCTTGATCTTACCAAAAGTTTCATAAGCAATGAGTTGAAATTAGGAAGAAAATGAAATGCAGATTTTTATTTTTCATACTATTCTTGCCTTATTATCAAGGACGGCTAAAACTTAGTTTTATTTCTGGTCTCTTCAATAAGTAACACAGCATGGTTCCATTTTTCATTTCTTAAAAATCACTTTAGAATCCACTAAAGGTGATTGAAAGCGTGAAAAATCCTGATTCCGAAGATGTTCAGGGGTAGGCCATGGTGTAGAAAAGCAATAGCCATCATCAAAATCACATAACAGCTGAATAATAATAAATAAAAGCATGAAAAAAATATGTATTACTTTTTATGTTTCATGTATTTTGCGAGATAATTTCACATTCACAATTGCATTTAATCTTCTCAGAACCCTATAAAGTAGTTTGTGTTATCTCTATTATAAAGTTGCAAGAAGTGAAACTCGAAGGGTAAATATTTTGTCGAAGATCTCAGAGATATTAAGTATTGAAAGGTGGATTCAAAGTTTGTTTTTCTACTTATAAAGCAAGTGGTCTTTCTCAAATACTATATTTTTATTATTTATTTGAACAACATTCTTATTCATTAAGATAAAATATTAAGGAAAAGATAAAATAGGTTTAGCAAAAAGTAGGCGGATGATATATTTTCAAGAATTCAGTTGGAGATGGTAATTTGAAAATATTGCTTAACTCTTCTTCCTAAGTTTATACTAAAATTAAACATAATAAATTATAAATAGGAAGAGACTGTATTGGAGCTGAGAAAGGTTTATATACAACATAATCTTACATTTATAAAAAGAATATATGTTCTTTATAGAGAAAATAATATTTTGAGGACATACATCAAAATCTTGACTATAGTAGTAGATTACAGGTGATTTTTATTTTGTTTTTTTGTTACCTTTATGTTTAAATTTTCTACAATAGACTTTTTTTTTTTAAATAATGAGTGGGTTAGATACTATTTACCATGAAAAGAAGACTAAATACTGATTTAAATATAATTATTTAACTCTGACATTTAGAGTTTTCTCTAAGTCTAGAGTAGAGGTGTAATCAAATTTATTTTCTGTGATGCTAAGGGTTAAAACCTGGAGAGTAGTGATTTAACATGAATTTAGGTCAGAGGACTTTTGTACCATACCTTAAAGTTTTGAATCTGAGAATAAGTAAAAGAGCCTCTGTCTACAACAGTAGTGTGTGATAAAAAATATAATGTGATATAAAATTGTGAGCTACATATATACTTTTAAATTATCTAACAAACAGCTACATTTTTAAGCGTGATAAAAGTGAAATTAATTTTAATAATATATTTTATTTGACTGAATATGTTCCAAATATTATTTTAAATTTGAACAATATAAAAATACTCAGTGAAATAATTTACATTTTTTAACCATATTCTTCAAAATCCAGTGTGTATTTAATTCTTACGGCACATCTCAATTTGCACAAACCACATTTCAAGTACTCAATAGCAATATAAGGCTAATGGTTACTATATTGAATAGCTCAGCTCTAGAGCATCTAGAATTTAGAAATTTAACATAATATCTTTTAACTCTTTAAAAATACTGGAATCCATGAATATGAATCCACAGCCAGCCAATTTCCTTTATTTTAAGTAGGATTGTTGATGGAATTGAAGATGGAAACAGCAGTGAAGAAAGTCAGACTTTTGATTTTGGCTCTGAACGAATCAGATCAGAGCCCAGAATTTCTCCTCCTCTTGGAGGTAAGATCTATATTTAGTCTTCTCCTAAGGTAAAATATTTCTTATTAACTTGTAATGTTTGTTATGGGCATTTTTTTTTTTTTGCTTTCCTGTCCTTAGAATATTCTCCCTGTCATAGAACCTTACCAATACCATTGAATAATTTGACATGAGTTTATGCCATTTCCAAGTTAAGATGTCATTTGTGATCATTTCTCTGTCCAGATTGGATGAGCTACCATTTAGCAGCGAAGGTAATTGATATGCCAGGAGACTCAAATTTCTGCTATTCATTAGAGGATGGCCATGTTTTACTATTATAAATTTAGATTAATCCATAAAAACATTATCTAGAGGAAATGCCATGTTGATTGTGCACTGAAGGAACATTGGTTATATTTAACCAGTTTATTCAGTGTGAGGTTATATACTTGAAGTTTTCCAGATGATAAATAACTTCGGAAAGGTATAAGCATGTTGGAAATGACGGAGAACTATGTGATGTGTTAACCTTTAGTGATGGTGAATTAATGTGAAGGTACCTCCAACTCTAGCCCAAATCCCTCTCTTTACTTTTCAATCTTGAGTTTGTTGCTCGTAAGAATGATTCTGTCAACAAGACAAATAAAATGACAAATAAACTCTAAAGAAGACACACCTGTATTTGATAAAAAGAGAATAGTGAACATGTGTTGAATAGGCAGAGACAATCCAAAACAATTACCAGCAAACTACCTAATGCAAGGCCAGCAATCCTCACCCAACCTCCCCTTCCCTTCCCACCAAGTTCTAAAATCCTTGTATTAGAATGTCTTGGTAATTAGCAAATCCCTTTATGAACAAAGCCAAGCCCAAGAAAGACATTTGAATATACAGTTCTGGAGATGTTTCTCTGGTAGAATACCAGCATTTCATCTGAATCAGTAATTCTTTCCAGCACTCATCATCTTCTTGGGAAACTAAGGGATACTTGTGAAATTCCTTGATTGGGAGTGTGAAGTGAGGAAAATGCAAAAGGATAAGGAGTACAGTCTTGATTTATTGATTTAACTGACTTACATATGTTGATATTACTGTGCTTGGACCAAGGAGCAAAGAAATCATAGTTATCATCAAACTGGTATATTTGCAATAAAAGCCTATTGACACCTCAATTGGATGTTTACCTTTTTGGTTCAACTAGAGACAGTGCACAGAAACTCACCATTTCATCCACATATTTCTAGTCCTACCACTCTCTTAGCTTCCTCCTCTTCCTTAACCTATCACCTACCCCTACGCTTACACATTCAAGCATCAAGTTTTCTAGAAGCAACTTCCAAAATATCTCTTAGTTCCCTCTAAGACTTTCTACCATTACTGCTACCACTCTTTCTCTAGCTATATCTATCTCTTGCTTGCATTGCTACCAAAGTCTTTTCTTTGACCTCACACTGTTTTCCATGCAAAGGGAATTTTATTAATTCAAATTTATTTGTATTACTCTATTCCTATGCTTAAAACCCTAAAATGGCTTTCTATTGCCCTTAGTGTGAAATTCAAACCTATTGCATAATTACTTTATATAAGTTATTTTACTTTTTTAGTAGAGATGGGATCTCCCTATGTTGCCCAGGCTAGTCTTGAACTCCTGGGCTCAAGGAATCCTCCTGTCTCAACCTCACAAAATGCTGGGATTACAAGCATGAGCCACCATGCCTGGCCTACTTTTTAAATGTTTATTTTTCCTGCTCAATTCTAAGCTCCATGAGTGTCAACTATATTTTCTTTATTGGTTGCTATCTACTCTAAAAGAGGGCTGGCCTATTGTATATGACCTTCAATCATTCGTTGAATGAATGGATTACCTCTGCAAGATATATCTGCAAAACAATTTCTTATTACTCTATTTCAGACTGTTTTGAATTACTTTTCTTCCCCCACCAACAAGTTTTCTCCTCATAATTGACCAGAATTAGGATGGTCTTATCTGTCAAATCTTTTCCACTCAAGCTGGCACTGACTCACCTGTACTCTTGTCCCTGACAGAAATAAATATATTTGGAAGAGCAAAGTAGAGAAAAAGTGGAGAAGAAGAACTAAAAACTGGGAGAAATTACCCTTTAGAGTGATGCAGGAAGAGAAAGGCAACCTGCAGTGGATATCAGTATCTGATATATATGTGGGAGGAAAATATGCTCATGGGCACATGAATCAATGTTTAGAATGGAACGAGAGAAGAAAAATAATATCCCTTTTCTATGGCTTGAGCACTGACTATGATACAGTTTTAAACAATGGTCAAAGAAAAGAAAATGTGCCATCTTGGAACGTGGTGGTGACTGTACTCGGGGAAATGGGGTGTTTGCAATGGACACATCCAGTCACTGTGGGTGCAATCACCACCATGATGTGTGTCCAGAGAGTATATCTGGTGCCATCCAGAGGAATACAAAAAGCTTGCCTGATCCCTAAAAGACAGTACAGTGCACAGACATCAGAAAAGGTTAAAAGTGATAGCGTGGACTTTCTTTCATATTCTAATTGCCTCGATCCTCAAATATAAGGTTTATTCCTAAAGGACTCATTCTGTATGTGTGTCACTTTTCAGATCCAGAGATTGGAGCTGCTGTTCTCTTCATCAAAGCAGAGGAGACCAAGCAGCAGATAAACAAACTCAACAGTGAGGTATGGAGCTCTTTCTTTGGTCATGCCTAAATGGTAAGAGGAGATATAAATCCTAGTTACTCGCAGAAGCAGTGTAATATAGTAGTTACAAGCATGCATTCCAGAATGAGACCACCATGGGTGAATCTCTGCTCTGCCTCATGTAAGTTGTGTGATCTCTGACAAGTCACTTACCTTCTCTCAAGCTCCACTTCCCCATGTGTAAGAAGGGAAGAATAATAATGCCTGCCTTATGGCCCCTTGTGAAATTAAATAAAATAATCTAGGTCAATCATTTAGCATGAAGTGTCTTAGATATATGCATATTTGGTTTAATTGGTACATTTTAAACTTTTTTGTGACCTTCCATTTTTAATGAGCTAAAGCAAGGTCGTAAGTTCACAGAAGAATGCTGTTTCTCAGTGTAGTCAAATGGCCTGAACTCTGTTCTTTCCTCTGACTTGTATTTGCTTGTGTCACCTTGGGTACTTTACCTCTCTAAATCTTACTATCTATTCATTTTTAACAGTTTTATTGAGGTATATTTATATATCATAAAATTTGTCCATTTCACCAATACAATCCAGTGAGTTTTAGTAACTTTATTGAATCCATCATCTATAAATCAGTTTTAGGATATATTTTCTTCCCCCAGTAAGATCTCTTATACTCATTTTACAGTTAATCTCTATTCTTATGTCCAGCCTTAGACAACCACTTATCTACTTTTTATTTCTATAAATCTGCCTTTTCTGGCAATTTTATAGAAATAAATACAAAAATAAGATACTTTCTTGATTACTGTCTTAATTGGGGTCTCTCTCATTAAAATAAAATAAAACAAGTTCTGAGACTATATGGGTGCAAAAGTTTATTTGAAAAGTGATACAGGAAGTATAATTAAAGAACAGAGAAGTAAGACAGAAAAGGAAGGAAAGCAAAACAGAAGGATATGTTAGTGAGACAGTTAAACTTGTAAACAACTGGGGCTCAATCCCACTGGAGACCTCTGAGAGACTATGTAGGACAACTCAAAATTATTCAACCAAGGAGCAAGGAAAAGTGGAGTTGAGGCTCTTCAGGCAGGCCTGAAGAAAAAAAATTGCTCAGGCGAGAATATGCAGCAAAACCTGTGCCTATCTTTGGTGTCCAGGGTAGACCCAGGCAAGGGCATGTGGGCAGGGACAGACAGTGCAACAGAATCCTTTTCTAGGAGTAAAGTCTTAGTAATAGTTGATTTGATGACACTTTGGGGAAAATGTAATCACGTGATGGTATTGATGAGATTTATGAAAAATGAAGTTCACATAACTTCCAGTTATCTGTAATAAGGGCAGACTGAGTAGCTTGTCATAAACTCTGCAGGTTTCTCTTAAACCTGTGTTTCTTCAGCTTCGTGGAGATTTATGTTTTACTACCATCTCCCTTCTGCACCTGCCCTCTCTGGAGCTGAGATTGTTGCTAATAAGAAGTAAGAGAGCCGAAGGACCGACTAACAAGGCAGAAAAGGAATACTAGATGGTCCACTAACTGGTTTGAAAATACTTAAATCACAAAGACTCAGCCATGCACTGGATCACCCAAATAACCTCTTGTTAAAACAAAAAAACAAAACAAAAAAAACACCGAAACCCAAAACAAAACTAATGCAACTCCCCGTTGGAGAACTGGATGTTAACCTTCTGTTCAACAGTTTCTTTTCAGATACTGCTCTTAGCTAAAACCACCCATCAATACCATTTGAATTCTTTCCTCTCATATTTGAGAAGGGCATTTAATAATTTTAAAAACTGACTGACCTATATCTTAGTTCAAATATTAGAGTTAGTGATTCTTCTGAGAAAAAATATCTATATGTTCACCTTTAGGAATGTAGATAATTTTTCCAAGTTAGGGCTGTAAATCCACACAGTTTGTTATTTTCCTTTGACAATGTGAATCGGGTAGATCCATTAACAAAAAAAAAAAATTACCATTTTAAAAACAAAATATCTTCCCAGTATGATCCTGTATTCACGATTTCTTTTCTTTTTTTTTAAATTATACTTTAAGTTCTGTGGTACATGTGCAGAATGTGCAGGTTTGTTACATAGGTATACACGTGCTATGGTGGTTTGCTGTACCTATCAACCCGTCATCTACATTAGGTATTTCTCCTAATGCTATCCCTCCCCTAGCCCCCCGAGATGACACACATCTTTTTATCTTGTCAAACATTTAAATAAAAAGGGAAAGATAAAATATCAAGGTCCAACTATTCTTTCCCAAAGAATTAGGTTTTCCATAAAGGAAAATATCTGATTTATTCTTCGTCGAAGATTAAGTAGAAAAATCTGATCCTTCACACATAATTTAATTTATACACAGTTTTGACCCTTTGGATAGTGCATAAAAACCCACTAAGATGGGCAGAATAAAAATACAAATGGACTTCAAACTGTAAAATTATCCCTCTTCTAACCTATTTTTCTCTTCCTCATCTTTCTGTAAAGAGTTTATATAGAAAAAAAACTTTTTAAAAGTCCAAGCCTAATTTTACCATTTTGCCTATTTTCTACTAGTAACATGTGTCATCATTTGATTGCTTTATTCTTTGTTTTTGCTATTATCTGGTTAATAGCAAGCAAGAGAAGAATTGATAATAAATGTGGGATGCACTGCATGAAAAAAACTCTACCACCAAAAGGACAACCGAAAATATGTGTGATACATGCCACACAGACTGTGGGCCTTTGTGTGAGGTGTCAGAGCGCTGCAGAATCTCTATTCTGATATTTGTTTAAAGATTTAAGACATAAAGAAAGTGTTCATCAGTGTGTACATTTCATAATCATAATCTGCAAGCTAAATACAGAACTAAAATCTGAAAAGTAATAATATTGGTAATTACCTACATTCACAGAATAGTTAGGAGAGTTTAAAAGATGTGGGGCAGCTGCTAATATTAGAACGCTTTGACCACATTGCCATTGCTTTACAGCATAGTATGAAATAGTGCGACTCTAAGGAAACTCTTTGAAAATTACAAAAATGTCACAATAGGGCCATGGGCTGTGTAAGTCAAATGCTCCACTTCTGAAAAGGTTTGTAGGTGAAGGTTAGAGTGCATTCTCATTTCTGAAATCTGGCTGACCCAGAAAGATACAGAGGCAAAGCTTACCAAGGGAGACTGTGTGCTCTGGCACAGCAGGCAGAAGGCATAAAACACACTATGGAAGAAAGAGAATTCACTTTGGAAAGAGACAAATATTTAGATTCCTATTCTGTGATTTCAACAAGGTGTTTACTTTCCCTAAGCTTAGATTTGTCCTCTATTAAATGATAATAATAGAACCTGTAATCAAGGATTGTTGTGAGAAGTTAATATCATATGTAAAGCACTGAGCACAGTATCTTCCCTTAATAAGTGGTCAATAAATGTTGATTCCATCCTCATACAAGGTTATGCTTTGATTCAACAAACGGTGACTCTCATATAAGCACCCTCCTTCTACCTAACAGTGCCCAGTAGAGTAATAAGTGAGAGAGGATCAATGTTTTTAGAATAAAATGAAAATGAATGGACCTAAGAAGAACATATTTGGTTATGAAAATCACTATTTTCACCTAAGAGACTTTTTGCTATAAACATACTCCATATGAAATTAGAATAGAAAACAAAATGGCAGATTAATGATATTTCAAAGCATCTTATCTTAACTAGTTTGATTGTAATTGTGCTACTGTATTATTTTTAAAAAACATTTATTCTGTAAGACTTATGGATTGAGTAGCAAATAGATGCATATACTAGTTTAACAATGTTTAACCATTACCTGATATTACAATAAACATATAATTGGCAAAATGATAATAAAAACCAGATGGAAAATAACCTGCCAAGCTTAACAGAAAGGTAAGCATAACCATATCTGCATTTATAAAGTGAGAGAAAACAGGTAGCTTGTTATTTCATCCTTACTCACCCAAGCGTGCTTTGGTTTAAATACTCTACTTGCTGTATTTTATCATTTTATTTTGTGTATATGTAAAGGGGTCAGAGTTAATATTAGGTGATTTTAATCCATCTTGAATCTTAAACATACTATGGAGAATAAAATGTGTAACATGCCTAAACAAAAAAAAAATGAGCTTTGTAGAAACATAGCAACTTGTATTAATTGATTATTGAGGCTGAGAGGTCTCATGATCTGCAGTTGGCAAACTGGAGAACCAGGAGATCTGATGGTGTAGTTCCATTCTAATTCCGAAGTCCTAAAAACCAGGAGAGCCAGTGGTGTCAGTTCCATTTCGAAAGCCAAAAGGCTTGGGACTCAAAAAGAGCTGACTTTTTTTTTTTCAGTTCAAGTCCAAAGCTAGGGAAAGACCAATGTTTTAGCTCAAACAGTCAGGCAGGAGGAGTTTCCATTTACCTAGACTTTTTGTTCTATTCAGACCTTCAACTGATTGGATGAGGCCCACCCACATTAGGGAGGGCAGTATGCTATATTCAGTCTACTGATTCAAATGCTAATCTCATCCAGAAACACACTCAAAAGACACACCCAGAATAATCTACCAAACATCTGGGCACCCCATGACCCAGTCAAGCTGGCATACAAAATTTACTATCACATCCAACAAATGTCTTCTGTTTGTCAGTCCAGTGGCTTCCTCTACAGTTGAAGTCATTGGCCTGTTTCAATGTCTAAACTGCTTTGATGGGAATAATTATTTTCCCCTTTAGCGATATAATAATTCTTCTTAGGCTCTGATTGGATCTAAAATTTTTTTTAAATTTTCCCATAGCAAAAGATGTCATGGTTTTCTTTGTGAGATAAATTAAACACTTTCTCAAACTCCAGAATTTAGAAAGTATTTCAGTTTTACCCTTTACAACTTGGTATAGTGTAAGTTACACATATATATGTATATGTGTGATAAGAACCAATATTTGAGAGAGCTGAGTTCAATTACTGAGGCTCACTACTTTGCTGGGAATCGGAGTGATATGGGGTTGTTTCCTATAACACATTAGCACGTTGTTAACTTTAAGTGATATGAGAAGACCATTCGTATCAACTTGGGCTCTAGCATTTTAGAGACCAAGCTCTTATTGCTATTGAGTCCAAAAGAAAGGCCTCTTTTTTTAGGAATGACTGTGTTTGCATTACATTTCATAATTGGATAATAGGTCAGTCATGTCCTTTAAAAATAGATATTACAGAAATGTCCTTATATGCACTATTATCCTAAGGCTTTAGAGAAAATTATTTTATATCATCACTATGACCTAAAAGTTAGATTTCAAATTTAATTTTGTAATATCAGGATCTTTTAGCTTTATTTTCTCATTTTCAACTCCTCAAAAAGTCCAGTTACTGTTTCTAACATATTGAAGAGTCCTGCCATTATCAGATAAGCACTGTTATAAGATAAATTATACTGAGGTAACAAACTCCAAATTGATTAAAATTTATTTCTCGTTCAAGCAAAATGCCTAACACAGGTCAGCAGAAGGGGCTGCACCATCTGGAATGTCACTGCTTGGCTGTTTTCCATTTGAAGCGTGGAGCACAGTTGTTCGGTTTGAAAGATAAAAACATCATTTCTGTCGGTATTTTATTAACCAGAACTAATTCCATGGGCACAGTTAATTTCAATTGGAAAAGAAAGTGTAAGCTTTTGTATATCCTAAAAGAAATAGAAAACTGGATACTGGCAAACGCTAATAATATCTACCATAGCACCTAAAAGCTATTAGGAAAATTTTGTTTCTCATTTAATTTTGCTCAAAATTCAATTCCAAATATCCCCCAATTTAATGTATTATATATTATCAAAGTAAAAAAATACCAGCAATGAAAGGCCTTCCACTGGAAAACAGAGAAAGAATCTGAGTTGTTGTCTAGGTTATACTTGACAAAGCTAATAGATTAATGAAATCTCCCTGAGTCAAAGAGATGGAATAATAAGAGAGGCTGTTTTTTATTTAAGAGTTGCTTTACTACTTTTCTAAATGCCTACAGAAGAAACAGGATACTACTAATATTTCACATAAGGAAACCTGCATGAGTAATATCTTAAGGTAAAGTTGATTCCTTAGTCCTCTGAATTAGTGTTGCCATTATATCTTTTCATTGACAATTGAGTCAACTGAAACACACTGACAGAATTGTCAGGTCATTCCAAGATTTGTCTATATAGGCTTTTTTCTTCTTCATCCTGATCATATATAGTTCTTGATCATCAATTTTCAAAGCAAAACATAAACAAAGACTGTACATTCACTTTTTGACCTAGAACGACAAAATTCAATTAACTGCTGGCAAAACCAACGGTTTTTCTTTTAATTTTTAGATATGTGTTATTGATGTTAATACTACGTTTTGTGGACATAGGCTTTTAACCTGGAATGTTTCCAACTAATTTATGTTTTGTAGAACTCCTTTTGGTTATTTTCCAGTTCTTAAGCCTGTATAAATAGGCAGATTTATAACTCTCATGAGAATTTTACTGACTTTAAAAAATTCTAAACAACAATGTGGATCTCTCAAAAGAAAAAAAAACGTATGTCATTCAGAAAGCTTCTCCTGTGAGGGGTGGATTTAAAATGCATGTAACTTTTGGAGACTGGTTGTTTTCGTCCTCTTTGCTTATGATTGCTTATAGATAGGACTCTTCTCATCTTTGAATAGAAGGACTAAATGGATATATCAGTAAGGGCCCAAGTAAAAACCAATGTTGCATTCCAAATGGGCAATTTTAGCATGTTGAATTAAAAGGTTATTTACAAAGAAGTTAGTAGAGTATAGGCAAACCACAAGGGGTAGAACCACCCCTCTTGATAATAACAGCAGAAGTTCACCACAACTCCTAGGTCAGAAGGGGCCAGAGTAGAGAGCAGTTACAGAAACATGAGTTAGAGAAGGCTGGGTGGAAAAGGTCGGTTGTCAGAAGCTGTGCTCTTTTGTTTTGTAGTGACATAGTGACTACAGTTAATAACAATGTATTGTATATCTGAAAATTGCTAAAAGAGTAGATCTTACCACAGAAAAAGTGGTAAGGATGTGAGGTAACAGATATGCTAATAAGCTCAACTTAGTCATTCCACAATGTATACATATATCAAAACATCAAGTAATATAACATAAATATATATTATTTTTGTCAATTTAAAAAATCAAAATAAAAAAAGAAATTTCAAAATATATTGGGGCTAAGGATCTGTCTGTAGAACATGAACTAGCAGCACTGGCATCAACTTGAGCTTATTAGAAATGCAGAATCTCAGGCCCCGCCCAAGACCTATCGCATCTGAGTATATTCTTTGTCTAAATCCCCAGATGATTCCTATACACATTAAAGTTTGACAAGCACTGTTCTATACAACCAGTATTCTGAGAGCAGACAAACTTTCATTTGATGTTTACTGATAGCAGTAAAGATCCCTTAGCCAGACAGCAATTTGAATACTAATCAAACTTTGTCACAGAAACCAGGAAAACAGATGACAAAAGCAGTCAAAGGGTTGATAAATAATAGATTACCATGGTACAGCTGAAGTAATGTCCAAAGGCCTGAGCTTGCAGAAACTCAACGAAGCTATTGAATCACTTTCAAGACTATAATTGGTCATTTTGTATTGGTAATGCTAGACTTGTAATTCTTCCCTAATTATAATTTAAGAGACGTCGGCTGCACCTGCAAAAGTAAAACCCTGGTTAGTAGTCCTGTGTGACCTAGAACAAGCCATTTTACCTTCCAACATTCTAGTCTCTCCAGCTGTAGACAAAGATTTACAACTTTTATTAGTAATGGGATTGAGGTCCTCATATGGATGAAATGTATGCAAGTGCTGAGTATGATTATTATTTTAGCTGACAGATAAAAAGACTATCACTTGTTCTGAATGCTTTGTAAAGCAAAAGACACAAGAATGAAATTATGCCAATCGTCTTTTTTGTTTTGCCTGCTTATGGAGTTTGTTTGAACATGTCTGAATCTTATGATAAATATGCAACATAACAAAGGATTAAATGAAAAACCATTTAATTTACCGAATCATAGCTTGTAAAAATGTATATGTATTAGTAGTGGGGCAGGGGAGGATTGGTATAATTAGTACCCCTTAGGAAAATTGTGTCTAGCAGGAAAATGTGTACATGTTTGGCAAAAATTGAGTGACAGGTCAAGAACTCTTCAAGCTAAGAAGATTATGTCAACAGATGCATTCCCCATCTGCTCACTGAATGCACAAAAATGGAAACCACATTTTTTCTCTGCCTATCAACGGAAGTTCCAGTTATACTCAAAGCACAAGAATTTTACACCAATCATGCCAATAGCCAAGATGGAGAAATATAAAACGTATGTAAAATGAAGTAAAGCTATTTTATATGATACTATATGTCATTTTATGTGAAATGAAAGGTATTGTCAAAGATAATTTTTCTCTGGTCTGCATTAGAAACTCATACTTCTGTTCCCAAAAGGCACAATCTAACCACACACCAGAACAGTAAATCTGTGTTTACACCAAAAAACACACAATCTAACTGTGGACACTGACAACGCATGGTGTTATTGGAATAATAGGTCACCAGTATCGCAGATAGATTATTTAAGCCATTTAGTAACACAATGTTTTGAAAGCTCCCATTTTGAAGTGCTGGGGACTTCCATGAGACGTGGATATTATATGAAACATTCTTACCTGCTAGAGATATACTGACACTTCTTTATCTTTCAGTGATATTTAGGGGCAATTGATGAAAGTGAGTTACTTAAGTTCAATTGAAAATAACAAAAAGTCATAAGAAATTCACCATGCAATTCACTATTCATTGAATGAATCAACAAAGATTTGTAGAGTTCTATTATGTGGCAGGATTTTTACAGGAGCTTGACTACTGTAAAGAGCAATAAATACATGTAGTAGCTGCCCTACCTGCCCCCCAGCTCCACATTGGTCCTTATTCAATTCTGATCAAAACCAGGCTGCACATCCCTACATTTTGGCTCACACATCCTTTATAGAGAATTTTTAATCCATCTGAATGCAGCTGCTCAAACTTTGGACTTGAAATACAGGACCTTAATCTACATTTTCCAATGGCATCAATTATTGCTGTTTCTACTTGCTACTGCGAAGATCCAGGCAAAGCAATACTAAAAATTCGAGACTTTTTCTTCTGATATTAGTTAAGTAAAATTGTTACTGGGAATGGCTTATCTCTCCATGCTAAGGCAGAAGAATAGTTATAGAGATAACGGTAGTTTCTATTTTCTTTAAGCTAAATACTTTCTGGATTAGGATTCCCTGCCTTGCAGAAGTTCTCTACCAAGCTTAGTGCCTGTGTCACAAATCCACTATCAAATTGAGCCACCTGGAATTCTGACAAGATACCAGTTACATGGGGACTAAAGTTTTATATCTGTTATATTATTTAATCCTCACAACAAGGCCCTTATGGAAATATGACACAGAGGAGGGTGAGAAGTAGCATTACACCAATAAAGCTGATTAAACATGAGAGGAGTAAACCAGATACTCCGGAAATGTAGGGCAACAATAACTATTTCTAAACCAACAGAAGTTCTGAGGAAACCTGGATACAGCAGAAATAGAAAAGCTGTGGTAGTCAGTGATTCCCTTCTTAGGGGTATGGAAGGATCAGTGTGTGGATTATCATGGCCAGTTGGCAAGTCAGTTGTCACATAGGTTTTTATTCATGACAGGGGATGTTGTTTAACAAGAGCAAATGCGTTGCCTGCAAAACATCTAATGATTTGTGTGGTTAATGCATGATGCTGGGAGAATAGACAAGGGAAGAATCTTTAGGTGCTTCAAAGTTTTTGGATACAAAACTGTACCACTTGGAAGCACAGATGGTGTTTTCATCACTTCTTTTTTTTAACAGTTGGGATTCTGGAAGAGATAGAGAAATCTTGGATGTGAACAATTGGTTATGCAGATGGTGATGATAAACTGGTTTGGCCAACAGTTTTAAATTCCAGGCTGATGGATTCTTATCCATGGAAGAATAAGAAGGAGAAGGGGGAAGAAGAAAAAAAGAGGAAGAGGGGAAAGTGGATAAAGAAAATGTATATTAATAAACAAATAAGAATGTATATTGTTATGTTTCCTTTATGCACTGTCTTTATAAATAGAATCTGAAGAAATAGCTATCCAGAGAAGCAATCAGGGATGCAAAATGTTAGCCAAATTTCAGTTGATAAACAACTCTTAATAACTTAATTGAATTCATCACTTGGCATTCATAATGTAGTTATGAGATCTAGGAATCAGTCATTGGGGGAAATTTCCCAGAGAATTAAAACTACCCATGGAAATCAAGTTTATGCTGGGACAGATGACAAAGCAATAAGACAAGTGAAATCCAGCAGAAACCTTGGCCAACGGAGACATATTTCTACAATTATGAAGGAAACACAATAAGGGAAAAGGGATTCTTAACAGTAGAAATACCACCTGCACTTAAAATGAAGGGATAGTCAAGGCTTTGGTTTAGGAAAGTTGTATATGTGAATTCTAACAGTCATACCTACTTTTAGTATATATACTTGGAATGAAGATGGCCAGTTACAGCTTTTCCAATACAATTTTGTATCAGGCAACTTTCCCCTAAAATATTTATGGTAAAATCATGATATAAAATAATATCAGAATCAAAGGCAATATAACAACCAAAAGTCCTTCAAAATGGAGGTATTGTATTTATTTTTACATTGAAGATTTGCTGAGTGCATGTTGTATTCTAGGCATTGCCTTGAGACCAGGAGATACTGAGATAACAGTTTCTACCCTCAAGGAACTCAACGACTAGTTGGTACAGTCTCATGTGATGCAAAGTGGTCAGGGTTAAAACTGCTATGTGAGTGTCAATAAGCCAAGGAAAGGCTCTGCTGAGAAAATTAAGTATTAAAAGAAGTTTGAAGGAGAAGATTTTCTTGCCAGACAGAGAAGGGCAGAGGAGAAGAGCCCGCAGTCAGAAGGAATAGCATGCACCAGGGCAGTGAAGGGTAAAGCTCACTGTATCTGATGGTGTGCAAGGGAGAAAATGCAGGACATGGAGCCATTAAAAAATAAAGTAGGGTTTGTGAAGGGCTTTGTATTACCTGCTCAAAAAGATTGTATTTTCTAATATGAGTGTCAGAAACATTTAAATATTTTATGCTGCTGTTGAGGTAAGTGGGAAAACTTTGGCTCATTTGATCAGAACGATTTTGTTTGTTTTAATTGACGTATCTCTTTGCAGTTAAGTTGTATTTTGAAGATGTATCTTCTTTTTTCTTTTAATTATACTTTTAAGTTCTAGAGTACATGTGCACAACGTGCAGGTTTGTTACATATGTACACATGTCTTCTTGAGTGGACAGAGCTTTGTTCACGAAGTAGCCCCAACAATCCTTTTTTAGCAAATGCATGTCTTCTTACCATGCTATGAAGAAGCACTTGAGCCACCACCCTTAGATAGTGGAAACACTGCATTCTTTGCCTTCAACATTTGATGAAGACTGAGGTCCTTCCTGTTTTAGAATAAATTTTGATAGCAAGCACAGCAGGAAGCAGTAAACAAAAATGCAGTAAAACTTGATGGCATTTTCTGTGGCAGTATGTTGTCACCTTTACTATCACCACAGTCTCTACTTCTAGGAAATGCCATCTCTCCTTGTGACAGCTGGCTTTGCCATGGTAAAAAGAGAGATCCCTTACTTAACACAATTAATTCCCTCATGCAACTTTAATAAGGTTCAGGGGTGTATCCCCAGAGACACAGTGACAGGAATCTTCCCTAACATAAATTGATTATTTCCCTCTAGAGTTAAAGAAACCTCTGTTTCCTTGAGTTACTTGCTCCTTTTAGTTCAAGCTAGGATAGTAATTTGTTTTCTGAAAATGTCAGTGCTTGTTTATGTTCCTGGATCCTGTCAAGACTCTGGATTCCCATTCTAAGTTCACGGTCTCAAAGTTGTGGCAAATGCATGGTAAGCCAGGCACAGAAAGACAAATATTCCACGTCCTCACTCATATGTGGGAGCTAGAAAAATGTATCTCATGGAGGTAGAGAGTAGAATGATGATTACCAGAGGCTGGGAAGGGAGAGGTTAGGATGAAGACAGGTTGGTTAATGGGCACAGAAGTACAGTTAGATTAAAGGAGTAAGTGCCACTGTTTGACAGCATAGTAAGGTGATATAATTAACAATCACTTACTGTATCTTTCAAAATATCTAGAAGATCTGAAATATTCCCAACACAAGTAAATGATAAATGTTTGAGATAGTGGTTATACTAATTATCCTGATTTGATCATTATACACTGTATTCATATATAAAATATCACATGCATCCTATAAATATGTATAATTATTATATATCAGTAAAAAAAGAATGTGTCTATGCAAAGGTATTTCAATCATGGAAAAATATCTGTTTATTTTGAAAACTAGAAAAATAGTTCATCAGAAATATGTCTATTAACATATCTGTTTCCAGTTCTTACCCTGAGGCAAACTATTTTTGCATTCATATAGTTTGCTATGAAGATATTTTACTGTGTTTAATCAGTCTCCTACATTTTTAGAGATGACGCTATTTACTTAATGTTGAATTAACATTTCACCCAGCTTTTTACTCATGAGGCTACCTTTCTGTGTCATTGTGCTCTTTACGTTCTGACTACATTAGGAAAAATCTCTCAATGCTTTCTTAAGCAATATTTCTTTTTCTACATGATAATATTCTATAGCAGAATGAATACCAAACTTAGAAGTCCTAAATTCTAGACTGAAGACTGTCATTCATGAAATAAGTGACCTTAAAAATGTCCTTTCACCTCTGAGTCTTATTGCTCCCATTTTACAAGTTGAGAAATGATAGTACATCCCTGCCTTTCTCAGCATTGTTTGTAGATCCAATAGGGAAAGTGTACCTGAAAGCACATTGTATAAATTTACAAACATACAAACATTTATTGAATAACATAATTGCTGATGTGCCTAAAATTCAAACTTATTCTTCAGAGACTGTGCCTTTATTTAATTCTCAATAAAAGGTCAATTCAAAGCATTTTTATTGGGAAATGAACTAATGTAGCCCTAGTGAGTTTCATACAGGAATTTAGCTTGGACAACCTATATGAACGGATGGCTAATGTGCCTCTTTAACCATCTCATTTAGTGGCAGCCTTGTCTTCTGAAATTATGACACAAGAATTAATCACTTTAAGATGGAACCCTTGTGAATGTAGGTAGTGCAAAGATCCTGGGGTAATGATTTAAGTGTGATTCATGTGCTTTAGAATTGAAGCTTGGCAGGTAATGAAATTGACAACCCATAGTGAAGATTTCAAAGCATATTGAATTTTTCTCATATTCATTGTTTCAGTTCTTAAATGTGAGGCTGAGAGATGTTGTTGTCTTCAGAAGTTTTAGATCTGCTGAAAAGCCTGGACAAGTATTCAGTTGAATCCCTTGAGTTTCATGCCAGCAGTAGGGCAGAAATAGTTTTGGCCTGGCAATTTCAAGGCAGGTGTTACCAGTTGGTTGCCCAAACCATGGAAAAACCTCCTTCTGGCCTTTTTAAATGCCTGACTTTGAGCAGTGTCACCTCCCGATGGACCTGCCAGGGAGAATTAGTTTCAGAATGCACTCACAGTAAGTAGACTGAATTAAGTTGCTGGATGAATTAGGAATATGTACTTAAATGTTGAAGAATGTCTGCCCAAAACAGCAGTCTTGAATGAATCTTCAGTTCAATGAAGTTGAACTACCTCTTTTTGTTTCCTGATTATATTTAGCCCATAGGTTCAGCTGCTTCTATTAGCATTTTGTGGTTCACGATAGTAAAATAAAGTCATAGAAAGTCCTTTATAAAAATACAAAGTATTATAGCAATGAAGGCAAAACATTACATTATGTTAGTATTATGAATCTAACCAAAGACTAGAAAATACATGTGTGTGTCCTGCTTTCTGAAATATGTTTTCCTCAATTTGAAGAATACAAATCTTTTAGAAAAGCTACGTTTAAGTGAAATTCAATTTTCTGGTGGTATTCCATGATTAAAATGCTGATGTGGTCGTTACGAAAATAAATTCTCTAATGAATGTTATTATGTATTTTAAGTATAAAATGAAGACTCTTCAATGGTTCTTAAGTGTTTGGGCCATGACAGCTAAATGTCTCACCTAGAAAACTGAATAAAGTACCTACAACACAATTTGTTGTTTTATAATTCCATGGGGTTTCAGGTTCACTGATGCGTTCCAGGACTCTCAGAAGCCCTGCAGTGCTTATCTCTACTTACGCACCTTGCAGGTCTTTTTCTTTCTTTCCAACTCTCATTCCATAGCTTTCCCTTTTTCTGCAAACTTTCTCTGTAGCAAATCTGGTATGAGTTATTTTGTAGCATCCTCACCGTTACTGAAGGCCACTTTGTCTCTGGCCTATAATAAGCATAGGCTTCAACCAGAAATGGCAAGAGTGAGACCTACCATTCACTAGGTGTCTACTCCAAATAGGTAGTAGTGCTTAGTGTGCTGAGTGCTTTACATGCAGTATCTGCCACTCCACATTGTTTTGAAGTGTCCAGTGATTTTTGTGCACTATCATGCATCCCATTCATCCAGGGGAAGCGAAATATATCATCAGTACTTTAGAGATGATGGATCTGTATCTCTCATTCTGTTTAAGAATCCCAAATCACTAATTAAGATTCCCAGACTACTTATGCCCCTCTAGGCTCTTTCAGAATGAGGATGTCTTTAGATCAGGATGTATGTTCATTCAAATGCTTAACCTACCCATTCACCCCTTGGGCTTGGTTGGAGTTGGAGCAGCCTTTCAGGCTTTCTTATTAAGAAATTTCTTTTTCATGGCTCACGCCTGAAATCCCAGCACTTTGGGAGGCCGAGGAGGGCGGATCACGAGGTCAGGAGATTGAGACCATCCTGGCTAACATGATGAAACCCCGTCTCTACTAAAAATACAAAAAATTAGCTGCACGTTGTGGTGGGCGCCTGTAGTCCCAGCTACTCGGTAGGCTGAGGCAGGAGCATGGCGTGAACCTGGGAGGTGGAGCTTGCAGTGAGCTGAGATCGTGCCACTGCACTCCAGCCTGGGCAACAGTGTGAGACTCCGTCTCAAAAAAAAAAAAAAAGGAAAAAGAAAAAAAAAATTTCTTTTTCACCAAGCAAATGCTAAAATGTTTAAGAATAAATAAGTAGGAATAAAAGAAAACCGAAAGAAATATCACTTCCCTGCTTCATTTCTCTGAAATGTGGTCACTACTATGCACCTCTAACTATTGTCTTTCACTTTGCTCTATCCACATAGGTAACAACATTGACTCAGGAAGTTTCTCAGTTGGGTAAAGACATGAGAAATGTGATCCAGCTTCTGGAAAACGTTCTGTCACCTCAGCAGCCATCACGGTTTTGCTCTTTGCACAGCACCTCTGTGTGTCCCTCCAGGGAGAGCTTACAGACCAGAACGAGCTGGAGTGCACACCAGCCTTGCCTACACTTGCAAACAGGCGGGGCTGCTTATACCCAAGCACAACTTTGTAGCAGTAATATCACCTCAGACATTTGGAGTGTGGATCCCTCCTCTGTGGGGAGCAGCCCCCAACGAACTGGAGCTCATGAGCAAAATCCTGCAGACAGTGAACTTTATCATTCTCCAAGCCTTGATTATTCACCTTCCCACTACCAGGTTGTCCAAGAAGGTCATTTGCAATTTTTAAGGTGCATCTCTCCACATTCAGATTCTACGTTGACGCCTCTGCAGTCCATTTCAGCAACTCTCTCATCTTCTGTCTGCTCCTCTTCGGAAACATCTTTGCACCTAGTTCTCCCAAGCAGATCAGAGGAGGGCAGCTTCAGTCAGGGAACTGTGAGTTCCTTCAGTCTGGAAAACTTACCAGGATCTTGGAACCAGGAAGGAATGGCATCAGCTTCTACAAAACCTTTGGAGAACCTTCCACTGGAAGTTGTCACAAGCACAGCAGAAGTGAAAGATAACAAAGCCATAAATGTATGATATTAGTGCCCATGATGCAGCAGCTAATTTCAAACCTACCACTGCATGACAGTTTTAGTTTGCCTTTTTGCCTCTGGTGGGCATGAAGACTGAGCAAAGCTGGGAATCCTGCAGAAAAGAGTGTGAGGAGCCAGGGAAAGGCAGAACCACCTCCATGCTGTAGCAAACAATTTCTAGATACTAGAAGCATAATAGAAACATTTTTCTGTACAGGTATTAAACTACTGGTCTGTTTGACAGACTTTGGTAACAATCCAAAGACCCTGAGGGTCTGAGCAGCTAGAAGTCCTAGACAAAGAACTTGTGGATGACTTTTGTCCCATGTGGCTTTTGTGAAGTATGGCAAAGGTTTTTCATGAGTGCCTGATTGTTATTCCTGAACAATATCCATAGCACTGTTGGCCTCAGGAGTGCACAGCTCCTGCTGATGTATTTTTCTTTTTGTGAAGGCAAAGGGACAATTATCACTGCATGTCATCTCCTAGACAATCAGTCAAATAGAGCTGGTGGCCAGTGGTTAGCTATTCGCACGTTATTTGCCATGTAAATGAAAACGTCTTTATTTATCAAAAAAACACAGAGGCTATTTTTATATCCTTGGTATGAAATATGTATTTAAACTATTTAAATATTTATAAAGAAATGAATGTTTTCTTTTCATTTTGGTAAAAAAAAAGCTTGCTGTTTTAACAAGAAATGCACTACTGTTGTGTATAGTAGATCAAAAATTATTTATTACTAAGAGGATGTAGTTTCCAAAGGAATCCCCCATTTTTTCTGCATGCAGTTTGCAACAAATGTATTCTCATGCTTCTGGATTATAAAAGAAAAGTGAAGTCATATTTTGTTAATGAAATAAAAACATGGACTGAGTGTCAACTACATGAGCTTTGGCATGGGGATAGAGAGGCTCCATCTAGGCTCTGCCAACTCATGTCAATGACATGATTTAAGGTCGTTGTGCCAGCAGAAATGTCTCTCCTCTAGGTATCGTATTTTGTTGCTCAAGAATCCAAAATGGGTCTGTGGACATAGGGCAATTTGGGGCTCAAAGTGAGGGAGAAAACCTGGGTGTGTCCTTTCCCAGTGCTTTTCTTTTACAAGAGGTAGTAGACTAGTGGAAATCCCCAAATGGAGCCAAGACTTCTGAGCTATAACTTGTGGGAGTAATACCAGCTTGCAATGGGTCAGCACTTTACCTTTTTTCTTTAAGGCTCCCAACAATGCTATACAGCGCAGTTGTTTCCATTCCTATTTTTAATAAATCTCAGGGGAAGCCTCAGAGATTACACAGTTAGGATGCTGACACAGTCTAGAATCCATAATGCTCCCTACATCTCACACTAACAGGCAAATTCAGATGCTGGGATTGGCAATGATTTAAGCACCTTCACTAAAGTCTTATTTTATGTTTTAGAACAGTTACAGTCTAATTGTCTTGGACATTTTGGGAAGATATATTGGGTTCACATTCTGGAGTTCTCTTTATTTTCCACCACAAAAAATAATCTGAGAATTGTATCATTAAAAGTATCTAAACACACCAAGACTTCTGATGTTGTATGAATCTTGCACCTTAAAACTGGCTAGAGCAGCAGAGAGAAAAGATATTTTTTCTAAGAAAAACAAACACAGGACATGTTTATAAGGCAGGTCACTCAGAACTCAATGCCTTCTACTTTCCCCCTCTCCAAAATTCGGTCTCTCCCTAAGTTAAAGGGAAAACTGAGACAAAGGCAACATTCTAGATTTCATGTATTCATTTGCATTCTCCCTTTTGCTCTTCTTGACCTATGTAATCATTTTAAATGCAGTTCAAAAAGAGCTAACTGGTGTTGGCTCACAAGTGTCCTTCTGGCAAATTACACTGCTATTACTAATGCTAACAAGAATAACTGGCATTCTGTTTCTTGAGTACTGACTTTGTACCAGCCAATTTTTAGGAATTAATATACATTATACTTCCTTATGTATTAATCAAACAGTGCTAACAGTTACTTGAGTTATTTGTTATTATTATCCCTATTTTACAAGTGAATAACTAATTGAGACACAGATTTTTTTTAACTTCCCCAGTCACATTATTTTAAATGATTGATAGACCCATGGCTGCTCTAAGTACCCCTCCCTTCATGTTCACACGCATGCTTGTTGATCTTTGGAACTTCTTTACTAATAATTACAATTGACCACTGAACAATGAGGGGCAAGGGGGCTGGCCCCACACACAATTAAATATTCATATGTAACTTTTGACTCTCCAAAAATTTAACTTCTAATAGCCTATTGTTGACTGGAAGCCTTACTGATAACATAAACAGTTGATTTACATATATTTTATATATTATATGTATTATATACTGTATTCTCACAATAAAAAAAGCTAGAGAAAAGAAAATTGTATTAAGAAAATCATGAAGAGAAAATACATTTACTATTCATTAACTGGAAGTGGATCATCATAAAGGTGTTCATTGTTATAGTCTTCACATTGAATAGGCTGAAGAGAAGGAGGAAGAGGAGGAGTCTTGCTGTCTCAGGGGTGGCAGAAGCTGAAGAAAATCTGCATATGAGTGGATCGTGCAGTTTCAAACCCATGTTGTTGAAGGGTCAACTACAACTTTTTTCAAAATCAGTGAATAAACTGAGTTATTTTTGCAATGCAAGTAAACAAATAGGATGAATTAGCTAAGTTCTTGGGATTTGGGGATGTTCCCGCGAATTGGCTGGAAACAAGCCCGTATTTTCTACCCAGTCCCCTTCTCTGTATTTACTCAACATCTGACTTTAACAGGCATGAGAACAAGCTCCCTGACCTGCATGGAGCTGCAGCTGGACAAAAGTGAGCAAGCACCTGGAAGGAGGGAGGGCTCCCATGCATTTCTTCCATGAGGACCTCCACCTCATCCAAATCAATCCCATTTTATTCCTTATCGAACCTTTCCCCCATCTACTCTGACAAATAGGACTCTCCCATATCCAGGGCAGCTCAGGATGATACAGTTTAGTTCTATTTTATTTAAGTATGTGCTAATAATATTCTAGAAAGTGAGAATTTCAAGTTTTCCTAGATGTTTAATTGTCTAAGCACTGTAGCTACACAAATAGCAAAGGCCCTTGTCTTCTTATCAGGGATGCATTTTTGAGCCCCTACATTTTCTTCACCTACTCACCCTCTGCTGAAGGAAAGCCCCAGGAACCCAGAGGCAACAAAAGCAGTTATTTTCTTGGTCAAGGTAATTTTCTTTAAAATTATATTGAGAATAAATATTTTCTATGCAATTCTAATTAAAACCAGACAGATTATGCAAAACTTCATGTTAATTCAATATAAGAAGAAATTCCTAATAATTCCAGCTACTTACAAATGGAGTTTATTGTTTATCCCCAATAGACAAAGTGTCCTCTCAGAGGCTGTGTGAGTATTTGACAGGAATAGTTTTTCCAGAAGGGCTGTGCATTGGATCTGAAGTTAGCAGAATGCCTACATCACAACCACATGGGGTATATATTTGAAACGCAGATAATCTAGCTTCAAGCCAGCTGCTTTGAATGGGACCTGAAAATCTACCATTTGGTAAACTTCCTGGGTGACTCAAATACACTAAAGGCTGAGAAGTATTGGTCTAGAATCTATAGAAGTACAAGTCTGAGTCCTAGCTAATCTGTATGTAAGTAGACAACCACTGAAATTCTATTAAGGACAGCCCAGAGTCTGTAATTGTATAATAAAGAAGGCTGATTAACTCCTAAATCAGTAGTCCTCCAACTTTAGTTCAAATAATGTACTTCTGGGAGATCTTATTAAAAGAGAGATTTCAGGGCTCCAGCTCCTTAGACATGAGCTAGGTCCCCAAGTGATTCTAATATGTATGTTCCAAGAAATAAACTCTGAAAACATTGTCCTAAGAAGTACAACCTTTCGTTTTATAATGAGCTGGTTCTGTGGGAAGATGGACCAACTAGAATCAAACCAATTAAAACTGACAAGTTTCTTTCTGTACAGTTCCAAATACATCAATGACCTTTTTTTATCAAAGTAACTGATATCTTTTCTCCAAGAGAGCTTTGAACACCCATCAATTACTTCAATGAAAAATGATTGTCTACTATGTGTCTTACACCACTTATACCTCTTGATTTGTTATAGATCTTTGTTTTCTTGTTTCATTTAGATTTTCTAGAAGAAAAAAGAAAAGTGAAAATACCTTCTGAAGTTTCAAAAATTGGTCAGTTATCTGATAGGAATCATATTTGTATGTGAGGCAAGATAACTATTTGGTCAGCAGATGACAGTTGCTGTGGATGTCCCCTATGTGAAATGGAATTGCTAATGTTAAGATTGTGATTTTATTCATAACAATGAAAACAGCCTGCACCAAATAGTTCTTGCTAAAGCTACTTATTCTCATGGCATATATAGCTCATTTTCTAAGGTCATCTTTTTAAGACATTGCTTTTATGTCTTCTTTTTTAAGTATATAGTACTTCAAATGTAGTCTTCTCTTAGATACCATCATCACCGAAAATAGAGCTTGGGTACAAGTGCAGGCATAGGCTCTATTAAGGGCTCTTCCAAAAGGCTTTCCTTTGCCTATTTATTTCACTTTATAGAAAGGCAAATGGTCCAAATAAATATTAAGCTGAGAAAGGAGCAGAAGTTTTGGAAGAACACAAAGGAGTGTTTGCCTCCAACCATTTTTTTCTTGCTCTGTGATATGGACAAGTTATTTAAGACATCTGAGCCTCAATTCCTTCATCTAAAACTTGAAGAATAAAATATATCCAATTTTCAGAGTCTTCGTGAGAATTAATGAAGTAATTTTTGTGAAGGCACACTACCCGACGTACAATAAACGCTAAACAAATGTCAGTTTATCTTCCTGACCTTTCATCCCCTGGTTCCTTTCCTATTTCCCCCTCCTCCCCTCATCTCCTTCTTACCTCTCCTTCCTGATTTTTTCACCTTTCCTTGCCCCCCCTCTCCTCTTCCCCAACTTCTTCCTGGCTCTCCCTTTATCTCCAGCCTCCTCCCACTTACATCCTCTCCATTCTCTCTTTCCCGCTCCCTCCTCTCCCCTTGGCCCTTCCTCATGCTTCCTCCTTTTCCCTCTCACTCAGTGTTCCAGGCCACCTTCTGGAAAATGAGTCCTCTCTTTGACATTTTCTCTGCTTAGGTCACAAAGTAGCTTTCATAATATGTCCCCTACAGTCTATTCATCACAGTGTTAACAATCAAGTCAACATTTACCTTTTTAAAAAAAGTTGTTGAAGAGCCACCAGGGCAGAAAAACATGCTGTTTCTGCCCCCAGCCACCTTATCCCCAACCCGTGTGGCTTCTAATATGTCTATCTGAATTTCAGTGAAGTTTTATTTTGAACTCTTTAATTACAGAAAGATACAGGAAGTTTATTCACTAACACAAATATATTCTACAAACACATACCATTTTTCCCCATAAAGTTTTTCTATAGAGATTTGCTGTTGCTTTAGAAATCACACACATATATGTCACAACCACCATCCCTGGCCACAGAAGACCTGAGCACTATCAGCCAGAAGCCTCAGAGCTTTCTCTGTGGCAAATGTTGTTGCCCTCTTACCCACAGTTCCTCTGGCTAGAAGCAGAGCTTATGAAATGTCTGCCACTTCACACAGATGCCTTCAAAGCTTCCCTTAGTAGCCCACCGTGTGAGTAGGTCTCATCAGAGGGAATAAGCTAAATGTTACTCCCTGCAGCTTGTGTCCTGAAAGAACCTATTCCTTGAGTTGTGTCATTCACCAAGCCCTGAATAAACAGTATAAAAGACATGAGGACAGCACAGTGAGGCAGAGATAGACCAGCACTTACATACCTGTCATTGCAGGTAATTAAATAAGCTGTTCATTCCAGAAAAAAAACAGCTGGTGGGAAAATGTGTCCAAAGGGCAAAACTATGCCTTCTTAAGCTATTTCCTTTTAACTTGGGTTTTTCCTTTATGGAGATAAGAAGCTGGAAATGGGATGGAATTTGACGCTGAAGCTAAGCTTCTGGGTTTTTTTTCACAGTTGGCTTGATAAAAATAGAACATACATATGTGATATATTTGAGTACAACAAAGAATAAAATAAGAGGAAGTGAGACTTAAAAGTGTGTCTGTGCTTTTTATTTTTGTAAAGAACTAATATACTAAGTTGAAGGGACCACTTTCATTTAAGAATTTCCTCCAGGGTAAAGAGTACCCTTTTGCTTTGGCACTTTTACTTGCCATGGTAATTTTTTTTAACCAGTGCTGACTCTGAACTTTATGCTACTCCTGTAGCTTTATTCTTCACTATGGTTTATTTGTCCTGAGAGAGAATTATTTCTGAACTCTGCATGGGGGTCAGTATTAAATGCTAATAAGGAAGGGGCTCAAACTCAGCCACATCTTTTGGGGAACACAGAGCCCTCTGGGTAGCTGCAGCCACATGGCCAACACTCAGCATCTTTGGGGCCCCTTGCTATGATTGGCAGTGATGTCCAGAAGCCCTCAGATGGAAACACAGATTTCCGAAAGTTGCCATGATAACTTATTGACCAAAATGAGTCATAAGAGTTCCTCCTGCTATAATCAGACAACCTGTGGAACCAAATCTAATTGTCAACTCTGGCTTCCAGTACCCCAAAGGTATTTGAGCCCTGGGCCTAGATCACTTAGCATATCTCTTGTTAACTTACACAAAAACCACGTCTACAGAAAAGGGGTAAAGAAGACAACATTTCTCACACTTGGTTCGCAGGGTGTGGTTTGCGGGACAACAGCAGCAGCTTCATCTGGAAGCTTGTTAAAAATGCAAAATCCTGGACCCCCATCTCAGAGCAGTGAATCAGAATCTACATTTTGACAAGATTCTCAGGTAATTTGTGCACATGTTAAAGGCTTAGAAATACCTGAACAAGGCCGGGTGCGGTGGCTCACACCTGTAATCCCAGCACTTTGGGAGGCTGAGGTGGGTGTATCACGAGGTCAAGAGATGGAGACCATCCTGGCTAACATGCTGAAACCCCGTCTCTACTAAAAATACAAAAATTAACCACGCATGGTGGCGGGCGCCTGTAGTCCCAGCTACTTGGGAGGCTGAGTCAGGAGAATCGCTTAAACCCAGGAGGCAGAGATTGCAGTGAGCAGAGATCACGCCACTGCACTCCAGCCTGGAGACAGGGCAAGACTCTGTCTGAAAAAAAAAAGAAAGAAAGAAAGAAAAAAGAAAAGAAAAAGAAAAAAAGAAATACCCAAACACTGGTTCTTGACTCTGGCTACCCATTAGAATTACCTATGTTGCTTTTAAAAAACAGATTCCTGGCTCTAACCACAAAGAGTTTGATTTAGTTTGTGTGGGTAGCACACATACAGAATCAGAAACTCTGGGGGTAGGGCCCAGCAACCTGTGGTGCTTCTGATACCAGCTAAAGTTCGAGAACTACTGCTCTAGTCTAGTCGACAAAGGACCCAGCATTGGCTGAAGTAGGGTTTAAGCAAGAAGGAATGTGCATATAGTTATGTATAGGTGTATAACAAGATGTGTATCAATATCAACCTTCCTCCTGGAGACTCATCATCTTCTTTCCACTTCAAATACTCCTCTATGTTTTAAAACCATACTAGTTGATGGACATATCACTTTCTGATTAGAATAGGCTCCCCAAAATGCCGTCTATTCTATCATTTCTAGTTTAGCTTAGAGATATCATTGTGAAGGATTTTATTCCTCAGATATCATTGGCATATCTCAGTTTCATGAGTCTGAGCTTGGGAAAAGAATAATTGTTGGTTACAAGAGCAGATCACAATTGTAGGTCTTGTGAACCATGAGCTGAGACAGAAGTTCCTCCCTCAAGACTACAGACAATGTGTCCCATGGAAAAACTACCTAATGTTTTTCCTCATTTTGCTTAAACATGGTTGTTGTGTTCAGAAATCAGAGCTTTATACTGCAACACAAAACCAGCTCCATATATAAGCCATAAGAGCAGCACTGTGCTGTTTTAACCACATTTATAAAAAACAACTGATAATCTACTATCTGACTGTGGAGAGGTGGTACCTACTGACAATAAAATATCGTATATGAAATAATGAAAAAAGAAAGTTTTCTGTTATTAGAAACTGTTTCTATATCTTAATGCTGCTGCCTAGGTGGCTGATGGGGCAATACTTTACAGAGTTATATGTACAACACCTATACTCTAGGGTTTATGTATTTAGACTACAATAATAGGTCTGCATTTATCTAACACGTAGTTAACACTGTCTTTATAAAGACACTTTCTGAAGTAAATATAAAGAGTGAGACTTGGGCTGAGATAAACTGAGTTCTTTACTTCACTGCTTAACTATCTGGCTTTGAACAAAACAAATTCTCAGACTCTTCATTCCCTTTTCTCTGAGACTGGAATATTTCCATATGACTTCTCCTAGAAGCATATCCTGATATAAAAATTTTGGTGAAATAGTTTATTTGGAGGACAAATTCAGGAAACACTGATTAGGGAATGGCAAGATGAGACTGAAAAAAGGAAGCTAGAAAGTGATGTATTATTGAGCAGGTAACCATTGTGAGCAACTGAGGTTCAATCACTCTAAGGAGCTCCAGACGACATTACAGAACATGACTTATGAGTTGCACAACCTAACAAAGAAGAAGCTGGATTATTCATCCTCCAAGTCCCATCTGTCCCAATGGCTAAAGGCTGCACCCAGAGATGTTAACCATACATCTGGCCTGTCCTTATGCAAATATAAAGACAAAACATTAGCAGAGAGTCCCAGGAATTTGCAGTAAAATGTCTTAGGCAGAGCCTGGAACCGTGAGTGTGTATGAGAAGAGCACAAAAAGCATCTGCTACATGAGGTATGTATGTATCAGGTCCAGTCAAAAGACAGAAACCACACAGTAACTTGAACAGGAAGTGCTTAAAATAAATAATTATTATTATGGAACATAGGTTTCTAAGAAAAGATGAAAGAACATCCTGTGGTGGAGAAAGGGTACCCAAGGAAGGAATAAATTTGGAAAGTTTCCAAGGCTAGGATACAGACTTTCTGAAAAAGGGGTAGACATAGCCCAATAAGAGGTTTGCTGGGTTGCCTGGATAAGAAGTGGTCCATTGTCACTGGACTGAGGCCAGAGGGAAATGCATGCTGGGCAAACAGCAAATCCACCCAGAGGTTCAAGTGGACCAAGGTTGGTGTGAGAAATGGCTCTGGTGTTCAACACACCACTGGTCACTCTGTACCACAGGAGCCAATCAAAGAAGCAGGACACAGAACCCACGAAAAAAGCCCTTTCCTCTGCAGTGTCTCTCCAGCACCCTCTACTGACAAAGAGGAAATATTTACAAGATCCAGTTCAGTATCACAAGCAGTAGTATCACAAGCAGAGCAATGAAGGGTAGATTCTGACCACTGACACAAGGAAATACTATTTACATAAGATCATTCGATATGAAGTAAATGGAATAACGTATTAAAATTACTTTTTAAACAGTAAAGTTCTCTGTGTTAATCTGTTTAGTGTTTCTGTGACAGAATATCTGAAGCTGGGTAATTTGTAAAGAAAATAAGTCTATCTTGTGATTTTGCAAGTGGGAAAATACAAGAAGCATGGCAGTGGCATTCTCTCAGTTTCTGGTGGAGGTTTTCCTGCTGCCTCATAACATGGGAGAAGGTCAGAGGGGAAGCAGAGAAGCAAAGATTCATAACCTGAGGGCCGGCACATCCTGGCTTTATAACAACCCACTCTGCAGGAACTAAGGCATTCCCATGAGAACGAATCCGAATCTCATCTTGCCTGAGTGAGAACTCACCAAACCATTTATGAGGGATCCACCACTGTGACCCAAACACTTCCCACTAAGCCCCACCTCCAATGCCTCCACACTGGGAACCAACAATTTCAACATCAGTTTTAGGGGGGACAAACTCAAGCCATATCCAAACCATAGCATTCTTGATATACTTGGTGTGAAAGTAATTGCAGTTTTAAAAGACATTACTTTTAATGTAAAAAAAAAACTCAATTACTTTTGCACTAACCTAATAGTATTTTTAAAATGAGTGCTTGTATGCAAAAACATCATCAGAATTACTATTTATAATAAAACTATGTTTTTCACTAACATGGTTGATTTATTATATTTTTAAAGCTATCTTTAGCATATGGTCTTTTAAACAAGGTTTTCTTCTCTGTAAAAATGTCATAAATTGACTCCCATGTCCATACACATTTTTCATGGCCTAAAATTCCTTTAATGGGGATCAAGTCTTTCTTCTACAGTTACTGATAAGTGCAATATATTTATTTTAATCCACAGAATACAAAGGCTCTAGCATATTTTTATTTCTTTTACAGAAAATTTTGATAGACAATGGAAAAAGTGAGGAAAATGGTCTATGTACAAAATGAAAAAGCTATTACTGGGCAGTTAGACTGTCCTTGCTTCTCTCCCTCAAAACTCTTCAGGAAACCGCATCTTTTTCTTTCACCCTAGTTAGCACAGAGTCAGATCAGTGCAAAAAAAAAAAAAAAAAAAAAAAAAAAACATTATGAAGCTGGAAACCCCCATTCTAAGCAAACTATCACAAGGACAGAAAACCAAACACCACATGTTCTCTCTCATAGGTGGGAGATGAACAACGAGAATACATGGACACGGGGCGGGGAACATCACACACTGGGGCCTGTCTGGGAGTTGGGGGCTGGGGGAGGGATAGCATTAGGAGAAATACCTAATGTAAATGACGAGTTAACGGGTGCAGCAAACGAACATGGCACATGTATACCTATGTAACAAACCTGCGCATTGGGCACATGTACCCTAGAACTTAAAGTATAATAATAAAAAAAATTGTTTGGGGAATTACAAAAAAAAAATTGAATTGAAATCCTCTAATTTATCACACTCTTCTTTCTTATTCTCCTCACTAGTGATATGTCAATTAAAATATCTCCTTGAGAGGTCTTTATCACATACCTATCCAATTAACCTTTCCTCTAAATGAATTAATCTCTTGACCCATCAATGTGCTTCTGGCTATTAATTTATTGTTTCCTTTCAGTTACCAATGATGTTCATAGTCACTTATAACTCTTAGAAATAGAAAACCAATCTGTCGTCAGGTCTGCCGATAGGTCAGAACATCCTTTGTTCTCCCTTCTCTTTATTTCGTGAAGTTTTAAAGGCTATCAAAGGGATGTAATAGTACAGCATAAGAGACAGGCACAGAAACAAAAAGACAAGAGGTAAGCATGGATAGAAACACAATTTCTGTTTTGAGAGTTGTGTACATGTCAAAGTAATTGGCATTTTAAAGGGAACTGTAACAAAATGGTCAAAGATGGCTAGATAAACATTGGTCAAGTTCATTGTGGAGGTAATGAATGGGATGAATTACATTCGGCCAGGTGATTTCTGAAATGTTTTCTGGCTTGAGATGCTCCAATCATTGGGGAAAGGAGAGAGGCAAGTCTAAGAAAAACTTTCATGTATGACTTGGACTCTACTCAGATGTAACCAAAATTAAAACTCATCGTCCATACGAGCAGAGAAGGTGACTATCTGGTCACAAAAGTGAGAAACCATTTGGATAGTAAATAGTCAAGTAGCTCATGCCCCAACTCTCGAAGCTAAAACAAACCCAGCATCTAGAACTAACAAAGAGAAAAGTTGAATCCCTATATCCTTCTGATACTAGGACTGATTCCGGATCAGTTACTTCACCTGACTCTTTCTGGTGTTAAACAGAAGGGCTGTGGAAGAGACAGCAGGCAGATAAAAGGTAAATAGAAATGAAAAGTAGTATACTTGAGAAGTATGCCCACCTCATGCACCCAGGATGCCCACAGCTCTGGGAAGATGTGAGCCGAACCATCAGGGTTTGTGGGAATGGGCCTCTATATTGGGGTTCAATGATCTTCCTCCATGGTCTTCCATATTTTACCTTTTCCTCTTTTCATATCAAAATAGGAGGATGTTTATTGACTGTCTACTATATGCCAGGTACTTTAGATATGCGGTCTCATTTAATCTTCCCAACAACTCCATAAAATATGCTTTGTTATTGCTCTGTCATGAATGAGAAAGCAGAGGCTGAGAAACTATGCAATTTTCTGCAGCAAATAGGAAGCACAGTGCCTTTAGATTCCAAAAACCATACTCAGCACAACTCCACGGTGTCACTAGATCTCTCTCAGACTCTCCTGGATGTTTGTAAGTACATAGTCTACCCTGCCCTGAACCCAAACTTGGTAAACAAATCTTGAAAAAGCACATACATCTGCAAAGCACCTTAAAATATGAGTGTTTTTATTTGTCTCCTGATACACCTGTAGTACTATCAGAGCATAAAATATAAAATGAGGCTTATTCTATAGAGGAGGATATTGAGGTAAGATTAAACAAAGAGTCTAAACTGGAAAGACATGAAAATAGTTGATATTTAATGGGTACTTATAAAGTAACAGGCACTATACTTGAAGCTTTAGATATCAATTCATTTTGTTCTAACAATAATCCTGTCAGGTAGTTACTGCTATTATATTCATTTCATAGCTGAGGAAACCGAGGATAAAATAAGTTAAATAATATATCCAAACCCATACTCCTAGTAAGTAGCTGAGTTAGAATTCCAACCCAATGATATCTGTTTCAGAACTCTTGCTCTTAGCCTTGTACTGTATTCTAGTTTTGTGCTTATCTATTGCTCATGTGCCTCTTTAGGTTATAAGGCTTTCCAAGATGGCCAAAGTCTTTCAATAGATTTCTAATCCCCACACAACAACCAGGACAGAGGCTGATGCAAAATGGCTACTGAGAAAATGTGACTGACAGGCCATAAAATCTAGACCTATATGGGGATTAATAAAAAACTTGCCACTGTAAAGCTTCCCATAACACAATAAGCATTTAAACTAAGTAACTAAAATGGAACTCAAATTAACCACTCCAAAAGGTCTACTTTTGTGCTTCCAGATCTTCCACCAACTACGCAGCAAAGGTAGAATGAAAATCTGTGCAATATCTGTGTTTCAAACTGGTACCCAGAGACAAGCAGAATCTCTACTTAGCATCTCTTTAACCATTATGAACCCCTTTCCTTAACATAGCCCTCTTTGAAGAAGCTTCTGAGCATTTGTGTACCTTAGAGTGTGAATCATCTAGCAAATAAATAACCTGAGTACATAGCATTACTATCCTTATTTTAAAAAAAAATGAAGTCAAAGGAAATGGCATCTTTTCTTAAGGCTTAAGGTCTCTGAATGCTTAAAGTCAATAGCTCTGACTATTGACTGCTGGTGGTAAATAGAAAAAAAAAAAAAACACACAAAAGGCTCTATTCCTCTGTCTAAGCCAAAATGGCAAGGCATTCACAGACAAACATTCAAGACAGGCAGACCCCTTTCTCCTCAGTCTCTCATTAAAGCAGGCACAGGTTAAAGTGACTCTTGTTGTCCCCACTTGAACTATTTCTTGTTTAAACATAAATTTTTTATGGAGGTCCCAGATTCTTAGGTTTGCCACTGAAGCTTTCTTTTAGAACCAAACCCTTGTTATTTATAAAGCTTGAGACTAAACAGAAAATTTCTCTGCCCTTCTTTGCCACCCCTCCTCCCATTCCTTCCTTGTTGCCCTCTTCCCTTTCTCTCTTCAATTCATGCCTATACTTGAAATATCAACACAAGGAAGTTGGCTTAAATGTGAGATAAAATATTTCCATCATCTGCTCAAGAGACTTCTGCCAAATATCAAGGTTGTTGACTCACATGGAGTGTAAATATACTCTAAAAACCATATGTCAGGGGACCTTGGCTTACATTATTCACTTGGGTCTGCTCAGAAGTAGGCTACTCAGAGAGGGCTATATCAGACACCACCGTAAAAGCAAAGGTATAGTGTGATTGCTTTTTTATTGCTCTGAATCAAATCAGAAGGGGTGATTCACTTGCTGTGATACATTTATTGAGAAACACACAGCTCAACTTTTCATTTACAGAGAGGATATTTGACAGAATAAAGGGGGCTTCAGATTTTTTTCTAAGTAAGCATCTGCATTAGTTTCAATAGTCATGACTCCTCCCTTCACTACAACAGTTGTAGATAGCTAAGTGCGAAAAGCAGCTTCTGGCATAGCCCCAATGATCCTTACTTCCTGGTGTGCACACTTGTGAAATCCTCTCCCCTTGAGTGTAGGCTGAACCTAATGACTTTCTTCTAACATATAGAATACAGCAAATATAATGTGATATCACTTCCATTATTAGGTAACAAAAGACTGTGACTTCTCTCTTGCTGGTATTTTCTCTCTCAGGTTCTTCTCAGTTACTGTGATAGAAAGTATCACAAGGCAAAGGACTGAGGACAGCCTCTGGCCAACATCCAGTAAGGAACTGAGGCCTTCATCCCAGTAGATGGAAGAGAATTGAATCTTATCAACAACCACTGAGTGAGCCTGGGGCTGATCCTTCTCCAGTTGGCCCTTGAGTTCAACCTTGAAGCCACTGACTATATTTTTTTTTAATTTTTAAAGTTGATACACAAAAGCTATACATATTTGTGGTATACAACATGATGTTTTGAAATATGTACACATTGTAGAATGACTAATTAACATATGTATTATCTCAAATACTTATATTTTATTTGTGGTGAGGATACTTGAAATCTACTCTATTAACAAATTTCAAGATTATAATACATTGTTATTAACTATAGTCACAAACTGTGCAATAAAGTCCCTGCTTATATCTTAATGGCAGCCTGTGAAACCCTGACAGAGGATCTAGTCAAGCTGTGCTCAAATTCCAGACCCGCACAATCTGTAAAATAATAAATATGTGTTGTTTTATACTGCTAAATTTCAGTATAATTTGTTACACAGCAAGTAGATAGCTAATACAATAAGAATGGCGGGGATATGCCCTTAAATTGAGCAGAAACCAAAACATCCCTTCTCAGCATAAAAGTAGCACAAAACAAAAAACAAGAAAAAAGGAAAAAAACGTTATGGGCATAGGATTGCTTGGTGAGCATGACATAGGTAAAAAGGAATACAGCAGCTTAATAGATATGTCATCCAGAGTTGAACAGCTCTTAGTCTAAGAAAAGACTAAAAAGCAATGTTCCCTCTGATGCACAGGACTGGAAAACTTTTCTGATTTTTTTTTGCCCCTTTCAGCCAGACCATCCTATTACAATATAATTGACTAGGTTTCTATTTCCCATAGTTATCTCAGTACCTGCAACCCTTCAACCATGCTGATTGGTTTGCTTGGTTTCCAAGCCTCTTGGCAAATGGTTCCACTGTCCATCTTACACTGATCTCATAGTTTCCATCTCATTTTTACCCCAGTAACTACAGTATTATTAGCTCCACTTTATTCATAAGGAAGTCTGAGAGAGGTCATATTACATACAAGTGGAAGAACCAATAATAGAATCTAGTATCAAAGGATCTTCCCTTGGATCATTCAACTTCTCAATACCATTCCTTCTCAATTCTTTGTAGAAATATAAAATAAATTTCAAGACATACATTGAATTGTGTTCATAGCTCCTGTTTCTACCAATTTCTGCACTAACATCTTGTACTTAATACTAATCTCTTATCTTCTTGGGTTTATGGTCCCTGAACCCTCAGAAATTCCTTCTGATCTTTTACCCTAGCATGTTAAAATCTCAGAATCCAGTACCTGAGAATCTTTCCCAAACATTCTTTCTTGCCTTTTTTTAAAGCTTAGAAAGGCATGAATTTTGAAGTCTAACATACCTGGGTTCCAATTCTGGTTCTATGATTCAGTATGACACTAGCTGTGGGTCTGCCATATACGACTTTTATTATGTGGTATTATGTTTCTTCTATACTCAGTTTTTCAAAGGGTTTTTTTTTTTAATCATGAAGGATGTTGCATTTTATCAAATGCTTTTCAGCCTCCATTGAAATGATCATAGGATTTTGTCCTCCATTCTGTTGATATGATGTATAACATTGAAATATTCACATATTTTGAAACATCTTTGTGTCCCTGGGATAAATCCCATTTGGTCATGATGAATGATCTGTTTAATGTATTGTTTCATGCAGTTTCCTACTATTTTGTTGAGGATTTTTCATGAATATTAATCAAAGATGTTGGCCTGTAGTTTCCTTTTGTGATGTGTTTTTGTCCGGTTTTGGTATCAGGGTAATACTGACCTCATAAAATGTGTTCAGAAGTACTCCCTCCTCTATTTCTCAGAATAGTTTGAGTAGGATTTGTATTAGATATTTTTATTTATTCATTTTTTTGAGATAGGGTCTTACTCTTTCATCCAAGCTGGAGTGCAGTGGTACAATCATGGCTCACTGCAATCTCAAACTCCCTGTCTCAAGCAATCTCCCTACCCCAGCCTCCCCAGTAGCTAGGACAACAGGCATGTACCACCAAGCCTGGCTAATTTTTGTACTTTTTGTAGAGATGGGGTCTTGCCATGTTGCCCAGACTGGTCTCGAACTCCTGGACTCAAGTGATTCTCCTGCTTCAGCTTCCCAAATTTTGGGGATTACAGGTGAGTTATTTAAAGGTTTGGTAGAATTCAGCAGTGGGGCAATTGGGTCCCAGGTATTTATTTACTGGGACACTTTACATGACAATTTTGATCTTGTTACTTGTTATTGGTCTGTTAAGGTTTTGGATCTCTTCATGGTTTAAACTTGGTAGGTTGTGTCTAGGAATTTATTTCCCCTAGATTTTCCAATTTATTGTCATACAGTTGCTCACTTAAGATCCTTTGAATTTCTGTGATATCAGTTGTAATGTCTCTTTATTCATTTTTATCTGAGTCTTCTCCCTTTTTTTCTTCATCTGTCTGGCTAAAGATTTGTCAATTTTGCTTGTCTTTTCAAAAAAACAGTTTTTGGTTTCATTGATCTTTTGCTTATTTTTCTTCATTTCAAATTCATTTATTTACACTCTGATCCTTATTATTTCTTTTTTTCTACTAATTTTGGGTTTAGTTAGCTCTTGCTTTTCTAATTCTTTAAGATGCATCATTAAATTGTTTACTTGCTGTTTTTCCTCTTTTTAAACATAGGCGCTTATAGCTATAAACTTCTGAGTACTGTTTTTGCTGCATCCCATAGGTTTTGGTATGTTGTGTTTCCATTATCATTTGTTTCAAGAAATTTTTCAATTTCCTTCTTATTTTCTTCAATAACCCGCTAATCATTCAGACATAATGTTTAATTTCTAGGTGTTTCTATAGTTTCCAAAATTCCTCGTTATTGATTTCTAGTCTTATTCCATTGTGGTCAGAGAAGATGTTTCATATTATTTCAATTTTTTTGAATGTTTTAAGACTTGTTTTGTGACCTAACATATGGTCTATCCTTGAGAATGATCCTTGTGCTGAGAAAAAATGTGTATTTTGCAGCCACTGGATGAAATGTTCTGTAAATATTGATTAGGTCCATTTGGTCTATAGTACACATTAAGTCTGATGTTTCTTTGTTGATTTTCTATCTGGGAGATGTATCCAATGTGAAAGTGGAATCTTGAAGTCTCCAGCTATTATTGTATTGAGGTCTGTCTCTTTCTTTAGCTTTAATGATATTTCCTTTACATATCTGGGTGCTTCAATGTTGGGTACACATAGATTTACAATCATTATAGCCTCTTGTTAAGCTGACCCCTTTATCATTATAAAATAAATTTCTTTGTCTCTTCTTACAGTTTTTGTCTTACTCCTGCTCTTTTTTTGTTTCCATTGGCCCATGGAATATCTTTTTTAATACCTTTATTTTCAGTCTATGTGTATCTTTATAGGTAAAGTGTGTTTCTTGTAGGCAACAGGTCACTGAGTCTTATTTTTTCATCCATTCAGCTACTCTATGTCTTTTGATTAGTGAATTTATTCCATTTAAATTCAATGTTATTATTGATAAGTAGGGACTTACTCCTGCCTCTTGCCATTTGTTTTCTGGTTGTTTTGCAGTCTTCTCTCTCTTCTTTCCTTTCTTCCTATCTTCCTTTTAGTGAAAGTGGTTTTCTCTGCTGGTATGCTTTAATTTCTTGCTTTTTATTGTGTATCCATTGTATGCTTTTTGATTTGAGGCCTTGAAAATACTATCCTATAACCTATTATTTTAAGTTGATGACACTTAAAACTTATTACATAAACAAACAAATATGCAAAAAGAAAACAAAAACTCTACACTTTCACTTTGTCCCCTTGCTTTTTAACTTTTTGTTGTTTCTCTTCACATCTTATTTTACTCTCTACGTCTTGAAAAGTTTTTGTAGTTATTATTATATGTTTGATTGGTTCATCATTTAGTCATTCTACTGAAGATAAAAGTACTGTATATACCACAATTACAGTGTTATAAAATTTTGTGTTTTTCTGTGTACTTACTATTACGATGGAATTTTGTACCTTCAGATGGTTTCTTCAGGCTCATTAACAAACTTTTTTTTTCTTTTTTTTGAGACAGAGGCTCACTCTTGTTGCCCAAGCTGGAGTACAATGGCACAATCTTGGCTCACCACAACCTCCGCCTCCTGGATTCAAGTGATTCTCCTGCCTCAGCCTCCCAAGTAGCTGGGATTACAAGCATGCACCATCACGCCCGGCTAATTTTGTATTTTTAGTAGAGTCAGGGTTTCTCCATGTTGGTCAGGCTGGTCTTGAACTCCTGACCTCAGGCAATCTACCTGCCTCGGCCCCCCAAAGTGCTAGGATTACAGGCATGAGCCACCGTACCTGGCCAACATCCTTTTCTTTCAAATTGAAGAACTCTGTTTTGCATTTCTTTTAGGATAGGTCTATTGTTAATAAAATCCTTCAGCTTTTGTTTGTCTGGGAATGTCTTTATTTCCCCTTTGTGCTTGAGGAATATTTTCACCAAATACACTGTTCTAGAGTAAAAGGTGTTTTTTTCCCCCTTTGGCTTGTTAAACATCTCATGTACTTTATGTCATTCCATTCTCTTCTGGCCTGTATGATTTCCACTGACAACTCTGCTGCCAAATGTATTGGAGCTTCATTGTATGTTATTTGTTGTGGTTTTCTTGCTGCTTTTAGGATCCTTTCTTTATCCTTGACTTTGGGAGTTTCATTATTAAATGCCTTGAGGTAGTCTTCTTTGGGTTAAATCTGCTTTACGTTCTGTAACCTTCTTGTACTTGAATGTTGATGTCCTTCTCTAGGCTTGGAAAGTTCTCTGATATTATCCCTTTGAATAAACTTTCAACTTCTATCTCTTTTTCTATCTTCTTCTTATAGCCAATGACTCTTAGATTTGTCCTTTTAAGACTATTCTCTAGATATTGTGGTGTGCTTCCTTTTTTTTTTCTTTTGTCTCCTCTGATCATGTATTTTCAAATAGCTGTCTTCAAGCTCATTAATTCTTTCAGTGGATCAGACCTAAAGCCAGCACAACACTGGGTCTTGCCCAAGGCCCATTTGTTCAATTCTGCTATCAGGAGACTCTGATGAATTCTTCAGTATGTCAATTGCACTTTTCAGCTCTAGAATTTCTGGTTGATTCTTTTAAATTATTGCAATATTTTTGTTAAATTTATCTGATTGAATTCAGAATTCTTTTTCTATGTTATCTTGAATTGCTTTCAGTTTTCTGTGTCTGAAGGGTCACATATCTCTGTTTCTCCAGGATTGGTCCCTAGTGCCTTACTTAGTTCATTTGGCAAAGTCATTTTTTTTGTTGTTTCGTTTTATTTTGTTTTGTTTTTGGATGGTCTTGATGGTCATAGATGTTCATTGGTGTCTGGGCACAGAAGAGTTAGGTCCTTGTTGTAGCCTTCATAATCTGGGCTTGATTGTGCTCATCCTTTTTGGGAAGGTTTTCCTAGTATTCGCAAGAAGTTGGGCCACAGGCCCAATAGTTCTTTGGTTTGTGCAGATTTGTAGAAGTGCTGCTTTGGTGGTCTTGGATAAGATCCAGAAGAATTCTGTGGATTACCACGCAGAGACACTTTTTCTTTTTAACTTACTTTACCCCAAACAAACTGAGTCTCTATCTCTTTACTGAGCTGCCTGAAACTGGTGGTGTGGTGATGCAAGGACCCCTGTGGCCACCACCACTGGGATTGTGCTGGATCAGACCTAAAGCCAGCACAACAGTGAGTCTTGCCCAAGGCCCACTGTAACCACTACCTAGATACCCACTATGTTCACTCAAGGACCTAAGGCTCTACAATTGGCAGGTGGCAAGGCCAGCCAGGTTTGCATTCTTCTCTTTGGGGTAGCAATTTTCCTCAAGCCCCAGGGAAGTCCATAGATGCTATTCTATTCTATTCTGCTGTGGCTATGCCGGCACTCAAACCACAACATAAAGTCATTCCTACTCTTCCCTCTCCTTTCCACAGGCAGAGGAACCTCTCCCTGTAGCCACCACCACCACCAGCCTATGAAGAGTTCTGCTAGGCCACCAGTGATGTTCCCTTAAAGCCTAAGGTCTCTTCCATCAGCTTGTTGTGAATGCTCCCAGGCCTGGGACTCATCCTTCAGGGCAGCAGGCTCCACTCTGGCCCAGGGCAGGCAGGTCCACAAATGCTGTCCAAAAGCCTAGGCCTGTACTCAGGGACCCCAACTGTCTGCTTGTTGTTCTACCCCTACTGTGGCCATGCTGATACCTAAGGTGCAAAACAAAGTCCTCTTTACTTTTGCCTCTGCTTTTCTCAAACAGAAGGAGTCTTTCACCATAGCCACTGTAGCTGAGAATGTGCTGGGTCACACCTGATGCCAGCACATCTCAGAGTTCAAGGCTCATGGCATACTACCTGCATATCACTGCTAGTTATTCAGAGCCCAAGGGTTCTTTAGACAGTGGGTGATGAATCCTAGGTCCTTCCCTTCAAGGCAGTGGGTTCTGTTTCAGCCCAGGATGTGTCTAGATATGTCATCCGTCATCTAGGAGCTATGGCCTGGAATGAGGCCTCACAACTCTACCCAATGCCCTATCCTACTGTGGCTGAGCTGGTATCCATGATGCAAGACAAAGTTCTCTCTACTCTTTATTCTCCTCCCCTCAAGCAGAAGGAAGGAGTCACTTTCATTGCTGTAAGCTGCACTGCATGGAGTTGGGGGAAGGAATGGTACAAGCACTACCTTAGCCACCCCAGCTGGTGTTTCTCTAGGTCATGTGCCACCCTAGTCCATGGGCTGTAAGCCCAACCCAGCACTAGGAGTTGTCCAGAAATTGTAGTCCATGTGTCCTAGACAAACTTTCAAGTTTACCTAGGCCCCCAAAGCACTTTGGCCCATGGTGGTGAGGCTTGCTAAGAAACTCAAGTTCCAACTACTGGCATGGTCTATTCCCCTTTGGCTAGAGCTAGTCCAAATTCTCCCTCTGTGTGCATGAGCTGACTGAGCCCAGTATGGCTTTTGTTCTCTCTATGACAAGGCAGCACTGAATTCGATATAAAATCCCCCAGTCACCGAGCATTCCCTCCTCCAAGTCCACAGACTCTCCGTGCCACTCAGCCATTGCCTGTAAGTTAAAACCAGGTACTGTGATTGCTCAACTGATTTTTTGGTTCTTATGAGAGTGCTTTTCTGTGTGTAGATTGTTGTTAAAATTTGTTGCTCCTGAGGGGGCGACAAATAATATCGGCTTCTATTCCACCATCTTGCTCTGTCCCAGGTATGTTTTTTAAATGCTTAAAACCTATAAATTCCTTCTGGAAGTTGATTTCTCTTGTCTTGTTTCTTTGTTAGTGTTACAGTATCATTTAGCATCATCATTAAATAACACTACACACGTTAGATATTAGCTATTTCATGGCTGTTGTGGCAGTGGGACAATTGGTGATGGTGATATTAAATCCCAAGTTAATGTGAACATTGGCCCTCATGTGATCTGCTATCCATTCCATGAGCTCTTCTGCCTTTAGGAAGTGCTGCATCCCCTGAAAACATCCCAAAATTATGTCCAAAGATGATCATGAATCAGATGTTCTGTGACAAAATTTATTTCTTGATGTGTGCCCTCTTCTGAGTTCATTCCTCCTTGCTGAGATTTCATGTTGTATAGAATCAGAAAGACTCTTCCCAGGCCTGCTCTGATACCAGTCTTTCCACCTCAGGCCATGTGATAATAAATCTATGTTTATTTCCAAAAAGAAACAAATTGTCCTTGACTGTCTTTACTTGTTTTTCTTATTAGTTCCTGATTTTTTTTCTGTACTAGAGAAAAATAGCTTCTAGATTTTATATGAAACTGTGTTCTTATCTAAAGTTCAAACATCTTGGCTGGGAGTGGGAGCTAACAACTGTAATCCCAGCATTTTGGGAGGATGAGGTGAGAGGATTGCTTGAGCACAGGAGTTCAAGACAGCCTGGGCAACATAGCAAGACCCTATCTTTACCAAAAAAATTAAAATTTAGCCAATCATGGTGTTATGTTCCTGCAGTCCAGCTACTTGAGAGACTGAGACAGAAGGATCAGTCGAGCCCAGGAGATTGAGGCTGCAGTGAGCTATGATCATGCCACTACACTCCAGCCTGGGCAACAGAACAAGACCCTGTCTCCAAAAGAATTTAAAAGGTTCAAATATCTTTTCACTGTATTAATGCCTGTGGGCTGGGACACTTAACAGGTGCCGGGCTTACTTGAAAACCAGAGAGGAGCCTAGTAAGAAGCCTGTTGGTGATTTACTACCTTACAGACAGCTTCATAACCCTACCTAGGACAAATTTTCATCCTTATCTTCAAGATCTCCTGAACTCTTCTCAATGATTTCATACCCAGGTGGCAAAGATTTATTTCTTATATGAAGTACAAAGTTTTAAGTTTTAATGCTTTTCTTTTCTTTTTTGGTTGAAATCTGGGCTTTTAGTGCACCCATCACCTGAGTAGTGAGCGTTGTACCCAGTAAGTAATTTTCTTTTTTTTTTATTATTATACTTTAAGTTTTAGGGTACATGTGCACAATGTGCAGGTTTGTTACATATGTATAATGTGCCATGTTGGTGTGCTGCACCCATTAACTAGTCATTTAACATTAGGTATATCTCCTAATGCTATCCCTCCCCTCTCCCCCGACCCCACAAGAGGCCCTGGTGTGTGATGTTCCCCTTCCCATGTCCATGTGTTCTCATTGTTCAATTCCCACCTGTGAGTGAGAACATGCGGTGTTTGGTTTTTTGTCCTTGCGATAGTTTGCTGACAATGATGATTTCCAGCTTCATCCATGGCCCTACAAAGGACATGAACTCATCCTTTTTTATGGCTGCATAGTGTTCCATGGTGTATATGTGCCACATTTTCTTAATCCAATCTATCATTGGTGGACATTTGGGTTGGTTCCAGGTCTTTGCTATTGTGAATAGTGCCGCAATAAACATACGTGTGCATGTGACTTTATAGCAGCATGTTTTATAATCCTTTGGATATATACCCAGTAATGGGATGGCTGGGTCAAATGGTATTTCTAGTTCTAGATCCCTGAGGAATCGCCACACCGACTTCCACAATGGTTGAACTAGTTTACAGTCCCACCAACAGTGTAAAAGTGTTCCTATTTCTCCACATCTTCTCCAGCACCTGTTGTTTCCTGACTTTTTAATGATTGCCATTCTAACTGGTGTGAGATGGTATCTCATTGTGGTTTTGATTTGCATTTCTCTGATGGCCAGTGATGGTGAGCATTTTTTCATGTGTTTTTTGGCTGCATAAATGTATTCTTTTGAGAAGTGTCTGTTCATATCCTTTGCCTACTTTTTGATGGGGTTGTTTTTTTCTTGTAAATTTGTTTGACTTCATTATAGATTCCGGATATTAGCCCTTTGTCAGATAAGTAGATTGCAAAAATTTTCTCCCATTCTGTAGGTTGCTTGTTCACTCTGATGGTAGTTTCTTTTGCTGTGCAGAAGCTCTTTAGTTTAATTACATCCCATCTGTCAATTTTGGCTTTTGTTGCCATTGCTTTTGGTGTTTTAGACATGAAGTCCTTGCCCATGCCTATGTCCTGAATGGTATTGCCTAGGTTTTCTTCTAGGGTTTTTATGGTTTTAGGTCTAACATTTAAGTCTTTACTCCATCTTGAATTAATGTGTGTATAAGGTGTAAGGAAGGAATACAGTTTAAGCTTTCTCCATATTGGCTAGCCAGTTTTCCCAGCACCATTTGTTAAATAGGGAATCCTTTCCCCATTTCTTGTTTTTGTCAGGTTTGTCGAAGATCAGAGGGTTGTAGACATGTGGCATTATTTCTGAGGGCTCTGTTCTGTTCCATTGGTCTATATCTCTGTTTTGGTACCAGTACCATGCTGTTTTGATTACTGTAGCCTTGTAGTATAGTTTGAAGTCAGGTAGCATGATGCCTCCAGCTTTGTTCTTTTGGCTTAGGATTGACTTGGTGATGCGGGCTCTTTTTCAGTTCCATATGAACTTTAAAGTCGTTTTTTCCAATTCTGTGAAGAAAGTCATTGGTAGCTTGATGGGGATGGCATCGAATCTTAAAAGATGTAAGAACTGCTGGGATGCCCTCTTAAGTTTAGATATCAAAAGGCAGGTACTATAATCCTTCTTTATTCTCTTCTGCATAAAATTATTGTTTTTCACAACCTGGGTGCAGACTAGATTCTACTACAATTTCAATATGAAACTGGAAATTTTAATAAGATACATCTGGCAATTCAGCCTTCAGGTCCCAGGCCAAATGTCACCATTTAAGATTTATACTCTTATAACACCGTGAGCTTTTTTCAAAGGATTTAAATTAAAAATGTAACTACGTATTTTATCAATCAATGTTTCTTTTTTCATCACACTGTAAACTCTTTGAGAGCAGGCACTTTGTCTATTTTTCTCACTATTATATCCATAAAGAACACAGAAATTACTAAATATTTGTGTAGTTAAACAAGTGAATAAATGAGGGAATGAATGCATCAATGAATAAAAAGCTGGGATCAGATGTTTTGTATCATAGGAACCGTGTCAAGATTCAGAAATGTTGTTGACACCAAACCAATCTCTAAATTATGTTCTCTATATTTGCCATATTTACTACTTTGTAAGATAATATATCTTCCAGTAGAACTCAGGGTTAACTTTGTATTCTGCAAGGCCATCTGAAATCTGTATGGACCTGCCATTCTAGGTAAAGGAGATCTAATCTCTAGTTTCCTCTGACTCTCCAGGTTCTGACTCAGCAGAATGGACTAAAGGACCATTATCAATATCCAGAACTTCTAGGCTTCTTAAAGAGCTTGAAATGATGTACATAGAATCAAAGTTTCCCCAAAACCTGAAAGCAGTTTTGGACCCAGCGTTCAGCCATACTTGAATACAAAGGAAAAAAGTAAATGCAGAAAGTGGTGGGAAATGAAAGGAGAAAGGCAATAGAAGAAAGCACTAATTTTTTGACATAGCCACTTGAAAGAAGAAAAATAATTAGTTATATATTTACACAATTACCAAAGAATTATAGCCCGTTTCTCAAAGTCTGTGTTTTTAATAGTGATCTATTTAGACAGTTGTATTAACTCTCACAGTCCAATATGTTACTATTGGGAACATAGAAAGATACCTGTTGTTTATATTTAATATAAGTTTCTATCTTTTATCTGTCAGGGGAAATTGAATGAGAACACTGTTTTAGAATACCTCAAAATTTCTTAGCTGTAACTCAGTATGCAGATATAATTAATGGTGGAAATGAAAATTCCCCACACTGGGAATTCTGGCTTTATTGCTATTAAATCCTCTGCACAGAGGTTGAGCCAGAGGTCTTGGGACCACATATTTTACTTCCCTCCTTCTATCTTGTTCCCATTTCTGTGACCGAGTTTCATTTCTCAGTTTTAGTTCTGCTCAGTTTTCTTTTCTCTGAGAATAAAACTACCAGATGTAAATGGCACCTGTTGCCACAGCAGCTAAAATATTCAGTTCTACCTTTCTCTTCTCAAAGGAACCTTAATGTATTCAGTACCTTTCTCTGGGTTAGAACAAAAGTTAGGAGCTAGGTTAGAATTAACCTCAGATATTCTCACAACCACTGAGATACAGCGTATGTGTGAATTCATTGACTGTTGATATTCCAAATCATTGTAAAATCACCTGTGTCATGAGAAAAAGAAACAATCATATGATTGATCAATGGTTCCATATTAACACCATCTGTCTAGGGGCTCTTCTAAGAGTTCTATGGCAAGAGAGAACAAAGTACACTAATGGAGCGTGAACTTTCTGTGGCTTACAAAGTCGGTTACATTTCAAGTTAGATTCATGTTTGATTCCCTGCAGTTTAATTTAGCCAGCAATATCCCCATTAAGATTGGTTCTTCCTCTGATTGAATCAAATAATTACTTGCTTATACTTCCAAGCTCTCATATCCCTTCCAATTTCTTTTGTTTTCTCAATGGAATTACTGTCTGCTTGGTTAGTTGAAAGGATTAAATCCTAACTGAAAGAAAAGTAGGAGTCTTTGAAGTGGCTGCTCTGTCTCTATTATAGAAACAGGAAAGGCAGGAAGTCCTACAAAAACTGTCACCACATTTATTGCCAAGTTTGTTCATGTCTGTACATTTTAAGGGATGGCTCTCTAAAGTCATGGAAAATTAAATGGGGAGATGGATTCTAAAGAAGGAACATATGTCAAACAAAAAATATATCCACACATAAAAACTGTATACAAATGCTCATCATAGCTTTATTCATCACAGTCTCAAACTGGAAACATCCCACATGCCCATCAACAGAGGAATGGATGAACAAAATACTGTTCAGCAATAAAAGAAATAATCTATTAATATACGCAACAACATAGATGGATCTCAAAAGCATTATGCTGAGCGGAAGAAGCATACTATGTGATGACATGTATATAGAACTCTAGAAAAAAACAAATCTAATCTATAAAGACAAAAAGCAGATCAGTGATTGCCTGGAACCAAGGTAAAGAGAGGAGAGGACTGACTAGGGACAAACACAAGGGACTTTTGTGGCATGATAAAATGTTCTGTATATTAATCGCAATGGTGTTTATATGGGAATAAATTTACCAAAATTTATCAAAACACTTAAAAGGATTATACTTTATTGTATATAAATTATATCTCAATAAATATGATTTTTAAAATAATATATATTACTTTAAATATATACTATGTGTTTTATATATATATATATTCTTCATTTCTTACTACTGAATCCTGTCAACACAGAGACTATCTTTTACCCTGGACTTTTTCAAATAGGGAAACAGATTCAATGTTAAAAAAAAAATTGTGAAGTTCCCTAGTATATGGTTCCTCAGATAGACGCTAGTTACCTATAGTTGGTAGGATAATATCCTCAAACATACCACATCTAATCCCAGGAAGTTGCAAATGGAAAAAGGATATTTGCAGTTGTGATTAAGGGTCTTATCCTGGACTATTCAGGTGGGACCTAAAATGCAATAAGAGTCCTTATAAGAAAGAGGAAAAAGGAGATTACACACAGAAAATGCGAAGGCAGAGGCAGACAGAGATTGGAGTGATGAAGCCACATGCCAAGGAATGCTGGCAGCCACAGAAGCTGGAAGCAGTAAGAAAAGGATTCTCCCCTAGGACTTCCAGAAAGAGTGCAGCCCAGCTTGATTTGGGGCCACTGATACTGATTTTGGACTTTTGGCTTCCAGAACTGTGAAGGAATAAATTTCTCTTCCTTTAAGTCACCAAGTTTGTGGTAATTTATTATAGTAGTCACAGACACTAGTACGATAGTTTTAATTAAATCCCAAACATTTAAAATTTTATAAATTCCACTCAATCAAAGATTTTTTGAGTTAGTATTATGAACAAGACCATGGGGAAAACCTAGCTTAAGTCATTCATACTCAAAGGAAGGAAGCAGATGCTGGAACACAGGGCAGAAGAGATCGGAACTATCTGATAACAGAGAAGCTACAGTGGTGATGAGAAAAGTGGGAGGAGGGAAAGGTGATATTATCTGAGCAAAGGATCAGTGAATCCTTCGGGAAAGAGCTGGCTTCAAATTTGGCCTTGAAAGACTGATAAGACTTCAACAAAATGTGACAGGATACCTGAATATATCTGAGAGTCACCTGTACAAATTTATTCACTATAAAGCTTATTTGGGACTCTTGATATCATGAATACAGCTAGCTTATAGTTCGTATAATGCACCATGAAATCACAGAACCACGCTCAGTCAGTGTAAAAAGCCTCTAATATGGGTGCTGTTCTTATATCCCAACATAGCCATGGGCATTCGTTAGTGTCCCTTCCTCTACAGGAAAATTGATACTCATATGAATTCTAAAAATATAGCTTATCTTGACTCTAGCTTTTTAAATTTGTGTCTCTTAGCAGGGATCTGAGGTTATCTAGTTGAGAGCAGTCCCAATATCCCAGAAGCCCATTTTCTAAAAGGGTTAATAGTCACACAATGTTATAAGAAAAAATGAAGAGCCAAAACAACATCTGAGGTGTGCCATCACAAAAGATGTTCAGGGAATAGTTACCAAAAGCAGCCCTTTTCAAAATGAAAACTAGGTTTTAGGATTTACAGTTTATTGTACTACAAAACTCTCCTCAGATTTTACTAAGGCCCCACCTCATCTCTCATATACATGCATATTATCAATAATGAATGAGAATGAGCTCTGCCAGGTATGAAAGCACATTATAGCCATTAAAGCAGCTTGGTACTACAGATGGAATATACAGCTTGATGATATAAAATAAGCTAGATTTATAAACAAATATGGGTGAAAATTAGGTATATTATAAGCTAGTGTTTTGTATCAATGGACAATAAACAATACAAAAACAACCAGCTTTTAAAAAGTAAGCTGGATTCTAACTCACCTCTTCAACCAAGATACAAATCCCAGAAGAATCAAAGATTTAGATGTGAAACACACACACACACACACACACACACACACACACACACTCTCTCTCTCTCTCTCTCTCTCTTTCTCTCTCTCTCATAAAATCCTTGAGTAAATAATTTTTTTTTTTTGAGACAGAGTGTCACTCTGTCACCCAGGCTGGAGTGCAGTGGCGCAATCTCAGCTCACTGCAACCTCTGCCTCCCAGGTTGACACAAGTCTCATGTCTCAGCCTCCTGAGTAGGTGGAATTACAGGCATGTACCTCCATACTCAGCTAATTTTTTTGTATTTTTTTGTAGAGATGGAGTTTTGCCATGTTGCCCAGGCTGCTCTTGAATTCCCGGCCTCAAATGATCCACCTGCCTCGGCCTCCCAAAGGGCTGGGATTTCAAGTATGAGCCAACACATCTGGCCCAAGAATTTTATTCCAATGAGAACCAAAACCTAATACCTTAAAAATTAAAAAAGATTGAAACCATAAAGAGATTCATAAGAATGAAAATTTTTTAACTAAAAATAATACCATTAACAAAGTCAACAGTCCGGAGAATATGTGCAACCAAGGACAAAGTGCTAATTTCCTTAATATATGAAAAAATATAAATATTAATTAAATTAAGAGATAAGTTATTCTATGGAAAAATTGACAAAGACCAAGGAAAGTAGTTCACGTAGCTAATAAACATCTGTCAGTCTATGTTAAATTGGTATCACCTTCTTAAAGGGCAATTTGGCAACATCTGGCAAATTTTAAAATGCATACAAATACAATCTGATAAAGATTTTACTTCTACAAATATTCTCAACCAAGTACACATACTCATTTTTTTGCTTAAACATTTCTTTGTATTTTTATTGATTTTTTAAAAAATTTCTGCCCAGTTATGACAATGAAATGGGAAACCACAATTACAATTCACAAATTGTGGCATGAAAAACAAGACACACCCCATAAGGAATTATACCAAACCCTTTTCTATTTATTCAAAAGAGAGTGCAAGATGCAAGTGTCAAATATGAGCACTGTAATTTTTTTCTTCTTAGAAGGTTATGTACAAGAATATATTTTATACATAACAACATTATGGTATCCTATTGGCATATAAAATTGTTTCATCAAATTTGTTCATTAAATGAGAGGCTTAATTGTTTATCATGGGTGGGTATTTAATGTCACTCTATGGAAAGAGTCATATGGTTGTTGAAAAGATTTATGATTAATCTATCTTGAAAAAATTTTTATTGAAAAAATGTCACCAAGAATGTGCTAGGAAGAGGAAGAGGCAACCTATACTTCCAAGTTAGTATCATTTTACTTCAAAGAGAAGAGCAACAGAATTTCAAAAAATATGTGAAGTTTGAGGTACAGATATTTTCTAGGACTACAGCAATGCTGAAACCCATTAAAGTCGGTCACCCGCATTTCCTAAACTTTCCAGTTAATCACTTTAAAAATGTTTCTCACTCCACTAGCAAATAAGTGAGAAAAAGTGATGTAGCAGAAGTTGTTTAGGTGGGAGTTTTTTCTCAAATGATTGATAAGCCAGTTATAATGGCACACTCGTCTTCCAAGTTATTAGTAACAAAAGAGATTCATTAGAGTAGTCTAATCTGAAACAAAGGCAATAATACAGGGAACTTTTTACAACTCACTAAAAAAAGATGCCACTTCCAACTGTCCAATTATCCAAGAAACAGCTTTTATAAATGTTCAGAATTAAAAATATATGCTATGTTCCAGACAACAAACATCTTCAGCAGCTATAACAGCTTGAGAGGACTGCTCAGGTTTTTCTAGGCACACAGAGGATAGAAAGCTACACCAGAAATGAAAAATCCTTGATTAGCTTTCACCTGAGTTACCTTTGGTAACTCAGGAAATAAAGTTTTGTTCTACTGATTCTCTAGCTAGAAATCCTGTTAAAATATCCACCCAAGGCTTTAAAAATCAGCACCAACCATATGAACCCCTTTGTCAGTTCATGGAAGGATTAATTATCCTAGGAATTCTAATTTAGAGCAATAGTGGAGTCAAGAAGAGGGGTGTTAAAACATCACAGGTGGAGGCACAACCTTAAAATTTAACCTCAGCTGACTTCAGGGACAATTCCAACCACAAATAAGAGACATCAGATCCTGGGGTTTGTTGCAATCTTTCCCTGATCATTATGCTGGTTCCTGTAATGACAGAAACCTTTATCTGCATTTTTTGAGAAATTAAATAATTTGCACAAACGTACCCAGCTATAAAGATGCAAATATTCCAAATAGACAAGACCATTCTTACCTGCTGCCATGACTACCTTCCTTTGTTATATTCTCTGTTTGATCATACAAAGAATTATTTGCTCTGTGGCAGCTTTATACATACTAATAAAGACTTCAAATAAAGCTATAACCCACTCTCTCAGGTAAATTAAAAATACTGATATATTTGTTGTCCATTTACAAATTTATTTTTCAGTAATTAAACTCTCAGAAAAGGCAAGTATTTTTGAGATGTAAGGAGCACCTATTGTCCACCCAATTACTTTACTTTTAAATTAAACTGTTTCAAATTAAAATATATGTAGCAATTTTACTCCAACTTTATCAGCACAGGAAGCTATCAATTTTTTTAATTTTCTCCTTAATATTGCTCTATTTTGAATTTTTATCACTAGATGGTATGAACAATTTCATATATTATCATTTTCCAATTGCATTTCCCCTATTGAATTGTCAGCTCATGTCACTTGCCTGCTTATCTTTTGCAGTCTCAATATTTTTCTCATAACTTGAGTGCATCCTTAATATTTTATAAATATCAAAATATCATACTTGATGTAAACATCTTGTGGTTGATCTTATTACTATTTTCATCATAAGGATATTTTAAACTTGTATATATGAACATATTTTCATTCTTCTTATTATTACTTAGATGTTGAAAAAGTTATTTCTCCATAAACTATTTTGTCTTCTGCCAGTTCTTCTATAATTTGAGATTTTATAATTAACCCTCCAATTTGATGTGATCTAGACATTTCATTCTCCTTCTCAGCACATAAGCAGAAACAGATAAATTATAATTCCCACTCTCAATGGTATAATAGCTATAAAGCTACTCCTTTTTCTTACACCTAGTGAAAAATGCAGCATCATTCTGCAAACAACACTTATTATTACTCCACACCTCACCACCCACTCTCCCACCCACCTCCACCCAAATGGCAATCACTGCCTGATATGGTTTGGGTCTGTGTCCCTGCCCAAATCTCATCTTGAATTGCAATCTCCACCTTTGGAAGTGGGACTTGCTGAAAGGTGGTTGGATCATGGGAGTGGATTTCTCATGAGTGGTTTAGCCCCATCCTGTTGGTGCTGTTCTCACGATAGTGAATGAGTGCTTAGGAGATCTGGTTGTTTAAAAATGTGAAGCACCCACCTCCTGGCCTTCCTTCTTGCTCCTGCCCTAGTCATGTGACATGCTTGCTCCCTGTTTGCCTTCTGCCATGATTGTAAACTTCCTGAGGCCTCCCCAGAAGCCAGGCAGATGACGGTACCATGTTTCCTGTACAACCTGCAGAACCGTGAGCCAATTAAACTGCTTTTCTTTATAAATTCCTTAGTCTCTGGTATTTTTTTATAGCAACCCAAGAACAGACTAATACACTGCCCTTATTCAAATGGAGTATATTTTGGTGATTAGTATAACGTGATTTTTTAATATTTCAAAATGCTAACCAATTATTCCAATGTGATATATTTAATAATCTTTTCTCTTCCCTCCCATGTTTAGTAAATGTATCCATCTTTGTGAGATGTATTTATACCTACTTGATGCTACCCCATTATTTTATATTTTTATTTTTTACCAATATCAAAATTTCTTAAATATTATTGCTTTATTATAGGTTTCAATATATAGCAGGTATTTTTCTCTCTATTGCTGTTCTTTAATGTATTTGTCTTGATTTTTACCTGTTCACTTTTCCAGTGATTTAGAAGTTTTTTTATCAAAATTCTTAAAATTTCTTTTGAGATTTTGATAGAAATACCTTCAAATATACTTTTTTAAAACTTGGATGCCACAATGTATGAATATTTCAAAACAACATGTACGATAAATACATAAAATTTTTGTCAATTAAAAATAAGTTTAAACTTGGAGAACTTACAATTCATACAGCACATTGAGTTACCATGCAAAACTGACTATTGTGCTTCATTTAGAAAAGCTAGACAATATAACTATATTAAAATATTTAAATAATCAGCTCCTAACCAGAAAATGGGGAGTAAACAAGATAATAAAATCTGTAGGAATAAATCTAATTTATTAAAAAAATTTAACTGTCATTACAAAAATTACAGCATCATATAGAATACTATATACAAAAAATTGAGAAATTTAAAAATACTTTTTTACAAGTAATTATATGTCAGTTATTCTTTTCCTATATCATTCCTTTTCTGATTTTTAAGTTAATGGACTTTATTTATCAGTGCAATTTTAGTTTGACACAAAAGCGAATATAAAGTACAGGGAATTTTCATGTACTCTTTCCCTTCTTCTCTCTCCCAACATACTAGTTTCCCCTATTACTAACATCTTGCATTGGTGCGGCACATTTGGTACAATTAATGAACCAATATAATTAAAGTCCATCATTTATATCAGGGCTCACTGTTTGTATTATACAGTTCTATAGATTTTCAGAAACGCATAATGTCATGTATCTACCAATACAGTTTAATACAAAATGATTTTGCGTCCGGAATTGGTTCTTTCCGGTGGGTTCTTGGACTGGCTGACTTCAAGAATGAAGTCACAGACCCTCGTGATGAGTGTTAAAGTTCTTAAAGATGGTGTGTCCACAGTTTGTTCCTTCAGATATTCAGATGTGTCCAGTGTTTCTTCCTTCTGGTGCGTTCGTGGTCTCGCTGACTTTAAGAGTGAAGCTGCAGACCTTCCGGTCAGTGTTACAGCTCATGAAGGCAGCACCGCAGTTGTTCGTTCCTCCAGGTGGGTTCATGGCCTCGCTGGCTTCAGGAGTGAAGCTGCAGACCTTCCCGGTGAGTGTTACAGCTCATAAACGTGGTGCAGACCCAAAGAGTGAGCAGCAACAAGATTCATTGCTAAGAGTGAAAAAACAAAGCTTCTACAGTGCAGAAGGGGACCCGAGTAGGTTGCTGCTGCTGGCCCCCATGGCCTGTTTTTATTCCCATATTTGGCTCCATCACAGCCTGCTGATTGGTCCATTTTACAGAGAGCTGATTGATCCATTTTACAGACTGCTGATTGGTCCGTTGTTACAGAGTGCTGATTGGTGCGTTTACAAACTTTTAGAGCGCTGATTGATCCATTTTACAGACTGCTGATTGGTCCGTTGTTACAGAGTGCTGATTGGTGCGTTTACAAACTTTTAGCTAGACACAGAGCGTTGATTGGTGCATTTACAATCCTTAAGCTAGACAGAAAAGTTCTCCAAGTCCCCACCCCACCCAGAAGCCCAGCCAGCTTCACCTCTCAGTTTCACTGCCCTAAAAATCTCCAGTACTAGCCGGGCGTGGTGGCGGGTGCCTGTAGTCCCAGCTACTGGGAGGCGGAGGCAGGAGAATGGTGTAGACCCTGGAGGCAGAGCTTGCAGTGAGCCGAGATGGTGCCACTGCACTCCAGCCTGGGCTACAGAGCCAGACTCTGAGACTCCGTATCAAAAAAAAAAAGAAAAAAAAAATCCGTGGTACTCTGCATATCACTCCCTCCCTCTATCACTATCACTACACATCTATCACTCCCTCCGTCTCCTCAAACCCCTGGCAACCACTGATCTATTTATTGTCTCTATAGTCTTGCTTTTTCCAAAATGTGATATAGTTGGCTCACACAGTATGAATATGTAGCTTTTTTGGATTGGTTTCTTTAACTTTGCAATATGCTTTTAACGTTCCTTCATGTATTTCAGTGGCTTAATAGCTCATTTCTTTTTTATTGCTTTTGTTGGTTTTTTTCTTTCTTTTTTTTTTTTTTTTTTTTTTTTTTTTTTGGAGACGGAGTCTCGCTATGTCACCTAGGCTGGAGTGCAGTGGTACAATCTCGGCTCTACTCGGGAGACCGAGGCAGGAGAATGGCGTGAACCCGGGAGGTGGAGCTTGCAGTGAGCCGAGATCGCACCACGGCACTCCAGCCTGGGCAACAGAGCGAGGCTCCGTCTGAAGAAAAAAGAAAAAAAAAAGAACTAATTAGTTGCTTCTAATTTGGTGCAGACTTTTCAGACCTTTTCTCTGTTTTTAGCATAAAATGCAGTTGTAAATAGGAAAAGTGATAGTATATATCATTATTATTTTGTTCTTGAATTTAAAAAGAATGTCTATACTTCACCCACATACAAATGTTGGCTTTGTGCATATGAGTGTTAACCATCATTCTTCACACTTTTCTGTATTCTTAAAACTGCATACAGTCAAAAAATACATAATATATGTTGTTAAAGATCAAGGAGAGGAGAGTCCCAGGAACCAGCTATATTTCTTTATTCAAATCTTTTAAATATATCAAAAAAGTTTTTTTATTTCCTTTTCAAAGATTCTACAAAATTTACCTCTTTGAATACTCATTTACATATTTGAATTTTGTTTTATTTTACCATTTCACATATTTGTTATTTTTTAAAAAAGAACTTTAAATGCTTATCAGAGCAAGGTAATGTACAAATTCATGTTTTTCATTGTGACTTTGTAAGGTATCTAGTTTTCATTGTTATTGAACATAATTGATTTTTGTGTGTATATAATGTATTTACATGTATATCTGTGTGTATATTTATACGTACATTCACATAAAATTTTTCTAGTCACTTTCTCAAGTATTTCCATTAATTCTACATGCCCCCCTTTTTAATTCCTGCACCATGATATTTATCTGGTTAAAAGCCTGATAGCACATTTTCTCTATAGAAAATATATCTTTAGAAGCTTCGAGTTCCCAAAATGATCTGTATAGCATTATCTTTTACTTTGCTTAATGTAATGTTTATTTTTCCATGTATTTAATTTTTTCTATTAAGCGTGTAATACATTAATTAAGGTGAGTTAAAAATCTTCTAATTTTTTCTTTTCTGTGTATTTCACATCATTTTGTTGCTGTTATTTTGTACACGTAAGATTATCAGTTATATACTCATTATAATTTATACATTTTATCATATTGTCATGATCCTCTCCACTCATACTATCTTTTCTTTTAATTTTACTCTGCCATTTTTGCTAACTCATTTTACTTTTGGTCTACTTTCAGCAGATATCCTCAGAGCAACAAATCACTAGGCCTTTTAAATAAAAAACAGTCTAAGATTCTGTGTGTTTTATGTATGAATATCAAATATTTATATTACTTGCATCTGTCTTATGCCTTTTTTGGAGAAGTACATTTCCTTTTTCTTTTTCTATTTCCATTGTCTTTTGTATTTTTAGTATAATTAGAAAAAGCAAATGTCTTCTTTCTACCCTTAATCCTAATTGTACCACTCTTATTTTATAATTGAATTCACAGAATTATTTACTTATTTGTAAATTGGGTAAGTGATTTCAATATTCTTTGTATGTATTTTCCACAATAGCTACAAAATTCAACCCTTTTAAAAAATTAATCATTGAACATCTGAATATCATCATCATTAAAGGTAAAGTTTTTGGAAGACAAATCTGAAATATACTAGGCTGTATTTCACATAGTAATAGCATTTCAACTGGGTGTGACATACCTGCATCACATCTTCTTCCTAGAAAACATTTGAAATACTGCTCTGCTATCTTTTGATTGTGATAGTATGATAAAGAAATAGGAGTTACCCAGATTTTAATTCCTCTGATAATTTATCTTTAATTTTGAGATGGGAAGAGCAAAAGAAAATTTCTATACTATGAAATATATAAAATAGCCAGAGTATATCTTATAGAGTGTTTTTGCTTCTTTTATTTATCTGAAATAAAGTGAGACACTGTTGTCTCCTACCTCAGCTATTAACATCTGTATTTCTTTATCTTGTATGCCATTGATTAACAGTCTGTTTTGTTATTCAGAAACTTCTATTTTCCATGTCTGCTCTGACATCTCTCACATTCCCTTTCATCTTTCAGCTCTTTTCTTATGTCCCACCATGTTCCACCAGTCTGACTTTCTGCAGCACTGAATTTGCTGTCTAATGTTTTCAGAAATTATGTGAATTGGTCAACAGCAGAATTCTACCTTTTTCTTCCACAACTCTCATATTCTCTTTTATCAATGAAAATAGATAGCTGTTATTTTCTAAAAACCATTATGAGTCTCTCCTGCACAAAATCCATTTCAAGTCTTATTATCTGAATATTAGGAAAATTATCTCAGGAAGTACAAGGAAACAAAAAAAAGTCAATTATCTCGTTCCAGTCATAAGTAAATACAAATGAGAAAGGAAAAGAGGAAAATAAGCAAACAAAGAGGCTGATCATTTTCTCTTGTATACATCTTGTATGCATTATTATAAAGTTACTATTTTTAATTCAATTAAATTTAATTCAGTGGGCATGTCACTGAAGGATAGGCACACTCTCAGTGCTGAAAATCAAGTCTAAGTCCTAACCACTTCTAGATTTTATCTACAGATTAGGCATTGGAATGATTTATCCCATCCCATCATGCAATACTAGGTTTATACACAGAAGTTCAGAGCCAGAGTTTTGATGGGCCTGCCCTCAATTCTTTCTCCATTGAGGAAGAAGTAGTGTGTTTGTTTTATATTTCACAATTATTCACTCTCCCACCATATTTCCTATAAGAAGTTTCCACATCCTTGCCATTGCCATGTGACTTACTTTGGTCAATGAAATGTGCTCAGTGACTCACATACACCCTGACTGGGCAGAAGTTGTAAAAGGCCTTGTAAGTCTCCACCATTCGAATGGTACATCCCAGACAGATGTTGCTCCTTCAGCCTGGAATCCAGAAGAAGACATGTGGAACAGAACTATAGCCAGGGGCAGAGAACAGCCTGGAGCCACTGAGATCTAGGGGTGTGTGTTAGCAGAGCAAAGCTGACCAGCACTGTTAGGTTTGGAGTTGTATTCGTTTGCTAGGGTTAACATAAAAGGTTCCACAAACTGGGTGGCTTAAACAAGAAAAAATTGTTTCTCACCCTTCTAGAGGCCAGAAATCTGAGATCAAGGTGATCAAGTATCAGCAGGATTGATTCCTTTTGAGAGCTGTGAAGGAGAACTCTGTTCCGTGCCTCTTCCTTAGCTCCTGGTGGTTTGCTAGAAATTTTTGACCGCCTTTGCTTGTAGATGTATCACCCTGAGCTCCGCTTTCACATTCACCTGGAATTCTGTCTGCATGTCTATCTCTGTGTTCAATTTCCCCTTTTACTAGGACACCGGTCCTACTGGACTACAGTCCACCCTAACGACTTCATCTTAACTTGATCATCTGCAAAGATCTTATTTCTAAGTAAGGTCATATTCACAGGTACAAAATGTTAGGATTTCAACATCCTTTTAAAGGATATAATTCAACATCCAGCACAGGAGGACATCAGATTAACAAGAGTCCAAGTAAGGATCTTCAACTTTAGCCAGCAGCAACCTTCTCATACCTATGTTTTAGTCAAGCAGTACCAAGTTTGGGGCTGGAGAGCAGCAGGTTAGCTATTACAAATATTTTTACCAGTGAAGTAATTTTTTTCTGGATAAATGATTGCCTATGCTTTTCCTTGAGAAATTAGAAGGGAAAAATCTACTGGTGCTTTTCCTAATTCAACTATCTTTCTAGACATCATCCAATAGAGATTATTGTCAGGAACAATTTTCTGTAGACATCAATCAAATTAAAAAGAAGTAATAGCAAACATAATGGTATAATTTCTACTTTCAAATATCTAGTAGGAATGTTTAAGATAGCCATCAATGATCATTATGAAGTAACTTTTAGTAACTGAGCCAACATTTCATAATGCCCTGCATTCATTCATGCACACACACACACACACACACACACACACACACAGTCATTGAATTAGTGGTGGTAGTCAACCCAAATTAAGTAGAAGTCTGTATTAACTTATAGCTTTGGTGCCAGCTAAAGGTAATAATAACAGAAACCCTCAAAGTTATCAATTTTCTGTTTTATTTTTATTTGGCATGTATTCTTTATTTTCTGCCTGCATTTCCAAAGTTTCATTACATTAGACTCATATTTAATAAGACTGAAATTTTAGTGGTTGTAGAAGCAAATGGTTGTAGAGTAGTAAGTGAATAAATTGATATAAGATCAGTTTTCTAAAGCATGTGATTTTCAGCTTAATCAATTATTATTCTCTGTGTCCACATTAATTTCTAGGCCTATTATTATTAAAACACTCCTGATTAAATAAATTGAGCTGATACTTATACAAATACTAATTATGGTTTAAGCCAAATTTATATAAACATTTCTACTGGGTTTACACATACTACATTATATGGAATATTCTGACATCAAATTTGTATTCTACTATTAAATATAACTCAATTTTAAAATACTTCGCACTGGTCTGAAATCACAGGAACTGTTAACTCTGCCATGGTTAAGTGAAATGTATTATGCCATTTACGTGGTTTCCACAGCTATGGGACCTAGCAGATAATTAGGTGTTAGAAAAAATCAGAGACTTAGTTCCAAGGCGCCTCTTCTACTGTGCAGAAAGATTGGCAGCACCAATTCCATTAGCCAGAGGCCACATTAAGTCTGAAATTTCAAATGCAGTCAGGGTGGCTGTGTCTCCAGTGGTTGTAAATGGTCATTGACATTCAGACAGATAGTCATATTTTTAGCATTTATTTACCTTTCTTTATTCTTTACCTTCAATATGACTGTCATTGCTCAAAGCAGCTAGGAAAACAAAAGGGATGGGGATAAAGAGTGATAATGCTTCAGCAAGAATGAGGGCTGAGCAATCAAGCATGACTGTACGTAATGTCTAAAAGGTTACAATGCAGTTATCTTTCAGGATTATTTTCTGTATATACCAAATTGATTGTCATGTCATTGAGTAGAATTTTCATTTATTTTATTATTTTTTTCTCAAGCTGCTACATGAACCCAATATTTTATATCCATCTTATAACCAGGAGAGAGTTTCATTTGTCAGGGATAGTATAAGAAATAAAAGATGGATAAAGATTCAGAAGCAAAATAAAAAAGAAAGGAAGATGAAAACAAACTCAGGATTCGGAATCCCGGCAATGCAAACCAATATAAAGGAGATTGTGGGGGTGACCATGAGGGCAAATACTGGAACTCAATCTGAGACAAAATTTCCTCATATGCCTTCTGGAGATCCAAATACAATCTGTCAAAATTATATTATTAAAATGAGATAAATGCCTTATGTAAACAGGATGAAAGTGGCTCATACAAATGGGGAAGCAAAGCAGAGAATGGTGTACAGAATCTTGGTGAATGTCTGCTGTCTCCAGGATGATGTCATGGCTATAAAATAAAATTTATTGTGATACTGTTTCAATGAGATTAAGGAGTCTAGCGCGAGTTCAGAGCACCCTCTGGCCTGCTGAGTTTGTCTGTAATGTATGGTTAAGAGTCATACAAGAAATGCTAGAGCTATCACGTTGGTTGTGAACCATCAAAAGTTTCTGTGGATTATATTAATGTTGAATGGATAGACATACCCCTTTGGGGTGGCAGCAACAAAGCTACAGCAATGAAGGAAGAAGCCTGTCCACATACATGTCTCCTAAGACCATCTCTATGTGGCTCTGAATCTTAGTCAGGCACTGGTATTCATGAGCACCTGGATGAATGCTCACTAGAGACCTTCCTGGGCAAGACTGCCTTACTCATTCCCAAATAATGCAGCCTGGGAAACAAGACACCTAACTGCTTATTTCAGGAACCCATCAAATCCAGATCCTCCTCAACTTACAATGGAGTTAAGTTGTGATAAACTCATTGTAATTCATGATAAACTCATTGGAAATTGAAAATACTGTAAGTTGAAAATGCATTTAATATGCCTAACCTACCAAACATCATAATTCAGCCTTGCCTACCTTAAACATGCTCAGAACACTTGCATTTCCTACAGTTGGGCAAAACCATCCAGCACAAAGCTTATTTTATAATGAAGTATTGAGTTATCTTGTGTAATTTATTGAATATTATACTGAAAGTAATAAACAGGATGGTTGTAGGGGTGCTTGAAATACAGTTTCTACTAAATATATATTACTTTCACACCATCGTAAAGTCAAAAAGTCATAAGTCGAGCCATCATAAGCCAGGGACCATCTGTATGCAATAGAGAACACTCAAAAACTTCCAATACCTTTTTGGCATCATGCAGACAAGTTGAATAGACTGAACATGGCCTAGGTATTTCATTTTTTGGCATCCAAATTTAATTTCTCAAGGTTGATACCCCGGTAGTTCTATCATATTTGCTACAGAGATACTCAAACCAGAGATCTACATTAGTTTGCATTTATCAGGTACATGAGCATATTATCAATATGGAGGACAGTTGTGCTTAATTTCCTTTATTCATTACCCACTGGGAGATGGTGGAGTCACTGTGTAGGCCAAAAATAATAATACTTCGTGACTAGGCTTGTCTCCATTTGGAAGAAACTTCTTTAATTCAGGGTCACTGGACTACACAGAAAAGGTTTTAGTCACACTCCTGATCTAGCTTCATGAAGTCATTTGTTCCACCAAGTTTGTCAGGAAGCTTGATAGTAGATTTCTTGAATGATGATTGAGATGAGACTGGCATAATCTCAACATATTTAGTCCATCATTCTTCTAGTTATTATGTTTGTATGTTTGTAATCTGTGGAATTTTGGGAACTTAGATGTAGTTTCAGAAAATGGGGACTTGGTGAGATCTTGGGCTCTATAGCTTCAATTATGGAATTTATTGGCATTCATCTTACAAACAGAACATTTGTTCAGGGTATCAGCCTGAGATACGATTCTATTGCAGGGCAGACAGGTGGACAGGTATAGGTAATGTAGGCAGCAAAACTGAAGTCAAGAATAATGCATGGGTCTTCTAAATAATAATGAGACAGTATATCCGCAAGCAAAAGCTCTATGAGTGAGAGGTAACATGGTCAGTAGATGCTGAGCAGCAAGAGCTTATCGATGTGATAGAGGGTCACTTGTGTGATATTTTGGGTAATGATTCCAGCATGAGATCTGCAGTGTAAGATTTCATAGAAGAAGCTTTGAACATGATGGGGAGCAGGTAGACATGCTAATGCCCCTCCTTAGGAGTTAGTACAACTACCCTGCAAATGTATAAAAATGGCTCCAGGTGGGGGAAGAGTGGGACTGCAGAATGAGCTCTAGACTAGACCAGTTCTGTATTGCGTGGATTTTTATTTTTCTATAGTGAGGGAAGTACCTCTTGAACCATACAATCTGCCTTACCACAAATTGCATATAGGTGTCCTCCGTTGATTTGCCATCACTTGCAGTGGGCATACCTTATAAATGCCAACAGGGAGAAGGAATGTGTGTTCTACTCCATCTCCCTTGGATAGGAATTTGCCACACCTTCATGTTCCTGGCAACCGAACCACACACTTCTGACTGTCCTTCACAGGAGGGTGGGCAGTCCCTATCCAGGCTCCTACCTAGCTTCTCATTCCTGTCAGTTCAGAAAACCTGGAGGTTAATAATAGCAGTAAGAGCAATACTTATAATAAAAGCAATACCTGTTATTGGAAGCTTACTATGTACCATACCAATCACTGTGCTAAGAGCTTCACATATATTTTCTTACTTAATGATCACAAAAATATTTCATGAAATTAAATACAATTGTAATCTCAGGAATATGAGACTTAGTGAAACAACTTCCCTGAAGTCTCACATCTAGTAAATAGTAGGAAAGAATCGAAACTCAGTTCTGTCAGATGCCAAAGGCCACAGTCTCAAACATGCTCAGGAGATATATACACACACACAAACATACGTTTCTGCATATACATATATACATACACAGACGAGAGAGAGATTATTCTTAGAAAAGGGATTTTGCATGGCTCTCTAATTACCTACTAAATGTCAAATCTCCCCTTCTCCTTTATTAACCAAAACCTTGATTTTGGTGGAGTGCCAATTTGTCCAACTAAAAATCTTCCTTTTCCAGCCATTCTTGTAGCTGTAGATGATCCTGTGACCCAGTTGTGACAAAGGAAACATAATTGGGAATCTGATAGAAATTTCTCCATGAGTTTTTCACACTCCTATAATAGTTCCTGCCCCTTCCTCTTTCCTGTTTCTATTTTCATTCAGGCTAGGATATGAACCTGATGCTTGGAGGTATAGAACCATTCAGAGACCCACACACTAAGGATAGTAGAGTAGGAAAATGGAAGAAATCTGAATCTTAATGACATCACAGCATCACTGAATTTTTATCTATTTATGGCTGAGTACATTCCTTACTGATATGAATATTAATAAATACTAGTTATGTATCTTATAGTTCAAATTTTGTGAATTAAAAGCTCTTCGATCTTAATTCTTATTATACTGGGGTCATCTTTGGTAGTGGGCACCTCTAGAATACACAATAGCCCTCACAAACTTCAAAACTTTTCTATATAGGTCTCATTGCAGTTAAAACACCCACACAATTTCGCACAAAAGACTTCCATGTTCCAGGCACTTAACAGCATTGGTGCTACAACTTGATTAGTTTAAGTAAATTATGGGGGTGGGGAGATTATGATAGCTTCTACTGCATTCCAGCCAATTTGCACATTTTCCTAGAATTATTTTAAATGTTGTTATCACCCAAACACCTGCTGCTATGTAGGCAGGGAAGCAAGGCAAAAACAAGTGAGGAAGCTAAACATACTAAATTAAAAGCAAATATGCACAATCCCTAAATACGGGATACAAATCATAGCTTTTAAATTTGAAGGGCAGTACACTTGGTTACTAACCAGTCTCTAAGTCTCTATAAGTACTCAGACCCAGATGAGAAGAAAAAAATAATCCTGATAGTTTCTGTATTGTTTTCTCTTATTTTCACTCTATGCTTTCTATAGAATGAAAACATTTTAAAGGGTTCATTCTTATTGCCTTTCTTCTTTTTTCAGAAAACTCAGCTGTGACTGACGTTATAGCCAAAATTTTGCCCAAAACATCTATTAAGCTTCTTTACTCAAAAGCAACACAAATACAAAATCATAGTGTATTAGCCTGTTCTCATGCTACTATAAAGAACTGCCAGAGACTGGGTAATTTATAAAGGAAAGGGTTTAGTTGACTCAGAGTTCCACATGGCTGGGAAGGCATCAGGAAACTTGCAATCATGGTAGAAGGGGAAGCAAACATGTCCTTCTTCACATGGCAGCAGAAGAGAGAAGGAGTGCCAGCAGGCAAAAATAAAACCATCAAATCTCATAAGAACTCACTCGCTATCACGACAACGGCATGGGGGAAACCCGGCTCCATGATTCAATTACCTCCCACTAGGTGCCTCCCACAATATGTGAGGATTATGGGGATTATAATTCAAGATGAGATTTTCGCTGGGGACACAGCCAAACCATATCACATAGGTAGTAAGGAAAAATGATATTAAACATAACTTTATGTGATTTAAACATTAAAAATTGTTGATTTTTTAAAATTTGATGATTCAATGGAAGGAGGTGGGAAGTGGGGAGAACGACTTAGAGCTTCCAACATGAAGAATTTAAGGCTGGTTCTTAGAATAAATATCACATCTCCAAAGTTCTTTTGTAACTCCTAACACTGGCCACTTCCTTCTTATTTGAGTTTGGGAGAAAGGAATCAAAGGAGAAAGAAACCAAAATCCAAACTTCAGTTTCTTCATGACCACCCTTTAAATAGTGATAGGGAATTTTATTAATTACTATGCCAAGGTCAAGTTGGTGCCTGATTATTTCAAAAAGGCCAACAGAGCAGGGAACAGGACCATCTTCTCAAAGGTCATGCACAGCTATTCTGGGAGATTGTGTTGCATGTGGTATGCAACTGGGGAAGAGGAAGTCAGTAGGATGCTGGGAGGTGCTGACAGGGCAATAAGAACGAAAGTAAAGGTAAAACATTTTCACCTGTTGCCATAAGCAGAAAAAACACACAAGGACAGAGAATCATCTATGGAGTATTTTTTTTCAATTTTTATTATACATTTATAGAATGCTTGCTGTATTGGATAAAAATGCTATACTGCCGCTTGAACCTACAATAAATATTGACAATATTTTTTAAAGCATATAATAGTGGAAAGGTATTTTTGAATGAAACTTGAATCATCAAGTGGCTGGGATTATATTGGTTATATATTGGTGGCTACTGTGCAGGTCGTATGAACTTAAGCATGGAGCTTGTCTGCCCTGTGAAGAAACGCAATAACAAAAATCCAAGCCCAGTAGTGTTGCATTCTCCATGCCAACTCAACTCCTAGGAGAATGGTGTCAATGACTCACAAGGCACCAAATGTGGTTCTTTGAAAATCATTGCAAACCCAGAGGGACAAGTTGGGGAAAAATACCATTATAAATTGTATGTTCTAGGCAGAAAATCAGATGTAGGCAGCATTATATAAATCCTCTAAATTTAGGAAATCTAAAAACTTGCTTATGAAATCACCTCCTGGAAACTGGTTTTTACCTACATGTAATGATCTCTCTATTTCTTACGATTTTTGTTTAGTTTTGTTTTTCTGGAAGAATTGAGGGAGTAAGTGCAGATATCCTGGGACTGGATCCAATCTTTTACCCTTCTGAGCATACTAAGACCTGCTATTTTGAACTTGTTTTTTATTTACAATTAAGGAGACCTTTGAATTACAGATCCAGTCTACTGTCTACCAGAAATTAGAGAAAAACACTTTGAGGCATGGTTAGAAAATGTCATAGGGCCAATAACAAGCCCATGATCCCTGCTTTCTTTGTATCCTTGTGTAATGTTCTCTCCTTGAGTGTGGACTGAGCCTAGGGACTCCCTTCTACTGAATAGAATATGACAAAGTAACGTGGTGTCAATTTTGAAGTTGGGTTACAAAAAGACAATGGCTTCCATCTTCGGAAGCCTCTCCTACTGTTGTGTTCACTTGGTCTATGGGAAGCCGGCTGCCATTATATGAACAGCTTTATGATGAGTCCTACATGATGAGGAATTCCTATCTCCAATCAACATCCAGGGAAGACCAGGGGTCTGCCCATAGCCATGTGAGAAGGTTGGGAGACAGATTTTCCTCCACTTAAGCCTAAGGACAGCAGCTTGGCTGACACCTGATTGCAGCTCAAAGGCAGATGCTTAGTCAGAGGCACCCAGCTAAGCTACACTTGACTCCCAGACCTTGGAAACTGTGACATAATAAATGTTGTTTTAAGCTGCTCAGTTTTCAGGTAAGTTGTCATGCATCAAAAGGTAACTAATACAATTTTTATGGATTCAAAGCCTCAAAGGCTGACATATGCTACAGAGAAGATAAGATTATACAGAGTCCAAATTCGGAGTTAATTATAGACTCAAATCTACTCACTTGGACTTCCAGTTCACTAGTGAGTTATATCTCCACCCTGAAGAATATACCCTACAAGGAAATAGTAGGGATTCAGGTCAAAGAGCCATTAGAACTGATTTGTCTTTAGTTCCTATGTAGTTCCTTTAATAGTGAGTTCTCCATCAGGAACATAGAACATGGCCTACAGAATGAGAGGTGCATGGTTCAAGTCCAGGAACAGAGGACAGCAGCTGGCTATAACTGGCTTGGACAGTCTACTACGCATATTTCTCCCACCCTCATACTCAGTATAGTGAAGTTGGTAGCTTGAAATTGACTATGATGAAAGCATTTACACCAAGAAAACTGGCAAATGCTACAAATCAAATTTTTTTTCAGAATCAACTATTGAACGTTTACCAGCACACCACTATTTATAACCAAGAACTACTGATTTTCGTAGACATTATCACAGACCCAAGGAACTACCCAAATTTTATTTCTGGTGAAATGAATCAGGACTAAGGAAAAGAAAAAGGTGATCATGGTTGTCCTATGGAAAAGGGGAAAATGAGTAGATGAGTTGGGATTGAACACATCAGTGCAGACATGGGGAGCCTAAGTTGATGCAAGTGTACCTCAGCCTCTTGAACTCAGATTCATATGAGCAAGATCCTAGTAGCTACTATTATAACCAATTCGTAGACATGGAAAGTAAGAACTAGTGTATCGCAGCTCCAAGAGAAAGAAAGAGAGAATAATTCACCTTTCCTTTGTTTTTATTCTAGCCCCCACCCAATTACATGGTGCCCCCACACAATGAGAGAAAATCTCCCTTAGTATAATCGGATTCACACGCGAATCTCCACTGGAAACATCCTCACAGACACAACAGAAAATAATGCTTCCTCAGTTCTCTAGGTACTTCTTAATCCAGTCAAGCTGACACCTAAAATTAACCATCACAATGGCTAAGGTAAAAGATTCATTACTAAAACTGGGGAGACATCTGGGGACAAATTGAAGCAAAAATTAAAGAGTTCCATTCAAGATGTTTTATAGGAGCAATTGTAAAGCCCACTGCACAAGAAGTAAGCTATAAAAAATAACTCAACACAAAATATCTAATGTCTTTAGATTTCTATTTACTGGAAGTCAGAATGTAACACAACGTCACATTCATCTCTGAAGCCATCAGAATGTGGAACACATTTTCTAAGGTTCATGGTTCCCACCATTTGGGGTCCTCACTAGTGAATTTGCATGAGGCAACAGTGATGCACAAACCAAATAAAAATAAGGCTACTTTTTAAAAATCAAACTGTCATCTACAGAACTCTCCACCCCAAATCAACAGAATATACATTCTTTTCAGCACCACACCACACCTATTCCAAAACTGACCACATAGTTGGAAGTAAAGCTCTCCTCAGCAAATGCAAAAGAACAGAAATTATAACAAACCGTCTCTCAGGCCATAGTGCGATCAAACTAGAACTCAGGATTAAGAAACTCACTCAAAACCGCTCAACTATATGGAAACTGAACAACCTGCTCCTGAATGACTTCTGGGTACATAACAAAATGAAGGCAGAAATAAAGATGTTCTTTGAAACCAACGAGAACAAAGACACAACATACCAGAATCTCTGGGACACATTCAAAGCAGTGTGTAGAGGGAAATTTATAGCACTAAATGCCCACAAGAGAAAGCAGGAAAGATCTAAAATTGACACCCTAAAATCACAATTAAAAGAACTAGAGAAGCAAGAGCAAACACATTCAAAAGCTAGCAGAAGGCAAGAAATAACTAAGATCAGAGCAGAACTGAAGGAAACAGAAACACAAAAAACACTTCAAAAAATCAATGAATCCAGGGGCTGGTTTTTTTAAAAGATCAACAAAATTGATAGACCGCTAGCAAGACTAATAAAGAAGAAATGAGACGAGAATCAAATAGACGCAATAAAAAATGATAAAGGGGATATCACCACCGATCCCACAGAAATACAAACTACCATCAGAGAATACTACAAACACCTCTATGCAAATAAACTGGAAAATCTAGAAGAAATGGATAAATTCCTCGACACATATACTCTCCCAAGACTAAACCAGGAAGAAGTTGAATCTCTGAATAGACCAATAACAGGAGCTGAAATTGTGGCAATAATCAATAGCTTACCAAAGAAAAAGAGTCCAGACCAGATAGATTCACAGCCGAATTCCACCAGAGGTGCAAGGAGGAACTGGTACCATTCCTTCTGAAACTATTCCAATCAACAGAAAAAGAGGGAATCCTCCCTAACTCATTTTATGAGGCCAGCATCATCCTGATACCAAAGCCTGGCAGAGACACAACAAAAAAAGAGAATTTTAGACCAATATCTCTGATGAATATCAATGCAAAAATCCTCAATAAAATACTGGCAAACCGAATCCAGCAGCACATCAACAAGCTTATGCACCATGATAAGTGGGCTTCATCCCTGGGATGCAAGGCTGGTTCAATATATGCAAATCAATAAATGTAATCCAGCATATAAACAGAACCAAAGACAAAAACCACATGATTATCTCAATAGATGCAGAAAAGGCCTTTGACAAAATTCAACAACCCTTCAGGCTAAAAACTCTCAATAAATTAGGTATTGATGGGACGTATCTCAAAATAATAAGAGCTATTTATGACGAACCCACAGCCAATATCATACTGAATGGGCAAAAACTGGAAGCATTCCCTTTGGAAACTGGCACAAGACAGGGATGCCCTCTCTCACCACTCCTATTCAACATAGTGTTGGAAGTTCTGGCCAGGGCAATTAGGCAGGAGAAGGAAATAAAGGGTATTCAATTAGGAAAAGAGGAAGTCAAATTGTCCCTGTTTGCAGACGGCATGATTGTCTATCTAGAAAACCCCATTGTCTCAGCCCAAAATCTCCTTAAGCTGATAAGCAACTTCAGCAAAGTCTCAGGATACAAAATCAATGTACAAAAACCACAAGCATTCTTATACACCAATAACAAACAAACAGAGAGCCAAATCATGAGTGAACTCCCATTCACAATTGCTTCAAAGAGAAGAAAATACCTAGGAATCCAACTTGCAAGGGACGTGAAGGACCTCTTCAAGGAGAACTACAAACCACTGGTCAACAAAATAAAAGAGGACACAAACAAATGGAAGAACATTCCATGCTTATGCGTAGGAAGAATCAATATGATGAAAATGGCCATACTGGCCAAGGTAATTTATAGATTCAATGCCATCCCCATCAAGCTTACCAATGACTTTCTTCACAGAATTGGAAAAAACTACTTTAAAGTTCATATGGAACCGAAAAAGAGCCCGAGTTGCCAAGTCGATCCTAAGTCAAAAGAACAAAGCTGGAGGCATCACGCTACCTGACTTCAAACTATAATACAAGGCTACAGTAACCAAAACAGCATGGTACTGGTACCAAAACAGAGATATAGACCAATGGAACAGAACAGAGCCCTCAGAAATAATGCTACCTATCTACAACTGTCTGATCTTTGACAAACCTGACAAAAACAAGAAATGGGGAAAGGATTCCCTATTTAATAAATGGTGCTGGGAAAACTGGCTAGCCATATGGAGAAAGCTGAAACTGGATCCCTTCCTTACACCTTGTATAAAAATTAATTCAAGATGGATTAAAGACTTAAATGTTAGACCTAAAACCATAAAAACCCTAGAAGAAAACCTAGGCATTACCATTCAGGACATAGGCATGGGCAAGGACTTCATGTCTAAAACACCAAAAGCAATGGCAACAAAAGCCAAAATTGACAAATGGGATCTAATTAAACTAAAGAGCTTCTGCACAGCAAAAGAAACTACCATCAGAGTGAACAGACAACCTACAGAATGGGAGAAAATTTTTGCAATCTACTCATCTGACAAAGGGCTAATATCCAGAATCTACAATGAACTCAAACAAATTTACAAGAAAAAAACAAACAACCCCATCAAAAAGTAGGTGAAAGACATGAACAGACACTTCTCAAAAGAAGACATTTATGCAGCCAAAAGACACATGAAAAAATGCTCATCATCACTGGCCATCAGAGAAATGCAAATCAAAACCACAATGAGATATCATCTCACACCAGGTAGAATGGCAATCATTAAAAAGTCAGGAAACAACAGGTGCTGGAGAGGATGTGGAGAAATAGGAACACTTTTACACTGTTGGTGGGACTGCAAACTAGTTCAACCATTGTGGAAGTCAGTGTGGCGATTCCTCAGGGATCTAGAACTAGAAATACCATTTGACCCAGCCATCCCATTACTGGGTATATACCCAAAGGATTATAAATCATGCTGCTATAAAGACACATGCACACGTATGTTTATTGCAGCACTATTCACAATAGCAAAGACCTGGAACCAACCCAAATGTCCAACAGTGATAGACTGGATTAAGAAAATGTGGCACATATACACCATGGAATACTATGCAGCCATAAAAAATGATGAGTTCATGTCCTTTGTAGGGACATGGATGAAATTGGAAACCATCATTCTCAGCAAACTATCCCAAGGACAAAAAACCAAACACTGCATGTTCTCACTCATAGGTGGGAATTGAACAATGAGAACACATGGACACAGGAAGGGGAATATCACACACCGGGGCCTGCTGTGGACTGGGGGGAGCGGGGAGGGATAGCATTAGGAGATATACCTAATGTTAAATGATGAGTTAATGGGTGCAGCACACCAGCATGGCAGATGTATATATATGTAACAAACCTGCACGTTGTGCACATGTACCCTAAAACTTAAAGTATAATAAAATAAATAATTAATTAATAAATAAAATAACAATTAAATTGTCCAGAAAACAATATTCAAAACCAAATACTAGGCAAACATTAAGTAAGACCTGAGGGTCCTATTAGCTTGAAGGCAAAATAAAATAAAATACAAAAAAAATCAGATAACATTTGGCCCTTCTGGTTGCACTGGAACTATGGATTAAGAATTATCTAATCTCAACCTAATGACAAAAGAAATATGTATAATGTATAAACAAAAATCAAGATTTTCAGGGATAGCTACATGAGAAAGTAAGCTGCCTGGGTGGCTTGCTGAAGAGAGAAAAGCTGAAGATAAAGAGATCCAGATGCTATTTTGTACAGAAAGTACCAGATACCCCATAAGCAATCTTACCCAAAAAAAAGTATTTGCTAAAACAAAGAAAATCAGGTATCATAGGAAGACACCAAAAAATAAAATGATAAAGTTTTATCTGATCAGATAAAACACAGGCAAATGCTTTTCTTCGGGCCACTACTGACCTCAGAAACAGACTAGAAAATGCTTTGTCTGTGTGGAAGCCCATTTCAGGAGTTAGATGATCTGTACAACTTTAAAATCCTTTCACAAGAGCATCTATGGCTGAACATCTCATTAGGTTTTTATTTCTTGCTAGATTCTACCCTGTAACAGTTTTAGATTCTTGTGAGACAAAGCATGAAAAGGGTACATGATGAGGGTCTTTTGAGAGCACTGTCATAGGGATTTTATATTTTTTAGAGAACATATTTAAAAGACATGGTACCCTTGTTAGAAGTTATTTAAAACAATAAGCATCTTATAATCACTACTCCTGGAGAGAATAATAATAGCAAAGGGTATGAAGGGGTTTCTGGAGGTACTAGCTATGTTTCTTTTAAGTCTGGGCTGGCTACATGGATGTTTTCCAATTTGTGAGACTACATTGAGCTGTATAGTTATAATTTGTGCACTCTTCTGCATGTACATTATATTTCAGTAAAAGCAAATAAGTAAATGATAGCTACCTGAAATCACTATTCCACCTGTTTTGGGAAGACTAATCTAACAGAAAATATTTATGATGCACTATATAAGAGCAGAGGGCTATGCTGGGTGCTATGTGACAGAATCCCCCTCCTCAAGGAGCTTTCCATTCAATAAAAAAGAGAGGAAGGACTCACAACCAATTAATGCACACTGCATTGTAAATAAATAACAGAGTAAAAAGTGACAAGTATTACAGAAGTAACACAGATGCAGCATCATTGTTACAGAAGTTGGAGGGAGGGAAAATCATTTTTGATGGTAAAAACCATAGTATGAATATTCTATTACTGTCCCCTCAACACCTCACCCAGAATCCTGAAACACCTTGCATATGGTGGGCATTAACTAGATCAATGGAGGCAGATCAAAAAATAGCAAAGGCTTTGTAAACAGTGACAGGCAGAACTGGTTTTAATCCCAGTTCTATCATTTACAGAGTGTGTGAGCCCTTGAATAATTTAACCAGATTAATCAAGTATGGGTTTTGTTTTCCCAGCCCTTCCACCCTTTTCAAATTGAAATCATTAAGGGGAGTGAGGAGAACCTTTCTCTTCTCACTTGAAACCTGCTACTATAGTGGAGGTAACCAGTGTTAGTACCCAATTCCCTACCTTTCAGTGGTCCAGGAGTGGGCATATGGCCCATACCAGACTACTCAGAGTTATTGCCTATGTCTCTTGGATTGCAAAACTGTGAGAGAAAGAGCTTCCAGGGACCATGTCTCCAGCCATATGGCAAAAGCCATGAAAAGGAATGAAGATGATATGCACAAAAATGCAGGGAGAGCCAGTAAGAGAATGGGGACTGTTATCACTACTCTCTTCTGTTTCAGAAACCCCTGATACAAGAGGTGTCCCTTTCCTTTCCATGACTTTGGTGTCACGGAAACCAATTATGGTTTGTCATGAAAACCAATTGTTATGGCAACCAGTTCCCCATCTTGCCTAAATAAGTTCAAGCTGTGTTTTGGTCACATAAATCAAAAAAGCCATGACTAACACATTTCCCTCCATTAAGCCATGGCTTTTTTCATCTGCGAAATTGAGAATACAAATATTTAATAGATAAGTTTGTAATAAAGATGAAATACTTTATGTAAAGTACAGCTGCTCAGTAATAATTTCTTACTATGTACTATCAATGTGAGGATTTCCATCACCCATACAGGAATTCTCCAAATGATGGAGATTTCTCAAAGAACTTAAAAAAAATATTATTCAGCCCAGCAATTCCTCTACTGGGTATATTTCCAAAAGAAAAAGAAATCTTTCTACCAAAAAGACACATGCACTTGCATGTTCACTGCAGCACTGTTCAAACAGAAAAGACATGCAGTCAACCTAGGTGTCCATCAATGGTGGACTGGATACAGAAAATGTGGTACATATACACAATGGAATACTATGCAGCTATTAAAAAGAACAAAATCATGTGCTTTGCAGCAACATGAATGCAGCTGGAGACCATTATCTTAAGTGAACAGAAAAAGAAAACCAAATTTCACGTGTTCTCACTTACAAATGAGAGCTAAACACTGGGTACTCATAGACATAAAGATGGCAACAGTAGACATGAGGGACTACTAGATGGAGGAGGGAGGGAGACAAGGGTTAAAAATTAACTACTGGGTACTCTTCTTAGTACCTGGGTGATGAGATCATTTGTATCCCAAACCTCAGCATTTTGCAATATACCCAGGCAATAAACCTGCATGTGTACCTCCTGAATCTAAAATAAAAGTTGAAAAAAAAAAAAGACTTCTCCAAACTAGTTTCAATCTACATTGCCTCTACTATACTGCCTCTACCTCACAAAGCAGCTGGACAATTCACAAATTATACACCATCATCCAATAAAGGCAAAAGATAGACTGATCTCAGATATTTTCTACACACCCTCCTTGCTTTTTCCCCAATCAACTCTCTTTTCGAACCCATGACTATCTGATTCACTAGATTGTTCGCCATCTCAAATTTGATCCTGCCTCTGGCCTATTGGACTAGGATTTCATGGTTGTTTTCCACAGCATTTTACTTACTAATATCCCTGAAGATTTTTTTGTCATTTGACACATCCTCAAACTCTTCTTCCTGAAGGCAAAATTAGTTAAGGATGTTCTTAATTTGGCCTCCTGAATTTTAACCTCTGGCAGTAGCTGTGTGGTTAACACTTCTGGTCTATTAACTAGAATGATCTTCACCCCTTTCCAAGGAATAAGTCCAACCAGCCTGAAATTATTTCCAAAATATCAGAAAACTTAATAATTATAAATAAAATTGAATGAGCATTTATTATGTTATCAGGCTCTGTGCTACCCTGAATGTTTACATTATTTCATTTAATCTTCACTGCAAGACTGGAAAGCAGGTACTGTTACTTTGCCTAGTTGGTAGGTAAGGAAACTGAATCATAGAACATTTAAATAACTTTTTATTATATAAAATGTTTAAAACCTTATAGATACTAAGTTGGAAAGTTCACATTTAAACTCAGGCAATATGACAATAAAAACATTTTTTTTGAAACAGGGTCTTATTCTGTCACCAAGGCTGGACTGCAGTGGCACAATCATGGCTCACTGCAGCCTTGACTACCTGGGCTCAAGTCATCCTCCCACCTCAGCTCCCTGAGCAGTTGAGACTACAGGCATGTGCCACGACGCTGGGCTAATTGTTGTATGTTTTGTAGAGACAGGATTTTGCCATGTTGCCCAGGTGGGTCTCAATTTAAACACTGTAAGGGGATATGCAATAAACCAAACATTTCCATTTCATCCTGGTCCCATCTTGCCTCCTCATACACCCACCAAATTCATGTTAGAATATGAATTCCCTAGTCTGCATCTGCTTATGGATTATATATTGTCAGTAGACAAATTTGCATATCATTCTGTGATATATGGACTCAACGTAAACGAAAAACACTACTATCATTTTTACTTCTCCCACTATCATGAGCATTTCCCTCCTAGGAAACACAAAAATTTATTGGTATGAGATGAAGACTCAGAGATCAAAGCATTTAGAAAAGAGACTTGCTTTCAAAAATGTTGGCAGGGGAGTCAGACTTCAGAAAGAGTAGCTTGTCAAATAAAAAACACAACATAAATGTAAGGGGGAAAAACTGTGAAATTACCAAGGTTACACAGTTTACACCAATCGATTTGTAGTAGATAAACAACAACTTTCTCACATAATTATCATATCCACAAAGGATGTTACATATCTTTAGAAATCAACTTTGCATAAGTCCGGGTTATACTTATTCTGCTAGAGATTGAGTAATTTAGAGGACATGCCCAAGGATTTATTTATTTTAGGGAGCAGAATTAGACAGGGTGACCCTGTTATTTTTGGTTTATCTCATTCTGAGACATAATATTCATCTTTATTTATGATGGGGGCAGGACAAAGTGTTCATTTTGCTTCCATATTGGCCATTTTTGGCATGCCTATGATGGCACTAGACAACAGTTAGGTCATCTGGGCAACCTGAAAAATAAAAATACTTTGTGGCTGAATCAGAAACCATGTCATTGCTAAAACAGTTATTCCCATTAGCACTTCATGGAAGGAAATGTTGAGGAAAGGCATTTTAATGAGCTGAGACAGCTCTGATTTCCCACAACTTAAAGAAAACAACATAATCCTGCCGAAAGAACACAGACTCAGAAATAGTGGACATGAGTCCTAGCTACATAAATTACCAGGGCTGTGATTCCAACAAAATCACTGTTTTGCAAGTGATATGGAGCACAATGATTGCATTCCTTTCGTTAATGGGGTATTCTATAAAGACACATGGAGAATAACTGTATCACTCAGAGAATAATCAGAGAAGCAGACCTCCTAGCAGACATACATAATAAGAGATTTATTATAAAGATTTGACCTTACACAATTATGGGGCTAGTTAAGCAACAGCAGGAAATTTTTTTTTTATTATACTTTAAGTTTTAGGGTACATGTGCACAATGTGCAGGTTAGTTACATATGTATACATGTGCCATGCTGGTGTGCTGCACCCATTAACTCGTCATTTAGCATTAGGCATATCTCCCAATGCTATCCCTCCCCCCACCCCACCCCACAACAGTCCCCAGAGTGTGATGTTCCCCTTCCTGTGTCCATGTGTTCTCATTGTTCAATTCCCACCTATGAGTGAGAACATGTGGTGTTTGGTTTTTTCTCCTTGCGATAGTTTACTGAGAATGATGATTTCCAATTTCATCCATGTCCCTACAAAGGACATGAACTCACCATTTTTTATGGCTGCATAGTATTCCATGGTGTATATGTGCCACATTTTCTTAATCCAGTCTATCACTGTTGGACATTTGGGTTGGTTCCAAGTCTTTGCTATTGTGAATAGTGCCACAATAAACATACATGTGCATGTGTCTTTATAGCAGCATGATTTATAGTCCTTTAGGTATATACCCAGTAATGGGATGGCTGGGTCAAATGGTATTTCTAGTTCTAGATCCCTGAGGAATCGCCACACTGACTTCCACAATGGTTGAACTAGTTTACGGTCCCACCAACAGTGTAAAAGTGTTCCTATTTCTCCACATCCTCTCCTGCACCTGTTGTTTCCTGACTTTTTAATGATTGCCATTCTACCTGGTGTGAGATGGTATCTCATTGTGGTTTTGATTTGCATTTCTCTGATGGCCAGTGATAATGAGCATTTTTTCATGTGTTTTTTGGCTGTATAAATGTCTCCTTTGGAGAACTGTCTGTTCATGTCCTTCGCCCACTTTTTGATGGGGTTGTTTGTTTTTTTCTTGTAAATTTGTTTGAGTTCATTGTAGATTCTGGATATTAGCCCTTTGTCAGATGAGTAGGTTGCGAAAATTTTCTCCCATTCTGCAGGTTGCCTGTTCACTCTGATGGTAGTTTCTTTTGCTGTGCAGAAGCTCTTTAGTTTAATTAGATCCCATTTGTCAATTTGGTGCCAAAACACCAACACCATTGCTTTTGGTGTTTTAGACATGAAGTCCTTGCCCGTGCCTATGTCCTGAATGGTAATGCCTAGGTTTTCTTCTACGGTTTTTATGGTTTTAGGTCTAACGTTTAAGTCTTTAATCCATCTTGAATTAATTTGTGTATAAGGTGTAAGGAAGGGATCCAGTTTCAGCTTTCTCCATATGGCTAGCCAGTTTTCCCAGCACCATTTATTAAATAGGGAATCCTTTCCCCATTGCTTGTTTTTCTCAGGTTTGTCAAAGATCAGATAGTTGTAGATATGCGGCGTTATTTCTGAGAGCTCTTTTCTATTCCATTTATCTATATCTCTGTTTTGGTACCAGTATCATGCTATTTTGGTTACTGTAGCCTTGTAGTATAGTTTGAAGTCAGGTAGCGTGATGCCTCCAGCTTTGTTCTTTTGGCTGAGGATTGACTTGGCGATGCAGGCTCTTTTTTGGTTCCATATGAACTTTAAAGTAGTTTTTTCCAATTCTGTGAAGAAGGTCATTGGTAGCTTGATGGGGATGGCATTGAATCTATAAATTACCTTGGGCAGTATGGCCATTTTCACGATATTGATTCTTCCTACCCATGAGCATGGAATGTTCTTCCATTTGTTTCTATACTTTTTATTTCATTAAGCAGTGGTTTGTAGTTCTCCTTGAAGAGGTTCTTCACGTCCCTTGTAAGTTAGATTCCTAGGTATTTTATTCTCTTTGAAGCAATTGTGAATGGGAGTTCACTCATGATTTGGCTCTCTGTTTGTCTGTTATTGGTGTATAAGAATGCTTGTGATTTTTGCACATTGATTTTGTATCCTGAGACTGCTGAAGTTGCTTATCAGCTTAAGGAGATTTTGGGCTGAGACAATGGGGTTTTCTAGATATACAATCATGTCATCTGCAAACAGGGACAATTTGACTTCCTCTTTTCCTAATTGAATACCCTTTATTTCCTTCTCCTGCCTGATTGCCCTAGCCTGAAATTCCAACACTATGTTGAATAGGAGTGGTGAGAGAGGGCATCCCTGTCTTGTGCCAGTTTTCAAAGGGAATGCTTCCAGTTTTTGCCCATTCAGTATGATATTGGCTGTGGGTTCGTCATAAATAGCTCTTATTATTTTGTGATATGTCCCATCAATACCTAATTTATTGAGAGATTTTAGCATGAAGAGTTGTTGAATTTTGTCAAAGGCCTTTTCTGCATCTATTGAGATAATCATGTGGTTTTTGTCTTTGGTTCTGTTTATATGCTGGATTACATTTATTGATTTGCATATATTGAACCAGCCTTGCATCCCAGGGATGAAGCCCACTTGATCATGGTGGATAACGTTTTTGATGTGCTGCTGGATTTGGTTTGCCAATATTTTATTGAGGATTTTTGCATCAATGTTCATCAAGGATATTGGTCTAAAATTCTCATTTTTGGTTGTGTCTCTGCCCGGCTTTGGTATCAGGATGATGCTGGCCTCATAAAATGAGTTAGGGAGGATTCCTTCTTTTTCTATTGATTGGAATAGTTTCAGAAGGAATGGTACCAGTTCCTCCTTGTACCTCTGGTAGAATTCGGCTGTGAATCCATCTGGTCCTGGACTCTTTTTGGTTGGTAAGCTATTGATTATTGCCACAATTTCAGAGCCTGTTATTGGTCTATTCAGAGAGTCAGCTTCTTCCTGGTTTAGTCTTGGGAGAGTGTATGTGTCGAGGAATTTATCCATTTCTTCTAGATTTTCTAGTTTATTTGTGTAGAGGTGTTTGTAGTATTCTCTGATGGTAGTTTGTATTTCTGTGGGATCGGTGGTGATATCCCCTTTATCATTTTTTATTGCGTCTATTTGATTCTTCTCTTTTTTCTTCTTTATTAGTTTTGCTAGCGGTCTATCAATTTTGTTGATCCTTCAAAAAACCAGCTCCTGGATTCGTTAATTTTTTGAAGGGTTTTTTGTGTCTCTATTTCCTTCAGTTCTGCTCTGATTTTAGTTATTTCTTGCCTTCTGCTAGCTTTTCAATGTGTTTGCTCTAGCTTTTCTAGTTCTTTTAATTGTGATATTAGGGTGTCAATTTTGGATCTTTCCTGCTTTCTCTTGTGGGCATTTAATGCTATAAATTTCCCTCTACACACTGCTTTGAATGTGTCCCAGAGATTCTGGTATGTTGTGTCTTTGTTCTTGTTGGTTTCAAAGAACATCTTTATTTCTGCCTTCATTTTGTTATGTACCCAGAAGTCATTCAGGAGCAGGTTGTTCAGTTACCATGTAGTTGAGCGGTTTTGAGTGAGTTTCTTAATCCTGAGTTCTAGTTTGATTGCACTGTGGTCTGAGAGACAGTTTGTTATAATTTCTGTTCTTTTACATTTGCTGAGGAGAGCTTTACTTCCAACTATGTGGTCAATTTTGGAATAGGTGTGGTGTGGTGCTCAAAAAAATGTATATTCTGTTGATTTGGGGTGGAGAGTTCTGTAGATGTCTATTAGGTCCGCTTGGTGCAGAGCTGAGTTCAATTCCTGGGTATCCTTGTTGACTTTCTGTCTCGTTGATCTGTCTAATGTTGACAGTGGGGTGTTAAAGTCTCTCATTATTATTGTGTGGGAGTCTAAGTCTCTTTGTAGGTCACTCAGGACTTGCTTTATGAATCTGGGTGCTCCCGTATTGGGTGCATATATATTTAGGATAGTTAGCTCTTCTTGTTGAATTGATCCCTTTACCATTATGTAATGGCCTTCTTTGTCTCTTTTGATCTTTGTTGGTTTAAGGTCTGTTTTATCAGAGACTAGGATTGCAACCCCTGCCTTTTTTTGTTTTCCATTTGCTTGGTAGATCTTCCTCCATCCTTTTATTTTGAGCCTATTTGTGTGTGTGCACGTGAGATGGGTTTCCTGAATACAGCACACTGATGGGTCTTGACTCTTTATCCAATTTGCCAGTTTGTGTCTTTTAATTGGAGCATTTAGTCCATTTACATTTAAAGTTAATATTGTTATGTGTGAATTTGATCCTGTCATTATGATGTTAGCTGGTTATTTTGCTCGTTAGTTGATGCAGTTTCTTCCTAGCCTCGATGATCTTTACAATTTGGCATGATTTTGCAGTAGCTGGTACCGGTTGTTCCTTTCCATATTTAGCGCTTCCTTCAGGAGCTCTTTTAGGGCAGGCCTGGTGGTGACAAAATCTCTCAGCATTTGCTTGTCTGTAAAGGATTTTATTTATCCTTCACTTATGAAGCTTAGTTTGGCTGGATATGAAATTCTGGGTTGAAAATTCTTTTCTTTAATAATGTTGAATATTGGCCCCCACTCTCTTCTGGCTTGTAGAGTTTCTGCCAAGAGATCTGCTGTTAGTCTGATGGGCTTCCCTTTGTGGGCAACCCGACCTTTCTCTCTGGCTGCCCTTAACATTTTTTCCTTCATTTCAACTTTGGTGAATCTGACAATTACGTGTCTTGGAGTTGCTCTTCTCAAAGAGTATCTTTGTGGCACTCTCTGTATTTCCTGAATCTGAATGTTGGCCTGCCTTGCTAGATTGGGGAAGTTCTGGATAATATCCTGCAGAGTGTTTTCCAACTTGGTTCCATTCTCCTTGTGACTTTCAGGTACACCAATCAGACGTAGATTTGGTCTTCTCACATAGTCCCATATTTCTTGGAGGCTTTGTTCATTTCTGTTTATTCATTTTTCTCTAAACTTCCCTTCTTGCTTCATTTCATTCATTTCATCTTCCATCGCTGATACCCTTTCTTCCAGTTGATCGCAACGGCTCCTGAGGCTTCTGCATTCTTCACGTAGTTCTCGAGCCTTGGCTTTCAGCTCCATCAGCTCCTTTAAGCACTTCTCTGTATTGGTTATTCTAGTTATACATTCGTCTAAATTTTTTTCAAAGTTTTTAACTTCTTTGCCTTTGGTTTGAATTTCCTCCTGTAGCTCAGAGTAGTTTGATCATCTGAAGCCTTCTTCTCTCAACTCGTCAAAGTCATTCTCCATCCAGGTTTGTTCCGTTGCTGGTGAGGAACTGCATTCCTTTGGAGGAGGAGAGGCACTCTGCTTTTTAGAGTTTCCAGTTTTTCTGCCCTGTTTTTTCCCCATCTTTGTAACAGCAGGAAAATTTTAACTCTTCAACTTTCCAGCTAAATTCAGAAGTATATAATAGAATAATTCATTGTGTCAAGGTAGGATTTCACATAGAAACGTGAAGAAGGGATAAATTAGAATATTTATTATAATTTACTATATTAACAAATTAACCAAAAAATACTAATTATAGCAATACACGAAAAAGTACATTTAATTAAAATATAACACTCATTTATTATAACTTTAACAAATTTAATCAAGAATATATCCAATCAAAAGCTACTTCAACATCTTGATGAAATTTTAGGACAATGCTTAATTAAGTTGGCATCCATAAAAGGATGTCAGATATCAAGTATCAGTGCTACCATTCAACATTGTGGTTGAGTTTTTGCCTAATATAATAAGGCAAGAAAAGAAATAATAAGAACAAGGATAGAAAAGATAATCATAGGACGTTATTGGTCCTTTTCCTAAGTTTTTATAGTGAGGACATATTCACATTACTTACATACTAAAATTAAAATAATTTTAAAATTTATATCTCAGACCAAATTTATTTTTTTCCAACCTTTATTTTGGATTCAGAGGGTACATGTGTAGGTTTTTTACATGACTATATTGAGTTACATGGTTTGCTGAGGCATAGAGCACAGATGATCCCATAACCCAGGTAGTGAGCATAATACCCAATAGGTAGTTTTCCAGCCCAGTCCCACTTCCCTTTCTTTCTTCTCTGGTAGACCTCAGTGTCTATTGTTGCCATCTTTACTGCTATGTGTACTCAGTTTCTAGCTCCCACTTATAAATGAGAACATGAAGCATTTGGTTTTCTGTTTCTGTGTTAATTTTCTTAGGATAATCGCCTCCAGCTGCATCCATGTTGCTGCAAAAGACATGATTTTGTTCTTTTTTATGGCTGTGTAGTACTCCGTGGTGTATAGATACCACATTTTCTGATTCCAAACCACTGTTGATGGGCAGTTAGGTTTACTCTATGTCTTTGCTATTGTGAATAGTGCTGTGATGAACATGCAAGAGCATGTGTCTTTTTGGGTAGAATGATTTATATTCCTTTAGGTATATAGTCAGTAACGGGATTTCTGGGTTGAATAGTAGTTCTTTTTTAAGTTCTTTGAGAAGTTTCCAGATTGCTTTCCACAGTGGCTGAACTAATTTGCATTCCCACTCACAGTGTACAAGCATTTCCTTTTCTCTGCATCCTCCCCAGCATCTGTTATTTTTTGACTTCTTAATGATTGTCATTCTGAGTAGTGTGAGATGTTATCTCTGATTGTGGTTTTGATTTGCATTTCTCTAATGATTAGTGATGATGAACACTTTTTCATATGTTTGTTGGCCACTTGTATGTCTTATTTTTAAAAGTGTCTGCTCATGTCCTTTGCCCATTTTTAATTGTATATTATTTGGTTTTTGCTTATTGATTTAAGTATCTTACATATTCTGGATATCAGACCTTTGTCAGATTCATAGCTTGCAAATATTTTTTTCCATTCTATAGGTTGTCTGTTTACTGGTTTACAATTTTTTTTGCTGTGGAGAAGCTCTTTAATTTAATTAGGTCCCATTCTCAATTTTTGTTTTTGTTGCAATTGCTTTTGGGGACGTAGTCAGAAAATATTTGCCAAAGCCAATGTTGAAGAGGGTATTTCCCAGATTTTCTTCTAGGATTTTTTTGTTTGAGACCCTGCATTTAAAGTGTTAGTTGATCCTGAGTTAATTTTTGTATATAGTGAAAGATAGGGGTCCAGTTTCATTTTCTGCATATGACTAGCCAGTTATCCCAGCACCATTTATTGACTAGGGAACCTTTTCCCATTTGCTTATTTTTGTTGACTTTGTCAAAGATCAGATGACTGTAGGTGTGTGGCTTTGTCTGTTCTCTATTCTGTTCCATTGATCTATGTGTCTGTTTTTGTACCAGTACTATGCTGTTTTGCTTACTGTAGCCTTGTAGTATAATTTCATATGAAATAATATGATGTCTCTGGCCTCATTGTTTTTGCTTAGGATTACTTCGGCTATTCAGATTCTTTTCTGGTTTTATATAAAATTTAGAATAGTTTTTTCTAGTTCTGTGAAAAATGATGTTGGTAGTTTGATAGGAATAGTGTTGAATCTGTAAATTGATTTGCACAGTCTGGCCATTTTAACAATATTGAGTCTTCCAATCCATGAGCATGGGATATTTTTCCATTTATTTGTGTAATCTCTGATTTCTTTCAGCAGTGTTTTGTAGTTTTCCTTGTGGAGATCTTTCAAGCTTCTTGATTAGCTGCATTCTTAGGTACTTCATTTTTTGTGGCTATTATAAATGTGATTGTGTTCTTGATTTGGCTGTCAGCCAGAACCTTTTTGTGTAAAGAAATGCTACTAATTTTTGTAGATTGATTTTGTAACCTGAAACTTTACTGACGTAGTTTCTCAGTTCTAGGAGCCTTTTGGCATAGTCTTGAGGATTTTCTAGGTATAGAATTATATCATCAGCGAATAGAGATAGTTTGACTTCTTTTCCTATATGGATGCCTGATGCCTTTTTTCTTTCTCTTGGCTGACTGTTCTGGCTACAACTTCCAGTACTATGTTGAATAGAAGTGCTGAGAGTAGCCTTCCTTGTGTTTTTCCAGTTCTCAAAGGGAATGGCTTTAGCTTTTCCCCAGGCAGTACGATGTTAGATCAGACCAAATTTCTAAAAGACATATTTATAAGATCAATTAAACTCTATTAAATTCTATTAAATTAAATTCTATTACATTACATGTTGAGCATGTACTCTATGCAGAGTGGTAGAATAATATCTTAACATACAATTAATGTAATTTTCTCTCCCTGCTCCAGGATTATACCCATACTTCAGTGAAGGTTTGTATTATAGAGCAGACCATGAAATGGTTACTAAATGTTATGTTACTTTATGATTCCTACATTGTGGTAGTAAGAGATGAGCCAAGAGAGGAAACCAAGCAATCTGGAGAACTACTACTTAAGGTTAGCCTAAAAGGAAAACAGAGTGGCACACAAAGTAAACCCACATCTAGATTACGTTTTTCACTAAAAAGATATAAAAAAGCAATTATAGAAAGACAAGGAAGAGAAAAAGACAACATTGAAGACTGAAGATACGGCATTTGAAATAAGAGAATGGATGAAAGTTCAACTTGTTGTAAAAACAGGGAGAGAGAGAGAGAGAGAGAGAAAGACACAAACAGTAAATATGGGTCATATTAGAGACATGCCTCAGAGATATTTTCAGTCTAACTCCAGACCACTACAATAAAATGAGTTTTGCAATAAAACAAGTCACACAAGTTTTTGGGTTTCCTGGTGCACATAAAAGTTATATTTATATTACACTATAGTCTATTAAGTGTAAAATAGCATCATGTCTAAAAAACAATGTATGTCTTAATTAAAAATACTTTATTACTAAGGAGGGTTTTGCTTCCATGTTGATGTCTGCTGACTGATCAAGGTGAGTAGCTGCTGAAGGTTAGAGTTGCTGGGGCAATTTCTTAAATTAAGACAACAATGCCACGTCACCAAAATAGCAGAATAGAAAGTAACCTGTTCATATCCCTTTATAAAAACAAGAACTCTGCACCCATCTACCATCAAAAATGTCTCTCTGAGAGCCTCAGGATTCAAGTAGGAGTTTGTGAAACTCCAGTGAAGCCTAAGACCTTGGAGTGTCATTTTGAGAGTGCAAACTGAAACCTAGTTGGCCAATTCACTGAGCTTTCTCCTGAGTTCAAGCCCAGAAAAGGCCTAGTCCTACAAGAGGCTTGGTTACAGCCCTGTTTGGGCCTGAGCCTGTAACCAAAACCATCTGCCAAGAGGTCCAGAAAGAACTGTGCACGCTAGTACTTTGGCAAAAAGGCTCATTTGCCCACTACCATGGGTCTCAGCAGTGAACCTGAAAGTTGCCCTATAGCTTGGAGCCAGACCCCCTCAATTGGGGTCCCAGCTCAGAGCTGCTCACACAAGAATCCAGAGGAAGACTCACCCGTATCTTGCAGCCTTGGAACCTGAGACTCTCTAATGAGCTTGCTGATCTCTGTTCCAAAGCAGATCCAGAGGGGGCCCTACAATTAATGTAATTTCACCTACAGTGAACTCATTTTTGACAAAGGTGCCAAGAACATGCATTGGCGAAAAGGCAGTGTCTAAAATAAATGATGCCAGAAAAACTGGATATCCATACACAGAAAAATGAACCTAGATCCCTATCTCTCACCCTATAGTAAAATCAAAATCAAAATGGATTAAAGACTTAAAACTAAGACCCAAAACGATGAAACTACTACAAGAAAACACTGGGGAAACTCTGCAGAACATTGGGCCAGACAAAGATTTCTTTGAGTCATGTCCCACAAGCACAGGCCACCAAAGCAAAAATGGACAAAGGGGATCACATCAAGTTAAAAAGCTTCTGCACAGCAAAGGAAACAATCAACGAACTGACGAAACAACCCACAGAATGGGAGAAAAGATGTGCAAACTGTCCATCTGCCAAGAGATTAATAATCAGTATGTATAAGGAGCTCAAACAACTGTATAGGAAAAAAAGTCTAATAATCTGATTATAAAAATGGGCAAAAGATTTGAACAGATATTTCTCAAAAGAAGACATATAAATGGGAAGCAGGTACATAAAAAGTTGCTCAACATCACTGATCATGAAATAAATGCAAGTCAAAACTACAATGAGATATCATCTTATTCCAGTTAAAATGCCCTTCATCCAAAAGTCAGGCAATAATGAATGTTGGTGAGGATGTGAAGAAAAGGAAAAATTTGTACACTGTTGATGAGAATGTAAATTAGTACCACTACTATGGAGAACAATTTGGAGATTCCTCAAAAACATAAAAATAAAGCCACCCTATGATTTAGTAATCCCACTGCTAGGTATATACCCAAAAGAAAGGAAGTCATGGCTGGGTGTGGCGGCTCACACCTGTAATCCTAGCACTTTGGGAGACAGAGGTGGTTGGATCACGAGATCAGGAGATTGAGACCATGCTGGCCAACATGGTGAAACCCTGTCTGTACTAAAAATACAAAAATTAGCTAGGCATGGTGGCACGTGCCTGTAATCCCAGCTACTTGGGAGGCTGAAGCAGGAGAGTGGCTTGAGGGAGTCAGAGGTTGAAGTGAGCCGAGATCACACCACTGCACTCCAGCCTGGCAACAGAGCGAGATTCTGTCTCAAAAAAAAAAAAGGAAGTCATTATATCGAAGAGATATCTGCACTGTTGTTTGTTGCAGCACTGTTCACAATATCTAAGATTTGGAAGCCAACTAAGTGTCCATAAACAGATGAATGGATAAAGAAAATGTGCTACATATACACAGTGGAGTACTAGTCAGTCATAAAAAGAATAAGATACTGTCACTTACAAAAACATGGATAGAACTGGAAGTCTTTATGTTAATCAAAATAAGCCAGGCACAGAAAGACAAACATCACATGCTCTCACTTGCTTTGATCTAAAAATCAAAACAATTGAACTCATGGAGATAGAGAATAGAAGGATGGTTACCAGAGGCTGGGAAGGGTAATGGGAGGTGGGGGAAGGTGGGGATAGTTAATGGATACAAAAATAATAGTTAAAAGAAAGAATAAGATCTAGTATTTGACAGCACCACAGGGGGACTATAATCAATAATAATCTATTGCACATTTTAAAATAATTAAAAGGGTATAATTGCATTATTTGTAACAGCAAGGATAAATACTTGACCAGATGGATATCCAATTTTCCATGATGTGATTATTATGCATTGCATACATGTACCAAAATATCTCATGTATCCCATAAATATATATACCTACTATGTACCCATGAAAATTAAAAATAAACATATTTTTAAAAAAGAAAGCAAGCCCACTTATAATAGCTATGAAGAAACAGAATAAAAAAATTAAGACTTAATTTAACCAAAGGAGTAAAAGATCTCTACAAGAAAAATTATAAAACACTGCTGAAGAAAATTGGGGAACAAAAAAAAATAGAAAGATATATCATTTTCATGAATTGGATGAATTAATATTGTTAAATGTCTATACTACCACAAGTGATCCATAGATTCAATGCAATGTTTATCAAAATACCAATGACATTCTTCACAGAAATAGAAAAGATATCCTAAAATTTATATAGAAACACAAAAGACCTCAAATAGCTAAAGCAACCCTGAGCCAAAAAACATGAAGGTGTCCATTACACTGCCTGATTTCAAATTATACTACAAAGCTACAGTAATCAAAACAGCATCATAATGGCATAAAAAACAGACAGACCAATGAAACAGAATAAATAACCCAAAAGTAAATTTACTCACTTACATCTAACTCATTTTTCACAAAGGTGCCAAGAACATACAGTGGGGAAAGGACAGTCTCTTTAATAAATGGTGCTGGGTAACCAGATATCCATACACAAAAGAATGAAAGGAGATCCTTGTCTTTCACCACATACAAAAATACATGTAGAATGGATTAAAGACAAATAAATGTAAGACCTTCACAGCTATGAAGCTACTAAAAGAAAACATTGGGGAAATGCTATAGGACATTGGTCTGGGCAAAGATATTTTGGGAAAGACCTCAAAAGCACAGGCAACAAAATCAAAAATAGACAAACAGAATTACATTAAGCTAGAAACCTTCCGCATAGCAAAAGAGACAATCAGCAAACTGAAGAGACAACCTACCAAATGGCAGAAAATATTTGCAAACTATCCATCCAACAAGGGATTAATAACCAGAACACTTAAGGAATTCAGACAATTCAATAGAAATAAATAAATAATCTGATTTTAAAATGACAAAAGGCTTCAATCGACATTTCTCAAAAGAATACATATGAAGGGCTAATAGGTATATGAAAAAAAAGTTCAACACCATTAATCATGAAGGAAATGCCAGTCAAAACCACAATATCATCTCATTACAGTTACAGTGGCCATTATCAAAAATACAAAAAATAACAAATGTTGGCAAGGATGCAGACGAAGGGGAAGGCTCATACATTGTTGACAGGGATGTAAAATATTACAGCCATTATGGAAAACAGTATGGAGGTTCCTTGATAAACTAAAATTAGAGCTACCGTATAATTAAGCAATCTCACTGAGGAGTGTATATCCAAAAGAAAGAAAATCAGTATATCGAAGAGATATCTGCACTCCCATGTTTATTGCAGCACTATTCACAATAGCCAAAATATGGAATCAACCAAGCGTCTATCAATGGATGAAGGGCCAAAGAAAATGTGACAGGGAAGGGTAATGGCGTAGGGAGCAGGTGGGGATGGTTAATGGGTACCAAAAAAATCATTAGAAAGAATGAGTAAGACCTACTATTTGATAGAACAACAGGATGACTATAGTCAATATCAATTTAATGGTATATTTTGAAATAACTAAAAGAGAATAATTGGATTGTTTGTAACACAAGGATAAATGCTTGAAGGGATGGATACCCCATTTTACATGATGTGATTATTATGCATTGTATGCCTGTATCAAAACATCTCATGTACATCATAAATATATACGCCATGTATCCACAAAAATTAAAAATTAAAAACTTTTATGAAAAAAGAAAATGTGACAGATATACAGAATGGAAGACTATTCAGCCACAAAGTGAATAAAATCCTGCCATTTTTAGCAACAGAGATGGAACTAGACTAGAGGTTATTATGCTAAGAGAATCCAGCCACAGAAAGACAAATACTGCATGTTCTCACATGTGGGAACTAGAAAGTAGACCTCATGGAGGTAGATAGCAGAACGATGTTTACCAGAGGCTGGGAAAGGAAAGGGATGAGGATTGGGGGATAAACATAAGTTGGTTAAGAGGTACAAAAATACAGTAAAATAGAAGGAAAAAGTTCTAGTATTCTATATTAGAGTAGGGAAATTTTACTGTATATTTCAAAATAGCTAGATTAGTAATGTTCCTCACACACATACAAAACATAAAACTTTGAGTTGATGGATTTCCCAATTACCCTGATTTTATCATTACACATGATTTTGCTACATATGTCAAAATATTTTGGTACACAGATGTCAGAATATCACACGTTCTCCCAAAATAAGTGCAAATAAGATATATATCAATTTTAAAAAACACAATAATGAAATTTGCTGCACTGATTGATTCCTTTCATGAAAGATTTCTTTATAGCATGTGATGCTGTTTGATAGCATTTTATCCACAGCAGAACTTCTTTCCAAATTGTAGTCAATCCTCTCATACCCTGCCACTTCCTTTTAAACTAAGTTTAATAATACTCCAAATCCTTTGTTGTCATTTTACCAATTTTCACAGCACCTTCATCAGGAGTAGATTTCACCTCCAGAAACCACTATGTTCATCCATAAGGAGCAACTCCTCATAGGTTAAAGTTTTACTATGAGATTTTAGAAACTTAATCACATCTTGGAGCTCTACTTCTAATTGTAGTTCTCTTGCTATTTCCACCAAGTCATCTGCAGTGACTTCCTTTGCTGAAGTCTTCAACTCCTCAAAGTCATCCCCGTCGGTTGGAATAAACTTCTTCCAAAATTGCTGTTTGGACATCCTCCCAAGAATCACACGTATGCTTAGTGGCCTCTAGAATGCTGAAATTTTTCCAGAAACTTTCCATTTAATTTGCCCAGATCCATCAGAGGACTCACTATCTACAGCAGCTATAGCCTTACAAAATATATTTCTTCAATAATAGGACTTGAAATTCTAACGTACTTCTTGATCCATAGCTGCAGAATGAATGTTGTGCTAGCAAGCATGAAAACAACATTAATCTCCACGTACATCTCCATCAGAGCTCTTGGGTGACCATGTTCATTGTCAGTGAACAGTAATATTTTGAAAGGAGTCTTTTTTTCTGAGCAGTAGGAATCAATAGTGGGCTTAAAATATTCAGTAAATCATACTGTAAACAGATGTGCTGTCACCCATGTTTTATTGTTCTGCTGATAGAGAATAGGCATAGTGGATTTGGCATACTTCTTAAGGGCTCCAGGATTTTCAGAATGGAAAATAAGCATTGGCTTCCATTTAAAGTCACCAGTTACATTAGCCCCTAACAAGAGTCAGCCTGTCTTTTTAAGCTTTGAAGCCAGACGTTGACTTCTCCTCTCTAGTTAGGAAAGTTTCAGTTGGCATTTTTTCCCAATGGAAGGACATTTCATTTCAGGGAATATCTGTTGTTTAGCCATCTCCATCAATGAGCTTAGCTAGATCTTCTGAATAACTTGCTGCAGCTTCTCCATCAGCACTTGCTGCTTCACCTAGAGCTTTAATGTTATGAAGACAGCTTCTTTCTTTAAACCTCATGAACCAACTTCTGCCAGCTTCCAACTTTTCCTCTGCCACTTTCTCACCTCTCTGAGCCTTCACTGAATTAAAGAGAGTTAGGGACTTATTCTGGATTAGGCTTTGGTTTAAGGGAATGTTTTGACTTGTTTAATCTTCTATCCAGACCACTAAATGTTTCTCCCTATCAGCAATAGGGATATTGTGCTTTCTCATCATTTATGTGTTCACTGGAGTAACACTTTTAATTTCTTTTAAGAACTTTAATTTTACGTTCATAATTTGGCTACCTGTTTGGTGCAAAAGGCCTAGCTTTCCACCCATCTTGGCTTCCAACATGCCTTACTAAGCTTCATTATTTCTAGCTTTTGATTTAAAGTGAGAGATACGCGACTCTTCATTTCACTTGAACACCTGGAGCCCATCATAGGTTTATTTACTGGCCTACTTTCAATATTGTTATGTCTCAGGGAATAGGAAGGCCTGAAGAGATGGAGAGAGATCAGCAAACTGCCAATCAGTGGAGCAGTCAGAACATACACAACCTTTATCAGTTACATTCACCATCATTGTCATGCTTCATGACACCCCAAAATAATTCCAATAGTAACATCAAAGATCACTGATTGCAAATTACCATAATAAACATAATAATAATAAAAAAGTTCAAAATACAGTGAGAATTACCAAGATGGGACAAAGGCACACGAAATGAGCAAATGCTGTTGGAAAAATGGCACTGACAGACTTCCTCAATGCATAGTTGCGGCAAACCTCCAATTTGTAAAAAAAAAAAACAAAAAACAAACAAAAAAACAATATCTGTGAAGCACAATAAAGCAAAGTGCAATAAAGTGCAATAAAATAAGAATGAGATATGCCTGTATATCTCTCCTCATATCCTGCCACATAGACAACTTACTCAATACAGATTAAAAGTATTGACTGGGTAGGTAGGTTGTTTGGGTCCTATCCTGACTTTATAACTTACTGGTTTTATGTCCTAATGCTGACTTTGTAATTTATTGGTTTTGTCTGGGCCTTTAAAATCCTGCTTCTGCCGGGCACTGTGGCTCACACCTGAAACCCCAGCACTTTGGGAGGCCAAGGTGGGCGGATCACTTGAGGTCAGGAGTTCGAGACCAGCCTGACCAACAAGGTGAAACCCTGCCTCTACTAAAAATGCAAAAATTAGCCAGTCGTGATGGCAGGCCCCTGTAGTCACAGCTACTCGGGAGGCTGAGGTAGGAGAATTGCTTGAACCTGGGAAACAGAGATTGCAGTGAACTGAGGTCACACCACTGCACTCCAGCCTTGATGACAGAGCAAGACTCCGTCTCAAAAAAAACAAAAAATTCCTGCTTTTTCGTCTCTAAAAAGGATGTACCAGTAGTACATGCTTCATAGTGTTTGCTGAAAGAATGAAATAAGACAATATCTGTTTAATGCTTAGAGTAGTACATTACCTATTTGATATACAGCAAGTAATCAATGCTACCTATTTTTATTAATTTTGCAGCAGTACAATAACATCTTAATCAAAAGCTGGAGCTCACAAGTAATAAGCATGTCTCCATATGTGCTACCTGAATTAATTCAAAATAAATCTGATAGTATGCTAACGATAAGCATAGGACTTTGCCACAACTTTGTTCATTACTTTGACATTTAGTTACTCATTAGCACTAATATTCATAAGCATTCAAATAAATTCTCAAGAGAACAACCCCATCAAAAAGTGGGTGAAGGACATGAACAGACACTTCTCAAAAGAAGACATTTATGCAGCCAAAAAACACATGAAAAAATGCTCATCATCACTGGCCATCAGAGAAATGCAAATCAAAACCACAATGAGATACCATCTTACACCGGTTAGAATGGCAATCATTAAAAAGTCAGGAAACAACAAGTGCTGGAGAGGATGTGAATAGGAACACTTTTACACTGTTGGTGGGACTGTAAACTAGTTCAACCTTTGTGGAAGTCAGTGTGGCGATTCCTCAGGGATCTAGAACTAGAAATACCATTTGACCCAGCCATCCCATTACTGCGTATATACCCAAAGGATTATAAATCATGCTGCTATAAAGACACATGCACACGTATGTTTACTGCAGCACTATTCACAATAGCAAAGTCTTGGAACCAACCCAAATGTCCAACAGTGATAGACTGGATTAAGAAAATGTGGCACATATACACCATGGAATACTATGCAGCCATAAAAAATGATGAGTCCATGTCCTTTGTAGGGACATGGATGAAACTGGAAATCATCATTCTCAGTAAACTATCACAAGGAGAAAAAACCAAACACTGCATGTTCTCACTCATAGGTGGGAATTGAACAATGAGAACACATGGACACAGGAAGGGGAACATCACACTCTGGGGACTGTTGTGGGGTGGGGGAAGCGGGGAGGGATAGCATTAGGAGATATACCTAATGCTAAATGACGAGTTAATGGGTGCAGCACACCAGCATGGCACATGTATACATATGTAACTAACCTGCACATTGTGCACATGTACCCTAAAACTTAAAGTATAATAATAATAAAATAAAAAAAGAAAGATATTAAATTTTCTCCAAAATTTATACTCTAATGAAATTTCCAATATGTGTGGAATCATTTTGATTTCCAGATAACTCATTTCCAGCAACATCATGTTTAAATCACTGTCAATGGCTAAAAACACTGAGTACAGTTTGTATTACACTTTTACGTGTAGATCACTTTGCGCAGTAAAGAAATTTCCAAAGAAAGTTACCTATCAATCTAATTACTATAAATCAATATTATCCCCTTGATTTACACTGTAATTTCAAAAACTTGAAACCATTACTAATGGCTCGTTAATTGTTTATGACTTTTGAAAATCCGAATATTCATTTTAAGTTTGGGTCTTTCTGAAGACAGTCATTTTAAAAGATGGCTTATTCAGGTTTGAGTTTTTGTGTAATTTTTTTTTTTTTTTTTGAGAGCACATTTGTACCCTATTTTTGGCTTTGTTTTCCATCTCCAGGTTGGTAATGACTCCCACAGTAGGGGTCCAATGTAGGGATCATTTCACACCACATGGAAATGCAACTGCTGAAGTGAACTACTTCAAGTCCAAGGGAAGCTGAAAGGACTTTCCAAATCCCACAAACTGTAATTTCCCAAGAGGGATTTAGTCAAGGCAGTAAAGTTCATGGATTTGAAGGCAACTTAGAGAAGCTTTAATGGTGATCAAGACCCTCAACTTTAACATCTCATTTTAAGGCCAGGAACAAAGTCAAGAAAAGGCTGCATCAGGGCAAGCAGAGTCAATGCTTAAAAAAAAAAAAAAAGGTGCTGATAGAATTGTCTATTTGCAGCTCCAGGGTATTCTTGAGCAGCAGTTCTCAAACTTTTTGGCCTCGGGCTTCTTTACACTTAAAATTATTGAGGAAATTCTAAAAAGTTTCTTTTTTTAGGTTATATCTATCCATATTTACAGTAGCACAAACTAAAACTGAGAAATATTTAAAATATTTTTCATTTAAAAATATATTTATTGCATGTTAGCATAAATAACATATTTTATAGAAATAACTATATTTCCCCAAAAAAAGAGACAAGTAGTATCATTTTACATTTTTGCAAATCCATTTAACATCCAGTTTAATAAGAGACACTGAATTCTCATATTGGCTTCTGCATTCAATCAAATGGTATGTGTTTTTTTGGTTGAAGTATATGAAGAAAATCAGGGCTCACACAAATACGTAGTAGGAAAGACAGGAGTATTTTAATAGCATTTTTATATATTTGTGGATTTCTTCCTTTGACACCACATCAAAACTCAAATTGTAGTTTCATAAAGCTAAGTTGCAATAAGTAATCTGAAAACATATCAATTAATTTTGCATACTCTGTAACATTAAAATCCATTGGGCTTTTCTTGCACTCTAAATGGATCTTTTACACATGAATGATTTTGTAACATCATGAGATGATCATTTGGAAAACACTGCTTCACTGAGTTATGCAGATCTTCAAAATGTTGGCAGATTTTATTATATAATATCAAAAAATATCACCACTGATCTCATCATAAAAGTCTATTAAGTATTGGAAAAATCAAGATCACATAACTGATGCAAGTTTTTAAAAATTCTTCTAATTTTCACTTGAAAGCTTGAGTGACAACTCATTTAATTTGTTTTTGAGAAAATATCTGTCAAATATCCAAGTTTGAAGAACCATAGTTTGTCAGTTGATCTTTCAAAATGGAAATTTTAAATTTCATGAAAAAGTGGCTATGTTACTAGGTTCCTGCAAAAGTAATTATGGTTTTTGCCATTACTTTTAATGGCAAAAGTAATGGCATTAAAAGTAATGGCAAAAACTGCAATAACTTTTACACCAACCTATAGCTTTCAACTCAAAGCACACACAAATGCTTTAAACATCACTCCATCCCATTTTGTTACTCCAAGAATCTAAAAAGGTATACTGTAGGATGAGTTAATAAAACTAGCAATTGTACTGCTTCATAAGGAACACTCATAAGGAATGTAAAACTGACATTTTTGAAAATGTGTGGTTGTATTAGTCTGTTCTCACACTGATAATAAAGACATATCCAAGACTGGCTAATTTATAAAGAAAAGAGGTTTAATTGACTCACAGTTCCACATGGCTGGGGAGTCCTCACAATCATGGCAAAAGGCATGAGGAGCAAAGTCGTATCTTACATGGTGGCAGGCAAGTGAGCTTGTGCAGGGGAACTCCCATTTATAAAACTATCAGATCATTGGGCGCTGTGGCTCACACCTGTAATCCCTGCACTTTGGGAAGCCAAGGTGGGCTGATTACGAGGTCAGGAGTTCGAGACAGCCTGACCAACATGGTGAAACTCTGTCTCTACTAAAAATACAAACATTAGCCAGGCGTGGTGGCGCATGCCTGTAATCCCAGCTATTCAGGAGACTGAGAGAGGAGAACTGCTTGAACCCGGGAGGTGGAGGTTGCAGTGAGATGAGATCATGCCACTGCACTCCAGCCTGGGCGACAGAGTGAGACTCTGTCTCAAAAAAATAAAATAAAATAAAATAAAATCATCAGATCTCATAAGTCTTATTCACTACCAGGAGAACAGTATAAGGGAAACAGCCCCCATTATTAAATTACCTCCCACCAGATTCCTCCCATGACATGGGGGGGTTATTACAATTCAAGGTAAAATTTGGCTGGTGACACAGAGTCAAACCATATCAGTGGCAATAAGGAATACCATACCTACTAATAGAGTTAGTGAAACTGCCTTGATTCATGTGCCAGAAGTGTTACACACCACAGCTTTCGCACCATCAGAACAAACGTAAACACAATGCAAAAGATAAATATCACCTCAGTATTATTATATTATAAAAATAGTTATGACTTAATAGACGTCCTAAAAGGGTCTTGAGTACCCCAAGAACCCATGAACCACATTTTGAGAATTGCTATTCTAGAGAATTGCAGCCCTATTTAGTTGGACCACTCTGAAGAAGGAAAAAAAACCATAGCCTCTTTAGAAGGGCTGAATGTCTTCTGTTTCAGCTTTCCTTGTAGGATCTAGCTTAGGACTGAAATTGGGGTTCCCTACTTGACTGACACTATGAGGAATATTATCAAAATATAGAAAAGACAAATAAGACATATTTAGCTCTCTTTTTTCTAAAACAAAACAACAGAGTAGCCCTTATTTTTTCTGAACCCCTAAAGCTCCATTAGTGTTCTGACAAATTCTGTGTCACTCTGTACAAAGTTCTATACACAGTGAAATAATTAAAAGAGAAAAAATCAAAATAATGGCATAATTTGGAAAATTGTTCATTGTGATAAACTATGGATTTTGCTCTATCATTTTGAACTTGCCTAAGCATGGTCACTGTTTTTCTACAAAATATTATGTACATATACCTTAAATGTTCTGAAAAAACCCCTCATTTTACAGATAACATAAACTGAAGCTCAAGGAATTTCCATTTAAATATATAATTTGAGAATTGAAACAGTCCTTCAGTTCACCTAATTCAACCTTCGTCCTAAGTAAACTTCATGCTTCTTATATGGTCTTCCTGGCTTGCCTTGAACCCCACCAGTAGCAGGTAGCTCCCTGCCTCTAGAGGTGTTATTGCATTCCAAACTGACATCACCAGCAATTCAGATGTTTTTCTTTAGATTGAGATAAAGCAAGTCCTATATATACTTTCTGATTTGGCATAATATTTCTATTTCCTAAGAACATGTTAGCTTTTCCACAGTCAAAACATAATATTAGCTTGTAGTGACCAGGTGATTTGTAAAACCCATAAGTCTTTTACATGAATTGTCAAGTCTACCCTAGGCCACCTTTGGATTATACTGCTGATAGTTTCCTCTAATGTTAAGGTTTTTTTGGCTTGTTTGTTATTTTTTATGTTTAATAATTTCATATCAAATTACATAATGACTTGTTTTAATCACTAATGGTAATGTTTTAAAATTAAATTTCATGTAGTTCACATTGGCCCATAGTGTAATATCTTGTGATCATTTCAATTTTTGATTTATTCAACACTGATGGTACCTACACACAATTTATATCATCAGCAATGTTGGTTTAGAGGCCAAACATGTCTTAATCTAATTTTCTTTCTAATAGCAGTAATGACAGGGAGAAGAACATAGGACTGCGGCTGTGACATGAGACTAGAGATACTCATTTATTAAATCACTTATGTTACGATTTCACAGTAGTGTTCTAGGCCCTTAGCATAAGTACACTAATCTATACACATTGAGCTTGAAGGATTCAACCACCAACAATCCCATGTAATTAATTCATACTAAAAGCTCTACTAGCAACATTACTCTTATGGCTATTATTATTATGCTTATTAAATATTTTTTCAGAGAGTCAGTGCTGGAATGCTTTTCTCCTCAATCCTGTTTCAGAGGCTTTTTCATAATAACACAATGACTTTTGAGGAGAGAAGCCAATGAGCTATCTCTTGAATTCTTACGTGGTCTATGAATGCTGAATCAATGCTGAATACCCTATAAATCAAGGGCAGATATCAGGAAATGTGTTTCTGTGTTTTATCTTTATTTGCAGCAAGGCTTCTGTAGCAAGGATCTGTAGATAGAGACAGATCCATTTCTGAATTCCAACTCAAACAACCAGTAACTTTCAATCTACTTAATCGTCATGAACTTCAAAAGTTATGGTGAAAATTTAATATGAAGTATTCAGTGCCTAATACAGTGCCTGACACATAGTAGGACTCAATAAATGGTGATGTTTATTACTAAATGTTAATATTTATTATTCAATTGTACAGAAATATTTGAAAACTGAATAATGAGAATGGAAATAAAACAAATACCTAAATCATGTTTTTTCAGCAAAAAAGTTTAGTTTAAAAGAGAGAAAAAGCTTAAAACTAAAGTGTTTGCAATTTCCTTCTATTTGTATATTTTCAAAACTAACTGATGATATTTCATCGGTAAGCAAAAGAATTTCCAAAACTAATCTCACGCACAAGAAGCCAAGCTTTGATACGTATAATTTGTAGATCTATAGGAAAAACATTGACCAAATAATATTAAGACCAGCAGGAGAAATTTTGTACAGAAATTTCTTTTACCTACAGTCTGAAGCTGTAGGCACAAAAATTTGAAAAGCCCAGATGTCCTTTATGTGATGTATAATGATGTCATTATAGAATACAAAATGAACCATAGTAGCACAAAATGAGGAGCCTCCCTATTTATAGACACATTTGCTGGCATATGTTATCTGTAATTCCACAGGCTGAAATTCAGGAAGATGAAATAGATGTCATTATTACTTATATGAAAATCACTCATTTTTCCCCCCAAAACATGAATTCTGTATTTGAGATTTATGGCTGTCATATTTAGAGTAAAATGGGATCTGTTATTTCCTGACATTTGGATTCTCTATCCATGACCTACCTTTACAATTTATTCTCTTTATTCTTTGTGTATTAGGGTCTCTGTAACTAGCCCTAAATTTGAATACATGGTTTTCTCCCTGATTAATTTGATTCATGTATCTATTCATGTATTCATCACTTCATTCATTTATACATCCATCCAATTATTCACTGAGTGATTGCCATATGCTTGCCAGTAGGGACACCAAGTATAATATAGAAACCCACTACATATTGGACTTGTTTTAAGAAAAGGGGAGCCAACATTTTTTTCAAATACTTAAAAGACTGAAATAAAAATATACCAAAATGTTAATTAATAGTGATTGTCTTGAGTAGTATTTTTACTAAACTTTTCTGATCTATCTATATTTTCTACCAAAACACAATGATTTAAAATTTGCTAGTTTAAAAGGAGATTCATTTTTCAATCAAGTCATATAACAGTAAATACTATGATGAGATGAAAGTTATACATGTGAGAAAATATATTTCAATAATATGTAGTGCAGTGGGCTGGATAACCAGTTTCCCAATGGTTCAACAAGTTTATTGATCATCTTGCAGATCAGGTATGTTTTGTCCTTCTTCCATATTAATAGCATAATGTTCTTTTATTTATTTTCTTCCTGTAATTTATAATGACCATATGTCTAAGTAGTGATCTGTGCTCACCTCTACTACAAATACTTGATCTCATAGTCCCATATAGAAATCAGCACTCATCAGATCATGTGATATGATTTGGGGTTCAAAACATGTGTCCCCTAAGGGATGTAAATTGGATTAGCTTTCCTGGGAACTTGATTGCATATCCCAGTGAGAGAGGTGGAAGATGGTAAAAAAAAATGTGGATGAAGACCAATATAAGGCTTCCACCAAGTTCTCTAGTCTTAATTTCATATTCATTTGAGAGGTGAAAACTGACAGTGAATCCCTTAGTAGGACTATACGGAGATGCCAGAGCATTCCCTAGCCAGGAACTGAAGTCAGGAAGAACTACCAGGTTAAGAACATAATGCTATGTGGAATCTCCTGATCTTATAAAACTGGGAAGGACTGAAGCTGCCACAAGCGGAATCAGCAGGTATCATGTGGTAAACTACCTTTTTATTTCTATCATCATATTTTTCTCTTGTGCCGCAATTTGCTAGATTAATGAACTTTAAGATACTTCCTTTCCCTGTGCCCTTCCACTGGAGAAAAGTAGGGGTTACTCTTAAATTTTCTAATATACTTATTTAGGTCTTTGTTTTTCTAAGTTTGAAGCAATTTAAGATTCCTTTCTTCCTCCTGAAAATGACACTGGCCTTATTACCAGTTAACTCTCCACAGAACAAAGTACCCATGTTGTCACTGGGACCTACATTGTACCCATGTTGTCACTGTGACCTGTGTTGTACCCACGGTGTCACTGTGACCTATGATATTAGTCTTTTCACTTTATTCGTACATATTTCTTCTGCATTATTTTTACTTCCAGTAGTTAATTAAAACTTTTTTTTTTTAGATTTAGTTTCTGCACCATATATATCTGTATTAGTCTGTTCTCATGCTGCTATAAGGGCATACCTGAGACTAGGTAATTTATAAAGCAAAGAGGTTTAATTGACTCACAGTTCTGCATTGCTAAGAAGGCCTCAGGAAACTTACAATTATGATGGAAGGGAAAGCAAACACATCCGTCTTCATATGGCAGCAGAAGAGAGAAGAATGAGAGCCTAGCAAAGGGGGAAACCCCTTATAAAACCATCATATCTGGTGAAAACTTACTCACTATCACGAAAATAGCATGAGGGAAACTGCACCTATGATTCAATTACCTTGCACCGGGTCCCTCCCACCACATGTGAGGATTATGAGAACTACAATTCAAGAAGAGATTTGGGTGGAGACACAGTCAAATTATATCATTCCACCCCGGCCCCTCCCAAATATCATATTTTCACATGTCAAAACACAAACATGTGTTTCCAACAGTCCCCCAAAGTCTTAACTCATTCCAGCATTAACCCAAAAGTCCAAGTCCAAAGTCTGATTTGAGACAAGGCAAGTCTCTTCTGTGAGCCTGTAAAATCAAAAGCAAGTTAGTTACTTCCCAAATACAATGAGGGTACAGGCATTGGGTAAATACACCCATTGAAATGGAAGAAGTTGGCCAAAACAAGGGCTGCAGGTCCCATGCGAGTTCAAAATCCAGTGAGCCAGTAATTAAATCTTAAAGCTCTGAAATGAACTCCTTTGACTCCATGTCTCACCCAGGTCACACTGATGTAAGAGGTGGGCTTCCACGGGCTTGGGCAGCTTCACCCCTGTGGCTTTGCAGAGTACAGCCTCCCTCCCAGTTGCTTTCATGAGTTGGCATTGAGTGTCTGTGGCTTTTCCAGGTGCACAGTGCAAGCTGTTATCGTATCTACCATTCTGGGGTCTGAAAGATAGTGGCCCTCTTCTCAAAGCTCCACTAGGCAGTGCCCCACTGGGGACTCTATGTGGGAACTCCAGCCCCACATTTCCCTTTCACACTGCCCTGGCAGAGGTGCTCCATGAGGGCCCTGCCCCTGCAGCAAACTTCTGCCTGGACATCCAGGCATTTCCATACATCCTGTGAAATCTAGGAAGGGAGACATTTTCCCCATTGTCTTGGTGATTAACTTTGGGCTCCTCCTTACTTATACAAATTTCTGCAGCCAGCTTGAATCTCTCACCAGAAAACGGGTTTTTATTTTCTATTACATTGTCAGCCTGCAAAATTTTCAAACTTTTATGCTCTGCTTCCTGTTGAATACTTTGCACTTAGAAATATCTCCCACCAGATACCTTAAATCATCTCTTTGAAGTTCAACATTCCACAGTTCTACAGGGCAGGGGCAAAATGCTGCCAGTCTCTTTGGTAAAGCATAGTAAAAATAACCCTTATTCCAGTTCCTAACAAGTTCCTCATCTCCATCTGAGACCAACTTAGCCTGGACTTCATTGTCCATATCGCTATCAGCATTTTAGTCAAAGCCATTTGTTCCAAACTTTCCCACATCTTCCTGTCTTCTGAGCCCTCCAAATCTCTAGGAAGTTCCAAATTTTCCCACATTTTCCTATCTTCTTCTGAGCCCTCCAGACTGTTCCAACATCTGCCTGTTACCCAGCTCCAAAGTCACTTCCACATTTTTGGGTATCCTCATAGCAGCACCCCAGTCCCTGCAGTACCAATTTACTGTATTAATCCATTCTCACACTGCTAGAAGGACCTACTCAAGACAAGGTCATTTATAAAGAAACGAGGTTTAATTGACTTACAGTTCTGCATGGCTGGGGAGGCCTCAGGAAACTTAAAATCATGGCGAAAGGGGAAGCAAACACATCCTTCTTCACATGGCTGCAGAAAAAGTATAATGAGAGCTGAGTGAAGGGGGAAGCTCCTTATAAAACCATCATATCTTGTGAGAACTTACTATCACAAGAATAGCATGGGGAAAACTGTACCCATGTTTCAATTACCTCCCACCAGCTCCCTCCCATGACACATGGGAATTATGGGAACTACAATTCAAGATAAGATTTGTGTGGGGACTAGTCAAACCATATCAATATTCAATTCCTTGTAGCTTACGCCCCTTAGTGTTTATTTTTCTTCTTGATAAACTATTCAATACAGTACTCCCTCCTTATGTGTGAGGCACATGCTTCAAGACCCCCAGTGAATGCTCAAAACAATAGGTGGTACCAAACCCTATATATACTATATTTTTCCCAGAAAGTACATAGCAATGTTAGAATTTAATTTATAAATTGGGCATAGCAACAGATTTAAAACAATAACTACTAATAAAATAGAACGATTATAATAATATTCTGTAATAAAAGTTATTTGATTCTGGTCTTTTTCTCTCTCTTTTGCTCTCAAAACCTTTTATTGTACTATTGTGTGCCCAGCTATTTTCCAACTGCAGTTGACTTTGGGTAACTGAAACAGTGGAAAGCAAAACTGCAGGTAAATGGGGACCACTGTATCTTTTTAAATGAAAAACTATGCCTAGTAAACTCTATTAGTCTTTGTATGTCAGAAATGTCTTTTTCTACCCTCTCTTCACTCTTTCATGATAATCTACATGGAGGTAAAAATTTAAGTCATAAGTTATGTTCCTTCACTAATTTGAAGATATTTTATCATTGTTTTTGACATCTCTTGTTCATAATCCTGTTCATAATGGTTCTGTTGTCTCATTAATTGACATTCTAGGTGGTCCATCTATTCTCTGAGGTAGCTTTTAAGAAATTCTTTTTAATTATTTATGTTCTGCAGTTCCACTACCAAGCATTTGGTATGGGGTTTTTAACTGGCCAAAATTTAGCATGTCTTTCCTTTCTTTTTTATTTTTAATTTCTGTGGGTACATAGTAGTTATATATATTTATAGGGTACATGAGATATTTCGATATAGACATGCAATATTAAATAATCGCATCACAAAGAATGTGGTATCCAAACCCTAAAGCATACAAACAATCCAGTTACACTCTTTTAGTTATTTTAAAATGTACAATTAAGTTATTATTGACTATAGCACCCTGTTGTGCCATCAAATAGTAGTTCTTGTTCATTCTTTCTATTTTTTGGTACACATTAACCATCCCCGCTACCCTCCCCCAAGCCTGCCACTACCTTTCCCAGCCTGTGGTAGCCATCCTTCTACTCTCTGTGTCCATGAATTCAATTGTTTTGATCTTTACATCCCACAAATAAGTGAGAATATGTGATGTTTGTCTTTCTCTTCCTGGCTTATTTCACTTAACATAATGATCTCTTGTTCCATCCATGTTGTTGCAAATGACAGAATCTCATTCTTTTTATGGCTGTATAAATACACCACATTTTCTTTATCCATTCATCTGTTGATAGACACTTAGGTACCTTCCAAATCTTAGCTGTCATGAACAGTGCTGCCACAAACATAAAAGAACAGGTATCTCTTTGATATAATGATTTCCATTCTTTTGGTTATATACCCAGCAGTGGGATGGCTGGATCATATGATAGCTCTACTTTTAGTTTTTTGAAGAATCTCCAAACTTTTCTCCACAATGACTTTACTAATTCACATTCCCACCAACAATGTACAAAGGTTTGTTCCCTTTTTAGCACATTCTTGCCAGCATTTGTTAATGCCTGATTTTTTTGATAAAAGCCATTTTAATTAGGGTATAATGATATCTCATTGTGGTTTTTATTTGCATTTTTTGGATGATGTTGAACACCTTTTCATATGTCTATTTCCCATTTGTGTGTCTTCTTTTGAGAAATGCCTATTCAGATATTTTATCCATTTAAAATGGTATTATTAGATTTATTTCCTACAGATTTGTTGGTACTCCTTATATATTCTGGTTATTACCCCCTTGTCAGATGGGTAGCATATTAGTCTGTTCTCATACTGCTATAAAGAACTACCTGAGACTGGGTAATTTATAAGGGAAAGAGGTTTAATTGACTCACAGTTCAGCATGGCTGGGAAGGCCTCAGGAAACTTACAATCATGGTAGAAGGTGAAGGAGAAGCAAGCCACCTTCTTCACAAGTTGGCAGGAAGGAGAAGTGTTGAGTGAAGTGAGAAGACCCCTTACAAAATCATCAGATCTCATGAGAACTCCCTCACTATCATGAAAACGGCATGGGAGAAACTGCCCCCATGAAACAATTATTTACATCTGGTCTCTCCCTTGACACTTGGGGACTATGGGAATAATGGGGATTACAATTCAAGATGAGATTAGGGTGGGGACACAAAGCCTAACCATATCATTCTGCCCCAACCCCTCCCAAATCTCCTGTCCATTTTTCATTTCAAAACCAATCATGCCTTCCCTATAGTCCCCCAAAGTCTTAATTCATTCTAGCATAATCCATAGTCCAAGTCCAAAGTCTCACCCAAAATAAGACAAGTCCCTTCTGCCTATGAGCCTGTAAAATCAAAATCAAGTTAGTTACTTCCTAGATACAATGGGGGTACAGGCAATGGACAAATACCCCTGTTCCAAATGGGAGATATTGGCCAAAATTAAAGGGCGACAGGCCCCATGAAAATCTGGAATTCAGCAGGGCAATAAAATCTTAAAACCCCAAATGACCTCCTTTGACTTCATGTCTCAAATCCAGGTCACACTGATACAAAGGGTAGGCTCCCATGGTCTTGGGCAGCTCTGCCCCTGTGACTTTGCAGGGTATAGCCCCTGTCCCAGCTGCTTTCACAGGCTGGCATTGAGTGTCTTTGGCTTTTCCAGACACGCAGTGCAAGCTGTTGGTGGATCTATCATTCTGGGGGCTGGAGGATGGTGGTCCTCTTCTCACAGCTCTACTAGGCAGTGCCCCAGTGGCAACTCTGTGTGCAGGCTTCAACCCCACATTTCTGCACTGCCCTAGCAGAGGTTCTCCATGAGGGCTCCACTCCCGCAGCAAACCTCTGCCTGGACATCCAGGCATTTCCATACATCTTCTGAAATCTAGGTGGAGGTTCCCAAATATCAATTCTTGACTTCTGTGCACCTACACCACGTGTAAGCCACCAAGGCTTGAGGCTCTCACCCTCCGAAGCAACAGCCTGAGCTGTATGGCCCCTTTCAGTCATAGCTGGGATGCAGGGCACCAAGTCCCAAGCAGCACCCAAGCAGGGCACCTGCACAAAGCAGCAAGGCCATTTTGTAGTTTGCAAATATTTTCTCCCATTCTGTGGGTTGTCTCTTCACTTTGTTGGTTTATCTTTTGCTGCACAGAAGCTTTTTAACTTGATGTGATATCATTTTTCTATTTTTGCTTTGGTTGCTGGTGCTTGTGAGGTATTGCTTAAGAAATTTTTTGCCCAGACCAATGTCCTGGAGATTTTCCCCAATATTTTCTTCTAGTATTTTCATAGTTTGAGGTTTACACTATGAAAGACTTAAAGACTAAGTTAGAATTAAGACTACGGTAAAGTTAGATAAAGACTAGACTAGTTAAAGTTTTTAAGATTTACATCATTAACTTGGATTAATATTGGCATCAATAAAGCATTTAATTTAAAAGACTTAGATTTAAGACTTAAATCCATTTTTATTTGATTTTCGTATATGGCAAGAGATAGGGGCGTAGTTTCATTCTTCAGCATATGGATATCCAGTTTTCCCAGCACCATTATTGAAGAGACTATCTTTTCCCCAGTGTGTGTTCCCAGCAACTTTGTGGAAAATGAGTTCACTTTAGGTTTGTGGATTTGTTTCTGGGTTCTCTATGTTGTTCCATTGTTCTATGTGTCACGTTTATGCAAGTACCATGCTGTTTTGTTTACTATAGCTCTGTAGTATGACCTGAAGTCAGGTAATTTGACTTCTTCCTTTCCAATTTGGATGCCTTTATTTGTTTCTCTTGTCTGATTGCTCTAGTTAGGACTTCCAGTACTATGTTGAATAACAGTGGTGACAGTGGACATTCTTGTCTTCTTTGACATCCTTGGAGGGAAGAGTTTCAGTTTCTCCCCAGTCATTAGGATACTAGCTGTGGGTCTGTCACATATGGCTTTTATTATGTTGAGATATGTTCCTTTTATACACAGTTTTTTAGGGGTTTTATCATGAAGGGGTGTTGAATTTTATCAAATGCTTTTTCAGTATCCAAAATGATTAAATGGTTTTTATCCTTCATGCTGCTGATATGATGTATGACACTGATTGATTTGTGTATGCTGAATTATCCTTCCATCTTAGGGATAAATCCCACTTGGTCATGTTAAATGATCTTTCTAATGTATTTTCTAATTAAGTTTGCTAGTATTTTGTTGAGAATTTTTCATCAATATTGATCAGAGATGTTGGCCTGTAGTTTTTGGTTTTTGTGTGTTTTTTTAATGTGCCTTTGTGTGGTTTTGGTATCAAGGTAAGACTGGCCTCCTAGAAAGAGTTTCAAAGTATTCCCTTTGCCTCTATATTTTGAAATAGTGTGAGTAGGGTTAGTATTAGTTCTTTAAATGTTTGGTAGAATTCAGCAGTGAAGCCATCAAGTCCTAGGCTTTTCTTTACTGGGAGAATTTTTATTATGGCTTCTTTATTGCTATTTGTCATTGGTCTGTTCGGGTTTTGGACTTCTTCCTGGTTCAATCTTGGTAGGTTGTATGTGTCTAGAAATTTGTTCATTTCTGCTAGATTTTCCAATTTATTGACATATAGTTGTTTATAGTAGCCACTAATGATCCTTTGAAATTCTGCAGTATCAGCTGGAGTGTCTCCTTTTTCATTTCTGATTTTCTTTTGATCTTCCCTCTTTTTTCTTATTTAGTCTGGATAAAGGTTTGTCAATTTGTTTCACTTTTCAAAAAAAAAAAAAACAACTTTTTAACTCATTGATCGTTTGTATTTTTTCACTTCAATTTCATTTATTTGTGTTCTGATCTTTATTATTTGCTATGTTCTACTAATTTTGGGTTTGGTTTGCTCTTGCTTTTCTAATTCTTTAAGATGCATCATTAGATTGTTTACTTGAAATTTTACTTCTTTTTTAACATAGGCATTTATAGCTATAAACTTCCCTTTGAGTACTGCTTTTGCTGTATCCCATAGGTTTGGGTATGCTGTGTTCCATTAACATTTTTTTCAAGAAATTTTTCAATTTTTTTCCTAATGTCTCCATTGTGTCACTGGTCATTCAGAAGCATGTTTACTTTCCATGCATTTGTATAGTTTCTTAAATTCCTCTTGTTATTAATTGCTAATTTTATTCCATTGTGGTCAGAGAAGATGCTTGATATTGTTTCAATTTTTGAATGTTTTAACACTTGTTCTGCGACCTAACATATGGTTTACCCTTGAGAGTGATCCATGTGCTGACAAGAAGAGTGTGTATTCTACAGCCGTTGGATGAAATGTCCTGTAAATATCTATTAGGTCCATTAGGTCTAGATTAAGTCTAATGATTCTTTGTTGATTTTCTGTCTGAAAGATCTGTCCAGTGCTGAAAGTCGTGTTGAAGTCTCCAGCTATTATTGTATTGGGACTTATTTCTCTCCTTTGGGTTTTAATATTTGTTTTATATATCTTGGTGTCTGGTGTTCGGTGCATATATATTTATTTATAATTGTTATATCCTCTTAATGAATTGACATCTTGATTATTATATAGTGACCTTCTTTGTCTCTTCTTAGTGTTTGTCTCAAAATCTATTTTGTCTGATATAAGTATAGCTACTCCTGCTCCTTTTTTGGTTTCCACTGGCATGGAATATCTTGTTCCATCCCTTTATTTTTAGTCTGTGGGTTTCTTTATAGGTGAAGTGCATTTCTTATAGGCAACAGATCAAGGGATCTTATTTTTTCACCCAGTCAGCCTTGTATGTCTTTTGATTGGAGAGTTTAGTCCATTTACATTCAATGTTATTATTGATAAGTGAGGACTTCTGTCATTTTGTTATTTGTTTTCTGGTTGTTTTGTGGTCTTCTCTTCCTTCTTTCCTTCCTGTCTTCCTTTAGTGAGGGTTATTTTCTCTGGTGATATGACTTAGTATCTTGCTTTTAATTTTTATGTATCCATTGTATTTTTTTTTGGTTCGAGATTACTACGAGGCTTGCAGATACTATCTTTCAACCCATCATTTTAACCTGATAACAACTTAAGACTTTTTGTATAAACAAACAAACATGCAAAAAGAAAACTAATAAAAAGTCTACACCTTAACTTTGTTCCCCCCTACTTTTTAACTTTTTATTATTTCTACTTATATTTTATTGCACTATGTCTTGGAAAGTTGTTGTAGTTATTATTTCTTTTACCGGTTTATCATTTAGTCTTTCTACTTAGGATAAGAGTAGTTTACACACCACAGTTATAGTGTTATGATATTCTGTGTTTTTCTGAGTACTCACTATTACCAATGAGTTTTGTATGTTTAGGAGATTGCTTATTGCTCAACAGTGTCCTTTTCTTTCTCACTGAAGTACTCCCAAGGACTTTTCGGTTAGCAGGTGATAAATGTTGCCAGGACTGGATCCTCCCCTTCAAGGCAGTGGGTTCACTTCTGGTCCAGGGTGCATCTAGAAATGTTGTCCAGGAGACAGGGCCTGGAACAAGGGCCTCATGACTCTAACCAATGCTCTATCCTGCTGTGGCTGAGCTGGTGTTCAAGATGCAAGACAAAGTCTTTCCCATTCTTCCTTCCACTCTCCTCAAACAGAAGGAAGGGATCTCTTGTGCAGCCATAAGCTGTGCAGCCTGGAGTTAGGAAAGGGGTGATGGTAGTGCTCAATAAGCCACCCAAGGTGGTGTCTCAGTAGGTTTCATATCCTCCCAGTCCACTGTCTCTGGGCCCAGTTTAGCACTAGGACTCATCTAAGAGTTGCAATCCTTGTGTCCTAGACTGCCTTTCAAGTTTATTTAGAGACCCAAAGAAAGTTAGCCTATGGTGCTGAGGTTTGCAGGAACTCTAGTTCTGACTGCTATGATTAATGGTTCCCCTCATTCTAAGGCTGGCTTAAATGCTCCCTCCACAGGTGAGCATATGCTGAGTTTGGTCCATTTTTTCCTTCTGCTTTAACAGTACAGCACTGAGTTCAATGCCTCACAATTGCTGTGTTCTCCCTCTTCTAGTGCCCAGAGCTGCTCTTCCTACCACAGCTGCTGTGAGGTGCAGGAGGGGTGGCATTGGCAGTTTAAGACTGTTTTTTCTTTTAATTTCTTCTTCAGTGCTTCTTATAGTGATATGATGTTAAAACCAGGTATTAAGAGGGTTCACCTGATTTTTGGTTCTTCTGAAGGTGCTTTTTTTCTGTACTAGTTGTTAAATTGGTATCCTTGCTAGGATGATGACTAGCGGAGTGCTCTATTCCACCATCTTGCTCTGCCCACCAAGTGAGTTTCTTCCTAAGTCCTTGTGTCTGTCTTCAGTTCTTTCATTAGTGCTTCAAATCTTATTTATCTAAAACTCTCTTCATTCTCTTCAGAAATCCTAGCAGGCATTATGTTGAAAGTTCTCAATTTATTTTCTATATCTTTCAACTGCTTTTTCATACATGATATCTGCCTCTCTCTATTGCATTCAAAGTGAAACACTCAGAACTCTTTTCTGTTTCTATAATTCTTTATCTGTGTTCAGCCTAGAGTTTGGTTGATTGATTGAGTTTATTTTTATTATTATTATTATTATTATACTTTAAGTTTTAGGGTACATGTGCACAATGTGCAGGTTAGTTACATATGTATATATGTGCCATGCTGGTGCACTGCACCCACTAACTCGTCATCTAGCATTAGGTATATCTCCCAACGCTATTCCTCCCCCCTCCCCCAACCCCACACCAGTCCCCAGAGTGTGATGTTCCCCTTCCTGTGTCCATGTGTTCTCATTGTTCAATTCCCACCTATGAGTGAGAATATGCGGTGTTCGGTTTTTTGTTCTTGCGATAGTTTACTGAGAATGATGATTTCCAGTTTCATCCATGTCCCTACAAAGGACATGAACTCATCACTTTTTATGGCTGCATAGTATTCCATGGTGTATATGTGCCACATTTTCTTAATCCAGTCTATCATTGTTGGACATTTGGGTTGGTTGCAAGTCTTTGCTATTGTGAATAATGCCGCAATAAACATACGTGTGCATGTGTCTTTATAGCAGCATGATTTATAGTCCTTTGGGTATATACCCAGTAATGGGATGGCTGGGTCAAATGGTATTTCTAGTTCTAGATCCCTGAGGAATCGCCACACTGACTTCCACAGTGGTTGAACTAGTTTACAGTCCCACCAACAGTGCAAAAGTGTTCCTCTTTCTCCACATCCTCTCTAGCACCTGTTGTTTCCTGACTTTTTAATGACTGCCATTCTAACTGGTGTGAGATGGTATCTCATTGTGGTTTTGATTTGCATTTCTCTGATGGCCAGTGATGGTGAGCATTTTTTCATGTGTCTTTTGGCTGCATGAATGTCTTCTTTTGAGAAGTGTCTGTTCATGTCCTTTGCCCACTTTTTGATGGGGTTGTTTGTTTTTTTCTTGTAAATTTGTTTGAGTTCATTGTAGATTCTGGATATTAGCCCTTTGTCAGATGAGTAGGTTGCGAAAATTTTCTTCCATTTTGTAGGTTGCCTGTTCACTCTGATGGTAGTTTCTTTTGCTGTGCAGAAGCTCTTTAGTTTAATTAGATCCCATTTGTCAATTTTGGCTTTTGTTGCCATTGCTTTTGGTGTTTTAGACATGAAGTCCTTGCCCATGCCTATGTCCTGAATGGTAATGCCTAGGTTTTCTTCTACGGTTTTTATGGTTTTAGGTCTAACGTTTAAGTCTTTAATCCATCTTGAATTGATTTTTGTATAAGGTGTAAGGAAGGGATCCAGTTTCAGCTTTCTACATATGGCTAGCCAGTTTTCCCAGCACCATTTATTAAATAGGGAATCCTTTCCCCATTGCTTGTTTTTCTCAGCTTTGTCAAAGGTCAGATAGTTGTAGATATGTGGCGTTGTTTCTGAGGGCTCTGTTCTGTTCCATTGATCTATATCTCTGTTTTGGTACCAGTACCATGCTGTTTTGGTTACTGTAGCCTTGTAGTATAGTTTGAAGTCAGGTAGCGTCATGCCTCCAGCTTTGTTCTTTTGGCTGAGGATTGACTTGGCGATGCGGGCTCTTTTTTGGTTCCATATGAACTTTAAAGTAGTTTTTTCCAATTCTGTGAAGAAAGTCATTGGTAGCTTGATGGGGATGGCATTGAATCTGTAAATTACCTTGGGCGGTATGGCCATTTTCACGATATTGATTCTTCCTGCCCATGAGCATGGAATGTTCTTCCATTCATTTGTATCCTCTTTTATTTCATTGAGCAGTGGTTTGTAGTTCTCCTTGAAGAGGTCCTTCACATCCCTTGTAAGTTGGATTCCTAGGTATTTTATTCTCTTTGAAGCAACTGTGAATGGGAGTTCACTCATGATTTGGCTCTGTTTGTCTGTTGTTGGTGTATAAGAATGCTTGTGATTTTTGTACATTGATTTTGTATCCTGAGACTTTGCTGAAGTTGCTTATCAGCTTAAGGAGATTTTGGGCTGAGACAATGGGGTTTTCTCGATAGACAATCATGTCGTCTGCAAACAGGGACAATTTGACTTCCTCTTTTCCTAATTGAATATCCTTTATTTCCTTCTCCTGCCTGATTGCCCTTGCCAGAACTTCCAACACTATGTTGAATAGGAGTGGTGAGAGAGCGCATCCCTGTCTTGTTCCAGTTTTCAAAGGGAATGCTTCCAGTTTTTGCCCATTCAGTATGATATTGGCTGTGGGTTTGTCATAGATAGCTCTTATTATTTTGAGATACGTCCCATCAATACATAATTTATTGAGAGTTTTTAGCCTGAAGGGTTGTTGAATTTTGTCAAAGGCCTTTTCAGAGACTTAGACTCCCACACATTAATAATGGGAGACTTTAAAACCCCACTGTCAACATTAGACAGATCAACGAGACAGAAAGTCAACAAGGATACCCAGGAATTGAACTCAGCTCTGCACCAAGCGGACCTAATAGACATCTACAGAACTCTCCACCCCAAATCAACAGAATATACATTTTTTTCAGCACCACACCACACCTATTCCAAAATTGACCACATACTTGGAAGTAAAGCTCTCCTCAGCAAATGTAAAAGAACAGAAATTATAACAAACTATCTCTCAGACCACAGTGCAATCAAACTAGAACTCGGGATTAAAAATCTCACTCAAAACCACTCAACTACATGGAAAATGAACAACCTGCTCCTGAATGACTACTGGGTACATAATGAAATGAAGGCAGAAATAAAGATGTTCTTTGAAACCAATGAGAACAAAGACACAACATACCAGAATCTCTGGGACACATTCAAAGCAGTGTGTAGAGGGAAATTTATAGCATTAAATGCCCACAAGAGAAAGCAGGAAAGATCCAAAATTGACACCCTAATATCACAATTAAAAGAACTAGAAAAGCAAGAGCAAACACATTCAAAAGCTAGCAGAAGGCAAGAAATAACTAAAATCAGAGCAGAACTGAAGGAAATAGAGACACAAAAAACCCTTCAAAAAATTAACGAATCCAGGAGCTGGTTTTTTGAAAGGATCAACAAAATTGATAGACCACTAGCAAGACTAATAAAGAAAAAAAGAAGAATCAAATAGACGCAATAAAAAATGATAAAGGGGATATCACCACCGATCCCACAGAAATACAAACTACCATCAGAGAATACTACAAACACCTCTACGCAAATAAACTGGAAAATCTAGAAGAAATGGATAAATTCCTCGACACATACACTCTCCCAAGACTAAACCAGGAAGAAGTTGAATCTCTGAATAGACCAATAACAGGAGCTGAAATTGTGGCAATAATCAATAGCTTACCAACCAAAAAGAGTCCAGGACCAGATGGATTCACAGCCGAATTCTACCAGAGGTACAAGAAGGAACTGGTACCATTCCTTCTGAAACTATTCCAATCAACAGAAAAAGAGGGAATCCTCCCTAACTCATTTTATGAGGCCAGCATCATCCTGATACCAAAGCCGGGCAGAGACACAACCAAAAAAGAGAATTTTAGACCAATATCCTTGATTGAGTTGATTTTTAACATTTACTAGTTCCCTTTCTATATATGTAATTCTCTTTCATATTACCTGTGATTTCTTGTCTTTTTAATTGAAGGACCCCATCAAAATAAATATACAAATTTTAATGTCTTATCACATAGATCTGTAACATTAATTTTTACCTGGAATGAGTAAACGTTTTTATTATTGGCAATTTTTCTTTATAACAAGGTTAATAATAGTACATTCCAGAAAATAGAAATATGTTTATTATTATGTCTTCTCTAGCACTCTTCTGATAAAATAGCTTTTTCACTCATTAACAAGGAAGTCAGTACTGCTCTCATTCAAAATAATAAAGACAAAATCTGAGGTGACATCAAGGGTTTCTTCCAGATGAAATAACATTCTCCTTAATTCATCCTTGTATTGAATTTTATTTTTTCTAATGAAGTCTATGTTGCTAAAATAAATGAAATGAGACGTTAGAGCCACTATAGCTGTAAATAATCTCACACAATGTTGACATCTTTGAAAACTATTAAAAATAAGATTCCTGCTATAGGAAGAATCACACATTTGATCTGAAACCATTTATCCTGTAATCTCCATTACATTGATCACTCTCTTCTTTTTTCTGTAGTAAACACCACATTATTTATATTTTGCCAGGCACTCTGGTATAAAGGCAAACTCTGGGAGTATAAACACTGTCATAAGTCATCCTGGTGAGACTAAACTGTTTTTATAATAAATAATGATTCCTCTACCAGGTGCCACACAACCTCATAAATTCAAGGGAAGCATTGTGGTTGCCATAATCATTAAAAAATACTGATCAAAGATTTCAGACAGCAGATTTTTCTATTCAGCTCTGCAGTCAGAGTAAACTGCCATATCACTTACTTTTACAATTACCACAATTAAGAGTATTGCCATTCTGTGTTTTTGTCTGTAACGGGTGTATCTGTAAGTAATGCCATAATAGGTAAGGCTACTGGTTCAGCAAACAAAATATTTCTATAACTATAGTATTAAGAAAAGTTGTAAACAGGTATTGTAGCTTCTCTCTTTAAAATCAGTTAAAAGTATTGGACAAATGCTTTGAAAGATCTTGACTTTCCCCTGGAAAACATACTGTGGATTTATAACTAATTAGTTTATCCAAACTTTTTGTAAAATTGTTTTCAGGTAGATTAATCAGTTGCTGATCACACATTCCATAAAATATAACAGAAAATTTTTTAATTCCAAAATTGCCAAGGTACAATTTCATATTTGCCAGTTTTGTCAATTATATTATGCATGAATACCTACATAACTACTTAGATTAACTTTGCTGCTGCCAGTCAATCTGATAGAGAATTTTTAGATTATTCATACAACAAATATTTATTTATCATTTACTATGTAGTGGACACTGTCTCTGCTGCTGCTGGATCTTTCAGATTCCCTTCACAGTTTCTGTGCAGACTTCTTCCAACAACTGTGTGTTTGATTTTTATGTCTTGCCCCTGCTACCCTCTTCAGAAAACTTCACTGTGCTTACCAGAGCCACTTTACCTGCTTTTCCTGCAAGGTGTAAGAGTTTATTTCTCCCAGGAATGGCTCAGTTCTAATGATTGAGCAGTGGATTGCTAAATCCCTTGACTTCAACTGGGAGCAACTCAGGGGTATAAGACTCCAGAGCTCTCAATGGGATCAGGGTGAGGCTGGGACATGAGCTGAAATTGCACCTCTGCTTGGCTTCCTTCCCCTGCCTTTCCTGCTCCCCCAACTCTCTTTCCCCTGCAAACACTTTCTTGGGAAGTCATCTACACACATTTCCTCACCCTGGTGTCTGCTCCTGGAGCAGAAAACATACCAAGTGTCAGACTTGGGGCTGGATGCTAAGAATATAAAGAAAAACAAATCAGACACGGACAGTGCTGCTTAAAACTCACAGTCCAATGAAGAAGATGAAAATCAAATGAACATTAGTGTAAAATATGAGAAGCACTCTCTCAGAAGATTATGTACTTTGGGAGAAAAAGTACATAATCCTTTAAGGTAGCAGTGGTCAAAAAAGGCTTACTGGAGGATATGGCTGAGACCTAAAGGCTAAACAGGGCATATGCAGTCAAAGGAAATGTGGAAAATTGCAAGGGGAATACAGGAGAGAGAGTACACAGTGGGATCATTTAGTGCAGAAATCTATACACTGACTGTGTATTACTGTATTTTCCTGTAAATTCAAGAATGAATTACAAGTAAGAGTTAATGGAATGAAACCTTCTAGAAATGGTCTTTCTTGCCTTCACCAAATATATTTGTGTAATTTTGTTTCAGTACTTCATGTACTTTACAATATAACAGGAGAGTCTTGGCAAGAACTATGTTAATAAGTACCTATTGAAGTCAACAAGTCAAGACCTCAAAGAAGTTCAATATAATAATCACTTTGGACTACAGTGGTCCAGATATGGTTCAGTCATTTAGCCCAACATAGGCACGATGTTAGTTGACAGGGAGAAGTGAAGACCACATTCCAGATGGTAAGCCGAAGAGGAGGAAATGATAAGATCATACTCAAAGAATGGAGAGATAGATTCCAGTCCAACTTCAACACCCTTCTCTGTGGGCATGTTCCCAGACTCATCCAAGTAGCTAATTACCTTTTCTTGATACACACCTATACACACTTTTTTTTTTCTGCAACCCCTTTTTTAACTCTGACTTCTTCAATAGACTATGAGTTCTTCACAAAGGAAAAGATACTTATCTTTAATAAACCCAATGATCAGCACATAGCATATGTTCAAAAATGTCTATTGGACAAAGAAATTCAAGAATAAATGATAGACTCCTTCAGCTCTTGCTCTTTTCAGTATGAGCAGAATATTTTATGCCCAAAATCTCTAACTCACCATTTTCTCCTTTTCTAGGCCAAAGCTATCCAATGGAAATATAATGTGAGCCACATATGTGATTTTAAATTTTCTAGTAACCACATTACAGTTTTTTTAACATGTGAAATTAATTTGAATTATTTATTTATTTTGATATTTCAAAATTATAATATCAACATGTTATCAATATTTTATAATTGCTAATGAGTATTTTACATTATTTTTATGCTAAGAAACCCAGAGTGTATTTTACACATGCATTACATCTCAATTTAAACTAGTCATATTTCAAGTGCTCCACAGCAATACGTGTCTATCAGACAATGCAGTTCCAGATACTACCTCAAATGTTAAATTAACATTTTTCTTTAAAAATGATCAAACAAAACTCTAAGTGTAGGCTTTCCAATCCAAGATCTTACTAAGAAGAAAGATAGTTTCAGGCACAATTATTTAGATAAGAGTTTCTCAATATACTAACATTTTGGTGAATAAGTCCTGATTGTGTGCTGTCCTGTGTATTGCCAGTGGCAACCCTCTTCCCCCGTTGTGACATCAACAATATCTCCAGACATTGCCAAATGTCTCCGGGGAGCAGGGAGAAGGATAATTGCCTCAGTTGAAAATTACTAAATTAGATTATCCCTTACAACTCTGAACCAAGAGTGTTTAGGCTCCAACAGTCAGTCTGGTGGTCAGAGAGACAGATCTCATGAAGACTTATCTCCAAAAGAATTGACATGCCACGGAGGAAACCTTGCCCCCCAAGGTGCTTCTTCTGGCATTTCTTCTTGCCAAGACTTCACTTGATCTGCCAAGAGAATCCACACTTTCCCACCTGTGGCCATTGTAGGATACTAGATTTGGGTTGCTTGGTTTTTGTTCAAGGGGTTCATTAGAGAGAGCCTTTTCCTGACATTTTGTCTCCCATTTCATATAAAAGTCCAAGATATCTTGTTTGCAAGCATTAGGATTTGATAAATAATTTGTTAGAAGATTATCAGGAAAGTTATTAGGAAGAGAGTACACAGCTAATGGGAAGACAGAAAAACCAGACTCAGAAAATAGTTAAGAACTATTTTAAGAACTGAGGGAAATTTCTTTTCAGGCTAATACTGTATTATACGAACAGTCTGATTAGAATGAAGCTTTGGGGTCACAATTATTGGGCACTTTTGTTTTCCCCTGGATACTTGACCCCGGATTATGAATATTTTCCTATCTCATTGTGATTTTCCATCATACCCTCACTGCAAGCAATAATAGATTTTACTTGCACTTACTAGCACTTGCATGTAGAATACAGGAAGCCTTGGACGTAGTCAGATTATCCTTGATTTATTCTCAGATGAGCCTTGATCCATTCTTCTGTCTTTTAAGTCTTTCTTCTAGTGGCTAAACTGATTCATTGTAATAGCATTGCAGTGCTCTAGGCCTGTAGTCCATCCATTCACTCAAAAAACATGTACTGAGTGTTCACCAAGCTAAGCTCAGCACCAAACACTACAGAAGCAGAATGAGTAAACCCAGCCCCTGTACTTGTGCAGCATGTACTCTGGCAAGAAAGACAGACATTAATCAAATAATCACAGAAAGTAATATTAAATTGTATAAAGGAAAAATACATAAAGAATACATATCATGTGAAATCCTAGATTTAGAAGGCTTATTATAAATAATAGTCAGGAAGTCAGTGAAAGTTTCTCTGAGGGAGTAGTACCTGAGAGGACCTAAGAGATGAACAGAGATTAAGCAGTAGAAGATAAGAGGGAGCAGTCCACGAATAATAAATAACCTGTTCAAAGCTCCAGTGGCAGGAAGAAGTGTGGCAAATTCAAGAGAATAAAAAAGCAAGGCCAAAAGACAGCACATGCATTTACTCTCTGAATCACCAGGTTTGCTCAATCAAATGTATGTCAAGGCAAGACTACTAATTAACTAAGGAAAAAAGTCATTTTGACTGGTTATAAGGAAATCATTGAAACATACATGAGGAGGTGGCCAACTGGAAGATTCTTGCTGAACTCAGTCACAATTTAAATAAGACGTCTCATTGCTGGTTCATGAACTGATTCCTTTTGTCATTTATGGAAAAGCAAGACTTTAGTGTACCCACACCATGCAAACAAACTTCCTTCTGAATTCAGTTGCTATGACTAGCTGATTTCCACTTACTTCAAGAGAGAAAGGGGACTCAGCAGAACTAGGAGGTTCTACCAGGTATAAATATGTAGGTTTACTATATGTAAATCTGATGCCAGGATCATGCATACTGAATTGAAACTGGAAAAATTTTGCCTCTACAAAAATCCCTCTAAAATATCAAACAGCCCTTAGAGAAACCAAGTAAGCCTTTCGTTTGAACGCCTGTTACTGGCTCTTGTGACCCAGTGAAGAATGATTTAAAGCAAAGTACTTTGTGTCAGGTAAGACAAAAGCTCAGTTTCTTCACAGCTGAGCATCTGAAAGCAAGGCTGAAAGAATACAAGGCCCAGCCAATGTTCTGTCTTCATTTTCACCTCCTCAGCTCAGCCGTCTTCTCCCATGGTGCTGGTGTGTTGGTAGAGCCAGACTCATCTCCCTGAATGCTTGGCTCTCTACCTCTTCTGGACTAAGAGGAGCCAGCTCCATGGAAACTGAAATAAGCAGGTGTTTGAGTCTCATTTAAAGCAGGAAATTCCCCTTTGATGCTACCAATGTATTTTCTAAGATTTTTTTTAAAAAAGGAATGAGAAAAGGGAAGCTGCCACCAGGGGCTCCTGCTGCAAAAGGTCAATGACTTTACAAATGGCCTTACGCTGATGCTTTTAAGAAAGAGTTTCATAGTTGGAAGCAGCTGCCACTCACTTCTCCAACCTGGCATTATCCCTTGGAAAGAGGAAAAGTCTGAAAATGTCTGATAAAGAAACAATTGGAAAATTAAGGCTGATGTGTCACATCTTTTGCTATGTCAATTTTGTGGATTCTAAATCCCTGCTTGGAGGAAACAAGCAATCAAAGACCAACAGAGCTAGAAATTAGTGAAGCAGAGTTAAGTGAGAGAGAAAAAAGAAAAAATGAAAGGGAGATGAAAGCAGTTCAGTGGATGATGAAGGCACAATGTAAGAGGAGGAATGAGGAGACCGGAGATATAAAGATGAAGGCAGAAGGAAAGTGAGAAAGAGTCCAAGGCAAACAGTGATGGAGAGAGGCAAAGATAGAGTTGAAAAACAAAACAAAACAGATAGAGCTAGAAAGGAAAGGAAAACTTGTAATGGGCAAGAGGTAAATATGAAAGAATATTTCTTCAACAAGGATCTATTGAGCAGATTCTATATGAGGTCTCTGCATTAGCAGGCACTTGGACTATAAAGATAAATCAATTAAATAAGCCATTTCAATGAATAGTAGTGATATGAAAATTGAGTACTCTCTCGGAAGAAGGACAGAGCAAGAATTCCCAGCGTAGTATCTATAAGTGATCTGGTACCCTTTGAGAAAAGATACAGATCTTTTCTTTTAATAAGTGTATAAGAAAAAAGTCAGCTCAGCAGTTTCAAAACAATGGGTTCATTTGTACTACTAAAGCCCAGCTTTTAAGCTGTATATTATCTGATTTGCAGCCTTCCTAGATATTCTTCTTTGAACTCACATTTATTTTCATCAAAGTTGCCACTAGCCCACACCGCAACTGTGCAAATTAAAAGACAAACAAACAAAACACTTCCTTTCTTCAAGGCAATTTACTTCCATCCATTGGAAAATCGTCAAAACAAGCTGGCTTTCTTAGAGTGAAACACTTTACTGCTATCTGTCAAAAAATTGTCTGGTAAATATAAACACCTTTTGTGTGCAATGTGAATGGTGACTCATGATGGGTGCTCTTGTGCAATGCCAGTCTATGCAACCATCAACAGCTCTACCTTGAATGCTATCCCTTAGACCAGGACTTCAGAATCAAAATAAAGGAAAAATTTCTGCATTATTCTTGTTTGGGAATTCTAAACCAGAAGTCTAAAGGTGGATGTGCCCCATAGCTATGCTTGCTTTTGTCTGAAACTTTGAACAGAGTAATTGAGCTAAAAATCCAAATTTCTAGCTTCTTTTGAAATATGAGCTCTGATTATACTAAGTGTTTTCTCATTGAAATAAGACGCTGGAGCAGAGTAGCTCTACACCTTGTAGCTAAGGCATATCCTGTAAACACCTCTCCTCACATTCTCCACTATTCTTTATAGTCTCTGAAACACTGAAGTCTAAGAGTCAGTACCATTTATCATAACTCTTTCACTGCTGACTTGTTTACCTTTCATCTACTTCTCATATTTTCATGTCCTACGGAGCTCCTGTAGGCAACTGAATTTGGAAACTTTGATCTAAAGCTCTGCTGTCCTTTACAGTAACCACTAGCCACATGTAGCCATTCAAACTTAAAGTAATATGAAGTAAAATTTAAATTTTCATTCCTCAGTTGCACCAGCCACATTGCAAGTGCTCAGTGCTACCTGTAGCTAGTGGTTACCATATTGGACAACATACATATAGAACACTTTCATCACTGCAGAAAGTTCTATTGGATAGTGATAATTTAGAGAAGAAAGGTGGGTTGAGATCAGCATTCTCCTCAAATGTCCTCCAGGACACTAGATATAGGAGACACTAGAAGGGGAAATTATGGCCACTAGTGGTGATAGTATCACCTACTAGATACTAGGAAGAGGTCTCTATAAGCTCAAAAAGGCAAGAAAATGATTTTCCAACATTTTCCAAAAGTTATGTCACATAACTTTTCAAAAATATTGTGTATATTAATGTCGTATGGCTACTGTAACAAATTACTACAACCTTGATGGCTTAAAACAACACAAATTTATTATTTTACAGTTCTCATGGTCAGAAGTCAGAATCGAGTTGCTCTGAGTTAAAAATAAAGATATCTTAAATAGCTCTTATTATTTTGAGATACGTCCCATCAATACCTAATTTATTGAGAGTTTTTAGCATGAAGGCTGTTGAATTTTGTCAAAGGCATTTTCTGCATCTATTGAGATAATCATGTAGTTTTTGTCTTTGGTTGTCTTTATGTGATGGATTACGTTTATTGATTTGCATATGTTGAACCAGACTTGTATCCCACGGATGAAGCCAACTTGATCGTGGTGAATAAGCTTTTTGATGTGCTGCTGGATTCAGTTTGGCAGTATTTTATTAAGGATTTTCTCATCGATGTTCATCAGGGATATTGGTCTAAAATTCTTTTTTGTTGTGTCTCTGCCAGGCTTTGGTATCAGGATGATGCTGGCCTCATAAAATGAGTTAGGGAGGATTCCCTCTTTTTCTATTGATTGGAATAGTTTCAGAAGGAATGATACCAGCTCCTCTTTGTACCTCTGGTAGCATTCGGCTATGAATTCGTCTGGTCCTGGACTTTTTTTGGTTCGTGGGCTATTAATTATTGCCTCAATTTCAGAGCCGGTTATTGGTTTATTCACGGATTCAACTTCTTCCTGGTTTAGTCTTGGGAGGGTTATGTGTCCAGGAATTTATCCATTTCTTCTAGATTTTCTAGTTTATTTGCATAGAAGTGTTTATAGTATTCTCTGACGGTAGTTTGTATTTCTGTGGGATTGGTGGTGATATCCCCTTTATCATTTTTTATTGTGTCTATTTGATTCTTCTCTCTTTCCTTCTTTATTAGTCTTGCTAGCAGCCTATCTATTTTGTTCACCTTTTCAAAAAAACCAGCTCCTGGATTCATTGATTTTTTTGAAGGGTTGTTTGTGTCTCTATCTCCTTCAGTTCTGCTCTGATCTTAGTTATTTCTTGTCTTCTGCTAGCTTTTAAATTTGTTTGTTCTAACTTCTCTAGTTCTTTTAATTGTGATGTTAGGGTGTCAATGTTAGTTCTTTCCTGCTTTCTCTTGTGGGCATTTAGTGCTATAAATTTCCCTCTACACACTGCTTTAAATGTGTCCCAGACATTCTGGTACACTGTGTCTTTGTTCTCATTGGTTTCAAAGAACATCTTTATTTCCACCTTCATTTCATTATTTACCCAGTGGTCATTCAGGAGCAGGTTGTTCAGTTTCCATGTGGTTGTGTGGTTTTGAGTGGGTTTCTTAATCCTGAGTTCTAATTTGATTGCACTGTGGTCTGAGAGACAGTTTGTTGTGATTTCTGTTCTTTTTCATTTACTGAGGAGTGCTTTACTTCCAACTATGTGGCCAATTTTGGAGTAAGTGTGATGTGGTGCTGAGAAGAATGTATATTCTGTTGATTTGGGGTGGAGTGTTCTGTAGATGTCTATTAGGTCCGCTTGGTGCAGAGCTGAGTTCAAGTCCTGCATATCCTTTTTAATCTTCTGTCTCATTGACCTGTCTAATATTGACAGTAGGGTATTAAAGTCTCCCATTATTATTGTGTGGGAGTCTAAGTCTCTTTGTAAGTCTCTAAGGACTTGCTTTATGAATCTGGGTGCTCCTGTATTGGGTGCATATATATTTAGGATAGTTAACTCTTCGTGTTGAGTTGATCCCTTTACTATTATGTAAAGGCCTTCTTTGTCTCACAGCCAATATCAAACTGAATGGGCAAAAACTGGAAGCACTCCCTTTGAAAACTGGAACAAGACAGGGATGCCCTCTCTCAGCACTCCTATTCAACATAGTGTTGGAAGTTCTGGCCAGGACAATCAGGTAAGAGAAAGAAATAAAGGTATTCAATTTAGGAAAAGAGGAAGACAGATTGTCCCTGTTTGCAGATGACATGATTGTATATTTAGAAAACCCCATCACCTCAGTCCCAAATCTCCTTAAGCTGATAAGCAGCTTCAGCAAAGTCTCAGGATACAAAATCAATGTGCAAAAATCACAAGCATTCTTATACACCAATAACAGACAAACAGAGAGCCAAATCATGAGTGAACTCCCATTCACAATGGCTTCAAAGAGAATAAAATACCTAGGAATCCAACTTAAAAGGGATGTGAAGGACCTCTTCAAGGAGAACTACAAACCACTGCTCAGCGAAATAAAAGAGGACACAAACAAATGGAAGAACATTCCATGCTCATGGATAGGAAGAATCAACATCATGAAAATGGCCATACAGCCCAAGTTAATTTATAGATTCAATGCCATCCCCATCAAGCTACCAATGACTTTCTTCACAGAATTGGAAAAAAAAACTATTTTAAAGTTCATATGGAACCAAAAAATAGCCCGAGTTGCCAAGACAATCCTAAGCAAAAAGAACAAAGCTGGAGGCATCACGCTACCTGACTTCAAACTATATTACAAGGCTACAGTAACCAAAACAGCATGGTACTGGTACCAAAGCAGATACATAGACAAACAGAACAGAACAGAGGCCTCAGAAATAACACTATACATCTACAACCATCTTATCTTTGACAAACCTGACAAAAACAAGAAATGGGGAAAGGATTCCCTATTTAATAAATGGTGCTGGGAAAACTGGCTAGCCATATGGAGAAAGCTGAAAATGGATCCCTTCCTTACAACTTATACAAAAATCAATTCAAGATGGATTAGAGACTTAAATGTTAGACCTAAAACCATAAAAACCCTACAAGGAAACCTAGGCAATACCATTCAGGACATAGGCATGGGCAAGGACTTCATGACTAAAACACCAAAAGCAATGGTAACGAAAGCCAAAATAGACAAATGGGATCTAATGAAACTAAAGAGCTTCCGCACAGCAAAAGAAACTACCGTCAGAGTGAACAGGCGACCTACAAAATGGGAGAAAATTTTTGCAATCTACCTATCTGACAAAGGGCTAATATCCAGAATCTACAAAGAACTTAAACAAATGTACAAGAAAAAAATCAAACAACCCCATCAAAAAGTGGGCAAAGGATATGAACAGACACTTCTCAAAAGAAGACATTTATGCAGCCAAAAGACACATGAAAAAATGCTCATCATCACTGGCCATCAGAGAAATTCAAATCAAAACCACAATGAGATACCATCTCACCAGTTAGAATGGCGATCATGAAAAAGTCAGGAAACAACAGGTGCCGGGGAGGATGTGGAGAAATCGGAACACTTTTACACTGTTGGTGGGACTGTAAACTAGTTCAACCATTGTGGAAGTCAGTGTGGCGATTCCTAAGGGATCTAGAACTAGAAATACCATTCATCCCAGTGATCCCATTACTAGGTATATACCCAAAGGATTATAAATCATGCTATTATGAAGACATATGCACACATATGTTTATTGTGGCACTATTCACAATAGCAAAGACTTGGAACCAACCCAAATGTCCAACAATGATAGACTGGATTAAGAAAATGTGGCACATATACACCATGGAATACTATGCAGCCATAAAAAAGGATGAGTTCATGTCCTTTGGAGGGACATGGATGAAGGTGGAAACCATCATTCTCAGCAAACTATCACAAGGACAGAAAACCAAACACTGCATATTCTCACTCATAGGTGGGAATTGAACAATGAGAACACTTGGACCCAGGGAGGGGAACATCACACACCAGGGCCTGTTGTGGGGTGGGGGAGGGAGGAGGGATAGCATTAGGAGAAACACCCAAGGTTAATGACAAGTTCATGGGGGCAGCGCACCAACGTGGCACATGTATACATATGTAACAAATCTGCACATTGTGCACATGTATACCCTAGAACTTAAAGTATAATAAAAAAAATTAAAAAGATACCAAAACTGAAAAAAAATAAAAATAAAAAAATAAAGATGTCAGAAGGGCTGCATCTTTTCTGAAGGCATCTAGGGAGGAATCATTTTCTTGCCTTTTTCAGCCTATAGAGAACTTCTCTTTCTGTCTTCAAAGTCAGCAACAGCCAGTCAAGTTTATTTCTGTCCAGCTCTAAAACTGACTCTTCTGCTTCCTTCTTCTGCTTTTAAAGACTCTTGTGATTACATTGCCTCCACCCAAATAATCCAGGATAATCTCTCCACCTCAAGGTCAGCTGATTAGTAACCTTAATTCTATCGGCAACTTAGTTGCCTTGTCATGTAACATAGCATATTCACAGGTTCTGAGGATTAGAACATAGGTACCTTTGGGAACTCTTTTGCCTACTATGCTATTTTAAATGAAATTAAACAGGGATCTCGCCAGCAGAACTTCAGTTACCTTCTAGTATCTAAAGAATAACGTGAATTGCCAAGGCAATCACAGGATATGGGGTCTGTGAAATCTATTTCATTACAGATTTTTTTTTAATGAGGAACATTTGTTAATGGTGTTTCAAGGGATAAAATCTGAAAATGCCACTGTTTGAAATCAGCAAGAATGACTCAGAAAGGAGTAATCTTTCCAATTAAATATCAAGACTATAGTAGAATGGTCTCTAAAAAACACACATAAATCGTTTTGCAGGTACTTAGCAGAGTCCTGATGAGTCCTTATTCCTCTATGGGAATACATGGAGGAGGTGGAAATGAGCTAACCACATAGAAAGATTATTGAGCCTACTTGCTCTGTATAGTATGTACATCCACAGACATGCCTCTGACAGGCTTCCATAGTCCCAATTCATTATTAGAATAGTCATGAGATACTACAAGGTACTTTGAGGGAGTGCAATCTAAAGACCTGACGTATTAGTTCATCCTGTGTCATGCAGTTAATATGCATCAAAGGACAGTCTAGATTTCCATATTCCAAGCTTATAAAGCTGCATCTTCCCAAAATATAGAAAGCCTGGTCTTCTAAGTTGTTTGTAACTGAACATCTAAGATACGATTTTTGTCCTTTCCAGAGATTAAGAACTAAAGGCTTTTATTAGAAAAAAGTGTAACATTTTGTTGTTTGTTCCCTCCCTCAGGAATTTCCAGGTAATTCACATGAAGACTTCAGAGGATTTGCCTTTCTTGCTCACATAGACTTTCTAACAAAAAAGATGATTAGGTCCCTCCCTGACTGCAATAGTTTGAATGTGTCCCCCAAAAGTTCATGTATTAGAAACTAAATTGCCACTGTAACACTATTAAGAGGTGGGACCTTTAAGAGGTGATTAGGCCATGAAGGCTCCACCCACATGAATAAATTAATGCCACTATCTTGGAGGTAGGTGAGTTATTATAAAAATGGGCTCCTGATAAAAGGATAAGTTTGGCCTTCTGCCATGTTACTACACAGCAAGGAGGCCCTTAACAAAGCAGTCCCTTGATCTTGGACTTCTCAGCCTCTAGAACTATAAGCCAAATAAACCTCTTTTTTTTTTATATATTACTCACTCTGTGGTATTCTGTTATAGCAGCAGAAAACAGATTAAGATACTGACTATACCACCAGAGTTCTTTTATTGGACCTGTCCTTCATAAAGCAAGAAACGAAAAGGACGTTACAAAAAGAATGAGATTAGACAGAGTTGATGATGTGGGAAGTTTATACATGAAACAATGTGAATAAGAGGACCATTTATTTCTGAGGATGACAGGAAAGGATAAATAACTTTGTTCACTGCTCCCCAGGTTTAAGTGGAAAATTAATCTGCTCTTGATGTCAAAATATATTACAATGTGTGCTGCAAGAATGAGGCCCATCCCAATTTACTTCCCAACAAAGATTTTGTGGTGGATTTGAAATCTTTTAATGTTGCTAACAAATTAACTTGTTATTTTAACAATATCTTTTTCAGGTCTGTAATCTGTGTTATTGGTTGCAGTTGATAAGCAGACCCTTTGTAAGAGAAAAAGATTCATTGTAATATTAATGTTTACATTGGAACTAAAAGGTGGAATATTCAGAAAGTAATAGCCCTTTGGAAATTGAGGGAGATGGTTAATTCTTGGTTCATTTTTACTTTTAGAATCATAAAAATACTAAAAATATTCTATTCTTTGAGTGTTTTTTGATAAACTGACAAATGAAACTAATACAGACTTTGTGAAATATCCCACACTCATTCAAATTAGTTTTACAGAATTTGTAGTTTATGTAAATAGGTTAAATATATGAATGTAGGGGTATTGGTCTATTTTGTAAACATGGTGTGAATTCTTCCTTCACTAACTAAAACCAAGGCAGCAGTGATCTTTCCACAAGATTCCAGGAGAGGGGATGACTCCATTGAGGTTGGAGGATAGGGACCTGTCCTTCATAAAGCAAGGAACGAAAGGATAAAGGATACAGTAGTGAAAAGACTCTTGGACAACACAGTAAAGGTGGCCCTTGAGTCATTATCTGCCTCTAACCTTAGTAAACACCTCTAAAAACATGATTTATCATTGATAAAATAATGGAGCTAAATTAATTAACCCCTAAAATCTCTACCTGTTTGAAATGGAAGAAGTGTTGGTGAGAGGAAAAGATGAAAATCAAAGATAACTCCTCTAATAGATTTCCAGTCTCCCCTCCAAATAGCTCATCTCAATAAAGCATGAGTAGCCAAACGACAAGGACAGGAGGTGAACGAGGGATTCAAGATACCTCCTGTGCCTTGGCTAATAACTGAGAACAGAGAAGGGACTAAATGTGATGTGCTGGCAGTGTAGATGGCAGCTAGTGGTTTCACAATGGTAAAACCTCAGCTCAAAGTAGTTTAAGAACAGAGAGAGACAGATAATTTGGTTCACAAAACTGAGAAGGCCATTCATGCAGTAGACAGGGATGGCAAGACTTGGGAATGACAAGGAAGGATTCTTAATGACCCAATTCTTAGTGTGACTAAGCCTTAAGGCTGTGACAAAGGAAAACAGATGCTATGAATGGCCAGGCTTAGTACATGCCCCACACTCTGTGGCCAGGAGCTGCAGAATACTATTATTGGTGGCCCCTCCAGGATTAGAGAGAAAGGAACAGTTTACCAAAGAACAAAGAGAAGAGGTGGGGGGATTCTGGAGAAATAAAAACAGTAGGCGCTCAATTGTGCATAGGACAGAAGAATTCAGGGATTGGGCAGAGAAAGAATTTCAGTGCCCTGAGCACTCCTCAGTGTGCATCTTTGGGAGCATCTTTTCTCTTCTGAGCAAAGTACCTATGTTTGTAGCAGAGTGCAGGATAGGAACCTTAAGGTTTGAGTTTGCTCCTGGCTCTGACCCTGACAAATCATGTACAAATAATCTAAACTTTGTGAGTCTCATTTATAATTTTAGCGGATTAGTCAGGTGAATTTTAAGATCTCTTCCAGCAGGAACACTCCATGAATTTCTGATGTAGCCTGATACGAAATGTGTAAAAATGCATATGTGCTGAGTAGCCCCCATTCCATAATTACCTTGAAATAGCTCTGTCCATAAGTGTACCACCCTCCTGTTTGATACTGGCATAGAGGTGGTGGTAGCGATAGTGGTGCTCATGATGGCTTTTCACACTTACTACAAGTTTGCTAAGCACCAAGCATTGCACTAGGCATTTTAAGTACATTTTCTCCAATTCTTGTATCTTTGCAAATTATATAGTATTGAAGTTTTGCAGTTGAGAAAACTGATTCTCAGAAAAGCTAAGTAATTATCTAATGTAACATCATTGCTATTAATATATATTCATATTCTTCCTTTACCCAGTCCATTGTCCTGCTATAGTGCCAGGGAGTCCTATTTAAATGATAGAAGGCAATTACCTATTGTTTAATAACCTAATTTTTAAACTTGATGTTTTCTGAGTATCTTTCTATGTCAATAAACTCACTGACATCATTTCAAAGGCTAAATAGATTTCTAGTGTATAAATATATCAGATTACTTAATCGCTTATTTTAAAATGTTTGCAAATTTCCACTCTTATAAACAATACTAAAATAAGTATTTTAGTCATTAAAATGTTTTCTTTGGGTACTTTTCAATTATTTTTTAGGTTGAATTCCAGAAAGTGAAATCACTATAATGAAGAGTATACACTTTGATGCACACTGCTAAGTTGGCACTCCCACAAAAAAGACCACCAATTGAGACACCTGTTAGCAATGCACGAAAGGGTTTATTTCTCCACATTTATACTAACACTGGATATTAGGATCTTTTATACTATTTATCAATTTTGTGGCTGTAACCTTTATTAAAAATTGTATTACTTTGATTATTCATGAAGCTAATAATTTTTCATATGCTTTTAGGCTATTTCTGTTACTTCCTGTGGGTTGCTTATTCATATTCTTAGCCCAAGTGTCACAAATTTTAAACCTTGGCTTTTATTTATATTCACATTGCAAACTGAAGAACTCAATAAAAGGCATTTTTTTCTAAAATCTGAGCTAAGATCTTACTGTTGAAACCTTTGGAAGTTATATTAACATAAGAATAAACTGCTCTGGGTGCCACTGAATACTTCCAACTTTCCAAAAATTTAGGAGGCATATGATAGTTGAAGCAAGCAATAATCACATAGGGTAAAAACACAAAAGAGGATGTAAAAAATTCCAATTTAGTTGATGTTTTAGATGCTGTTGGGGGCGCTCTCTGTTACATTTACTGGGTCCCAGCTGCTCTAAGTTTTAGCTGCAAAGAGCTCACAAATACCCCTGTAAAAGAAAACAAAACTTCAAGACCCTCTAAATTTATTATGTCAAAGGGGAAGTTAAGCCCTGGAGACTAAGTCACATAGCATGTTTGCAATTCTGCTTCTTAGGTTATGGTTCAACTTTCTTTCTCATTATTCTTCTTCTGTAAATGACAAGGAAAGAGCAGACCTTCCCCTTTGCAATCACTGATCTTTGTCATTGATAAATGCCTCCTTCCTTGTGTTATATCTAACTCAGACAAGATGGCACACAACACTCCATGACAATGACATCTTCCATGTGGAACGTTAAATATACCTTTTCCAAAAGGCAAAGACCACCTTGATTAATCACACTAGTTGCAACTGTGCATCAAGACTTACATAGAAAGATACTGAAATTCTGTGAAACTTACCTCAGTTTTGTCTGCATAAGCAATCCCAAACATCTACACTTTAGAACACTGATTTCCATTCCTTGAAATCTGTGCTTTCCAGGTGATCCTATCCTCAACCTCTGTACTTTAACAAACTCTCTTTAAGCTAGATTCTGACCTTTTTGATTATTTTAAGTTGACACCCCTTTGTTAAAAAGATAGTCCTCTATTGATGAGAGCCACATGCCTGGGAAGTTTATGAATCAACCACCAAGTCAGTCCATAGTCAGAACTAGTTGATGTTGGGGTACAAAAGACTGGACCCCTTGTCTTATAGAAAGAAAGTTTTGTGGTGTGATTTGCGCTCTAGAGGCAGCCATCCACCACCAGTGGGTCAGGTCAAGGTGTGACTTTTCCTAAGACAGAAACCTTGTTAGGCTCTTTCCCCTTTACCACCTGATATGGTTTGGTTCTGTGTCCCCACCCAAATCTCATGTGGAATTATAATTACCAATGCTGGGGGGAGGGACCTGGTGGGAAGTGATTGGATTATGGGGACGGATTTCCCCCTTGCTGTTCTCTTGCTGTGATAGTAAGTGAGTTCTCATAAAATCTGGTTGTTAAAGTGTGTGGCACTTCCCCTTTCACTTTCTCTCTCCTGTCCACCATGTGAAGATTGTGCTGCTTCCCCTTCACCTCCCGCCATGATTGTAACTTTCCTGAGGCCTCCCCAGCCATGCTTCCTGTACAGCCTGTGGAACTGTGAAGCAATTAAACCTCTTGTCTTTATAATTTACCAGTCTCAGGTAGTTCTTTACAGCAAAGTGGTAATGGACTAATATACCATCCTACTTTCCTCACTCACTTATGGGTTCCCTCTAAGAGCACCTCTACCATAAATCATGTGCACCTGGATTTCTGCCTCAGGCTGTGCTTCTAGGAAGCCAATGTAAATAGCAGGGAGTAGCAAGACTTCATGCATTTAATGTCCAATAGGTGAAAAAGGTGTGAGCATTTAATGTCGGTAGAATGGGGAAAAGAAGGCACTGAAGCATTCTTGGGAACAATCATACAATTCTATCCTTTCAGTGTCTTAATATACTGGAATATAAGAAACTTGGAGGATCAGAGAAGAAGTAATCCTCAGACATAAAAAGGATTTAAGACGACCAGTTAGGAAGCTAATGTAGTAGTCTCATTTAGGGTTGACAAGTGCCTGGGTTTCAGCAGTAATAGCTATAATCCAGCCCCCTAATACTTCAGTAATTAACATTGACTCATGAGAAACTATGTATATTGCTGAGTAAAAATAGACAAAATGTGGTTAAATATATTTTGTATGGTGTAGAAAAATACCATAGGTTCACATTTCCACTTAAAAACACTCTTAACAAGCAGCAAAACCACATGATTCATCACTGGAACCAGATGACTCGTCAAAAAGACAAAGCATAAAATGAAAGTAAGGAAGGAGAAGGACCTGCCAACTCAGCAAGACTTAACAGGTGCTCAAGAATTTAGGCTAATTAATTGACCACATGGTTGATGAATTAAGACAGTATCCATGTTTGGAATGAAGTACACTTGCTGTCCAAGTTATAGGGGTTGGTGTGAGGAGAAAGAGGGAAACATAATCCCATTGAGATAAAAAGTAATCAAAAGCACTAGGAAAAGAAAAAAATTAAAGAGAGTAATAAGCAAATGGGAAACAAAGCAATTTACATGACCATCCCACAGTAAAATAAAATAAGAATTAAGATCTGGATGCCTTATATGTCTGGCAAAAAAAAAAAAAATGCATGAACTTCAACTCTCTTAAAGAAAACTTTTTAAAATGACTGTGAAAGCTGGTAGCTAATGGACTGAAGATACATTTACCACCCACCACACCCTAAGCAAGTACTCTGAGATAAGCCCTACTTTTAGAAGTCAAAAATATTCATATTTTCCAAGGAAAGGTTATTACTTTAATAATACAAATACCCTCTAGTAAGCTTACTAAAATACTCTGATAATGGACAGCAGAATGCAGGGAGGAACATCTAGCTCAGGAAGCTTGGGACACAGTAAATCCAATTTGCAGAAGTCTTGTACTTCCTCAGCCTGTATAGATACCCTAAAATAAAAATAAGTCTATCATTTCAGTTTTTGAAAAGGTGAGACAGTGCGAAGGAAACTTAAACCCTAGTCCTGGCTCTGATTTAATCACTAACCATCTTACCTTGCAAAAATTTGTAGCATTCCTGGACCTCTGTTCTCTTACCTGTGAAATGAAAGAAGCTGCAAAAGAGGCTAAATCCAACTCTAAAATACTATTTCTTTATTTTGAAACCTACAGCATTCTTTCTAAACACTAAAGTGACAAAGTAGGATGACTCAATATATACTGAAGAGCAATCAGCTCTATTGATTGCTATGTCAACTGGTTTGACTTGAAAGTATTTCATATAAGCATAGTTTCCATTGCTACAGAGGACTACATCTTTCTTTTTGGATCTGACTTGAGATTGGTGCCATTGATGATGGATCATTACATTTTTTTCTGCAATTATTAAATAATAAGATAACTCCTAAGTCTGTATGATCCAATGGAAAGGTCATGGCATTGTGGATCAGAGGTTCTAATATCCAATTCCTGCCTTATTAGTATTGAATTTTATGGACTTTGGAAAAGTCGCTTAACTGAGTGGAGAGCAACCATAATTGACTCCTCTTAATAACATTATCAGGGTTCAATGATAAGAGAGAGCTATTCAAAAATGCTATATGGGGTACACATAGATCTTAGCGCATAATCTGAGATTTGCCAAGATACAACGTAATTGTATTTTCACAACTAAATTTAATTTTAATTTTGAGTTCCCGTTTCCCTAGGTGTGAAAAATTAATCTCAGTTGATTCAGGCTTCCCCCCTACTTCAGTTTCACTTGTGCCCATAGTCCCAGAAGGGCTACATTGTGCCAAGGTGTTGGGGTTGTCATCATTGCCCTGCTGACATCCAGCATGACTGCCCTCCCAACTGTTCTCTGGTCGTCAGTTCCAACTCACTGCTGCATTTTTCTCTTCACAATTGCAAGGCCTCTTCAGTTCTGGCAAAACTTGCAAAGAAGTAACAAAAAAAGCCACAGAGGTAAAAGAAATGACTTCAAGAAATGTTATGGAAGCCAAGGGAGGAGAAAATGCCAAGGAAATTGTGGCCATTGACTTTAAATGACTCAGAGGCATCTAAGAGTAAAGGAAAACAAAAATGGAGTTACAGATAGCTTTTACAAAAACAGTTTTCACTGAATGGCAGATATGCAATCTTAAAGAAGTAGAGAAGAAATACTAGTAGTGAATATGACAATTTTAAAAAAAAGATTTTTTTCCTTAGAAAATATTGTGATTATTTTGACTTTGGAGAAGTGTGACAGTTATACTCAGCTCTAATTTAAGACACAATAATTTCACTAAATAAAAAGAGATAACTATTTGTACTGGCTAGTGAGACTAGCCCACAAGAGTGATTAAATTCCAATATTATCAAATCTTGTTTCTCCCCTTAAGTAAGGTTAAATATTTAAGCCCACAATAATTAGGCCACCACTTCTCTGACATATTCTTAGGAATAAATAGCCAATGAAAATTAAGTCCCTTCTTCTGCTGTAACAACCTGAGACAATGAGTCACCAGTGAGTAATAAAATAGGTACTAGTTTAGATGGAAGACAGAGGAGAGAAGGTCATTAAAATTATGTTTGCCACAACTTTCTACTTTGCATGAGCCCATGAGACCAACCTGACTCTTTTAGATATAAAGATTATCATGCATAATCAACTTTATAACCTAGAAGTAATCACTATCAGATCATTTAACACCAGTCATGTACATCTTGGAGAATGCCCAGACTATGAGAATATGTCACCCTAAATTATTCTCCAAGAATTGTGAGATGAAGAAGAAAATAAGCAGGTGTTATCATGACTCTCTACTCTTTCTATTTCAACCCACTAATCCCAATAAACACACATTTTTAAAATTTTGAACATTTAATGCTAAGAGTATTCAATTCAGCTAAATTATGGAATGGGTTAAGAAAAACTTTGGTAAGTTTTCCCTTTACCCCACCCTCATCTTCTGCTAATTCTTCTGTCTCAGATCAGTCATTCCAAATAAGAAGGGAAGAAGATATGCTTTTGGCAACTTATGTCATATTGGCTCAGTTATAGACTCACAGAATAAGTAGGCGTCAAATAATCTTAGACATCATCTAGACCCACTGCACTATTTTCAGATGGGTAAAATAAGGCTCAGGGAAGTTGTGTGTCTTACCTAAGATATCACAATGAGTAGAGTAGAGCCTGGAATAGAACTCAAATTTTCTAACATTAAGGCCAGTAGTCAACAAATATTTACTGAGTTCTTAGTCCATACTAGACAATGTCCTCACCACTGAGGAGTAAAAGCTAAAAAAAAAATCACCTGAGCTATGGTGATAAATGTCACAGCCACTTAAGATAGCACCACAGATAAGAAATACTTTGATACAAATATAGAAAAATATTTGCAAGACTTATATGCCGAAAACTGTAAAACACTGATGAAGGAAATCATAAGAGACCTCAATAAATGAAACCATATACCATGTTCAGGGATTAGAAGATTCAATATTGTTAGGATATAAATTCTCCCCCAGTGGTCTACAGTACAGATTCATTGCAATTTCAATCAAAATCTTAGCAGGATTTTTTGTATATATTGACAAGCTGATTTTAAAAGGTGTATGGAAAAGTGAAGCAAATAAAATAGTCACAATTTTTTAAAAGAAGTACAAATTTGTAAGATTTACACCACCTGACTTCAGGCTTACTACAAAGCTGTGGTATCTGCAAAAGAATATATAAATCAATGGAAGAAAGTAATCTAGAAACAGACCATCAAAAACATGGTAAATTGATTTTCTACAGATGTAAGATAAAACCCCAGAAAGAAGGAATTGCCTTTTTTTTTTTTTTTTTTTTTTTGAGACGGAGTTTCGCTCTGTCGCCCAGGCTGGAGTGCAGTGGCGCGATCTTGACTCACTGCAAGCTCCGCCTCCCAGGTTCACGCCATTCTCCTGCCTCAGCCTCCCGTGTAGCTGGGACTACAGGCGCGTGCCACCATGCCCGGCTAATTTTTGTATTTTTAGTAGAGACAGGGTTTCACCGTGTTAGCCAGGATGGTCTCGATCTCCTGACCTCGTGATCCGCCCGTCTCGACCTCCCAAAGTGCTGGGATTACAGGCGTGAGCCACCGCGCCCGGCCGGGAATTGCCTTTTTAACATTGTGCTGAATAAATTCAATATCCACATATTAAAAAAAAAAGACCTGTATCTTGTAATATATATAAAAATTAATTCAAAATTGGTCAAAGATATATGTAAAACTTAAAGCTTTAAAACTTCTGGGGGAAAGCAAGGTAAAATTTTTGTGACCCTGGGTTAAGTTATTCATAGAGAAGTCACCAAAAGCACAGCTCATTAATAAAAATATTGATAAATTGGACTTCATCAAAATCAAAAACCTTTCCTCTGTAAAATACATTGTTAAGAGAATGAAAAGACAAGCCATGGACTAGAAGAAAATATTTGGAAATAATATCTGAGAAAGAATACGTATCCACAATCATTCCCAAACCTCAGCATTATGTAATAAACCCATGTAACAAACCTGCATATATACCCACTAAATCTAAAATAAAAATTGAAATTATTATAAAAAATAATTTGTAGAAGTCGTCCATATCCCTTGTAAATTGTATTCCTAGGTATTTTATTCTCTTTGTAGCAATTGTGAACGGGAATTTGCTCATGATTTGGTTCTCTGTTTTACTGTTGTATAGGAATGCTTGCAATTTTTGCACATTCATTTTATATCCTGAGACTTCGCTGAAGTTGCTTATCAGCCTAAGGAGTTTTTGGGCTGAGATGATGAGGTTTTCTAAATCATGTCATTTGCAAGAGAGATAATTTGACTCCCTCTCCTCCTATTTGAATACCCTTTATTTCTTTCTTTTGCCTGATTGCCCTAGCCAGAACTTCCAATACTATGTTGAATAGGAGTGGTCAGAGAGGGCATCCTTGTCTTGTGCCAGATTTCAAAGGGAATGCTTCCAGCTTCAAGGAGAACTACAAACCACTGCTCAAAGAAATAAAAGAGGAAACAAACAAATGGAAAAACATTCCATGCTCATAGATAAGAAGAATCAATATCATGAAAATGGCCATACTGCCCAAAGTAATTGACAGATTCAATGCCGTTCCCATAAAACTACCACTGACTTTCTTCACAGAATTGGAAAAAACTACTTTAAATTTCATATGGAAACAAAAAAGGGCCCGCAAAGGCAAGAAAATCTTAAGCAAAAAGAACAAAGCTGGAGGCATCATGCTACCTGACTTCAAACTATACTACAAGGCTACCGTAACCAAAACAGCATGATACTGGTACCAAAACAGCATGATACTGGTACCAAAACAGATATATAGACCAATGGAACAGAACGGAGGCCTCAGAAATAACATCATACATCTACAATCATCTGATCTCTGACAAACCTGACAAAAACAAGCACTGGGGAAAGGATTCCCTGTTTAATAAATGGTGTTGGGAAAACAGGCTAGCCATATACAGAAACTAAAACTGGACCCCTTCCTTAAACCTTATACAAAAATTAACTCAAGATGGATTAAAGACTTAAACGTAAGAGCTAAAACCATAAAAAACCCAAGAAGAAAACCTAGGCAATACCATTCAGGACGTAGGCATGGAAAAGACTTCATGAATAAAACATCAAAAGCAATGGCAACAAAAGCCAAAATAGACAAATGGAATCTGATTAAACTGAAGAGCTTCTGCACAGCAAAAGAAACTATCATCAGAGTGAACAGGCAACCTACAGAATGGGAGAAAATTTTTGCAATCTATCCAACTGGCAAAGGGCTAATATCCAGAATCTACAAAGACGTTAAACAAATTTACAAGAAAAAAACAACCCCATCAAAAAGTGGGCAAAGGATATGAACAGACACTTCTCAAAAGAAGACATTTATGTGGCCAACAAACATGAAAAAAAGCTCATCATCCACTGGTCATTAGAGAAATGCAAATCAAAACCACAATGAGACACCATCTCATACCAGTTAGAATGGCGATCATTAAAAAGTCAGGAAACAACAGATGCTGGAGAGAAGGCGGAGAAATAGGAAGGCTTTTATACTGTTGGTGGGGTGTAAATTAGTTCATCCATTGTTGAAGACAGTGTGGTGACTCCTCAAGGATCTAGAATTAGAAATACCATTTGACCCAGCAATCCCATTACTGGGTATATACCCAAAGGATTATAAATTATTCTGCCGTAAATACACATGCACACATATGTTTACTGCAGCACTATTCACAACAGCAAAGACTTGGAACCAACACAAATGCTCATCAATGATAGACTGGATAAAGAAAATGTGGCACATGTAAACCATGGAATACTATGCAGCCATAAAAAAGAATGAGTTCATGTCCTTTGCAGGGACATGGATGAAGCTGGAAGCCATCATTCTCAGCAAACTAACACAGTAACAGAAAACCAAACACTGCATGTTCTCACTCATAAGTGGGAATTGAACAATGAGAACATATGGGCACAGTGAGGGGAACATCACACACTGGGGCCTGTCAGGGGTTGGGGTGCCAAGGGGAGGGATAGCATTAGGAGAAATACCTAATGTTGATGATAGCTTGATGAGTGCAGCAAACCACCATGGCACATGTATACCTATGTAACAGACCTGCACGTTCTTCACATGTATCCCAGAACTTAAAGTATAATTTTAAAAAAATCAATTAATTTAAAAATATAAAGTGCTAACTCAAAAAAAAATAATTTGTATCCAGAATATGTAAAGAACTCTCAAAACTCAATAATCGGAAAGCAAACAACCTAATTAAAGGTAAACAGACTATTAAGAAGTGTGGTATCAGCCACTTGGCAGACTAGGAGGCTCCTGGCTCTCTCTCCACTCAGGCACACACCGAATAAACATCTATTTATGAATCAATTTCCTCTGTGAGAAAGTCAGAAAAACAGTAAAGAGACTCTCACCCACTGAGCAACTCAGAAAATATCCACATTTAATGGGCAGGAATTGCTGAGGCACACTCAGGCACAGATCCCCTCTCTGGGCACTGCACCATAAAACTAAGAAGGAATCCTCAACACCCAACTTATCTCTGTGGAGAGAAGGGTTTTGGCCACACATATAGTTCCCTAACTCTAAGGTCATGCACAGTTTGGCTGTTAATTCACCAATGGGAGCAGAGGGGATTAGGCATACGTAAGTCTCTGTAGCAATTTTATGTGGGCATGCAAGTACATCTAGGGGCTTCATCACCTGGGAGTAGTACAGAAAAGGGGCTTGAAAATGCAGCTTGCTGTTTCTTTTCCAGTGGGTACATGATGACCTGGCTTCTGACTAACTTACATTGGAGAGTCAAAGGTGCAAACAGCCTGCTGGCAGCTGAAATGCAGATTGGCACTTCCCAAGCTTTTCCCCCCAGCTCACCCCAGGATGCCAGTTCTACTAATCCCTCCTGAAAGGAATTTGTCCACACATTGAAAGCCACAACTTTTATAGCTTCAACCTGAAGGGATGCATTCTATACCTCTAGCTCTGGGAGTAGGGAGGATTAGGCATATGCCTGTCTCCCTAGATCATAGAACAAAGAGGTGGTTTTAAATAAGTGTCCAAATACAGCTACAGACCACACCAACTGGCAGTAGTTCAGAAAAGAGGCTGGAATACACAACTTCCATTTTCTCTCTGGAAGGGGTTTACTGCATAATCTTCCAGTGGCTACTTTATGGCCTGGCTGTTAACTAACTTGTATTAAGGAGTTAACAGACACAGACAAACAGTAGACTTCCAGCAGCCTAAGCATGAGCTTGGCATTTCCCAAGCATTTCCTTTGGTTCACCCCAGTGAAAAATTCAGGTCTACCTATTTTTCCTGGAAGAAAGTTTGTTTATACACCAAGTCTCACAACTTCTATAGCTCCTATCTATAGCTCCCATCTCTTTAACAACCTAGCTCTAGGAGTTGATGGAGTTTTGCATTCCTGCATATCCAAGGACCACAGAAAACAAATAAGTAGACATACAATGGATCCACTTCTAGAAGCTATCTCTTCAGGATCAGAGGGTGCAATCTGAATGGGAGTGCAGCAACTTGTCACAAATTCCTAGCTTAGTGCAGAGACAGTAGGAGAGAAATTCCTGTAGTCAGCCTTACTGTGAGACTAGAATAAACTGGAACAGCCATCTGACACCCTCATATTTCTAGCTCCATCTGGAGGGTCTGGCTTCAGCCTTACCAATCTCAGGGCACTAACAGGACATGGCATGTTCTAATCTCCAGAGAGCCACTAAAAACAGATACAGTAGTTTGGACAAACAAAAATTTGAGAGGCACCTAAAAATGTCTGGCTGCAGGTACTGGTGAGATCCTTCTTTTGAAAAAGACCAGTCCGATAAAACTGAGAGAGGCAGTAGTCTTATCAAATGCACAGAAACCAACACAGAGAGTCAAGAAAAGTGAGGAAAAAAGGAAATATATTCCAAATTGGGTTAGTCCATTTTCACACTGCTATAAAGAATACCTGAGACTGGGTAATTTATAGCGGAAAGAAGTCTAATTGACTCACAGTTCTGCATGGCTTGGGAGGCCTCAGGAAACACAATCATGACGGAAGGTGAAGGAGAAGCAAGTACCTTCTTTACAAGGTGGCAGAAGAGAGAGTAAAGGGGAAGTGCCACTTTTAAACCAACAGATTTCATGAGAACTCACTTGCTATTATGAGAAAAGCATGGGGGAAACTGCCTCATGATCCCGTCACTTCCCATCGTGTCCCTCCCTCGACACATGGGGATTACAATTCAAGATGAGATTTGGGCGGGAACATAGAGCCAACCATATTATTCCACCCCAGGCCCCTCCTAAATCTCATGTTCTTTCCACATTTCAAAACTAATCATGCCTTCCCAAAAGTCTCCCAAAGTCTTAACTCATTCTAGTATTAACTCAAAAGTCCAAGTCCAAAGTCTCATCTGAGACAAGGCAAGTCCCTTCCACCTAGGAGTCTGTAAAGTCAAAAATGAATTTGTTACTTCCAAGATATAATCTGGGGCTGGGTGCAGTGGCTCACGCCTGTAATCCCAGCACTTTGGGAAGCTGAGGTGGGTGAATTACCTGAGATCAGGAGTTCGAGACCAGCCTGGCCAACATGGTGAAACCCAGTCTCTACCAAAAACTACAAAAAAAATAAAAAATAAAAAATAAATTAGCCAGGCGTAGTGGCACACGCCTGTAATTGCAGCTATTCAGGAGGCTGAGGTAGGGGAATTGCTTGAGCCTGGCCTACGGAGCGAGACTCTGTCTCAAAAAAAAAAAAAGATACAATGGGGGTACAGGCATTGGGTAAATGTTCCCATTCCAAATGGGAGAAATTGGCAAAACAAGGGGGCCACAGGCCCCATGCAAGTTTAAAACCTGGCAGGGCACTCATTAAATCTCAAAGTACCAAAATAATCTCCTTTGACTCCACGTCTCACAACCAAGGCATGCTGATTCAAAGGGTAGGCTCCCAAGGCCTTGGGCAAGTCCACTCCTGTGACTCTGCAAGGTACAGGCCCCATGGCTTTTTTCACAGGCTGGCTTTGAGTGCCTACGGCTTTTCCAGGTGCACAGTGCAAGCTGTCAGTGGATCTACCTTTCTGGGGTCTGAAGGACAGTGGCCCTCTTCTCACCACTCCACCAGGCAGTGCCCCAGCTGGGGTACTCTGTGTGGGGGCTCCATTCCTTCCACACTTCCCTAGTAGAGGTTCTCCATGTGGGCTCCACCCCTGCAGCTGACTTCTGTGTGGAAATCCAGGCATTTTCATATATCCTCTGAAATCTAGGCAAAGATTCCCAGACCTCAATTCTTGCCTTCTGCACACTGCAGGTCCAACACCACATGGAAGCTGCCAAGGCTTGGAGCTTGCATGCTCTGAAGCCATGGCCTGAGCTATACTTTGGCTTCTTTTAGCCATGGCTGGAGCTGGAGTGGCTGGAACACAGGGCACCATGTCCTGAGGCTGTACAGAGCAGTGGGGCCCTGAGCAGGGCCCAAAAAATCATTTTTCCCTTCTAGGCCTCTGGGCCTGTGATGGGAGTGGCTGCCTTGAAGTGTTCTGAAATGCCCTGGAGACATTTTCCTCATTGTCTTGGTAATTAGCATTTGGCTCCTTGTTACTTAGGCAAATTTCTACAGCTGGCTTGAATTTCTCTCCAGTAAAATGGGTGTTTCTTTTCTACCACATGGCCAGGCTGCAAATTTTCCAAATTTCTATGCTCTGCTTCCCCTTTAAACATACGTTCCAATTTCAAACCATCTCTTTTTGAGTACATATCATTGTATGATTTCAGGAAAAGCCAGTTCACCTCTCAAATGCTTTGTTGCTTAGACATTTCTTCTGCCAGATACCCTAAATCCTCTCTCTCAAGTTCAAAGACCACAGATCTCTGGGGCAGGGGCAAAATGCCACAAGTTGCTTTGCTAAAGCATAGCAAGAGTGACCTTTGCTTCAGTTCCCATTAAGTTCTTCATCCCCATCTGAGACCACCTCAGCCTGAATATCATTGTCCATATCACTATCTGCATTTTGGTCAAAATCATTTAACAAGTCGCTAGAAAGTTCCAAACTTTCCCACATTTTCCTGTCTTCTTCTGAGGCCTCCAAACTGTTCGAACCTCTGCCCATTACCCAGTTTGAAAGTCACTTCCACATTTTCCGGTTATCTTTATAGCAGTACCCCACCCATCTGATGCCAATTCTCTGTATTAGTCCATTTGCACACTGCTATAAAGATATAACCTGAGACTGGGTAATTTATAAAGAAAAAAGGTTTAAATGACTCACAATTCTGCATGGCTAGAGAGGCCTCAGAAAACTTAACAATCATTGCAGAAGATGAAGGGGAAACAAGGCCCTTCTTACACGGCAGCAGAAGAGAGAGAGAGCATAGGGGAAACTGCTATTTTTAAATGATCTGATCTCATGAGAACTCACTCATTATCATGAGTACAGCATGAGGAAGACTGTCCCCATCATCCAATCACCTCTCACCAGGTTCCTCCCTCAACACATGGGGATTATAATTCAAGACGAAATTTGGGTGGGGACACAGAGCCAAACCGTATCACCAAATAAAAGAACAAAAATCTCCAAAAACCAATCCTAGTGAAATGGAGATATGTGATTTACCCAACAGGGACCTCAAAATAATGGTTATAAAGATGCTCACTTTATGAGAATTTAACAAGGTCAAGAGAGCAATGCAAGAACAAAATGAAATTTTCAACAAAGAGGTAGAAAGTATATAAAAGCACCAAACAGAAATCCTAGAGCTGAAGAATACTGTAACCAAACTAAAAAGTGTAATAGAGGGAGTTCTTCAAGGTGAAGGAAGAGGATACAAATTAGTAACATGAAAACACACAAACATATAAAATTTCACTGGTACAAGTAAGTACACTGTCAAATCCAAAACACTAATGCTGTAATGGTAGTGGGTAAATAAATTATATCTCTACTGTACAGGTCAAAAGAAAAAACTGTTAAAAACAATGAAAGCTACAATAATTTGTTAGGAATACAAATTATAAAAAAGATGTAAATTATGACATCAAAAACATAAAATGTGAGAGGAGAGTAAAAGCATAGAGTTTGTGTATGCCATCAAAATTAAGCTTTTATCAACTTAAAATTACCAGTTATAAGATGTTTTATTTAAGCCCCATAGTAACCACAAAGCCAAAGTCAATAATAGACCCACAAAAGATAAAAAATAAGATCTAAAACATACCACTACAGAAAACCATCAAACCACAAAGAAAGAAATCAAGAGAGGAAGAAAGGACATGAAAAACAACGAGTAAACAATGAACAAAATGGCAATGGTAAGTTCTTACCTATTAATAATTACTTTAAATGTAAATGGATTAAATTCTCCAATCAAAAGGCATATAGTGGTTGAATGAATAAAAAAACAAGACCCAACTACATGCTGCCTATAAAAGACTTAACCTTAAAGGACACTCATAGACTCAAAGTCAAGGGATAGAAAAAGATTTTATGCAAATGGAAATCAAAAGTGAGCAGGGGTAGCTATATTTATATTAGACAAAATAAACTTTAGGTCAAAACTGTAAGAAGAGAAAAAGAATATCACACAGTGATAAGGGGGTCAATTCATCAAGAGGATATAACATTGTAAATATATATCCACCCAACACTGGAGTAGCTAAATGTATAAAACAAACATTAAAATATGTGAGGAGAGACATAGACTGCAACACAATAATAATAGAGGATCTCAATACTTGACTTTCCATAAGAGACAGATCATCCAGGCAGAAAATTAATAAGGAAACATTGAACTTCAACTACACTCTAGACCAAACAGACCTACCAAACATATATATTAATAGAGTATTTTATCCAACCACAAAAGAATGCACATTCTTCTCAAGTTCATAGAAAACAGTATCCATAATAGATTATGTTAGGCCACAAAATAAGTCTTAACAAATTGAAAAAAAAATTTTAAATCATATCAAGTACACTTTCTAGTCACAATGGTACAAAACTAGAAATTGTTACAAGAGGAATAGAAAATTAACAAATGTGTAGAAATTAAGCAATATGTTCTTATTGCTTTGAGCCAATAATTATTGGCTCAAAGAAGAAATTTTTTAAAACTTAAAAAATATCTTGAGACAAAGGAAAATAAAAACACAACATATAAAAGTTATGGGATGCAGCAATAGCAGTTTTAAGAGGAAATTTTATATAACATATATGTTTATATCAAAAAAGAATAAAGATCTTAAATAAACACCTAACATTACACCCTTAGGAACTAGAACAAAAAATAATCCCAAAGCTAGCAAAAAGAAGGAAATAACAATAAAATTTATTTCAAAGCAGAAATGTAAAAGTAGAGATGAGAAAAACTATAGAAAAAACATCAAACAAACTAACAGTTATTTCTTTAAAAAGCTAAAAAAAATTTACAAACCCTTAGTTAGACTAACTGGTACGGTTTAAATATTTGTCCCCCCCAAAACTTACGTTTAAATGTAATCCTCAGTGTGGCAGTATTGAGAGGTAGTACCCTTAAGAGGTAATTGGGTTACAAAGGCAGAGCCATTCGTGTATTAATGAATTAATAGATTAATGGATTATCATGGAGTAGAACTGGTAGCTCTATAAGAAGAGAAAGAGATCTGAGCCACCATGCTCAGCCACTTTGCCATGTGATGCCCTGTATTGCTTTGTAAATCTGCAGAGTCCCCACCAGCAAGAAGGCTCAAAAAGGAATAAGATCATATCCTTTGCAGTGACATGGATGGAGCTGGAAGCCATTATCCTCAACAAACTAACAAAGGAAAAGAAAACCAAAGACTGCCTGTTCTCACTTATAAGTGGGAACTGAATGATAAGAACACATGGACACATGGGTGGAAGGAACAACACACACTGGGGGCTACTGTGGGGCACACAGGGAGGGAAAGCCTCAGGAAGAATAGCTAATGGATGCTGGGCTTAATACCTGGGTGATGGGTTGTTTGGTGCAGCAAACCACCATGGTACACATTAACCTAAGTAACAAACTTACACATCCTGCACATGTACCCTAGAACTTAAAATAAAAGTTGAAGAAAAAGAAATAAATCAAAAATGAACAAAACTAATCTATGGCAATGTAACTTTTTTAAAGTTGAGAAAGATGACTGGAAAAGAGCTGCATGGAATTGAGATGGTAATAATTTGGGGTGATGGTGACATGAATGTATTTAACTATGAAACCTCCAGAATTTTGAGTATCATCATTGCATCCCAGTAAATTAAATTGATATTGCACTTTTTAAAAGTGAACAGACACCAAATTCTAGAAAATTTGCAGGAAAACATGGTCACTCATACATTACTGGTGGAAATGCAAAATACCACCATGCTCTAAAAAATAGCTCAGCAGTTTCTTTTGAAACTAAACATACACTTACTATGTTACCCAGCAATCACATTTCTGGGCATTTGTACTAAGGAAATGAAATTTATATTTACACAAAAAAACTACACATTAAAGTTCATAGCAGCTTTATTCATAATAGTCAAAAACAGGAAACAATCCAAATGTCCTTCAATGAATAAAATGCTTAAATAAAATGTAGTACATTCATACCACAGAATACTACTCAGCAATATAAAGGAATGAACTGTAGATACATGCAACCACTTTGGTGGATCTCAAAGGGATTATGTGGAGTGAAAAAGCCAATCTCAAAATGTTATACACTGTATAATTTCATTTATACAACCTAATGATACAACAACTTTGATGATTTTAAGAGAATTATGATGAGTGGAGAAAAAAAAAGCCAATCTCTTTCCCCACAGGACTCTCGGAATTTTTGTCTCCTGCCTGGGTAGTAAATGCAGAAAACTGCACTGGCTTTTTTCATTCTACATAATTCCTTTGAAATCCCACAAAGTGGTTGCATGCATCTATAGTTCATTCCTTTATATTGCTGAGTGGTATTCTGTGGTATGGATGTACCTTTTATTTAGGCATTTTACTCACTGAAGAACATTTGGATTGTTTCCAGTTTTTGACTATCATGAATAAAGCTGCCATGAACTTTAATGTGTAGTTTTTTGTGTAAATATAAGATGCAGAAACCGCATTTGCTACCCAGGCAGGAAACTGGAAAATCTCTATAGAATCTGAGAGTCTAGGGGAAAAAGCAAAGATACTCATATTATGAGCTTCCCAAGAAACTTCCAACTGTATTACTGTATATTGCAGTGTACAATCAACAAGGCCTACATATGTCTGCAGGGCATCTAATCAGCATTTTTGTCCCTGACACCTAATAAGTGTTGGCAAACAAAAATCTGAGGAAAGTCTCTAACACAAAAGATAGGGATTACAACAAATAAATAGAAAACAAAAGAAAATTCACGAAAAACATACCAGTGTACTCTAAGAGAAAATAAATTGAACACATGAAATAAGAACAGGATGCTATTAGGTTGGTGCAAAAGTAACTGCAGTTTTTGCCATTACTTTTAATAGCAAAAAGTAGCATTTGGGGAATAAGGAAACCTCAGGGATGAAAAAGATGATAACAGAAATTAAAAAGTCAAGAGAGAGCTTGAAATATAATGTCAAGGACATTATGTTAAAAGACAAAGAAACAGAAATAGAAAATAGGGGAGAAAAGAGAAGTCATTAAATGATCAATCCATCCAGTATGTCCAGAAAAAAAGATTAGAGAAAATGGAGAGCAGGAAGCCATCAATGAAATAATTCAAGAAGAAGGTAAACATATCTTGACCAGGTGCAGCGGCTCACACCTGTAATCCCAGCACTTTGGGAAGCCAAGGCGGGAGGATCGCTTGAGCCCAGAAGCTCAAGACCAGCCTGGGTGATACAGGGAGACCCCATCTTTACAAAAAAAAAAAAAATTAAGAACGTAAACATATCTTTATTGTGACAGTTTCATAACAAGTTCTCAAAGAAAAAAACATCTATAAGAAGAATTTGTGAGAAGCACATCACAAAAAACAAAACGTATCTTTTGAGCATATGAAGGTAACAAAATATACCCTTTCATTTCTTGGAAATGCACTGTCATTGTTGTCACTCCAGGATTGTTGGAGAAGGAGAAGAGGAAGATTCTTTCTTCTCCTATCAATTTTATACTTTCATTTTTTTAATTAAAGCATGTCTGCTTCAAGTTTTAATCAAAATTTTAATTTCAAGGAACTGAAAAAGTTATAATAGTGAAACTGACAATTGGTTGCAGCATTTTATCTTATTACAAAGGTCTACTTTCTTTTTTCTTTGAGACAGAGTTTCGCTCTTGTTGCCCAGGCTGGAGTGCAGTGGCACAATCTCAGCTCACTGCAACCTCTGCCTCCCAGGTTCAGATGATTCTTCTGCCTCAGCCTCCCAAGTAGCTGGGATTACAGGTGTCCACCACCATGCCCGGGTAATTTTTTGTGTTTTTAGTAGAGATGGGGTTTCACCATTCTGGCCAGGCTGATTTCAAACTCCTAGCCTCAGGTGATCCACCCACCTTGGCCTCCCAAAGAGATGGGATTACAGGCATGAGCCACCGTGCCCTGCCTACAAAAGTCTATTTTTAAGGAAAAAAAAATACTATCCCACTTTCAACTTGAAAATATACATCAGGCTGCCCATAGCTGTGTCCCTTTTGAAGGGTTTCTGTTGCTCTTCATTCCAAAAAAGGATAGTTTTTTTTTAATATTCAGAATTCTTACAATGACTCTGATGGCACCTGTAGGCACTCTGCTATCTGAGGTGACTATAGGGGCACAAAAATGTGTAGGTGCCATTTCAGCACTTTCTCTTCTCTCCCCATCCCATAGTTGATGGCCTTAACAAATGAGACAGGGCTATCCATTATGATGAAGAGATGTGAGTTGACATAAAAGGCTGGGAAGATCCTGGCCTTAATCTTCATTTTACCACATACAAAAACATTTAGATCTGATTTTTAGAAACAAATTGTTCATATGCAGCCAAGAGTCTGTTCCATCTTATGATTGAATTACTTTTCTTGAATAAACATTCCCAGAAAATAAGTGCAGTTTTTCCTGTTTGAAGAGGAAGCAATGAACATAGAGAAAAACCCAAGAAAAGCAGCTAAATTGATTGATGGTAGGCTTAGGGTTTAAAATGACAGATTCATGTCATGCTCCCTCTTCAAACCACTTTGTCTTCAATTTTTTCTCTGCCTTTTCCCGGTTCTGTTTCCTCTCTGTCCCCTCAAGCACAACTGGACTGTTTCTCTTGAATGTTGCATATATGATAATTAACATATGTAGTAAACCTTTACTCATCAAAAATACAGTTTCTACACTGCATGCCATGCACTGTGATGGGAGTTGAAAATACAATGTTAATGAAAAAAAAAGTCTTTGTGGGGTTTATAACCTAATATGGTAAACTTGAAATTCCTATGTTATGCTAAATCCCCTCCACCTGTGCCTATATCACTTTCCTCTGCATACATATTTATCACCCATCATCCTCTCCTGTCACATATACACAGAGTGCAGACATAGCGACCAATAAAATTTTAATTGACAGATTTAGAAATCAGTAATGCAGAAGCTGTCAAAATGCTGAACATAGACGTTAAAGCTCCCCATTCACAGCCAACAACAAAAGAAAAGAAAATACTTAAGATTATCAAACCAATCAAGAGTTCATTTATGCACCCAAGTTGATTATCAGATTAGTTATGACTAGAGTTAAGGAAAAGATATGCAAAACCCCTGTTCAAACTCTTTCGCACCTATGTTTCCTTAGGCTCTACCAGTTTGGGAGTGACAGGAGTCATATTTATAGAAACACAGTAGTTTCCTAATTCTTCTCTCACTTATTATTGAATATCTTCCAGATGCTCTTTAAAATTTCCTGCAAGCATTCCTGCGTGTCCCCTGAAGAGTTCCCACTGGTACTGATGTGTGAGGCTGTCTTAGTGACCACTTCCTCCATTCTTGCGGTGACTTCATTTCTGGCTCCATGTGAGCTATATCCCAATCTCTGTGAAGCCTGATGAATGTGCAATTTCACTGATGCCGCCTCCGATGAGATATTTTGTCAAGGTCTGCTGAAGTCATGCCGTGCTCATATGGTGCTTTGCTGAAGCTGCCAAAACTCCAATATGGCTGGTGCCCTCCCCTGCTGATAGCCCAGTGCCCGCAGTAGAGCACTGGCATTTTATATTCTCAGCTGCAGTCACAGTGGAGAAAAAAAATGGTCTCACCTGTGTAGTTCTCTGCTAAATGTACCTTGTTAGCAGTTATGAAAGCTGCAACACATGCAAGACAAATAAAAAATAAAGTACTGGTTTATTTATATGAGAATCTCCAAAATGCTGGGCCTTTGGATAAGCATGGTTGGAAACTACTGTGGGAAAGCAAGATGAGGGACCCAAGCTGAGCCTCCTACCTCCTATTCTACCCAAAAATCTTAGAGCCTGTATGCTCAGGTATGCACACAGAGGCATAAACAGCGTCTTCAAACCTGACTCCATATCACTTACACAAACAGGCCTGCCTTGAACACCCAGTTACATGCAGAACAGAGAGAGCTTGAAGAATGATGATGTGAAGCCAGTTATGACTAATACTGCTGAAAGAAAGCTTTTCCCAAAGATATAGCAAGAAATAAACTGAGAGAGTCTGTACGTATAGCACATCAAAACATTCATTTTAGGTAGTTTGACTTGCCCATCTCCCTCCTACCCTTCCCTTCTCTTACCTGGAGGATTCTTTACTAAGACAAAACTTCAGCTATGCTTCCAGGAGGATCAAGGATGTATTAGGGAGCTTCCTTTATGAGTATCTTCAGGCATCCTTAATATCATGTATCTTTTTTATGTTACTTGCTGAGACCATAGTAAATCAAAGTAACAGTAATGTTGGACCAATTAAAGAAGTCATATCTGCTAATCCCAAATCTAGACCCCCTTTTGTGTGTGGTCGAGCACACAAGACCTTCTTCATAAGACAGGCTGTGGACCCTTCCCAGGCTAAGCACAAGGAGACAAAAAATGCTAGTAACTGGAAGAGTAGAGAAGGCATGTCATATGTGAACACCCTTCCCTCTTATAGACAAATCTCAGTGAACAAAACCCTGCCTAATAAATTAGCTACTTTACTTAACCACCCCCACCTTAGTAGGAGTAAGTAAAACCAGTATTTCTCTACATTTCCAAAAGGGCTTGAGAAACAAAAGTTCACTTAGTCCTTAAACTCATTATGTATTGAACCAGGAACCTGAGGAATGAGGCACATATGTTTACCCCTACATGTTTCAAAAGAGTAAATACCTGTGCTTTCAATGTCACTTAGTATCATGGGGAAACTACAAAAGATATAAAATACCTAGGACTATATCTAACTCAGAAGGTGAAAGATCTCTACAAGGAGAACTACATAACAGTGATAAAAGAAATTATAGATGACATAAACAAATGGAAAAACATTCCATCCTCATGGATTTGAAAAATCAATATCATTAAAATAATCATACTGCCCAAAGCAATCTACAGACTCAACACTATTCTTATAAATTACCAGTGTTATTTTTCACAGAATTAGAAAAAAATTATTCTAAAATGTATATGAAACCATGAAAGAGACCAAATAGCCAAATCAACCCTTAGCAAAAAGAACAAAGCTGGAGGCATCACATTACATAACTTCAAACTATAGTATGAAGCTACAGTAACTAGAAAAGCATAGTACTGGTACAAAAACAGACACATAGACCAATAGAACAGAATGTATAACCTAGAAATAAAGCCACACACCTACCGCCATCTGATCTTTGACAAAGTCAACACAAATAGGCAATGGGGAAAGGACTCCCTCTATTTAATAGGGAGTCCTTCTGGGATTAGCTGGTTAGCAATATGCAGAAGAATAAAACTGGACCCCTACTGATATGGTTCGGCTGTGTCCCCACCCAAAATCTTATCTTGAATTGTAATCTCCGTAATTCCCATGTTTCAAGAAAGAGACAAGGTAGAGGTAATTGAATCATGGGAACAGTTTCCCCCATGCTGTTCTCATGATAGTGAGTGAGTTTTCACAAGATATGATGGTTTTATAAATTTTGGTAGTTCCTCCCACTTTCATTCTCCTTCCTCATGCCTTGTAAAGAAGGTGCCTTGCTTCTCCTTCACCTTCCCCCATGATTGTAAGTTTCCTGAAACCTCCCCAGCCATACTAAACTGTGAGTCAATTTAAACTTCTTTCTAAGTTACCCAGGTTCAGGCAGTTCTTCATAGTAATGTAAGAATGACAAATACACCTACCTTTAATCATATACAAAAATTAATTCAAGATGCATTAAAGACTTAAATGTAAGACCTAAAACTACAAGAATTCTAGAAGGAAAGCTAGGAAATACCATTCTGGATATCAGCCAGATCATGAGAGAAATGCAAATCAAAACCACAGTGAACTACCCTCCCACACCAGTCAGCATGGCAATTATTAAAAAGTCAAAAAACAACAGATCCTGGGGAGGCTGCAGAGAAAAGGGAACGCTTATACATTGTTGGTGGAAGTGTAAATTAGTTCAGCCACTGTGGAAAGCAGTTTGGAGATTTCTCAAACTGTCAAAGAACTTAAACCAGAACCATTATACAACCCATAAATCCCATTACTGGGTATATACCCAAAGAAATATAAATCTGTCTACCAAAAAGACATATGCACTCACATGTCCTTGCAGATCTATTCACAATAGCAAATACTAGAGCCAACCTAGGTGCCCATCAAAAGTAGAGTGGGTAAAGAAAATGTGTTACATATATACACCATGGAATACTATGCAGACATAAAAAAATGAAATAATTTCCTTTGCAGAAACATGGATACTGCTGGAGACCATTATGCTAAGCAATTAACACAGGAACAGAAAACTGCTTATAAGTGGAAGCTAAATATCATGTACACATAGACATAAAGATGTCAACAATAGACACTAGGGACTACTAGAAGGGTGAGGGAGGAGAAAGGGGGGCAAGGATTGAAAAATGAACTATTGGGTACTACGTTCATTACCTGGGTGATGGGATTAATCATACCCCAAACCTCAGCATCACACAATATACCCACGTAACAAACATGCATATGTACCCTCTGAATCTAAAATAAAAGTTGAAATTTAAAAAAAAAAGATTTAGAATGTGATCAAAAAAACAAGCTTGGGGAAACTTAACTTTCAGTCTCATTAGTAGCCCCTGCCTCTAAGACTCAGCTCAATATACACAGATGGTACCTGAGGATTTTAAATTGCCTTCTCCCTACTAATGCTTGGGGATTGTTATCATAGCAACGTACATTTTTTCTCAACATGCTGTACCTTTCCAGAAAGATTCTTCCCCAGGAGCACTATTATTATTCATACAAATAGGCTCCTGGTAAGCCCCCTCTCTGCCCTTCCAGGAAGCCCTGAACACATCTTAATTTAGAGTGAGCACAACCTTCGTTCTGCTGCAAAGTCAAGATCTGTCATAAACTAGCTCTTACTGACCTTTGCAGTCAACTATATTTATCTTTTTGTCCAGCTTACCAAACTATTTACTTTGCCCTAGACATGCATATATAGATTGGATAAATAGAGGATAGATAGATAGATAGATAGATAGATATAGATGGATGATATAGATGATATAGAAAATGTGATACCCATATACACCAAATGTGATACACACACACACACACAATACACACACTGAGAGAGATATATACAGATATACAGACAAAGGAATATAGATGTGTATATATATATATAGTGTGTGTGTGTATAAATTTTTCTGCCACAAAACAAAAAACCAAAGCACCTGGACCACGGATTTTATAAAAATAGAAACACTGGTATATGCAGCCCCTTATTCTCTTTCACTAGGAAGTTTACTCTGGGGTTATTCTTAGAGTTCATATAACTGTCAGCTAGGAAAATTCTTCTTGTGAATCTAATACTAAATTTTGGACTGCTACTTTAAAATAATTTTAGTTGTTGTTTGCTTTTATAATGTAATTAATGAAGTTTAGCGAAGACCCAGGTGTGTTGCCTCTCAACTGCAATATTCGTACAGTTTAATGTGTCTGTAATTATTGTACTTGTATATTTCTAAAATTACAAAGTCTTATTTGCATGTACTAAAGTGAGATCAAAGAAATAAAGCATTTTGAACAGCATTCTTTGCAAAAGAATACAAATACTCTAGAATTAAAGCTTTTTTCCTAACTTGCTCATGATGAAGTAGGTAGGGTTTCAGAATACATTAGGAAAATAAAATTCTAAATGTTCTGCAGAGGACACCAGCTCTGGTAAATACTTTGCAAAGAAATATCACCATTGGGTTTAAATAGAAAACTGAGAAAGTTAATTATATTAAATAATCTTGGATCAGATAGTCTTTATGGTAAATAGCATCTTTAGCCCCAATTCTTCACATTTGCCCCCTATATCCACACGTTTTGCCATGTGACTTTACAGTTACTTGAACTAAAAATGTAACTTGCTTTGGTTAGTAGATAAATTAGATAAAAATAAAATTTCATTTCATTTCCAGCCTAAGTCTTAAAACACCTTGTGTTTTTCTGTTTGCATTATTGTGTTCCTGCCATCTCTGTGAAAAATGTATGTGTGAGCTTGCCCACTAGTCCCAAGAGATGATGAACATGTGAAGCAAATCCACTCAGTCAAGCTGCTCCAATCAACCAGCCTAGATCAATAGCCCAGCAACCACAGACACATGAGTGAGTCCAGTCAAGATCCACAAAGCAAGCTGATCAATCCAAGCCTGAATCGTCAGCTGACTCCTATACTCCCAGCTAATCTGCAGGTGCATTAGAAAAATAATGCTTGTTATTGGACACTGAGATTTTGTGGTTATTTTTTATGAAACAACAGTTAACTGATATGGTCTAATAGAATGTATAAACATTAGAATTATATGCTTAAATTTCATTTATGAATTAAATTTCATTCATTTTCAATAATTTCATTGAAAATATTGAAAAGGTGGTATTTCCTTGCTTAGTTTTAAATTAACTGTTGTAGACTCAGCTGTGTGCAGCTTACTAGAAATTAAATCTTTATGAATATAAAATAAATGTACAAGAATAAAAGATGAGAGAGGGGCAGAACAAGATGGCTAAGTAGAGGGCTCCACGAATCATCCCCCCAAGCAGGAACACCAATTTTGCAATTGTCTATACAAAGGGAGCACCTTCATAGGAACTAAAAATCAGGTGAACACTCGCAGTGCCTGGCTTGAATTCACATCACTGAAAAGGGGACTGAAGAGGATAGGAAATACAGTCTTGAATTACTGATACCACCCCTTCCTTGTCCTCTGGCAATGGCCATATGGCATGAAGAATCCATGCACTTGGGAAAGGGAGAGAGCAATGATCTCAAAGGAAGACTTTGCCCCAACTCACCAACCATTCCACAGCACTCCAAATCAGGAAGTGATCATTCATCTCTAAATTGTGTAGTCCGGGTGAACTTTTTAGAAGGCAAAGATGTAGATATAGCAACTCGACAGCTACCTTTAACAATTTACCTAAGTACCATGTTAATCTGGCCACTACCCAAATAGAGATTCAGTAAGAGATAGACAAGTCAATGTCTTAGCATTGAATTCAGTGCTGCCCTGTTACAATACAAAGCAAAACAAGGCTGAATGCAGCTGATGCCCACCCATGGAGGGAGCATTTGGACTAGCTCTAGCCAGAGGGCCATCCCCGTGGGGAGCCTGAGTTCCAGCAAGCCTTGCCACTTTAGGCTGAAGGGCTCTGAGGTCCTAATTGAACTTGAGGGGCAGTCTAGGCCACAAGGACTGCAATTCCTAGGCAAGTTGAAGTACTGAGCTGGGCTCAAAGCCAGTGGGCTTTCGGGGCACTCAAACTACTGAGATATCAGCAGAGACAGCTAAGGGAATGCTTGGACCACCCATCCCCTAACCCAAAGTTATATAGCTTGCAGCTCCAAAATAGACCCCTTCCTTCTGTTTGAGGAGAGGAGAATGAGGAGTAAACAGAATTTTCTCTTGCATCTTGGGTACCAGCTCAGCCACAGAAGTATAGGACACCAGTCAGGATCATGAGGTTCCCATTCCAGGACCTAAGCTACTGGACAGCATTTCTAGACAAACTCTGAGACAGAAAGCAACCTGCTGCCTTGAAGGGAAGGACCCATCCTGGCAGAGTTTATAACCTACTGACAAAAGAGCCCCTTGGCCCTAAGAAGCAGCAGTGATACCGAAGTAGTATGCCTTGGCCTTGGGTGAGATTCTGAGACATGCTGGCTTCAGGTAAGAAGCCAGCATATTCCCATACTTCCATACTCTGATGGCTGCAGATGGGGACTCCTTCTGCTTGAGAAAAGCAGAGAGAAAACCAAAGGGGACTTTGTCTTGCACCACAGGTACCAGTTGGGCCACAGTGGAGAAGAGCACCAAGCAGGCTCTTGGAGTCCCTGATTCCAGGCCTTGACTCTTGGACAGCATTTCTGGACCTGCCCTGGGTGAAAGGGGAGCCCACTGCCCTGAAGGGTGAGTCCCAGGCCTGACAGCAATAATCATAAGCTGACTGAAGAGCCCTTGGGCCTTAAGTGAATATTGGAAGTAGTCTGGCAGTACTCCTCATAGGCCTGTAATGGTGGTAACCACAGGGTGAGATTCCTCTGCCTATGGAGAGGGCAAGGAAGACTGGGAAGAACTGTGTCATGTGGTTTGAATGCAAGCTCAGCTACAGTAGAATAGAACATCAGTTAGGTTTCTAAGTTTTCTGGTTCCTGGATGGCATCTCTGGACCTGCCCAGGGACTCGGGGAACTCACCACCTGAAGGGAAGGATACAAGCCTGATGTGCTTCATTACCTTCTGATTATAGAGCCCTAGGTCCTTGAGCAAACATAGACAGTAACCAGGTAGTGGTTAAAGCGAGCCTTGGGTGATACCCAGTTCTGTGCTGGCTTCAGGTCTGACCCAGCACAGTCTCAGTGGTGGTAGCCACAGAGCTACTTGTGTCATGCCACTCCCAGCTCCACGTGGTTCAGCACAGAGAGAGAGAGAGAGAGACTTCATTTGTTTGGGGAAAAGAACAAGTGTCTCTGCCTAGTAATCCAGATAATTCTTCTGAATCTTATCAGAGACTCTACAAGAACCACAACATTACTGGGCTTGGTGTGCCCCCTAATGCAGATATAGCTTACATCACAACACTAAAGTCCTCTTGAATACCAGGAAAGCCTTCACATGGAGGATGGGTGCAAAGAAGTGCAGACAGTGAAGACTACAACAACTGCCTAACTCTTCAATGCTCAGACACTGATGAACATCTACAAGCATCAAGATCATCCAGAAAACCAAAACCTTACCAAATGAACTACATAAGGTACCAGGGACCAAATCTGGTGAAATGGAGCTATGTGACTTTTCAGATAGAGAGTTCAAAATAACTTTTTTGAGGAAACTCAAAGAAATTCAAGATAACACAAAGAAGGAATTTGGAATTCTATTAGATAAATTTAACAAAGAGATTGAAATAACTAAAAAGAATCAAGCAGAAATTCTGGAGCTAAAAAAATGCAATGGACATACTGAAGAATGCATCAGAGTCTCTTAATTATAGAATGAATCAAGCAGAAGAAAGAATCAGTGAGTTTGAAGGAATGAAGCATGACTACAAGATCTAGAAAATAGCATCAAAACTCCAAAAGGTCAAGGATAAATAACTCCTAAAAGCAGCGAGAGAAAATAAACAAATAATATACAATAGAGTTCCAATGCTTTTGACAGCAGACATTTCAGTGGAAACCTCACAGGCCAAGACAGAGTGGTATGACATAGTCCAAGTATTTAAGGGAAAAACATGTTTACCCTAGAATAGTATATCCAGTCAAAAGTTATTCAAAAAGGAAGAAGAAATAAGGACTTTCTCATGCAAAAAAAAAAGAAGCTGAAAAGTTTCCTCAACACCAGACCTGTCTGACAAGAAATGCTAATGGGAGAACTTCGACCAAAAAGAAAAGGACATTAATGAGCAATAAATAATCATCTGAAGGTACAAAACTCACTGGTAATAGTAAGTACACAGAAAAACACAGAATATTATAGCACTATAACTGTAGTGTGTAAACTACTACTATCATTTAAAAAGACTAAACAGTAAACCAAACAAAAATAATAACTACAACAACTACTCAAGACATAGACAGTACAATAAGCTATAAATAGAAATAACAAAAAGTTAAAAAGTTGACAGATGAAGTTACAGAGCACCAATTTTATCAGCTTTTTTTTTTTTTGCTCATTTGCTTGTGCAAGCAGTGTTAAGTTGTTATCAGCTTAAAATAATGAGTTATAAGATAATATTTGCAGACTTCATGGTAACCTCAAATAGACATTTCTCTTCTTTTATCATGACCAAGTGGGGTTTATCCCTCAAATGGGAGGATGATTCAACACACACAAATCAGTCAGTGTGATACATCATTTCAACAGAAAGAAGAAGAAAAACCATATGATTATTTCAATGGATGCTGAAAAACATTTGATAAAATTCAACATCCCTTCAGGATCAAACCCCTCAAAAAACTGAGTATAGATGGATCATATCTCAACAAAATAAAAGTCACGTATGACAGACCCACAGCTAGTATCATACTGAACGGGAAAAAATAGAAAGCCTTTACTCTAAGATCTGGAAAATGAAAAGGATGCCCATTGTCATCACCGTGATTCAACATAGTACTGGAAGTCCTAATGTTACGGGATTCTTGGGGTGTTACTTTTCTGACCAGGAACCTCTGTGTCCAGTGGTGCCTTTGCTCGAGTTTTGCTTGGGCCTGCTGGGCTCATTCCACCCTCTCAGTCTGGCAGGCTGCACTCAGCTCATGCTACCAACCTGGATCCCATGCCTCCAAGGGAGACTGCAAATCAAGTGTGGCGTGGTGGTGCGGGGGTGTGAGTGAGCATGGAGTCCGGCCACTGCATACAGACACACTGGCTGCTGGGTAGGCAGCTCTAGGTGCTGGCATGGGCACTGGCTCTCTGTGAGGCTCTGGCTGGACCAGGTGCACCACAAGCAACTTCCTCAGCTAGCACTGGAGAATGAGGTGGCTCCTGGAAGCTTGAAGATGCCAGGAATCACAGGGCTCCAAAGAGGGAGTCACAGCCCTGGCTCAGGGAAGCTCCAGGTCTGGGCTTCCTGAAGGGCTGCAGCTCTTCCCTCCTTCTCTTTGCTCTCAATGTGGTGAGCAAGGGGCATGTTTCAGCCCTGTTTGTGTTACAGCCCCGTTTGTGTTACAGCTCTTTTAGCCTCATCATTCAGCAGGTCCCAAGTTCTTGTCCTGTGACCAGGAAGAATGAAGTATGCAGACAAGTGGAGGGTAAGCAAGACAAAGAGTTTTATTGAGCAATAGAACAGCTCAGAGGAGACCAGCAGTGGGCAGTGGGTAGCTCCTCTTCATAGCCAGGGTGTCCCAATGAGTGTTCAGCTCTCAGCAGACAGGGTGGCTCCTCTCTGCAGCTGGTTGTCCCCTCATCTCTTCAGTTGTTTTGCTTACTATAGCTCTGTAGTATAATTTGAAACAGCGTGGTACTGGCATAAACACGACAGCATGGTACTGGCATAGACCAGTGGAAAAGAATAGAAAAGGCCAAAACAAATCCATACATCTGCAGTGAACTCATTTTTGACAATGGTACCAAGAACATACACTGGGGAAGGGACAGATTCTTCAATAAATGGCACTGGGAAAACTGGAAATTCATATGCAGAAGAATGAGAATAGACCCCTCTCACCATATAGAAAAATCAAATCAATATAGATTAAAGAATTAAATCTAAGACCGTAATCTGTGAAACTACTACAAGAAAACATTGGGGAAATTCTCCAGGACATTGGAGTGGGCAATAGTTTCATTGGTAATACCCCACAAGTACAGGCAACCAAAGTAAAACTGGACAAAGGGGATCATATCAAGTTTAAAAGCTTCTGCACAGAAAAAGAAACAATCAACAAAATGAAGAGACAGCAAACAGAATGGGAGAAAATATTTGCAAACTATCCATCTGACAGGGGTTTAATAATCAGAATATATAAGGAGCTCAAACAATTCTATTTTAAAAATGTAATAATTTGATTTTTAAATGGGCAAAAGGTCTAAATAGACATTTCTCAAAAGAAGACATGCAAATGGCAAACAGGTATATGGAAAAGTGCTCAACATCACTGATCATCACAGAAATGCACACAAAAACTACAGTGAGATATCATCTCACCCCAGTTAAAATGTCTTTTAACCAAAACACAGGAGGACCCAAGCCAGTCTGATATGGTTTGAATGTCTGTTGCCTCCAAATCTCATGTTGAAATGTTGGAGGTGAGGCCTGGTGGGAGGTGAATGGATCATGAGGGCAGATCTCTCATGAATGGTTTAGCATCATCCTCTTGATGATAAGTGAGTTCTCACTCAGTTAGTTTACACAAGCTCTGGTTGTTTAAAAGAGTCTGGACTTCCCCTTTCTCTCTCACTCTTGATCCTGCTCTTGCCATGTGACATGATGGCTCCCCTTCACCTTCCACCATGACTGGAAGCTTCCTGAGACTCTCACCAGAAGCAGATGCTGGCACTATGCCTCATGTACTGTCTGAAGAACTGTAAGCCAATTAAATCTCTTTGCTGAAAATAAATCACCCAATCTCAGGTATTTCTTTATAGCAACATAAAAATGGACTAACGCACACTTTGCCTAGAAATCTCCTCAGCTAAATATTCAGTGTCATCACTCACAGTTTCTACCGTACACAAAACACTGTAACACAGTTCACTGAAGTTCTTTGCCACTTTATAACAAGAATCACCTTTCCCCAAGTTTCCAATAACATATTCATTTCTTAGACTTCACAAGAATCACTCTTAATGTTCATATTTCTAGCAAGTACCTCAAAACTATTCCACCTGCTACCCATTACTCAGTTTCAAAGCCACTTCCACATGTATTTTTTACAACAGCACCCCACTTCTCAGTACCAAAATCTGTATTAGTCAGTTCATGCTCCCATAACAAAATACCATCGACTGAGTGGCTTAAACAAAAGAAGTTTATTTATCACAATTTTAGAGGCTGAAAATCTGAGATTACAGTGCCAGTATGGTCAGGTTCTTGCGGAGGCTCTCTTCCTGGTTTGCAGATGACTGCCCTTTCACTGTGTTCTCATGTAACAGAGAGAGAGAGCACTCTCTCTGGTGTCTCTTTTTATAAGGGCACTAATTCCATCATGGGGGCCCCACACTCAAGACCTCATCTAAACCTAATTATATCCCACAGGTCCCATCTTCAAATACCATCATATTGGGCAACACTTTTAGTATTTGAGGAAAGTTAGTAGGCCATTCTTTCCTCATCCATTTTTGGAGACTTTGGTATTTTATCAGTCCCTTAGAACAAAGCTCAGTGTAAGACATAAAGGGTCAATGAAGAGCCCTGTATCCAAAATCAGGAAAGCTGATACTTAAGGTTGGCTCACTCAACATCTATTTCACACTCCTTTTATATTCCTTTCTCAATTACAGTAGATGGAAGGCTAAAAGCTCAACCTTGCAGATTCTCTTGTGGTTAAAGGGGCCATATAGATTCAGCGTTGGCCAATTAAATATAAGCAGAAGTGTGCTATCTCTTCATCTTCCACGAAACTGAAGGTGAAGGAGTCTGTTTTTTTGATGGCATCAGGGAACTCCACTCCCATCCCTAAACCATCTGTCTCAAAATCTCTTATTGTTTTGGACGGAAAAAAATTAATTATACCCTTTATTTTTAAATGCCTATAGATTTCTGTTAAAATGCCAATGAATAGAATCTTGCCTTTAAATCCATGTTTGAGTCCTAAGTCTGACATTGTCTGTATGCATTTAAGCAAGCATGTATATACTGTCTTTTTTCCTTTATGTTAATTGTGGGTGCTGGATTAGATACTCTAGATCTTTTTCAAGGGCTCATATTTCACACTTGGATTTTCTTATGAAAGTATCTCTTCTAATTAATCTCTTTTTAATCTCAAATAACCCATCTGAAAACCAGTTTCATTCCTTTAATTTACCTTTACTCATTTGAATAACATTTGTTGGACCTAGCCTACTGTCTTATGCATGGAAAATCCTTAAAAGGTAATTGCTGAACTTAATATAGTTAGAAAGGCTACAATAGAATAATATTACTTATCTATGTTATCTCCTTCTGGATTACCCTTCTCTAATCTTCAGCAGCTTGCTAAATAAAACAAGACTTGCAAACAATTACATTATGTTGGCTCTTCAGGTTTTCACACTTGTAGCCTCATTATATCTTCAAGATTCTTTTCCTAGAACATCTTTCCATGTCACAAATAAGTGTAGTTTAATTATAGCAAGTTTAGATATTAGAGAAATATACCAATTTTGATGTATTTGCAGCCAGAATTTTTTATTCTATATATTACAAACTTGAGATAATGCTGGAAGAGTACTTTTTTTTCAATTTAATATTTTATCATAATATCCTATCTCTTTAAACAGTCTTTGGAACATGATGTAAAATAATCAGGCTGGGCACAGTGGCTTACACCAGTAATCCCAACACTTTGAGAGGCCAAGGCTGGAGGATCGCTTGAGCCCAGGACTTCAAGACCTGCCTGGGCAATATGGCAAAATACCCTCTACAAAAATACAAAAATTAGTTGGGCAGGGTAGTGCTTGCCTGTAGTTCCAGCTACTTGGGAAGCTGAGGTAGGAGGATTGCTTCAGCCTGAGAAGTTGAGACTTCAGTAAGCTGTGATTGTGTCACTGCATGTCAGCCTAAGTGACAGAGTAAGACCCTATCTCAAAAAAAATTTTAATTTTTTTAAAAAATTAGTAATATTTCCTGAGGAAGATTTTTCCCAAGAAAAGTATTTTATTAATGAATTATATAGAACATTAAGCACAGAAAAAATTATGATTTTCTGAGATTATATAGCAAGTTATTTAAGATTACTGATTCCTCCTTACCTTTTTTCACTGAAATATGAAGTAGATGTCCCCCAAAATAATGATGCTAATAATCAATCATTGTGACATATATCGCATAAAACTCAATTTGTCACATCAAATTCTCAAACAAATTACACAGAAGATACATAGGTAAGAAGTAGATACATAATAAATATGTATGTATGTATGTATGAATGAACGGATGTACGAATTCAATGAGTGGATGGATGGATTTGATGAATCCGAGCCAGACTGCTTTTTCCATTAGGGAAAATAGCTACAGTTTACATTAGAGAATGGTATCTGGGAAAAGATTAAAAACTTATTATTTCCTTTATGCTTCAGAGCTAAAACAGGGAGCTTGATACAGTCCTTAGAATCCATGAACGACTTGACAGGAATATATCTTTTACCAAATCCAAAGTTATCCCAGCTGCATTTCACTGGCCGAGCTCATGCTGTTGCAGAAACACTGTAACCAATACAAGAAGCCACTGAAAAGCTTGGTGCAGTACAAATAAATACTAATAGTGATATGCATGCCATTAGCATTTGTACCACATTCTGCCTCCTGCATAATGGTAAACAAAAATGTTTGTTCCTTCTAACCCTAACTAACTCTAGATAACTTCATTTCTGGAGAAGGTATTTGGATACCAAGTAAAATCAATTATAATATCTGAAACACAGAAACTTACGCATTAGGAATAAACTTTTGATATTGTAAAGAAAGAGACATTCAGAAAAGGAATTCAAGAGTATCTACCTTGCTATACCTGGAGGAAGAAACTACAATTCTCTCTAGTGATCTCTTTGTGCCATATACATTACCTGCTATACTAGCTTGTGGTGCCAGTAAGACATGCTCTCTTACACAACTATGTTCCATCACTTCATTCAATAATATTTAAGTATATAAGTGTTAAATATTTACGGCTTAAATGATAAAGACTCCTTTAAGAATCACAATAATATTGTCAAGTTAAAAATTAACATTTTATGCAATTATAGAGGCAGTAAGAAAGAAAAAGAAATTAGCATTAATTTCTTTTTATTATTATTATACTTTAAGTTCTGGGACACATGTGCACAACGTGCAGGTTTGTCACATTGGTATACTTGTGCCATGTTGGTTTGCTGCAACCACCAACTCATCATTTACATTAGGTATTTCTCCTAATGTTATTCCACCCCCAGGTCCCCACCCCCTAAGAGACCCCGGTGTGTGAAGTTCCCCTCCCTGTGTCCACGTGTTCTCATTGTTCAAATCCCACTTCTGAGTGAGAACATGCAGTGTTTGGTTTTCTCTTTTTGGTGTTACTTTGCTGAGAATGATGGTTTCCAGCTTCATTCATGTCCCTGCAAAGGACATGAACTCATCCTTTTTTGTGGCTGCATAGTATCTCATGGTGTGTATGTGCCACATTTTCTTAATCCAGTCTATCATTGATGGGCATTTGGGTTGTTTCCAAGACTTTGCTATTGTGAACAGTGCTACGATAAACATACGTGTGCGTGTGTCTTTAGAGTAGAATGATCTATAATCCTTTGGGTATATACCCAGAAATGGGATTGCTGGGTCAAATGGTATTTCTAGTTCTAGATCCTTGAGGAATAACCACACTGTCTTCCACAATGGTTGAACTAATTTACACTCCCACCAACAGTGTAAAAGCATTCCTATTTCTCCACATCCTCTCCAGCATCTGTTGTTTCCTGACTTTTTAATGATTGCCATTCTAATTGGCGTGAGATGGTATCTCATTGTGGTTTTGATTTGCATTTCTCTAATGACCAATGATGATGAGCATTTTTTCATGAGTTTGTTGGCGGCATAAATGTCTTCTTTTTAAAAAGTATCTGTTCATATCCTTCACCCACTTTTTGATGGGGTTGTTTTTTTCTTGTAAATTTGTTTAAGTTTCTTGTAGATTCTGGATATTATCCCTTTGTCACATGGATAGATGGCAAAATTTTTCTCCCATTCTCTAGGTTTCCTCTTCACTCTGATGATAGTTTCTTTTGCTGTGCAGAAGCTCTTTAGTTTAATCAGATCCCATTTGTCAATTTTGGCTTTTATTGCCCTTCCTTTTGGTGTTTTAGTCATGAAGTCTTTGACCATGCCTATGTCCTGAATAGTATTGACTAGGTTTTCTTCTAGGGTTTCTATGGTTTTAGGTCTAACATTTAAGTCTTTAATCCATCTTGAGTTAATTTTTGTATAACATGTAAGGAAGGGATCAAGTTTCAGCTTTCTGCATATGGCTAGCCGGTTTTCCCAGCACCATTTATTAAATGGGGAATCCTTTCCTCATTTCTTGTTTTTGTCAGGTTTGTCAAAGATCAGATGGTTGTAGATGTATGGTGTTATTTCTGAGGCCTCTGTTCTGTTCCATTGGTCTATATATCTGTTTTGGTAACAGTGCCATGCTGTTTTGGTTACTGTGGCCTTGTAATACAGTTTGAAGTCAGGTAGCGTGATGCCTCCAGCTTTGTTCTTTTGGCTTAGGATTGTTTTGGCTATGCAGGCTCTCTTTTGGTTCCATATGAAATTTAAAGTAGTTTTTTCCAATTCTGTGAAGAAAGTCACTGGTAGCTTGATGGAGATAGCATTGAATCTATAAATTACCTTGGGCAGTGTGGCCATTTTCACGATGTTGATTCTTCCTATCCGTGAGCATGGAATGTTCTTTGATTTGTTTGTGTCCTCTTTTATTTCGTTGAGCAATGGTTTGTAGTTCTCCTTAAAGAGGTCCTTCACATCCCTTGTAAGTTGGATTCCTAGATATTTTATTCTCTTTGAAGCCATTGTGAATGGCAGTTCACTCATGATTTCGCTCTCTGTTTGTTATTGGTGTATAGGAATGCTGGTGATTTTCGCACACTGATTTTGTATTCTGAGACTCTGAAGTTGCTTATCAGCTTAAGGAGATTTTGGGTTGAGACGATGGGGTTTTCTAAATATACAATCATGTCACCTGCAAAAAGAGACAATTTGACTTCCTCTTTTCCTAATTGAATATCCTTTATTTCTTTCTCCTGCCTGACTGCCCTGGCCTGAACTTCCATCACTACATTGAATAGGAGTGGTGAGAGAAGGCATCCTTGTCTTGTGCTAGTTTGCAAAGGGAATGCTTCCAGTGTTTGCCCATTCAGTATGATATTGGCTGTGGGTTTGTCATAAATAGCTCTTATTATTTTGAGATACATCCCATGAATACCTAGTTTATTGAGAGTTGTTAGCATGAAGGGCTGCTGAATTTTGTCAAAGGCCTTTTCTGCATCTAATTGAGATAATCATGTGGTTTTTGTCTTTGGTTCTGTTTATATGATGGATTACGTTTATTGATTTGCTTTTGTTGAACAAGCCTTGCATCCTAGGGATGAAGCTGACTTGATCATGGTGGATAAGCTTTTCATGTGCTGCTGGATTCAGTTTGCCAGTATTTTATTGAGGATTTTCGCATTGATGTTCATTAGGGATAGTGGCCTAAAATTTTCTTTTTTTGTTGTGTCTCCACCAGGTTTTGGTATCAGGATGATGCTGGCCTAATGAAATGAATTAGGGAGGATTCCCTTTTTTTCTATTGATTGGAATAGTTTCAGAAGGAATGATACCAGCTCCTTTTTGTACCCCTGGTAGAATTTGGCTGTGAATCTGTCTGGTTCTGGACTTTTTTTTGGTTGGTAGGCTATTAATTATTGCCTCAATTTCAGAACCTGTTATTGGTCTATTCAGAGATTCTACTTCTCCCTGGTTTAGCCTTGGGAGGGTGTATTTGTCGAGGAATTTATCCATTTCTTCTAGATTTTCTAGTTTAGTTGCATAGAGGTGTTTATAGTATTCTCTGATGGTAGTTTGTATTTCTGTGGGATCAGTGGTGATATCCCCTTTATCATTTTTTAATTGCATCTGTTTGATTCTTCTTTCTTTTCTTCTTTATTAGTCTGTCTAGCAGTCTATCTATTTTGTTGATCTTTTCAAAAAATCAGCTCCTGGATTCACTGATTTTTTGAAGCAATTTTGTGTCTCTGTCTCCTTCAGTTCTGCTCTGATCTTAGTTATTTCTTGTCTTCTGCTAGCTTTTAAATTTGTTTGTTCTAACTTCTCTAGTTCTTTTAATTGTGATGTTAGGGTGTCAATGTTAGTTCTTTCCTGCTTTCTCTTGTGGGCATTTAGTGCTATAAATTTCCCTCTACACACTGCTTTAAATGTGTCCCAGACATTCTGGTACACTGTGTCTTTGTTCTCATTGGTTTCAAAGAACATCTTTATTTCCACCTTCATTTCATTATTTACCCAGTGGACATTCAGGAGCAGGTTGTTCAGTTTCCATGTGGTTGTGTGGTTTTGAGTGGGTTTCTTAATCCTGAGTTCTAATTTGATTGCACTGTGGTCTGAGAGACAGTTTGTTGTGATTTCTGTTCTTTTTCATTTACTGAGGAGTGCTTTACTTCCAACTATGTGATCAATTTTAGAATAAGTGCGATGTGGTGCTGAGAAGAATGTATGTTCTGTTGATTTGGTGTGGAGAGTTCTGTAGATGTCTATTAGGTCTGCTTGGTGCAGAGCTGAGTTCCAGTCCTGGATATCCTTGTTAATTTTCTGTCTCGTTGATCTAATATTTACAGTAGGGTGTTAAAGTCTCCCACTATTAATGTGTGGGAGCCTAAGTCTCTTTGTAGGTCTCTAAGGACTTGCTTTATGAATCTGGGTGCTCCTGTATTGGGTGCATATATATTTAGGATAGTTAGCTCTTCTTGTTGAATGGATCCCTTTACCATTATGTAATGCCCTTCTTTGTCTCTTTTGATCTTTGTTGGTTTAAGGTCTGGTTTATCAGAGACTAGGATTCCAACCCCTGCTTTCTTTTGTTTTCCATTTGCTTGGTAGATCTTCCTCCATCCTTTTATTTTGAGCCTATGTGTGTCTTTGCATGTGAGATGGGTCTCCTGGATACAGCACACTGATGGGTCTTGACTCTTTACCCAATTTGCCAGTCTGTGTTTTATAATTGGAGCATTTAGTCCATTTACATTTAAGGTTAATATTGTTATGTATGAATTTGATCCTGTTATTATGATCCTAGCTGGTTATTTTGCCAGTTAGTTGATGCAGTTTCTTCATAGCATAAATGGTCTTTATAATTTGGCATGTTTCTGCAGTGGCTGGTACCAGTTGTTCCTGTCAATGTTTAGTGCTTCCTTCAGGAGCTCTTCTTGTAAGGCAGGCCTGGTGGTGACAAAATCTCTCAGCATTTGCTTCTCTGTAAAGGATTTTATTTATCCTTCACTTATGAAGCTTAGTTTGGCTGGATATGAGATTCTCAGTAGAAAATTCTCTTCTTTAAGAATGTTGAATATTGGCCCCCACTCTCTTCTGGCTTGTAGGGTTTCTGCAGAGAGATCTGCTGTTAGTCTGATGGGCTTCCCTTTGTGGGTAACACGACCTTTCTCTCTGGCTGCCCTTAATATTTCTTCCTTTATTTCAACCTTGGTGAATCTGACAATTATGTGTCTTGGGGTTGCCCTTCTCGAGGAGTATCTTTGTGATGTTCTCTGTATTTCCTGAATTTGAATGTTGGCCTGCCTTGCTAGGTTGGGAAAGTTCTTCAGCATAATATCCTGAAGAGTGCTTTCCAACTTGGTTCCATTCTCCCAGTCACTTTCAAGTACACCAATCAAACGTAGATTTGGTCTTTTCACATAGTCCCATATTTCTTGGAGGCTTTTTTTGTTTCTTTTCACTCTTTTTTCTCTAATCATGTCCTCTCATGTTATTTCTTTAATTTGATCTTCAATCTCTGATATCCTTTCTTCCACTTGATTGATTTGGCTATTGAAGCTTATGTATGCTTCACGAAGTTCTCGTGCTGAGTTTTTCAGCTCCATCAGGTCATTTATGTTATTCTCTACAGTGGTTATTCTAGTTAGCAACTCGTCTAACCTTTTTTCAAGGTTCTTAGCTTCCTTGTGTTAGGTTAGAACATGTTCCTTTAGCTCTGAGGAGTTGGTTATTACCCACTCTCTGAAGCCTACTTCTGTCAATTCATCAAAGTTATTCTCCATCCAGTTTTATTCCCTTGCTGGCAAGGAGTTGTGATTCTTTGGGAGTGAAGAGGCATTCTGGTTTTGGGAATGTTCAGCGTTTCTGTGCTGGTTTCTCCCCATCTTTGTGGTTTTATCTACCTTTGGTCTTTCATGTTGGTGACCTACAGATGGGGTTTTGGTGTGGACATCCTTTCTCCTGATGTTGATGCTATTCCTTTCTGTTTGTTAGTATTCCTTCTAGCAGTCAGGCCCCTCAGCTGCAGGTCTGTTGGGAGTTTGCTGGAGGTCCACTCCAGACCCTGTTTGCCTGGGTATCACCAGAGGAGGCTGCAGAATAGCAAATATTGCTGCCTGATCCTTCCTCTGAAAGCTTCATCCCAGAGAGGCACCCTCCAGATGCCAGCCAGAGCTCTCCTGTATGAGGTGTCTGTTGACCCCCACTGGGAGTTGTCTCCCAGTCAGGCTACACGCATGTCAGGGACCCACTTGAGGAGGTAGTCTGTCCATTATCAGAGCCCAAACGCTGTGCTGGGAGAACCACTGCTCTCTTCAGAGCTGCCAGGCAGGGACATTTAAGTCTGCTGAAGCTGTGCCCACAGCAGCCCCTTCCCCCAGGTGCTCTGTCCCAGGGAGATGGGGGATTTATCTGTAAGTCCCTGACTGGGGCAGATGCCCTGCCCACAGAGGTGGAATCTAGGGAGGCAGTCGACCTTGCTGAGCTGCAGTGGGCTCTGCCCAGTTCAAAATTCTCTGTGGCTTTCTTTACACTGTGAGCATAAAACTGCCTACTCAAGCCTCAGCAATGGTAGATGCCCCTCCCCCCGCCCAGCTCCAGCATCCCAGTTCGATCTCAGACTGCTGCGCTAGCAGCGAGAATTTCAAGCCAATGGATCTTAGCTTGCTGGGATCCCTGGGCATGGGACCTGCTGAGCCAGGCACTGGAAGGAATCTCCTGGTCTGCCAGTTGTGAAGACCGTGGGAGTATCTGGGCAGGAGTGTACTGTTCCTCCCAGTACAGTCTCTCATGACTTCCCTTGGCTAGGAAAGGGAAATCCCTCAACCCCTTGTGCTTCCCCGGTGAAGCAACACCCCATTGTGCTTCGGCTTGCCCTCCAGGGGCTGCATCCACTGTCCAACCAGTCCCAGTGAGACAACCAGGTTGGAAATGCAGATATCACCTGTCTTCTGAGTCGATCTCACTGGGAGCTGCAGACCAGAGCTCTTCCTATTCAGCCATCTTGCTGAAAATCCCTAATTTCTTAATATAATTAAACATCTAATAACTATTCAGACTCTCTTCACTCTTCCCCCATTCTATCCATTTTTCAGGTTGTGTTCAAATCAGGATCCAAAAGGTTCATATGTTACAATAGGCCAACAATAGATTACTATGTCCCTTTACAGTCTCTTTTCATCTTTTCTTTCTCTCTGATTCTCATTTCAATTTATTTATTGTGGAAACCAGGTTGTTCATCTTGTAGAATGCATTAATCTGTTTTCATGCTACTAATAAAGATATACCTAAGGCTGGGTAATTTACAAATGAAAGAGGTTTAATTGACTCACAGTTCCACATGGCTGGGGAGGCCTCACAATCATGGCAGAAGGCAAATGAGGAGCAATGTCACATCTTACATGGTGGCAGGCAAGACAGCATGTGCAGGGGAACTCCCATTTATAAAACCATCAGATCTTGTAAGACTTATTCACTACCATGAGAACAGTATGGGGGAAACCACCCCTATGATTCAATTATCTCTACCTGTCCCTGCCATTGACACATCAGGATTATTACAATTCAAGGTGAAATTTGGGTGGGGACTCAGCCAAACCATATCATAGAGTTTCTCATTATTGACATTTTTCTGATTATAATCCTGCATTGTCATGTAACATATTCCTATGCCTCTATGTTTCCTATAAATTTATACTAATTTCTATATTTCCTGTGGATCTAGAGGCTTGATCAGATTCAGACTTGACTTTTTTGGGAAAATTATCCCTTTTTTATATACATGTAAAGTATTTGGGCTTCACGTCACATTGTCAGAAAATCATTTTGCTTATTTTTTATGTCTGTCCCACCCTTAAATTTTTTGAGATTACAGAAAGTACAGGAAGACTCTGGCTGTCTCATTCTCATCTCCCAGTATGATAAAGGATAATCTCTTAAACTTTGAGCCAAACGCTAACTTCATTGTAACACCTGGCCAACCATATACCAATCTTAAACCCTCAAAAGTCTTAGCACTAAAATTGGGTGATGATTGCAGATTCCCTTTTCTCATTGTGTATTTTATTCCAGTGAAAATCTTCAAGTAAAGAACCTCTTAATCTATTAGTTTATTTCTATTAAAAAAAATTGTCTTGACCTTGAAATTTTGCTTACAAAGGCTCCATGACCCTAGCACTTGTGACCTTCTTCAGCCTGTGACCTGCTACAGAAAGGACCTATTGTCCTTACAATTACATATCTAAGACGAAACACTACATATCCTAAAAGCAAAGAAAGTTTTGGGGAGAAATGATGTCAGCAAGATGGTGAAATGGAAAGCCCTGGACACTTCTTCCCCTCACATACTGATTCAGACACAACTCATAGGCATATTTCCTTTGTAATACATCAGAAACTAATTGAGAGGCTCCTGCATCCCAGAAGAATATGAAACCAGACTCACTGAAGTCAGTAGAGAGATTGGGACACTGAAACTGCCAGAGACCATGCCCCCAGTGCAGTGCCATATAATGAGAAGGAGACTCCCAAGCTCCCAGTTTTACCCACGAGAGGGAAGGGCTTGCTTTGTGCATCCAACCCTTCTGGATTGCAAAGTTGGTTTGCAACTTTGCAAGGAGACTCCCAAGCAGACTGGCTTCTGTCTTACCTGTCTTGAAGCCCTGATTGTTCTGCCACAGTCTAGTCACATGAGGGAGACTGGAGGTAACCGTTTGGCCTAGGAGATGCTATTAATCCTCTCACCTTCTTAACACTGAGCAAGTAGACAAGAATTAACATCTAGCTCACTAATTCTGATCTCTAGCAGGCCTGTCACATTCTATCTAACTTAGGGAGAACCGAGGCAGCATCTTGGATGTCAGCAACTATAGATGCCATAACCCCCCAGTCCCAGCCACCTGCCAACTTCATCTCAGCACAAAGAAAGTGAACAACCACAGATGTCTACTTCTCTCTAGAGAGCAAAAGTTTTGGCAAAGATCCCCAGAATCTCTGAATGGGCTGATTAGTGGAGGTTTCCTCCTGTATGAGGCCAGTCCCTGAGGACATGGAGAGGTGCCTGCATTGTCTAACGTGTAGTCACCAACATAGAGAGTCAAGGAAAATGAAAAATTAGGCAAAGACAGACCAAACAAAGGAACAAGATAAATCAAAAACTGACCTTAATGAAACAGAGTCATATGATTTACCTGGTGGAGAATTAAAAATAACTCTCATGAAGATGTTCAACAAGGTCAAGAAAACAAAGCATAAACAAGGTAAAACTTTAACAAAGTCAGAAAATATTTAAAAGTACCAAACAGAAATCATGAAAATAAAGGACACAATAATTACACCAAAATGTTGCTAGAGAGGCATGAGAGCAATATACTATAACCAGCAAAATGCTCCCTCAGAAATGAAGGCAAGATAAAGGATTTCCCAGACAAATAAAAGTGAGGGACTTCATCATCACCAGGCCTGCCTTACAAGAAGTGCTTAATGGAGTTTTTCAAGTTGAAGCAAGAGAATGCTAAACAGCACAGAATAATATATGAAACTCATTGTTAAGGTAAATATATAGGCAAATACAGAATAATGTATTTGTGTAATGTGGGGGCTAAATCATTTTTAATTTTAGAATAAAAATTAAAAGACAAAATTATTAAAAATAATTATAACTGAAAAATTATTAAAGGATACACAATATGAACAGATATAAATTATGACAATAACAACATAAAGTGTGGGGACAGGGAGTGGTCAAAATGTAGAGTCTTTGTGTGCAATTGAACTTAAGTTGTTATTAACTTAAAATAGACTGTTAGAATTGTAAAGTGTTTTATATGAGCCCCAAGGTAAGTACACACACAAGAAAATTCAATAAAACACAAAAGAATACAGCAAAAGAGGAAAAGAAAAACAAAACAACCACAAGACTAACCAAGAACAACTAACAAAATGGCAATAGTAAATCCTTCACTGTCAATAATTACTTTAAATGTAAATGTATTTTTAAAAACCCAGTTGAAACATACAGGGAATCTAAATGAATTAAAAAACAAGACCCAACTATATACCATCTATTAGAAATTCACTTTAGACTTAAGGATACACATAGGCTAAAAGTGAAGGGATAGAAAAAGATATTCTGTGCAAATGGTAATGAAAGAAAAGTAGAGATGGCTATACTTATGTCACACAAAATAGACTTTAAGTCAAAAACTGTCACAAAGGACAAAAAGAACATTTTATAATGATAAAAGTGTTGTTCCACCAAGAAGATACAAAAAGTATAATTATATAAGCATTTAATATTAGAGTACCTAAATATATAAGCATTGGCATATATGAATGGAGAAATAAAAAAAATATGATAATAGTAAGATACTTCAGTATCCCACTTTTGACAATAGAAAGAACATTTAGACAGAAGATTAAAAAGGAAATAGAGGACCTAAATAACACCGTAGACTAAACAGACCTAAAATTCAGACATATGTAAAACCCTCCACCCAGCAGCAGCAGAATGCACATTCTTCTCAAGCACACAGGAATCTTTCTCCAGGATAAATCACGTTAACTCCCAAAACAAGTCTTAACAAATCTAAAAAGACTGAAGTCATACCAAGTATCATTTCTGAGCATAATGGAATAAAAACAGAAATCAGTAAGAGAAAGAAAATGAAATTCACAAATATGCATAAATTAAACAACACACTCTTTTTTTTTTTTTTCTTTTTTGAGACAGAGTCTCTCTCTGTCACCCATGCTGGAGTGCAGTGGCACAATCTCAGTTCACTGCAACCTTTGCCTCCTGGGTTCAAGTGATTCTCAGCCTTCCAAGTAGTTGACATTACAGACATGAGCCACGGCACCTGGCCAACAACACACTCTTGGACAACCGTTGAATCAAAGGAAAAAAAATTTGATTAGAAAATACCTCAAGACAAATGAAAAAGAAAACACAACATAGCACAAGTTATGGGATGCAGCAAAATAGTACAAACAGGGAAGCTCATATTAAACACCTACATTTTTTAAAAAAAGAAGATCTCAAATAAAAAACCAAACTAACTTTACATCTCAAGAAATGGGAGCCCAAAGTTAGCAGAAGGAAAGAATTACCAAAGATTAGAGCAGAAATAAATGAAATAGAACAGAGATTAAAAAAAAGATGAACAAAATTAAGAGTTTGTTTTTTGAAAAGAGAAAATAAATGGATAATTCTTAGGTAGGCTAACCAGGAGAAAGAGAAAAGACAAAAATAAATAAAATTAATAAAGGGGAGACATTACAACTAGTGCACACAAATAAAACATCATAAGAGGCTACTAGAAATAATCATACAACAACAAATTAATTATCTAGAATAAATGAATAAATTTCTAAAAACTATGCTCTACCAAGACTAAATCATGAAGAAATAGAAGAAAGGTTTTCTTTTAATTATTATACTTTAAGTTCTAGGGTACATGTGCACAACTTGCAGGTTTTTTACATAGGTTTACATGTTGGTTTGCTGTACCTGTCAACTCGTCATTTACATTAGGTATTTCTCCTAATGCTATCCCTCCCCCATCCCCCCACTCCCCAACAAGCCCCAGTGAGTGATGTCCCCCTCCCTGTGTCCATGTGTTCTCATTGTTCAACTCCCACTTATGAGTGAGAACATGTGGTGTTTGGTTTTCTGTTCTTGTGATATTTTGCTGAGAATGATGGTTTCCAGCTTCATCCTTGTCTCTGCAAAGGACACAAACTCATCCTTTTTTATGGCTGCATAGTATTCCATGGTGTATATGTGCCACATTTTCTTTATCCAGTCTATTATTGATGGACATTTGGGTTGGTTCCAAGTCTTTGCTACTGTGAATAGTGCCACAATAAACATTTATGTGCATGTGTCTTTATAGTAGCATGATTTATAATCCTTGGGGTATATACCCAGAAATGGGATTGCTGGATCAAATGGTATTGAAGAAATGGAAATTTTAAGCAGAGCTATAAGAACTACGTAGATTGGAAATATCAGGGGATCATGGCAGACAGGAGGCAGGACTAGATTGCAGCTCCAACTCGGACGGATAGAGCAGCATGTGGAGTCTTGCATCATAAATTTTTGCTCCAGAACGACTGCAGTAATAAATCAAGAAACTTGAAGGGACCCACAGACCCCCTGAAGAAAGCGGATTGCTCCTTCAGGACCCAGGAGACACCTCAAATACTCTGAGTACCCAAACTATGAAACTGGGAAAGGGAAATTGTCCACCCCCAAACACACACTCCCACTGGGGAAACTGAAGGCCTAGATTACAGAAGACGATTTTGACCTTACCTGGAGCTGAGTGAGTTTAGAGAGCCAAGAAACATACAGTGTTAGGAGAAGCAGCAGGAAAAGCACTGGGAGCTCACTGGGTCCCCTAACAAGCCGTTTTTGCCTGGCCTCACAGAGGTCTTTTGGGAGGGCAGACAGAGGCATTGGGAAAGGCTACAGGGAGAAGGAAATCTCCAGCTGAACTTTGTAACAATTTGAAGTGACTGAGAAGCCTCCTAGCCAGAACTCGAGGGAGGGCATGAATCTGGTGTGCAGACTCCACAGGTGGGAGAAGAAAAAAAAGCCATATTTGCTTTCACAGCTGGGAGGTGGGTAGCCTGGGGCAAGTTCTCAGACCTGCTCACCCACTACGTGGAAACAGACTCAGTGCTGTTGGGTGGAGGTCATGGTGGGAGTGAGACCGGCCCTTCAGATTGTGTGGGAGCTGGGTGAGGCCTGGGACTGCCGGCTTTCCCCCACTTCCCTGTCAACCTGCATGACACAGTAAAGAACATCATAATCCTCCTAAGAATGTAACCCTGTTGACCTGGGAACCTCACCCCCAACCCCCATAGCAGCTGCAGCAAGACCCACCCAAGGAGAGTGTGAGCTCAGACACACCTAACCCTGCCCCCACCCAATGTTTCTTACCTACTCACCCTGGTAACTGAACACAAAGGGCATATACTCTTGGGAGTTCTAGGTCCCTGCCCATCGCCTGTTCCTCCCCATAGTACCACAGCTGATGCACCCTGGAAAGCACCACCTACTGGTAGGAAGCCAAACAGCACAAAAATAGTGCATTAAATCACCAACACTAATAACCTTCACAGAGTCCATTTCACCCCCTGCCACCTCTACCAGAACAGGAGCTGATATCCACGGCTGAGAGACCCACAGATGGTTCACATCACAGAACTCTGTGCAGACAACCCCCAGTACCAGCCCAGAGCCTGACAGACTTGCTGGGTGGCTAGATCCAGAGAGAGATAACAATCACTACAGCTCGGCCCTCAGGAAGCCACATCCATAGGAAAAGGGGAAGAGTACTACATCAAAGGAACACCCCACGGGACAAAGGAATCTGAACAGGTTCTAGCCCTAGACCCTGTTCAGCCCCAGATCTTCCCTCTGACAGAGCCTACCCAAATGAGAAGGAAACAGAAAACTTACTCTGGTAATATGACAAAACAAGATTCTTTAACACTCCCCAAAAATTACACTAGCTCACCAGCAATGGACCCAAACCAAAAGGAAATCCCTGATTTACTTGCAAAAGAATTCAGAAGGTTACTTATTAAGCTAATCAGGGAGGCACCAGAGAAAGGTGAAGCCCAATGTAAGGAAATCCAAAAAACAATACAAGTAGTGAAGGCAGAAACATTCAAGAAAATAGATAGCATGAATAAAAAGTAATCAAAACTTTAGGAAAAATGGACACACTTATAGAAATGCAAAATTATCTGGAAAGTCTCAGCAATAGAACTGAACAAGAAGAAAGAAATTTAGAGCTTGAAGACAAGGTCTTCAATTAACCCAATCCAACAAAGACAAAGACAAAAGAATTTTAAAAATATGAACAAAGCCTCCAAGAAGTCTGGGATTATGTTCAATGACCAAACCTAAGAATGATCAGTGTTCCTGGGGAAGAAGAGAAATATAAAAGTTTGGAAAACATATATGGAGTAATAATCAAGGTAAAATTCCCTGGCCTTGCTAGAGACCGAGACATCCAAATACAAGAAGTACAAAGAACACTTGAAAATCTGTCATAAAAAGACCATCACCTAGGCATATTGTCATCAGGTTATCTAAAGTTAAGACAAATGAAAGAATCTTAAGAGCTGTGAGACAAAAGCAACAAGTAACCTATAAAGGAAAACCTATCAGATTCACAGCAGATTTCTCAGCAGAAACCCTACAAGCTAGAATGGATTGGGGGGCCAGATCTTCAGCCTTCTCAAACAAAACAATTGTCAGCCAAGAATTTTGTATCCAGCAAAACCAAGCTTCATCTATAAACAAAAGATACAGTCTTTTTCAGACAAAGAAATGCCGAGAGAATTTGCCACTACCAAGCCATCACTACAAAAACTGCTAAAAGGAGCCCTAAATCTTGAAACAAATCCTGTAAACACGTCAAAACTCTTTAAAGCACAAAACACATTCAAAACTCTCTAAAGCATAAATCACACAGGACCTATAATACATGATAAAAAGCAAAAACAAACAAAAAAACAAAGTACACAGGCAACAAAGAGCACAATGAATGCAATGGTACCTCACATTTCAATACTAACATTGAATGTAAATGCCCTAAATGCTCCACTTAAGAGATACAGAACCACAGAATGGATAAGAACTCACCAACCAACTATCTGCTGCCTTCAGGAGACTCACCTAACACATAAGGACTCACATAAACTTAAAGGGGTGGAAAAAGGCATTTCATGCAAACAGACACCAAAAGTGAGCAGGAGTAGCTATTCCTACATCAGACAAAAAAATTTCAAAGCAACAGCAGTTAAAAGAGACAAAGAGGGACATTATACAATGGTAAAAGGCCTTGTCCAACAGGAAAATACCACAATGCTAAACATATATGCACCTAACACTGGAGCTCCCAAATTTATTAAACAATTACAAATAGACCTAAGAAATGAGGTAGACAGCAACACAATAATAGTGAAGAACTTCAGTACTCCACTGACAGCACTAGACAGGTCATCAAGACAGAAAGTCAACAAAGAAAGAGTGGATTTAAACTATACCTTGGAACAAATGGACTTAACAGATGTATACAGAACATTTCATCCAACAACCACAGAAAACACATTCTATTCAACAGCACATGGAACTTTCTCCAAGATAGACCATATGATAGGCCATAAAACGAGCCTCAATAAATTTTTAAAAATTGAAATTAAATCAAGCAGTCTCTCAGACCACAGTGGAATAAAGCTGGAAATCAACTCCAAAAGGAAACTTCAGAACCATGCAAATATACGGCAATTAAATAATCTGCTCCTGAATGAGCATTGGGTCAAAAACAAAATCAAGAAGAAAATTTAAAAATTCTTCAAACTGAATGACAATAATGACACAACCTGTCAAAACCTTTCAGATACAGCAAAGGTGGTGCCAAGAGGAAAGTTCATAGCCCTAAGCACCTCCATCAAAAAGACTGAAAGAGCCCAAACTGACATTCTAAGGTCACACCTCAAGGAACTAGAGAAACAAGAACAAACCAAACCCAAACCCAATAGAAGAAAAGAAATTACCAAGATCAGAGCAGAACTAAATGAAATTGAAACCAAAAAAAATACAAAAGATAAATTAAACAAAAAGCTGGTCCTTTGAAAAGATAACTAAAATTGACAGACCATTAGCAGGATTAACCAAGAAGAGAGAAAATTCAAATAAGCTCGATAAATAGTGAAACGGGAGATATTACAACTGACACCACTGAAATACAAAAGACCATTTAAGGCTACTATGAACACCTTTACATGCATAAACTATAAAACCTAGAAGACATGGATACATTCCTGGAAAGATACAACCCTCCTAGCTTAAATTAGGAAGAATTAGATACCCTGAACAGAGCAATAACAAGCAGCGAGGTTGAAATGGTAATTTAAAAATTACAAAAAAAAAAAAAAAAAAAGGCCAGGACCAGACAGATTCACAGCAGAATTCTTCCAGACATTCAAAGAATTGGTACCAATTCTATTGACACTATTCCACAAGATGGGGAAAACGGAACCCTCCCTAAATCATTCTGTGAAGCCAGTATCACCCTAATACCGAAACCAGGAAAAGACATAACCAAAAACGAAAACTACAGACCAATATCCCTGATTAACATAGGCGCTAAAGTCCTTAACAAAATACTAGCTAACCAAATCCAACAACGTATCAAAAAATTAATTCACTATGATCAAGTGGGTTTCATAGAAGAGATGCAGGGATGGTTTAACATATGCAAGTCAATAAATGTGAAACACCACATAAACAGAATTAAAAACAAAAATCACATGACAATCTCAATACATGCAGAAAAAGCATCAGACAAAATCCAGCATCCCTTTATGATAAAAACTCTCAGCAAAATCGGCAAACAAGAGACATAACTCAATATAATTAAAAGTCATCTATGACAAACTCACAGTGAATATAATACTGAATGGGGAAAAGTTTAAAAGTATTCCCTCTGAGAACGGAACAAGACAAAGATGCCCACTCTCATCGCTTTTGTTCAACATAGTACTAGAAGGCCTAGCCAGAGCTATCAGAGGAGAGAAAGAAATTAAGGGCATCCAAATTGGTAAAGAGGAAGTCAAACTGTCACTGTTTGCTGATGATATAATTATTTACCTAGAAAATCCTTAAGATTCCTTCAGAAAGCTCCTAGAACTGATGAAAGAATTCAGCAACGTTTCCAGATAAAAAATTAATGCACGTAAATCATGTAGCTCTTCTATACACCAACAGCGACCAAGTGGAGAATCGAATCAAGATATCAAGGCCTTTTACAATAGCTGCAAAAAAAAGTAAAATACTTAGCAATATACCTAACCAAGGAGGTGAAAGACTTCTACAAGTAAAACTACAAAACACTACTAAAAGAAATCATAGGCAACACAAACAAATGGAAACACATCCCATGCTCATGGATGGGTAGAATCAATATTGTGAAAATGACCACACTGCTAAAAGCAATCTACAATTCAATTCCCATAAAAATATCAACATCAGGCTGGGCATGGTGGCTCAGGCCTGTAATCCCAGCACTTTGGGAGGCTGAGGTGCGTGGATCACTTGAGGTCAGGAGATCGAGACCAGCCTGGCCAACATGGCGAAACCCCATCTTTACTAAAAATATAAAAATTAGTAAGGCATGGTGGCACGTGCCTTTAGTCCCAGCTACTTGGGAGGCTGAGGCAGGAGAATCCCTTGAACCCAGGAGGCAGAGGTTGCAGTGAACCAAGATCATGCCACTGCATTCCAGCCTGGGAGACAGAGCAAGACTGTCAAAAAAAAAAAAAAATCATTCTTCACAGAATTAGAAAAAAACAATTCTAAAATTCATATGGAACCAAAAAGAGCCCACATAGCCAAAGCAAGACTAAGCAAAAAGAACAAATCTGGAGGCAACCCATTCCCTGATTTCAAACTATACTATAAGGCCATAGTCACCAAAACAGCATGGTACTGGAAAGAAAGAAATCAAGGGCATCCAAATTGGTAAAGAGGAAGTCAAACTGTCACTGTTTGCTGATAATATGATAGATGATATGATTGTTTACCTAGAAAATAGGCACATAGACCAATGGAACAGAATAGAGAACTTAAAAATAAACCCAACTACTTACAGCCAACTGCTCTTTGACAAAGCAAACAAAAACATAAAGTGGGGAAAGGACACCCTATTCAACAAATGGTGCTGGGATAATTTGCTAGCCACATGCAGAAGAATGAAACTGAATCCTCCTCTATCACCTTATACAAAAATCAACTCAAGGTGGACTAAGAACTTGAATCTAAGACCCGAAACTACAAAAATTCTAGAAGATAACGTTGAAAAAAAAACCTTCTAGACATTGGCCTAGGCAAGGATTTCATGACCAAGAACCCAAAAACAAATGCAATAAAAACAAAAATGGACAGATGGGACTTAACTAAACTAAAGAGGTTTTGCATGGCTAAAGGAACAGTCAGCAGAGTAAACAAACAACCCACACGGTGGGAGAAAATCTTCACAATCTAAACATCCGACAAAGGATTATATCCAGAATCTACAACAAACTCAAACAAATTAGCAAGAAAAAAACAAACAATCCCATCAAAAAGTGGGCTAAGGACATGAATAGACAATTCTCAAAAGAAGATATACAAATGGCCAACAAACATATGAAAAAATGCTCAACATCAGTAATGATCAAGGAAATGCAACTCAAAACCACAATGTGATACCACCTTACTCCTGCAAGAATGGCCATAATAAAAAAAAAATAGTAGATGTTGGTGTGGATGCAGTGAACAGGGAACACTTCTACACTGCTGGTGGAAATGTAAACTAGAAAAACCACTATGTAAAATAGTATAGAGATTTCTTAAAGAACCAAAAGTAGAACTACCATTTGATCCACCAATCCCACTACCGAGTATCTACCCAGAGGAAAAGAAGTAATTGTACAAAAAACATACGTGCACACACGTTTATAGCAGCACAATTCACAACTGCAAAAACGTGGAACCAACCGATATACCCATCAATCAACGAATGGATAAAGAAATTGTGATATATACATGTGATATATATATTTTATATATATAAAAAATATATATATATATGATGGAATACTACGCAGCCATAAGAAGGAATGAATTAATGGCATTCACAGCAACCTGGATGAGATTGGAGACTATTATTACTCATGAATGGAAAACCAAACATCCTATGTTCTCACTCATAAGTGGGAGCTAAGCTATAACGATGCAAAGGCATAAGAATGATACAATGGACTTTGGGGACTCAGAGGGAAAGGATGAGAAGGTGGTGAAGGATAAAAGACTACAAATAGGGTGCAGTGTATACTGCTCAGGTGATGGGTACACCAAAGTCTCACAAATCACCACTGAGAACTTATGTAACCAAATACCAACTGTTCCCCAATAACCTATGGAAATAAAAAAAAATTTATAAAGAAGTATGAAAATTGGCTCAGTAATAAAATATTCTCCATAAGGAAAAGCTTGATATTGGATAACTTCACTGATAATTTCTACCAAACATTTAAAGAAGCTATAATGCCAATTCTTTTCAAATTCTTCCCAAAAAACTGGAGAGGAAGGAACACTTCCAAAGTTTTTATGAGGCCAGCATAAAACACACAAAGATGCTATAACAAAAGAAAGCTACATGCCAATGTCCTTGAGGAATATAGAAGAAAAAGTCCTTGACAAAACACTAACAAACCAAATAAAAATATATTCAACACTACATTAAAATGATCATACAGTATGACCAAGTGGGATTTATCTCTGGTATGCAAGGACATTTCAACATACGCAAATCTATAAATGTGATATGCCACATTAACAGAAAAAACGATAAAAATTACGTGATTATCTCCATAGATGTGGAGAAAGCACTTGACAAAATCTGACACTTTCATAATAAAAACTCTCAATAAAATAGAAATAGAAGGAATTATCTTAAAATAATAAATTCCATATGTGAAAAGCAGCTAACATCATATTTAATGGCGAAAAAATTGAAAACTGTTCCTCTAAGATCAGGAACAAAGTAAGGATGCCCACTCTTTCCACTTTTGTGAAACACAGTATTTGGAATTTTGGCAGGAATAATTAGGTATTAAAAAGAAATAAAAGGCATACAAATGAGAAAGGAAGAAGTAAGACTGTTGCTGTTTGCAGATGGCATAACTGTAAAAACTCAAAAACAAACTACTAAAACATAAATGAATTTGTAAAATTGCAGGATATAAAATTAACAGACGAAAATCAGTTGTTTTTTGTTTTTTTGTTTGTTTGTTTTTTTGAGACCGAGTCTCACTCCGTCACCCGGGCTGGAGTGCAGTAGCGCGATCTCGGCTCACTGCAACCTACACCTCCCGGATTCAAGCGATTCTCCTGCCTCAGCGTCCTGAGCTGGGACTACAGACGTGCGCCACCACGCCAGGCTAATTTTTTGTATTTTTAGTAGAGACGTGGTTTCACGGTATTAGCTAGGATGGTCTCCATCTCCTGACCTCATGATCCGCCTGCCTCAGCCTCCCAAAGTGCTGGGATTACAGGCATGAGCCACCGCACCCAGCCTGTATTTTTATACACTAACAAGAAACTATCTAAAAAAAATTAAGAAACAATTCCATTTGTAATAGCACCCAAAAGAATAAAATAATTAGGGATAAACTTAACTAAGAGAGTGAAATACTTTTACACTGAAAACTACAAGACACAAATGGAAAGACATCTCGTGTTCATGGACTTGAAGATTTAATACTGTTAAAAATGCCTATATTACCCAAAACAATCTACAAATTCAATGCAATTTCTATCAAAATCCCATTAACATTTTTACAGATATATAAAAAAACAATTGATTCAAATAGAACCATAAAAGATCACAAATATCCAAAGCAATCCCAAGGAAAAAAAACAAATGTTAAGGCCTTGCACTTTCTGATTTCAAAATATATTACAAAACTACAGTGATTTTAAAAGTATGGTACTGGCATAAAGACAGACATATAGACCAATGGAACAGAATTGAGAGCTGAGAAATAAATTCACACATACACAGTACTGATCTTCAAAAAGGGTACCAAGAATACACAATGGGGAAAAAACAGTTTCTTCAACAAATGGTTTTGGGAAGACAATATATACTTGCAAAATATGAAATTGGACCTTTATCTTACACCCTATGCAAAAAATCAACTGAAAATTGATTAAAAACAAATATTAAGACCTGGAACTCTAAGACTCCTAGAAAAAAATATAGGGAGAAAGCTTTATGACACATTGTTCTTGGCAATGATTTCATGAATATGTCATCAAATGCACAGGCAACAGAACCAAAAATAAAGAAATGGGACTACATCAAACTAAAAAGCTGCTGCACAACAAAGAAAACAATCAACAGAGTGAAAAGGCAACTTAAGTATAATGGGAGAAAATATTTGTAAACCATATACCTTAATACAGCTTGGATCTGTGTCCCTACCAAATCTCATGTTGAAATGTTATCCCCAGTATTACAGGTAGGACCTGGTGGGAGGTGTCTGGATCATGCCAGTATTTCCCTTATGAATGGCGTAGTGCCCATCCCCTTAGTAATGAGTGAGTGAGTTCTTGTGAGATGTTTTTTTTTTTTTAAAGTCCACACTCTCTCACTTGTTCCTGCTTTTGGTTTGTAATGTGCCTGCACCCCCTTCACCTTCTATCATGATTGAAATCTCCCTGAGGCTTCACCAGAAACCAAACAGATGCCAGCACTATGCTTCGTGTTAAGCCTTCAGAACCACGCATGAGTCAATTAAGTCTCTTTTCTTTATAAATTACCCAGTCTCAGGTACTTCTTTATGGCAATGCAAGAATAGCCTAAGACACACCTAATAAAGGGTTAAACTCCAAAATATATAAGGAACCCTTACAATTTAGTAGTAAAAAAATAATAACCCGACTTAAAAATGGGCTAAGGACTTGAACAGACATTTCTCCAAAGAAGACATACAAGTGGCCCACAAGTATATGAAAAAAATATTCAACATCACTAATCATCAGAGAAATGCAAATCAAAGCCATCTCACACCTGTCGGGATGACTATTATTTTTTCAAAAAGACGTGAAGTATTAGTAAGGAAGTGGGGAAATTAGAACCCTTGTACACTGTTGGTAGGAATGCAAAATGGTACAGCTGCTATAGAAAATAGCATGGGGTTTTCTCCAAAAATTAAAAATAGAACTGCCATGTGATGCAGCAATTCCACTTTTTGGTACTTTTCCAAAAGAACTGAAATCAAGATCTTGAAGAGATATTAGTACTCCTATGTTCATTGCAGCACTGTTCACAAAAATCAATTGTGGAAACAAGCTCAATTGTCCATTGGAATATGAATGGATAAAGAAAATGTGGTGTATACACACATGAAATACTATTCAGATTCTTTTAAAAGAAATTCTAAAATGTGACAAGATGAATGAGCCTTGAGGACATTATGACAAGTGAAATAGGCCAGTCACAGAAAGACAAATACTGCATGATCTCACTTATATGAGGTATCTAAAATAGTCACATTCATAAAATCAAACTGTGGAATAGTGGTTTCCAGGGACTAGGGGCAGGGGGAAATGGCGAGTTACTAATCAACAGGCATGAAGTTTCAGTTAGGCAAGATGAATACATTCTAAAGATCAAAAGATGTACAACAACATAACTATAGTCACTGATACTGTATTGTACATTTAAAAATTTGTTGAGGGTAGATCTCATGTCATATGTTCTTATCACAATAAAATTAAAAAGAAAAAATAAAATAAAAACATTCTGGTAAGTGATTTGCTGTCTCCAGCTATACAATGAAATAGTAGGCAAATCTATCTGATAGACCCAGCCTCAAGATACAGGACTTAATATAATTGTATAGGACCACAGAATATCATGGAAGTTGTCACAGTAGGTCTAGAAAATGAGTGGTTTTTACCAGGGTTATCTGATGTAATGCTTAAAACGTCATTATGAGTCAGGTCTCATCACTCTCATAAAATAGATGAAGAAAAAGGCTCAGTAACTTATCCAAGATCATAAAAGATCTCTTTCCACTATACCACATGATATTTAATCAATGTTCAAATTAGCAATCATTGTCTAAGAAAAGACAATGACATAAAAAGAACCATATTTCAAAAATCTGCATAGATCTGACTATAGACAATATTCATGCTAAAACTGGCACAGCAGGGAAGGAAAAAAAGAAGAAGAAAAATTCTGCATAGTTAGTTGGGCCTAGAAGATTGGCAGTGCACCCCAGTGGGTAATCTTCTGTTACTAATAGAGATGCAAAGTGCTGGTATAGCAGAAGCAAGACACAGTTTGTTCTGTTTTCCAGCTCCAAAGCCATAAGCTTCTTCCTTGCTAAGGTGTGTATCTATCCTTGCCTCTTTCTCTCATCTGGTGCCAAGAGTGTTTTGTGTAAACATCTTTCTTCTTTCTATTCAGCACTATTTTTTTAAATATCGGAGTATATATAGTGGTAGAGTTTAGTTAAAAACATAGGTTTTCTATATCAATTTGAAAACAAATTGTATCTAATCATCTCTGTAACATTTCCTGCAAGGTAACAACTTTTAATGTTTAGATAAACACCGAAGAGCCTGTTTACTCTACCACCTAGTACCCAAGTGTCTTCTGACTTGTTTAAACCTGAACAACAGGGAGGACCATGAGTCAAGATCTGTAATTTTGTGTCCTTTTAAAATGATTAGAACCATTGCCAAATCTTTTAGCAGATTACCCTTAAAAGGACACAGTCCATACAGGTAATATATGTTTGTTGTAATCACCTTTTCCAAATCCATCTTTTTCAAATCAATTTATTCCATCCACCCACTCATTTATCTACTCACTCATGTGACTATCCATTTATTTGTTCGTTCATTCATTCATTAAAATATTATCTGTGAAGTCCTTACTTTATGTTAGGCAACATTGTTTAATTGTTCCCTACATTTCCCAGTCTATCCTCTGCCTTTCTGTCTCCTTTACTTTTTCCTTTTTCCACTCAAATTTCTGGATCCACCTCAAAAATTTCATACCTCTTTTTATCACCTCCAGTGCCTTGCATGAAATAGGCGCTCAGTATCTACTGGTTGATTGATAAGAAAAGTTTAGAGAACAAGAAGCAGGACATCATGGGTAAACAAACTGAGACAAAGATTAGAAAGCATTTAAGACATGACATGTGAAGAGGTTTACCTAACCTGATCAAATTTCTAGGAATACACATTTGAAAGAATAGTATGTAATTTAGAGTCCATGGAATAAGAGAGAAAGAAGGGGAACGTTAATTTTTTGGCAAGATTGGCAGCTTTCCAAAGGCTAAGTTGATGGTGATTACTTTGTTTTCTCAATAGATGCCTATTCAGAATGATAGAAGTTAGCAGCATGTAGTAACCCTTTGATATATGCCAAGTGACATGAATTTGTTAAAGTGGTCCCATCTAGATCCTTGCCAGGATTCACTAGATAGCATATACAGTTTTAGAATGAGATAGACCTAAGTTCAAGTCCAAACTCTAACACTTTCTACCTATGTGACCTTGGCAAGTTATTAATCTCTCCAAACCTTTGTTTCTCCATTAATTTAACACGAATAATTCTCTTCTCTACCAAGCTTCAAAAATTAAATGATACATGTTAAAAATTGTAACCCTGACCCAGTATATAGTAAATGTTTCATTGTAGTAGTTATATATAGTATCATCACATGGATTTTATATTTCTAATCAGCATTCCTAGGTGTTTCACCTTTTTCATATTTATACTTCTGCTTTTTTAATGCGAAGGGTAATCATCAATATAAAAAGATGTACTAGTGTCAGTTTGCAAGAATGTATAATTTAACAGATATATTTCACCTCTAAAAGAAATCCAAAACTGCTTGCTGTATTGATGATGAGTTCTAAATTTAGAAATAGTAGCCAGGGAGAACTAAAATACTCAAAGTAAATAGTATGAAAAATAGTTTATACTAGCATGATCTGCTTCTGACCAAGTCCATGGCATCCTTTATTAAATAATCACTTCTCCCTATCACCTTTACTGTACAACATGTCATAACCCTGCAGAAATTAATCTTTTATGTTTGAAAGATAAATTTTTAATGCACAGCTTTTGGCCAAAAGGTAATAAAATGTGAATCAAATAAGATTATGGAGGAGCTATGCTAATCATGAGAATAACGTTTTTAAAGTAATCTAGAAGCCAGCTAGGGTCACCCTACCTGTTAAAATCAAGACAAGAACTAAACCTCATGCCCTAGCAGTGGGAAGTTCAAACCTCTTCAAGATTCCTGCAAATAGCCTGGGAGCCTAGGTTCTTATGGTCATCTAGGTCTCCCATTATCTGCTTCTTCAAAAGTAGCTTAATTTATGAATAATTTTACCATGACACTCATATTCTTACCTTTTTCCAATATTGTATTGATCCAGACTTAAAACTTGGACTCTTCTCTTGATTTCTCCTGAAGAAAAAAAAAGTGTAGAACTGACTTTACTGAAGCTTTAGAGAGATGGGCAGAAAAGGAGGTATTTAAGTAGCACAGTAATACAAAAAAAGTTAAAATTGATTATAAGGAAAATCTTCCTAAAGTTCTTGTGTTGACTTTACTACTACAGATTGCTCACCCTCTGCCATTCTCCAGCTCATGCCCCAGCCTCTACCAATTTTTTAAACACCTCTCTTCTTAGTTCTCTTTCCTCAATCCTTCTTAAAATGCCCCTATAATCCAACAATTTTTCTTAGAGTATTTTACTTCTCTATTTACTTAACGTATTTTAGTTCTCTCTGGCTACTATTTCTAAATGTACTGCTAAGTCTACTTTATATTGGATGAATCCCTAATTGATCTTGAGTTAAACATAACAAACGGCAAGTCTGTTCTCTTGGCAGCATTAAGACTAGTAGAAACCTTAAGGTTTCCTCTACAATGATCCTCTCTCCTCAAAATTTCTCATTTTAAATAGTGATTTCTTCTCGTTAGGCAAGTATATAAATACATAAATTGGAAGTGAACCAAATAAACAAAAAAAGGCTAGGAACAGATAATATTATAATAGAATGATTCTTCAAAAGTTATTAGAATGATCACAGAACGTATTCAATGGAATCCTTCATTGAGACTAATGTGGAGAAATGTTTACGCCTTTCCCCAATCTGATATGTTATTTGCATAAACCAAGAATTGACTGAGACAGACCTTAATTGATTTAGAGGTTTATTTTGCCAAGGTTAAGGATACAAGTAGGAAAAATAAATACAAGTTACTGAAGGATCTGTGGCCTGTTTTTCAAAAGAGGGTTTTGAGGACTTTAATATTTAAAGGAGAAACAGCTGGCAGGAGGAAAAGGAGAGGGGAAAAAAGAATAGAGTGGAGTAGAAGGTGAGGCAAGTGTTACATTCATGTGACGCTTTGATTAGTGCCCACTGAATCCACATTTTACGTGTGAAAAGAGAGAAAAACTCAACATCTAAAATTTAATATACATAGATAAAGTAAACATGTGAAATTACAGCTATCTAGCAACAAAAGGAAGGCAGTTTTTGCAGATTCAGCTCCTACGCTTAATTTTCCCTTTGGCATAGTGAGTCTGGGGTCCTGATATTTTATTTTTCTTTCACACTTGAGATGTGGACATTTTATTGGCTTAAGATACATAAATTTGCTTTCAACTTCTGCTTATACCAATACAAAGTCCTGTGACTTTGAACAACCACCACCACCTCAAAACCTAATGGAAAAAGAAAAATCAGTTCCAGCTACATTCGTGAGCTGTTATGAGGAGCCAATGAGAGAATAAATGCTTAAGAGCTTTACAAACCTGGAGACATAATTGAAGTCCTTTCTTTAGCTTTTTAAAATATGGAGACCCATGAAAGTGAGAGATGACAGCGTGCTGGCAGCCCTTGCTCTCAGTGCCTCCTCGGCCTCGGTGCCCACTCCGCCCACGCTTGAGGAGGCCTTCAGCCCGCCGCTGCACTGTGGGAGCCCCTCACTGGGCTGGCGGAAGCCAGAGCCGGCTCCCTCTACTTGCGGGGAGGTGTAGACGGAGAGGCGCGGGAGGGAACCCGGGCTGCGCGCGGGTGCTCGCGGGCCAGCGCGAGTTCCGGGTGGGCGTGGGCTTGGCGGCCCGCACTCGGAGCGGCCGGCTGGCCGGCCCTGTGGAGGGTGCGCCGGCTTCCCCAGCAGTGCCGGAGCGCCGGCGCTGCGCTCAAATTCTCGCCGGGACTTAGCTGCCTCCCCGCGGGGCAGGGCTCGGGTCCTGCAGCCCGCCGTGCCCGAGCCTCCCTCCCGCCGCGGGCTTCTGCGCAGCCAGAGCCTCCCCTACGGGCACCGCCCCCTGCTCCGTGGCGCCCAGTCCCTTCGACCGCCCAAGGGCTGAGGAGTGCGCATGCACTGCGCGGGACTGGCGGGCACGTCCGCCTGCGGCCCTGGTGCAGGATCCACTAAGTGAAGCCAGCTGGGCTCCTGAGTCTAGTGGGGACTTGGAGAACCTTTATGACTAGCTAAGGGATTGTAAACACACCAAGCAGCACTCTGTGTCTAGCTCAAAGTTTGTAAATGCACCAATCAGCACTCTGTATCTAGCTAATCTAGTTGGGACTTGGAGAACCTTTATATCTAGCTAAAGGATTGTAAATACATCAATCAGCACTCTGTGTCTAGCTCAAGGTTTGTAAACACACCAGTCAGCACCCTGTGTCTAGTTTAAGGTTTGTAAATGCACCAACTCTGTGTCTAGCTAATCTAGTGGGGACTTAGAGAACCTTTATGTCTAGCTCAGGGATTGTTACCACACCAATCAGCACCCTGTCAAAACGGACCAATCAGCTCTCTGTAAAACAGACCAATCAGCTCTCTGTAAAATGGACCAATCAGCAAGATGTGAGTGGGGCCAGATAAGGGAATAAAAGCAGGCTGCCCGCGCCAGCTCTGACAACCCGCTTGGGTCCACTTCCACACTGTGGAAGCTTTGTTCTTTTGCTCTTCGCAATAAATTTTGCTGCTGCTCATTCTTTGGCTCCACACTGCCTTTATGAGCTGTAACACGTACTGCAAAAGTCTGCAGCTTCACTCCTGAGGCCAGCGAGACCACGAACCCACCAGAAGGAAGAAACTCCGAACACATCCAAACATCAGAAGGAACAAACTCCGGATACGCAGCCTTTCAGAACTGTAACAGTCACCAGGAGGGTCCGCGGCTTCCTTCTTTAAGTCAGTGAAACCAAGAACCCACCAATTCTGGACGCAAAAGGTACAACAAACTTTTTGAGAGGAACAGAATGGTCAGCTCTAAAAATGTGTACTGGATATATGGCAATTGCACACTAGTTTTTTGCATCAGGTTAATTCATGTTCAATGCTTCTTGGTACGTGACACAAAAACCAGAATGTAAAGGAAGGTAAATATCAAAGTAGAGTCAAAGAGAGTGGTGGACAAACAGGATATCAATTATTACATTTACAACAATGTGCATTATTTTTATTCAGCCTAGAATATCCAATACAGTATTCATATAATAAGCACATTTTCTTTCAATATGTAGAGTTCCAAGAAAAGGCAAGTCACAGACGATTTCTTGATGTGAGTGGGACCAAGGTAGAGAAATTAATTGTATGATTCTTTGGTTATTACCAAATTGTAATCCAAAGTGTCCATTTTTCACAAAAGGATCACACATACATTTGGTACCAAGTGGTCATGTTAGTTGCCAAGATACGGTGTTTTGTTTTTTTTTAACCCTAGAGATTATTTGCATGGATAGAGTACCTCTGGATTCCTCCTTTCCTAATTAACCAAGTTGACTGGCCACTTCTCTTTGTTACCTTTGTTGAAAATATGCGAACACTTTCAGTCAAGACTCATAACCTATGGGCTATTTAATTTTTTTTCTGTTTTTTTTGAGACAGAGTCTCACTTTGTCACTCAGGTTGGAGTGCAGTGGCTATCTCAGCTCACTGCAACCTCCAGGGTTCAAGCGATCCTCCCTCATCAGCCTCTGGAGTAGCTGGGATTACAGGTGCAGGCCACTATGCCTGGCTAATTTTTGAATTTTTAGTACAGATAGGGATTCACCATGTTAGCCAGGCTGGTCTCAAACTCCTGGCTTCAAATGATCTGCCTGCCTCGGCCTCCCAAAGTGCTGGAATTACAGGCGTGAGCCACCACCCCCAACCCATACAATTTTATTAAATTTATTTCACGAGGGATCCACTGAGTCACCATCCAAAGTTATCATTTTACTCTCCCAGGTCTATATATTAGTCCCTTTATTTCTATCTAAGTCATTTGAGAGGCACTTCACTGTTTTGACTCCCCTTCCCATCTCACAGACAAATAAATATGTTCAAAAAAGGAAATGTCAGTGCGCCTATTAAACCACCATCCACTTCCTCTCCAAGGTAGAAATTCACCTACACTTGTCTGTTGAAAAACCTGAGGGACCTCCCTCAGGCACTGAACAACAGCCTAAGAATAGCCTGTTTTAAAAAATCAGAAAGTCCCTCAGTAATAGCAAGGTATAAATCATAAAGATCTCTTAGAGGCTGGCCTCTGGAGGTTAAAAATAAAGTTTTAAGAAGTAGCAACAAAGAGACTATGTTTAGGTTTTTAAATTCTCCTTGTGCTCTACTTACTTTGCTCAAGATATTTCAAAATGGCAAAACTTTTAATGAACACTGTAGAAGTAGGAACATATTGACTAATGTATGTTTCTGAATGCCTGCTCCATGTCAGTTCTCATAACAGGCAAGCAAGATTAAGTTAAGGTCGTGGTGATGGCTTTCAAGAAATGTACATCCAGGATAGGGGACAGAAGAAACAAACTAACAATTGTGATAGACGGTGAAAACACTGGAAAGCAAAAAGTAGAGACTTCATCTTCTGCCTATCCTAATCCCTTGGGAAGGGTTTAACCCTCCTCAGTAGCAGAAAAGAATAAAGAATACAATCAAGGCAATGGACTTGATTCTTTCCCTGTTCTTATGTTTTCTCCCATCTAATGATGGCACAAGTTGGAACAGAAGAGACAATGAAAATTCACAAACATTTAATTTATTTATCCTGGTTATAACAACAGCAGGGAAAAAAAAGAGATCTGCAATATTTCTAAAATTTCCCAGTGCACACGCTTTATTCAACCATTTACTTAACACGCAAGAAATATTCCTCTTTGACTTATCCTTTGTGCATTGCATAAAACCCTCAAAAATTACTTCTGTAATTACATAGAGCTATTCAGAGCATTGCTTTTTCAGCCTCTTATTAGAGTTGTTTGCATTTCGCTTTTCTCAGTATATCACAAAATGAGGAGGACCTAGAACAACTAGGAGGGAAACCTATAAATTTCAGCCCCTTTTAGACTCTCTACCGCCTTAGGTTGAATGCAATGGTGCAGTTGGCTCATCTAATGTGTATGGCCACAAAATTGTAAGCACTCAATAATCTTACCCATATCATCTTTCTTTCTCCAAATGACCACCAAGAATTCACTGATTTAATATATTGTTTTGATATCAAATGCAATATGCTTTCTTCCTCTTATATAATAGGTTTCTTTTTTGATCAATTCTACCAATGGTAAGGGACTGTGGGGAGTGAAGGAAAGACATCTACCCCAGTCCAGAGAGGCTCCCAAAAGAGATGATAGCCAAAATGATTGTGGAAAGATGGGTGGAAGCTAGCTAGTTAAGGAGGAAGAGGAAGGGACATCAGACAGAAAGATGACAACAGAGACAAGAAGGATGAGAAACAGTTATTCCTTCAGGAAAGCACAAGTTTAGTAAAAATGGAGTATCTGGAACATGTGATAGAAGGTCAAAAGAAGAAGATATAAACAAACCTAGAAGCCAGTCAATGAAGAGAACTCAAAACACATGGTTATATTAATCACCATGAAAGCAATGACTATATACTGTTCACTGCTACAATCCCTAGGACGAGGCACAGCACATGGTAGGACCCATATGTGATGAATGTGTAAATGAATAAATGAACAAATTAACAAATGAATATAGGCTGTCCTTTATAAATAGCAGTCCTATATGTAACACTTCCAATATAGCAGTTCTATCAAGGGAAATGTGAGAGACAATGATAATGTATATTCATATAAAATACAGCACTTTCAATGGTCAAAATGCTTCTCACCTGGGCTGGGTAGGTAGTTAGATCGCAGGTCTACAACATTGGCTGAACACTGAAATCACTTGGGGAGCTTTCATAACTCTCAAAGCCCAATATCCAATTAAATCAGAATCTCTGGGGGTGGAATCCAGCATCAGTTTTCAAAGTTTCTAGATGGCTCCATTATGCAGACGCAGCTGAAAACTCCTGTTGTTTATGCAGCAACATCGTCCAAGGTTTATGCAGCATAAACCTTTATGCAGCATCATCTGTCCAAATCAACAGATGATTTTCTACTTTGGTATACATGGAAACCACCTGAAGACTTTTTCTCATAAGCCACATGCCTAACCCCAACTACTGATTCAGTAGGATAAAGAAGGACCCCTACTGTGTGTCCTGTGAAAAAGCTCACCAGGGGATTCTGATGGATGCCAAAGTTTAAGCACTGTATTTTTTTTATTATTATTATACCTTAAGTTCTGGGGTACATGTGCACAACGTGCAGGTTTTTTACATAAGTATACACGTGCCATGGTAGTTTGCTGCACCCATCAATCATTCATCTACATTAGATATTTCTCCTAATGCTATCCCTCCCCAAGCTCCCCCACACCCCGACAGGCCCTAGTGTGTGATGCCCCACCCCCTCCCTGTGTCTATGTGTTCCCATTGTTCAACTCCCAGTTATGAGTGAGAACATGCAGTGTTTGATTTTTTGTTCTTGTGTTAGTTTGCTGAGAATGATGGTTTCCAGCTTCATTCATGTCCCTGCAAAGGACATGAACTCATCCGTTTTTATGGCTGCATAGTATTCCCTGATGTATATGTGCCACATTTTCTTTATCCAGTCTATCATTGATGGGCAATTGGGTTGGTTCCAAGTCTTTGCTATTGTGAACAGTAAGCACTATATCTTTAGAAAAGGGATAGTGAGTCTTGGTCACCTAAAAGCAAAACTTAAAAAAAAAAACTTGCTCTTTTTTTCTTAAGTTTTCAATCGTTTTGATTTTTTTTTTTCGACTTCTAAGTTCAGGGATACATGTGCAGGATGTGCATGCAGGTTTGTTACATAGGTAAACATGCGCCATGGCGGTTTAGTGCACAGATTATTCCATCACCCAGGTATTAAGCCCAGCACCCATTAGCCATTCTGCTGTTTCTTTCGTCATGAGCCAGGCACTGTCAGAGGTGCAGTGATGAAGATAGAAGGTGACAGAAGACAAACGATTAAAAGTATCTCTTCATTCAGAGAAGTAGGTACGCTTATCTATGTATGTGACTTGTTTCCTGGGAAACACATCAGGAATTGAAGCCACCTGTTGAGCTTCATGTATAAGCCTAATACTTGATCAGCAACTTGACTATCTATATCTGTGCATAGTGGGTAGTGGTAAGAAGGGCCTCCAAGTCCTACAGTTAGTGTTCCTGGGCAGTATTATTCACATATTACACATCATCTGTTTCTGCATTGCTGACTGTGAGCATTGTACTTTCTTTAATTAAACCTCTTGGGTAAAAGGATCTTCCCAAACAGAACAAATTCTGGAATGCTCTGCAGAGGTAAGCACATTAAAGAGAACAAAAATAGGGTCAGCCAATTATTTGATAAGAAGTGGGAAGCAGGAGCTATCATGTACCTCTCTTAAAAATAGCATGAATCAGGGGAGTTTAAAAAAAATCTTAATAGTCATCTGCATTGTCTTCTCTATGAGGCAAAATTTTTTTACATTTTTTAAAAGCCTTTGAAGACAATCAATGAGCTTCATTGCAGCACAGAGACAAGACTTTCTCAGACTCTCAAAGAAAAGTTAGCATTCATTAGTATTAAACTGAGCATTTTCTCTCATCAAAGTCAGTATGCATTCACTTGTCTTTATAACACTGCACTTATTAGCTTGTCTACTTCTATTATTAACTAAATGGAAGTGCATACAGATTTAAACATTGTTTTATTTTTACACAATTTGTTCTTAATTTTTCACCTTTTCTCATAGAAAATGAGTCCGGGCCTGGCGTAGTGGCTCACGTCTGTAATCCCAGCAATTTGAGAGGTTAAGGCAGGTGGATCACTTGAGGCCAGGAGTTCAAGACCATCCTGGGCAACATGGCAAACCCAGTCTCTACTAAAAATACAAAAAATAGCTGGGTGTGGTGGTGCGTGCTTGTAATTCCCCCTACTCAGGAGGCTGAGGCACGAGAATTGCTTGAACCCAGGAGGCGGAGGTTGCAGTGAGCCAAGATCACACCAGTGCACTCCAGCCTGGGTGACAGAGTGACATTCTATCTCAAAAAAAAAATAAGAGAAGAAAAAGAAAAGAAAAGAAAATGAGTCTGGAGTTGAATTGTTCTTATTCATAATAATAATTATTAATGAAATTTACCTTTCACATCTGTGTATACAATACCATTTAATCAAGTTGTTTTGCCAATTTTAATACAAGTGTTTTCATGCTCAAGACCTGTGAGCCTGTCCCATATTAGAACAATTAATGAGTTTATGATACCTGTCATTTGCTCACATTTTCTCAGAAGAAAAAAACTGTATCATGCTAACTGCCCTAATATGCTCTTTTGTGTACTTCACAGCCCTTCTACTTCTAATGTCAGTAATTAATATTTGCCACGTTTAATGAGGATTCATTCAAAGAGGGGCAGCAGCCTTTTCAACCCTAAGAACCCCAGTGAAAGTGGCTATAGTTACTGTGCTATAGCAAAGTCATAAACAGGGAAAACAGGAAAGAGGCAAAAAAAAAAAAAAGATGCATACTGAATCTGATAATAAAAAATGCTCAATTTAATATTAATGAGTGCCAAATTATTTCCTTTTTAACAATTTGAAAAGAAAGTAATATAAGCAGTAAAAACTACTTATTAATAACAGATTGTCATATTTCTGTCCTTTACGTGGATTACCTTATTCTTAATCTTTTAACAATCTTATAAGGTAGATGTCTTAGTCCATTTGCAGTGCTATAACAGACTGTCATAGACTGGGTAATTTATGTAAATAACATATATTTATTCTCCCAGTTCTGGAGGCTGGGAAAGGCAAGATCAAGACACCAGGATCTGATGGCAGCCTTCTCTCTGTGTCCTCACATAGTGGAAGTCAGAAGGGCAAGACATAAATTCTGTGTCCTCCTATGGCAGAAGAGTGAAAGAGGGAAGACCTACTTACACAAGCTCCTATTATATCAGCATTAATCCATTTATGAAGGCAGAACCTCCATGACCTAAACACTTCCCAAAGGCCCCACCTCCCAGCACCGCTGCCCTGGGAATCAAATTTCCAACACATGAATTTGGGGGACACATTCAGATCATAGCAGTGTTACCTAGGTAACACAGAAAAGAAAACGGAGGCGTACAGAGAGTAAGTGGCTTGTCTAAGGTTGCACATGATGCAAATGGACAACCTGTAAGTAGAACCAGGGCTAACTCAAAATTTTCATGGTAATATCTTTAAAAATGTTCATGCCACTCATGGGGAGAGGGGCAGCACCCACTACAGAATGTACCTTCCCATGCCATATCTCATTTTGGAGAAAGTTAGTGCTGTTGCTAATTGCATTGTTCAAATATTGAATTTGTTAAGTGTTTTCTCTCTGACAAGTGAATTTTGATGTTTAGAAATCAACAAGCAATTGTCCCATATTGAAAGGTTCTGACATTTAACAGTGGAAACTACATTTTCTCAAAAGCTGACTTCTCTGGACTTACTGAGTGTCTGTAAACATTTGATTATTTTTCTCAATAGGAGTGATTGATCATCAGAAATAAGTTGCAACCATTCTCAGACATTCATGGACAAGCCCCTTTTAGTTGCCATGGACTATCACAGATACAGATTCTAATCATTTTCTAAACTTAGAGTTGATCTGCTTTTGAAGTGGTTAGGGGAAAAAAAATACTCAGCATCTGATGGCTAGGCTATATCAGTGGAGAATCAACAAAAGGTTTGCCAGATACCTGCTCTGTAATTTAAAATGTGATAAATGCCATGGGGAACACAAAGAAATATAAGCAAAGTCCTTCCCTTTGGAAATTTTACAATCTAATTGGTAAAATGAGACATGTATAGATGAAATGATTCATAAAGGAGAAAAGTATGTAATAAAATAATTATGTGGAAGAAATAATAGTGTGATGAAGGTGTTAAACAAGCATAGGCGGTATTGTGTATTTCTTCAATTATTGAATATTAATTTACTACTTTGGTCAGGTAATACGATATTTCAAAGACTAATTGGATATGAACTCTGTCCTCTAGACTAGAAGTTTATAATATAATTGGGAAAATAAGTACCTATAAACAAAAATAAAACTGTATTACAAAGCAAAATATAATGTGTCTTAAAATATCCAACATGAAAAATTAGAGAAACTCATCAAAAAGCTTCTGAAAGAGCTGATTTTGAGGGCTGAGGAGACTTTCAATGGGTGAAAAGTGGGTGGAGAGTTCCAGAACGGAATTATACATGTGAGTCTGCATGTATATACATGCATGAATGCATGCATAATTAAAAATTAAGAAAAGGCACAAAAATTTAACTGGTTATTTATGAGTTGGGAAACTATAGGGGCTTGTTTATTTTCTTAACCTGAGTTTTCTCTCAAAAAGCAGTCTGAGACAGGTAGTTATTTTGGGAAGTGATTCTAAGCAACAGAATTGAAGAAGACCCAGTGAGAGTGAAACAGAAAAGGAGAGAAAGTCAATGTAAGTGTGCAGTCTTGGCTTGGTCACTGCTGTGGGCACCTAGGCCTCAGTCCTGCTGAGATATTCTGAAAAGCCATGTGGAATATGCCTCAGAATTGAACACCTCAGGGACAGGAGACATTTATTCCCTGGCTACTATGCCCATTGATCAAGAGTTACCCCAGGGATGCTAACACCAGTGCATTTGCAGATTATCCTTATGCAAATACTAGGTGAACTCCCACAGCTTCACAGTTAACAAACAGAGTCAGAAAATTCTGCTGAGGTAAGGTTACACTGGCACAAGGCTGGTCACTCCAGGAACAGCTGGGGTAAATTGTGTGCCCAGGGGGTGTGAGGAAGGGTACAAGATATGTCAACTACACCTGTCAGCAAGCATTTCAACAGTAGTTCTCCTCTTCATTTTTATTTTCAAGAACTTGTTAAATAGTAAATTGTCAATTTGTATTGTTACATTTAAGATATCGCCCTATAAACAGGTCATTTACATTTTAACAGAAATTAAACCATAAAAAACCTAGGTAGATAAATTAGGTTTATATTGAGATAGTTAAAGAGGAAACTAAAGTGGTTTTTCTTTTTCTTTCCTCTGAAAGAAAGTTTAGGAAGAAAGAAAACTTACTTTTACTGATAAGTACTAAATGTCATGCCCTGTGCTAGATACTTTGGAATATTTTCTCTAACTATCAACTCTATGAGAAAAACATTGTAATCTAGATCTGACTTGAGCCTATTTGCACCTCAGAGATTTCAGTTTAGAGGCTTGAAACAGCTCTTTCACAGCCTATGCAAATCTTAATACACACTCCAAAACTCCTGTGACTCCCAACTCTACTTCAAAACCTTAGCTCCTTCATCTGGGAGTGACATCCTAATAAGATCTTTTCTTGTAGAGTAGATGCAACTTGTCCCTTTAGTAGTTAACACCAAAAAAATCCAGTCACACTCATGCTTTTGGAAGTTTAGCTTGGGCTTTTAAAGCTTGAGGAATAACGGAAAGAGATCACACCCGTCACCACCCAGGCTTCCTTCTTCTCTAAGTCGCCTCATACCCTACTCCTTTCCAAAAGCCTGCTCCACATTCACAACCATCCTGATTGCACACAGCCGGCCTCTGGGGCAGGGAGTGTTGTTTCTGGCTCTGGATGTGGCACTCATGGGGAGCTGCCTGATCCATCTTGTCAGCCCTCCTTATCTCCCTAGAGTTGAATAAAGTGACATCGTTTCCACAACACTATTTGTTTAGCCAAGAAAATGTGTACTGACTGTCTATTCTCTTACACATTAAGCTCTGTGCTAAAAACTACAAATTATAGGCACTGACCTTGCCCAGATGGTACTCAGAGTTTTGTGGAAGAGATAGACAATTAAAATCGTAATTCAGTGTGATAAGTTTAGTGGTAAACATTTTCAAGTAACAGAAGAGATGATTAACTCAGTCTAAGGCGATCAGCAAAGCTTCCAAAAGGAGTTGATACCTAAGACGTATTTTAAAGGATGAACAGGGGATTGTCCTATGGAGAAGGGAAGGAAGAGCATTCTAAGGGCCACATAATTTACAAAGGCACACAAGTAGGCAGCTCCATGCTATATTTGAGAGAAATTAACATAGTTTTAAATAAATAGATAATAAACATAATGGGAGGAAAGTGTGAAATGAATTTGGATAGGTAGATGAACACTAGATGATAAAGTCTGGAGTCATGCTAAGCACCTCAGACATCTCCTGTTGATGTTGAGGGCCAGAGAAAGATTTGAAACAGCAAAATAACACGGTAAATTTTCTGTCACTCTGGTTACCATGTGGAGGACCACAGATCAGTCATAATGGAAGCAGGAAGACCCATTAGACCAGTAGCCCAGGTAAATAACTATTACACCACAAACCCTGACGGTGACATTGAAGATGGGTATTTAAAAGAAAAAAAACAGGCTTTAGAACTAGTTAGAAAATGAAATTGACTGTATTTGGAGATTTGTGGGATGTAGAGAGTAAGGAAGATGTTAAAGTCAAGAATGATATCCTAATGTCTGGCTGAGTGATGAGTGGTGACTCCATCAACCATTAAAAGAAATACAGGACAAAGGAACAGGTTTATGGTGGGTGGTAGAAAGGGAGTTTAATTTCAGGCAAGTTAAGTTTTAGATGCTGTAAAACATTATATTGGCTAGCTATTGATGCAAAATAAACAATGCTAAAACTCCGTAGTTAAAAAAAGATTACTTATCGTCATTCACATACCTGTGGACTGACTGGAGTTTGGCTGATCCAGGCTGGGTTGAGATGGGCAACTCTGATTTAGAATTAATGAGTGGGTCTGCTTCTCACCACAAGTCTTGGGTTGGATGGTTGGATGGGAAGGTTCTGTTCTATGTTTTATTCATTTTCCTTGAACCAATGAGCTATTCAAGACATGTTTGGGTTTTTTTTTCCATAAATATAGCAGACGTGGGAGAGAGCAGGCAGAAACACACAAAGCCTCTTAAGGCCTAGGCTCAAAACTGGTATACTATCACTTCCCTCCATATTCCAATAGCCAAAGCAAGGCACATGGCCAAATTCAAAGTCAAAATACCTTTTACCCACAAAGAGACTATGGCACGGGTGTGGAAGCAGACAAGGGTGAAAAATTGAAGCCAATAATATGTTGGCTCAAATATCCAGGAGAAGATTTGGGTAAGGCAGTTGGATATGTATAAGACTAAAGCCTGCAGAAAAACTCAGGCATAAAAGTTATAGATTCTTGTTTAATTGGAGTATAGCTCATGAATAAAGTGATAAAAGGAGATTGTATGTAATACATATAGTAATAAGAGGCAGCCCAAAGACAGACTGCTAGGAACGACCAACATTTACAGAGTAAAAGATGGGATTCCTTGAAAGAAATTGAAAAAGAATTGGTCACTAGGGTTGTAGGAGGCACAGGAGGGTTTCCTCTTAGGGAAGCCAAGTAATTAGAGCCTTTCAAGAATAAAGTGGTTAAAATTACATCACACTACTAGAAAACTAAAATATTTATTGAGTTTCTACTAAAGGCTGAGTATTATACTAAATTCTTTTACATGAATTATTTCACTTAACCCTTATAAGGATGAAATGAAGTGTATAACATTATTATCCCCATTTATTGATATGGAAATTGAAGTGAATAGAAATTAAGAAATCAATGCAAATTCATACAGCAATTGAGGCAGTATGACTTCAGAACTTATTCTCTGGACCTTGATGAGAGACTGTGTCTTAAGAATGTTAAATGCCAACTTTTCACTCTGTAAGAAATAATACTAAAAATGGCCGATATTTACATTAAAAAAAATATTCAGAGGATCGATCTAATTTGTTTAAAATCATGCAATTTGCAAGTAGCAGAGGCAGGTTTTGAACCCTGATCATTCAAACTCCAGGGTTCTTATACTGATCACAGTACCATCAACGTAGTAGTAATTCTTCTACACCTTTATTTCACCCACAGCTCTTCTCCAAGAACATGGGCTTTTCACCAAGGCTTCACCTAGCAACATTGCTTTTGTTCTATCATTTAGTGAATGACAGCTTAAGAAAGCAACAAAAAAGTAAAATATATGGATCATGTACAACTTTTCTTTCTGATTGATGTGAATTTCAAATAAGACTCAACAAGTAGAAATCAAAATCTGGTAAATATCAGTCAAACTACTGTTACTTTTAGGAGCCTAGGCTTGCTCGAATAGATAACAAATTGAACATACGTTTATCTACTAAATACAGTTCAATTGTACTCTTTATGGATAAGGATAGATCTCTTCACAAAACCAAAGCATTTGACAAATTCATAAATTGAATCTACATGATATGAGATCTTTGAACGTATTACTTGGCAAGATATTATACCTTTCCAAGATACTATAGAGAAAGAAAGAAATTATATCCTATTCTACAGTTAAAACCACATAAATGACACCATATAAATGGGCAAAAGTGATAGAAATGATAGAAATTATTGAAAATAAAGATCATTTGTTGAAGAGAATTTTTCTTTTATAAAATTTCCATTATTTAATTATAATAATGTTCATTCAGTAAATTATTTTCTTTTTTCTGAAAGGTTTTGAATCTACCCTATGACCCCTCCTTCCTTTTGAAATGAAAAAAAAAAAAAGAAAAACAACAACCAAAAAAAAAAACCTTCTTTTTTTTTTGTCACTTGATTTATTGTCGTTCTTAGAGGCAGGGTCTCACTCTTGCTCATAGTTCACTGCAGCCTCAACCTCCTGGGCTTAAGCGATTCCCCCACCTCAGCCTTCCAAGAAGCTGGGAATACAGATACGTGCCTCTAATCCTGGCTAATTTTTCATTTTTTGTAGAGATGGGGTCTCACTATGTTGCCTAGGCTGGTCTCTTACTCCTGGCCTCAAGCGTTCATCCCACCTCCGCCTCCCAAGTGCTATGATTACACGCAGGTCGACCACACCTGGCCTTGAAAAAAAACTTCTAAACATAAGAAATGTTCTTATGATTCATTGACATCATGTAAGAAAATTTTGCCTAAAATATTCCTCAATGTCTTTTTAAAACAGAAAATAATTTATTTAATAAATAAACTGAATTAACGGAATCCACTACTCAGGTCCCCTCCCCAAATTTTACTTGGATCTCAAGGACACACATTCACAGATCAATCCAATTACTTACCCAGCCTTTTGGGTTTAAGAATAAGCCATTCAACCCAAATTAAAGCTTCTTATAAATCTCTTTCTGTATCAAGTTTGGGAGAAACGCATATATAATTCCAAACCTTAAAGAAAAGAGAATATCCTTTGATGATGAGGCTATGACTTCATGCACAGCGTGAACAGGGCATTCTTTCACTCATTTACCCTTCTGTCCTAGCAAGTCTGAACCTTACAGGTTTTTTGCTCAGTGGGGGCAAGTTCCCACTTTACACACTTCCTTCACCCAAACCCATAATTTGGTGGAAAAGAACATGATGCAGTCCCCCCATACTCTTACTTTATACCTTAGAACACAATCAGCTATGTCATATTAAAATTTATTGTACATGATCCCATTTCTACTGCAAAACAGAGAGTAATTTGAGAGAAGGAACTTCTTGTATTCATCATTATACCCACGATGTCTAGAGCAGTGCCTGCTGTTATCAATAGAGGTTGTTAAATGGGCATAGGTAATTGCCAATAGAAACCGTGTGTTGCTAAGGCCCAATCCAAGTGACTGGTGATAATAATAAATGCTAATATTTACAGTCTTCCAAGAATAATGTTAAAAATCTTTTATGTGTACCACTTTCTTTAATCATCACTGGAACTCTATGGAGTTGGCACTATTGTTTCCTTCATTTTGCATATAAGAAAACTGATTCAGAAGTAAATAATTTGTGTAATGCCCTATGAATAGTAAATTGGAAGGTCTAGATTCAAACTCAGACATTTTGACTCCGTTCTTTCCCAGTGTTATAAGCTTCCTATCTTCGGTACTAAGGACAGCATTCTCAAGTGAGAACATGGAATGTTCTCTTTCTTCTGTATCTAGAAGAGGCACACAAAGCACAAGGAGAAAATATAGTTTCTTTCAGTTCCTGGACTATAACTTTGAGTTCTCTGGGCTTGTCCCATCTTGAGGTCATGGAAAATAGAAAAGAAAGGCCCTCCCTGCAGCTTTGAGTTCAGGAAATTCCTCCCTCTTTTATCTTCTTTTCTCCTGCTCTTTGCCAGAATATATATTGACTCTCCATTCTGACCCATACTTTGCCTATTGCTCCCAATTTAGGCTCAATAATACAGTTCCATAGTGCCCCTTTACTGATTTAGAAACCCCATCACCAAGTGCTACTGCCACAGACCCTAGACTGAGGGCCCTATTAAGGCCAGGGCCCTATAAATCACCCCCTCTCCCAAACCAGACAGAAAATACTTCCAGAAAGGGACACCAGCCACTCAGAGTGAGTTAGTTTTCTTTGAGAATATTCATTCATATTTTCTTTGACTCTCTCCAAATTTTCTCACCTTTAAAATGAATAATAATAATTCTTAAACACTAAGCCAATCATAAAATTTGCATACACTTGATCTTTATTATACCAAGTATAATCTCCAGACCAGGAACTTGGAATGTGGATTCTTAAGCCCCACCTCAAAAATATGGAATCAGAGACCTCATTTAGCAAGATCCATAAGTGATTTCTCACACATTTACATTTTGTGAAGCATTACAGTAGATGACAACCACTCTGTATTGAAATTCTAAAATATTTTCTACTCTTTATTCTTACAAAGTACATAATTCCTGCAGTTCATTCCAACATATTCCATATGTTTCTCTGTGTAACTAGAGGAAAGATGCAGCAACACAAAGCAAGGGCAATATCATTATTCTAGATACTGACTTGGGCCTATCTTGAAATGTTTATTGATTTGAGGTTGTTATTCAGAGTGTTCTCTGTTACTTTAGAGTTATCATTTTACTTTTCCTTGCAGAGAATGCCTTTATATATCAAGGCAGGGCATTGATATATAATAATATTACATAATAATATTATTATAATAATAATACATAATAATATTATTATATTATAATAATAATACATAATAATATTATTATATTATAATAATAATATTGCATTAATCTAACCCTAGAGGCTACCACATTTGGTACACAGTAGGTAACAAATAGTATGCTGAATAAATAAATGAGACCATTTTGTATTGCACATATTTGTTTTTCTAAATTAACTCCACTGTGAGATTGTAGAACCCTTGGAGGTAGGTGGCGTGTCTTACTCATCTTTGCATTTTCTTCCAACATCCAGCAGAGTACCTTACATGTAGTATTTGGTGCATAAATGTTTATTAAATTGAACTAAATTGGTCATTGGGCATGAAAAACAAGAGGTCATTTACCAAATTGGAGGATTTAATCTGAGAGTGAAGTTCAACCTGTTGTCAAGGAAGCAGGATGGAGAAACCATTAACAAGAAAAAAGTAATTATTACCATTAAAATATAATAGGATAAAATCTTACCTAAGGGAAAAGAAAAAAAGGACGTTAATTTTCTGGTGACTTAGTGAACATTAATTTTTTAGTGACTTACTGAGTTTGGGATTACTTCTTGACTCAGATGTTTTTTGATGCTTATGCAAATGGGAGAAATAACTACTTTAAAAAACATTGTGATGTCATGGAAATGCCACAGGCACTTTCCTTGTGTGTAAAATGGGAACAATGGAAAAACATCTGTTTTACAGATTGTTGTGAGGGTCAAACAAAACTCTGTAGGTAACGGGCTCAACACAATTCTTGACACTTACTAGATACTGAATAAATGATAGTTTCCTTCTTATTGTAGTAAATCAAATGCGTTTACTATACCCTGTTCCTTCATTTATTCATTACACATTTAGTGGATATCTACTCTGGAATCCAGAGAGGTTTCATAGTATAATGGCACTTGTTTCAAGCCTTGAAAGATAAAAATGTTAATAAACAGAGAAAAAAAAAAGAGAATTCAGATTGAAAAACAACATGGATAATAGCACAGTTAGGTGTGTTTAGAATACAAGGTAAGTTGAGGAATAGTAATAGAATTTGAAACTGAAAAACCGCAAGAAAATGGATGTCTTTAAATGCCAAGATAAATATTTGGATTTGCATTCTGTAGGCTTTTGGAAGCCACTCAAGACTTTTGGCATCACTCATGGCTAACTTTTTATCCTCTTCTCATCTCATTCTACACAGTCTTCTCTAGATGACCTCTATTCCTATGGCACTAGACAACTTAGATTACCCAAATCTACATCTCCAGCCCAGCTTGTCTGAGTTCACACCCATACATGCAACTGCCTAAGAACATCTCCATATGGAAAGCTCACAGATACCTTTCAGCTAACCATGTAAAGTTGAACTCATTATTTGTCCCAATTGTTCCCTATGTCAGATTAATTCCATCTTCATCCACCCAGTTCTTCCAGATTAATAATTATGATCCATCATTACTTTTCTTTCTCCCTTATCTTCTATATCCAATCATAACATTCTCTAGAATCAAACTTGTAAACATCTCTTGAATTTTTCTATTTCTCTCATTTTAACTGAACCCATACTTGCCCAAGCCAATGTGGTATCTCACTTAAATGGGTATAATAGTCTCCTAACTGGTCTTCTGCTTCAGCTTTTGCCCCTCTCCAATTCATTCTCAACACAGAAACAAAGATTTTTTTTATAATGTCAACCTGAGCACATTGTTGCCTTGCTTGAAACCCTTCACTGGCTTCCCCATTACACATGAAGCGAAATTCCAACTCCTTAAAATGGTTTGCAAAGCCCTACACAATTTGGACCATATTCATCTTCATCTTTATTTCCTTCTACTTTCCCCCATGATTGCCACACTTCAGTTAGGCTCTTCTAAATCAGGGTCTTTACACATGCAGTCTCCTGTTCTTAAAAAGCTCACCTTTTCTTTCTCCAATTGATGTGACTAACAACACCCCTTGTGCATCAAGTGTACAGTGCATTGTGCAATGTCTGCCCTCCTGGGAAGAATGCACAAAACCAATCTTAACTCTCTGTGCCGTGGTGCCTAGGCAATGCCTGGCAAATGGTAGCTGCTCGATAAAGGCACAAATAAAAGGAGTGATATAACCAGAACTGTGTAGAATCCAGAATCCATTTGATGTCAGATGATAGGTTGTCTTGGACAAGTCAGAAACCAAATTCAGCAAGCTATTGACAAATTAGATGAGAGCCAGGCCTGAGTTAGATAAATAAGGGGAAAAAAGATAGATACAGTAAAAACTACTGATGTCCACAACAATATTCTAGAACTGAAATAAAAACTCACCACATGATGTCTACACAAAGACATGAAATGAGACCAAAAGTATCACCGTATATCTGGACTGCTTAGAAGAAATCTATTACTCTAACAGCTCTTCTTCCTGATTCTATAGCCTTTGCCATTCTCCCTCAGAAAGTGGCCTCAAAATGCAGCCTACGTTTTAGGACTTTACAAACCTATTCAATCTATAATAACTGCTTATAAGTCTATTTCCACTGCCTTAGAAAACAGCTTAGACAGATTTTCAAAGGCATTTTAATCTACCTCAAGAGAGAAACTGTTTACATATCCTTCTAGAACCACTACATTATTTCCTGTATTATATTTGATGTGAATAAAACTAGAGGGAAATATCTAGTAATGTAAAATAAACCCAACAATATTGTTCAGTATAACTACTGGTTAATATCTAATTTTGAAAGTGTATTTTTGGCTGGGCACTATGGATCACACCTGTAATCCCAGAACTTTAGGAGGTGAAGGTGGGAGGATTGCTTGAGCCCAGGAGGTCGAGGCTACAGTGACCATGATCATGCCACTGCACTCCAGCCTGGGTGACAGACTGAGCAAGACCCTTTAAAAGATGAAGGAACGAAGGAAGGAGGGAAGGAAGGAGGGAGGGAGGGAAGGAAGGAAGGACGGAAGGAAAGAAGGAAGGAAAAGAAAGAGAGAGAGAAAGTAAGTTTATTTTTTGCAGGAACATTTTTTGCTTGGTATCTCTATAACTATGGGCATTGATCACTCAGTGAAAATATCATTAGGATGTTTAACGGAAAAGGCGTATCATTGAATATGCTTTCAGTCAAACCCCAGCAAACTAAGAATCTGCCAATAAGCTGTTTTAAAGTCAATTTTAGAACTTTGACTTCTATGGTTAAATGTATTTCCAAGAAGCCAACTAACCTAAATATCAGAGTAAATAATAGGTCTTTATTCCTATCCACTACTCTGGACCCATCAACACCACTAAAGGAATGATTTTTTTTCTTAATCCAGGAAAAAGATAAACAATAACTTTTTAGTTTCTGTGAGTTAGGTTTGAAGGAAGCAGCGGTGTTGAACAAAGATTTATGCAATGACCTTGAACAAGTGCCTTCCCTGCCTTAGTTGTCCCATATTTCAAAAGAGAAAGGACAACCAGATGATTATTAAGTCTTCTGCTCTTGGAAAAATGTCTTATAGTCCAAGAGAGAGTCAAAGTGTCATATGATGGGATGTGTGCAACAATAATATTCAGGGGTAACTAGGCACTGCCTCTCCCTGGAGCTATTGAGAAAGAAAGTCTTCAAAGGAAAAAAGAAAGGCTCTTGAGCTGAAGCCTCCAATGATAAACAAGAGTTGAATCAATGACAAAAGGAGAGAAAGGCAAGCCAGGCAAAAGAGGCAGTTTGGACAAAGTCCTCAAGGTCTGAGAAAGCATGTGGTTACAGGAATCAGCAAGTGTTTTGTGATAGCTAGTGCACAGTATGCCAGAGACAGAACTGCAGGAGGTGAGCTTGGAGATGCAGGCTGGAACCAGAAGAGTTGATGTACATTGGGTAGACAACTGGGGAAGGGAAGGTGGGTGTTAAGGGATTTTAAGGAAGGATAAAGTGTGAAAAATTTTTTATCATACAAAAATTACTCTGGAGTAACAACAGAGGATGTAAAGAAAGTAGGAGATACCAGATACAGGAAGACCAACTAAGGCTATTATTGTGAAGTTGTAAAGTAATGAGTGGCAGTGAGGATGGAAAGGAATTTTTTTTTTTTGAGACAGAGTCTCACTCTGTCTCCCAGGCTGGACTGCAGTGGTGCAATCTCGGCTCACTGCAGCCTTCCCCTCCCGGGTTCAAGCAATTCTCCTGCTTCAGCCTCCTGAGTAGCTGGGACTGCAGGCATGCACCATCACGCCTGGCTAATTTTTGTATTTTTAGTAGAAACAGGGTTTCACCATGTTGGCCAGGATGGTCTCGATCTCCTGGCCTCGTGATCTGCCCACCTCAGCCTCCCAGAGTGCTGGGATTATAGGCGTGAGCCCCTGTGCCTGGCTGCGAATTTTTAACACACATCAAAGAAACCCTATATTGTGAGGGGCTAGATAGCTTGATAAATGATTGGATGTAGAGATAGGGTAAGCTGATGCTTTTATCAGGTGAAAGTACAACAGAAGTGCTAACATACACTGCTGGTAAGAATGTAAAATGGTGCAACCACTATGAAAAAGTTTGGCAGTTTTTCAAAAGATTAAATATAGTTACCAAATAACCCAACAATTTCACTCCTAGCTATATACCTGTTAAAGTGAACTAAATATGGCCTGAGAAGGACTCCATACTTCTATATTTGAGTCCTTGTGGACAAACTGCAACCTACCTTAATAGGTAGACAAGATTGAAAACCTAACTTTGGAGTATGCATCTGTAACAATAGCTAAGACTTGGCCAATCCTAGTGGCCATACTTCAACCATTCATACACTACTGAGTGTTCAAACTGTGTTCAAATAAGGCAAATGCTGAGCTGTATCCAATCCAGCCATTCTGTACCTCACTTCTGATTTCTATATGTCATTTCCCTTTTTTGTGTCTATAAATCTTCTTCCACCATGTGGCTGCACTGGAGTCTCTATGAATCTGTGTGATTCTGGGGGCTGCTCGATTCATGAATCATTCATTGCTCAGTTAAACTCCTTTAAATGTAATTTGGCTAAAGTTTTTGGTTTTTTATCAGATGGTGCCAGAAGTGGGATCTCAAGTAGAGCTTCCCATGACCCCCAGAAGTGCTGAATGAACACACAAGGTACCGGGTGCAGGACCACTTGTGTCCAAGGATTTCCCAGAGTGGCTCAGGATCTTGGGTAAGCTCCCTTTCAGATTTTGGTGCTCCACGAATTTGTGTTTTGAGATTCCCCAAGTTTCTTTGAGCAAATTCCTGACCCAAACTGGGTTTGGAAGTCATGACAGAAACTGGACTGGGTCCAGGAATGGATTTGATCCAGGAATTAATGGGCTTGGATCCAAGTAGAGGCCTCTTACATCTGACTGGGTCAGAAATGAACTGAGAGTAAGCAGTAATATTGCAGGGGTTATAAAAGTTGGCTTTTGAAAATTCACAGGGATTTTTGTGTTTATTTCATTTTTCTTGTGCACTTAGGTAGGAAAAAAAAAGATCATTGGCAAAGTTTATCAAGAGAACCTGAGAGTAAAGTCATTATTTTAAGACAGAGGGATCCTTATTTCTGGAAAACTGAGTTCCTTGTGGCTTATACATTAGGCCTGGAGGCAGCAAAGTCTTACAGAAATGGCAAAATCTTACTAAAGATAACTTACTGTGGAGCATTCCAAATAAACAACACCTTGAAGCGCATTTTAAAATGAGGGCTCTCAGTAAAGTCCCTTTCAGCTAAGAACACAGTTTGGCACTATGGGATGTTAACTGCTATTCTCTTTGCAATAATCTGCCTTGCACACTTTGCTGACAGCTATGGGTGACAGGATTAGGCATGTATAAGGGACCATGGGACATGGGGAGCTTTTTCCTCCCCAAAAGGGGAAACTTGAGAGCTGATGGGACTGCTGGAAAAGGTCCCTTCGTTACTGACAAGCGGCTACCTGAAATTTTCAGTGTTGCTGTAATGAGTGGGTGGATCTTTCTCTGGCCTCCATGAGCTCTTTGCCTTCAACACCCTGCCATAGGCAATGCTTTTCCCTCTCTCTTTTCCCTCTCTGATCTTTTCTACCACTCAGAGCGGCCATCTTGCCCAGAGACCACATAATGAAACTCCTATTTGGAGGTTGGACTAAAAATGATGGAGCCTATCTAAGGGCAAATTTAAGCCTTGCCAGTTCAATATTGGATGTTAAGCAGAGTGGTTAATGTCTATGTTTTGTCACTTGTATTTTACTCTGGCCGGAACAGAAAAAGATAATTTTCTTTTGTGTTGTGGCTTAGCCCCCAGGGCTACAGTGCAGTGAGCTGGGTCACAAGGGCCACTCAGGGAAAGGAAATCCAGAAGCCTGGCATGCTGGCAAGAGGGTAAGAATTTCTTACCAGTCAGACTTCTGGCCTCTCTCTCTCTCTGTGTGTGAACTGGTTAAATGAATGGTAAAAATCCCTGTTTATCTCCTTTGTAGAGTTTTGATTAATGGGAAAAAGGACTCACGAGGCTAATCTTAAGCTGTAGTGAATGTAGTGTGCTTTGTGTGTCTTTCTGTGTCCTATAATGGAGAAGGGTATACCTTAGGATAGAACATGGGCTTAGAATACCTGTAAGCCCACTGTTCAAGATGATCCAGCAAACTGGTTAGTTATAAACTTTGCTGCAGGTCCCTGAAAAAAAAAACTGGATGAGGTTTCCCTCTTGTCTTGTGTGTCCTTGGGAGCTTGACCTTGTGACCACATGACCATGCTTTCTCTTTTCACAAGAGAAAAGGTTGCTCAGGTTCAGGGTTCAATTCCCAGCTTGGAAAATGAGTCCTTTATCTTTTGCTGTCTATGTATTTATATATATTATATGTGTGATGTTTATATATGAAAGAGCTTTAATTGGTTTAAAAATAAAAGCTTAAATATTTTGTCAGAAAAGTAAAAAGTGTAATGCCTTTTTTTAGTTCATGTGACTTAAATAATCTTTGGGAAATCAAGACAGTTTTAAAGATTATTGGTAAAATAAAAATTTCTTCAAAAGTGTAAACATTTGGTCTAAATTATGCAGGTCAGATATTAAGTTTGCTAAATGCTTTAAGGTCATAAACTGCTTCTTTGACTTTTAAAAATTGTTCAATTACTTTTTGGAGCATTAAATTCTAGATAAGACATGAGGACATGTGAAATTAGCCATGCCCCCTAGCTATGCAAAAGTATTAAATAAAAGAGATTTTATACAAGAAAGGATCTTGTATGGTAAATTCTCATCCTAAGCTAAAGTAAAATGACTGGTTGTTTAAAAAAAGGATGTTTAGGACAAGTCAGAGAATCTAAGCATGCCGTAGGTGGTCTACGTAAGCCATGAAAGAATTCATGAAAGGGAATGTATGCAAGAAATGTTGTACAATTTAAAGGTGATTAGGCCTCCTAAATACTTTGTAAAATGCCACTGTGACTCTTAATGGTACAACTTGCTTGCTTTACAGTTAGGTAAGGCCTGGGACACGTGGAGTGAGATGCTAGAAAGAGTCAGACCTTATTTGCATTTTTGTCTGGGTCCTAGGCTCCACACCTACTATCTAATTAAAATCCTGAACTTACCAAGGTTTTTCACCAAAAGCAAAAGTTGCTAAGGCTTAACAGTGTAACATGTATTTGAAACTACTGAAAAAACAGTTTTACATGTGAAGTATATAAAGAAAGTGAAATGTGTTTTTGGTAAAAGATTATTAAAAGTCATAGGAACGTGAATTTTTTTGCCTAAGTTTAGAGGGTTAAAAGGATTGTTTTAAGTGAGATAGGAAAAAACTAAAGGTCTAAACAGGTTGTGGAAGGTTTGTAAAAATTAACCTTGTAAAAGAAATATCTATGTGTGAAAATATTGACTAAATTTAAAGGGGTATTATTCAGTTTTTCCATAAGTTGAACATAGAAATAAAACCACAACAGGGATTTCTTAAAGTAATAATCTGCTCTTTAACAAAAATTTGTAAAGAGTTATAAAAGGTTTATAAAAATCTTGCCTTACAGTCAAACTGATTAAGATTGGATATATTTGTCTATGAGGTTTTATTAAAAATTGGGGTTGACATTAATAGTTTACTAATGTAAGGGGTAAATTTGGCTTTCTCTCTTGAACAAGATTTTTGTGTAATATTAAAAGATAATGAAAATTTTTTGTTTGCCTTTTAAATACAGTACCAAAAAAAAAGAAGGGAAAGACAAAAGACAGATTGTTTGGAAAGCTAAGTTTTCTCTTTATCAATGAGCAAAGGTTTTTGCCTTTTTAAAAATTTTTGAGTCATCATTTTGGCTAAATGAATGATTTATATAATCTGGAATTCTAGTTCATAATATCAAGTGTTTTAAACCTTTAACATACTTAGTAGGCTTCCCAAAATCAAATTTCAGCTTCAAAATAGTCTTTTCTGACCTCTAACTTTGAAATGCTACAGAGGGTCCTTGAAGCATTCAAAAGAGAGGTAAATAGAATTATTTAACATGTTAAGTTAAATGGGAAGCATTGTCAAAATAAAGATAATGTTTAATCTTCAGGCTATATTTTAGTGAATATTAATATATATTCCAAAATTGTATAGGATTTCTAAAATTCTAATATGTCTAAGTATATGCTATCAATAATAATTACGGTTGCTATGTTAAGGTATTGTATACCACAGAAATAGCCAAATTTCCTTGTATAAAATTGCTAACCCAAGTAGAACAAAAAAATTAATTAAATACCAAGAAAATACTTTGCCAGAGTTTCATGTTAAACCAGCCAATAATGAAATTGTTTGGATATACAATTTGAACTCCATGATCTAAGTCAAATACCTATAATAACCCATTAGTTATTAGTGCTATGCACCTAAACTGAAGAAACAATTGGTATTCGAGAGGACGTAAGTCCAATGGTAAGCATAGACTCATGGAAAATCAAAACAGCCACCTTGTCCTTCCTGAGTCCTTAAAGCTTTTGTTATTAAAGTTTCTGCATTCCATGACTCATCATGGAAAAGATAAGATGATCCAAATTGAATATATTGATGTGGTGACTTATAAATTGCAAAAACAGTTTAACACCAATGTTTGTTTCCATATTCCTGGGAAGACAATCAAACCTTCAGGTACCTTTGGTTACCTGATGGGTCATTTACACATCTATAAAGGGATTTAATTCAATTGTCATTTTCAATGCATGTTTTATAACAGTTAATTATTATGCCTCAGTATATTTTCACCAGGTAAAGAAAGCATTTATGATTCACTAAGGACAGTTAACCCCTTCACAATCTAGAATCTGAAGATTGGATCTTCTGAAAACATCAGAGAAAGACTCTCCTTGCCATCCACACTGCAACAAAACTTTGGAACCTTGAACCTTGGATACATAATCTCACAACTGAGAAGGATCCCTCCACATTCTTGGAACTGTACACCCATTGGAACCCTTAAAGTAAAACTAACCAGGAAAGTTTCTCCCCAGAAGATGGCATCCTTGATGTGAACAGCTTTTCCCAAGATCACAGATCAACACTTCTACTATCATGAGACTCTTACCTTTGAATATTTTCCTTGTTTATGCCTCTGTGAACAATAGAAATGAAAAGGGGTCTATTATGTGCACTTACAGGGTATACTTTTATTTGTTAAGAACTTTGCAGCCAGTATTATACATGAATAACCTTATACTTAGATAGATTAAAAAATGAAGTCCCAAGGTAGGGGAGAAACTTTAATGGTACATACATTGCCTCATAATCCGTCAAAACTCCTTTTAACCTACATCATGGGTTAAAGAGAACATTGCCAGGAGGCCTTCACTCTTCCACAAGGACATCATTTGTTAGGTCTTTTTTCCATGATTTAGAATAAATAGGCAATAATTAGAAATGTATCCCTCATAATAGGCTTTATAGCAGATTCTACTGTGAAGGTTAAGGTTACACAACAGACTTTAAATTCTCATGTGAAAGTTACGTTAAATAATAGAATTGGCTAAACAGAACAGTAACTTTGCAGCTGCCAACACTTGTGGCCTATAGAGAAATACATCAAATGTAGATTATAAAAATTGAGTTGTAGGGGATTAACGAAAAGACTACTCAGTCAAGCAAGTAGATCTTCATCTAGTTCATTCTTTAATCTACTTAATTTTAAGTGGTTTGGTTTATGGGAACCCTGGGTAAGGAGCATACTCCAAACTCTTGGTATTATCCTCCCAATAGTGATAATAATAATCTCCTTGGTGCACTGTATTCTCTCAAAGGTTTTAAATGTTTGCATGCAGCCATCTCTAGAATGTCAAATGGTCTCTCCAACAGGAATGACAAAAGCTGAAAGAAATGAGTGACCATAAGGATACTGTAACCTACAAATGACGTGCTGAGACCAGAAACCCAAAATGATGGTAACAGAGAGTGACACTAAGGCCCTAAGTTTTGGTCACACTCTCACCTAAGTGAGAACCTGACCTGAAAGGGGGAATTTTTTAAACAAAATTATGGAAGGCCATTGTTTTGAACTAAGCTCTTGCACTAGGCCCCAACAGGCCAAACCAAACTAAAATGGAGTTACTCATGCTAAATGTGACATAAACAAACTAAGACTTGAAGAAAACACATAGATCATAAAACAGACCAGGTTTTGTTTTTCTCCTGTAAACAGGATGTTCCCGCATAAGGAGGTACCCTCTACTCAATCCCTGTGCCTACCTTTGTAAAACTCGCCGTTCTACTGTTTCCCAGTGGGTTTCAAGACCAAATAAGTACATTTACAATGGTGATAGTGACATCAATAGCTAAAGTTTTGGTCATTCTCTCGAAATTGAGAGAATGACCAAAAGTGGGGAATTGTTAAAGCAAACTAAATACGGCCTGAGAAGGACTGCATACTTCTATATTTGAGTCCTTGTGGATGAACTGCAACCTAGCTTAATAGGTACAAGATTGAAAACCTAACTTAGGAGTGTGCACTTCTAACAATAGCTAAGTCTTGCCCAATGCCAATGGCCATATGTCAACCATTCATACACTGCTGAGTGTTCAAACTGTGTTCAAATAGGGCAAATGTCAAGCTGTGACCTATCCAGCTGTTCTGTAACTCACTTCCAATTTCTGTACATCATTTCCGTGTTTTTTTTTTTTTTTTTTTTTTGTCTATAAATCTTCTTCCACCACATGGCTACGCTGGAGTCTCTGTGAATCTGCTGTGATTTCCCGTCATGAATCGTTCATTGCTCAAACTCCTTTAAATTTAATTGGACCAAAGTTTTTCTTTTATCATACCCCAGAGAAATGAAAACTTATGCCTACACAAAAATTTGTACAACAAATCAACATAATGAAATATTATTTGTCAATAAAAAGGAATGAAGTACTGTTACATGCTACAACATAGATGAACCTTGAAAACATTACACTAAGTAAAAGAAGCCAAGCATGAATTATACATTGTATGATTCCATTTATATGACATGTCCAGAATAGGCAAATCCAGGGACAGAAAGTACATCTATCACTGGTTTCATAGTGCTGGTAGGTTGAGGAGAAATGGAAAGTGACTGCTAAAGGATATAGGGTTTTTCTTTGAAATGATGAAAGTATTCTAAAATTGATTGTGGTGATGGTTGCATAACTCTGTGGATACACTGAAAACCACTGTGTTGTCACTTTAAAATGGGTAAATTGTATCGTATGTGAATTATATCTCAACAAAATTGTTATTTAAAAAGTGTTAGGAGCACCCACTCCCAGCTATAAGCCCCTCAAGGACAATGATCATACCTCGGACATAGTAGAAACTCAGGAAAACATTTATTGAAATGAAAATCACTTAAGTAGATCAGAATGCAGGCAACAGCTATTTATTACAACTCCACAGATTGCAACATCTTCTAGACCTTGGACATGCAGCTAGAATTAAGAACTACCAAAAAAATACAAAAATGGTGATATTTGTTCTGTCTTCCATTTCTCAGGTGTCAGCCAGCATCAGAATGTCCATGACTCCTCTCATTTAATTATACATGGAGAATGTTTCTCCAAACCTGCCTTTTTAGGTGAAACTAATGACTAAAATAAATTTCTCCCACTTAGATGTGTTACTCTAGAGAACTGAACTGAGAGGTAAGGAAAAGGTATAGAAATTAAAATCGGGCCAGGCGTGGTGGCTCACGCCTGTAATCCCAGCACTTTGGGAGGCCGAGGCGGGTGGATCACGAGGTCAGGAGATCAAGACCATCCTGGCTAACACAGTGAAACCCCGTCTCTACTAAAAATACAAAAAAATTAGCCAGGCGTGGTGGCGGGCGCCTGTGGTCCCAGCTGCTCGGGAGGCTGAGGCAGGAGAATGGCGTGAACCCAGGAGGAGGAGCTTGCAGTGAGCAGCGATCCCGCCACTGCACTCCAGCCTGGGCGACCGAGCGAGACTCCATCTCAAAAAAAAAAAAAAAAGAAACTAAAATTGGACATTTTTGTTTGTTTATTAACTGGTTGGTTGGTGTTTGGTTTGGCTTAAATTGGTTTGACTTGGCTTGGTTTTTGGAGGCAACAAAAACCATAAGGGAAGATTTTAACTTTATAAGAATGTAGTTCACCCTTCCAAATACTGATCAGCCCAGACAGTTTTGGTTTGGTTGATTTCTTTGCAGGTTGTGCTCTTTTGGTTCTGCTTGGCCTGGCCTGGCCTGGCCTGGCTTAACTTTGCTTTACTTTGTGCGCATTTACCTTTGTTATCCAGAAGTTTTATCAAGCCAGGCATTAGAATACTGAGTCCAGTCGTTATAGGAAAACAAACTAAGACCAAATTTAGCCATTCTGTTAACAACTGATGGGTAAGACCTGAGAGGAAAGATGACTACTCCCAGACATTCAAGGCATCATTTTAAGAAAATACCGAAGATCAAAAAATTACTAAAATAATATGGAAGTAAATCTAACCCCCTACACCCCCATATCAGTTCATGTCACTCTTGGCATTCTTTTATTTCACCAGAAAATTTGGGAATGTAAACAAGCTCAGGATAGTCTAAACGGGAAGGGCCTTATTATAGCCTCCAACCCTGGACCCCAGAATAGAGATATGGGAAGAAACAAGGTTGAAAGTGATCATTTTCATCACACTTTATCCCTTGGCAGAATTATGCAGATTTATTCTCCTTGCTACCATTCAGCACTAGTGGATATTTTCCCTTTAGGTTGTCATCTGTTCCTAGAGAAATGTGGCTAACAGAACATCAAGCCTTCCACATGTCAACCGTATAGGTAGAATGCTTTAGAACTCACTGCCAGTTTTATCATTTAGATCTCCAGGAACACAGTGGAAAGTATCAAACAGTAAAAGATGAGAGACTGAAAACAAGTGTCTGTGCAACCTAGCAGGAAGCATATGCTTCAAGAGGAAGATCATAAATGTGGCGAATTACATCCTATGTGTCTACATACTGAATCCAAACAGATTCCTTCTATACAACAGAAATATGTTTTATCTTTTCCCAGGAAGATGCAACATTGTGAAGGTGTGAATATACATTGTTTTAAATTTCATCTTGCAAATGTATATTTAAGCCCATGAAAAAAAAATGTCAATTTATTGAGTTCTAACCCTAGGTCTCCATTGTTTCACTGTTGTAAAGCATACCAGGAATCTCTGCCATGCAAAATAACAGCAGTAATGCAAAAATTTGCTTTTATTAGGTGCCTTGACAAGCCCTCTAAGGCTGCATACTGTTTAGAAGAGTAATAGCAACAACAATAATAATAATAGCAAATACTTATTAATGTGTACTCTATGTCAGGCACTACACCAAGTTCTATGAACACATTAGCTTATTTAATTCTTACAATAACCCTATTTAATAAATTATTGTACCCATTTCATGCTAAAGAACTATATCAAAGAGACAGTGAGTGACTTGTCCAACTCATTTTTGTACCTTTAACCATTACACAATACTATCTCAAAGTCGAAGGAAGTATATACAAGTGTCTAGGACTTGGATTAATAATGGTATCTTTGGAGTTTAAATACTTTAATTCTAAAACAACTCAATAACGCATAAAATATGCCTTTAAGAATGTAGAATAGATGTTACATTCATAAAAGTAATATTTTATAAGTATTACTTGTAAAGTGCTTAACAAAGTGCCTGATACAATTGAAAAATTCAATAAATGGTAGATAATAACCTCTGTTTTACAGATGAAGAAATGTAACAAGGGTCAAATAATTTACCCAAAATTGCTAGTTAGCAAGTGGCAGAAGCTAGATTGAATGAAAAGTCCATACTGAAGTTTCAATAAGAAATAAGCAAGTTTAAAATGTGTATATTTAGCTTACAAAATCTTTCATTCAATATAAATCTGTTAAACAAATGAAGTGAAATATATATCAAATATTTGTAATTTCCCATCAATCAAAACTCAGAGTTCATCTGAAAATGAGGTGAAAGTGTGACATATTATATAAAATGTTCATTGAATGAATACATTACCAATCAATTTTTGCACTAAAAATCAAAGTTGGCGATGCACACTTATTTCTTTACCTCACCCCACCCCCCACCCAACACACACATAAATATCATGGACTAACATGAACAAATAAATGATCAGGAAATTCCTAATGATTTGTGGTATCAGCATCCGTGGAAACCGGAAAAGGAGATGATGCATCCACACATCAATAAGATTAATGAGTGCTATCAGATTGCTCTTGCATCCTCTTTTTCAAATTTCTTTCAGCTTGTACATCTAGAGTATCTTCTGCTCTGTATAAATGGCCTTTGTTTCATAAAATCCATGAGATTTTTACAACTTGAAATAACTTCTGAATCCTGTGTGAATCCTATGCCCCCTTGATGTCTATAGATTGGATCACCACAATAATGGCAGTAGGTGTCAGTAGCACCAGGGCTCCAAGCATCTGGAGGTTTCCAGATGCCACACATGTAGCAAATCACTGTTCAGTTATTACAATGAGATGATGTTTTAAATGCATAGTTGTTTAAAAGTTTCCTTGAGAACTAATTCCCTTATTTAAATACTTTAGTATTTAGAGTTCCAAATAAACGATCTTCTACCAAATTAGTTACATTTTAAATAATAGAAACTCAGATAGTGCCCCAAGTAGCCTTCCAGCATGTTCACAGAAGACAGTCACCATTTTCAAACTATCATGTTGGAGAAAGAGAACTGTATTTAAAACAAAAAGGTCCTGGACTTGAGTTCAAGGGTCATGAACAGTTTATTTAAGCTCGCTCAGTCTCAGTTTTTTATCTGTCAAAATAATCATTTACAGGGTTAGTGAAATAATTATATGAGATAACATGATCTATAAGCTATAATGTTCTTTCTAGATATTTATTGTTGTTATTGACAAGATACATTGATCCAGGAAGTCTTCCTTGAGTCTTCAAGACTGGATTAGGTCTTCCTACATGTTCCTGTATCACCCTGTGCTTATTTTATATAGAAGATCCATTGTAACCCAACCTGCATCCCCTTTGCAGCTTCAGTTTCCATACACAGCCCCTGCAACTCTCTGTCTAGAGCTCTCTTTGTCCACAGGAAATGTTGATTAGCTCAAACACAGGAAAGGTTGAGAATTGCCAGGTGGTTATCCCAGGAGTAGCCCTCACCCAGTGACTGACTAAAGGTGGTAGATAAATATATTAGCTCCCTCCCTACTGAAAAAACTCTGAGTGTATTCTTCAGTTTCCAGGAGGAAATCAGGATTCAACCCCAGTTGATTTGAATGGAGATCTGCCCTTAATATGGGTGAGCACTATACAACTGGCTGGGGCCCCAAGATTGAACAAAAAGGCAAAGGAAAGGTGAATTTTCTCTCTTTCCAGGAACAACTTCTGCTGGAAGTAGTTCCAGCAGAACTTCTTCTCCTGCCCTTGAACATCAGAACTTCAGTAATGATCTCTCCCAGTGGTAATAAGGTGTTCACAGGTGTTAAATCAGGAGAGGCCTCACAAAGATGCAGTCATTAGAGGACTTCAGGGTATGGTTGCTGATAATAGATATGTATATCCCAGATCTGGATATGCATGGTTAAAATATTCTGTAAGCCTCAGAAAATTAGGAAGCCAGTTAAAGCCACAGTTCCCCTTTGACAGCAGTGATGGATGAGCTGCCAGACGACTGTGAGAGTGCCAAAGAGAGATCATAGTATCAAGCATCAAAAGTTATTAGCAAGCATCAATGTGCATTATCTCCTTTCATTTTAGGGCTAGATGTATCAAAATATGCTATGTTGGCAAACGTGGTGTTTTTAATATATATCATCTGTCTACCTTTCTATAATACTTGGCAGAGAAGGCTATTTTTCATAGTGAGTGAAATTATAGGTTGGGAACTAGACCAATAAATGTAAATGCCAATTTTCCTTCTTACTAAAGCAAGTCATTCAGTCTATTTCTTTTCCTATCTGTAAAATGAGGTTTATATTCCTTCAGTAGATGTTGAAATAATTAAACTATACATATGTGTATATATGTATATACATGTATATATATATATATGTCTGTAGTTTACAATTAAAATATATATATATATAATGTTTGCATGTGTACACAGTGTTTAGTAGAATACCTAATAGTTCTAAGTGTACTGAAAACATATGTGGTGGTTTTGGCACAGTTTCAACTCAGTGGAACTAGAATTTTGCCTCCCAGAATTCCCTCCTGTGTATGGTTCTAAGCTAGGATTGGCCACAAGAGAAATTCTCACGAGATTTGGAAGATGGGAGTGAAGCAGCAGCCATTGCCCTTGCAGGCGCTGTGGCAGCCCACACACATCATCACTGACCTCTGCCCCATTTGGCTGGCGTGGAGAAGTGCGTAGATCTGGAGCTCCTCCGGCTCCCACTATATCTCCTCCTTTAGCTTCTCCAGGACCTGGGCCAGATGCATGTGCAGCTCCACAGTGAAGGGTGTCAACTTCTCCTACAGTCACCCACATTGTCAAAATTGGTGGTGGGTGAGAAACAGTCGTGGGTTCTAGTTCATCTTTATGAATTCCCATTTGTCCTTGCTGTCATTCACATCCAGCCTTTCTTCCTGATCATAGGTCTAGCTGAACCATAGCAACATACAGATAAAGATCAGATGCAAAACAACAGCCTGCATAGCCTGTCCCACCAGCTCCCACAATTACTTAAGGTCTAACCCCAAGATAGATTTCTTATTCTATGTCAAGAGCTGACTGATACAACATGGTAGCTTTGTGACAAGATGTGAAAATGAAATTATTTCAGATTCAGTTGTACCTAAGTGGTGCCATACACAAACCTTAAGAGAATAAATAATGTGAGGTATCCTGAGATAAATGACAGCAAAAATGATTGTCATTCTTCTGTTTATAATCTTTCAGACCTTTCCCCCTGCACCCGAGATAAAGTTTAAACTTGTTTACATAGCACAGAAGAACCTTCATGGTCAAAGTCCACTCTCCAGCCAAACCGGAGCCTCCTTCAATTACTCAACTCTTTTTCTCTCTTCTCCTCCCTCCCTCCCCCTCTTTCTCCCTCCCTCACTTCCTCCTTTCAAACCTTCTCATAAGCTCTCTCGTCTATAATACCCCACTCTCCTACTCACCCCAAACACATACACACTCCTTTCACCTGACTAGCTTTGCTGATTCCTCATATCTCAGCTTATACCTTACTTCTTTTAGAATATCTAACCATACTTTAAGAATCCGGTTTGGAAGTTGTTCCCTAAGCATTACCTACTTTCTAACCTCCTAGCTTTCCAATCTCCCCTCTTCATTCACATTTGTCTCTCTAATTCCCAGTAATCTTTCAGAATTTATCTGCTGCTCCTTTCTCCTCTCTAAACTACATTAAATTCCCCTGTATGAGACACTCACTCTTATTGTAGTCCTTATCACACAACATTGGAATTAGATTTTTACTCATCATCTCTACTAGACACTTAATTTTCTGGCCACCATTTGTGGTGGATGCTGTGATATGCTCCCCAGATCTCCCTTTAAGAATAAAGGACTTATCCTGGGACTTGGCAGAATTTGAGGGAAAAAAAGAATAAGAAACTTAGTACTGTAGTTTCTGGGAGAGCTGCTGGAGGAGAGCCCTCGGCTACCAGCGGCTTTGGGGACTGCAAAAAACTGAAAACTGAAAAAAGTCATTTTGCCAAGGTTGTACCCCCTCCTAGGAGTGGCCAGTATTGATGCAGATGTATAAAGGGCCAGCCCTTCTTGCCCCAGTGCAGAACATATCTGAAAGGTCATTCTTCATTCTTCTAAACTCCTCATATGGTTGCCTGAGGCTTCCATTGAAACTGCATCACAGTTTAACCTCTCCATCTACCCCATCCAGCTTCTTTACCTTCCCTTCCACAGGTGCTGATCCCATGAGCACCCTCCAATATACCTCCTACACACTAATATCTGTCTCAGAGTTTGCTTGCCAGGGAACCTAATCTGTGACACCCTTGTCCCCACCACCCTCAGCACAGGGCCTGGAATAGATAGGGTAGTATTCAGTAAATACTGGTTGACTTAAAAGGGGAAGACCTCAACAGTCCAAGGAAGGAACACAGCTGGGGGACTACTAGTCAGCTATCTTAAATACTTCAAGTGATCTCTAGAAGGCTTATACACTTACCTACCACTTACAAACCTTCTGGATGTTGCTACAACCTCAGCCACTGGCTCCTTTGAGATAATTTAATTATGTAGGGAATTCAGCCACTGGCTGAAGGAAACAAACTCTGGCCTAGGTAATTCATGTTACTAGAAAATTACTAGCAAATTAATTCTCTAAATTATTAGTGTGTGTACACAGTGTTTGGTAGAATACCTAATAGTACTAAGTGCACTGAAAACGTGTAGTGGTTTTGGCACAGTTTCATCTCCATGGAGCTAGATTTAGAATTCCCTTCGGTATATGGTTCTAGGTTAGCATTGGCCACGAGAAATTCTCACAAGATTTGGAAGGTGGATGGATTCTGTATGAGAATCCATTCCTAAATTACAACAAAAGAATAGGACATTCAAGGAAGAAAAAGATAAGAATGTATTCTTTACATTATAGAAGAAATAAAAAGTTCAATCTGTCTGAAGTTCACAGTGAAAAGTGATAGAGAATGAGGTAAGAGTCATATGGGCTATAGAGAGAGCGGTTATTTGTAAAAAAAAAATTGTATCAAAATACTTTAAATTTTTACTGAAGCTAACAATGGTATTTATTTACTAGTCACAATGGATACTTTTAAATTTTTATTCCATTTTCCAATAAAATCATTAAATTTATGTTTTTTAATTACTCCCTCTAAATCTAATCTACTCCCAAAGATTGAGTTATCTTCACAGCACTTCAGGCTCAGATACTTTCTTACTTGTCACTTAACAGAAGAAATTAGTTCTGTTAATAAGGGGAAGGTAGGAAATATGATAGATGAGTGAAGACAAAATTTTGTTGTGCTGTCTAAGAGAAACCAATATGAAATAGTCTGATTCTAAATATTGTGAATCCTGTTGAAAGATAAGTGCTTGCAAGATAACTTGACATTCTTCTAAGAATGTATAGACGCTTACTTTGAAAATTTTAGCCATGTAGTTGCATCCAGTTAGATAAACAGCATTCATGTTATCTACATCGTAGCAGTTACCACAATCTGAAATTATTTTATTACTATGGGATAGGGGGTGAGATTGGGGAGATGTTGATAAAGGACACAAAATTTCACTTAGAAATAAGTTCAAGAGATCTGTAGTACAAGATGATGGCTAAAGTGTATTATATTCTTGAAAACTGCTAAGAAAGTAGATTTTAAGTATTCTCACTACAAAAAAAGATAAGTATGTGAGGTAATATGTATGTTAATTACATCAATTTGGCCAGTCCAGAATGTATACATATTTTAAAACAACTTTCTGTGCACAATAAATATGTACAATTTTTATTAGTCAATTTAAAAATGAAATAAAATTATCTTGTGATTATTTAATTATTTATATTTGTCTCCCTTCCTAGAATGTTAATTCCATGGGGGCAGAAATCACGTTTTTATTGTTGTTGTAGCTGATGTTGTTACCCCATTTTATCTCCAGCACTTAGCATAGCACCTCTCTCACAGTTGGCACTAAATCATTAATTGGGGAATAAAAATGAATAAGTGATGAATAATTGTGAAGTGAAAAAAAGCCATTCTGGAGTATTTGAATTACATTGGTAGCAACCTTAGAGATACTGATAAAACTGAGCTAGAGCCATTGAAGCCCTGGTTTAAACCACTGAGCACTCCTTATCTGGTAGAATGGCGAAAAGTAACATTTGTTTACTTCTCTTATGCTATTTGTGTGCCTGTATCAAAATGCTATCCCATCAACAGGATAGGGTTGAGGAAAGAGAGAATAAACTATAAATTAAACAATTTTGTGAGTTAGGGTTCTTTGGTGACAATTAACAGAAAAACTTCTTGACTAACTTAAGTAAAGGGAAATTAGATTACCAAAACAAAATTGCAACAAAACCAAACCAACAAAAAGCACTGTTGGGATTTTGACTGGAACACGTTGAATATATAGACCAATTTGAGAAAAGCAAACATGTTGACTATACTGAAACCCTAATCTTTGAAAAGGTATCTCTTCATTAAGAAGTCCTCTATAATGTATTTCAATAAATTTTTATATATTTCTCCTTAAAGGTGCTGCATGTCTTTTGTTAAATTTATTTCTAGATTTTTCTACACACACATACATACATGCACGTGTGTGTCAATATTTAATATTGTTTTAAAATTACATCTTTTACTGGTTATTTGCTGGACACATGAAAATTAAGTTGAACAAGGTATATTGATTTTATGGCATATATTATGCAGGCTTAGGTGTGTAAAAAGCCACCCCAGATTCAATGGCTTGTGTTCTTGTGCCTCTGTTATGAGAGGAAGATACATACAATCTTCCACATCCATGAGACATGAGTTTGTTTGTTCACTGTCTTGTACAGAGTATAAATCTGAGTAACTGGTGGGTGGATATGACTCTCCAGGCAAGTTGTAACACTGATTCCTAAGCCCTGCTCTAAGTAAACAGAAACATAGACAATTGCATTTTTGAAACTGGCCACAATAATATCTCCCATTTCTCATGCTCTTCCACATTGTAACCTTACCACAAACTCATTAAAAGGTGGTGCCTATGTTCCTTCCTCTCAAATTTCGGTGGCCTATGACTGCTTTGATGAATAACAGATGGCAGCAGTGACACTCTGTGACTTCTGAGGATAGGTCATAAAAGATGACACAGTTTCTGCCTTGTTCAGCAAAACACTCACATTTAAAGCTCTGAGCCAGCCTATAAAAAGTCCAGCTACCCCAAGGCCTCCATGCTTAGCAGGAAGGCAAGCTCTGCTCCATGGAAAATCTGCACACAGATGCTCAAGTTGAGCTGCATAGCCAAGGTTCCAGCCAGAAGCCAGCACCAACATCCAGACGTGCAAGGGAAGAAGCCATCTTTGGAAGTAGATTGTCCAGCTCCCAGCCATTTGAGTTTTCCCAGCTGAATGTCCAGACATCATGAAGCAAAGAAATCTGTTTCCACCATGCCCTTATTAGATTGCCAACCCAGAGAATTTGAAGGCATAATGAAATTGTTATTTTATATCACTAAGTTTGTGATAGACTGCTATACAATAGTAAACGGAACAGAGGTTTAACCAAATCATTTTGAGACCTCCAGTAATTTCTAAATTCTGCTGCAAAGTGAATTACATCAGAGCAGGGCTATACAGAACACTACTATCTAAATCCCAGTCCTTTAGTTGGAGGTTGAGAGGACTCACTTGTTCTCAGAATGATGAATAATTCAGAACCAAAGCTTGTCCACTTGGGGCTGTCTTTTTTCAGATCTCTGTTTTTCCGGTCAAGGCCATAACATCTTTCTAGCTACAGTGGAATACAGGATCAAGGGAGCTTGCAGAAAAGACAGCCGTGCTCACTACATCTTTAAGGAATTGATACAGCCAGACTTTAAACTGAGCCTGGTTCAGTTACTTTAGCTTCACTTTGGGTTTCCTGAAAGTATTCTTTGCTCAGCTGCTTTTGTAATTTTCTTTTTTACCAGGGAAACTTGAGATAGAAACACACACACACACACATACTCACATGGGTGGGGTGGAGAGGGGGAGGGCTGTTAAAAACACCCATTGTGTTGAATAATTAATTGCTCCCCAAAATACAATTCAGCTGACAGAAGCTGAACTGAATTCAAACCTTCTATTGTCTTCCATTTTTCCATGTTGACTGCTCCTTTTGGGGCCCTAAAGCAGCATTCTTCTCTGACAGCAACAAGGAGAAAAACATCCACAAGCCTCCATGTTACATTTCTCTCTTTCAAAGGAATTGCTTAGAATATTACCCTAGTAAATTCAGAAGATTTTCTTTAAAGTGTTATTTCTTATTTCCAACATGAGTAATTCACACAACTATAAAAGCCCAGCTCACTATAAAGGATGCTCATGTATTAAAAAGACATTATTTGAAGTCTGAAGTTACTGAGTGGGGTGTGGAAGGGAGCCAAAAGAATCTTTTGGGGGGAAATGTGTTTCCTGTCTTTGCCTGCACTTGTTTGTTTTCACTTTGGAAGGAAGATGCAAGTGTCCCAGCTTCACTGTAAGGACTTTACCTTACAGGCAAGAATTCTAGCTATCAGAACCCTAGCATTGGAGCACTTATTCAAAAGGCCTCTGATTGGGAAATATAAGCATCCCCATGAAAGATAAGAGCATCAGTTCCTTGCATAGCCTCTGACAACCATAGTTCCCTCTTGGTGGAATAAGAGACCATCCCAGGTTTTTCAGAGATCTACTTATTTCTAAAAATCAAACCCAGGTAACTTTTTTTTTTCCATGGGAATGTTCCAGCAGCTTACAGCTTTGCATTGAAAGCTTTCAAATCTCACAGAAGGATGCTTTGAGGTGGGAGTGAGGCAGGAGAATAGGATCTGAAGGCAGGGAGCCTAAGGCCAATTCATGCTGACTTCCTAGAACTAAATCTAAAGGAAAATCTCAACTTTCCATGCCCAAGGAACAAAAAGACCAGAGGCTACTCCCGTTGAATGCCCCCATCCCCCGCCACCTTTCCTTTGTGGCAGATGAAAAATTGAAACTACCTCTGATCAGTCCCTTCCCACAACCAATCAGTCTGGTCATGCAGGCCAAGTCTTTATTTGCATGGGAGTATAACTTTGTAACTTCACTTCGGCCTCTGATTGGTCACCTTCCACAACCAGACGTTTGCATAGGGTATAACTTTGTAACTTCACTTCAGCCTGTGATCGGCCACTTTCCACAACCAATCAGACTGATTGCAGGACACTACTTCATTTACATAGGGTGTACACCAAGTAACCAATGGGAAACCTCCTAGAGGGTCTTTAAACCTCAGAAAATTCTATAACCAGGCTCTTGAGCTCCTATGCTTGGACCTGCTCCCACCCTATGGAGTGTACGTTCGTTTTCAATAAATCTCTGCTTTCTTTGCTTCATTCTTTCCTTGCTTTGTTCACATGTTTTGTCCAACTCTTTGTTCAAGACACCAAGAACCTGGACACCCTCCACTGGTAACAGGAGAATTACTACAAAAGGAACCATAGTACCAGGAAACTCATGTCCTGTAGAGACAGTGACTCCATATGGTAGCTAGTCTCCAAAGATGTCCCCCAGAAATCTCTCCCTCCTCTGTTTTCCCATGCTATTCCTGCATGCAAAGGCAAAACTTATACCACCACTCCTTGAATCTGTGCTGGATTGTCTATTGCTTTGAGCAACAGAATGATGAGAAAGTGGCATTTTGATACATCTCAGACCTCTTCTTCCCTCAAAGATGTTTGAGCTGCCGTGGAAAAAATCCAGGTTATCCTGCTGGAGAAAAGGATGAGACACCAAGTGTAGAGAAAGGTGCAAAACATCCAATTTTTATAAGCTTATGTGCATCATTAAATTATTAAACTTGGGCCAGGCATTGTGGGTCACAACTATAATTCCAGCACTTTGGGAGGCTGAGGTGGGAGAATTGCTTGAGGTCAGAAGTTCAAGACTAGCCTGGGCAACATAGCAAGACCTCATCTCTACAAAAAAAGTAAAACTTAACCGAGTGTGGAGGCACATGCCTGTAGTCCCAGCTACTTGGGAGCCCGAGGCAGGAGGATCTCCTGAGTCCAGGAATTGGAGGTTGCAGTGAGCTTGGATCGTGCCACTACACTCCAGCCTGAAGAACAGAGCAAGACCTCATCTCTACTAAGTAAATAAATAAATGAATATTATTGAACTTTCCTGAAACTCAATTTCCGAATTTGTAAAAATGAAGATAAATACCTATTTTGCAATGTTGTAAAAATCAAATAAAATTATTCTCCCTCCCTTTTTTAAGGTTTATTGAGAACCTACCATGTTCCAGGCATTGTGGATACAACAATAAATAAATTATGAATTTTATTTTACAAGAGCGCACAGTCTAGAAGAAGACACATACAAAATCCTTGAGCTTTGTTCTGGAGTAAGCTTTGAAAATGTAACAATAATAGAATGATCCTTGAGTTGAGCAGGGCACTAAAAAGCTATAAAACTGAAAAATACGATTCTTGTCCACAAGAATCTCTTAATATAGTTAAAATTCTAGAGTTAACATATAAATCATGAATACTGACTACATATCATTGTATGCTAAACTTTACAATTGCTGTTCAAGAAATTTTAAAACTAGAAAATGCAGTGTGGAGCAGTCTTGCAGTGCATGGTGGAGGTGAGAGTGAGCCAAGCATCAGGAAGGCCACTAGGATTTGCAGAGGGGGCGATGTGGGAAGCTCATATTTCTGGCTGGAAAACAACTTAGGCAAACTGATGACTGCAGTAGAACTGTCCATAGGACTTTCTGCCACAGTGGAAATGTTCTACATCAGTGCTGTCCAGTGCAGTAGCCGCTGGCCACATGTGGCTATTGCATACTCAATATGTGGCCAGTGTGACTGAGGAATTGATTTTTTAATTCATTTAATTTTAATCATTTTTTATTTAAATATCCACAAATGTCTAGTGGCTACTATGTTTGATGGCACATGCCCGAAAGACTTAGGGAAAACCAGCCATGATATTTTTCCATTGCTTTCAGAGATGTCACCCAAGTTCAGCTGACATATTGTGACTATTTATCTGCCACTACTCTACTCCAACTAAGGTATAAAACAGACTGAAAAATAGTGCTTCTTTGCAACATAATTCCAGGGCAACTTCATGGGCTGCCAAAGTCTATTCACTCATCCTCATCTTGAACCAGTCATTTCTCCTTTCAAAGGACTGTGGTTCCCTGTAAAATCCAGAGAAGAGGGAGGGGAAAAACAACAGCCAGCAGTGAAAAAGACAATGACAGAAAGTGCATTTACCAGAAAGTTTTAGTATTTTTCAGTTTCCTTGGTTACAAGTAATAGAATAAGGTGGGAGGAGGAAATATTTGAAGCACAAATCACTGGAATAAGAAACCAGACAAGGTTTCAAAGCTCAGAGTAACATCTAGGGCACTAGCAAAGCAGAGTGGAGAAATAAGCCAATTATTCTGATGGTCCAAGGCAAAATGAAATCTTTCACCTGGAAATCACCAGATAATTCCAAATGAAAGGATTTTTTTTGGTTGTTGTTTTCTGTTGAGTTGAGCTGATAGTTACTAGAGTTTATTTTCTTAATATACTCTTCAGTATAGCTATACAAAGAAAAGTTCAGATGAACTTATTAGGAGCTGGAGCCTGACTATGATGAATCTGATGGACTCCTCATCCCTTGTGGAATTAAACCAAGGGTAAATAGGAAAAATAGAAAAGAATAGAGTACACACAAATCCAGAAGCCCTGAGGAATATAAGATTAGGGGTTTTTCCCCCCTAAGAGACTTGCGGTGCGGCTTCACAACTAGCTGTCAATACTGGGTTTAAGGCATGAGTTGCAGTGGGGAGAAGGAGGTCGTAATTTCAGGAGCAGCAGCAGCAGCAGCAGCAGCTCCCATCAACATTAGTGCTTATGTTTGCATTAGTAGGCATGGGCTGGATGTTCTGTCAGGATTTCTCCTATTTCTCTCACAGTAGGCCTAAGAAAAAGTCTCATTATAGTGTGGGAAACATGCATATGAATGTCCTGATTCAGGGAAATGTCTCTAAAGGAAAAGTACATTCATTAAATTAGTGAGGGAGAGAAATAAACCAAACTATAAGAAATAAACTTCAGAATCAGTTTAGATGTATTACTATGAATTCTAAATGCTTCTCTGCCAAAGACCCAGCAGACCTTAAAAAAATCAGAGTAGATGCTATAGTATATTACGCTAGAGAAAACTCTCAAGTGATGAATTAACTTTGGTGTAAGGCAGCTGAGACCAGCTTTGCTCTCCAGCAGGTTAAAAGGCTGATACAGTGTTGAAGCGCTCTCTGAGTGTGCATTAGACACAAAAGGATCCCCCCACTGTTCAACATATTGTGCTGGAGCAATGGAATTTCCAGAAATAGATTCGCCCTAATCACCTTTCTTATATTTTCTAGGGCTGAACCTGAACTTTCAAGGGGCTTGACTTGGCTTTTATTTTTCACTCTTCTTTTCATAGATGATTTAATTTCCCAGTGTTGCTTTCAGATCAGATGTTATTTTGGGCACAACTCAAAGAAAGCCATCCATATACATTGAGAAGCAGTGGGTGGCAGAATGAAGTTCAGCTTCATTCCTGATTAAGCAAAGAGGCACATCAGGGGGTGCAGGAGAAGGTGGAGGGAGAAAAAAACCACTAAAGGCTCCAAGGTCATTGAAAAGTACAAGTATTTGACTACACAGGATGATGCTGGCTGATGCTCAGAGTCTACTAAGTCTCAAGGGGGGACTTGCAGTTTTTTAAATACCAGAGCTATTGTTCACATTTACTACTATCACAAACCATGTATTTAATTATTACACCTTGATATTTAAAATTTTAACAATAGAAACTGTATAAAATCACAATGGAAAAAACATCATTTGATATAATTAAGGAATTTTTGTCATTAAAATCTAGCTTAACCTTCTCCTGGTAACATAACTATTCTCCAATCCTAGTTCACAACCTACCCTCAAAACCTCTTCCTGACCTCCTCTTTCTCTTCCTCCCTCTGACCTGCCAGAAATAAAGCAGGAAATATATGTTGAACCCAAGAACCTGTACAAAACTATTTGCCTAACTGTTTCACTTAATTTTCCTCATAAGACTATGAGAGAAAAGTGGGGCTCATGTAGATAAATAACTTGCCCAAAAATAGACAGTTCACAATCAGATCTATCTGATTACAAAATTTACACTCAAAAAAAGTTCTGTTTGACCACAAAGAGAGCAGAGCATTTATCTTAAATTCAATGTTTGAAGATTTCAATGTAATGATGTGAGGAGGGAAAGCCTGATATTTCCAGTGACTTCACACTAAGGCATCTCAAGTCATTATTTTCCTCTTTGTTGGTTCCAAAGTGTATTGGGGAAGCAATCTGATTTTAATATACTCGCTAGGGAGTACATTTTTAAAACATGTTGGTGTCTTCAACTTGCTGAAAGAGAGTGGGAATTATTTTTTGTCATCCCTTCTTTCTTTGAAATTCTAATTCATTAGTAACCACCTGGGACAGCACCCACACACACTTCAGCATCACATGTCAGCGGGCCCCTCCCCTACAAGCTTCTAACTTGGATCCTAGGCAAAGAAAATGTGTTTGTGCTTAGGGAAAAAAATAACAGCAACAACAAAAGAAAAAAAACCATAGCACCCCACCCACACATCTGTTTCATGGGGCTGAAATCAAATGAGGCAAATAACTGAAAGCAGGATTAATATATTCAGAGAACTAGAGGTATTTTTAATTGATTTTCCACCTACTTCATACATTCCAATGAAAGCATTTGAGGTCTCATTGAAGATGTCTTAAAACAAATAAAAAATTAAAAAGCATTTAAGCCCAAAATGTATACCTACTTTGTTGTCCTATCTTATCCTGTCTTCCAGAGAAACTTATGGAGATAAGAAACTTATGCCCACGCTTGACTCTACTTGGTAGCAGGATCACAGACTGAAGATTAAAGACAATTCTCTTGTTTTGAGCCATTTTTAATAAGATCAAATATGACACCAAAATGCTATAATCTAGGGCATGAGGGGAAATTACATGGATAATTTTTATCATTTTTAATGATCTCTATTTTGTCATTTTTAAATGATCACTTTCCTTATATTTTTAAAGGTTGTTTTATCTAGAAAGAAAATGAAAAGCCTGCATGTTAAAAACCATAGACAAAAAAAAATCTGATGTGCTCCTATTTCAGACATTGCTAGGAAAAAAATATTTTTTAAAGGCTTCATTGGATCCATACAGTTCTCAGGCTCCTTTGCCTTTAGGAATTCAAAGCTTGATTATTAATAAGGTGTAGTGGAAATCCCCCAGAGCAGAAGGCAGGCTATATGAATTCTAAATCTCAGCAAGTCCATTCAGTAGTGGGATGACCTTGGGCAGATCATTTAACCTCTCCAGTTCTTAATGAGCTTTTTAGAAAAAGGAAAGATACACTGGACACCCTCTAAAGACCTCTTACAGTCCTAACTGTGCTCAAAATCTAAAGCAATATGCCATATTTAAACTGTAATGAATGTTGCTGCTGGAGGTAATTAGGTATCTTTGGGGATTGCAAGATGGTAAATGGATGCCTGTTTCTCTCAAAGGATATTATTCCCCCATCTGCCAATTCCCTTAGGCCAGGATAATAATCATTAGTCCCTTCTGAGTTTGTTCTTGTCTCTTTTACTGAACATATAGTTTACAAATGATGTACACTCACTTATCCCTTGCTGATAACAAAGCACACATTATCCTCTGTTCTCTCAGCATTTCTATAGTCAAATAGTCATCACTTTTAACCTGCTGAAAAACACCACAGAACCTCAAAAGAACTCAAAAACAGAGTGGTTAGATAGGATATCATAAAGGCTATAGTAGCAAATGTCTGGAGAAGGTCTGTTCTATACATGGTTGCCAAAAAAAGCCTCTTTGAGGAAGAGAGATTTGAGCTAAGATGTGTTAGATAAAAAATAAAACATGAAAAAAGGCAAGAAAATAACTTCCCAAGTGGGAGGAACAGCATGTACAAAGGTCCTGAGGTGGGAAAGAGATTGCCATATTCCAGGAACTTAAAGTAGGCCAGTGTGATCAGCTGGGGGGAAAACTACACAAAATGAGGTTAAAGAGCTAGGAAGGTCTGGTTCATACATGCGGCAGGCTGTGCTAAGGTGTACTGCTAAGTGAAGTGCGAGCCATTGCACAAGGGTATAACATGATCTGATCTAAGTATTTGAAAGAGAAAGTACTCTGGCTGCTGTATGGGAAACAGGTGTTCAAGGTGTGAGGCAGCAAGAACTAAAGCAGAAATAAATATGGGAAGAGTTTTGCAATAGTTCAAAAAATAGTTGGCTGGACTATGATGGTGGCAATGAAGACAGAGTGCATGAAGTTGAGATGTATTTTGGAAGTAGAAACAATGGGACTTGTTAATGGATTCAATGTGGTCAGGGAGGTGTGTGGAGGAGGGTAGTTGAAAGATACAATGATTACTGTTTAGATTCTGGCAGCTCAAGTACCAAAGAGATGGGGAATTTAATGAGATGGAAGAAAGCAAATAGCCCTGCTTTTACAGCACAAGCTTGGTTTTCTTCTAGAAAAAAAAAACCTATTGTAAAAGCAAGACTATCTGTGTACAGATGATATTTAAACCGTGAAACTAGATGAGCTCACCTAGGGAGAGAATGTAGACAGGAGAGAGTACCTGTAACCAATGTCAGAGGATTGTAATGTTTTCAACAGAGAATGAGAAGGAACAGAGATGTAAGAGGAGAACCAAGAGAGGGTGTTATCATGGAGCCCAAGAACAGAGAATATTTCAAGAGGTAAAAGAGTAAACTGGGTCTAATGCTACTCAGAAGTTTGGTAGAATGAAACCTGAAAAGTGACCATTGGAAATAGCAACCTGGTGACCTTAACAAAAGCAATTTTCATGGCATGCCAGGCAAGTCAGCTTCAGTGTGTTGAGGAATGAATGGGAGCTGAAAGCAAAGGCAACCCACACACACAATTCCTTTTGTTTGTTTTAATTTAATATTTTAATAGGAAATACATTAATAGAACTCAAAATTCAAACAGTGCTAAAGAGTATGCAGAAAGAGGATTCCCTCCCACACGGATCCCTCAGCCCCACTGTTCTTCTTGAGGTATTTTGTGCATAAGTAAGCCATATTCTTGTCTTTTTATTTCTTTTTTTAATACAAATGACTGTGACCTATATAGACAGTTCCATGCCTTGCTTTTTTCACCTAAAAACATATCTTAGATCACTTTATATCACTATATAGTTTCCTTTATCATTTTCAACTTTTGTAGTGCTTTATTGAATGAAACTAATAGTTTAGTCTCTACTTGACTTTCTGTCATTGCAAACCGTGCTGAAACAAATATCCTTGTGTATATGTCCTTTTGTAAATGTGCAGGTGTCTCTACAAAAGAAACTTAAAAGTGGAATTGCTGTGTCAAAGAGTGTGTTCCTTAGTTATTTTGATAATAACTGTCAAATTCATCTCCACAAAGGTTGTACATCCACGAGCTGTGTATGAGACTATGTGTTCCCCACACTTTTGCCAAAACAATATAGCAAACTTTTTTTTCTAACTTTCAGGCTCAGGATGTACATGTGCAGTTCCGTTACATGGGTAAAATGTGTGTTGCTGAGGTTTGGTGTAGACCCATGTAGTGAGCATAATACCAGATGGGTAGTTTTTCAACCTCACCCCATCTCCCCAGGTCTTGGGACTCCTAGTTCAGATGCACACTGTAGTCTTAACTCCAGAGCGCCATGCGGCTGAGAGCCACAGGGAACATCTGTTTTGCGACTCTCGGCGAGAGTGGTTTCAGAGCATAAGTTCATCACTCAAACTGATACAGATAGCTTTAAGGTCTCTCTGTTCTCCCATGTGGCAGTGCTGCTCTTCTTGTAAAGGAGGGTAGGGCCCACCTTTGGGCCCCTGCAAGTGGGTGTTGGTTGTGGTGGTGGTCAGCTGGTTGGCTCCGCCAGCTCTCAGGCCCCAGGGAAACTGGTCAGGTGCCAGCATAGTCGGAATGGGGCAGGTAGTTCCCCAGTTCCCAGGCCCCCATATATCCCACTGGACAGCAAGTATGAGTCCCGAAGGGACTAAACCCTAGCCCAGAGTTCAAGTGCTGGCTGTCATGGGGAAGCAGACAAGCTGCTCCCCAGGTCACCCGCCAAACTCTCTGGCAGGGGCAGGAAGAACGCTTAGGTTGTGGGAGCCCAAGGAATATCACAGGCCTGTGGGGGTGGGTTTTCAGAAAGGCTCCGGGCCTCGGGTGAAATGATGAGGCAGGGGCAGGGTGGCTGTGCCATGGACCTTTCACTGAGGAGGGCCGGAACCCTCACGCAAAAGGTGCCAAGCGTTGTCTGTTCCCTCTGGGAGTTTTGCCCCAGAGGAAGGCAGAGCCACAATTACATAACGGTGCTCAGGCGCGGGCAGGGTTGCTGCGGGGAAGTCCAAATCTGGAGCCTCCCGGGCTAGCAGCAGCAGGGGTAGAGGCCGCACGTCTGCCAGTCGGGCAGTACCCTGGGGAATTGCTGTGCCTGCTTGCAGTGTTCAAGGGGGTGGGTTGCTGCGCTGGAAGCCCCAGGGGAGCCTTACCTGGCAAAGAGGAGCGGGGCAGTCTGACCACTCCTCCGCATGACAGCTGCGGCCTCTGTGGGGGCTCTGGCACCTGGTCGGCTGTTCAGGGATCCATGGCCTGTGGGGCTCCACGTGGGTTTGAGGGGTGCCTCTGAAAAAACTCCACGTGGCTCTCTGTGTGGGTCTAGATGCCCAAGGTGGTGAGGGGAGTTCTCCCGGGCCCAGGATGGCAAAGGTCCGCGTGGGAAGTGTGGATCCCCCGGGGCCTCTCACTCAATCGCCCCTTCCCCACCGTCAGGAGCTTCCCACAGCTCCACCGTCCCAGTTGGGTGGCTTCCCGGCTTTGCTCCTCTCTGTTCTCTGGGTCCCCTCGCTTTCTTGGTGAATCCCAACGTGGTCTCCTAGAGGATCCACTTGAAGAGCTAATATTTTGTCGCCACTTTGTTTCCACTCCGCTGCTTTCTAGTCGGCCATCTCGAACCTCACGAATTTTTTGATCTTGGTCAATCTGACAGATGAGTAAGGCTTCTCAGTGTATCTTAAGTGTTATATTGACATTTTCATTGTATTCTTAAATGTCTTGATATTTTTTGCATGACTAGGTAATGGATTTCTTCATCTCTTTCAGTAACTTTCAGTAGATACAAACTAATGTTGGCCACTCTGGATTTTTTTTCCTAGGACACGGTATGCTCTCAAAGTATTTATAATAGATTCAAGATCTTTCTCGTTTCTGTAAAATTGTCTGGGATGAGGTGTGATGGCTCACACCTGTAATCCCAGCACTTCGGGAGGCTAAGGTGCGAAGATCACTTTGAGACTAGCCTAGGCGACATTAGTGAGACCCTGTCCCTACAAATGATTTTTTTTTTAATTAGCTGAGCATGGTAGCTGTGCTTTTATTCTCAGCTGTTCAGGAGTCTGAGGCAGGAGGATTGACTGAGGCTAGGAGTTCAAGGCTGCAGTGAGCTGTGATTTCACCACTGCACTCCAGCCTGGGCAGCACAGCAAGACCCTGTCTCAAAAAAAAATGGAAGTTCAATCTTTAAATATTTGTTTTATTTTATAATTTTGGTTTCTTCTTTGGAGACTCAAGTTTTGCAAATATTGTCTCTCCTAAGCCTGCTCATCCATTCCTCTTTTTTCCTGACACTTCACTGATTATTTTTCTTTCCTTCTTACTTGTCTTGTTCTTCTCTTTTATATCACTTAATGTTTTGATCTGACTCTACTTCCCTGTTTGCAACTTCCAATTTCAATTAATCTCTTTAATGAAGAATTACTATTAGTTCACTTTTTCTAGAACTATGATACCTCATGTTTCCTCTTCTTACGCAGTCTCATCCTCTTCTACTTGAGTTATTTTTTCTTTAGTTTATGCTCTTATAACATAAATGAGAGGATTTCATGATTTTTCATAATTCATGAAGAAATGTTTACATATAATTTTCTCCTTTTTACACAAATATTCAGAGCAGTTTTATTCATAATTGTAACAATATGGGGGCAACCCAAAATTTCTTTGATGGGTTAATGGTTAAATAAACCCTCCTGGGAGAAGCAGTAACATCCATAAAGGTGTGGAAGTTGAAGCAATTGATCAGAGTAGACTGCCTTCCACTGCTCCCACAGCCTGTGTTACTGATGTGACTGTTATGGAACAGAAGAAAATTTTGAACGACACTCCTCTCATTTCTATGATTTTAATCTTTTGAAATTTATTGATAAATATTCTTCATCCCTAGCAATCTTCTTGCCTTAAGTCTATTTTGTCTGGTAGTAGTATAAACACACTAAAATTTCTACTAGTATATATGGCTTATTATTTTTCATTCTTTTACTTTCAACTTTTTTGTGCCCTTATATTTAAAATATGGCTTTTTTAGGCAACATACAGGACTTTTGAAATCTGATTTAACCATTGTTTTGCCTTGAATTGGAGTACTTATTCAATTTTCATTAAATGTAACTACTGATGTAGCATGGCTGACGTCTTCCATCTTGCTGTTTGTTCTCTATTTGCCCCATCTGTTCTATATTCCTTTTTCTCCCCTTTCTCGTCTTCTGCTATACTCATTAGGCATTTTTACTTCCATTTTCCCCTTTATTAAACAATTAGTTATATGTTTTTAATGGTTATAGCTGTTGCAACATGCCTTACATACCATAAGGTTAATTCGACTTCTTCCTTTCCAATTTGGATACACTTTATTTCTTTCTCTGGGCCACTTGCTCTGGCTAGGACTTCTAGTACTATGTTGAATAAAAGTGATGAAAGTGGGCATCTTGGCCCTCTCTCACCACTCTTATTCAACATAGTGTTGGAAGTTCTGGCCAGGGCAATCAGGCAGGAGAAGGAAATAAAGGGTATTCAATTAGGAAAAGAGGAAGTCAAATTGTCCCTGTTTGCAGATGACATGATTGTATATCTAGAAAACCCCATCGTCTCAGCCCAAAATCGCCTTAAGCTGATAAGCAACTTTAGCAAAGTCTCAAGATACAAAATCAATGTGCAAAAATCACAAGCATTCTTATACACCAATAACAGACAAACAGAGAGCCAAATCATGAGTGAACTCCCATTCACAATTGCTTCAAAGAGAATAAAATACCTAGGAATCCAACTTACAAGGGATGTGAAGGACCTCTTCAAGGAGAACTACAAACCACTGCTCAATGAAATAAAAGAGGATACAAACAAATGGAAGAACATTCCATTCTCATGGGTAGGAAGAATCAATATTGTGAAAATGGCCATACCGCCCAAGGTAATTTATGGATTCAATGCCATCCCCATCAAGCTACCAATGACTTTCTTCACAGAATTGGAAAAAACTACTTTAAAGTTCATATGGAACCAAAAAAGAGCCCGCATCGCCAAGTCAATCCTAAGCCAAAAGAACAAAGCTGGAGGCATCATGCTACCTGACTTCAAACTATACTACAAGGCTACAGTAACCAAAACAGCATGGTACTGGTACCAAAACAGAGATATAGACCAATGGAACAGAACAGAGCCCTCAGAAATAATGCCACACATCTACAACCATCTGATCTTTGACAAACCTGACAAAAACAAGAAATAGGGAAAGGATTCCCTATTTAACAAATGGTGCTGGGAAAACTGGCTAGACATATGTAGAAAGCTGAAACTGGATCCCTTCCTTACACCTTATACAAAAATTAATTCAAGATGGAGTAAAGACTTAAATGTTAGACCTAAAACCACAAAAACCCTAAAAGAAAACCTAGGCAATACCATTCAGGACATAGGCATGGGCAAGGACTTCATGTCTAAAACACCAAAAGCAATGGCAACAAAAGCCAAAATTGACAAATGAGATCTAATTAAACTAAAGAGCTTCTGCACAGCAAAAGAAACTACCATCAGAGTGAACAAGCAACCTACAGAATGGGAGAAAATTTTTGCAATCTACTCATCTGACAAAGGGCTAATATCCAGAATCTACAATGAACTCAAACAAATTTACAAGAAAAAAACAAACCCATCAACAAGTGGGCGAAGGATATGAACAGACACGTCTCAAAAAAAGACATGTATGCAGCCAAAAGACACATGAAAAAATGCTCATCATCACTGGCCATCAGAGAAATGCAAATCAAAACCACAATGAGATACCATCTCACACCAGTTAGAATGGAGATCATTAAAAAGTCAGGAAACAACAGGTGCTGGAGAGGATGTGAATAGGAACACTTTTACACTGTCGGTGGGACTGTAAACTAGTTCAACCATTGTGGAAGTCAGTGTGGCGATTCCTCAGGGATCTAGAACTAGAAATACCATTTGACCCAGCCATCCCATTACTGGGTATATACCCAAAGGATTATAAATCATGCTCTATAAAGGCACATGCACACGTATGTTTACTGCGGCACTATTCACAATAGCAAAGACTTGGAACCAATCCAAATGTCCAACAATGATAGACTGGATGAAGAAAATGTGGCACATATACACCATGGAATACTATGCAGCCATAAAAATGATGAGTTCATGTCTTTTGTAGGGACATGGATGAAGCTGGAAACCATCATTCTCGGCAAACTATCTCAAGGACAAAAAACCAAACACCGCATGTTCTCACTCATAGGTGGGAATTGAACAATGAGAACACTTGGACACAGGAAGAGGAACATCACATACTGGGGCCTGTTGTGGGGTGGGGGAAGGGGGGAGGGATAGCATTAGGAGATATACCGAATGTAAATGATGAGTTAATGGGTACAGCACACCAACATGGCGCATGTATACATATGTAACAAACCTGCACATTGTGCACATGTACCCTAAAACTTAAAGTATAATAAAAAAATTTAAAAAAAAATGGAAGTGGGCATCTTTGTCTTGTTCCAGATTTTAGTGGAAAGGCTTCTAATTTTTCCCCACGTCATATGATACTAGCTGTGGATTTGTTATATATGACCATTACAGTGTTGAGGCATGTTCCTTCTGTACCCAATTTGTTAAGAGTTTTTATCATGAAGGATGTTGAATTTCATTGAATGCTTTTCTATCATCAATTGAAATTACCATTTTTTGTCCTTGATTCTGTTGATATGATGTTATCATGTTTATTGATTTGTGTGTGTTGAACCATCCTATACACACAATTTTTATCTGTTCCACGGCAAATTTTCTTATATTTTTTTCTGTCCCTAATGCCCCTTTTTATTAGGGACATGTGGTGAGAACATGCGGTGTTTGATTTTCTGTCCTTGTGATAGTTTGCTGAGAATGATGGTTTCCAGCTTCATCCAGGTACCTACAAAGGACATGAACTCATCCTTTTTATGGCTGCATAGTATTCCATGGTATATATGTGCCACATTTTCTTAATCCAGTCTATCATTGATGGACATTTGGATTGGTTCCAAGTCTTTGCTATTGTGAATAGTGCCACAATAAACATACGTGTGCATGTGTCTTTATAGTAGCATGATTTATAATCCTTTGGGTATATACCCAGTAACGGGATGGCTGGGTCAAATGGTATTTGCACTGTTTTTGTTTAACTTCTGCTTCTCTTTCTTATTTATTTATTTATCTTGGAATATTCTTCCTCAAGCTATGGGTAAATTGATTGTGTAGAAAGAAACAAGGCCATGTTCCAGGCTAGGAGAACTTTCCTTATGACCTGCAATGGAACATATTCTTCAGTCCTATACTTCTCCCCTGCCAGTGGAGTGAAGCAGCTTTCTGAAGACTCAGTGTAGTCTCTCCCCACTACCCTGCCTCACTAATAGTTTCCTGCAATATGGATTTTCTCTGTGACATGATTTGTTCAGCACAAACTTCACTTTCAAAACCGACCATATTAAGGGAAGCTTCTGCACCTTCTCCTTTCACCTTGCTTCCCTTGTTGCAATAAGGAATTCGGATTTTGAACTTCAAGAAGGACCTTTCAGTTTGAAAAAGAGTGCCCTTGTGCTCTCTGAGGTCTATAAGTTGTAGGTATCTTTGCTCCACTGTCCCCCTTGTTCCTCTTTGTTTTTGGCAGCCCATCCATGTATTTTGTGATTTTGTGTTTCTGTTGTTCTCTAAGATGAGTTTGCATTTCTAGTCCCCTCTCTTAGGGGGAAGGACAACTAGGGATTTCTAGAATGAAGTCATGCTGCCTTTTCTGGTTTTGTCAAACCAGAAGTACAGACAATTCTTTTATTATTATTATTGTTTTTTATTATTATACTTTAAGTTCTAGGGTACATGTGCACAACGTGCAGGTTTGATACATAGGTATACATGTGCTATGTTTGTTTGCTGCACCCATCAACTCGTCATTTACATTAGGTATTTCTCCTAATGCTATCCCTCCCCCAGCCCCCCACCCCACGACAGGCCCTGGTGTGTGATGTTCCCCACCCTGTGTCCAAGTGATCTTGTTGTTCAATTCCCACCTATGAGTGAGAACATGCGGTGTTTGGTTTTCTGTCCTTGTGATAGTTTGCTGAGAATGATGGTTTCCAGCTTCATCCATGGCCCTACAAAGGACATGAACTCATCCTTCTTATGGCTGCATAGTATTCCATGGTATATATGTGCCACATTTTCTTAATCCAGTCTATCATTGAGGACATTTGGATTGGTTCCAAGTCTTTGCTATTGTGAATAGTGCCACAATAAACATACGTGTGCATGTGTCTTTATAGTAGCATGATTTATAATCCTTTGGGTATATACCCAGTAATGGGATGGCTGGGTCAAATGGTATTTCTAGCTCTATATCCTTGAGGGATTACCACACTGTCTTCCACAATGGTTGAAGTAATTTACACTCCCACCAACAGGGTCAAAGCGTTCCTATTTCTCCATATCCTCTCCAGCATCTGTTGTTTCCTGGCTCTTTAATGATTGCCATTCTAACAGGCATGAGATGGTATTTCATTGTGGTTTCAATTTGCATTTCTCTGATGGTCAGTGATGATGAGCATTTTTCATGTGACAGACAATTCTTTTACAAGTTTAGCTGTGAAAAGGAATTGAACATGGCTTGTAGCTGGAGAAGAATGTGGGAGTCAATGGAGAGTTTTCGTTTAGATAAAGGATCCAAAGGTTATTGGTGTTGTTGGCTGATGAGAATATTGAGTGGAAAGGAAGTAATGATAATGGAAGAGAGAGAGAGGAGTTAGAGAAAGAATAAAGTCTTTGAGAATTTCACTTTTCCTCAGGTATAATAGGAGCAAAGATAGAGAAGATGGGGCTGATGCAGGTATGCTTATAGATCTGGTGGAAGGTACATGAACACCTTCCCATTTGATGACTGCCATACCTCATTAAAATATGAGCTGAACAAAAGGAGACATACAAATGGCCAAAAAAAAGTATGAAAAAATGTTCCACATCACTAATCATCAGAGAGATGCAAATCAAAACTGCAGTGAGATACCATCTCACACCATTCAGAATTGCTATTACTAAAAAATCAAAAAATAACAGATGCCAGGAAGGTTTCAGAGAAAATAGAGCTTATACACTATTGGTGGGAATGTAAACTAGTTTAGCCCCTGTGGAAAGCAGTTTGGAGATTTCTCAAAGAACTAACAATGGAATTGCCATTTGGCCCAGCAATCTAATTACTGGGTATATACCCAAAAGAAAATAAATTGTTCTGCCAAAAAGACACATGCACTAATATGTTTCTTGCAGCACTATTCACAATAGCAAAGACATGGAACCAACCCAAGTACCCATCAACGGTGGACTGCACAAAGAAAATGTGGTATATATATACCATGGAATACTACACACCCACAAAAAGGCAAACAAAATCTTGTTCTTTGCAGCAACATGGATGCAGCTGGAGGCCATTATCTTAAGTGAATAATTGCAGAAATAGAAAACCAAATACTGCATGTTCTCACTTATAAGTGGGAGCTGAACATTGGGTATACATGAACATAAAGATGGGAACAATAGACACTGGGGATTTCAAGAGGGAGGAGAGGAAAACTACCTATTGGGTACTATGTTCACTATTTGAGTGATGGGATCAATAGAAGCCCAAACCTCATTATCATGCGGTACACCCATATAACAAACCTGCACATGCACTCCTTGAATTTAAAAAAAAGTTTTAGTTAAAAAAATATGTGAGCTGAGGACACCAACCTAAAAGAAGGAGGAGAAAAGAGAAAAAGTCACAGAGAGAGAAGATGGTAGGAAACAGTAACCTTGGAAGATGTATAATTCCAAGAGACACATTGCTGGACATTTGAGTCTTGAAATCAACCTTTGTATACTTAATTGCTTTTATGTCGGAATAGTTTTTTTTTCCAACTTTTAAAAGCTGGAATCCTTATGAAGATAACCTATATAGCAATGCCAATAAAAGCTTGACTGGTGGGAAAGTTTTTAACACAGAGAGGCAGATAGGAAGCATTCCTGGCAAGGGAAATGCAATGAACAAAAAAGCACAAAAACAGGATGCCATGGAGCATGGACAGGCATCATGGAAAATATATTAAACCACACTTTAAACTCTTGGTCTTTATTGATTAAACCACCCTTTTCAAATGTGAAATTATCGTCTACCAGGCCACAACAAAACTATTGTGGCAATATGAAATGCAGACATGTATAGAATTCTTGAGCTGTGATTGACGTCATGCTGACCAAACACACACACACACACACACACACAAACCAAAAAAAAAAAAACAAAAAACAAAAGAATGCTTTATTGCCCATTGTTGTACTAATGGCACTCAAACACATCTACAATACAATTGGTGTTCAAAGCAATGTGACTAGAGCCATATGGTTACTCCTGCACTTACCATCCAAGGATCATTGCTTTCCCACTACTGTGTGACTTCTAAGCCTGAGTCATAAAAATTCACTGTTTCCACATTGTTCATTGGAACACTCAAATTTTGATCCCTGAGTCCACCTATCTTGATGACATTATGCTGTGAGGAATTCAGACCACACAGAGATGCCACTCCTGCTGTAGTCCTAGTTTTTGAGTCATTCCTGCCTAAGAACCAAACATGCAAGTAAGCAAGCCTTCAAATAATTCCAACCACCATCCATTAAGTCACTTTCAGCCTTATAGTCCTCCCAGCTAAGGCCCTAGTCATTCTGGACCAGAGACAATTTATTGCCATTAAGACCTATTTGAATTCCTCACCCATAGAATCCAAGGGCACAAAAAAAGAAAAAGTTGTTTTAAGCTGTTAAATTTTGTAGTAATTTCTTATGCAGAAATAGTAACTAGCATAGTAATATTTTAAACAAGCAAGTGATACACATACAGCAGTAAGATATCTTTAATTAAGCCACCATTATGTGTAAAATTGCCGTGTTTTTGTTTTTGTTTTGAGACAGGGTCTGACTCTGTTGCCCAGGCTGGAGTGCTGGAGTGCAGTGGCGCGATCTCGTCTCACTGCAACCTTGACCTCCCTGGCTCAAGAGATCCTCCCACCTCAGCCCCCTGAGTAGCACATGCCACTGTGCCTGGCTAATTTTTTTTTTTTTCCCTAGAGACGGGGTTTCACCATGCTGCCCAAGCTGGTCTCCAATGCCAGAGCTCCAGGGATCTGCTCATTGTGGCCTCCCAAAGTGCTGGGATTACAGGTGTTAGCCATGTGTGCCTGACCTGTGGTGGGATTTTTAAAATAAGCAAGACACCGAATCCTTACTTTTAGACTCTGAAAAAGACACTTTATAAGAACTGTACAAGACAAGTGGACATGGCAGTGTTATTAGCAACAGAATGATTATAGACACTCTTTCCAAAAGACAGTGTTTTTAGATTGGAATTTGTCAGAAGTGAAGGAAAGGTTGTAAAAGTCAGGAAATGTAAAGCTGCTTTTCTCATTTAGGAGAAAACAGTGAAGCTGGGTGCCCTTCTCATCTCTCACCAAACAAATGTACTTCCTTTGTGAGGTTGGCAGTGAAAAGACTAACTGGTCTATAAATTATTGAAATGGCATCTGGTTAGATGTTGATATGGTCATTTAAAATTAAAATGTGTTGTATTAGCAAGTGCATGTTTATGGAAGAATTAGGCACTCACATATCAGAGAAAATGAATTCATAAACATGATCATAAATCTTCTAACTTATCAATTGATACTTTGCTCTCTTTCAGATATTTCCTAAGCTCTGCTTCCATCTTTTATTTAGGGATACAAAATGTCTTGACATTAAAACCAGATAAGAAAATATATACAATTATATATACAATTAGAATTATTATATGCTAAAACATGTATTTGTTCAAAGACAAGACAGAAAGAATAGCCATCACTTGGGAGTCATTAGATTGATACAGAAAAGGCATTATCTTGGATCTGGAACAATATACAAGATAAATGCTCACACAGTTATCACTGGGAGTGGAATTCGGGCAGAGGAGGAATTACTCACTTTCTGCATCATGAACATCTGTAGTGTTCCATTTTTTACAAAAATAATGTGTTGCTTTTTGGATGCCAATTCAAACAAATTAACGTTTATAAAATACTCAAGGAAATCTGAACACTAACTGGATATTAAATAAGAAAATGGTGTTGTGATTATACTTTTTAAGGGTCTTATATTTTAAAGAGATACTGAAATATTTTCAGATGAAATATTTTAATATGTCTGGGATTTCCTTTCTAATAATCCAAGGGGTGGGAGGAATGGGTAGAGAGTTAGAAAAAATAAGATAGATCATGTACGAATAACTGTGAGGCTGAGTGTTGAGTAAATAAATGTCTCCACTTTCCTATGTGTGTGAAATTCACCATGACACAGTGTTAGAAACATAAATTGCTTTTATAGTCAAAAGTAAATGTATATGTTTAAATAATATGTTCTCCCAATAAACAGATCCATCATAAACGATACTATAAGTGACATTTAATGATCATGAAAGATGTTGATATATTGTCAAGGGATACAAACAAAAATGTTAAAATACATATATGCTTAAACACACACATAATATATGTAATATATATAATTGTACAATAAACGTAATATAACATAATAATAAACTTATATGAATGCATTTATGAATGCATTTATACATAAAGATAGGGCTAGAAAGAAATAGACCAAAACATTATTGATCATCTCATGCTACTGGTATTAGAGGTAATTATTTTGTTCTTCTTTTTGTAATTAAAAAAAGGATCATTTAAAGTTATACAGAATAAATAATAATCTCAAAAGAGAAACTGAAGAAACATTTTGTTAAGTACTTTTGTGGCTTTTTTATTTTATACATAGTTTTTTCCTTTTCAAAAGCTGGAAAACTTAGAGTTTTAGAATATATATGATGTACATACATTGCTACTCAGCATACTATGCTTCCAGCTATTCCTAAAACAGTGCAAGAAATGATTTTAAACTACAACTGTCTGCCGTGATTACTCCTGGAGATAGGATCACAAGGACATTTAACAGATATTTTTCATCTAATAACATTTCTGATTTCAACTCCAGAAGAAAGACAGCAATTTTATTCAGAAATAGAAATAATCATAAGCTGGAAAATTTATTCTGATTTATGTTCTTTAGTTTTGAGATTCAGAGATAGAAATGCAACCAAGAGCCCACTATTTTCGGAATTGGCTAAACTGAAAATTAAGGCATAGACTTACTAGTCAATTTGGGTAAATACCATCAAATGCTACAGATACAGAAGTTTCTGGTTTGGGGTTAGGAAAGGTAGTCAAGGATTTTTCCAAACCTCTCCATCAAACAATAGTGACAAGGCCTATTTATTCTTGCCTGCAGCTCCCAAAATTAATTGGCTGCACCTTTTAAAATATCCCAAATCAGTTCTTAATAGACAAATTGATGTCTCTGTGAGGTAAACTTTTGTTTACAATACTCTGTGAACATGAAACTAAAGCATCAAAGCAAGAATTTCTGATAACGTTATTCATAAAATTAAACTGACTAAACCAAGTTCCAAATGACAAATTTACATTCAAATGAGTTTAAGGGTATTTTTTCTCCTATGTTCCATCAGTTAGTTTTGTGAATGTAGATACTTCCTGCACATGATGCTTGACATTGTGTGGGACAAAAAGTCTAAGAAAACGTATTTGACTGATATGTTAATTTTTTACTGGTATGTTAATAGTCATTATACTTCAGCCATATACTTCTGTAACACAGATCCTTATGTCCTGGTATCCATGCCCTTGTAAAATCCCCTCCCTTTGAATGTTGGTGGGAACTGTGGCTTGCTTTTAGCCAATAGTGATGGTGAGTCACTTGAATGATTACGTTTCATAGAATTGTGACCTCCATCTTACAAGAAGACTCTCTCCCTTGCTGGATCTGATGAAGCACGTGACCAGATTCAGAGGCCTATGGTGCAAGACACTAAGGACAGCCTCTGGGAACTGGCGGTGACCTCGAGCCAACAGCAAAAATTGGGAACCCTTTACCTTATAACCTCAAGGAACTAAATTCTGTCAACCACCACGTGAGGTTAGAAGGAGATACTTCCCCATTCAAGTCTTCAGATAACAACCCAACCCTGTCTGATACCTTGATTTCATCCTTGCAGAGAACTAGCTAAGCCATGACCACAGAAACTGTGAGATAATAAATGTGTGCTGTCTTAAGCCACTAAGTTTGTGAAAATATTGTTTTGTAGCGAATCATATTAATACAGCTTTATTTTCACAATTGGACAAAACTTAATTCTGTCATATTTCATAAAGTAGAGCAACTTTTAGCTCCAAATATAACCAAAAAAAGGTTAAACATTGGACTAAAAAGAGTTAGTCCAATTAATAAAGTTGTGATTTCTCTCTAAATAAGCTGCACTTTTATATTCAAAATACCAGCTGTGGTAATTTTATGATGTAAGCTATTTTCCATAATATAGTTTTCTGTTTTAAAATATACAAGGTTAAATTAGATCTGAAGTAAATACTAATAAGAGAGACACACAAACTGATCTAATTTTATTTTCTAATTCTCTTTTTGCCATGACTTCCAAGCCTGCAGAAATTTTACTCCTCTGTTTCAGAACCACAGAGTATATTAGAAGAGGTAAGAAAGAAAACTATTATTTACCCTGTGCCTGCTATATTTCAAACCCTGGACTAGATACTTGACATACATTCTCTTGTTTAATTTTTATAACCACTCTGCAATGTAGGCATTAGTTCTAGCATTTTACTGTTAAAGAAACTGAGGCTCAGAAATCTGACATTACATACTTAAGATATCACAAGTAGCAAGTGGCTGAATGCTAAGTGAGGGTTCACACCCAGAAGATATGTGTCTCCCAGTTCCATGCTTTTCCCATTCTACCACTTTAGAAACCAGAACGTTACAAAACAAGTGCTGAATATTGCCAAATTCTCTGCAAGTAACCCCAAGTTGCACTAAGGAAAGCTATTTATAAGATATTCCTAGTCCCACAATAGGTTGGTGTTAGTTGAACATTACTGAGTGGGGTGAGCTGTAAAAAACAATCCTGGATGTGTATAAGAAATAAAGCATCCTTTCCTTAAACGGTTCATATTCTAATGGGTTTAAGGTCATCTGGGAGGGGCAGGTAAGATGATGAACACAAGAAAAACAAGTACAGTAGAAAAACAAGTACCAACAATATCGGTATCACCTGAGAGCTTGTTGGAGATGCAGAATCTCAGGCCCCATTCAGACCACTTGAATCAGAATCTGCATTAGCAAGATTCCCAGGTGGTGCATATTAAAGTTGGAAAAGCACTACAGTTGAGAGAGTAAGAAATTCTTCTCTATAGGATTAAATCTCTTAAAAAGAAAGGAGATATTTTTAATTTAAATTTTAAATAAAAAAGGATGTTAACTTCTGCAGAATATTAGAATTTTCACATTCAGCTCTTTAAAGTTACCCTTAGAGATGAGTTCATACCTGTAATTTCTCACCAGTTACCTTTAAATGAAATCCTATTCCTTGCACATCTGTACCAAATTATATCCTAATATCCATAGCATGTATGTTCTGTATTTTATTGTTCAGATTGACAATAACAACTATATCACCCAGAAGGCAACTTTTATATACCTCCAAAAGTTCTTAGCTTATGGATTACTAAAGCAACCTGATCAAAATATTTATGATATACCTAAGAGATCTAAAGAAATAATTCCTGAAAAAAGCAAGAAATACAATGTTGTTTGCTGGTCACCTAACCAAAACAGCTTAAAGTTTCCCCACTTTGAAGTGAAGGCACTTAGAACAACTGCCAAGTTAATAACTACAATCAGTGTCCCATCTTCATTTTTTAACCTAAATTGATATGCAAAACACATAGCTGAATTCCATCAGACTGGAAATGATCCTGATGGAAGACAACATTCGTCATGAAATTTTAACCAGAAGTTCTATTAATTACACTTCTAAAAACGAACTCTTGACAGCTTGACTAAAAGTTTTCATGTTACATGTTGCGATACTCCTTCCTTTGCTATTTCCTATTTTATTATCAAGGGAACATTTTTTAATCACTGTTTGCTACGGAGGGCATTTGAGGTTAAAAGTTACATTTCCAAGGACTTATTTTAAATCCTTTCATGACATTTGGTATTTTCAAAGGATATATGTAACAAAGTGTCAAAGTAAGAATAAAGCACAAATTCTTGAATTCCAAAAAAAATCTATAAATATTCTGCTATCACTTCTGTCTAAATTATTTAAGACCTTTCAGCAGTAAAGCTTCAATGTACACATTATCTCTAACAAACAGAATTTAGTTTAAGCCTCGTAATTGTCTAATGTTTTTTAATAAAGGTTCACATTATTAAATATAAATGACATGAATAAAAGAGAACTTTTTGTGTTTTTCTTTACATAAATTAAAATTTTAATCCAAACTCCCACAACCAAAAATGAAAGCTTTTTTTCTTTCTTTTTAAAACATCTTCAAATTTAATAAATTTGTGTTGTATTTTATGTGGCAAATAAAAAATTTTAAAGACTTACTGAAAAGTTTATCATTCAAAGAAACTATTGTATTGCTTCTCAGCACTTTGCCTAAGATCAAGTGCAAAGACAGCTATTTTTCTACTGTATTTCCATCCAGTCATATATATATATATATATATATATATATCCAGTAAGTCTTCACTTAACACTGTCAGTAGGTTCCTGGAGACTGCAGCTTTAAGTGAAACAACATATAATGAAATCAATTTTACCACAGGTTAATTGATATAAGCAAGAGTTAAGTTCCTATGGCATATTTCTGGTCACAAAAACATCACAAAACTTCTCAATAAAGACCAAAACACTTACAATGTTCAATATTGAAATAAATGTGAGCTATCATACACTTAAGAAAGATTAATTTTTAAAAGTAAGTTAATTATTTACTCAGTTATTCCAGCTCGGGGTCACAGGTGGCCAGAGCCTATCTCTGCAGCTCAGGGTTAAGGTGGGCACCCACCCTGGACAGAATGGCATTCCACTGTAGGATGCACTCACACTGGGACAATTCAGACACTCAAATTCCCCAACCCTGCACACCTTTGGGGTGTCGGAGAAAGCTGGAGTACCCAGAAAAACACCATGCAGGCATGGAGAGAACGTGTAAATCCTACACAGTGGTCCCAGCCAGGAACTGATTTTTTTCTCATCAGTGTTATAACAAGAAGTCATAATTGAGGATCCTCTGTATGTGGTTATGTTTATTTATATATTATTTACCCTGTGCCTGCTATATTTCAAACCCTGGACTAGATACCTAGATACTTGACATCTCTTGTTGGAGACTGCAGCTTTAAGTGAAACGACCTAAATGTATGTGTGTGTGTGTGTGTGTATGTGTATATATATATACACATACACACACACGTATATACGTATATATACGTATATATATACACGTATATACGTATATATATATATATGGAGAGAGAGAGTCTTGTTACAAAAGTAATGCATATTTATTACACAAAACCCAAAACATTATAAGAAAATGTTTAAAAATTCCTCATAATCCCACTTCAAAAGACAATCATCATTTATAATTTTTCTATTATTTTATTACACATTTCTATATTTTAATTATATATTCATTAATTAAGTGCCTACCATGTATCAGGTGCACTTCTAGATACAATAAAATTATGATGCAGAAAAATCACAAAAACTCCTTCCTCCATGGGACTTATATGCTAATGAAATAAATGAATACAATAATCCAATAAATAAATAAACTGTATAGCATGTTAGATGGTATTAGGTGCTACAGACAAAAATAAAGCAGAAAAAGAGGCCTGCAATTTAAATTTTTGATGTTTTGAAATCTGATTTTTTCCATACTTAACCTTATAATATAATCATTTCTATGTAATTCACATAAAGTCAAATTTCATCATGTAACTAGCTATATCATGGTTTACTCAACTATTCACTTATTACTAAACATTTGCATTGATTCTAAATTTTGATTGTTTTAAATAGCCTGTAATTGCCTTTTACTGTTTGATGTATGAATGTCTCCTCCTCCTAGCTAGTTTTTGACTAACTCAAATACAAGGATGAAGACACCTTCAATCTTTATGTCTCAAGTGTGACCCCCTATTCAATTTCCTATCTCATCTACACTTAGTGAATGCTTTCTGAATGAACAAACACACAGCCTAATGATAAATTACAAATTAATTATAGAATTATAAGTCTACAGGGGACATTAAAACAACATTGAGAGCAGCCAGCCCATTGCTCCAGATGAAGCAAGGCTCACTGGAATGGTAGAACTCGAGCATGCCATGCTTTCATAAAATTCTACAGAGATGGAAAGCTTTTGACCTTCTAGTCATTATATCATCACTGAATAAAGAGAAGAAATTCTATTTGAAACAACTAAGGACAATTCAAGTGGCTTATGAAAGTTCTTTAATGAGTAAATGTCCCACCTATAAAACATATGTCCTATGTTAAATTAATGAAAAGCCTACAATGGGACAGGCAGCAGTATGTGGGGAGAAGAAAGGTAAAAGGATCTCCAGACCTTCCTATATAGAAACCTCTTTATGGTATGCTTGATTCTCATGCGTCAGAGATAAGTTTCCTGTATTGCTGCCTGAAAGCAATAAGGGGTACCAGATCTCTGTTGAATAGCCGTGGTGTGCCAGGCACTCCAGTAGACACTAGGACATGTAATGGTTTGTCATGAAGTTTAGAAACTAGAAATGAGAAAGGGAGACAAACAACCACAATGTAAACAACTAAATGACTGAAAACTGTCATAAGTGCTATCACAAAAATAAACAAGGCTCTGAGAGTTATTTAGTGGGGACCGGTGACTACTTAAAGTAAGAAGGCATTTCTAGTGAAAACACATTAGACCTGAGACCTGAAAGATAAGAAAAAAAATCAACCATACAAAGAAAAAGGAACAGGTAAGGAGTGGCAGGAGGAAGAATAATGTTCCAGATAGAGACCACAGCATGCGCTTTGCTGTGAAGAAGCCAGTTTAACTTCAAAATGCTCCCCACTATCCTTTTTCATTTTCACAACCCAGGTGCTCCCATCCTGGCTTCCTGCCTCAGCCTCTCTTCAATAGCCTCGTTCCCAATTAAATTTTAACTTGTATTTCAGTGCCACAGCATACTGCTGTCTATCAAAAGCATTTATTTTGATGTGCTCAGATGAAATTAAGTCACATGTTATACAATATTTTGCACATTTTAATTTTTGTCTATAATAGCAATCATACTTGCATGTGTGTGTATGCCTGTGTGTAGACCTATCTGAAAAAAAAACTCAGCAATATTTCCAAAGTCCAACTAGGGGTAATATTTATGTGTTTACATTCAGCCAAAGAATACCCAAGCATTCAATGATCACACAAAAATGCCACCTTAATTTGTAAATGCTGATAGTTTCCAGAAAATCAAGATTCTACCTGTTTTTAAGTTACATTGTTATTTATCTACTCGTAAAACTTATTTTACAACAAATAAGGCCTTTTGATATTTTCTTGATGTAGAGAAAGATCCTCACAGTTTTTTTAAATTGTTGAACTCATTCATGTTTATTGAATAAGATCAATGACTTAATTATCACAAAGTGATGTGTAAAACCAACCAGCTGTGGCAAAAATAACTCACAAATTAAGTGAACAAACACAATATTTGCCCATAATAAACATTCAACCTTTGCCAGTCCTTGAATTATTACAGTGAAACTTTCAACTTAATAGGAAATCTGTGAACAGTTTAGGAAACATAAATTCAACAAAACAAATGCTGAATGTTGGTTCAACCTTAGTATTGTGGTAAACACTACAGAAATATTTACTTTTTTGTCAATGGAAGCAAAGCTTAATGTTCACTTCATTGTGATCTTTAAGTTCTCAAAAGCTCTAGGGTGAGCTTTTGAGCTTTTCTCTCCAGATTTCTATTACTGGAGATTGTAACCTCTAATCTCAATTTAACTTTTATCCTTTTTATTAAATATTAATTATATAGAAAGGAATAATTATAAAATACAGACATAGGTAGCCTGTAACAGAATAGAGAGCCCAGAAATAAATCCACATATATGCAGTCAAGTGATCTTTGGCAAGAGTATCAAAAATGAGGAAAGAGTAGTTTCTTCAACAAGTGATGCTGGGAAAACTGGACTTCCACAGGCAGAAGAATAAAATTATATCCTTATCTTATACCATACACAAAAATCAACTCAACATGAATTAAAAACTTAAACATAAGACCTGAACTATAAAACTCCTAGAAGAAAACATAGGAAAAAGCTTCCAGACATTGCTTTTAGCAATATTTTCATAGATATGACACGAAAATCACAGACAACCAAAAGCAAAAATAAACAAGTGGGACTATATCAAACTAAAAAGCTTCTGCACAGCAAAGGAAATAATCAACAGAGTGAAAAGGTGACTTACTGAATGAGAAAAAACATTTGTAAGCAATATATCTGATAAGAGGTTAATCTCCTGAATACATAAGGAACTCTTACAACTCAATAGCAAAAAAAACTTAAAATTAAAATAAAGTACAGACTAAGGACTTTGAATAGTAGACATTTCTCCAAAGAAGACATACCGATGTCCAACAAGTATATGAAAAAATACTCAATGTCACTAGTCATTAGGGAAATGCAAATCAAAACCACAATGAGATATTATCTCACACATTTTAGGATGGCTATTACTTTTAAAAAAGCAAAGGACTATATGCGTTGGTGAGAATGTGGAGAAATTGGAAGGCTTGCACCCTGATGGTGGAAACTCAAAATGGTATAGCTCCTGTGGAACTTTTTGAGTATGGAGGCTCCTCGAAAAATTCAAAATAGCACCACCATATGATCCAGCAATCCCACTTCTGGGTACATATTCAAAAGAATTGAAATCAGGATCTCAAAGAGATATCTGCACTCCCATGTTCACTGCAGCATTATTCTCAGTAGCCAAGATATGGAAACAAGCTAAGTGCCCATTGACAGATGAACAGATAGAGAAAATGTGGTGTGTGTGTGTGTGTGTGTGTGTGAGTGTTGTGTGTGTGTGAGTGTTGTGTGTGCATACAATGAAATATTATGCAGCTTTTAAAAAAGAAAGATATTCTGTAATATATGACAGCATGATGAACCTGCAGAACATTATGCTAAGTAAAATAATCCAATCACATAAAGACAAATACCGCATGATTCCACTTATATAAGGTATCTAAATAGTCAAATTCATAGACTCAAAGAGTAGAATGATGGTTGCCAGGAGCTGAGGGAGAAATGGAGAATTACTAATCAATGGGCATAGTTTCAGTTAATCAAGATGAAAGATCTGTTCTACAACAGTGTACCTATATCAACAATATTGTAGTGTACACTTAAAATTTGTTGAGGGTAGATATGTTAAGTGCTCTTACCACAACAAAATTAATTTTGTGCATTAAAATAATAAATAAAATATTTGTAAGGCATAAAAATAACAATAAGGAAATCTATCTGAACATGAACTCATCGTGCAGTTTAAGAAATAGAGCACTTTAGGCCGGGCGCAGTGGCTCACACCTGTAATCCCAGCACTTTGGGAGGCCAAGGTGGGCACATCACCTGAGGTCAGGAGTTCAAGACAAGCCTGGCCAACATGGTGAAACCCCGTCTCTACTAAAAATACAAAAATTAGCCAAGCATGGTGGCAGGCACCTGTAATCCCAGCTACTCAGGAGGCTGAGGCAGGAGAATCACTTCAATTCGGGAGGCAAAGGTTACAGTGAGCCGAGATCGTGCCACTCCACTACAGCCTGGGCAACAGAGCAAGACTCGTCTCAAAGAAAAAAAGAAATAGAGCACTTTAATTAACCTCCAAAGTCCTACAATATATAACATCATACATATATCACCAAGTCTGACTACCTATGAAAGAATTTAATAAATGTGACTATTTTTCTGAGCATTAGTTTACTTAATCAAATAATTTTTGTGTTTCTGGAAGTTTAATTATATAATCAGTATTAAAGCATTTTTAAAAGTGTAAAAATGACTTGAGTCATTTGAAAAACTGTAGAAGAAAGGATATAGAGAATAGACTAAGAGATCATTTACGACTCTCTATGACAACTAAGATGAACAAATGATGAGAAGAGTAAACTAAAATAGGATTCATAAAAGTACCAAATGCAAATAGTCAAAAGATGGTCATTGCAGAAGGGTTTGAGCTTGAACTCTGAGCCATAAAATGGAAAACATCTGCATCAAGAATTCAACATTTATACACCACAAATGCTGTTTTGGTGAAAGTGGCTCACTTCACTGTGTGAGACACCAATTCTTTTACAAGAGTTGCTTACAGGAGAAACGTCTCAAGAAAAAAAACCCCAGGGGACATGTCTGTAGGATAACTCCAAACGACGGTGCATGCATCAGACAGGCACCACAAGTCTTTCACTACCTGTATTAGTCACAAATAACTTTTTGTCAGTTTCTCTTCAGAATTTTATATCTTAAATATATAAATAAAGAAATAAAATGCATTCGCATTTTATTAGCATTAAAAGCCTCTAAAACCAACTGTGTTAAAACTGTGTAGTTAGCTGCTTCTTTAATGTTTCCTCTTTCTTGTAAGTTCCATAAGGGCAATGGCCATAACTTGTTCATTACTACTTCTCCAAAATGTCCAGCCCAGTGGCTGGCACATGAAAGATACTCATTAAATATTTGCTGACTGACTACAAATAAGTTCATTGGTTAGTTCAAAATGTTTTCCCTAAGAGGTAATGTACTTGATTTTTAATAATTGCCCCCTAAACTTTTCAACTTTCAAAAGAGCCTTTTCATTGTCTCTCTAGGCACACATCAGTCCCATTTTTTGAGAGACTTAGGCCATGATATTACAATTAATTATTTATCTCATTTTTTAAAAAAGGCATACAAATCCCAATCAGTACTTCCAATTGGCTCCGGATAATCGGTGTTATCTCCATAAATTCTATAACACCAGTAAAAATTAAGAAGCCACAATGTATCGCCTAATCACCAAAGAATTTCATTTAGGCTTTTTGAAATATTGCAAATAACTCTAGACTGCCCAGCAAGCCCTTCTCTGGGCTCAGTTTAAACTAATCCCTTTTGTTTACATGTCTGCTACAACCTTCAGACCTGCCCTCAATCCTATTCATACAAAAAAAATTATCTTCACATTTCACAAAAGACAATGAAATAATTATGCTGTATTACCTTCTTCCCCAACCCCAGGGCCTCACACCGATACTGCTGCCCCCTCCAAAAATAAAAAATAATTATTGCTCCGTAGACCCAAGTACAAGAAACATGCTACCAATTTTAAGAATATGGCCTTTCTCAATGTAAAATTGTAACAAAACTTCAATGTGTAAATTCTCATGAAACAAAACTTCATTGATTTTGCCATGTCCCTACTGGCACTGAGTGATATTTTTCTCATAATGTATTTGGCAGAGGTACTCCAGGGTATTCAACTTTTCAGAAATCTGAATTCTTCTCAGCCCTAGTAGTTTATTTACAAATGGATAAAATGAATTGCTTTTTCTAAGAAAACAGTTTGACAGAAAGACAGGGAGATAAATAAAACATGCTCTCTCTCTGTTTAGAAAAAAAAACTTGCTTTTGAAGTATATAAGTGTTAAGGTGTATATTTGCCAAGAATAGTTCTATACTTGAATAGCAAGAGTCATTTATTTCTAGGTCTTTGTGTAGTGTGACATTTGGGAAGAAATAACTTCGTAGGTAGAAATATCTCTCTTGTACAGATTCTTCACTTCCATGATTTGTGTTTTTCCTGGAGCTTCCCCATCACCAGAGCTTCCATTTAAAATCCTGTAAGAATTTAAGCCTCACCTATATTTCCAGAAGAGTCTTAGAAGTCTCCTCCAATCTTCCCCCAGATCCACAGTACGGTGGATCTCTCACTCTTAATCACAGGATCACCAACTCTGTTGTCCTTTTTTTCTTTTAAATATCAATGAATTTTGTGTGCTATCCTATTGGATATGATTACAGTTTAGGCTATAATCTTTCAGGAGGATACAGGAAGATTTGTGCAATGAAAATAACTTACTTCACTGATATTCTAACCCATTGATACTGAAAGAGTGTTCCGGGAACCAGCAGCATGGGCATCACTTGAAAGCTTGTTAGAAATGCAGAATTTCAGATCCCATCCCAGACCTATTGAATCGTAAACTGCATTTAAACAAGATTCCAGGTGATTCCTAGTCACATTAAATTTGAACAAGCACTGCTTAACTGACCTTAATCCATCAGAGCCAATAGTAGAGTCTTTTAATGAATCTGCCAACCACCACTACCACTAACGTTTTATACAAAACACATGTCCTGTTGATTTGCCATTGTTAGTAAATAATTATGCACATTCTTAAGACATGGTTTTTTCGTATTGATGTGGAATATTCATAATAAACTTTTTCTTGGATAGAGAGAATTAATATTGCACAGATACTTCAGAAATTAATTTTTCACAGGCTAATATTTCTTACAGCTAAATGGTATTCTAACTCCAACAGCAATATGTAAGCATATTACTTAATCTCTCTGGAGTTCATTTTCCTCACCAGCAAAATGGAAATAACAATAGATAATCTAGTGAGTTATTGTGAGGATTACATGAGATAATATAAATGGAGCCACACTGCATCTCAAGGCATCTCTTTTCTTCACACATTGGTCACTTTCTCTCCTACTGGGGATGACCCTCTTCATGCAGCTAGGGGAGAGGTAGCAGTTTCACAACTCCAGCAGTTCACAAAGCTCCTGACATCTCCAGCTAAAACTATGAGCAAGAAAATGTTGATTGGTCCTGAATGGGAGGCTGATGGAGTGTACTGAAATCTTGGGTCGCATTTCTAACCACAGAGTGGGAATAAGGATAGGATTGCCATATAGTTTGGATCTGTGTCTCCACCAAATTTAATATTGAGTTGTAATCCCCAGTGATGGAGGCGGGGCCTGAGGGGAGGTGATTGTACCGTGGGGTAGTTTCTCATTAATGGCTTAGCACCATCCCCTTGGTGCTGTTCTCACAATAGAGTTCTCACAAGATCTGGTTGTTTAAAAATACATAGCACCCCCACCCCTTGCCTCTCTTCCGCCTGCTCTAGCCATGTGAAGTTCTGGCTTCCCTTTCCCCTTCCACCATCATGGGAAGTTTCCTGAGGCCTCCCCAGAAGCAGAAGCCACTATGCTTCCTGTACAGCCTGCAGAACCGTGAGCCAATTAAACCTCTTTTCTTTACAAATTAACCATCTTAGGTGTTTCTTTATAGTAATGCAAGTGCAGACTAATAAAGATTGGAAGAATGTGATTCTCGCAATCCAAATTACACGACTGAAAGATGGGATGGGACTGCTTTGCATAAAAACAACCAGTAAGCAACATGCACCTAGCCACTTCTGAGATTCAGGTGAAAGAACTGTACGAGATATATAAATGTGGGTGTTATCCAAATTTAAATGACATTTTATTGTGAGAATGGGTGAAATATCAGTGAAAATGTAGGGAGGGAAAGAAGAAGGAAAGTACTGCATGCCAACTCAAGAAAAGGCATTAAGTGTTGATGGTCCCATATGGTTTAAATCTGTATTTTTGAGCTCCCAGCTTATTCTGATAATGAACCAGGCTGGAAACCAGTTTTATAGTATTTTTTCTAATAACTCTCTGGTGGAAGTACTTTCCCCATATTCAAATAATCCCAAGAATGTTGGAAAAGGGACTATGTTTCTGAAAATAGTAAAAATAATTACTGGGAAACTTTAGGGGGAAAAATCAATAAGTAGAAAAAATATGTGTTATTATTACTAAGTTTCTTAACGAAGGAAAGACGACTGATTGCATAGATATTAGCATCCTGATTATCCTGGGTTTTTTTTGTACCAGTCATTTGAGACCAGATAATTAAACAAACACTCTCAAAAAGTACATCTATTTTTTCCAGAAGCTTGTACCAAGCTTCTTATATCCTGTTCGTGTCAGAAGGAATCATGGAGGGGCAGACAGAAGCTCTAAAATGGAACAGTAATTACAGTAAAAGAGCATAACTATTACTTATAATTACATGCATCTCAAGAGTTCTTTCCTTCTAGTTCTAGAGGTTTGACCCCCTTCTGAGGTAGAATAATTGTAAATACTAGGGAAGGAAGACAGATTTAAAGGTTATCTGTCAGTGGAAGGGAACATATACTTCATAAATTTTTGTATCTTCATTAAAGGAGTCTAAAAAACACAGTGAATGTCATCTTAAGAAATAGGCGCTGAAAGTAAAAATGAATATAAATTATTTAAATGTTAAATTTCAGGGCAATACCTATAACTTCTAATGAATAATAAAGTAGCATGAAAAGCAATTTTATTCTAAATAATCTGCTACAGTTAAAAGATATTCATAGAAAATTTTGGCAGCCAGAAAGCAAATAAAAACATCCAGATAGTGTATTGGTTCTATAAGCAGAATTTTTTTTATTTTAACTTTTACCAAATGAGGAGGTCACTCCATCCAAAGATTTCTGGTCTCTCTGTATTCCTCTCCCATGACAATCTCATTGTATCACAATATGCATGTAGAAATAGGTGACTTTCAAATTCAGATAGTCTTTAATTTCACATTTTCAATGACTTGCTGAACATTTATACCTCGACAATCTCAAACTCATTCTGATCAAAATTGATTGCATTCTCGTCCTTGAAAACATGAACCTCCTCTTGTGTTATCATTGTCTATCCCATCACCACCCTCCTTGTTACCTCTAGACTGCAAATCTCAGACCTATCTTTGTCTCCTCCTTTTCACCTTCAGCATCCAATAATTTGGCAGGCCTTGAACTTTTACCTCCACAAAGTGTTATATTTGTCCCTTCTTCCAAATTTCCTCTGCCATTTCCACATTAATTCCTTGTTATCTCTTGCCAAGACTACTGTTGGAGGCATCCTATGTAATACAACCCACTGAGGTAGATTTTCCCAGAGGCTAGTGAAACTTAGACTTGGGGTCCAACATTTACATGGACCCCTTCCATTAGGTCCTATACCTAATGTCAAATTCATAATATTGTATCCTTTCTCTTGAAGCATATCCACTACTTGTTTAAGCTTCAGGTCCCCCAGAACACCAGATTAACTTTTCTAAGGCAGAAATGGCAATTCCACTCTCTGATTCAATGGCCCACCATCAACCCACCCAAGTTGACTACATAATAAATTCATTCCTCTTTGCCTGATTGTAAAGCCTTTCTTAGTATGACTGAAACCTTTCTTTCCACCTATGTTACCATTACTTAATTAATGCAAGCTATTACATTAAAACAAACTGAGTTGCTACTGCACACCCATTTGCTAACCAACTCCACCACACTTTTGCTTACATTTTTTCCTCTACCAAGAGTATCCTTCCTGCCTCATCCTCACCTTTCTCCCTACCATACCCCAAAGTTGATATTATACACAACAATGAGGTTCCAGGTTAAATCATCACCCCCATGAAGTCTTTTTATACTGTTACCAGGTAGATGCAGGCTCTCCTTTCTCTAAATTCCTATTTCCTGGAAATTCTCAAATGGAATTATTACTTTATATTTTTCAAGTGTGAACAAACTGTGGCCCATATATCAAATTCAACCCACCACTTGTATATAAATAAAGTCTTATTAGTTTCTTTCTCCTAGGAAGAGATTTTTTAAAAAATTTAAGGAACACAGCCACACCCATTTGTCTACATATTGTCCTGTGGCTGTTTTTGCACTACAACAGCAGAGTTGAATAGTGACAACAGAGCCAATACAACTGGCAAAGCATAAAATATTTACTATTTGGCCCTTCACAGAAAAAGATTTCCAACTTCTGTTCCAGATTATCTATGTATGCATTTTACTTCCCTTATAGGCACTAGCATAAGCTGCTCAAAGAAAAAATGGCCTCTTTTTCATTGCTATTCCCCAACAATACCTAGCAAACTTATTGAAAAGAATCATTCCATAAATATTTGAAGAGAGAGTGAATAAATCAATCCTATGTAGTTATTTAAGGATTTTTACTGCTAATTTTAAAAAATAAAGTATTTATGTATTTGGATTTTGATCATTATCCCAATTAGTATTAGAAACTTTGAATATTGCACACACATACCCACACCCATTCCACACCACTCATCTTGTAACTTTTATCCAGAATATCTTTATTTTTATCTTCTTAACTTTCTAAAATTAAGCTGTTTTCTTATCAGTTAATATTTAATTAGCTGGGCTGACATTGTATCAGTTTTCATTGGCATTGTTATTTCTTGCATTCCGGGTGAAGGGATTAGCATATGAGGCAATAACCTTGAATGCAAGGAGCAAGGAATAGAGATGTTAAAATGGGCGGCTAGGAACAATGAGAGGACACTGACTGATTTATGTATGAAGAAAATAACTCTGTATAAGGGTTTATGGAGGCAAAAATCTTATCTTAGAGACATCTGACTGTAGTAGGCAATAAAATGTGATGCTCAGATGACCTTTCAAGAAAGGACTCTGCCCAGCTATAAGAGGAGTGGTTAGTTAGCTGATAGTCTTGCCAACACAATGTTTACTCAAACTTTTTGAATTTTCCCGACATAATAGGTGAGAAATGGCATTTCAGTGCAGTTTCAATATGTATGTTCCTTACCATGAATGAGGTTGAATATATTTTCATATGCTTATTTTTACGTTGCAGTGATTTCATTTCTGTAATGTATCTGTCCATGTCTTTTGACTTTTTGCAATTTGGCTGTTAGTCTTTCCAATATTGATTTGTAGAAATTCCTTATATGTTAGGGAAATTAACCTCTTATCTACAATGTAAGTTGTAATTCATTTTCCTTCTCTGTCATTGGTCTTTTGACTTTGTTTGTGGTGGCTGTGTTGTAAGGATTAATTCCAGCAGGCCTAGAATTGGTCTGAACTGTTTTGCTGAATTACCTGCATATATTGATCTCTGGTGAAGGTATTAAATGAATTGATGAATAGTATTGCTTTGTAAGCATGGGTTCCAAGTGAGTTTTGGAGTAATGCAGATGAGCTTTTTAGCATGTTTGTTAATAATAGTGAGACACATTATTTGAACCTGGTCTCATTAAGATCCCTACAAGAGCTCTGCCACAGGAGCTTGCTATGTGGAAATAATACGCCTAATTTACCAGCAAAATAGAAGCAGTCCAGTCTGAGATTCCATTAGGGGATCCCTGTTTCTGAGATATTTCATACACATGTTAGTGGTTCCCTGTCTGAGAGCTAACACGTATCCTGCTATGACCCATCAGACAGAGTACAGTTAGAGTTTGCACCTGGCCACTCCAGATCGCTTGCTGCCAGGCTGCCTCTAGTTGTGATGCATATCTTTATTTTAATGCTGTTGCTGTATCATTCTACTACAAAGAAAAAAATACTATAGATTTAAAAGCATTGTCATTTGGGGTGCTGTGACTAGTCTTTAGCAGTCAAATCCTATCTAACTGCCACTACTGATACAGCAGCTTTTTAATATAGCTAAAATTGTCAATCTGCCTTATGACATTGAATTAGTTGTGCTTTTTAAAAAATCTGGACTAATTTTTCATCTGATTGTTGATTTACTTTACCATCATTTTTAGCTTAAGATTTCTTCATTTATTGTAGAATTTTGAGTCTCAGACTCTTTGAATGGAAGCTTTGGCTCATTTGCTCTCATTCTCTGTCTCCTCCAGTCTGTCTTTCTCTCTTCACTCCTTTCCACTCCAGGTTGACTGCACTCAGACCTTCAGTTTTATACTGATAGTTCAGTCTTTTCCCCAGAGTAATTTGAAGAAATATGGCAAAACTAGTTCACTCACTGAACCAGTGGGAGGCTGGTTCAGTTCCTACTGGTGAGACCGAATTCTAATTCCCTGAACTCACAAACTTCTATTAGTCACAACCCACAATAGCCTCTTTTTGTCTCTTCTCCAGAGCAGAGGCCTTTAAGCAGTGAACCCCTTACAACCCCTGTATGCATGATCACCCAAAGCCCAGCAAATCCACATTTTGAAATCCAGTTAAACCTTTGATTTTTTTCTGCCCATAGAGATGTTCCTCTACGTATTGAGCCCACCTATATCTTTTATATTTAATCTATCATTTCACATGTTTGGAGTAGAATTTACAATTCTATCTTGACTAGAAATTTATGATAATATGAAAATGTCATTACTATATTTCTTTTTATATGCAGAAAGAAAAATTACATATTTTATATACATATTTTACTATCTGTAATTATGCCCCCAAGAAGAACTCCCTTCTAAAACCACAACCAAGAGACAGTCTAGCCCTCAGAAAAGCTTGATAAATATTCTCTCTAATCAGTCTCAATCAGGACTCCAGCCAGAATTTCAGACAACACTACAGATTTTAGTAATCCCTGCTACTCATCAGGCAATCTTTCCATGCAACAACAGATCACTGACACACCATTCTTACTGAAGTTGAGTGTGCTGTTTTGATTAAAAACCAAATTGCTAAGCACTGTAAAATAAAAAAATTAGACTGCTATAATTATGGGTTTAAGTAGCTAAATGCATCTGGAAGAACAACCTCTGATCCCTTAATTTAGAAGAAATGGATAAATTCCTGGACATATACACCCTCCCAAGACTAAATCAGGAAGAAGTTGAATCTCTGAATAGTCCAATAACAGGCTTTGAAATTGAGGCAATAATTAATAGCTTACCAACCAAAAAATGTCCAGAACCAGATGGATTCACAGTCGAATTCTACCAGAGGTACAAGGAGGAACTGGAACCATTCCTTCTGAAACTATTCCAATCAATAGAAAAAGAGGGAATCTTCCCTAACTCATTTTATGAGGCCAGCATCATCCTGATACCAAAGCCTGGCAGAAACACAACAAAAAAAGAGAATTTTAGACCAATATCCCTGATGAACATCATTGCAAAAACCCTCAATAAAATACTGTCAAACCAAATCCAGCAGCACATCAAGCCTATCCACCATGATTAAGTGGGCTTCATCCCTAGGATGCAAGGCTGGTTCAACATACGCAAATGAATAAACGTAATCCAGCATATAAACAGAACCAACGACAAAAACCGTACGATTATCTCAATAGATGCAGAAAAGGCCTTTGACAAAATTCAACAATGCTTCATGCTAAAAACTGTCAATAAATTAGGTATTGATGGGACGTATCTCAAAATAATAAGAGCTATCTATGACAAACCCACAGCCAATATCATACTGAATGGGCAAAAACTGGAGGCATTCCCTTTGAAAACTGGCACATGACAGGGATGCCCTCTCTCACCACCTCCTATTCAACATGGTGTTGGAAGTTCTGGCCAGGGCAATCAGGCAGGAGAAGGAAATAAAGGGTATTCAATTAGGAAAAGAGGAAGTCAAATTGTCCCTATTTGCAGATGACATGATTGTATATCTAGAAAACCCCATTGTCTCAGCCCAAAATCTCCTTAAGCTGATAGGCAACTTCAGCAAACTCTCTGGATACAAAATCAATGTGCAAAAATCACAAGCATTCTTATACAGCAATAACAGACAAACAGAGAGCCAAATCATGAGTGAACTCCCATTCACAATTGCTTCAAAGAGAATAAAATACCTAGGAATCCAGCTTACAAGGGACGTGAAGGACCTCTTCAAGGAGAACTACAAACCATTGCTTAATGAAATAAAAGAGGATACAAACAAATGGAAGAACATTCCATGCTCATGGGTAGGAAGAATCAGTATTGTGAAAATGGCCATACTGCCCAAGGTAATTTATAGATTCAATGCCATCCCCATCAAGCTACCGATGACTTTCTTCACAGAATTGGAAAAAAATACTTTAAAGTTCATATGGAACCAAAAAAGAGCCTGCATTGCCAAGTCAATCCTAAGCCAAAAGAACAAAGCTGGAGGCATCATGCTACCTGACTTCAAACTATACTGCAAGGCTACAGTAACCAAAACAGCATGGTACTGGTACCAAAACAGAGATATGGACCAATGGAACAGAACAGAGCCCTCAGAAATAATACCACATGTCTACAACTATCTGATCTTTGACAAACCTGACAAAAACAAGAAATGGGGGAAGGATTCCCTATTTAATAAATGGTGCTGGGAAAACTGGCTAGACATATGTAGAAAGCTGAAACTGGATCCCTTCCTTACACCTTATACAAAAATTAATTCAAGATGGAGTAAAGACTTAAATGTTAGACCTAAAACCACAAAAACCCTAAAAGAAAACCTAGGCATTACCATTCAGGACATAGGCATGGGCAAGGACTTCATGTCTAAAACACCAAAAGCAATGGCAACAAAAGCCAAAATTGACAAATGAGATCTAATTAAACTAAAGAGCTTCTGCACAGCAAAAGAAACTACCATCAGAGTGAACAGGCAACCTACAAAATGGGAGAAAATTTTTGCAATCTACTCATCTGACAAAGGGCTCATATACAGAATCTACAAAGAACTCAAACAAATTTACAAGAAAAAAACAAACAACCCCATCAAAAAGTGGGCGAAGGACATGAACAGACATTTCTCAAAAGAAGACATTTATGCAGCGAAAAGACACATGAAAAAATGCTCATCATCACTGGCCATCAGAGAAATGCAAATCAAAACCACAATGAGATTCCATCTCACACCATTTAGAATGGAGATCATTAAAAAGTCAGGAAACAACAGGTGCTGGAGAGGATGTGGAGAAATAGGAACACTTTTACACTGTTGGTGGGACTGTAAGCTAGTTCAACCACTGTGGAAGTCAGTGTGACGATTCCTCAGGGATCTTGAAATAGAAATACCATTTGACCCAGCAATCCCATTACTGGGTATATACCCAAATGATTATAAATCATGCTGCTATAAAGACACATGTACACGTATGTTTATTGAGGCACTGTTCACAATAGCAAAGACTTGGAACCAACCCAAATGTCCAACAATGATAGACTGGATTAAGAAAATGTGGCACATATACTCCATGGAATACTATGCAGCCATAAAAAATGATGAGTTCATGTCCTTTGTAGGGACATGGATGAAGCTGGAAACCATCATTCTCAGCAAACTATTGCAAGGACAAAAAACCAAACACCACATGTTCTCACTCATAGGTGGGAATTGAGCAATGAGAACCCATGGACAACAGAAGGGGAACATCACACACTGGGGCCTGTTGTGGGGTGGGGGGAGGGGGGAGGGATAGCATTAGGAGATATACCTAATGTTAAATGACGAGTTAATGGGTGCAGCACACCAACATGGCACATGTATACATACGTAACTGACCTGCATGTTGTGCACATGTACCCTAAAACTTAAAGTATAATTAAAAAAAAGAAAAAAAAAAAGAAGACTAAAATTGAAAGACCATTCAGAGGTCTAATTTCTAAAAGAACACATAGTTGAAGTAAACCTTAAAAGAGGCTTCATAATCCAACCAAGATCCAGTTTATGAGTATTGGAACGCAAAGTCATTAGCACCCAGAGAAGGCTCTGAGCCTCAGCTAAAATCCCTAGAGAACTGTTGTCCTCCCATTATAATGAAATAGAGAAAATTGTGTTCACCAGATCCTTTTCAGGAACACACTGGCTTTGGAAACAATTTATCTTACACCAGCCTCAGGGATGATGAGACCTGCAGGAAACCTGAGAGTTCATGAAAGTGACATGAAGGAAATTCCTGGTTATCTTAGATGAAGAAGGGAAGAAAAGAAACGAGGAAAAAAGGGATATTGCAAGCAAAATGACAAAAATGTACAGTGTGTTCTGTGATCCCTGCTTATTTCCTTCCCCCAAAACTCAGTAAACCCTTTAAGAATCTAAAAAGACTTTATGGGAATGACTTTTTTTTGTCAAAACAATGACGGAATGTGCTTGCACATTTAGGATGTCCTTGGGAAAATTAGAAACAGCCCTCATGGACAAGGGAGTACAGAAGCCAAGAGAAGAACTAGGCCCAGAATCAGCAAAAACTTTCTGTAAAGGGCCCTATAGTAAACATTTTAGCCTATGTGGACCCTATAGTTTCTATTAAACTTCTCAGCTTTGCTATTTTAGCATGAAAGCAGTTGTAGACAATAACGAATGACACTGAAATTGGAATTTTACATGATTTTTCATATGTCACAAAATATATTATTCTTTTTGATTTTTGGTAAACTATTTTAAAATGTAAAAGCCATTCTTAATTTTTGGACTGTATAAAAATTTGGGTTGGTAGTTTGCCAACCCCTGGCCTAGAATATAAGGTGTAAGAAGACAATGAAATTATGAAATGGCCTTAAGGCTGCTCCAGGGAGTGGAAATCAGGCTAGACTCTAAAGGTAAGGTTGTACCAACTATCATGTATGTAAGCTTTTAGCAAAGCTTCAGGCAGCTTTATTTATTTATTTTTTATCTTCATAGCTTTGGGAGTACAAGTGATTTTAGTTGTATGGATGAGTTGTATAGAGGTAAAGTCTGAGATTTTAGTGCACCCATCACCCAAGTAATGTACATGATCCAATCACCTCCCACCAGGCCTGGCCTCCAACATTGGAGAGTACAATTTGACATAAGATTTGGTGGGGACACAGATCCAAACCAAATGACCTTACATTACTTAGGGGAGGTACTTTGGTTTCTCCAGAGATGGGTGGGGCTACAGAGCTCTCAAATGTTTCTTTCCTTTGTGTTAAGCTACCAGGGCAGGTAGAAGGGCAAAGCCAGGTTGGAGCTGGGTTAGGCAGGCCTGCACTCTGGCTCTTCACATGCAGGGCAAGCAGTTGCCCCTGTGGGTGTTGGGGACAGTTCTCTGGCCACTGGGGTAATGTTCCAGGGAGGAACACAGCTGCCTCTGCTGCACAGAAGAGTTTGTGGAGGGAGTGGGAAGTAGCAGGTAGCAGTAGGCCCTACCCAGCTCCCATGTGAGGGAGGCCTCACATTCATGGTGTTCCACTAGCAGCAGCTAGCTAAGTCCCAGGCAGTCTATGCTCATAACTCAGAACTGCTCCAAAACCACGAGTCTTCTTCACTGAGAAAGCAATTCTGGCTTTTAGGCCATGCCCCTCCCAGTTTGCCCACGGAGACAAGGCACCCAGCTCCTGCACACATGGCTGCAGCGTACTTCCCATTCACCCCTCATTTCTAGCCAAGATAGTTTGTCCCAACTCAGGATTTATATTATGAATTTCAGTTAGAAGCTTCTCTCAACCTATGACCATTGCCTCACTTAGCTAGGAGGCTTCAGCGAGGTCCCCTGTGACATAGAATCAGGGATGGCTTCCCTCAATCCTCGATGGAGACTGGAAGTACCTGCAAAGCTCTTCCCACTGCTGCTTTTACTTTTCTATTTTCCACTGCTCCCTAAATCAGTTTCAGTGCTAGGTAGCATTAAAGCCTTCTCCCATGGGCTAGATTAGCAGGTTCCTCAGTAAGGTGTATATCCTGGAGGCAGCCTCTCCACTATCACACTCCGGGACTTACAGTTTCTCACCTGGCTCACAGTGTATGTCCAGGCAGATTTATTTAAAAAAAAAAAAGTGACCTCTAAGTAACTTCCTACTTATCTTAGACCTGCCCTAATTCTCACTCCCCTCTTCCTACCCAGTCCAGATTTACATAACACCTTTACATATTATTTAAGCAAAACCAGTTGGGTTTTTTTTTAGGAATAGGTGGAACAAGGGAAAAGGTCTCACTGAGACTAGAGTGCAGGAATGGTCAGACTTGAGGAAGTGACACAATTTTGGTTTTGGGGAACTCAAGATACAGCAAATACACTTTCAAGGACTTGAATTCACGATATAATTGATTTACTATCTTGAAACCCTGAAGATGAAGGCCCCTGTTTCTTTGACTCTTTTCCCTAGACTAGAAGATAAGTGAAGAATTAAGCAGTTGAAGCTTCCATGGGGTTTCAAGGAGACAATGTAAGAGACTGTGCAGTAGGGCAAGAAATCCTATGTGTTCATAAGTCACCCTAAAGAAAAGTATTCAAATACTGGAAGTTGTGTGTTTACAAGTGAATATAAAAAGAAATAAAGATCACAAAGTTGACTTCATTTCGGTGTCTAATTTACTATGTTTTCCTCCCCTTGGGGTTTAGAAAGTCAATTGTATTTCAAATGTAAAATTGCCTTACAGCTTTAGAAAAATGTGACACTTGAAAATTATTGCTGTTAACTTTATTAGACATTCTTGGAATTCAAAGGCATCTGGAAAATAGTTGAATCACATTATTCAAACTTGACTCTACAATGTACTAACACACCCAATAAATCAGAGAATCTCCATACCTTTCCTTAAACTGGTTCCAGTTAAGGACCTAATCAATTGCTTGGGGAAGTTTTTCTCTACTTTTGATGGATATAAAATGAATGTTTTCCCCTCCTTCAGAGACATTAAAGAGAAGGTACTGGCCAGGTGCGGTGGCTCATGCTTGTAATCCTAGCACTTTTGGAGGCTGAGGTGGGTGGATCACCTAAGGTCAGGAGTTTGAGAGCAACCTGGCCAACATGGTGAACCCCATCTCTACTAAAAATACAATTAGCTGGGCATGGTGGCAGGCACCTATAATCCCAGCTACTTGGGAGGCTGAGGCAGGAGAGTCACTTGAACCCATGGGGCAGGGGTTGCAGTGAGCAGAGATGGTGCCACTTCACTCCAGCCTGGGCAAAAGAGTGAAATTTTGTCTCAAAAAAAAAAAAAAAAAGAAAGAGAAGATACTGCTCCCACTTCTTTCTGATTCTAAGATGCTCCTACTAAGCACATTCCCTTGAATCCATCCTTTTGGTATTCTTCAGTTTTTATTAACTCTTTATGTCTTAAAAAAAATTGGGGTTGCTTCCATTAAAAAACACAGGCAGAATAATATTTTTAAAAATGATTAAAATTGGACAGAAGACAGACACAAGTAAACAAGGGAATGCCAAGAAGCTGTAGAATTGTTTATCAGAACTGTTGCTCTGAATTTCTGACAGAGAAATAGGAGAATAACTTATGTACCCTTTTATTATTATTAGAAGGAAATACACTAGTTTATTAAAAGTTCAACCCTTTGCTTTACCCTAAGCTCTGAAAGGAATATTATTATTCAATGATATGGATTTATCAAAAACTACCTATGTGCCAAGCTCAGTGTTAGGCAAAACATTTAGAATGCATTTTCTTTCCTCCAAATGTTCATAGTGTAGTAAGAAAGACAGATATATAAATGAAATGTTAATATGGGTTAAGGTATTTAATGGAACTGTATACAAGATGCTGTAGGATATATAGAGAAAGGCAACTTACTTTTTCTGTAGTTGGCTACCAATGCTTCCTAGATAAAGGGAAATTGAAAAGACAAGCATACATTCATCAAATGCATGAAAAGGAACAATTATTTGAAACATAAGGAAGGGCAAACATGCAAAGGTAGGAATGGATGAACTTCTTTAGAGAAGCCTTCTCTAATGCAAAAAGTATAGAGTTGGGAAATGGTGCAGTCAAGTAAGGAGATTGAGAGTCCATTGTTAAAATGACAAATGCTTGAGGTGATAAATACCTCAAGTACCCTGATTTGATCATTACACATTGTATGCCTGTGTGAAAACATCACGTGTACCTCATAAATACACACAACTATTATGTACCTGATATGGTTTGGCTGTGTCCCCACCCAAATCTCAACATGAATTGTATCTTCCAGAATTCCCACATATTGTGGGAGGGACCCAGGGGGAGGTAATTGAATCATGGGGGCCAGTCTTTCCCATGCTATTCTAGTGATAGCAAATAAGTCTCACAAGACCTTATGGGTTTATCAGGGATTTCCACTTTTGCATCCTCCTCATTTTTCTCTTGCCACCACCATGTAAGAAGTGCCTTTCACCTCCCACCATTATTCTGAGGCCTCCCAGGCCATGTGGAACTGTAAGTCCAATTAAACCTCTTTTGTTCCTAGTTCCAGGTATGTCTTTATCAGCAGCATGAGAACAAACTAATATAGTAAATTGGTACCAGTAGAGTGGGGTGTTGCTGAAAAGATACCTGAAAATGTGGAAGCAACTTTGGAACTGGGTAACAGGCAAAGATTGGAACAGTTTGGAGAGCTCAGAAGAAGACAGGAAAATGTGGGAAAGTTTGGAACTTCCTAGAGACTTGTTGAATGTCTTTGACAAGAATGCTCATAGGGATATGAACAATAAGGTCCAGGCTGAGGTGTTCTCAGATGGAGATGAGCAACTTGCTGGGAACTGGAGCAAAGGTGAGGCTTGTTATGTTTTAGCAAAGAGACTGGCAGCATTTTGCCCCTGCCCTAGAGATTTGTGAAACTTTGACAGAGATAATTTAGGGTACCTGGCAGAAGAAATTTCGAAGCAGCAAAGCATTCAAAATGTGACTTGGGTGCTGTTAAAAAGCATTCTGTTTTAAAAGGGAAACAAAGGTTAGGCACGGTGGCTCATGCCTGTAATCCCAGCACTTTGAGAGGCCGAGGTGGGCAGATCACAAGGTCAGGAGATTGAGACCATCCTGGCTAACACGGTGAAACCCCGTCTCTACTAAAAATACAAAACATTAGCTGGGCACGGTGGCGGGCACCTGTGGTCCCAGCTACTTGGGAGGCTGAGGCAGGAGAATGGCATGAACCCGAGAGGCAGAGCTTGCAGTGAGCTGAGATCCCGCCACTGCACTCCAGCCTGGGCGACAGAACCAGACTCCATCTCAAAAAAATAAAATAAAATAAAATAAAATAAAATAAAATAAAATAAAATAAAATAAAACAAAACAAATGGGGAACAGAGCATAAAAGTTCAGAAAATGTGTAGCATGACAATGCAGTAGAAAAGAAAAACCCATTTTTTGAGGAGAAATTCAATCCGATTGCAGAAATCTGCATAAGCAGCAAGGAGCCTAATGTTAATCCCCAAGACCATGGGGAAAATGTCTCCAGGCCATGTCAGAGACCTTCATGGAAGCCCCTCCCTTCACAGGCCCAGAAGCCCAGTAGGAAAAAGTGGTTTCATGGGCTGTGCCCAGGGTCCCCCTGTTGTGTGCAGCCTAGGGACTTGGTGCCCTGAGTCCCAGCCACTCCAGCCATGGCTGAAAGGGGCCAATGTAGAGGAGCTCAGGCTGTGGCTTCAGAGGATGGAAGCCCCAAGTCTTGGCAGCCTCCATGTAGTATTGAGCCTGTGGATGCACAGAAGAACTGAGGTTTGGGAACCTCTGCCTAGATTTCAGGCCAGGAAACGCCTGGCTGCTCAGGCAAAAGTTTGCTGCAGGGGTGGGGCCCTCATGGAGAACCTCTGCTAGGGCAGTGCAGAAGGGAAATGTGGTGGTGGAGCCCCCACAGAGTCCTTACTGAGGCACTGCCTAGTGGAGTTGTGAGAAGAGGGCCACCGTCTTCCAGAGGCCAGAATGGCAGATCCACTGACAGCTTGTACTGTGTGCCTGGAAACGCCGCAGACACTCACCGCCAGTCCGTGAAAGCAGCCAGGAGGGAGGCTGTACCCTGCAAACCACAGGGGCAGAGCTGTCCAAGACCATGGGAACCCACCTCTTGCATCAATGTGACCTGGATGTGAGACCTGGATACAAAGAAGATTATTTTGGAGCTTTAAAATTTGACTGCCCCACTGGATTTCAGACTTGCATGGGCCCTGTAACCCCTAGGTTTTGGCCAGTTTCTCCCATGTGGAATGGCTGTATTTACCCAATACCTGTACCTGCATTGTACCTAGGAAGTAACTAGCTTGCTTCTGATTTTACAGGCTCATAAGTGGAAGGGACTTGCCTTGTCTCAGATGATACTCTGAACTGTGGACTTTTGGGTTAATGCTGAAATGAATGAAGACTTTGGGGGACTGTTGGGAAGGAGTGATTGGTTTTGAAATGTGTGGACATGAGATTTGGAGGGGCCAAGGACAGAATGATATGGTTTGGCTGTATCCCCACCCAAATCTCATCTTGAATTGTATCTCCCAGAATTCCCACGTGTTGTGGGAGGGACCCAGGGGGAGGTAGTTGAATCATGGGGGCCAGTCTTTCCCATGCTATTCTTATGATAATGAATAAGTCTCACGAGATCTGATGGGTTTATCAGGGATTTTTGCTTTTGCTTCCTCCCATTTTTTTCTCTTCCCACTATGTAAAAAGTGCCTTTCACCTCCCACCATGATTCTGAGGCCTCCCCAGCAATGTAGAACTGTAAGTCCAATTAAACCTCTTTTTCCTCCCAGTTTCAGGTATGTTTTTATCAGCAATGTGAGAACAAATTAATACAGTACCCATAATAATTAAAAATACTTTAAAACAAAAAATAAATAACCAGAAGTCCACTTTTAAAGTATGTCCTCAATAGGACTTTTTAAATTATTATTATATTTTAAGTTCTAGGGTACATGTGCACAATGTGCAGGTTTGTTACATATGTATACATGCACCATGTTGGTGTGCTGCACCCAGACCACAGTGCAATCAAACTAGAAATCAGGATTAAGAAACTCACTCAAAACTGCTCAACCACATGGAAACTGAACAACCTGCTCCTCAATGACTACTGGGTACATAACGAAATGAAGGCAGAAATAAAGATGTTCTTTGAAACCAATGAGAATAAAGACACAACATACCAGAATCTCTGGGACACATTTAAAGCAGTGTGTAGAGGGAAATTTATAGCACTAAATGCCCACAAGAGAAAGCAGGAAAGATCTAAAATTGACACCCTAACATCACAATTAAAAGAACTAGAGAAGCAAGAGCAAACACATTCAAAAGCTAGCAGAAGGCAAGAAATAACTAAGATCAGAGAAGAACTGAAGGAGATAGAGACACAAGAAACCCTTCAAAAAAATCAAGGAATCCAGGAGCTGGTTTTTTGAAAAGATCAACAAAATTGATAGACCGCTAGCAAGACTAATGAAGAAAAGAGAGAAGAATCAAATAGATGCAATAAAAAATGATAAAGGGGATATCACCACCGATCCCACAGAAATACAAACTACCATCAGAGAATACTATAAACACCTCTACACAAATAAACTAGAAAATCTAGAAGAAATGGATAAGTTCCTGGACACATACACTCTCCCAAGACTAAACCAGGAAGAAGTTGAATCCCTGAATAGACCAATAACAGGCTCTGAAATTGAGGCAATAATTAATAGCCTACTAACCAAAAAAAGTCTAGGACCAGACGGATTCACAGCCGAATTCTACCAGAGGTACAAGGAGGGGCTGGTACCATTCCTTCTGAAACTATTCCAATCAATAGAAAAAGAGGGAATCCTCCCTAACTCATTTTATGAGGCCAGCATCATCCTGACACCAATGCCTGGCAGAGACACAACAAAAAAAAGAGAATTTTAGACCAATATCCCTGATGAACATTGATGCAAAAATCCTCAATAAAATACTGGCAAACCAAATCCAGCAGCACATCAAAAAGCTCAATAGGACATTTTTAAGAAATGTCATGAGACCTCAATGAAGATATATTGTTTTCAAATCATCTAGAAAGTTTTAGGACACTTCTGTAAGAGTCTTGAGTGATATATCACTTCAGCATTTAGCTCTCCAGACATCTGCCTGTCATCTGTATGCACCTAGTTTTCTTTAGGAAAATTTTGACTTCACCCTCACCAGTAAACAGAACTCAGCACTGCACAAGACAATAGTAAGAAATCAGGTTTTATTAAAAGATTTTAAGAAGATAAGGAGAAGAGATTTACATTAGTCACATTCCCTGGTTGTCTAGTGGTTAGGAAAAAAAATACACTACTCACATACTTCCATAATGTTCACAGAAATTGGAGATTCAAAAAAAATGGACTAAAATAGTATTTAAACTCTTCCTACCAACAAAAAGTCTAGAAGTGCTACATAAAACATAACCATCCTTAGGTTTTTTTTTTTCTTCTTCTTTCTTTTTTTTAATTTAGCTTTACAGGAAAGAGAAATCCCTAGGTGCTAGAAGATAAAAAGAAGCTAAATATTAGAGTAGCATGAGTTTGCTCTGAATTAGACTTCCCTGGAGGATAGGTGTAAAGCTTGGCAGTTAAGAGTTGAGGTTTGTTTGGGATTTTTTAAATTAATTTTATTGATTAATAATTGCATACAATAAAATGCACCCATTTTAAGTGTGTTTTTCCATGAGTTTTAGCAAATTATACACATACACACACTTGAAACTATCACAATAATTGAAATATAGAATACTTCTCTTACCCCAAAAGATTCCCTTGTTTCCATTTGCAGTCAAGCCTTCTGAACCCCCAACCCCAGATAACCATTTATCTACCTTTTGCCACTAAGGAAAGGATTTCTCTCTTCTAGGATTTCAGGTAAATAGAATCATACGGTATGTAAGTGTTGAAGATAAAATTTTTTCACTCTGCATAACGCTTTTATGACTCATCCAGGTTGTTGCATGGGTCAGTAGTTTATTACTTTTTATGGTTCAGTAGTATTCCATTATACAGATAAACCACAGTTTCTTTATGCATTTACCTGTTGATGGACATTTGAATTATATCCAGTTTGCGACTAATATGTATAAAACTGCTATGAACATTTGTGTAAAAGTCTTTCTTTGGGCAAATGATTTCTTGTCTCTTGGGTAAATACCTAAGAAGTATAATTTCTTTGTCATATGTTTTACATTCTAAGAAATGAAACTTTTTCAAAAACGTTTATACCATTCTACACTCCCAGTAGCAATGTTTGTGTGCTGCACATCCTTTTCAACACTTAGCATTGATAATGCTTTTAAATTTAGTCATTCTAGTAGGCATCCAAATTGAATCTTATTGTGACTTTACTTTGTATTTTTGTGCTGACTAATATTTAGCATCTTTAGATGTGCTTATTGACATTCAAATATCTTCTTTGTGTCTATTCAAATATTTTACCCATTTTTCCTGAGTTGTCTATCTTATTATTATCAAGTTGTAGAGCTTGTTATATGTTCTGGATAGAAGTCCACTGTGAAATATCTATATTGTTAATCATTTCTCTCAGCCTGTGGTTTGCATTTCCATTTTTGTCAGCTTGAACTATTAAACCAGGTTAAATTAAAAGGAGTTACTTATATGATGGACCACAGGGCTTTATGATGTTTTTAAAATATCAAGGAGACTAGGGTCAATGGAGGTATTTTATTTATGGAGCAGTAAATCTGAGGTAGTCCTATAAGGAACTAGATAACCAGGCTTCATTAGATGTCTGATTTTCTACTGCAGTGCTTCCAAAGCTCAAATGTACATAGAAACACTTGCAGATATGGTTAGCATACAGATTCTGATTTAAAAGTTCTGGAGCAAGGCCTCATATTCTACATTTCTAACAAGCTCCCAGATGATGCTGATGATGCTGGTCCAGGGGCCGTGCTTCAAGTAACAAGGGTCTAGTTTAGTCAGACCAGTTTCGAAACCAATAATACACAAGCATTTATTCTCTTATTTATACCAGAATGTTTGAGGACTAAACACAAAATTATTGGGTCTGTCTGTGAACATTATCACCAGACATTTCAAATACCCCAAGCCAATCATGCTATACAGTAGGGTTGGTTACAAAATAAAATTACCTCTTTACTTTTCATGTTTTTCCATCTACAAACTAGTGTTTGTTTATGTTTATTAGACTTTATTTTTTAGAGCAGCTTTGGGTTCACAAAAAAATTGAACAGAAGTTAATGAGATTTCCCACATGTCCCCTGCAAGTTAACATTTTTAAAACCATAAAGACAATTTGGGCAATTTAGGACATAACATAAATATCATTTTAGACTCAACCAGGGGCCCCAAAGGGCTCTATTTCAGCAACTCATATTTAAGAAGGCTTAACACAACACTTGAAGAGCATAAAATGACCAGGCAAGAATGCCTGATAGCAGCCTGTGTCAAAAGGATCACCCTCAATGAGCAGCACTTGATAAATTTCTATTAAATAAAATCACATTCCAGCCTGAATGGCTCAGAAAGTCATTCTGCCATCATTTTAACACTTAGCAAAGCAAGACTCCTTCTGTCTGTGCTTTGGAATATACATCCAACTGACCAGACATGGTCATGGGCAAAAGGCAAGTAATGTATCTCTGATTAATTAGTGGAAAAGAATTAAAATGTGTACAAAAGGCCTGAATAGACATTTCTCAAAAGAACATATACAAACAGGGCCGGGCATGGTGGCTCTCACCTGTAATCCCAGCACTTTGAAAAGCCAAGATGGGAGGATTGCTTGAGCCCAGGAGCTTGAGACCAGCCTGGACACCACAGGACACCACAGAAAGACCTTTCCTCTACAAATAATAATAAATAGCCATGCATGCTGGCACAAGTGTATAGTCCCAGCTACTCGGGAGGCTGAGGTAAGGATTGCTGGAACCTGGGAGGTCAAGGCTGCAATGAGCCATGATGGCATCATTACACCCCAGCCTAGGCACCAGAGCAAGACCTTGTCTCAAAAAAAAAAAAAAAAAAACTACAAATGGCCAGTGGGTACGTGAAAAAAAAAATGTTCAACATCACTAATCATCAGGGAAACACAAATTACAAAGACAATGAGATATCATCTCACCCCAGTTAGGATGGCTATTACCAAAAAGACAAAAAAATAACAAATGCTGGTGAGGATGAAGAGATAGGGGAATGTTCGTACACTGTTGGTGGAAAATAAACTAGTACGGCCGTTATGGAAGACAGTACGGAGTTTCCATCTAGAACTATCATATGATCCAGCAATCTCACTGCTGGGTATATATCCAAAAGAAAAGAAATCAGTATATCAAAGAGATATCTGCACCCATATTTATTGCAGCACTATTCATAATAAGCAAGTATGAAATTAACCTAAGTATCCATCAACAGATGGATGGATAAAGAAAATGTGGTATACGTAGACAATGGAATATTATTCAACTATAAAAAGAATAAAATTCTGTCATTTGCAGCACATGGATAAAACTGGAAGTCATACTATAAATGAAGTAAGCCAGGCACAGAAAGACAAATATTGCATGTTTTCACTCGTAAGTGTGAGTTACCTCACTCACCTGGAGGTGGAGAGTAGAATAGCGGTTACCAGAGGCTGAGAAGGGAAGGCGAGGAAGACAATGGAAATAAATTGGTTAATGGGATAAAAATTACAGTTAGACAGAAGAAATAACTTTTAGTATTCAATAGCACAGTAGAGAAATTATGGTTAAAAATAATTTGTTGTATATTTCAAAATAGCTAGAACAGAAGAATTGTAACATTCTCAACACAAAGATAAAGGTTTGAGGTGATGGATATCCCAATTACCCTGATTTGAGGATTACACATTATATGCATATATCAAAACATCAAAATATGTTCCAAAAATATATACAGCTATGATATATCAATTTAAATTTTTTTAAAATTATAAAAAAGAGATGGGAATTATATTATGCCAGCTACCTTGAAGTGTAATAGAGATGGATTTTCAGAACTAACTAAATAAATTCTCCTTAGGAAATTAAAATGTGTAAATTTTCAGTTTCCGGAAAGCAGCTTAGCCATATTAAGTCATTTTTTATAAATAACCAATACCAAAGATTTTCCAGAACCCACCCCCAAAACTCATTTTCTGTCATGTCAATTCCAGTACTACCTTTAGTAGTGGAGACCGCTAATTGCCTAGCAAAATCTGTTACCCTGTTCTTCTACAGTAATAAAATTTCAGCAATAGCTGTCCAATTAACACTGTATTTCCTGACCACCCTTAAAGCTAAGTGTGGCCATATGACTGTTGTTACCAATTTAAGATGAACAGAAAAAGTACGATGTTCAACTTAGTTTCACTTACTTACCAGGAAAACTTAGTTGGAAGTGCCACTCTTTCCTATTCTGTTGTGCCTGAGGTTTAGTTTGACCAGGCAGATGAAAACAAGACCTTAGGGTGCGGAAGAACCACAAGATGCGAGAGACCTATGTCCATGAATGACTGTGTGGAGCTGAGCTGTCCTTGCCTAGACCACTCTCTTCAAAACTCCTGTGAGACTTAAATTATTTAAATGACATTCTTCTTTAAACCACAATGTTTTGGGGCTCCTGTGTTATACCAGCTTTGCCTATATGTTAAGTACTGCCACCAACTTCAGAAGAAGCTGTCAAAATAAGTCTTTCTAAGTTAACGATGAAAAAATTTCAAACCTTGCTATGGAAACTATACTAACCAACCATTAGAATTTACTGTATTTTCCATAATAAAAGAGTTACATCTATGAGCAAAACTATTTAAAGGAAATTGGAAAAGTTAGCCATTTATATCACTGTTAAGCCACTGTGCTTTAAGTAATAAGAGAAAGATATTTAAAGGCAAAAAAAATTGAAAAGGAATTAGAGAAGATAGCCATTTATACCACTATTCATCATTTTTATTTCCCATTATTCAGTAAAAGAAATGTGATGTAAAGGGAAAAATTATTTGTATGTTATCAAAGCTAACTGTTTCTAAAATCAAAATGAAATATGATTCATCCTATTGGTGCTGATGCACAGCTTATACACTGAGGAGTATGTCAGTGGCATATTTCATTAGGCAGTTTCTCCTAGCACATTCTCCTCTTTCCATGGCTCCCTGGATTAAGGGGAACAGCACAAGTATGTTGTAAGATGGATCTCCATTTGAACATTGGATCTAGCAATTACTAGCTGTTACTTTATTTATCCACCTAATGCATCATACACAATGTTAAGCACTAAGGATACAAAGATGGATATAATTCTGTCACTACACTCAAGGAACCCACAGCCTAGAGTAAGTGGCAGACAGATTATTACATACAAAATGAGCTATGACATGACAGAAGAAAACAAGAAAAGAGAAGCCAAATGGGCGTTTCATCCATTTATGATGTCAAAGACCTATTCTGTCTTCTAGCCCTATAACCCCAGTTTCTACCCCATATATATTGATCAGACTGAAAGGACTTGAATTTAGGGCTATGCTGCCTCCAAAGGGATTTTGTAACTTTAAATGAGCTGCTACTTTAAGTCACAGTTTCCACATTAGTAAAATGGGGAAACCAACATTTTGCTGATAAGATTGTTTAAGAAATAAAATGTATAAAGTACCTGGCATGTATAATGACTTAACAACTTATGGTTCTTTTCCTTTGTCTTATACTTCCAACAGGGATTTCACTCCTATATTTTACCCTTGAAGCTAGAAATGTTAATGTATATTAGATTTATTATTATTAGTTCTCCCACTTTTACTAATACTTCTATAAATACTCTGTCGTACACTTCTATTTTTAGCCTATAATTCTCTTGTGGGTAATATATTCTGTAGTTTATTACTTTCTATAAGTAATAGTGTTTCCATATAATGGCTATAAATTTGCTTTCATCAAGTGTCAATGGAGTTTTGAAAATGTGGTGATATATTGCACCATTTGTTCACATGACCCAGACTATGATTTCATCAAGAGTCCAGACACAAGGAAAATACTCTATATTCAGTGAACAAAGATCACAAGATCTCAACCTGCTAGCTGAAAATTGCAATAAAAATCAGTCATCTACTCAAGTCATGAGTGGAGATAGACTTATCTGAGGAAAACTAATTCTTTTTTGAGACAGGGTCTCACTCTGTCACCCAGACTGGAGTGCAGTAGCACGATCATGGTTCACTGCAGGCTCAAACTCTTGGGCTCAAGGGATCCTCCCACCTCAGCCACCTGACTACCTGGGACTACCCGTGTGTGACATCACACTTGGCTAATTTTTTTTTTAAATTGTTTTTAGAGATGAGCTCTCACTATGTTGCCCAGGCTGGTTTCAAACTTTTGGCCTCAAGCTGCCTTCCCTCATTGGTCATCCAAAGAGCTGAGATTATGGGCATGAGACACCCTACCAGGCCAAGAAAAACTAAATTTTAAATTACACATGGGTAAGGATCACATGTGTACCACCCACATATGAAGAAGCTCCAATCACAGAAACAAACATGATGACAGATACAAAAATGATTTATGCCATAGAGCCCCAGGAAACGCAAAAATGAAACCACCCCATAGAAAGGTCTCTACAACTAAAAGTATATGCAGGACCCCCCTACACACAAACACAAATATGCACATACATATAAGATAACTCCCTTTAAAGAGCTCACAGAAATTATAAGATATAGAAGATATTCATGTTATAAAATTCAGGTGCTGAACAAATACATAGGTGACTTTACCTTCTTGGTGTGATAGAATAGCTTGCTGAGGAACAACTCTCCCTCCAAGAATAATTAGAAAACTGAATATGATACCTCTCTAAAAAAATCTATTTGAAGGTATCAGAGAGCTACCAAAGCAACTAGGACTTGAGACATCAGGATTACAGAGAAGTAAGCCAAGCAAACCACCCACTTTTACCTTCAAGGCATTTGCAAATTCTTTGCATGGCATCAGAATCCAGAAAGAGAACTACAAAAGCAGAGCTTCTGGCAAACTCATGGGGATGAAGAGACAAAAATTAGACCTTGCACATCCTAATGCAGCCAATAATTAAATGGCCAAGATCCTGAAGAGAAAGGAATGAAGAGAAGATTAACACATGGTGGTTTTCAGCCAAGGCAATTGTTGAATATTTATGCTGCATAAGACAAAAATCTAAGAAGCTAAATACAAAGATGCTGAAAAGAAAGAATTTTGGGCAGTCTCAAGTGCTGAAGAAAGAAAATTAGAATTCAAGACCAAAAAAAGTATAAGAGTCCAGTAAATACTTCATCTGGACTCTCAGCAGGACCTTAAAATGGCCATACCCCAGGGGCAGGGATAAATCCATGTTACAGAGCTTCACAAGAAGTGCATCCTGAACTGAGTGCCAGTGAACTCAGTTCCTAACAGAATTAATGAAACCTATACCTATTCTACCTGCCTTTCTATTCTGTCTGCCTTACACCAGACAATAGCATAAACCCTATTTAGAGAAAAATTGCATCCTCAAGAGCTTCTATAATTTTTCATATATAATGGTCATCATTAAGTAAAAAATGACCAGGAATATCTAGAAAAAATAAAACCACAAAGGACCCATTTATTGGGATTATCTAACACAGAGTTTAAAATTACTGTGTTTAACAAAACAGATGATTAAATTATTAAAGAACTAAAATCCATGAAAAATAAAGCTTCTAGAACTGATAAATGCATTAATTCAAATTAAGAACTAAACATCTGTAAAAGCAGATTAGATATAGCAGAAGAGATAATTTGTGAACTGAAAAATGTGTCCAGATAAAACACAAAGGATAAAAGGATAGAAAGAGGAAAATGAGCACAAGATCCACATGGAACACAACAAAAGGTCTAACTAATATGTAATTAGAGCCCCAAAGATGGAGAAGAATGAGAATGTGAGCGTAGCAATATTTAAATAGGCAGTGGCTGAGAATTTCCCAAAAATGATGATAGACATGAAGCCATAGACTGAAGAACCATTGCAAACCCCAAACAAAATAAATCTATAGAGACCCACATATAGGCCCACCGTAGTAAAATTACTGAAAAAACAAATAGAAAGAAAACTATTTAAAAGCCAGGCAAGGCTGGGTGAGGTGGATCATGCATGTAGTCCCAGCACTTTGGGAGGCCAATGCAGGAGGATCACTTGAGCCCAGGAGTTTGAGACCAGCCTGGGCAACATAAGGAGACCCCATCTCTATTTTTAAAATTTTTTTAATAAAATAAAATAAAAGTCAGGCAAATATCCAACCATTCTGCAACATATTCTGTTGGTGAGGCTGTGGAAAAACAACTGTTCTCATACATTGCCTATGAGAATTCAAAATGGTACAACTTTTATAAAGGGGAATTTCATGATACCTAAGAAAATTACATGGACTCCTGGAATCCAACCCAAAAATAGAGTGAAAAACATGACAAAAGACATACAACCTGGGCTATTCATGACAGAAATATTTGTAATGGGAAAAGACTACGTACAACCCAAATGTGCATCAGTAATGGACTGGTTGAATAAACTGTGGTGTCTCCATACAATGAAGTACTCTGGAGCTATAATAGTGAATTGTGAATATTCTCCATGGAGTAATCACTACAATATATTAAGTGAAAAAATAAAAATTTATATAGTGTGTTACTGATAATCTAAGAAATAAGGGATGTAAAGAAAAGGTAAAAAGAAAATATATTTTACATATATACACGCATATATCTATATAACTTTTTAAAATGAAAACCATACAAATATAAATGATTATAGAGTAAGAAAGGAAATGAGTGGAGGGGATAGGGATATAAGCTAGACTTTGTTGAATACAACTTATTTTGTAGCTTCGATTTTAGAACCATGTAATTATTTTAGATAGTAACAAAACAAGGACTGTGTCAAAATGGCTTAGGAGTAACTTTTTTAAAAACTTCCATTAGGCAAATATGGAACAATTTAAGGGTCAATGCAGATAACTGCATTGTGTAATATTAGACCAAAATAAGAGTGACTACCACTCAAGAATGTGAGTAGAGCACTTCATTATTTTAAAAACTGATATAATAAGGGGAAAAATCAAACATTTATCTGTCTTTCTTGTACAAACTGTACCATGGAATTACCATATAGTAGGTAAAATTCCAACTAAAAATAATGATGGAATATCACATTTGGCAACCTTTAATTAATTATATGTTCTCTATGGTTTCTAACATCACAAAAAAGATGACCAGAGATTCTGTAACTCCTGATGAGAGAACCCACCTCCATCATTAGAGTATTCTTGCCCAAAGCAAAAAGCTTGAATCTACATCCAACTACCACATCACAGTAAATACAGAGAACAATGAAACTGTTACAGAAAGAAAAGGATGCATTCAGCAAACTGTGGAATGTAGGAAACTCAACAAAACAAATAATCCAGTTTTTTCAACAAACAAACTACAGAAAGAAAGAGGAAGGAAGTGAGGGAGGAAGGGAGGGAAAGAGGAAAGGAGGAACGGAGGGAGGGAAGGAGGAAGGGAGAAAGGAAGGCAGGAAGGGAGGAAGGCAGGAAGGCAGGGAGGCAGGGAGGTAGGCAGGAAGGCAGGCAGGCAGGAAGGAAAGAAGGAAGGAAGGAAGCAAGGAAGGAAAGAAAAGAAAAGAGACAGGGAAGTCTATTAGGAGACTTAAAAGATACCTCAACCAATCCGAACAATAGACTTATTTGACTTCATATTCAAACCAAAAGATAATCAAACACACACATGCACTCACACATGCTGAATATGTTAAGAATGTTAAATATATATGTGTGGATTTCATATATTATTTTTGCTGTTTTCAAATAATTTAAATAATTGAATATTGGATTGTATTAAGGAATTCTTAATTTTAGGCATGATAATAGTATTGTGGTTATGTCTTTTTTTAAAGATAAAATGAGCTCTTAGTAAATAGAGATACATACTGAAATATTAAATGATAAGTTGATGAGAAATTGCCTCACAATAATAAGTAGTTGGGAATAGAGATTAAAGAAGATTAAGCACAAATTCATAATTTTTTAAGCTGAATGATCAATACATGGGGTTCCTTATAATATTCTGTAAAACTTCATAGTTGCTTGAAATTTTCCACAATAAATTACTTTGGATAAAAGCAACCATGAAAAAAAGGCATACTACCTTCAAAGTAGAAAATAAGACTGAAAGCAAAAAGACAATCATAAAATCTTTAATGTTCTAAAAGAATATAACTTCCAACACAGAATTCTAAACCCAGTGAAATATCCTTCAAAAGTGAAACAAAAAATCAAAAACAAAAAATCTATTGTCAGCACATTCATGCTTCATGCTAAAGAGTTTTTTAGACAGGAAGAAAATGACTTTATTGTTCTACAAACTTGCCAGCAAAACAAAGAAAAGAAAAGAAAATTATTCCAGATAGAAACATAAAATAAAAATAAAAAATAAATGAAAGAGTAAATATATGAGTAAATTGACTGAACAAAAAGATAATTATAACTGTTTGTTTGTTTGTTTGTTTGTTTTGAGACAGGGTCTAACTTTGTCACCTAGACTGAAGTGCAGTGAAGGGATCATGGCTCACTGCAGCCTTGACCTCCTGGGCTCAGGCGATCCTCCCAGTTCAGCCTCCCAAGTAGCTGGGACTACAGGCATGGGCCACCATGCCTGGCTAATTTTTTTATTTTTTGTGACACGTAGTATCACTAGGCTGGTCTTAAACTCCTGACCTCAAGGAATCTTCCCACCTCAGCTTCCCAAAGAATAACTTTCTTTTAAAAATTAAAATATATGTAAATTTTAAACGCATAACAAGAATAACATAAAAACAAATGGAGTTACAGTATTCTTAAGTCCTAGCATTGTCAGGTTAGTGACAAAAGTACTTATATATGAAATATGATTAAGTCAAGGACTTACTAGGGTAACTGCTAAAATGTTAGCAAAATAAGGTTCAATGAAAAAGCCAATAAAAAAATTACTAGATTAGGGCAAAAGAAGAAAATGAAGGGGAACATAATACAGGAGGAGCAAATTGTAAAAAGAGATGTATATTTGTAAATTCAAATATATCATTATTTACACTAAATGTAAATGGACTAAATACTCCAATTATAAGGCAATGTTACATGTTGTTTCAAGAAATTCATTTTAAATATAAAGACAGAGAAAGATTGCAATTAAAAAGATGTAAAAATATATACCCCCAAAATACTAACCATAACAAAGCTAGAGTGACTAAAAATATCAAAGTAGACTTTAGAACAAGGAATATTATCAGAGAAGAAGGATGTTATATAATAATAAAGGGATCAACTAAGAAGACATAAAAATCCTAAATCTATATGCATTTAGCAACAAAGTTTCAAAATGCAAAAACAAAACAAATGTAACTAAAAAATAGACAAACACAATTATATTGAAGACTTTGACAGTACTCTCTCAGTAATCAGCAAAATAAGTAGACTGAAAAATTAGCAAGTTTATAGAAAAACTTGACTAGTTTTTCTATACTACCAACCAATGTGACATAATTACATTTAGGGAGCACTCTACCCAACTTAACACAATACGCTTTCTTTTCAAGTGCACATGGAACATTCACCATATTCTGGGTGTTATAAACTGAATGTATGTCCCCCAAAATTTACATGTTGAAATATAAGCCCCAGTGTGATGGAATTTGGAGGTGGGACTTTGGGTAGTCATTAAAATTAGATGAGGTCATGAGAGTAGGGAACTTATGAATGAAATTGGTTCCCACATAAAAGAGGCTCCAGAGAGCTCCTTCACCCTATCTGCCATGTAAGGCACAGGCAAAGATGGCTGTCTGTGAATCAGAAAGTAGCTGACACTAAACACCAAATCTGCTGGTGCCTTGATCTTGTGTTTTCCAACCTCTAGAACTATGAAAAATAAATTTATGTTGATTTATAAGCCACCTAGTTTTTTGGTATTTTGTTGTAGCAGCCCAAATGGACCAAGACATTGGACAACAAAACAAATAAAATTATACAAAATATCTCTGGCCACAGTGGAATTAAACTACAAATCAATTAGTAAAGATATCTGAAAAATCCTCAAATATCTGGAAAATAAACAACACACTTCTAATAAAACTATGGTTTGAAGAAAAGCCACAATGAAAATTAGCATATATTTTAATTGAGTAAAAATGAGAATATGTCATATCAAAATTTATGAGATGCAAATAAAACAGTGCTTAGAAGGAAATTTACAGCGTTACAATTCTTGTATTAAAAAAGAAGAAACGTCTCAATACAAATAATCTAAGTTTCCACCTTAAGGAATGAGAAAAGAAGAGAGAGAGAATTACATCCAAACGAAATCAAATGGAAGGAAAAAAATAATAAAGATAAAAACCAAAATCAATAAAATTGAAAACATAAAACTAATAGAAAAAATCAGTAAAACAAAAATATAGTTCTTTGAAAACCCCAAAAATATTGCAAAAGCTCTAGTCAGTTAGACCAACAAAAAGAGGAGACACAAAAATAATTTCAGGAATTAAACAGGGTACATTACTACAGTCACACTGATATTAAAAGGTTAATAAAGAAAACACATAGATAAATTTTTGTCAATAAATTCAACTACTTAGATAAAAGGAACAAATTTCATGAATGACGTATACTAGCTTCCAGCCTTTAAGCCATTCCAGCTGATACCATGTGGAGAAGAGACAAATTGTCCCTACTGAACTCTTCCTAAATTTCAGATTTGCATTCAAAATAAATGTTTTAAATCACTAAAGTTGTTGATGTTATTCAGCAAAATGTAGCTAGAACAAACGCTGCACTCAAACATAAGTGGAATGTTTCAGTAAAATGGAATAATTACTCCAATAAACAATAGGCTAGTTCATAAAGCAACTCTCAGCAAATGACAAAGGATTGATATCAATCAGGATCTATTTATAAAATTAATCTATAAATAAATAACAAAGAAAAAATCTCAAAATATTTGTAAATTAAATATTATCCTAAATAACACATGAATAAAAAATATATATAATAGAAATTATAAAACATATTTAACCAAATGATAATGAAAATATTGTTTCAGGGCTTTTCCTTAGTTCAGCTAAAGACAGGGTTTTTGCCCATCCCACAGCCACGAAAATTTAGGCTTGCAGATGGTTTAAAGGGTGAGTAAAGCAGGGTTCTATTGGGTGAAAAGGGAAAAAAAGGAGGAAACAGGGATTATCACAAGGCCTGAGTCTCTCCGCTAGAGCACTTCCCGCCCAGCTGATTGAATCCCAGGTTCCACACAGGAAGAGGAGGGGCCAGGCTCCTCCCCATTGCAAACGGTGTGAACTTCCCTAGGCTCCACCGCAGTGGGCAGGCTGGTTGGAGTTTCTCCAGGGACCCCCTCCCATCTGCCACCTGGCTGTCTCAGTATGACATGTAAAAACATATAGAATTCAGGTAATTTTTTGTTGAGAGAAAAAGCTTCAGTTACAAATGCATAACTTAGAAAAGAAGAAAGTCAACTACTTAAGTATCCGTCTCATATAGTTAAAAAAGGGGGAGAGAGCAGAAAATCAAACTGAAAATAGAAGAAAAGAAATAGTTGATATAAGAACCAAAATAAAGGAAATAGAAAACATATGTACATTAGAAAAAATAAACAAAGTCAAACCTTGGTTAGTTCTTTGAAAAGATCAGTGAAAGTGATAAGCCTCTGGGGAAATTAATAAAGGAAAATGTGAAAGTGCAAATTACGGTAGTCAGGAATGAAACACACGGACTTTAAAAACTGAAGAGGCTATCATAAACAAATCGAACCAAATAAATTTTTAATTTTTAATGAAGTAATAAAGTTCCTAGAAAAACACAATTTAAAAAATTGACATAGGAAGAAATACAATATTCGAATAGCCTATATCTATAAAAGAAATTAATCTGATTATAAAAACCTTCCCAAAAGAAATCTCCAGTTTTCCCAAGATGGTGGATTAGGGGCTTTTAGCACGACTCAGTGCCTTGAAAGTAGCAAGATCACACATAAGAATCAACTATGTGAGCTTTCATGCAAGAAGGAAAACGGGAATGCACCAAAATCACAAAGGACACCCCAGATCATAGGAAAGAGAACACAGGCAAACAGCTGCCATGACAGGTATCCAACTGATAAAAGTGAATGAAGCCCCAGTATACGAGAGAGGAAGAGACTCTCCCTCTGTGACTCACCTTTCCACTGGGGGTCCAAAGCTGAGAGAGAGCACTTTGTTTCTTCCAAGCCCTGTAGTTAACTTGGGGAGAGTCTTGGAGATGTTATGAGGGAAAAATAGTGGGAAAAACTGCAGACATTTTCCCAGTCCCAGGACAGAGAACAGGACACCGTTTTTAATCTGAGTGCATACAAACCAGCCATTCTTTGGTGACTAGGCCCCATGGCTGCACAGGCATTTTAGTCTTGAGCTGGAGATGAGCACCTGCCCTGGAATAGAGTAGGGGCCTCTATAACCAGAATTGTGGAAAGCCCCCTCAGCAGTAGGCACTGGAATTGTGCTCTCCCCCATGGAAGACTTGGGGCAGGATATCCGCCACAGCTGTGATTTCTCCTAGGTGATAAGAATTGCAGCCTGGGCCAGTTTGGTGACCTGGAACTGGTCTCTATGTGTCATTGCTGGGTGCCTCAACCTACTCGCCTGAGATTGTGGTGCAGCAGGGCCCTCTCCACTCCACCCCCAGGCAGAACTCCAGGCATTTAGAACACCCACATGCTTGGATGAGCAACCTGAGCCATCCCACCCTTCCTGTGCATAGATCATTGTGCAGTGGAGTCCTCTCCACTCCACAACCAGGCAGATCTGCAAACATCAGGAGCATCCACTTACATAGACTAGCAGCCTGAGTCACCCTGCCCTTCCTATGCAGCGATCCTGCTGGAGGAGAGCACTCTCCGCTCCACACCCAGGCAGATCTCCAGGCATCTGGAGCACCTGCTCACCAGGATTGGCAGCCTGACCACCCCACCCTTCCTGTGCAAAGATCTAGGTGCAGGGGGGCCCATCTCTGATCCATGCCCAGGCAGATGTCTATGCAATTGAAGCCCCCACTCACTTGGATCAGCAGCGTCATCTGCCCCATCCTCTCTGTGCAGAGATTGTGGTTCAGCAGAGCCCTCTACCCTCCACACCCAAGCATATCTCCAGGCATCTGGAGCTCTGACTCTCCTGGATTAAGAGTTTAGCCTCCCCAAACCACACTGCCTGCATCTCCTCAACCCACACCACCTGCGCCGAGAACTTCCAGCTGAGGATGATTCCCAGCTCCATGCCTAGGCACACCTCTGGGTGCTTGGTGGCTGCCCATTAGATTCTCCTTCAGTGCTAGTGCTTGTGCCTGCAACTGGGGGACCTGTAGGTGAGCCTGCCCAGTCCAGCCCTGCCTGTCTTGCTCCCAACCAACCCCTGGGACTGAGCAGGGAGTTCAGACCACTGTTCCCTCCTTGGATCAGCCCATTGCCTGAAGCAACAGAGAGCTTCTCCCAGGAAACAAGGGTCAAGTATATACCAAACAAATTGACCTATAAGCTCTGACCTCTAAGCACCATCCACTGGCTTGTAGGTCCAATCACACAGCCCAATATAAAACCTGTGAACAGAAGTGCATAGTGCTGTAGTAACAAAATCAAAGGACCCTACTCAGCATTCTCTACAGTCACACCCTCCTAGGAAGGGGGAAGGGGGAGGAGGGAGGAGGAGGGAGGAGGAGGGAGGAGGGGAGAGGGAAAGGGAAATTTTACAAACTAATATTATTATAGGGAAAGAAAGAAAAAGAAAAAATTCTATCCATAAGAAAATAGATTCAAGAATTAGAAGTGCCTGTGTCTCCAGATGAGAAGGAACCAATGCAAGAATTTTGGCGTAATAAAAAATCGAATGTAGTGACACCACCAAAGGTTCACACTAGCTCACCAGCAATGGTCCTTAACCAAAGGTGAATCCAGCACCATCACCCTGATACCAAAACCTGGCAAAGACACAATGAAAAAAGAAAACTTCAGGCTAATATCCCTGATAAATATAGATGCAAAAACCTCAACAAAATACTAGCAAACTAAATCTAGCAGCACAGCAAAAAGTTAATTCACATTAATCAAATAGGCTTCATTTCTGGGATTTCTGGGATGTAAGGTTGGTTCAACATACATGGATCAAAAAATGTGATTCACCGCTTAAACAGAATTTAAAACAAAAACCATATGATCATCTCAATAGACATGGAAAAAGCCTCGATAAAATGCAACATTCATTCATGGTAAGAACCCTCAACAAAACTAGGCATCGAAGAAAGAAACTTCAAAATAATAAAAGCCAGCTATGACAAACCCACAGCCGCCATCATACTGAACACAGAAAAGCTGGAAGTATTCCCCTTGAGAACTAGAACAAGACAAGGATGCCGACTCTCCACTCCTATTCAACATAGCATTGGACGTCCTTGCCAGAGCAATCAGGCGAGAGAAAGAAAGGCATGCAAATAGGAAAAGAAAATGTCAAACTACCTCCACTGACAATACGATTCTGCACCTAGAAAACTCTAAAGACTCCACCAAATGGTTCCTGGGACTGATAAACAACTTCAGTAAAGTTTCAAAATGCAAAATAAATGAACAAAAATCAGTAGGATTTCTATACATTCAAGCTGAAAGCCAAATCCAGAATGCAATCCCATTTACAATAGCCACACAAAAAAATACCTAGGAATATGCCTAGGTATTTTCTCCTCCTCTAACCAAGGAGGAGAAAGATATCTGCAAGAATTACAAAATAATGCTAAAAGAAATCATAGATGACACAAACAAATAGAAAAACATTCCATGCTCATGGATTAGAAGAATCAACATTGTTAAAAATGGCCACACTGTCCAATGCAATCTACAGATTCAATGCTATTCCTTTCAAACTACCATTGCAATTTTTCACAGAATTAGAAAAAAAATTTAAATTCATATGGAACCAAAAAAGAGCCTGAAAAGCCAAAGCAATCTGAAGCAAAAAGAACAAAGCCAGAGGCATCACATTACCTGACTTCAACCTATACCATAAAAAAAAATTGACCATAGACCAATGGAACAGCATAGAGAACCCAGAAATGAAGCTGCATTCCTACAGCCATGTGATCTTGGAGAAGGCTGACAAAAATAAGCAATGGGGAAAGGACTTTCTATTCAATAGGTGCTGGGGTAACTGCCTAGCCATACGCCAAAGGATGAAACTGGACCCTTACCTTTCACCATGTATAAAAGTTAACTCAAGATAAACTACAGATTTAAATGTAAGACCTCAAACTATAAGAATTCTAGAAGAAAACTTAGGAAATACCATTTTGAACACCAGCCTTGGGAAAAAAAATTATAACTAAGCCCTTAAAAGCAACTGTAACAAAACAAAAATTGATAAGTGGGACCTAATTAAACTAAAGAGCTTCTGCACAGCAAAAGAAACCATCAACAGAGTAAACAGACAACCTACAGAATGGGAGAAAATATTCACTAAGTATTCATTCGTCAAAGGTCTACTATCCAGAATCTATAAGGAATATAAACAATTCAACAAGAAGAAAACAAATCACCCCATTAAAAAGCAAGCAAGGCCAGGCATGGTGGCTCATGCCAGTAATCCTAGCAGTTTAGGAGGCTGAGGTGGGCGTATTGCCAGAGCTCAGGAGTTCGAGACCAGCCTGGGAAACATGGTGAAACCCCATCTCTACTAAAATAGAAAAAATTTGCCGGGCGTGGTGGTGAGCGCCTGTAGTCTCAGCCACTCCAGAGGCTGAGGCAGGAGAATCAATTGAATCCAGAAGAGAGAGGTTGCAGTGAGCTGAGATCGTGCCACTGCACTCCAGCCTGGGCAACAGAGTGAGACTCCGTCTCAAAAAAAAAAAAAAAGAAGAAGACATACAGGCAACCAACAAACATATGAAAAAGTATTCCACATCACTGATCTTCAGAGAAATGTGAATCAAAACTACAACGAGACAACATCTCTGACCAGTCAGAATGCTATTATTAAAAAATCAAAACATAACAAATGCTGGCAAAGCTTCAGAGAAAAGGGAACATTTATACATTGTTGGTGGGAATGTAAATTAGTTCAACCACTGTGGAAAGCAGTTTAAATTTTTCTCAAAAAACTTAGAACTATTGTTCAAGCCTGCAATCTCATTACTGGGTATATATCCAAAAGAAAATAAACCATTCTACCAAAAAGACACATGCACTCATATGTTCATCACAGCACTATTCACAATAGCAGCAACATGGAATCAACCTAGGCGTCCCTCAGTGGTAGACTGGATAAAGAAAATGTGGTACATATATATTACAGAATACTACATGGCCATAAAAAAAATTATGTCCTTTGCACCAACATGGATGCAGCTGGAGGCCATTAACCTATGCATATTAATGCAAGAACAGAAAACCAAATACTGTATGTTATCCCTTTTAAGTGGGAGCTAGATATTGGGTACTCCTGGACATAAAGATGTCAACAATAGACACTGGGGACTACTAGAGAAGAGAAAGAGGGAGTAGGGAAAGGATTGAAAAACTAACTATTGGGTACTAGCCTCACTTCCTGGGTGACAGGATCAATTGTACCCCAAACCTCAGCATCACACAATATACCAATATAACAAACCTGCACATGTACCCTCTAAATCTAAAAAAGTTGAAACTAAAAAAAAAAAAAAAAACTTCCAGGCCCAGATATCTTTACTAGTGAATTCTTCTAAACATTTAAAAAAGAAATAGCAATAATTTTACAAAACTCACCCATATTCTAGGGAAAAAAATAACATTTTCCAAATCATTTTTTTGAGTTCTGCAAATCTTAATACTAAAAAACCTGGCAAAGAAATTTTAAGACGGGAAAATTACTGGCTATCTCTCACATAATATAGATATAAAAATCCTAAATAAAGTATTACCAAATCAAATACAATAATAGAAAATAGATAACATATAACTACCAAGTTTTCATTTATTCTAACAAAACTGGAATAGTAAGCTAGCCTGGTCTAATATGTAATAATCAGTCAATGTAATTCACTACATAACAGAATAAAGGAGAAAATTAGTTTATCAGCTTATAAATGTAAAAAAAATGCAACATCCATATGACAGGTAGAATAATGCCCCCACAAATATATTCGCATCCTAATCTCCAAAACCTGACATGACAAAAGGGACTTTGCAGATGCAAATAAGTTAACGGCCTTGAGATGGGGAGAGCACCCTGGATTATCCAGCCTAATCATGTGGTAACCTAATTATGTGGCTGATTAAAATAAGAACCTTTCCTGACTGTAGTTAGAGAGAGATGTGACTATGGGAGAATGGTGAGAGATTGAACATTGCTGGCTCTGAAGATGGAGGAGACAGGCAACAAGCCAAAGAATATTAGTGACCTGTAAAAGCTGGAAAAAAGACACAGATTCTCTCCTAGAGCCTCCAGATGGAATATATCTCTGTCAAAACCTTGATTTTCAGTCCATGAGACCCGTGTCAGGCTTTTTACCTAAAGAATTGTAGGATGATAAGTTTGTGTTGGCTTAATCCACTAAATCAGTATTAATTTCTTACAGCAGTAACAGACATGTAATAGAACCCATTAATGATAAAACTTTTACCTAACAGGGAATAGGAATGAAATTCCTTAATTTGAGAGTGTTGTCGAGATTCATAAAAGGTGTTCTTTCATACCCTGAATATTCAAGAATTTGAGTCCATAAAACAAACTGATAATAGACAGATTAATAAAAGAAAAAGCATATAAATGTATTAATATGTAAGCACACGGAGTCACACAAAGTATAGAAACTCAAAGAAGCACCAGATAGCTGAAGCTTAAATACTCTCTCTACAGGGGAGAGGAAAGTGAGGGATGTAGGCAATTTTAGAGGAAGAGTAAATGATTTTTTAGGGGAGATGAATGAGCCCAAAGTATAAACAATAGCCTGGGACAACGCTCTTCTGGGCTCTGGGTGTGGTGTCACCTTCCTTCCTGCGATATGCATCAATTTCCCATGGTTAGTGAGACATCTGGGGAAGAGATTCACAACAGTTGAATGTCTTTTGGAGGATCTGGACTTTAGGTAGATAGGCAAAGTTCAGAAAAAAGGCCTTCCCTTCATTTGCTGCTCCCCCAGTGTTCTCAGTGTAAAGTACAAAGTGGCACATTTCAGGATATTGTTTTCTGAGCCCCAACAGTATTCACCCAAAATTCACAAGAGGCCACATATTTAATGATGAAATGTTAAAACATTTTTCCTTAGATTGGGGAATGAGACAAGGGTGCCTGCAAGAATTACTTTTATCCAACATTAGTACAGGAGTCCCTAGCCATAAGACAGAGTTAAAAAAAAAAAGGTGGGGGGAGGGCTCAGAATTTTAAAAAGAGAAACTGCAATTATTCTCAGATAATCTAGAGACAAATTACTAGGATTAATAAGTGAATCCAAGGCTGAAAACACCTGAAAAATATACACAGGGAGTTTCCAGGATGCTGGAAGCATGTTGTTTGGTTTTTCGGTCTGCATGTGGTTGAGTTTATTTTGTGAAAATTCACCAAGCTCTTCCATTACAATTTTTGCACTTTTATATATGTATGTTCATGCTTCAATAGAAAGATCATTAAGAAAAAAAGACACGTGGGAGCCTGTCTTCAATCGTGATTATGAGTGGACACTCTGAATCTTGACTTATTCTTGGTTTTGCCTCTCCCATACAAGTTACTTATACAAGATCTTATACAAGTTACTCAACTTCTCAACATTTCAGTATTCTTTACTACAGAATGAGGATGATAGCATCCACCTTTGTGAGAAGATTAAGAGAGTTAATACACATAAAGTCCACAATGAACACTCAATAAATATTAACTATTTTATTCCATAGCCAAGAGATAATCCACAGACCTAAAAAGTGGAAGTCAAACTAGACGAGCAGAGTTAATTGAGAAATCTGGAAGTGACTTTAAAATAAGTATAATTAAAAGCTTTCAGATCATAAGAACAGTAATTTATGAAGGAAATACAGATTTTTTTAAAAAGTAGTAGATTATAAAATCTCAAAATGAGAAGTATAATCATTAAAATAAAAAATTTAGTAAGCATGTTAAATAGTAAATTCATCAAAAGTGAAAAGAGAATTAGTAAATTTTAAAGAATAAACTGAATGAAAATCCAAAATAAACACATAAGAATAATATATAGAAAATATGAACAAAAGTCACAGAGGCTAGACTTAGATACTCCAAATTACATCAAATCAGAACTCCTGAGGGAAAGAAGAGGGAAGGGGCAATGACTGTTTCATTATGTTGGGATTTGGGGATTTTTTAGACAGGGTCTCTCTCTGTCACCCGGTTTAGAGGATAGTAGAATGATCGTACCTGACTGCAGCCTCATCTTTCCAGCTCAAGTCATCCTCCTACCTCAGCCTCCCAAGTATCTGTGACTACAGGCATGCACCACCATGCAGGGCTAAACTTTTTAAAATTTTAGTAGAGATGTGTTCTTGCTATGTTGCCCAGGCTGGTCTCAAACTCCTGAGCTCAAGCAATTCTCCTGCCTCGGCCTCCCAAAGTTCTGGGATTACAGGTGTCAGCCGTCACAACTAGCCTATGCTGGGATTTTTGAAGAGCTGACGAAAGACTTGGGTCCTTAGATGAAGAAGGCACACTGGGTCCCAAGTGGTATAAATAAAAGTAAACCCACACCTAAACATCATTTTAAGGCTACAAAACATCAATAGTAAAAGAAAGCCTGACAAGCTACCAGGAAGAAAGACTATTACCTAAAGTAGAAAGATGAACAGACTAACATCAATGAATCAGCAACAATAAATAAATGTTGTGGCATACTGGAGCCAGCCTGCACCAACTCACAAGAGCCAACTGAGAAATTTCCAGGAATTTTGTGAACCAGTCATTAAAATGTCAGTAGTTTAAAATCAGCTATGGTGGGAGTATTTATACCATAGAAATTGATAAATGCTACAAACCAGAGTTCTTTCTCCAGCCTCCAGAAAACATTTACCAGCACATCACTGAATAAAGGCCAGAAACAATAAAAATCTCTAAAACACTTGATGAAAAGTAGCTCTCAGCCTAGGATTCTATACCAAGCCAAAACATCCTTTGAGACTGAGAGGAAAAATAAAAACATTTCCAACCTACCTGAAACTAAAAAAATTTGAATCCACAGACCTATGCCAAACAAAATACTGAAAGCTACATATACTTGGATAGGAAGAAAAATAAACCCAGAAGTAAGGAGTAAAGAAAATCAGCAAACTATATTCTTAAATATAAATCACTATTATCATTATTACAATTAACTGCAAAAAGTGTAAATAATTTATATTTAAAAGCAATGTGGAATCAAAATATTGGGCACCAATAACATGGGAGAAAACAATAATGAGGGGATGTTGGAGGGATGTTTAATATGCCAAAACTTTTGTGTTGTTCATAAACGAGATGAATAAATTGATTACTTTTTAGACTGCATCATAAAAACATAGTTTACTATGTGTGAGGATGCACTGGTGACAGCCTAACACACAGTGGGACCTTAATATATAATTTCTATGTCCATTACCAAGGGAATTATATTTTTCTTGTTTTTCTTAAATTTGGAAAACAGCACTGCAGAAATTAATCTAGGATTGAGCCCATTTTGTTTTGTACAAGTACAAAAAGACATTAACACTTGATATGAATTATAGTCGAGAGATATGGAACTAATATTGAAAGGAGTTAGCCAGCTTGCTTTAGTCAGACAGTAAGGGAAGTGCCCTCGGAGAATCTCCAACCCACCCCACAAGTGCTTGCACCAGATGTTTTGTGCAGATAAGGGAACTTGCACATGGGGCTTGCCTGAACATCCCCACAGCAGACTAAGGGACCTCATGTGCACTGTGGGGAGGGAGTGGAGCCACCAGGAATTCACGCCTTATACCCAGCCCCATCAGTTTTTATATAAAACCCCTGGTATTCAACTGTGAAGGAGACAACCAGGAGCCTGCTATCAGGACCCCTCTCTTTGCTGAGAGCTTTCCTTTCACTTAATAAATTCTATTCCACTCATTCTTTGAGGGTCCATGTGCCTACTTTTTCCTGGTGTTGTGACAAGAACCCAGACCTAGCTGAACTAAGGGGCAAAAAATCCTGCATCAATATTTAACATTATAACCATCTGGACATAAAATCATGATAACATGCAATCATGATCATTTTTATTCAGTTCCAACTTATTTTATTCTTCTGCTTGTCATGTCTACATCTCTATTATGGACTCACAAGATCCTATCATTCCTACAGACTTCTCAAAGCAAAACAATTCCCTATTAACATCATGGGTCTGATTTTTTTCTTTACCAACCATGTTTTAAGTGGTTCTGTACGGGGTGGAATTTTTTCTCTTTGCTGCTTCATTCCCATTGTACCAGACTGACAACATGAATTCTCATGGCCTTACTCTCAATTATTCTTTCTTGGAATTATACATTTAGTAATGCAGAGACTGAAAGGGGATCCAGAAAGAGAAATAGTGGGGAGTAGGAAGGGGGTAGAGGGTGATTTCAAGTGGATTTTCTTGTAAGTTTTTTGTAACCCTCACACAGAAGATAAATTTGTCACAAGATACATCTTTGCTGACAAAGAAACTCAGAGTAATAGAAGGCAAACGATTTCTTTTTTTTTTTTAGATGGAGTCTCACTCTGTCACCCAGGCTGGAGTGCAGTGGCGCGATCTTGGCTCACTGCAAGCTCTGCCTCCCAGGTTCAAGCGATTCTCCTGCCTCAGCCTCCCGAGTAGCTGGGATTATAAGCATGTGCCACTGCGCCCAGCAAATTTTTGTGTTTTTAGTAGAGATGAGGTTTCACCATGGTCGCCAGGCTGGTCTCAAACTCCAGACTTCAAGTGATCCACCCATCTCAGCCTCCAAAGTGCTGGGATTACAGTCGTGAGCCACCATTGTTCTGCAGTTACTCTGAGTTCTGATTTCCTCTTGTGAGGTTTCTTGTCTGTTTTATGAGGCATTTAATATAGAACATATTTAATACAAATAGACCTTGCCAAGTTCTCACTGAAGACAACCACTACTGCCCTATCCTTGCCCCAATCCAGCAGTTACTTATGACCAGGAGGACCCAGTTTACCTGGGACACTCCTGGCTTACATCTCTTGTCTGGCATAATTATTATTAGCACCTCCATAATTATTCATAGCACTCCAAAAGTGTCCTGGGTTAGATAAACTATATGGTCACCTTCCTTATGAGCAGTCAGTTATGCCTCTCCTGGATCAGATGTGGAGGGAAGGAGATTAGTATTACGGAGGGTTTATTTTGACTAAACACTGGTCTAGATACTGTGTAAGTAATTTCAGTACATCTTAACACAACCCTAGGAGACAGGTAACATTTATTACCAACTAGAGATTAGGAAAGTAATGTTCACAGAGTATGAAGTGGGTCCATGGGCATACAACTTATGAATGGCTAATTAAGGACCAGAATCCAGAGCTAAAGTCAAAACCAGTGCTCTTCCTCCTAGACCACCTTCCCAACAAAAGAAAACTGAATCAGAATATCACCATCTACCACTGTGAGATTTGAAAAGTTTGCCATTGCTCCCTACCAAGAGCCAAAGACACCAGACATTTACTGTAATGTATTTGGGCAGCCATCTGTGGAAAATTATCTGCAAAGATGACCACCCATAATTTCTGTAGCCGCATGCCATATCTCCTATCCAGAAGTGAAGTCTTTTTCCTTTCCCTTAAATCTGGGCTGGCACTGTGACTGGCTTTCACCAATGGAACACAGCAAAAATGACACTGTGCCAGTTTCAGGCCTAGGCCTTAAGAAACCTGGCAACAAGCCAGGCACGGTGGCTCACGCCTGTAATCCCAGCATTTTGGGAGGCCGAGGCGGGCAGTTCACAAGGTCAGGAGTTCGAGACCAGCTTGCCAACATGGTGAAACCCTGTCTCTACCAAAAAATATAAAAATTAGCTGGGCATGGTGGCAGACACCTGTAATCCCAGCTACTCAGGAGGCTGAGGCAGGAGAATTGCTTGAACTCGGGAGGCAGAGGTTGCAGTGAGCCGAGATCACGCCACTGCACTCCAGCTTGGGTGACAGAACAAGACTCCGTCTCGGGGAGGAAAAAAAAAATAACTGGCAACTCCTCTTCTGCTTGCTTACTGCCCCAATCCACAAGTAAAGAACTCTAGACTGGGCAACATGGTGAGACTCCATCTCTACCAAAAAAAAAAAAAATTTCAGTTAGCCAGGCATGTCCATGTAGTCTCAGCTACTGGGGAGGCTAAGGAGGGAGGATCGCTTGATCCGAGAAGGTCAAGGCTTCAGTGCACTGTGATTGCACCACTACACTCCAGCCTAGGTGTCAGAGCATGAGTTTGTCTCAAAAACAAACAAACAAACAAACAAAAAACAACAACAACAACAACAACTCTGGGCTATCCTAAGCTATCCTAATAGAAAGAAGGATTGCATGAATAGAAATGCCAGGTGGAGATGGATTAAAGCAACCCAGAGGATAGAAGGGAACACCACACCCCAGTATGTGAGACCATCTTAGATGTACAGCCTCTCCCAACCCTCAGATGAACAGTGCTGCATGAGTGAGCTCAGTCAATATGGGGAGCCAAGCTAACTCTGCTGGGTCCTACCCAGATTTCCTGACCCACAGAATTGTGAATAATCAGTGGGTGTTGTTTTAAGACACTGAACTTTGGAGAGGTTAGTAACACAGCAATAGTTAACTGATGCACTATCTTTTTCCCTACTCCCTTATCTCTACCACACTCTGAGGCTCATCTCTCTGGGTCTTTTAGAAAGCCAGGGAATGATGGCCAGGCAGGAAACACTGCCTTGGAGCCCGAACAAGCCAGCAGGCTTGTTTCCTCCTCCTGTCAACATTTCCCATGCCAGCCTTGCCCCATTCCCATTTTGCTTTGCCTCACATGAAATTATAGAAATTTCCCCATTTCTCCTTTATTATATCTATACCTCTGTCCTGTAATTCCAAGGCCACTACCATGCCCACTTTAGATCTTCCCTCAGACTCTAAAACCACACTTTTCCGGCTGGGAGTGATGGCTCATGCCTGTAATCCCACCAGTTTGGGAGGTCAAGGAGGGAGGATCACTTGAGCCCAAGAGTTCAAAACCAGCCTGGGCAACATAAGGAGACCTTGCCTCTATTTTTTTTAAAAAATGTTAAATAAATAAATTAAATTAATAAAATTACAATTTTCCTATGGCTATTCTTGAGTGTGAGGAACATCTGTAAATGTGTGTCTGTGTATGTGTGTGCATTTGTGTATGTGTATGTATCAGTGCACATGTACTCATTTTTATGTATATTCCCTAAATCTCAACAAAGTCAAAATTACACTTAACTCTACATGTGTTTGAGTCATGCAACATACATGGATGTCTAATCTCTTTATGTAAGTTTCCCAGTGCCAACTAATAATGCATCAATTTCCAACAAAAAGCCCCTGTAACTCTTTAAAAAGATTCATTAATCTAATTTTATTAATTCAGTAGTCACAATATGAATACGCTGTATTGACCTGAAGAGCTTATTTCATGTTTTTAAGAGATTTAAACTGTTTCCAATGGCAACCAGAGAATCAGCTTGACATCTCAGACAATAAAACCTTAGCATTCATCCATATCATGAGCCAAGCAGAGAGCTGGGAGGTTTATGACATTTTAATCATTGATAATTTTGGTTGTGCTGATGAGAAAACTTTTTAATGTGAGGAACTTGGAGAGGGTTCCAAGGAAAGCTGCCAAGGTAATTAAAGCAGCCTTGTAAATTGGTTTGAAGAATATGCCAGGCTGACAAAACAACCATCAGCCTATATGACCCTCCCCTCCCCTGGCCAACCCAATCTATTCGTCAGATAACCTCAGCTTAATTGAAATTGACAACACAATGATGACAAATATGTGCCATGGCTTAAGCAGCACATACTACCTTATAATCCTTTACAGAATGTGGCAATAAATAATGAGACTGGTCATTTGTACCCTGCTGACTTCCTGAAAGTGTTTTAGGCAGCTTACATTTAAAAATGCAATGAGAAGAATGTGTAAAATTAACACAAGGTAATAGCCAGTCTCAGCCGTTTCAAAATGTGTTTGGAAACTAATGAAGGAGTGGAAATTAAGCCAAAATCATGCTAAATGAGGAAATTTAGGACATATGAATATAAATATAGTCCTCACAACATAGGATGGAGGAAAGGTCATAGGAGGCGAGGGAAAAGCACACTCACAGTGAAGTGTAGGGAATAGATGAAAGGAAAAGTAGAGGGAGAGTACCAACATATACTTGATTCCAGTCTACATACAGTGAACTGTTCTAGGACTTCTAGTATCTCATTTAATCTTCACAGTAATTGATGAGAAAACTGAGACTCAGAACCTGGGTAACTTGCCCGAAGTCTCGCCTCCATAACGTGATGAAACAACGTGCCCAACCTAAAGCCATTTGACTCCAAACCCAGTATTCTTTCTGCTCAACAATTCTCAGTCAAGAAGAGATTTATTTAAGGACACTAAGCAATAGAATAAATTGTGTTATGCAAAGTCATTCTTTCACCTATGCAAGAGTGTTCCTTGTGGGCCTGTTTTCAGAAGACAGGTATGTTGTACTGCTGAGGCATTTGTATACAATGGTTAAGGGCACAAGCTCTTGAGAGTGAAAGCAAATTTGAATCCCAGTTGCATCACTTCCTAGTTATGTGATCTTTGGCAATTTACTGGACCTCTTGGGGCTTCAGTTTCCCCATTAGAAAAGTGAGAACAATTAAGCCTGGCTCACTGGATGGTGAAAGGACGACATAACACAGGCAAAGTGCTTAGCACAGAGTTCTGAACACAGTAGAACTTAAATATATTTTTATTCCAATTTCTATATCTATGTTTATTAAGTCAAGATGGCCATTGTTTTACTGAAATATTTACAGGTAAAATGACATCCTGTCTTGGATTTGCTTCAAAATATTTTAGCTTAAAAAGGAGGTGAGAAGAGCATTACGTGGGAATAAGGAAACAAGACTAACAAATGCTGATGATTGTTGAAACCACGTGAAGCTGGTACATGGGGTTCACTAGGCAATTCTCTTTACTTTGGTGTACACTTGAAATTTTCCACAATAAAAACTTTTTTTTAATGTTCGTGGTTAGAATACCCAAAGGACACATATGTTGATGAAAAATGCCAGAACTAAAGACTGAGAGGAAGAAAAGACTGAATCCTAGTTAGCCTGGTATCTCCTCAGAAGGCCTCAGGGGATCGAGGCCTGGAATGATTACTTTCTTGAATCCAAGCTGTGTATCACATAAAATTTCAAAGAGGTGACTGTTACCCTGTTCTTCAAAAGTTTGAAAATAAGAGTTGCCATGCAATCTCTAGAACTAAAGCTAATTATTTTTTGAATGCCATTACCTTGGTTTCCCTTCTTTCTACCTCCATCCACTGGTGTAGCCTACCATATTTATCTTTTCAATATTACCATTTTTGTTATCAGCCTCTCTTTCCAGCACACACAACTTCCCTGTCCTTTGAATTTCCTTATGCCTGCCAAGGGATTCCAGCTGAAGTTTCTATGACTGGCCTTCCTTAGATCTCCTAAAGATTTTCTATTTAAGACCGTTTGCTTAAAGTCTACTAACAATGCATTTTTGAGTTACAATAGCTTTATTATTAAAAGGCATATATGCTTTTAGGAAGAAAAACACATTGTCACCCATATGTGTCAATTAATTGATCGTGAATTAAGTAGGATGAGATTCCAGGATGTGATGACTGTGGAGAGGAGGTATGTTCAGAAAGAGGAGGTGGCATCAAAGCCAAAGTTTGCAATTTTGCTCCACTGTTTCCCAAAGAATTGTCTCATGTCCATATCCCTCACTCCTTCTTAGCAAGATTTGCCTGTCCACTGTCACATGCATAATAGCTCACTCTGTTTTCTAAGCTAGATAACTTGAGCAACTTATTCTTGAAAAGGTGGAAATGGCTAACAGTTTATATCCAAACATGACTACCTCCTAGGAACACATTTGTGGTACCCAGAAACAAACAAACAAACATAGACCTTAGAATCAAAGAACCTAAGAAAAGATGGAAAACAAATGACCCTCTCACCATAAGTGCCACATGATGTAATGCTAGAATTTTGTTTATGCTATTAACAATCACTTATGCATTTGTTTGTTGAAATTAGATTGGACTGTGAAGGCACAACCCCTCATCAGCTAATTTTACCCCTTCATTCCACCATGTCGAATTGTCTTTTTATAACCATCATGGAAATATAGTCTAACAATGTGGAATCGAATACATCCAGTTCCCTTTAGCATTTTCTTACCAACATGAGTGGTAATAGAACCAGTATGCTAGGACTTATGTAGAGAGCTGCAGGTGATAGAACAGTCTCATTATTTCAATTATATCCATATTTGCAATTTATTTAATTATTATCATTAGTTCCCTGTATAAATTGGTTGGGGTATTAGTCTCCAGCTAAGTTATTTTATAAAACCTTAAATTAGCCGGGCATAGTGGCTCACACCTATAATCTCTGCACTTTGGGAGGCCGAGATGAGTGGATCACTTGAGCTGAGGAATTCGAGACCAACCTGAGCAACATGGCAAAACCCTGTCTCTACTAAAAATACAAAAATTAGCTGGGCGTGGTGGCATATGCCTATGGTCCAAGCTACTCCAGAGGCTGAGATGGGAGGATCACCTGAGCCCAGGGAGGTCAAGGCATCAGTGAGCCAAGTTTGCACCACTGCACTCCAGCCTGGGTGACAGAGTGAGACCCTGCCAAAAAAAAAAAAACCACTTTAAATTATTTCCAGTACTGGTGATACCTTTCTTTTAATAATCAACAGCTAAATAACAAAAAAGTTTTAACGAAATACCATCTTACTTACAGATTTCAACAACAAAAGGGTTCACTGTGTTTATTACTAACTCAACTTACCCCATTGCGTAGCCCCTTTGTAGATAAAAGCCATGTAAGGTCAACTCAAAGCACACTATTAGGAAACAATGCAGGCCAGGCACCATGGCTTATGCCTGTAATCCCAGCATTCTGGGAGGCTGAGGTGGGTGGATCCCGAGGTCAGGAGCTCGAGACCAGCCTGGCCAAGAGACCAGCCTGGCCAATATGTTGAAAACCTGTCTCTACTAAAAATACAAAAATTAGCCAGGCGTGGTGGCGGGAGCCTGTAATCCCAGCTACTCGGGAGACTGAGGCAGGAGAACTGCTTGAACCCAGAAGGTGGAGGTTGCAGTGAGCCAAGACCATACCATTGCACTCCAGCCTGGGTGACAGAGCAAGACTCTGACTCAAAAAAATAAAAAAAATAAAAGAAACAATGTATTCTTCCCTTAAAATTCTACATAAATTTTTTGCTCCTTTGTTTTCCTTGGAGATACAACCGAAACATAGATAGTTAGGTTTATTTCCCTAGTCTGTGATTTCATGACTTGCTTGTGATTGAAAGCTTTCCAGAAATCATTTGGACCTCTGTGCATCACTCCAGTAACCACACATTAACCCTAGTAACTAGACTTCAGTAACATACCTTACACCTGTGTTTTCCCTGCCGCCAGTCTTTTCACGCCCACAGCTTATTACCAGAGCAATTCAGCTGGATGGGAAATATTTCCATTGGTCTCTCCTGACCAGGCTAATTGCCCCCTTGTGCTGCCCCATCTTTTTAAGTGTATACTCTATTGTCCCATTTGTTAGCCTGTAGTTGCAGTTATTCACTGACATGTCTATTGCTGCCCCCAAAGAGTTTAAGGAAACGATTATTGCTGTGTCTCCCCAAAATTCATATATTGAGCCTGTAAACCCCAAGGTGACAATATCTGGAGATAGGGGGTAATTTGAGGTAAGTGAGTTGGAGCCCTCATGATTGAATTAGTGCCCTTATAAGAAGAGACACAAAACTGCTTTCTCTCTCTCTCTCTCTCTCTGTCTGTCTCTCTCTCCCCCGATGCATGAAGAAGAGGTCTGTGCTGTGTGCACACAGCAAGATGGCAGCTGCCTGTAAGCCAAGAGAAGAGACCACAGAATAAAACATACCTTGCTTGCTCCTTGATCTTAGACTTCCTAGCCTCTAGAACTGTGAGAAATAAATTTCTGTTGCTTAAGCCTCAAGTCTATAGCATCTTGTTATGGCAGCCAAAGCTGACTATGCCAATCATCTCTCATATGTTTCTAAATCCCTAGTCATCTGACACAATGCCTGGCCCCCAAGAAATGCTTAAAAGTTGTGTTAAATAAATGCACAACCTATACTACATACTGTCCAGTAAGTAAAACCGTGTTTGATACATAATATTTTCAAATCATCTTTGTTATTTTGAACTTTAATTGCAATATGCCTAAATATGGACATAAAATACATATTTATATTGCTCACTGGGCCCTTTCTGTCTTTTGTTATGGGAAATTTCTTTTACTTCTCCAAGTATATGCTTCATTCCATTTCTGATTCCACTGAATTCTCTCTCACTAGCAGGGGGAATGAGTAAGGAAAGATGGCTCTAAGGTTTTTCATCCCATCTATCCAAATAGGTCGATAAACTAAGGCCCACAAAAATCAAATGACTTGTGGAAGGTATATTATTTTTACCAAACCTTAAAGGTATTTGGGAATTGGAAAGCGTTATAAGATGACAGTGTTAAGTCAAGGGACTTGGAAACAATCAAATCCTGTCTTAGACCAACTAATTCTTTCCATCAAAGTACCTTAGGAAAATATATCAACATAGAATAACCAGTGGTTATTCTTAGGTCTTGGCCCCGAATACCCAATACAGAAATATTTTGGCTGAGATTTTGGTAGCCATAAGTCTAGAACCAAAGTTGGCTAAGCTTGTAGTCTCAAAATGTCTCCCCATGAGAGACTTACTAACTACAAAATGGAAAATAGTCACTTTTCAGTGTTGAAATCTAGCAAGCATGACTTCAACCAAGTGGCCAAAGTTAACATCACAAAAATAAAATATTAATATTATACATCTCCTGATATGATGTGCTGAGAAAAATACATAGCCTCTGTGGTTTACCTGATAAAAATGTATAACCTAATTAAAACATGAGAAAACATGAAACAAGCACCAATTGAGAGATATTTTATGAAATAGCTGACCAGGAATCCACAGAAGTGCAAGGTCATAAAATACAAAAATAGGCTAAGGAATTGTCAGAGATTGTAGAGATTAAGGAGAAAAAACAAACTAAATGTAATTTGGAATCCTGAATTGGATTCTGGACCAGAAAAAGGACATTGGTGGAACGAGAGACAAATTCAAGTAAGGTCTATAAGTTAGTTAATATTGCAACTATGTTATTTTCCTGATCTAGAGCATTGCACCGTGGTTATGCAACATATTAACAGGAAAATCTCAATGAAGAGCAGAAAAAACTTTCTGAACTTCCTAAAAAAAATTAAATAAAAATTACACGTTTAAAGTTGTACAATGTGATGTTTTGATTACATATATATAGATAGAGATATATGATGAAATGATCACTATAGTCAAGCTAATTAACATACTCATCATCTTACATAGTTGCCTTGTTTTTTTAGGTGGGAGGGCAGTTGTAGTGAAAACACTGGAGATCTAGGCCGGGCACAGTGGCTCATGCCTACAATTCCAGCACTTTGGAAGGCCAGGGCCAGTGAGTCACTTGAGCCCAGGAGTTGGAGACCAGCCTGGAAAACATGGTGAAACCCCATCCCTACAAAAAATACAAAATTAGCTGGAGCACACCTATAGTCCAGCTACTTGGGTGACTGAAGTGGGAGGATTGTTTGAGCCTGGGAGGAGGAGGTTGCAGTGAGCTGAGATCACGCCACTGCACTCCGGCCTGGGCAACAAAGTGAGACCCTGTCTCAAAAACTAAAAATAAAGAAAGACAACACTAGAGATCTCTACTCTTAGCAAATTACAAGTATACTCTACAGCATGATTAACTATAGTCACTGTGCTGTACATTAGCTCTCTAGAACTTATCTACCCTATGTAATTAAAACTTTGTACCCTTTGTCCAGTGTCTCCCCATTTCCCCTACCCACCTCTGGTAACCTCCATTCTACTCTCTTCTTCTACAAGAAGATTCCATATATAAGTAAGATTCCATATATAAGTAAGACCATGCAGTGTTTTTCTTTCTGTGTCTGGCTTATTTCACTCAGTGTCATGTCTTCCAAGTTCATCTATGTTGTTGTAAATGGCAGAATTTTTCTTCTTTTTTAAGGCTTTATGGAGTCACATAAATCCTACAAGTTTTCTTCACTCTTTTATTATATTTTCTTCTTTTCTCCTCAGTCTGGACAATTTCAAATTATCTGTCTTCAAGTTTACATATTCTTTCTTCTGCTTAATCAAGTCTGCTGCTGAAGCTCTTTGTTGTGTTTTTTCATTTTAGTCATTGTATTCTTCAGCTCCAGAATTCCTGTTTGGTTCTTTTTTATGATTTTTATCTGTTTGTTAAACTTCTCATTTTGTTCTTGTATTGTCTTCCTGATCTCATTGAGTCATCTATGAGTAGATGTTGTAGCCTGCTGAGTGTTTAAAAGAATTATGTTGAATTCTTTGCTTGGCAATTCATAGATCTCCATTTATTTGGCGTGGTTACTAGACAGATGTTCCTTTGGTGGTGTCATGTTTCTCTAGTTTTTATGTTGCTGTAGTCTTATGTTGTCACCTTTGATTCAAAGAAGGGATCGGGTACCCCTTCCAAACTTCAAGGACTGGCCTAGGTAGGGAAAGACTTCTTCCCATGGGTAGCTGTGAGCGTGCCAGCTGGGCAAAGTGCACAGTGGCTCCAGGTCTGGATCTGTGTCCGGAGACATCAGTTCCAGGGACATGCAGGGGTTGGGTTTGCCGGGCTCATGGGCACACACAGGGTTGTAGCAGAAGCCTTGGCCAGTAGGTCCACAGGTGTGCATGCACTCTGTGGCAGTTGGGGCACAAGGGTTCAGTCTGCTGAGTAGCAGGTACAGCTGCAGCATATGCCTGATTCTATAGGCATACATACTCAGCTTTGGCAGGTGCCTGGTCCTGTAGTTGTGCATGCACAGCTATGGTAGGCACCTAGTCCAGTGGGCATATGGACACATGCATGGTGGCACGGGTGGGCACCAGGACCAGTGCACAGGAATGTGCTTGGTGGTAAGTGCCCATCCCCAGGTGCAGGCATACATAGCCTGACCAGGGATAAGGGTGAAGTAGCAGCTCTGACTCCAGAGGTGGGAAGCGGCAGCAATTGGAGGCTCTGATTTCACAGGACACAGCAGCTCTGGCTCTGGACAGCTCCAACAGCTGGGGTCCACATCAGCAGAAACCCAAAGAGTCCTCTGCAGCAGTGGCTAGGGCTGCTGGGATCCTCAGTGGCACAGGCTGCTGAGGTACCCTACTATCCTTCTTACCCTACATGAATTACTCATGGCCAAGGGAATTCCTTTTAATATCATGCTGGCCCAGGAGATGGGCAACACAGCCAGAATTCTTCCTCACTCTTTCTCTGTGGCCATCCCCATTATCTGTGCTCCTCTGGTCTACTGCAGCCCCCTAACTGCACTTCTAGGCTCTCACAAAGCTATCCTCATCTGTGGGTAGTTGATTTGATAATTGTTTTTGTGGAGGAGTGAGGGCTGGGATTTCCTAATCTGCCATCTTGCTCTCTCTGAACTATTTTTATAACATTTTATAAGTCTCAAGTTGTTTGAAAATATAAATTTAAAAATATATATTCTAAGCAACTCAGAACCTAGTCCGAGTTCATTCTCCTACATGAAATAGGCTAGTCCTTAGCTGCTTTGGAAACTAGTAAAGTTATGAATTGAATGTTAGCATGAATTAGGAGAGAAAAAAACAAAAAGTATGAACTTTGGAATAAAGCCAACTAGGATTCTAATCTTAATGAGCCTAAATTACATTCCTGTTCTGTGACTTAACAAATAGTCTTTGTATGATATCCCTTGTCTATAAATTGGAGATGACAAAAACTACTCAGCAGAGTTATTATACACAGAGGAGACATGATATGTGTAAGAAACTAAAAAGGTTGCTTAATTCGTAATGAACACTCTCAATAAGTGATCGCCCAGTTAGTTACAAGAGTCTTTCAACAAACTAGTGTTCTATAATTTAGAAAAAGACTATAACCAGACTTTTCTTCCACTTTTAACCATTCATTCCTATCTTTAGCTACAACTTAAGGCTTCCTATGGCAGTAATATTTACACCCCAAGAAATATATATTGTGCTAATTTCCATACTGGGCATATTCTCTCTGTAGGGTCTAGAATGGAGCTTTAGATTACTTAATGACTGGTAAAGAATTTCCAGGTAATTAGGCAATTACCTGCTACTCAATGGCATTTATTAGAACACCTAGAAGAATAAAGATATCTAGAAAAATCCAACACAACTGAAGTTTAGAAAATACTTTAGCAGATTTTCAAATGCTGGCTTAAATTCACTGACAAAGTATCTCTATGTAAATACTTCAATTAAGTTTATAATTTTAGATTACAAAATTGAGCACCACTAAGGACAGGTATATATAGATTCTTGAATATGCTGGATATGTTTATGGAAGGCTGCATAGGAAACCAGTCACCACAGTTGTGTCTAAGAAAAAAGACAGGCACAGAGATCAGGAGCAGGAAAGAAATAAACTTTTCACTGACTTATGTGATGTTTTAAGCCATATTCATGTATTATCTGTTCAAACAAATTATTATATATATAATTTGAAAGAAATAAAAATATTTTTATAAGTATTAACAATTCCATAAAGCAGCTAGGCAGATGGAGAGCCATTCCAGAGAAGAAAAGGGGTCATTGTTTAATCCCATTATCTTTCAGGGAAGAATTCTAGCTTCTACATATGTAAATGAAGCTACTGTTTTATCTAGTATAACAAGTTGGACAAACAAAATATCTGGACTAATATTCAGGATACTTCTAGTATGTTTCTGCAATATCCTTTCTGCCATGTGCATGTGAGAAGATGCTACCTTACAAACCAGCCATTTCAATATAAAAGAGTATGCTGTGCAAAGAGATGGTACATTTTACTCAAATGCTAGTTTGTGAGTGGAAATAAGTGAAAACCTCCAGGATAATGCCAGTAGAGGTGAGAACAGCAGAATAAAAATAGAAGATTGAGCACTGAATTGGCTTCCAGGGGTGGTAAAAGACTGTTTGCCTTTGGGAGGCCATTAAATGGGCAGTGACTATCTGTGTGCTGTTCTGTCTGTAGCTTCTGCGGTTATGGCTCTTGTGAAGGTGGTGATTAAAGTCTACATGAGATGCCTCAAAGCAGTCATCACTGAGGCCATCAAGAAAGACTTCAAATGAACAGAAATGTCAAGACTTCCAATAGAGAACTAGTTCTATGACACCAATGCCCTCTTCCCACCTGGGACACAGAATCCCAACCTCTCCCAGCCTACTAAGGAAAAAACTGTTGCAAAGGTCTCAAACCCCTGATGTTTACTGAGTGCTTAATACAAATAATTTTGCATGGCCTTTAGTCTTATTTTAAGAATTAATCATACTCTTCCAATTCTGGTATTATAATCCTATGTTTATTATTTTCTGTAAATTGGCATTTCAGATGAGATAGATTCATAAAAGGAAAAAAAATACTTCAGGATGCAAACTTCCAGTTGCTCCTGGGAATTTGGAGCCTAAGGCCTTATCTTCAGATGTTGACTATAACATTAATCACCTGCCACAGTCTTCTCTGACAAGGGAATCTTTAAAAAAAATTATATTATAAGATACATAAAGTGTAAAGATCTGAAATATACAACCTCGTCTACAGCCATACCACCGTGAGTGAACCAGATCTCATCTGAAGTGTACCATCTGATGATTTTTCACATACATATCCACCTGCATCCACCTGCATAACCACCACCCAGGTAAAGTTCTGATTTCTATGGCCAAAGAATCCACACTTTGGATTCCATTTAAACAATGTGAAAGAGCAGAAAAAACTTAATACACTCATATAATCACCATCCAGATCAAAATAGAGAACATTTCCAACATCTTAGATGACTGCCTCTTGCACCATCCTAGTTAATACTGTCTCTCAGAGCTGTGATTCTAACTCCATAGATTGCTTTTGCCTATTATTGAAATTCATATAAATGGAATCATACAGTATGAACCCTTTGTGGCTATGATTCATTTGTGCTGTTGCATGCATCAGTAGTTCTTTTTTTTTTTTCTTTGAGATGGAGTCTTGCTCTGTCACCCAGACTGGAGTGCAATGGCCCGATCTCGGCTCACTGCAACCTCCGCCTCCTGGGTTCAAGCGATTCTCCTGCCTCAGCCTCCTGAGTAGCTGGGATTACAGGCACCCACCACCACGCGTGGCTAATTTTTGTATTTTTAGTAGAGATGGGGTTTCACTATGTTGGTCAGGCTGGTCTTGAACTCCTGACCTCCTGATCTGCCCGCTTTGGCCCCCCAAAGTGCTGGTATTACAAGCGTGAGCCACTGCACCCAGCCCAGTAGTTCTTTTCATGCTGTATAAAATTCCACTATATGAATATACTACACTTTGTTTATCTATTCTTCTGTTGACAGACATTTAGTTTAAGTTTTTAGCAATTTTGAATAAAGCTTTTATGACCCCCTGATATTTATTGTTTGCTTTTTTTTTTTTTAAGAGACAGGATCTTACCGAGGATGGTTTTGAACTCATCCTCCCACATTTTGCCATTTTCCAGTCAAGAAGAAATAATCCAAAATATAAGAAAAGGTCCAGGACAGGCAAGTCTTAGAAGTTAATCTAGGAAGGAACTTCAAGAAAGAAAGTTTATTTACTTGAATTAGACACTTCAAAGAAGTTCAAAGAGGGGGTGAATTAAGGAAAATATCACGGGAGTAGAGAGGATGAATACAATAAAAGAATGGGCCGGGGGTCCGTGGCTCACACCTGTAATCCCAGCACTTTAGGAGGCCAGGGCAGGCAGATCACCTGTGGTCGGGAGTTCAAGACCAGCCTGACCAAGATGGAGAAACCCCATCTCTACTAAAAATACAAAATTAGCTGGGCATGGGGGTGGGCCCCTGTAGTCCCAGCTACTCAGGAGGCTGAGGCAGGAGAATCCCTTGAACCTAGGAGGCGGAGGTTGCGGTGAGCCGAGGTTGTGCCATTGCACTCCAGCCTGCGCAACAAGAGTGAAACTCCATCTCAAAAAAAAATGGTAATATATTGATTATTGTCAGAGTTGGTTGATGGATTTATTGTAGCTCATTATTCTATTGTTACTTCTGTACATTTTGAAGTTTTCCATAATAAAATGTTTTTAAGACATTAAATTTAGTTCTTTGTAAAGAATTTAGTAACTTCTGAAAGAACAGTTTCAGTAGAGAAATTGTCTTAGAAGCGTGATTACAGGAGGACATGTGATGAGAAAGGAGCAATGAATGTAGATCTCTTGAAAAAAGGTGCACAGTGAAAGTAAAGAAAGAGATATGCTGATAACGTGACTGGACAAAATAAAGGAATGAAGGAAATATGTAGTGGGTGTTTATCTATTTAAGTATTAAGTAGGGGCCAGGCTGGTTGCTCACCCCTGTAATCCCAGCACTTTGCAAGGCCAAGGTGGGCAGATCTCTTGAGCTCAAGAGTGCTCTGAAATCAGCCTGGCCAACACGGTGAAAGCCCATCTCTACGAAAATAAAAAAATTAGCCGGGTGTGGTGGCAGGCACCTGCGGTCCCAGCTACTTGGGAGCCTGGGAGGCAAAGGTTGCAGCAAGCCGAGAGCTCACTACTGCCCTCCAACCTGGGTGAAGAGCAAGACCCTGTCGCAAAAAAAGTAAAAATAAAAAAAATTAAGTATTTTTAGCAGAGAAAGGAGCCAAATGATGCTGTTCAGCTACAGAGATCAGGCTGTCAGGGGTAACACATTACAGAAAAGTGTGCCTAACCCACAAACTTGAAACCTCATCCTGCTACAACTTCAAATGTCCCAGTTGCCTACAAGTCCTTAAGGTACCCCCTTCCTCCATTCCTCTATTCCCGTGTTCCCGATAAACGCAAACCAGGTTTTTCCTAAACTCTAACACCATTACAACAATTACTAATGCAAAAGAAGACTTCTGTCACCAAATGTGTGGGGAGGTTTCCTCAAACATCAAGCAGTGGACATCAGCTGAGCGTCCTCCAAATTAATTTCAACACTATCTACCTAGAGACAGGGTCATATCCCACAGGGTGAGGGCTCAGTCCCCAGGACTGCACCCCACACCCCCAGACACAAGTCCGGGACTCTGGAACTTCTGACCGGCTTTAAAATGGGGGCTCCCCATCCCCTTCTTTGGGCTTGATTAACTTGCTGGAGTGGCTCACAGAACTCAGGGAAACACTTATGTATATTTACCAGTTTATTATAAAGGATATTGCAAAAGATACAGATGAAGAGATGCACAGGGAGACTATGGGGGAAGCGGCTCAGGGCTTCCATGCCCCTGCTGGGTGTGCCGCCCTCCGGGAACCTCCACGTGTTTAGCCATCCAGAAGCTCTGCAAACCCTGTCCCCTTGGGTTTTTATGGAGGCTTCATTACATGGGCACGATGGATTAAGCCACAAAGTCAGCCTGCTGGAAATGTGAGGAAAAGAACAGGGCCACATTTTGCTGCTTTTTACTTCTAAATGATTCGAGAAGCTCTGCAATTAGTCTCAAACAGTGGCTTTCAATTCTTGGTTGAGATCAATAGCGAAAAAAAAAAAAGTCTATACATATATACACACATATATGTGTAATAGAGAATATATTAAATGCATTTATGTGTATATATATTTATGTATGTATATGTGTGTATATATTATATATATATATAATATATTTTATATATATATATAATTTTTACTATAACCCTTGACTTGGAAATCACTGCTCTAAAATGTCCCCAGGAAAATACTCAACAGCAGATAGCCCCTTAAAAGCCATTACATTTTAACGGGAGCCCTTTGGTACCAAGCAGGAACTTTAACTATATGACATACCTGGAATAAATAGAAAAAAAGAAATGGAATACAATGAACAAAAATAGAAAATATCAGTGCATTCCAAATCGTTAAAGGTTAGTATTGCTTTGTGAAATCTTTGCATCATTCATATGGGTGTGTATACTGCCTCTCAACATAAAATGTATTTTGTTCTTGAACATCACAATTTAAAAAGTTTGAAAGGACTGTTTAAAGCATAGTTGTAGGGCTTCTCCAGTCACTAAGCAGCAAGCTCTATGTCTGAAACTTCAAGTGGGTGATCTAAAGCCATCAATTATTCTTTACAATAGAAACAAGGGATGTGAAGCTCTCTCTATCAATATGATCATGAAATTAAGCTGCCCTACCAAGAAGGTATCTTTGCTCTTTCCACCACTAACATCAACATTTTGTCCGACAGTAAACAAAACCTGTATGTCTCATCAAGATTGGAATCCAAGCGTCCCGGAGCATTTCATTTAAAACAAAATGTATAATATAAAGACACTGATTTCTTCAAATTTTTCAAAGTAAATGAAAAAATGCTTGCTATCTATGAATACTCAATTTGTCCTCTTCTCTTGTAGTTAAAATTAATTCAACCAATATTTTTCAGGATTCTTTTCTTAGATTTCTTATTAGTTTAAATCAACCCTGCTACCCAGAGTCAAGTTAGCATGATTTTGAGGTCCCACTATGTCCTATTATAATATGTTCTCTGTAGAAAAATACATCCTCCCTGTACTCATTGCAACTTCTATTTGTTACTAACATGGTAAACATACACTTTGATTTCCCTTAATACCAAACTATAATCCTTTTTTAAAAAGAAAACTTTTATTTTAAATTCAGGTGTACATGTGTAGGTTTGTTATATAGGCAAACTTGTGTCACAAGGGTTTGTTGTATGAATTATTTTTTCACCCAGGTATTGGTGACACTAAGCCTAGTACCCAATAGCCAAACTACATACACATTCCTTTGAACTTTGATTACACAAACACTGTTCATTTAGCAGAAATGGAATTCTTCCACCAAAAGGTTTTTAACCTAGAGTTGGTCCACAAATTAAACGGAAAAAAACATGCTTTTATTTTTACAATTAACTGAAGTTTAACACTTCCTTCAATTATGAATACAGGCAACACACCTCAATATCATTTGCAGTACCTAAGACTGCTATGAATAGAAACATAGATATTTTCACATCACATTAGAGGTGTTTCAGTATCTCAAAATATCATCTATCTTCATCTTTACTTTAAAATATGACAGTTATTTAACCTAACACTGTTTTTAATGTGTTATTAAAAATCATATACTTTATATCACAATATCTTGAGATCTAATAAATGTATTTCAACATATTTTCTTTACTTTATAAACCTATATATTCTATTTTACACATTTAAAAACATTATTTTCAGAAGAAATCTACAGTATTCACCAGATTTCTAAAGTTTGCCAATGGCTTAAAATAGTGCCTAGCTTGTATAGCACTATATAAGTTTTAACTAAATACATAAAAATAAATTAAATGGGTTACTGGGCTGACAGAGCAGATATGGCATCATGGACTAGGAAGGATAGGTGATGGAGGGAAGCAAGCTTTAAAAATGGAAAAAAAATTCACTGAATAAAACCTTATTATGGATGATACGGTGCCATTAATCAATTTTATATTATTTTATGCTAATTTTAAAGCCAATTTAAAAACCAATAGAGGGGCAGTCATGGTGACTCATGCCTGTAATCCCAGAACTTTGGGAGCCCAAGGCGGGAGAGTCACTTGAGCCCAGGAGTTTGAGACCAGCCTGGGCAACATAGTGGGACCCTGTCTCTACAAAAAATATAAATAAAATTAGAATGAACATGGAGGCTCACACCTGTGGTACCAGCTACTCTGAAGGCTGAGGTGGGAGGATTGCTTAAGCCCAGGAGGTTCAGTATGCAGCGAGCCAAGATCACACTACTGCACTCCACCCTCAGCAACAGAGCAAGAGCCTGTCTCAAAAAATAACAAAATAAAATAAAATAAAAATAAAATTTAGAAAGCAAACTTTTTAAATCTCTGGTAGGTATTAGAAGTCAGTCTTTTTTGTATTTTATTAATATATCATAGTTGTACATATTTTGAATGCTATGTGATATTTCAATACGTGTATACAATGTGTAACAATCAAATCAGGGTAATTGGGCCAAGCACGGTGGCTCACGCCTGTAATCCCAGCACTTTGGGAGGCTGAGGCAGGTGGATCACCTGAGGTCAGAAGTTCGAGACTAGCCTGTCCAATATGATGAAACACCATCTCTACTAAAAATACAAAAATTTGCTGGGTGTGGTGGCATGCACCTGTAGTCCCAGCTATTCAGGAGGCTGAGACAGGAGAATTGCTTGAACCCAGGAGGTGGAGGTTGCAGTGAGCCGAGATCAAGCCACTGCACTCCAGCCTGAGAGACAGAATGAGACTCTGTCACAAAAAAAAAAAAAAAATCAGGGTAATTGTGATATCCATCACCTCAAATATTTATCTTTTCTTTGTGTTGGGAACATTACATTTTTATCTTCTAGCTATTTTGAAATATACAATAAATTGTTATAAATTTTTAAATAAATGTGTTATAAATTGATAAGTAAATTTAAAATTTATGTTATAAATCATGCTATTGTTTACTATAATTTCCCTAATTTCAAATACTAGAACTTATTTCTTCTATCGAACAGGATTTTTGCACCCATTAATCAACTTCTCTTCATCCCCTTACGTTGCCTTCCCAGTATCTGGTAACCACCATTCTACTCTCTATTGCCATGAGATCTACTTGTTTAGCTCCCACATATGAGTGAGAATATGCAATATTTGTCTTTCTGTTCCTGGCTTATTTTACTTAAACTAGTGACCTCCAGTTCCATCCAGGTTGTGGCAGGTGACAGGATTTCATTCTTCTTATGGCTGAGTAATATTCCATTATATTTTTGTTTTTGCTACTGAGTTATTTGACTTCCTTATATACTGTGGCTGTTAGTTTTTTATCAGATGGATAGTTTGTAAATATTTCCTCCCATTTGGTCTGTTTTATCTTCACTTTGTTAATTGTTTCCTTTGCTATGTGGAAGCTTTTCTAGCTTGCTATAATCCTATTTGTCTACTTTCGTTATTCTTGCCTATGCTTTTGAAGTCTTATCCAAAAAAACTCTTTGCTCAGACCAATGTCCTGCAGCATTTCCCCAAAGTTTTCTTTCAATGGTTTCATAGTTTCAGGTCTTTCATAGTTTCAGGTCTTAAATCAATTTTGAGTTGATTTTTGTATATGATGTATATGATGAAAAATGGAGAGCTAGTTTCATTATTCTGCATATGGATATCCCGTTTTCCCAGCATTCATAAAAGAGACTGTCCTAGATTCATTAAAGAGACTGTCTTTTCCCCAATGTACGTTCTTGGCATCTTTGTCAAAAATAAGTTGGCTGTAAGTACATGGATTTATTTTTGGGTTCTCTATCCTGTTCCATTGGTCTATGTCTCTTTATGCCAGTACCATGCTGTTTCAGTTACAATCGTTTTGTAGTGTAATTTGAAATCTGGTAGTGTGATGCCTCCAGCTTTGTTCTTTTTGCTTAAGATTGCTTTGGCTATTTGGGGTCTTTTGTGAGTCCACACGAATTTTAGGATTGCTCTTCCTATTTCTGTGAAGAATGACATTGGTAGTTTGATAGGAATCGTTTCGAGTCTGTAGATCACTTGTGGTACTATAGATATTTTAATGACAATTCTTCCGATAGGTTTTTTTTTTCATTTTTTGTATCCTTTTCAATTTCTTTCATCAGTATTTTACAGTTTTCCTTGAAGAGATCTTTTACTTCTTTTGTTAAATATATTCCCATGTTGTATTTTTTGTAGCTGCAGCAAATGGGATTGCTTTCTTGATATCTCTTTCACATTGATTGCTGTAAGCATATAGATTTGTGAGTTACCACGGCTGATTTTGTGTGTTGATTTTGTATCCTGCAACTTTACTAATTTATCTATCAGTTCTAAAAGTTTTTTGTGGAGTCCTTAGGTTTTTCTATATATAAGATCATGTCATCTGCAAACAAGGATAATTTGACTTCTTCCTTTCCAATTTGGATACTTTTATTTCTTTCTCTTATCTAACTGCTCTAGCTAAGACTTCCAGTACTATGTTGAATAAGAGTGATGACAGTGGGCATCCTTGACTTGTTTCAGTTCTTAGAAGAGCTTTTGACTTTTCCCCATTCAGTATGATGTTAGCTATGAGTTTGTCACATGTGACCTTTGTTGTATTGAGGTATGTTCTTTATATACCCAATTTGTTGAGGGTTTTTTTTATCATGAGGGGATGTTAAATTTTATTGAATGCTTTTTCTGCATCTATTGAAATGGTCATCTGATTTTTATCCTTGATTCTGCTCATGTGTTGTATCATATTTGTTAATTTGCATATGTTGAATTATTTTTGCATCCTGAGGATGAATCCCACTTGATCATGGTGAATGATCTTTTTAATTTGTTATTTAATTTGGTTTGCTAGTATTTTGTTGAGGATATTTGCATCAATGTTTCATCAGGTATATTGGCGTAGAGTTTGTTTTCTTTTTTTGTGGTGTCTTTGTCTGGTTTTGGTATCGGGGTAATATTGGCTTCATAGAATAAATTTGGAAGTATTAACTCTTCTTCAATTTTGTAAATTGTTTGAGAAGAACTAGTATTATTTCCTCTTCAAATATTTGGTAGAATTCAGCAGTGACTCCATCAGGTCGTGGGCTTTTCTTTAATGGGAAGCTTTTTATTACTGTCCTGATCTATTTTTCAATAATGATCTGCTCAGGTTTGCTATATCTTCATGGTTCGATCTTGGTAGGCTGTATGAGTCCAGGAATTTATTCATTTCTTCTAGGTTTTCAAATTTTTAGCATGTAGTTATTCATAATAGTCTCTAATGATCCTTTGTATTTCTGTGGTGTCAGTTGTAATGTTTCCTTTTTCATTTCTGATTTATTTATTTATTTGATCTTCTCCCTTATTTTCTTAGTGTAGCTAACAGTTTGTCAGTTTTGTTTATCTTTTCAAAAAACAATTTTTCATTTGCTTAAACTTTTGTACTTTTTATCTCAATCTCATTTACTTCTACTCTGATTTTTATTATTCCTACTAATTTGAGGTTTGGTTTGTTCTTGCTTTTTTATTTCCTTGTACATTGTTAGATTGTTTATTTCAAGTCTGCTTTTTTATGTAGGCATTTGTTGCTATAAACTTCCCTCTTAGTACCACTTTTGCTGTATCACATAGGTCATGGTATATTGTGTTCCATTTTCATTTGCTTCAAGACATGTCTAAATTTTCTACTTAACTTATTTATTGACCCATTGGTTGTTCAGCAGCATATTGTTTAATTTCCATGTATTTGTACATGGAAATTAAAGTTTCCAAAGTTTATTTTGTTATTGATTTCTAGTCTTATTCCATTGTGATCAGAAAAGATTCTGGATATAATTTTGACATTTTTTAACTTGTTGAGACCACTTTGTGGCCTAACATATAGTCTATCCTGGAGAGTGTTCCATGTTCCATGTGCTGATGAAAAGAATGTGTATTCTGCAGCTGTTGGATGAAATATTCTATAAATGTCTGTTAGGTCCATTTGTAAGTCACTCTTTTTTGACACTATATTTAGAGTTTAAAAATAAAATACTCCTGAGAAATTTTAAAAGCCAGATACAGGGCATCTGCAAAAAGATCAACCATAGAAAATTCAATCACTGAGACAGCATCCTACCTTTCTCTTACTATAAAACCAGACCTAGTCATTGAATTTCAGTAGGTTTTTATTTTAAAATAAGGCAGGTGGGAATTTAAAGAAAGCATTATCATCTGTGCTATAAAAATATCATTCAAAAGCGTGGCTTTTTAGCTGCTCACTTAAGGAGGAAAAAAAGTGGCAAGCAATGTCTTATGAAATATATTACAAAAATGCCAAATGCTACTTTTAGGATCCACCAGTGACCTCCTGGCACATTGACACTCTGTTCTTTCAATACCTGAGGACTATTCCCTTTCAGATAGTCAGGTCCAAAGTGGGCCTCAGTCTTTCTGGGATATCCTTATTGCAAAGAAGAGAGCCTTCACTAAGGGTTAAATGTAAGCATCACACACTAAACTTCCATTCACTTTCAATCTCTTTTCCTTACTGTACCCAAAATCATTATTTCTGAACTCAAATGTGATTCTCTCAAACTCTTTCCCCATCCTCAAACATATGAGGCTGCCCATTTCTGTTAGAATCTGGACAAAACTATTTCACATGACCTACAAGACCCGGTGAGGGCTCACCTTGGCCCACCTCTTCAGTTTCACCTATCACCATGCTCCCTTCTTCTATGTTCCAGCTATGCCAGTGCCCTCCAGCTCCCTTTGCTTTGTGTTTCCCCCTTCTGAGGCCCTTTGCATGTGTTTATGCCTTTGGCTGGAATGTTCTTCCCACCCTCTTCATTAAGGTAAGGCCAGCATCTTTCAGATCTCAACCTAAATCCAAGCATCACTGTGTCACCTTCCTGATTATCACATTTTATCCTGTCAATGATGCAAGTTTCTTCATACTTTAGGAGCTTTGGAATTACAACATGTCTTGTAAGTAAATGGAGTCTCACAGTCACTGTTAGCCTAGATCAAAGTCAAATTATTCTAGCAAGATTTTGGAAGCCAGCAATGGGGCCAGCAACAGGTCTGTACCTCCCTGGGACAAAGCTCCCAGAGAAAGAGACAGGCTGCCATTTGTGCTGTTTTGTAGCCTTCACTGGTGACATCACCAGGTTCTGGAAAATCCAAGGTGATTTGGGACTGGAGTGGGTCCCAGGCATACCACAGCAGCCCTATGAAAATTAGCTAGACTGTTACATGGGTGGCTGTTCCCATATCTTCTCACTGGGCAGGTCCTCCAGGCCTGGGCCTCCAGCCATCCACCACAAGAGCTATAGAGCCAGTACCAACTCAGCAACTTTCTGGACAGAGCCTCCAGGGGCAACTGGAAGCCTCTCTGCCACTGCCTCTGCAGTCGAACTGCCCTTGCCACCCTTGAACTAACAAAGGAACAAACATCATAAATGCTTTATCCACACCTCCAACAAGTTGCAGTCAGCCCAAGGAGAGGAGACCAATCCATCTCACATGAGTCCCACACACCCCCCATGGCTTATCACCAGACAGGGAACCCCTGGCTTGGGCCCACAGTACAAACTCTTCATCTTGAGCTGACAGCACTGAGTGATTGCTAACCTCCATCTCTCTGGGATGGAGCCCCCAGCAGTCAAGCAAACAACCCTCAGCCACAATCACTACTAAGATCTCTTTCTCTGCTGCTGCTAAGCTAGGGAAAGAACACAAACACTGAGATCACCCTAGAGCTGCAGTAGGCAGCCCAAGAGTGCCAAGTTGTGAACTACAGCCAGTACTCAAGGGGGAGAGGGGGCCACACTTTCAGAGCACTGAGAAGGAACATGGCTGCAACTTTGAGGAAACATATGGAAGCCACACAACCAAACAAGAGTCTACCAACTGGCCAATAGCTGAAGTGTTACCTGCTGGATCACACCCCAAAGCTTCAACACCAAAAATACCTCACTAACATACCCTCATCTAAAACCAGAGACAAAAAGTCAACTTCAAATAAAACCCTACAAAAGTTTTGGTCCAGTGAAAACATCCAGAAAGGAAGTCTATTGACTATACTCAATCTACACTGCAGTTAAAGGAACAATCACAGACATAGATGAGAAAGAACCAGCACAAGAACTCTGGTAACTCAAATGGCCAGAATGTCATATGTCTTCTAAATGACTGCACAGGTTCTCTAACAAGAGTTCTTAACCAGGTCAAACTGGCTGGAATGACAGAAAAAGAATTCAGAATATGGATAGAGATGAAGATCACTGAGATTCAGGAGGACTGCAAAACCCAATCCAAGAAAAATAAGAACCACAATAAAGTGATACAGGAACTGAAGCATGAAATAATTGGTACAAAAAAGAACCTAATGGGTCTGACAGAGCTGAATAACATAATACAAGAACTTCACAACGCCATCAAGTATTAACAGCAGAATAAACCAAGCTGAAGAAAGAACATCAGAACTTGAAAACTGGTTCTCTGAAATAAGACAGTCAGACAAAAAATAAATTAAAAAAAAAGAATGAACAAAACCTCTGAGAACTATGGGATTATATAAAGAGGTCAAATCTAGGAATCACTGGCATCCAGGAAGGGGAAAGGGAGAAAGCAAACAACTTGGAAAATGTATTTCAAGATATAGCTCATAAAATTTCCCCAACATTGCTGGAGGAGCCAAGAGTCAAATTCAGAAAATACAGAGAAGTCTTACAAGATTTATAGAAGAAGATCAACCCCAAGACACATAATCATCAGATTTTCCAAGGTCAAAATGAAAGAAAGAATGTTAAAGGCAGCTAGAGAGAAAGGGTAGGTCACCTACAAAGGAATTCCCATCAGGCTAAGAACAGACCACTCAGCTGAAACCCTACAAGCCAAAGGAGATTGGGGTTTATATTCAACATTCTTAAAGAAAAAAATTTCTATCAAAAGTTTAATATCCAGCCAAACTAAGATTCTTAAGTGAAGGAGAAATAAGATCGTTTTCAGATAAGCAAATGTTGAGGGACTTCATTACCAACAGACCTGACTTATAAGAGATCTTGAAAGGAGCAGTAAATAGAGAAAGGAAAGACCACTACCTGATATTATATTACAAACACACACTTGAACACGTAGAGCAATGTCACTGTAAAACAACCACACAAACAAGCCAAACTAATAACCAGCTAACAGCACAATGACAAGATTAAATCCACAAATATCAATACTAACCTTAAATGTAAATGAGCTAAATGCCCTCACTTAACAGGCATAGAGTAGCAAGCCGGATAAAAAACCAAGACCCAGTGATATGCTGTCATCAAGACATCCAGCTCACACATAATGACACACAAAGGCTCAAAATAAAAAGATGGAGAAAAATCTACTAAGCAAATAGAAAACAGACAAAAGCAGGGGTTGCAATCCTAATTTCAGTCAAAACAGGTTTCAAACCAACAAAGTTAAAAAAAAAAAAAAGACAAGGAAGGGCATCACATAATAGTAAAGAGTTCAATTCAAACAGAAGACCTAACTATTCTAAATATATGTGCATCCAACACAGAAGCAGCCAGGTTCATAAAGCAAGTTCTTACAGACCTACAAAGGGACATAGACTCCCACACAATAATAGTGGGAGACTTCACCATTCCACTGATAATATTAGATAGGTCATCAAGGCAGAGAATTAACAGATATTCAGGACCTAAACCCAGCATTGGACCAAATGGATCTGATGGACCTTTAGAGAAGTCTCCACCCAAAAACAACAGAATATATATTTCTTTCGTTGCTACATAGCACATGCTGTAAAATTGACACAATTAGGCATAAAACAACCCTCAACAAATGTGAAAGAACCAAAATCATATCAAACATACTCTCAGATCATAGCACAATAAAAAAGGAAGTCAACACAATGAAAATCACTCAAAACTATACAATTACATGGAAATTAAACAACATGCTCCTGAATGACATTTAGGTAGATAATGAAATTAAGGCAGAAATCAAGAAGTTGTTTGAAAATAATAAGAACAAACATACAACATACCAGAATTTCCAGGACACAGCTAAGCCAGTGTTAAGAGGGAAATTCACACACTAAAATGCCCATATCAAAAAGTTAGAAATATCTCAAATTAACAACCTAACTTCACAATTGAAAGAATTAGAGAACCAAAAACAAATCAAACCCAAAGCTAGCATAAGACAAAAAATAACAAATATTAGAGCAAAACTGAAGGAAACTGAGACCCAAAAAACCATTCAAAAGACCAATAAGGCTGAGGCAAGTGAATCACGAAGTCAAGAGATCGAGATCATCCTGGCCAACACAGGGAAAGCCGTCTCTATTAAAAATACCCACCCTAAATCACTCCTAGGGCTAGGAATACATTAAGACTCCAAAAGATAAAGAATTGCTCAGGCCAGGTGCGGTGGCTCATGCCTGTAATCCCAGCACTTTGGGAGGCCAAGGCGGGTAGATCACTTGAGGTCAGGAGTTCAAGACCAGCCTGACCAACATGGAGAAACCCTGTCTCCACTAAAAATATAAAATTAGCCAGGCATGGTGGCACATGCCTGTAATCCCAGCTACTCAGGAGGCTGAGACAGGAGAATCGCTTGAACCTGGGAGGCAGAGGTTGCGGTGAGCCAAGATCGCACCATTGCACTCCAGCCTGGGGACAAGAGTGAAACTCTGTCTCAAATTAAAAAAATATACAAAAATTAGCTGGGCATGGTGGCATGTGCCTGTAGTCGCAGCTACTCAGGAGGCTGAGGCAGGAGAATCACTTGAACCTGGGAGGCGGAGGTTGCAGTGAGCCAAGATTGCACCACTGCATTCCAGCCTGGAGACAAAATAAATAAATAAATAAATCCAGGAGTTGGTTTTTTGAAAAAATTAATAAAATAGGCCACTAGCTAGACTAATTAAGAAAAAAAGAGAAAAGAGACAAACACAATTAGAAATGATGATGGGAATGTTACTACTGACCCCACAGAAATAAAAACAACCATCAGAAATTCTACAAACACAAACTAGAAAACCTAGAAGAAATGGATGAATTCCTGGACACATATATCCTCCCAACACTGAGCCAGGGAGAAACTGACTCCCTGAACAGACCAATAATGAGCTCTGAAATTGAATCAGTAATAATAAATAGGCTAGCAACCAAATAAAAGCCCAGGACCTGATTCACAGTCAAATTCTACCAGATGTAGGAAGAACTAGTACCATTCCTACAGAAACTATTCCAAATAATTAAAGTGGAAGGATTTCTCCCCAACCTATTCTGAGGCCAGCATCATCTTGATATCAAAACCTGGCAGAGAAACAACAAAAAAATAAAATGTCAGGCCAGGGCACCCCACTGTCTGGGAAGTAAGGAGTGCCTCTGCCCAGCTGCCACCCCGTCTGGGAAATGAGGAGTGCCTCTGCCTGGCCGCCACACCATCTGGGAAGTGAGGAACTTTTCTCCCTGGCTTCCCCAAAGTCTGGGAAGTGCAGAGCGCCCCTGCCCTGCAACCCACCATCTGGGAAGTGAAGAGCGCCTTTGCCTGGCCACCGCACCATCTAGGAAGTGAGAAGCGCCTCTACCCAGCCACCCCACCATCTGGGAAGTGAGGAGCACATCTGCCTGGCTGCCCCACCATCTGGGAAGTGAGGAGCGCCTCTGCCCGGCTGCTGTGCAACCCTCCAAGTGTGAAGTGGCAGCCTTGTGTGTGATCTTTCTGCCCTCCCCAAGTTTGCATTTTTGACATTAAAGTTTACTTTTAAATTAAAAAAACAAAAAGATCCTTGATGAACACGAATGCAAAAATCCTCAACAAAATACTTGCAAACCAAATCCAGCAGCACATCAAAAGCTAATCCACCATGATTAGCTAGGCTTCATCTCTGGGATGTAAGTGTGGTTCAACATACAAAAAGCAATAAATGTGATTCATCAAATAAACCAAACTAAAGACAAAAACCAAATGATTGTCTTAATAAATACAGAAAAGGCCAAGATATGATATCAATTTAGGCTTTGAACAACAGATAAATGGATTTGTTTCTTTTTTTTTGTATATCCTATTATACTCCTGTTTTTCTAACTAGTTTTCTTCTTTTTTTATTATTGTATGTTAAGTTCTGGGATACATGTGAAGAACATCCAGGTTTCTTATATAAGTAAACATGTGCCATGGTGGTTTGATGCACCTATCAACTCATAATCTACATTAGGTATTTCTCCTAATGCTATCCCTCCCCTTGCCCTCCACCCCTCAACAGCCCCTGGTGTGTGATTTTCCCCTCAGTGTGCCCATATGTTCTCATTGTTCAACTCCCACTTCTGACTGAGAACATCTAGTGTTTGGTTTTCTATTCCTGTATTAGTTTGCTGAGAATGATGGTTTCCAGCTTCATCCATGTTTCTGCAAAGGGCATGAACTCATTCTCTTTCATGGCTGCATAGTATTCCATGGTGTATCTGTGCCACATTTTCTTTACCCAGTCTATCCTTGATGGGCATTTGGGTTGGTTCCAAGTCTTTGCTATTGTAAATAGTGCCACAATAAACATACATGAGCAAGTCTTTATAGTAGAATGATTTATAATCCTTTGGGTATATACCCAGTAACGGGATTGCTGGTATTTCTAGTTATAGATCCTTGAGGAATCACCACCCTGTCTTCCACAATGGTTGAACTAATTTACACTCCCAGCAACAGTGTAAAAGCATTCCTATTTCTCCACATCCTCTCCAGCATCTGTTGTTTCCTGACTTTTTAATGATTGCCATTCTAACTGGCATGAGATGGTATCTCATTGTGGTTTTGATTTGCGTTTCTCTAATGACCAGTGATGATGAGCTTTTTTTCATATGTTTGTTAGCTGCATAAATGTCTTCTTTTGAGCAGGTTCTGTCCATATCCTTTGCCCACTTTTTGATGGATTTTTTCTTGTAAATTTGTTTAAGTTCCTTGTATATTCTGGATATTAGCCCTTTGTCAGATGAATAGATTGCAAAAATTTTCTCCCATTCTGTAGGTTGCCTGTTCACTCTGATGATGTTTCTTTTGCTGTGCAGAAGCTCTTTAGTTTAATTAAATCCCATTTGTCAATTTTGGCTTTTGTTGCCATTGCTTTTATTGTTTTAGTCATGAAGTCTTTGCCCATGCCTATGTCCTAAATGGTATTGCCTAGGTTTTCTTCTAGGGTTTTTACGGTTTTAGGTGTTAGGTTTAAATCTTTGATCCATCTTGAGTTAATTTTTGTATAAGGTGTAAGGAAGGGGTCCAGTTTCAGTTTTCTGCATCTAGCTAAACTGTTTTCCCAACACCATTTATTAAATAAGGAATCCTTTCCCCATTACTTGTTTTGTCAGGTTTGTCAAAGATCAGATGGCTGTAGATGTATAGTGTTATTTCTGAGGTCTCTGTTCTGTCATTGGTCTATATATGTGTTTTGGTACCAGTACCATGCTGTTTTGGTTACTGCAGACTTGTAGTATAGTTTGAACTTAGGTAGTGTGATGCCTCCAGCTTTGTTCTTTTTGCTTAGGATTGTCTTGGCTATATGGGCTCTTTTTTTGTTCCATATGAAGTTTAAAGTAGTTTTTTCTAATTCTGTGAAGGAAGTCAATGGTAGCTTGATGGGAATAGCATTGAATCTATAAATTACTTGGGCAACTGGCCATTTTCATGATATTGATTCCTCCTATTCATGAGCATGGAATTTTTTTTCCATTTGTTTGTGTCCTCTTTTATTTCCTTGAGCAGATTTGCAGTTCTGATTGAAGAGGTCCTTCACATCCCTTGTAAATTGTATTCCTAGGTACTTAATTCTCTTTGTAGCAATTGTGAATGGAGTTCACTTTTGATTTGGCTCTCTGTTTTGTCTATTACTGGTGTATAGGAATGCTTGTGATTTTTGCACATTGATTTTGGATGCTGAGACTTTGCTGAAGTTGCTGATCAGCTTAAGGAGATTTGGGGCTGAAACTATGGGGTTTTCTAAATATACAATCATGTCATCTGTGAACAGAGGTAATTTGACTTCCTCTTTTCCTATTTGAATACCCTTTATTTCTTTCTCTTCCTGATTGCCCTGGCCAGAACTTCCAATACTATGTCAATAAGAGTGGTGAGAGAGGGTGTCCTTGTCTTGTGCCAGTTTCCAAAGGGAATGCTTCCAGTTTTTGCCCATTCAGTATGATATTGGCTATGGGTTTGTTATAAATAACTCCTATTATTTTGAAATATGTTCCACCAATACCTAGTTTATTGAGTGTTTTTAGCATGAAGGGATGTTGAATTTTCTTGAAGGCTTTTTTGGCATCTATTGAGAGAATCACATGGTTTTTGTCATTGGTTCTGTTTATGCGATGGATTACATTCATTGATTTGAGTATGTTGAACCACCCTTGCATCTTGGGGATGAAGCTGACTTGATTGTGGTGCATAAGCTTTTTGATGTGCTGCTGGATTCAGTTTGAAAGTATTTTATTGAGGATTTTCACATCCATGTTCATCAGGAATATTGGCCTGAAATTTTTCTTTTTTCTTTTTTTTGGATTATACCTTAAGTTCTGGAGCATATATGCAGAATGTGCAGATTTGTTACATAGGTGTACACGTGCCATGGTAGTTTGCTCTACACATCAACCTGTCATCTACTTTAGGTATTTCTCCTAATTTTATCCCTCCCCTAGCCCCCCAACCCCTGACAGGCCCCAGTGTGTAATGTTCCCCTCCCTGTGCCCATGTGTTCTCGTTATTCAACTCTCACTTATGAGTGAGAACATGTGGTGCTTGGTTTTCTGTTCTTGTGTTAGTTTGCTGAGAGTGATGGTTTCCAGCTTCATCCATGTCCTTGCAAAATACATGAACTCATCCTTTTTTAGGACTGCATAGTATTCCATGGTGTGTATGTGCCACATTTTCTTTATCCAATCTATCATTGCTGGGCATTTGGGTTGGTTCCAAGTCTTTGCTATTGTGAATAGTGCCACAATAAACATACATGTGCATGTGTCTTTATAATAGAATGATTTATAATCCTTTGGATATATACACAGTAATGGGATTGCTAGGTCAAATGGTATTTCTAGTTCTAGATCTTTGAGGAATTGCCACACTGTCTTCCACAATGATTGAACTAATTTACACTCCCAGTTTTTTTGTTGTGTCTCTGCCAAGTTTTGGTATCAGGATGATGCTGGCCTCACAACCTGAGTTAGGGAGGGGTCCCTCTTTTTCTATTGTTTGGAATAGTTTTAGAAGGAATGGTACCAGCTCCTCTTTGTACCTCTGGTAGAATTTGGCTGTGAATCCTTCTGGTCCTGGGCTTTTTTTTTTGGTTGGCAGGGTATTAATTACTGCCTCAATTTCAAAACTTGTTATTGGTCTATTCAGGGATTTGACTTCTTCCTGGTTTAGTCTTGGGAGGGTGTATTTGTCCAGGAATTTATCCATTTCTTCTAAATTTTCTAGTTTTTTTGTGTACAGGTGTTTATAGTATTCTCTGATGGTAGTTTCTATTTCTGTGGGATCAATGGTGATATTCCTTTTATTATTTTTATTGTGTCTATTTGATTCTTCTCTCTTTTCTTCTTTATTAGTCTAGCTAGCAGTCTATTTTATTAATATTTTCAAAAAAAAACAGCTCTAGGATTCATTGATTTTTTGAAGGGTTTTTTGTGTCTCTATCTCCTTCAGCCCTGCTCTGATCTTAGTTATGTCCCAGAGATTCTGGTACATTGTGTCTTTGTTCTCATGAGTTTCAAGGAACTTATTTATTGCTGCCTTAATTTTGTTATTTACCCAGTAGTCATTCAGAAGCAGGTTGTTCAATTTCCATGTAGTTGTGTGGCTTTGAGTGAGTTTCTTAATCCTCAGTTCTAATTTATTGCACTGTGGTCTGAGAAACTGTTTGTTATGATTTCCATTCTTTTGCATTTGCTGAGGAGTGTTTTACTTCAAATTATGTGGTCAATTTTAGAATAAGTGCTATGGGGTGCTGAGAAAAATGTATATTCTGTTGGTTTGGGGTGGAGACTTCTGTAGATGTCTATTAGGTCCACTTGGTCCAGAGCTGAGTTCAAGTCCTGAATACTAATTTTGTTAATTTTCTGTCCTGTCCTGTTGATCTGTCTAATATTGACAGTGGGGTGTCAAAGTCTCCCACTATTATTGTGTGGGAGTCTAAGTCTCTTTGTAGGTTTCTAAGATCTTTCTTTATGAATCTGGGTGCTCCTGTATTGGGTGCATATATATTTAGGATAGTTAGCTCTTCTTGTTGCATTGATCCCTTTACCATTATGTAATACCCTTCTTTGTCTTTTTTGATCTTTGATGGTTTAAAGTCTGTTTTATCAGCGACTAGGATTGCAACCCTTGCTTTTTTTTTGCTTTCCATTTGCTTGGTAAATATTCCTCCATCCCTTTATTTTGATCCTATGTGTGTCTGCACGCGAGATGGTTCTCCTGAATACAGCACACCAATGGGTCTTGACTCTTTATCCAATTTGCCAGTCTGTGTCTTTTCACTGGGGCATTTAGCCCATTTACATTTAAGGTTAATATCGTTATATGTGAATTTGATCCTGTCATTATGATGTAAGGTGGTTATTTTGCCCATTCATTGATGCTGTTTCTTCATAGTGTCAATGGTTTTTACAATTTGGTATGTTTTTGCAGTGGCTGGTACCAGTTTTTCCTTTCCATCTTTAGTGCTTCCTTCAGGAGCTCTCGTAAGGCAGTCCTGGTGGTGACAAAAATCTCTCAGCATTTGCTTGTCTCTAAAGGATTTTATTTCTCCTTCATGTACAAAGCTTAATTTGGCTGGATATGAAATTCTGGATTGAAAATTCTTTTCTTTAATAATGTTAAATATTGGCCTCCACGCTCTTCTGGCTCATAGGCCTTCTGCAGAGAGATCCACTGTTAGTCTGATGGGCTTCCCTTTGTGGGTAGCCCAACCTTTCTCTCTGGCTGCCCTTAATATTTTTTCCTTCATTTCAACCTTGGTGAATCTGACAATTATGTGTCTTGGGATTGCTCTTCTTGAGGAGTATCTTTGTGGTGTTCTCTGTATTTCCTGAATTTGAATGTTGACCAGTCTTGCTAGGTTGGGGAAGTTGTCCTGGATAATATCCTGAAGTGTGTTTTCTAGCTTGGTTCCATTCTCCCCATCACTTTCAGGTACATCAATCAAATGTAGGTTTGGTCTTTTCACATAGTCCCATATTTCTTGGAGGCTTTGTTTGTTCCTTTTCATTCTTCTTTCTCTAATATTGTCTTCTTCCTTTATTTCATTAAGTTGATCTTCAATCTCTGATATCCTTTCTTCTGCTTGATGGATTCAGCTATTGATATTTGTGTATGCTTCACGAAGTTCTCATGCTGTGTTCTGCAGCTCCATCAGGTCATTTATGTTCTTCTCTAAACTGGTTATTCTAGTTAGAAGCTCCTGTTACCTTTTATCAAGGTTCTTAGCTTCCTTTCATTCGGTTAGAACATGCTCCTTTAGCTCAGAGGAGTTTATTATTACCCACCTCTGAAGCCTAGTGCTGTCAATTTGTCAAAGTCACTCTCCATCCAGTTTTGTTCCCTTGCTGGTGAGGAGATGTTATCCTTTGGAAGAGAAGAGGCATTCTGGTTTTTGGAATTTTCAGCCTTTTTGCGCTGGTTTTTCCTCATCTTTGTGGATTTATCTACCTTTGGTTTTTGATGTTGGTCACCTTCAGATGGAGTATTTGCGTGGTTGCTTTTTTGTTGCTGTTGATGTTGATGCTATTGCTTTCTGTTTGTTAGTTTTCCTTCTAACAGTCAGGGCCCCCTTCTGCAGGTCTGCTGGAGTTTGCTGGAGGTCCACTCCAGACCCTGTTTGCCTGAGTATCACCAGCGGAGGCTGCAGAACAGCAAAGATTTCTGCCTGCTCCTTCCCCTGGAAGCTTTGCCCCAGAGGGGCACCCACCAGATGCCAGCTGGAGCTCTCCTGTATGAGCTGTCTGTCAAGCCCTACTGGGAGGCGTCTCCCCATCAGGAGGCACGGGGGTCAGGGACCCACTTGAGGAGGCGGTCTTGTCCCTTAGCAGAGCTCGAGCACTGTGTTGGGAGATCCACTGCTCTCTTCAGAGTTGGCAGGCAGGAACGTTTAAGTCAGCTAAAGCTGCACCACAGCCGCCCCTTCATCCAGGTGCTCTGTCCCAGGGAGATGGCAGTTTTATCTAAAAGCCCCTGACTCGGGCTGCTGCCTTTCTTTCAGAGATGCCCTGCCCAGAGAGGAGGAATCTAGACCAAATGGATTTTTTAAAGTGGTATATATATACACATACACAATTGAATACTATTCCACCATAAAAAAAAAAGAATAAAATCCTGTCATTCATGGCAATATGGATGGAACTGGAGGATATTATGTTAAGTCAAATAAGCCAGAAATACTGAGACAGATGGGCCTGTAAAGTAATAAGGCCAGACACAGCGGCTCATATCTGTAATCCCAGCACTTTCAGAGGTCAAGGTGGGAGGATCACTTGAGCCCAGGAATTTGAGACCAGCCTGGGCAACAGAGGAAGACCCTGTCTCTACAAACGACAGGGTGGCCAGGCCTGGTGGTGCATGCCTATAGTCCTATCTACTCAGGAGGCTAAAGTATGAGGACTGTTTAAACCCAGAAGGTTGAGGCTACAGTGAGCCATAATCACACCCCTGTACTCTGGCCTGAGGGACAGAGTGAGGTCCTGTCTTAAATAATAATAATAATAATCATCATCATCATCATTATCATTATCATCATCAACATCATCATTACCTAGAAACAGAAAATTGAACACTGCATATTTTTACCTATGTATGGAAGCTTAAAAAGGTTGATTTCATGTAAGTTAAAAGTAGAACAGAGGATACTAGAGTTTGGGAAGAGTAGGGAGAAGGGAGGGATAGGGAGAAGTTTTTCAGGGATACGATTACAGTGAGATAGGAGGAATAAGTTTCAGTGTTCTATTCCACTGAATTACTATAGGTAACAATACATTATTATGTAGTTTCAAATAGCTACAAGTAGAACATTGAACATTGCCAAAACAAAGAAATGATAAATGTTTGAGATGATAAATATGCTAATTACTCTGATCTGATTACTGTACATTATATGCATTGAAATATCACTATGTTTACCATGAATATGTACAATGGTTGTCAATGAAAAAAATTAAAATATTACATAAAGAAACAAAATATTCTTTAATATTATAAAATATAATATGAATGAATGTTCTGTAGTAAATATAATGTTATTTAACATTCTTTTAAAAATTGGAAGCAACAAAGATAGCCTTCAATAGGTGAAAATGTGGTACATCCAGACAATGGAATGTTATTCATCAATAAACAGAAATGAACAAAAAAGCTGGCTGGGCACAGTGGCTCATGCCTGTAATTCGAGCACACTGGGAGGCCGAGGTGGGTGAATCACCTGAAGTCAGGAGTTCAAGACCAGCATGGTCAACATAGTGAAACCCCGTCTCTACTAAAAATACAATAATCAGCTGGCTATGGTGGCAGGTGCTGTAATCTCAGCTACTCAGGAGGCTAAGGCAGGAGAATCACTTGAACCCAGGAGGTGGAGGCTGCAGTGAGCCAAGATTGCACTCCAACCTGGGTGACAGAGTGAGACTCTGTCTCAAAAAAAATTAAAAAATAATACAGGATATGGATGAAAAATCTCCAGAGAAATAGATATTATAAATAGAAAACAATCACAACTTCTGGAAATGAAAGACACACTTAGAGAAAGGCAAAATATACTGGAAAGTTTCAAGAATACAAGCCAACAAATAGAAGAAAGAATTTCAGAGCTCAAAGACATGGCTTTTAAATTAATCCAATCTGACAAAGCCAAAAAAAGAGGAATTTTTTTTAAAAATGAGCAAAGCCTCTAAGAAGTGTGGAATTATGTTAAACAACTAAATCTAAGAATAATTGGTGTTCCTGAGGAAGAAAAGAAATCTAAAAGTTTGGGAAATGTCTTTGAGGGAATAATTAAGGAAACCTTCCCTGGCCTTGTTACAGGTCTAGACATCCAAATACAAGAAGTTCAAAGAACACCTGGGTAATTCATCACAAAAAGATTATCACCTAGGCATAGTCATCAGGCTATCTAAGGTAAACATAAAAGAAAGAGCCTTAACAGCTGTGAGGCAAAAGCATCAGGTAACCTATAAAGGGGAACCTATCAGATTAACAGCAGATTTCTCGGCAGAAACCCTACAAGCTAGAACGGATTGGCGTTCTATCTTTAGCCACCTTAAACAAAATAATTATCAGCCAAGAATGTCATATCCAGCAAAACTAAGCTTCATAAATAAAGGAGGAATAAAGTCTTTTTCAGAAAAACGAATGCTGAGAGAATTCACCACTACCAAGTCACCACTACAAGAAATGATAAAAGAATTCCAAATCTTGAAAGAAAAGCTCAAAACACACCAAAATAAAACTTCCTTAAAGCATAAATCTCACAGGGCCTATAAAACATAACACAATGGAAAAAGAAAAACAAAATGTTCAAACAACAACTAGCATGATGAATAGAATAGTATCTCAAATCTCAATACTAACATTGAATGGAAATGGCTTAAATGAGCCACTTAAAAGATATAGAATGGCAAAATGGATAAGAATTCACCAACCAAGTATCTGCTTTCTTCCAGAGACTCACCTAACACATGACTCACATAAACGTAAGAGAAAGGGGAGGAAAAGATATTCCATGCAAATGGACACCAAGAGTGAGAAGGAGTAGCTAGTCAATGTCAGACAAAACAGACTTCAAAGCAATAACAGTTAAATGTTAATGTCAATGTCAGACAAAACAGACTTCAAAGCAATAACAGTTAAAAAACAAAAAAAAATTAAAAAATTAAAAAGCAGCAACAGTTAAAAAAGACAAATATAATGATAAAAGGACTAGTTCAACAGGAAAATATCATAATCTTTCACCTAACACTAGAGCGTCCAAATTAATAAAACATATATGCATCTAACACTGAAGCTCCCAAATTTGTAAAGCAATTACTACTAGACCTAAGAAATAAGATAGACAGCAACACAATAATAGTGGAGGGACTTCAATGCTCCACTGACAGCACTAGACAGTTCATAAAGACAGAAAGTGAACAAAGAACAAATGGACTTAAACTATACCCTAGAAAAAATGGACTTAACAGATATTTACAGAACATTTTACCCAACAACTGCAGAATGTATCTTCTATTCATCAGCACATGGAATATTCTCCAAGATACATGATATCATAGGCCACAGAACAAACCTTAATAAATTTAAGAAAATCAAAATTATATCAAGTACTCCCTCAGACCACAGTGGAATAAAATTGGAAATCAACTTCAAAAGGAACCCTCAAAATCAGGAAAATACATGGAAATTAAATGATCTGTTCATGAATGATGTTTGGGTCAGCAATGAAATCAAGATGAAAATTTAAAAATTCTTTGAACTGAACGATGATAGTGACACAATCTATCAAAACCTCTGCAATACAGCAAAAGCAGCGCTAAGAGGAAAGTTCATAGCATTAAATGCCTACATCAAAAAGTCTGAAAGAGCACAAATAGACAAGCTAAGGTCACACCTCAGGGAACTAGAGAAACAAGGACAAACCAAACCCAAACACAGCAGAAGAAAATAAACATCAAAGCAGAAATAAATAAAATTGAAACAAAACAAACAATACAAGAGATAAAAGAAATGAAAAGCTACTTCCTTGAAAAGATAAATAAAACTGATAGATCATTAGCAACATTAACCAAGAAAAGAAGAGAGAAGAGCCAAATAAACTTTATTAGAAATGAAACTGGAGGTACTACAACTGATACCACAGAAACACAAAAGATCATTCAAAGCTACTATGAATACCTTTATGCACACAAACTAGAAAACCTAGAGGTGATGGATAAATTCCTGGAAATGTACAAACCTCCTAAATTAAGCCAGGAAGAAATAGAAACTCTCAACAGACCAATAACAAGCAATGAGATTGAAAAAAAAAAAAAAAAACTGCCAACAAAAGAAAGTCCAGGGCCAGATGGATTCACAGCTGAATTCAATCAGACAATCAAGGAAGAGGTGGTACTACTGAAACTATTCCAAAAAATAGAGGGAGAATCCTCCCTAAATCATTATATAAACCCATATTATCCTAATACCAAGACCAGGAAGGGATGTAACAACAACAACAAAAAAACAAAACAAACAAAAAAAAACTACAGACCAATATCCTTGATGAACTTAAATGCAAAAAATCCTTAACAAAATACTAGCTAAACAAATCCAACAGCATTTCAAAAAGATAATTCACCATGATCAAGTGTGTTTTATACCAGGGATGCAAGGATGGTTTAACATACTCAAGTCAATAAATGTGACACATCACATAAACAGAATTAAAAATAAAAATTATATGATCATCCCAACAGATGCAGAAAAAGCAGTTGACAAAATCCAGCATCGCTTTATGATTAAAACCCTCAGCAAAATCAGCAGAGAAGGGGCATACCCTAATGTAATAAAAGCCATCTATGGCAAATCCACAGCCAACATTATGCTCAATGGGAAAAGTTGAAAGCATTCTCCCTGAGAAATGGAATAAAAGAAGAATGCCAACTTTCACCACTTCTATTCAACATAGTAATGGAAGTCCTAGCCAGAACAATCAGACAAGAGAAAAAAATAAAGGGCATCCACACCAGTAAAGAGGAAGTCAAACTGCTGCTGTTTGCCAATGATATGATTGTATACCTAGAAAACTCTAAAGACTCATCCAAAAAGCTCCTAGATCTGATTAATAAATTCAGTAAAGTTTCAGAATACAAAATTGATGTAATCAGTAGCACTGCTATACATCAACAGCAACCAAGCTGAGAATCAAATCAGGAACTTATCCCCTTTAACAGTAGCTGCAAAAAAAATAAAATACTTAGGAATATACCTAACCTAGGAGGTGAAAGACCTCTGCAAGGAAAACTACAAACACTGCTGAAAGAAATCGTAGATGGGTTTTTTAAACAAATGGAAACACATCCCATATTCATGGATGGTTAGAATTAATATTGTGAAAATGACCATACTACCAAAAGTAATCTACAAAATATCATTATCATTCTCCACAGATCTAGAAAAAGTAATCCTAAAATTCATATGGAAACAAAAACGAGCCTGCATAGCCAAAGCAAGACTAAGCAAAAAGAACAAATCTGGAGGCATCACATTACCTGACATCAAACTATACTGCAAGGCTATAGTCACCAAAAGAGCATGGTGCTGGTATAAAAATAGATAGGCACACAGACAAATGGAACAGAATAGAGAACCCAGAAATAAAGCCAAATATTATAGCCAACTAATCATCAACAAAGCAAGCAGAAATATGAAGTGGGGAAAGGACACCCTATTCAACAAATGTGCTGGGATATTTGGCAAGCCACATGTAGAAGAAGGAAACTGATACTCATCTCTCATCTTACACAAAAATTAACACGAGATGGATCAAAGACTTAAATCTATGACCTGAAACCATAAAAATTCTACAAGATAACATTGGAAAAACTCTTCTAGACATTGGCTTAGGCAAAGGCTTCAGGACCAAGAACCCAAAAGCAAATGCAACAAAAAAAGATAAATAGATGAGACTTAATTAAACTAAAAAGCTTCTGCACAGCAAAAGAAATAAGCAGCAGAGTAAACAGACTACCCACAGAGTGGGAGAAAATATTCACAAACAATGTGTCTGACAAAAGACTAACATCCAGAATCTACAAAAAATTCAAACAAATTAGAAAGGAAAAAACAACCCTACAAAAAGTGGGCAAAAGACATGAATAGACAATTCTCAAAAGAAGACATACAAATGGCCAACAAACATGAAAAAATGTTCAACATCACTATCAGGGAAATGCAAATTAAAACCACCATGAGATATGACCTTACTCCTTCAAGAATGGCCATAATTAAAAAATCAAAAAATAATAGATGTTGACATGAATGTGGTGGAAAGGGAACACTTTTACACTGTGGGTGGGAATATAAACTAGTACAACCACTACGGAAAACGGTGTAGAGATTCCTTAAAGAACTAAAAGGAGAACTACCATTTGATTCAGCAATCCCACTACTGGGTATCCAACCAAAGATAGAAAGAATCAATATCATGAAAATGGCCATACTGCCCAAGGTAACTTATAGATTCAATGCCATCCCCATCAAGCTACCAATGACTTTCTTCACAGAATTGGAAAAAACTACTTTAAATTCCATATGGAATGAGAAATGGGCCCGCCTTGCGAAGACAATCCTAAGGTAAAAGAACAAAGCTGGAGGCATCACGCTACCTGACTTCAAACTATACTACAAGGCTATAGTAACCAAAATAGCATGGTAGTGGTACCAACACAGAGATATAGATCAATGGAACAGAACAGAGCCCTCAGAAATAATACCACACATCTACAACCATCTGATCTTTGACAAACCTGAGAAAAACAAGCAATGGGGAAAGGATTCCCTATTTAATAAATGGTGCTGGGAAAACTGGCTAGCCATATGGAGAAAGCTGAAATTGGATCCCTTCCTTACATCTTATACAAAAATTAATTCAAGATGGATTAAAGACTTAAATGTTAGACCTAAAACCACAAAAACCCTAGAAGAAAACCTAGGCAATACCATTCAGGACATAGGCATGTGCAAGGACTTCATGTCTAAAACACCAAAAGCAATGGCAGCAAAAGCCAAAATTGACAAATGGGATCTGTTTAAACTAAAGAGCTTCTGCACAGCAAAAGAAACTACCATCAGAGTGAAAAGGCAACCTACAGAATGGGAGGAAATTTTTGCAATCTACTCATCTGGCAAAGGGCTAAAACCCAGAATCTACAATGAACTCAAACAAATTTACAAGAAAAAAACAAACAACCCCATCAAAAAGTGGGTGAAGAATATGAACAGAAACTTCTCAAAAGAAGATACTTATGCAGCCAACAGACATATGAAAAAATGCTCATCATCACTGGCCATCTGAGAAATGCAAATCAAAACCACAATGACATACCATCTCACACCAGTTAGAATGGCGATCATTAAAAAGTCAGGAAACAACAGGTGCTGGAGGGGATGTGGAGAAAAAGGAACACTTTTACACTGTTGGTGGGACTGTAAACTAGTTCAACCATTGTGGAAGACAGTGTGGTGATTCCTCAAGGATCTAGAACTAGAAATACCATTTGACCCAGCCATCCCATTACTGGGTATATACCCAAAGGATTATAAATCATGCTGCTATAAAGACACACGCACATGTATGTTTACTGCAGCACTATTCACAATAGTAAACACTTGGAACCAACTCAAATGTCCACCAATGATAGACTGGATTAAGAAAATGTGGCACATATACACCATGGAATACTATGCAGCCATAAAAAAGGATGAGTTCATGTCCTTTGGAGGGACATGGATGAAGCTGGAAACCATCATTCTCAGCAAACTATTGCAAGGACAAAAAACCAAACACCACATGTTCTCACTCATAGGTGGGAATTGAACAATGAGAACACTTGGACACAGGAAGGGGAACATTACACACCGGGGCCTGTCATGGGGTTTGGGAAGGGGGGGAGGGATAGCATTAGGAGATATACCTAATGTAAATGACGAGTTAATGGGTGCAGCACACCAACATGACGCATGTATACATATGTAACAAACCTGCACATTGTGCACATGTACCCTAGAACTTAAAGTATAATAATAAAAAAGGTTATATTTATAAATAGTGAAAATAAGAAAAAAAAGAAAAAGAATCATTATATGAAAAAAGACACTTGCACATGCATATGTATAGCAGCACAATTCACAATAGCAAAAATATGAAACCAACCTAAATGCCCAGCAACCAACAAGTGAATGAAGAAAATGTGATATACATACAACATGGAATACTACTCAGCCATAAAAAGAAACAAACTAATGGCATTTGCAGCAACCTGGATTAAGTTGGAGACCCTTATTATAAGTGAAGTAACTCAGAAATGGAAAAGCAAACATCGTATGTTCTCACATATAAGTGGGAGCTAAGCTGTGAGGATGCAAAGGCTTAAGAATTATATAATGGAGTTGGGGGACTTGGATGGAAGAGTGGGAGTGGTGGATAAAAGACTACACATCGGGGGAGGAGCCAAGATGGTTGAATAGGAACAGCTCCGGTCTACAGCTCCAGGCATGAGCGACGCAGAAGACGGGTGATTTCTGCATTTCCATCTGAGGTACCAGGTTCATCTCACTAGGGAGTGCCACACAGTGGGCGCAGGCCAGTGGGTGCGCGCACCGTGCGCGAGCCGAAGCAGGGCGAGGCATTGCCTCACCTGGGAAGCGCAAGGGGTCAGGGAGTTCCCTTTCCAAGTCAAAGAAAGGGGTGACGGACGCACCTGGAAAATCGGGTCACTCCCACCCGAATATTGCACTTTTCAGACGGGCTTAAAAAACGGCGCACCACGAGACTATATCCCACACCTGGCTCGGAGGGTCCTACGCCCACGGAATCTCCCTGATTGCTAGCACAGCAGTCTGAGATCAAACTGCAAGTCGGCAGCTAGGCTGGGGGAGGGGCGCCCGCCATTGCCCAGGCTTGATTAGGTAAACAAAGCAGCCTGGAAGCTCCAACTGGGTGGAGCCCACCACAGTTCAAGGAGGCCTGCCTGCCATTGTAGGCTCCACCTCTGGGGGCAGGGCACAGACAAACAAAAAGACAGCAGTAACCTCTGCAGACTTAAATGTCGCTGTCTGACAGCTTTGAAGAGAGCAGTGGTTCTCCCAGCACACAGCTGGAGATCTGAGAACGGGCAGACTGCCTCCTCAAGTGGGTCCCTCACCCCTGACCCCCCAGCAGCCTAACTGGGAGGCACCCCCCAGCAGGGGCACACTGACACCTCACACAGCCTGGTACTCCAACAGACCTGCAGCTGAGGGTCCTGTCTGTTAGAAGGAAAACTAACAAACAGAAAGGACATCCACACCAAAAACCCATCTGTACATCACCATCATCAAAGACCAAAAGTAGATAAAACCACAAAGATGGGGAAAAAACAGAACAGAAAAACTGGAAACTCTAAAACGCAGAGTGCCTCTCCTCCTCCAAAGGAACGCAGTTCCTCACCAGCAACGGAACAAAGCTGGATGGAGAATGACTTTGACGAGCTGAGAGAAGAAGGCTTCAGATGATCAAATTACTCTGAGCTACGGGAGGACATTCAAACCAAAGGCAAAGAAGTTGAAAACTTTGAAAAAAATTTAGAAGAATGTATAACTAGAATAACCAATACAGAGAAGTGCTTAAAGGAGCTGATGGAGCTGAAAACCAAGGCTCGAGAACTACGTGAAGAATGCAGAAGCCTCAGGAGCCAATGCAATCAACTGGAAGAAAGGGTATCAGCAATGGAAGATGAAATGAATGAAATGAAGCGAGAAGGGAAGTTTAGAGAAAAAAGAATAAAAACAAATGAGCAAAGCCTCCAAGAAATATGGGACTATGTGAAAAGACCAAATCTACGTCTGATTGGTGTACCTGAAAGTGATGGGGAGAATGGAACCAAGTTGGAAAACACTCTGCAGGATATTATCCAGGAGAACTTCCCCAATCTAGCAAGGCAGGCCAACGTTCAGATACAGGAAATACAGAGAACGCCACAAAGATACTCCTCGAGAAGAGCAACTCCAACACACATAATTGTCAGACTCACCAAAGTTGAAATGAAGGAAAAAATGTTAAGGGCAGCCAGAGAGAAAGGTCGGGTTACCCTCAAAGGGAAGCCCATCAGACTAACAGCGGATCTCTCGGCAGAAACCCTACAAGCCAGAAGAGAGTGGGGGCCAATATTCATCATTCTTAAAGAAAAGAATTTTCAACCCAGAATTTCATATCCAGCCAAACTAAGCTTCATAAGTGAAGGAGAAATAAAATACTTTACAGACAAGCTAATGCTGAGAGATTTTGTCACCACCAGGCCTGCCCTAAAAGAGCTCCTGAAGGAAGCGCTAAACATGGAAAGGAACAACCGGTACCAGCTGCTGCAAAATCATGCCAAAATGTAAAGACCATCGAGACTAGGAAGAAACTGCGTCAACTGACGAGCAAAATCACCAGCTAACATCATAATGACAGGATCAAATTCACACATAACAATATTAACTTTAAATGTAAATGGACTAAATTCTCCTATTAAAAGACACAGACTGGCAAATTGGATAAAGAGTCAAGACCCATCAGTGTGCTGTATTCAGGGAACCCATCTCACGTGCAGAGACACACATAGGCTCAAAATAAAAGGATGGAGGAAGATCTACCAAGCAAATGGAAAACAAAAAAAGGCAGGGGTTGCAATCCTAGTCTCTGATAAAACAGACTTTAAACCAACAAAGATCAAAAGAGACAAAGAAGGCCATTACATAATGGTAAAGGGATCAATTCAACAAGAAGAGCTAACTATCCTAAATATATATGCACCCAATACAGGAGCACCCAGATTCATAAAGCAAGTCCTGAGTGACCTACAAAGAGACTTAGACTCCCACATATTAATAATGGGAGACTTTAACACCCCACTGTCAACATTAGACAGATCAACAAGACAGAAAGTCAACAAGGATACCCAGGAATTGAACTCAGCTCTGGACCAAGTGGACCTAATAGACATCTACAGAACTCTCCACCCCAAATCAACAGAATATACATTTTTTTGAGCACCACACCACACCTATTCCAAAATTGACCACATACTTGGAAGTAAAGCTCTCCTCAGCAAATGTAAAAGAACAGAAATTATAACAAACTATCTCTCAGACCACAGTGCAATCAAACTAGAAGTCAGGATTAAGAATCTCACTCAAAGCCGCTCAACTACATGGAAACTGAACAACCTGCTCCTGAATGACTACTGGGTACATAACGAAATGAAGGCAGAAATAAAGATGTTCTTTGAAACCAACGAGAACAAAGACATGACATACCAGAATCTCTGGGACACATTCAAAGCAGTGTGTAGAGGGAAATTTATAGCACTAAATGCCCACAAGAGAAAGCAGGAAAGATCCAAAATTGACACCCTAACATCACAATTAAAAGAACTAGAAAAGCAAGAGCAAACACATTCAAAAGCTAGCAGAAGGCAAGAAATAACTAAAATCAGAGCAGAACTGAAGGAAATAGAGACACAAAAAACCCTTCAAAAAATCAAGGAATCCAGGAGCTGGTTTTTTGAAAGGATCAACAAAATTGATAGACCGCTAGCAAGACTAATAAAGAAAAAAAGAGAGAAGAATCAAATAGACACAATAAAAAATGATAAAGGGGATATCACCACCGATCCCACAGAAATACAAACTACCATCAGAGAATACTACAAACACCTCTACGCAAATAAACTGGAAAATCTAGAAGAAATGGATAAATTCCTTGACACATACACTCTCCCAAGACTAAACCAGGAAGAAGTTGCATCTCTGAATAGACCAATAACAGGAGCTGAAATTGTGGCAATAATCAATAGTTTACCAACCAAAAAGAGTCCAGGACCAGATGGATTCACAGCCGAATTCTACCAGAGGTACAAGGAGGAACTGGTACCATTCCTTCTGAAACTATTCCAATCAATAGAAAAAGAAGGAATCCTCCCTAACTCATTTGATGAGGCCAGCATCATCCTGATACCAAAGCCAGGCAGAGACACAACCAAAAAAGAGAATTTTAGACCAATATCCTTGATGAACATTGATGCAAAAATCCTCAATAAAATACTGGCAAACCGAATCCAGCAGCACATCAAAAAGCTTATCCACCACGATCAAGTGGGCTTCATCCCTGGGATGCAAGGCTGGTTCAATATACGCAAATCAATAAATGTAATCCAGCATATAAACAGAACCAAAGACAAAAACTACATGATTATCTCAATAGATGCAGAAAAGGCCTTTGACAAAATTCAACAACTCTTAATGCTAAAAACTCTCAATAACTTAGGTATTGATGGGACATATCTCAAAATACTAAGAGCTATCTCTGACAAACCCACAGCCAATATCATACTGAATGGGCAAAAACTGGAAGCATTCCCTTTGAAAACTGGAACAAGACAGGGATGTCCTCTCTCACCACTCCTATTCAACATAGTGTTGGAAGTTCTGGCCAGGGCAATTAGGCAGGAGAAGGAAATAAAGGGTATTCAATTAGGAAAAGAGGAAGTCAAATTGTCCCTGTTTGCAGATGACATGATTGTATATCTAGAAAACCCCATTGTCTCAGCCCAAAATCTCCTTAAGCTGATAAGCAACTTCAGCAAAGTCTCAGGATACAAAATCAATGTACAAAAATCACAAGCATTCTTATACACCAATAACACACAAACAGAGAGCCAAATCATGAGTGAACTCCCATTCACAATTGCTTCAAAGAGAAGAAAATACCTAGGAATCCACCTTACAAGAGACGTGAAGGACCTCTTCAAGGAGAACTACAAACCACTGCTCAATAAAATAAAAGAGGGTACAAACAAATGGAAGAACATTCCATGCTCATGGGTAGGAAGAATCAATATCGTGAAAATGGCCATACTGCCCAAGGTAATTTATAGATTCAATGCCATCCCCATCAAGCTACCAATGACTTTCTTCACAGAATTGGAAAAAACTACTTTAAAGTTCATCTGGAACCAAAAAAGAGCCCGCATCACCAAGTCAATCTTAAGCCAAAAGAACAAAGCTGGAGGCATCACGCTACCTGACTTCAAACTATACTACAAGGCTACAGTAACCAAAACAGCATGGTACTGGCACCAAAACAGATAGTGATCAATGGAACAGAACAGAGCCCTCAGAAATAACGCCACATACTACAACTATCTGATCTTTGACAAACCTGAGAAAAACAAGAAATGGGGAAAGGATTCCCTGTTTAATAAATGGTGCTGGGAAAACTGGCTAGCCATATGGAGAAAGCTGAAACTGGATCCCTTCCTTACATCTTATACAAAAATTAATTCAAGATGGATTAAAGACTTAAACATTAGACCTAAAACCATAAAAACCCTAGAAGAAAACCTAGGCATTACCATTCAGGACATAGGCATGGGCAAGGACTTCACAACTAAAACACCAAAAGCAATGGCAACAAAAGCCAAAATTGACAAATGGGATCTAATTAAACTAAAGAGCTTCTGCACAGCAAAAGAAACTACCATCAGAGTGAACAGGCAACCCACAAAATGGGAGAAAATTTTCACAACCTACTCATCTGACAAAGGGCTAATATCCAGAATCTACAATGAACTCAAACAAATTTACAAGAAAAAAACAAACAACCCCATCAAAAAGTGGGCGAAGGACATGAACAGACACTTCTCAAAAGAAGACATTTATGCAGCCAAAAAACACATGAAAAAATGCTCATCATCACTGGCCGTCAGAGAAATGCAAATCAAAACCACTATGAGATACCATCTCACACCAGTTAGAATGGCAATCATTAAAAAGTCAGGAAACAACAGGTGCTGGAGAGGATGCGGAGAAACAGGAACACTTTTACACTGTTGGTGGGACTGTAAACTAGTTCAACCATTGTGGAAGTCAGTGTGGCGATTCCTCAGGGATCTAGAACTAGAAATACCATTTGACCCAGCCATCCCATTACTGGGTATATACCCAAAGGACTATAAATCATGCTGCTATAAAGACACATGCACACGTATGTTTATTGCGGCATTATTCACAATAGCAAAGACTTGGAACCAACCCAAATGTCCAACAATGATAGACTGGATGAAGAAAATGTGGTACATATATACCATGGAATACTATGCAGCCATAAAAAATGATGAGTTCATGTCCTTTGTAGGGACATGGATGAAATTGGAAACCATCATTCTCAGTAAACTATCGCAAGAACAAAAAACCAAACACCGCATATTCTCACTCATAGGTGGGAATTGAACAATGAGAACACATGGACACAGGAAGGGGAACATCACACTCTGGGGACTGTTGTGGGTTGCGGGGAGTGGGAAGGGTTAGCATTGGGAGATATACCTAATGCTAGATGACGAGTTAGTGGGTGCAGCGCACCAGCATGGCACATGTATACATATGTAACTAACCTGCACGATGTGCACATGTACCCTGAAACTTAAAGTATAATAAAAAAAAAAAAAAAGACTACACATCGGGTGACAGATACACTGCTTTGGTGATGGGTACACCAAAATCTCAAAAATCACCACTAGAGAATTTATCCATGTAACCAAAAACCACCTGTTTCCCAAAAACTATTGAAATAAAAAAAATTTTTAACCTAAATTTAAAATATACAATTCAGAGATAACCCATTTGCTTTTGAGTTCTTGGTCATGAAGTCTTTTCCTAAAGTGACAAGATTTCTGAAGAGGCGAGAGTGGATTGATTTAGAACACAGCTTCCCTATCTCCTTCCCCACATAGGAAAGGAGAAACTTCCTCTGTGACATAAAGGAGGGAGCAAGGGTTGCCCTAGAGCAGATAAATTTGTAGGGCGGATCCCAGGATTTGAAGATGTTTCCATTTGATGATTTCCATTTTCATCATCATGTAGGATACAAGATCCTCCAGAGAGTGGATTAGGGGGATTGGTTGGGAAAGGAATTTTAAGTACATGGTAAAGGTGTTGTTGCTTCTGAGGTAATGGGAGACAAATGAACTAGGACAAATAGGGTAGATAGTAGTATTATGTTGTGTCATCTCCAGCCTTAACTTTATGTACTTTTCCCCCGCTGAATTTTTTTCCTCTGACTCCTCCCAACCACTCGTTCTCAGGATTGACTGCCTTCTCCATTAGATTTTTCTCCCCTAACCCCAATTACTGTCCTGAATCTGATAAAGTGGTGCACCCATTGAGTTAACAAATCAATCGATCACTCTATAAAGGTCATCCATTTTTTATTTAAATAAAATTTTAAAAACAAAAAAAGAAGGAAATGTAAATAAAGTATAGAGTTTAGTTAATAATAATATTTCAATATTGGTTTATTAATTGTAACCAATGTACTTTACTAAAGTAAGAAGTTAGTAATTGGGGAAACTGGGTGTAGGGCACTATTTTCTGTAAACCTAAAGCTGTTCTAAAGTTAAAAGTTTATTTTTTAAAACAAAGTGAATATTACCGAGAGAGAGAGTAGGAGAGAACACATGTGCACACACCTGGAGTGTAAATAGAAAAACATCTATATGAACTATGAGTATTGTATTAGTCCATTTTCATGCTGCTGATAGACGTACCCGAGACTGGGAAGAAAAAGAGGTTTAATTGGACTTATAGTTCCACATCGCTGGGGAGTCCTCAGAATCATGGCAGGAGACAAAAGGCACTTCTAACACTGCAGTAGCAAGAGAAAAATGAGAAAGAAGCAAAAGCAGAAACCCCTGATAAACCCATCAGATCTCGTGGGACGTATTCACTGTCATGAGAATAACACGGAAAAGACTGGCCCGCATGATTAAATGACCTCCCCCTAGGTCCCTCGCACAACACGTGGGAATTTTGGGAGATACAATTCAAGCTGAAATTTGGGTGGGGACACAGCCAAGCCATATCATTCTGCCCCAGGCCCCCCCAAATCTCATGTCCTCACAATTCAAAACCAATCATGCCTTCCCAACAGTCCCCCAAAGTCTTAACTCATTTCAGCATTAACTCAAAAGTCCACAGTCCAAAGTCTCATCTGAGACAAGGCAAGTTCCTTCCACCTGTGAGTCTGTAAAATCAAAAGCAAGCTAGTTACTTCCTCCTAGATACAATGGGGGTACTGGTATTGGATAAATACAACTGTTCCAAATGGGAGAAATTGGGCAAAACAAAGGAGTTACAGGGCCCATGCAAGTCTGAAATCCAGCAGGGTAGTCAAATTTTAGAGCTCCAAAATGATCTCCTTTGACTCCATGTCTCACATCCAGGTCATGCTAATTCAAGAGGTGGGTTCTCATGGTTTTGGGCAGCTCTGCCCCTGTGGCTTTGCAGGGTACAGCCCCTCCCTCCCGGCTGCTTTCACAGGCTGGCATTGAGTGTCTGCGGCTTTTCCAGGTGCACAGTGCAAGCCGTCAGTAGATCTACCATTCTGGGGTCTGGAGAATGGTGACCCTCTTCTCACAGCTCCACTAGGCAGTGCCCAGTAGGGACTCTGTGTGGGGACTCCAACCCCACAATTCCCTTCTGCACTGCCCTAGCAGAGGTTCTCCATGAGGGCCCCGCCCCTGCAGCAAACTTTTGCCTGGGCATCCATGCGTTTCCATGAATATTCTGAAATCTAGGTGGAGGTTCCCAAACCTCAATTCTTGACTTCTGTGCACCCGCAGGCTCAACACCACATGGAAGCTGCCACAGCTTGGGGCTTCCACCCTCTGAAGCCACAGCCTAGGCTGTATGTTGGCCCCTCCCGGTCATGGCTGGAGCAGCTGGGACACAGGGCACCAAGTCCCTAGGCTGCACACAGCACAGGGACCTTGGGCCCAGCTCACAAAACCACTTTTCTTCCAGGCAGCCAGGCCCGTGATGGGAGGGGCTGTCGTGAAGGTCTCTGACATGCCTGGAAACATTTTCTCTATGGTCTTGGGGATTAACATTAGGCTCCTTGAAATAGAAACGCTTTTACACTGTTGGTGGGACTGTAAACTAGTTCAACCATTGTGGAAGACAGTGTGGCAATTCCTCAGGGATCTAGAACTAGAAATACCATTTGACTCAGGCATCCATTACTGGGCATATACCCAAAGGATTATAAATCATGCTGCTATAAAGACACATGCACACGTATGTTTATTGCAGCACTATTCACAATAGCAAACACTTGGAACCAACCCAAATGTCCATCAATGATAGACTGGATTAAGAAAATGTGGCACATACACACCATGGACTACTATTCAGCCATAAAAACGGATGAATTCATGTCCTTTGTAGGGACATGGATGAAGCTGGAAACCATCATTCTCAGCAAACTAGCGCAAGGACAAAAAACCAAACACCACATGTTCTCACTCATAGGTGGGAATTGAACAATGAGAACACATGGACACCGGAAGGGGAACATCACACACCGGGGCCTGTTGTGCGGTGGGGGAAGGGGGGAAGGATAGCATTAGGAGATATACCTAATGTTAAATGACGAGTTAATGGGTGCAGCACACCAACATGGCACATGTATACGTATGTAACTAACCTGCACGTTGTGCACATGTACCCTAGAACGTAAAGTATAATAATAATAATAATAATAATAAATTAGGATCCCTGCTACTTATGCAAATTTCTGCAGCCAGCTTGAATTTCTCCCCAGAAAATGGGATTTTCTTTTCTATCACATAGGCAGGCTGCAAATTTTCTGGGTTTTTATGCACTTATTTCCTTATTAAAACTAATGCCTTTAACACACCCAAGTCACCTCTTGAATGCTTTGCTGCTTAGAAATTTCTTCCACCAGATATCCTAAATCATCTTTCTCAAGTTCAAAGTTCCACAAATCTCTAGGGCAGGGGCAAAATGCCGCCAATCTCTTTGCTAAAACAACAAGAATCACCTTTGCTCCAGTTCCCAACAATTTCCTTATTTCCATCTGAGACCACCTCAGCCTGAACCTTATTGTCCATATTGCTATCAGCATTTTGGGCAAAGCCATTCAACAAGTCTCTAGGAAGTTCCACAGTTTCCCACATTTTCCTATCTTCTTCTGAGCCTGAGCCCTCCAAACTGTTCCAACAACTGCCTGTTACCCACTTCCAAAGTCACTTCCACATTTTTGGGTATCTTTTCAGCAATGCCCCACTCTACTGGTACCAATATCTGTATTAGTCAGGGTTCTCTTAGAGGGACAGAACTAATAGAATAGATAGATAGATAGATAGATAGATAGATAGATAGATAGATAGATAGACAGACAGGAGTTTATTAAGTATTAGCTTACATGATCACAAGGTCCCACAACAAGCTGTCTGCAAGCTGAGGAGCAAGGAGAGCCAGTCCAAGTCCCAAAACTGAAGAACTTGGAGTCAGATGTTCAAGCTCAGGAAACATCCAGCATGGGAGAAAGATGTAGGCTGGGAGGCTAGGCCCGTCTCTCCTTTTCACATTTTTCCTCCTGCTTTACATTTGCTGGCAGCTGATTTGATTGTGCCGACCAGATTAAGGGTGGATCTGCCTTTCCCAGCCCACTGACTCAAATGTTAATCTCTTTTGGCAACACTTTTACAGACACACCCAGGATCAATACTTTGTATCCTTCAATCCAATCAAGTTGACACTCACTATTAACCATCACAAGTGTGAATAATTGTGAGCTTAGTCACATAAATGTCACAAAGCTCAAAGCCTTCTCGCTCAAAGTGAGATCCCAGAGCAGCTGCATCATATCACCTGGAAGCTTTGGAAATGCGTAATCTCAGGCTCCACCCTGGACATACTGAATCGGAATCTGCATTTTAACAAGATCTACAGGTGATTTATATGCACATTAAAATTTAAAACACACTAACTTAGAGGATATCAAATATAAATTTATTCATTCCCTATTGTCCCCAATTCACACTTCCTCCTAGCAAAATTTTTATATCTGTAAATCTTTTTTTAGTTTTTGTTACTCTTTTTCATTAATGGATGTGCTAGTCTATCTGTAAATCTCAGTAATTCAGATAGGTATATTTACTGCAGAAGATGATTAATTTACCGCTGACCAAAAATTCTAATCATGAAAATATTTCTAACAGGGCAAACTACAGGCTGGATCTCTGGACAAAAGAGCATTCTTAGTCTGTCTAAATTACTAGTTAACCACCACCTAACAACTGAGAGACTAGGCATGGGGAGTGCCTTTTTAAAAAGATAAGCGTATGTTAATCACTTCAAGGTATTAATATATATAATTTACTCCAAGAGAATGAAAAAGACTTTCCCTCTGCTCAGGTGAAGGTGTGTTCACCTCTATTTACAGAGTAGAAAATCTGGCAGAGTAATTACAGATGGAATAAGAGCTATAAGCTCCAGATTACTCTCAGGAAACATTTCTTAGTCTAAATGCACTTTTTAATTAGCTCTTCCAATAGCATCATGCTAATTGGCTAATTCGGGAATGATATGAGACCCCATGTGCTTTAAAGAAAATCTGTTTGTTGATATATTTATTTGCAACTGAGACTGTCTTATTGCTGGCAGGACAGATATTATTAAAACAGAATCACCTGCTTATTTTAACCAGGTTTTTTTAATGAACACACATGAATTGGATTATCCCTAGGGTTTCAGGAGGAAGTATTAGCATTCTGAGTGATGGGAAATTGCCACTTAGCTGGGAAATAAATGAGCTTTAAATAGATCCCATTATTTTTTGCGAGGTTATTACTGTAAATGTTTTATAATAGAAGAAATGCCTTTCAAGTCTATCCTCATTGTTGGTTTATGATTGGGGTGTTAACCTCTAACTAGCCCAGCTCTTCACGTCAAGCCATGGTGAGCTTTCATAAGTGGTTACTACATAAAATAAAATTACCCTTTATTGGCCCATATAATATTTCCAACAAGTTCCTTGGTTAACCATGCTGTGAACAAAATGTATTAAGTTTATTTGCCTGAGCTAGGAAACAGTAGTCTTTAAAACTTTTTATAGGTTCAATATATTCTACTATTAACGAGACTATCCTGAACACTATGGAAACATAGTTTAGGTGAGAACATGGTGATATATTTGAATATTTATTTATATCTCATCTGAGTATTTCACATTGTTTTACTTCTTTCTCTAACAGATGACACTTTATGATCCAAGCAAATCTCCTCTCTAGGTTGCTAGTACTATTTAAAATGTGCCTTTTCAGCCTAATTTCTGCCACCAAATAATAATTTTAAAAAAGAAAGTGCATAGATCATCCTGGATTTTGCAAAGCGTTGTGGTAGACTTCTTCCTCCAGCTTAACATTCTCTTTTCAGCTGCTGCTATTCCACACAGTTGGCTAAGGTTCATCGCTAAGTTTGGAAATGCTAGGGTGCCCCCTACCGTTAAAATGGGAAATCACGTTTCTTAGCCACGCCATTCAAAGAACAATATTCTCCCAAAAAGGGTATTTAACCAAAGCACAGATAAGCAATTAGTCACACCGATGGATGGCTGGATGGATGGATGGATGGGAGACAGAGGCAGGTAGTAAATCTACCTGAGGATAAATTTGAAATTTTGAAGTTAGAAGCTACTTGAGTATTCATCTGGTCTAGAGATCTGTGGGAGATAGGGTGACTGAATATCACATGGTCAAAAGTATACACGTATATGCATTTTTCTAAAATAATAGTGTGTATAGCTATCATCATTATTTCAAAGGTATACATAACCTGGGTCACTCTCTCTCCACTACCTTCCCTGTCATCTTTCTTGGTGGTATCAGTGTCCCTGTAGGTGATTCATCTACTTAACATCAGACTTCTCACTTCTTGAACTCCCTTTTTTAATGAACCTGTTCTCCACCTACTTTAGTCACTCAGGCCCATTATCACACCCTAAATTTTATTACCAACATCTCTACCACCTGCAGAATCTCATTTGCAGGCATTCCACTCTGATCACCAACACTTATTTTTCTAGCTTATTTTTTATAGTATTCCTCTACAACTTTTGACCCATAGGAATGGCCCAGTTCATTATCCCTGCCATTTTTTCAGTACCATCTCATTTCTGAACTTCTTCCTGACAGATCTTAGTCTCCATGTCACGTCACTAGAACTATTTCCTTGCATAAATTCAACTTTGTGCCTCCCTCCCACCATTTTATTCCGCAGGTAAAATTCCAGCCCTAGTCAAATATAAATCTCCATTTATTCCAGATCCAAAGTCTAGTAGTTGCATAAGAAAAAAACTGACTGAAGAAAAACACAAAACCAAGTGACCAATCTCATTTTAAATTTATAATTAAAAAATTCAAGAGGGCTTGCAGTCCTACTATGTTTTCTAGTCAAGTCACTGCCTCACTCTCTAAATCAGTTCTCCTTCCTCACCTTTCGTCCAGCCCTCAACACACCCTCCTCCTTTCTTACTCTCAGCTGATAACCCTTTTTTATATATACAACTTGCCATCCTGTTGTCCTCTTATACAACTGACAGCTGTTCCAAAGAAACCTCTCCACTTCTACACTGTATCCCAACCCCTTTCCCAACTCAAGAATTTGCTCCTGTAATTATTTCCTCTTACTCCTTTATTCTCCTCAACTATACAATTCCTATCAACACGAATTGTGCTATAAAATCTCATATGTTTAAAAAGCATCTTTTCTCTGCCCTCTTTAAAAAAAAAAAAACAGTGTCTTACTCTGTTGCCCAGGCTGGAGTGCAGTGGCACACTCTAGGCTCACTGCAAACCTCCGCCTTCCAGGTTCAAGCGATTCTCATGCCTCAGCCCCCCCAGTAAGTGGGACTACAGGTGAGCATCACCACACCTGGCTAATTTTTGTATTTTTAGTACAGATGGGGTTTTGCCATGTTGGCCAGGCTTGTCTCAAACTCCTGGGCTCCAGCAATCCTCCCGCCTCAGCCTCCCAAAGTGCTGGGATTACAGACATGAGCCACCACACCCGGCCCTCTCTGCCCTCTTCATAGCAGAGTTTGTTAAAGAGTTCTCCATCATACACACTACTTACCTCCTAAACTTTTGTGAACCCATTTTCATGAAACTGCGACTCCACTACTGGCATCAAAAGAGCTCCTGTCAAGGTTGCCAGTAACATCCAATTGTCAAACTTCATGGTCAATTCTCAGGCTTCACCTTTACCTCCAAATAGCATTGTCAGTTGATTTCTCCCTCCTTCTTAAAATACCTCTTCACTTGAGTAAGTGCTCCATAAACGTCTGTTGAATTAATGACCCCAAAAATATTAAGAGTGCAGAACCAATCCCAGATTCCAGTGCAAATGAAAGAGCAGGGCTTAACCTTCTCATCTAAGTTTTACATAGGTGATAGATGGCTTAAATTGGGACTTGGCATTGATGGGCCAATCTTTATTCTTCCAATATTCTGTGAGTGATTGCATACTGTTGTCCCTGTTTAGTCTGTATATCTTTTTCATTAGTTCCCCAAAGATTTATGGAGCACTACTCCATGCCAGGTAATGTGTATCTAGAAATTTGTCAATTTGGATTATGTCCTCAGAAAACGTATACTATAAATTAAATAGAAGAGGCAAGTATATAGCTAATTATCAGACAAAATACAAAGTAATTGTTGTCTCACAAAGGCACAGAGAACTAAGCAAGTTCAAAGGAAAGACAGATTCTTTGTAGCCAGAGAATGATTCCGGGAAATTTTGTAACAATAGTAAACTTTGAACTATTCCTTAAAAAAGATGTAGAATGTAGGCATGTAGAAAGTGGGGAAAGGAGGATGGAAGTATTTCCAGGGGAAGATATGAGTATAGTGGATAGCAGTCACAGAAACGTCATATAGTTCAGTTCTTGCTGAAGCAAAGAATAGATGAAAGGGAGTGATATGAAATGAGGTCAAAAAGAAGCATTAGAGGAAAACACTGTAGGGCCTTATGATGCTAGGCTAAGAATGTACATTTTTCTAAAAAATGGGAAAACTGTTGAAAGTTTTAAGGTATAGTAGTGGCAAGATTGTAAAGGCTGGAATAGAATGGACTATAAGTAGAAAAAATCATCAAAGCATAGGTGAAGCACTGTCAAACAAGGAGAATGCCTGTGAATGGAGAGGTAGTGACAGATTACAGATGTTCCAGAAATTGAATAGGTACGGTGGAAGGCAGTTCTCCCAAAAGTGATCTATAAATGTGGCACAATCCCAATAAAAATCCAGGAAAGATTTTTATGCAAATAAATAAGCTGATTCTTTTTTTTTTTTTTTTTTTTTTTTTTTGAGACGGAGTCTTGCTCTGTCGCCCAGGCTGGGGTGCAGTGGCGCGATCACAGCTCACTGCAAGCTCCGCGTCCCGGGTTCACACCATTCTCCTGCCTCACCCTCCCGAGTAGCTGGGACTACGGGTGCCCACCATCACGCCCGGCTAATTTTTTGTATTTTTTAGTAGAGACGGGGTTTCACCGTGTTAGCCAGGATGGTCTCTATCTCCTGACCTCGTGATCTGCCTGCCTCAGCCTCCCAAAGTGCTGGGATTACAGGCGTGAGCTACCACACCTGGCCATAAATAAACTGATTCTAAAACTAATAAAAGAAAAGCAAAGTAACTAGAACAACCAAAATAATTCCAAATAAAGAACAAAGAGCATTCACACTGATTCTAAGACATATTCTAAAGCTATAGTAATGAAGACAGTGTGGTATTGGTGAAAGTGTAAACACATAAATCAATAGAACAAAATAGTGAGTCTATAAATAGACTCATACAAATATAGCCAATTGATTTATGGCCTAGGTACAAAGGCAATTAATTCAATGTAAGAATAACTGTTTCAAAAAATAGTGCTAAAATAACTCAACATTCACAAAAAAAATCTATGAGATTTTGAAGTAAGCTAATCTTTCATAGAGAAGACACCAAAAGCATGATCCATTAATGAAAATAATGAAAAATTGGGCTTCATCAAAATTTAAAACTTCTATTCTTTGAAAGACACTGTTAAGAAAATAAAAATCCAAGCTAAAGACAGGAGAAAATATCTGCAAAACACATATCTGACAAATGACTTGTATCCAGAATACAGAAATATCTCTCAAAACTCAGTAATAGGAAGATAAGCCAGTTTTAAAAATGGCAAAATACTAAGACAGAAACTTTACCAAAGAAGACACATGCATGGCCAACAAGCTTATGAAAAGACATTCAACATCATTAGTCATTACCGAAATGCACATTAAAACTACTATGTGCTATTATTGCATACCTATAGAATGCTTAAAACATTTTTTTAACTAACAATATGTGACAATACCACATTCTGGCAAGGATGTACTGGAATACTCATGAATTGCTGGTGAAAATGCAAAGTGATGCAGCTGTTTCGGAAAACCATCTTTTGATTTCTTATAAAGTTAACATATAGCCCAGCAATCCCACCTGATAGGTATTTTTTCAAGAGAAATGAAAAGTTATGGTAATACAAAACATATATATGAGAGTTTATAGCTGCTTTATTTAGAATTCCCCAAAACTGGAAACAACCCAAACATCTTTACATGGTAAGTAGATGAACAAATTGTAGCATATCTATGCAGTGGAATACTACTCAGCAATAAAAAGAATGTATTACTAATCCATGCAATAACATGATGGATCTTGAAAACGTGTACTGAGTGAAAGAAGCCAGTCTCAAAAGGTTACACACTCCATGGTTCCATTTATATGAGCTTCTTTTTAAGGCAAAACAATAGGAACAGAAAACAGATCAGTGGTTATGATGGGCTGGGATGGGGAAGAAGAGATTTACTACAAAAAGGCACAAGAGAATTTTAGAGAGTGATGGAACAGTTCTTCATTTTGTTTGTGATGGTAGTTACACAACCTATATGCATTTGTCAACACTCTTAGGATTGCACACTAAAAAGGGTGCTTTTTACTGTGTATAGATGATACCTCAATAACCCTATTTAAAAATCGATACACAATTTTTAAATGTATCACATCAAAAACATACCTAGGAATAAATCTAATGCAAGAGGTACAATATCTCAACATTGAAAACTAAAAAGCAATAAAGAAAAGCTAAATAAATGTATACATGTACCATATTTAGTGTTTGGAAGTCAAAACATTGTTTTAAAAAAAAAAAGTAAAATTCCCCAAACTGATCTTTAGATTCAATGCAATCACAATAAAAATCCCAGCAGATTGTGTGCATGCTTAAAAAAAATAGAATGAGAGGCTGTGCTTAAAGCCTGAAACAAGTGATAGAAATGCAGATGGGGGCTATCCTTGAACCCTTGGGGTAAAACTGTCCAGGTGAGTTGAGACGTTGGGTTCGAAGGATCTTTAAAGGCAAACAAGAATTGAGAGTCAGGATGTACAGGGATGCAGAAAAAGGCATCCTTAAGGTCCAGGACTGTAAACCACTCTGCTTCCTCTGGTATTTGCGAAAGCAGAGTATAAGGGCTAGGTACAGCTGGGTATAGAAGAAAAACAGCCTCATTGATAATCCTGAGATCTTGCACTAATCTCTACTATCCGTTGTGTTTCTGTACTCCTAAAATTGGAGTATTGCAGTGGCTATTGCATGGTTTTACTAGGCCTTGGGCTTTTAGGTCCTTAACCATGTTTTGGAGTCCTTGTTGGGCCTTGGGTCAAGGGGGTACTGCCTTTGGTAGGGAAAGGAGGCAGAATGCTTTAGTTTAACTAGAACAGGACAGGTATTCTTTGCTCATCCATATTGTCCTTCTATTGCCCAGACTTCAGGATTAATTCCTTCCTCAAGCAGGGAACAACAAATGGGTGTTCCTTCTCCTATGTTCAGATGTATAATGGCCCCTGCTTTTGCTGGAATGTCTCTCCCTAACAAGGGAGTGGGGCTTTCAGGCATAATTAGAAAAGCATGTGAGAAGAGTAAAGTTCCCCAGTCACAACTTAGTGGCTGGGAGAAGTATCTAGTGACTGGCTGTCCTAGGACCACTCAGATAGTGACAGATCTGGAGGACAGTTGTCCGGGACAGGAGAGTAAGACTGAGAAGGCCAGACCAGTGTCCAGGAGATAGTTAACCTCCTGGCCCTCAATGGTCAAGCATACCCGGGGCTCTGTGAGGGTGATGGCATGGGCTGGCGCTTGCCCCGGCACCCTCAGTCCTGCTGCTGGATCATCTGGTAAGTGGCTTCTGACTCAGAGGACCTTCATCCTCTTGGGCAATGGGCCTTCCAGTGATTCCCTTGACATAAGGGGTATGGACGAGGGGGTGGCTTATTTCTACTTGGACAATCTTTTTTAAAGTGTCCTTGAAGACTACACTGGAATCAAGCCCTATTAGGCATTCGATTTCCCCAGCTTTTCCCTTTTCCAGAGTCTCCAAAGCTGCTTGCCTGAGGGTCATGACTAAAGCGGTGGCCTTTTTTTTTTTTAATCCCGTTTGTCCCATTCTGCCTGCTCCTCCTGATCTCTATTATAAAAAACCGAGGTTGCCAAGTTCAATAGGGTTTCTAAGTTTTGCTCCAGGCCTAAGGCAGACTTTTGAAGTTTTTTTCTAATGTCTGCAGCTAACTGAGTGATAAACTTATCCTTTAAGATTAGTTGACCTTCAATAGAGTCAGGTGACAGGGAGGTATGCTTCCTTAATGCCTCCCCTAGTCTCTCCAGAAAGGCAGTAGGATTTTCTTCCTTTCCTTGTGTTATAGTGGACATCACTGAATAATTCATAGGCTTCTTCCTAGTTTTCTTTAGTCCTTTTAGCACTCAAGTTAGCAAATGTCAGTGGCACCAATCTCCATGTTCTGATTCTGTGTCCTAATGAGGGTCTACACTGGGAACTGCCTGCTGGCCTGTGGGGAATCGTTCTCTTTCCTCTGTTGTCATCCTATCATTGACCTGACTGAGATACCAGAGATCGCCAAACTCTCGGGCTGCAGTTATGACGGCACTTCTTTCATTTGGGGTTAGCGTCTGATCTAGCAGTAACATTATATCTCTCCATGTCAGATTAAAGGATTGCCCTAGCCCTTGTAAAACATCAATATAGCCATCAGGGTTATCTGAGAATTTACCTAGGTCTATTTTAATTTGCTTTAAGTCTGAGAGAGAAAAAGGTACATGCACTCTGGCTGGGCCAATTTCTCCTCCTCCCACTGCTTGGAAGGGGCATAATCGGGGAATACTGGCACTCTTTAGTTCATTGTTTACCCATTTGTCTATCTCCTTTTGGACCGTTTGGGTTGAAGGGGGGTCCTTATTAGTTGGGGAAGGAGTCGGGGGGATGCTGGGATAGGGAGGTAGACTCTGAGGGCTTCCTGTAGGGCATACACCGTAATTGCGAGTTGTCTCTTAATGAAAAGAAAGTTTGCACATATGGCATTTCACTCCATTTGCCTTCTTTTCTACAAAAGAGGTCTAACTGTAAGATGGTGTTATAATTTATACTTCTCTCAGGAGGCCAGGTTTCTCCCCCTTGAAGAGGATATTGTGGCCAGGCAGTACTGCAGAAGAATATAAGTCGTTTCTTTCTTGGAGTCTGAGGATCAAATTGGTCCTAATTCTCCAGAATACATCTTAGGGGCATTTTTGCCTTGGGGGGAATGTTTCCCATCTGGAAAAAGAACATAGGGATGCCAGCACCCCTAGTCATTTTCTGATGAGCATTAGTCCTAGAGCTTCCTCTATGGTCCTAATGCTTATTCCTTTCCAGGGTGCATAACCACCCATGGACCTCTGCTTATCGGATTAGTTACGCTCACCAATGTAGCAGTCCTGCACTCCTTTTCCCGCCTTTCTTGACCACAAAGAAAGGGGCCTGGGCTGCTGGATTCTAGTGGTCCTTTACCAGCGTGCCCAACATTGCCTTTGTGCTCAGAGGTGAGTTCCTTTCCAGGGTGCGTAACCACCCATGGACCTCTGCTTATCGGATTAGTTACGCTCACCGATGTAGCACTCCTGCATCTGTTTTCCTGCCTTTCTTGACCACAAGGAAAGCGGTCTGGGCTGCTGGATTCTAGTGGTCCTTTACCAGCATGCCCAACATTGCCTTTGCACTCAGGGGTGAGTCCTAGAGCTGGGCTGGGTTCCTGAGTATTTCATAACAACCCAGCTGCCCCATCAAGATGCACTCCCATAAACAACAGTTCTTATGCAAATTCATTTCAGAGAGGGTGTAGCTAACCTTTTGAGTCAGGATTGAGATAGTCTTTTGATTCTGTAAGTACTTTAAGGCTTGGCTGAGTGCAAACAGCTCACACATTTGAGGAGACCAATTATTAGGCAATTTTTTAACTCTGCTTCCACAAGAGTCTCCTATCAATTACTGAATACCCATTGTGGTTTTTTCCTCAATCATCTGGGAGGAACCATCTACTGTCCTGTCCTGAAGGGAGTTCCTCCTAGGTCTGGTCGGACCTTTGTGTGGTAATTAAGATTTAAATCCTTTGTTAGGAAATCTGCTGGGTTAAGGGAATTATCAGTGGTTGGAGTTACATTACCCTTTTCTAACATAATAGCCCCATACTTTAAGATTTTTGAGTTAGTAAGCTACCTTTTTGGTTTTTTTGGCTATGAGGTGTGCTCACAACGAGGTTTCCTCTAACAGTTACTTTTCTAGTTTTAGCAAAGCAGTTGCGCTACCGACTGAATGCATTTGGCCCATCCGCAGGTTACTGGGCTAAGGACTTGCTACGCCCTTATTTACACTGACAACAACAGATCGCGCTTCTGCACTCAATTATCTGCAATTATCAATTACAGGTTTTAAATTTACCCTGGCTTTTAAAGGAATAGGGCACACTTTTTTTTTTTTTTTTTTTTACTATTTCTGTTTTTCTTTCTTTTTCTCTTTGACTCCCTCTTTGTCTCTCTGTCTCTCTCTCTCTCCATCTCTCTCTCTCTCTCTCCGTCTCTCTCTCTCAGCCTTACAAACTTGGGGCCCTGGCAAGGGTGGTGGGGAACGGGTCCCACGTAACTGCCCATGTAGAGAGCTGTGTACCTAAATTGGAAGGGATACCAGGGATAAGACTCCCTGGGTTATAGCCTAGGTGCCTAAGGACGCAGCGTAGCGCCTCCTTAGATCCCTTTGGAGATACAACTTGCTAGAGGAAATGAAAGTCTGAACCATTAGTACCTAGGAGGCAGGGATCAGAGGAAGTAGATTCAGAGGTAAGGAGAATTTTGGGGCTACACTTTCAAGAAAGTCCCAGTCAGGACCCAGGAGGCATGGTTCAGAAGGAAAGGTAGGGGCGCACTGCTGAGTAGAGACTTCTGGCTGTGCCATGATCTCAACCGGCTACTGCCGGGAGTTCGGGACAACAGCTTTCTGCCTCTAGTTGGCCCTCGGCTTCCCCAAGAAAATTGAAAGTGGAAGCTGGCTCCGGGCAGACCAACGTCCCCAGTAGAAGGGTTGGGGGTTGTTAGAAAGCCCTTCCACAGATAGCCTCACACCTGAGTCTTAAGTCCGGTGGCCACTCTAATTGTTTTTAACTGGCCGACAAGTGCCCGGTATTTTCCTCCAGTTCTAAGGAAGGATAGAACAGAATAGCAAGCGAAAGTGGTCCAATATTACTCACCACTTTGGATGTCCCTTCGTGGTCACCAAAATGTTACCGGGGTCCTTGCTCACAGAGCTCCCAAGATGGTGGCGAGCTGCTTCCAAGATGGTGGCAAGCCTCGTATTCTCTGACCTGGGGTTCTTGGCCTCACAGATTCCAACGAATGGAATCTTGGGCCATGCGGTGAGTGTTATAGCTCTATTAGAAGCCGTGGGTCACGGAAGAGAACCGTGGAACCCAGTGACTAGTGTTCAGCTCGATTAGGACGAAACCAGGCACTTAGCCATGCAGGAACAATGGCAACCCTTTAGCATGATCGGGAGTGGCAATGGGAGTCTGGCTGGTTCAGGAGCACAGCGGACACCCTGCCAGATTCAGAGGGATGGGAATCAGCAGCAGGATGGGAGTCAGCGGCGGGTCTGCGACAGTGGCAAACAGCAGTGGTAGACGGCGAGCGAAAGCTTAGCTGGAGCCGTAACAAACATGGACCAGAAGAGTGCAGTTGCAAGATTTAATAAAGTAAAATAGAGTGAAAACAGAGCTCCCATACAAAGGGAGGGGACCCAAAGGGGGTTGCCCCCATGTATCCATATCTTCTAGACAACAAGAGGTGAAGCTTTTAAATGATGTCAGTTCAGCTACCCTAATTTTTATTAAAAGGCTCAAACTTTTAAACAGGGTTTGCCCAGATAAGCAGCACTAGGTCCCTTGCCCCAAAGCCATCCTGCATTCAGGGCAGGGAGCAAACCCCTCAATCAGCTAAACTTAAATTCATGTGGCTCAAGGATCACTTCCATCACCTGTGCCACTTTGATTCTAGCTGGTTTAACTCATAGAAGAAACTTCAACAGGAGGTATGTTTCTGAATCCTAGGCAATTCCGAAACAAGAAGCAATGGAAGCAATTCCTAGGCACAGAATTGAAGGGGTGCACTTGAAAAGAATATTGACAATAGACTGCTAAATAGCACCTGCACTCTATTCAGTCCCTAGCACCTCAAAGAATAATGAAAAGTATAGAATAGGCTGAGTAGGGAAGACAGATACTTCATAATAAAAAGTAATGACCAGCCAGGCACAGTGGTTCACACCTGTAATCCCACCACTTTGGGAGGCCAAAGCGATGGATCACCTGAGGTCAGGAGTTCAAGACCAACCTGGCCAATATGGTGAAACCCCATATCTACGAAAAATACAAAAAATTAGCCTGCCATGGTGGCACACACCTGTAATCCCAGCTACTTGGGAGGCTGAAGCACAAGAATCGCTTGAACCTGGGAGGCAGAGGTTCCAGTGAGCTGAGATCGTGCCTCTGCACTCCAGCCAGGGTGACAGAGACTCCATCTCAAAAAAAAAAGGAAAGACTGGGCTTCCGTCCAAAATTTCTAAATTGCATGAAGGAAATAATGTTTCAAATGTCGTGCTCCAATAAGAGAAGACAGTATACATAAAGTAGATTTTTAGGCCAGATATAGTAAATGCATAGTATCAAAATTAACTTCATTTCTTCCAAATTAGTTTAAGTCCATAGGTCATAAATTCTAGCTAATGTACACATATGAGCACCCTGGTAAGTTTCAAATCAAGGTTTTCTCCATTTCTCTCCTTCACTCAGATATCACATAATTTCTTCTATGGCTTCGGTGACATACAGATACTGGGTTGTAGAAACACAATTTTCACTGAGAAAATTGCTCTGAGATAACTGCTCTCAGAGCTAAGAATTGGCTTATTTCCTAAATTTGGTGGGAGCTATGAAATCTTGTATGCCTTGTTACATCTTTGACTTCCTAAAATTGAAGCTCAGCCCGCTGAGTCACTTCAGTTAAGTGACTATGAGTTTAAGAGCCAGGATGGACCTATGGTCTTCCCAGTGAGAAGCAGCTCAAGACGCAGCTGCTTAAAGGAAACACACCTCTCCCCAGGTCTTCCAAACACCTTGGCTGAAACTAGGCAGAAGCAGAAAAAAGGGAGAGAGAATTTCCTTGGATTTTTAACTCACTGGACACTAGATAATTTGATTTCAGTCTTGAATTACTTTGAATTTTATCTTCAGATTTTAACTGGCAAGGAAATTTAACATTTGGGTATTATTTATTCCTGTGAATTTGACACTAGAAAGTTTATTCAAATTTTATCATCTTCATGTTTATCATCTTTATGTTGGCATTTTATTACCAGAGTATCTCAATGCTATTATTTATTCTCATTGTAGAATTCTCATTGTAGAATCCCTTATACGCTATGTTGGACCACATGACTGGGCATAAGTTGGAATGAGAAATAGAATAAAATGATAACTTTTTTATTTGTCAATGGAGTTTCCTTGACATTGAAAACGTACAGTTCTGACCCATTTTATAGGCTACCAGGGACAAAATATAAAGAACCCACCAGTGGTAGGAGGAGGATACACAAAGGAACCTCAATTGGTACTTTTAGAGTAGATTTAGGAAAGTGAATCAGGACCATCCTGAAAGATGGCTTATCTCCTCCCTTAAGGGCAACGGCCCCATGCCTGCTTGACCATAGTTTGATGACTTAAGCCAAACGTGTTAAGAAAGCATGAGTTTAGAGATCATTTGGAAAAGATTGCTTATTCCCCAAACCTTATAATGTTTTCTTTTGTCTTGTTTTTGCTGTCTTAAAAGCTTTCAATTTGTGGTTTTTAATATATGGAAAGAGCTCCTCTAGCTGTATTCTTCATTTGTTCTTTTAAAGAATTAATTTTTAAAAGACAAGTAATTTTTTAATAGAAAAGGAAATGTAAGGAAGTCAAGATCGCTTTTTTTTTTTCTTAAAATTTTTCACCTGTAGCGGGCGCGGTGGCTCACACCTGTAATCCCAGCACTTTGGGAGGCTGAGGCAGGCAGATCACAAGGTCAGTAGATCGAGACCAGCCTGGCTAATATGGTGAAACTCCGTCTCTACGAAAAATTAGCCTGACATGGTGGCACGCGCCTGTAGTCCCAGCTACTCAGGAGGCTGAGGCAGGAGAATCGCTTCAACCCAGGAGGCAGAGGTTGCAGTGAGCCAACACTGCGCCACTGCACTCCAGTCTGGGTGACAGAGTGAGACTCCATCTCAAAAAAAAAAAAAATTCACCTGTAGTTCCATGCACAAGATCTAGCTTTTAGTCCACTACATAAACATGAATCTCCTTACTCTTGGTGTGTTACTACATTTTGATCACCTGTGACAGAAATTGCAGTTCAAATTGGCTTAACCAACAAAGAAAATTAAACTTGGCATCACAAATCACACTATGAATTCAGACGGCCAACTAAAATATATGGAATTCTTAGGCCTACAAAACTTCTAATATCATTCTGAACTGTCTTTGCTGAGGCTGAATGTTAACTCTTCAATCACTTGTCAAGCTCTTAGGTGCTTTATGGAAAACAATAAATTTTAAAATCCAAAATCTAATTTATTAGCAACACATACAGGCATATGAGTCTTACCACTGTGAACTCTAACATAATATCTAAAACCAGAATGGATTCAACATTTTAGATAAACACAGAGTTAATAATTCTTTTGCTTGAATGAATGAAGTCCAAAAATATCACATGAGTGTTTTACACTTGATCCGGTCTGCATGCCGTAGCTCATCTAGAACATTTCTGATGTTCTCAACACAAACTTCTCCTCTGTGATGCTTTTTTGATGCAAGATTCCATACATTTTCAAATTCTTCATCAGACAGTTTGACACCAATGTTACACAATATCTCTGCAATCTAGAAAAAGGCATTTAAAATAGACCATGATTTATATGTTTTAAAACTTGTAATGAAAAATATCTTTATAACATCTAAGACTATGGATATTTTTCCAAAAAAGTATGTGTGAAAAGTATGTGTGTGTATGTATTTGTGTGTGTGCATGTGCTTGTATATATACATAATGAGAAAATATCAAAATTCTAATACTGTCAGCTCAGGAATAATTTTGTTATTATAATATGAGGGTGTTCAAATACACTAGCCAATATATAAAGTTATTTTCAACTTTAAATGTCTCATTATTTTAAGGAGAGGTAGCAAAATTTAAGTAAAAAGAGTGAAAAAAATAAAGAAGACTTGCTAGGTTTGAGTTCCATTTCAGTCATTTATTGTCATTTTGGTCTTGTGTATGTCACCTAAGCCACTTGAACATTAGTTTCATTTATTTATTTATTTATTTATTTATTTATTTATTTTTGAGACAGAGTCTCACTCTGTTGCCCAGGCTGGAGTGCAGTGGTGTGATCTTGGCTCACTGCAGCCTCTGCCTCCTGGGTACAAGCGATTCTTCTGCCTCAGCCTCCTGAGTAGCTGGGATTACAGGTGTGTGCCACCACACCTGGCCAATTTTTTTGTATTTGTAGTAGAGATGAAGTTTCACCATGCTGGCCAGGCTGGTCTTGAACTCCTGACCTCAAATGATCCACCCATCTCGGCCTCCCAAAGTGCTGGGATTACAGGCATGAGCCTCTAGGCATGGCCAAGTTTTGTATTCTTTAAAATACAAACATTTATAAAATGTATCTAACTGGCCTGTTGGAACTTTAACTATGTGTGCAAATGGCAGATAGTGTACCCATGATTAAGAGAGGACACTAAAAGCCAAGCACACTGAAAACCAGCAACCTTTGGTTACAAATAATCTCTCTACAGTGATAATTATTAAAACAGATGAAGGCGGGGAAAAACATGCTTCTTATGTCTTAAGAAAAATATAGGAAAGGAAAGTAAGAACTAGTAGCGGGAAGAAACAATAGAATGAGTAGTGGGAATAAAGTATGTGAAAACAAAATTTTAAAATGAAACTAAATTTAAAAGAAGCATTTACTATGAAGCATTCAGAAAAAAAAAACAAAAAGGGAAATGAAAAGGTTAGAAGCGAATAGCCAAAGAAATAAAATAGTTGCAGAATACATCTATTAAACAGAATCTCAACAATTAAAAAATCCCCTAGAAATGATGTACCCTTGTGGGAAATTAGTGTAATTAAATACAAATTAAGTACTATTCAAATACAAATCAAATTCTGAAATTCAGAAGAGCAGAGCTGCTAGCAACTGCAGCTATAAAGCAAAAACACAATACCCCTATGCATAGCTGCTATTTTCCCCACCCACTGGTAGTTTAAAAAGGCCCCTGCAGAGTGAGCTCAGGAATGGTTTGAGTCAGTCTTGAGCATCCCAGACCTTCTCCCCTGCTTCCTTCCCCACTCCTTGGAGGCTTTGCTCCAGTGGTTTGGCATTCTATCAGTAGTATGCTGACTACCTAACATGTCTACTGAAATCTATCCATCCTCAAGTCAACATTATTATTCCAAGCAGGTCTTTGACTTCTTACTTTTTGTCTAGAATTGTGGGATAAAAGATGACTTCCTAGTTAAAAGGATGACTTCCTTTAGGGGTTATGAAACAAGCAGGAGATTTCTGTTTCTTTTGGAAACCCTAAAGTTCTATTTCATAGGCCTTTCAGAGTGATTGAGGAAAGTGAAAACACAATCTGGAGGTTTTCTTCTTTGACCCACAGGAAGGATACCAAGTTCCTCCTTTGGGGCCAGTAAGAAAGCATCAGCCTCTGTCTCTTCTTCCTCTCTGTCCTGCGTCCGTGTGAAAGAATTGCTGGGATGCATCTGCCATTAATTCGGTTAGTATTTAATACATTTCCAAGCCATCAACCCTTCATCTGAAGTCCGAAAAGACATCGTATGTCTTTTCCTTTATCATTTCTAGCTCCAGCTATGAAGGTTCTGAAGAAGCAAGTACTCCCTGAATTATACCTGCTTTCCATAAGCACAGATGTAGACAGGCTAGTCTAACTGAGCACTGCTATCAATCTCTGGCCCTCAGCACCCCAGTGGCTATTCAGACCTAGCTGGTTTTATAACCCTAGCTTTATAACTCATCTAGGAAGAGGAACATCTCAGATGTGGGCATCATGTTTTCTGAGTCAAAAATAAATAAATAAATAAATAAATAAATAAATAAATAAATAAATAATTAAATAAGACAGATGTATTACCTTACCTGTGTTGTGGCAACAAGACAGAATATTTTAAATCAATGCTTGTCACAGATAATCTGAGACATATGATACCAGTGGACAAGAAGGGTAGCAAAGTGACCATCCTCATGCCCACTCTTAGTTCTAGAGGCCCAAGGCCATCAGGATGCTTACATAAGGAAGGGGTTGATCCTGTTCCTTTTCTCAACTAGAATAGTATTAAATGTTTTAGAAAAATATTTTTCTTCTTTACGTGGACCATATTGAATGTAAAATATGAATTTGCTCTTTCTGTCACAGCATAAATTCTACCTCAAGAATTGTACCAGATGTCACAACCAAGTTGAGGATTATTCATCAAGAATCCTATACTTGGGGATCCTGTAGACTTTTGTAAATATAAAAATTCAAGTTTTTAAAATTCTAAAATAGTAGTTGTTGATAGAGAAAACATTTCCATTTTTGTATGCTTATATGCTATACCTCTTCTTTTGATCTGGTCTTGAAGAAGTCTCTTTCAAACACTCCTTTCCGGGCAAAAATGGTAGGATATAGTAGTGAATATGCACTACCTTCTTCACCATAATTAGTTCTGTCACTGATGCGACGAATTCGGGGAGCAGGAATGTCAGATCGAATGGTTGGAACACCACAAATGGGGTAACCTAGGTCATTGATGAGGGAAGAAAACAGACATTCTAAAACAAAGCTGTGTAACACAGTAGCCACCAGTCACATGTGCATACTGAGCACTTAAAATGTAGCTAGGAAGAATTTTGGTGTATTCCAAATGTAAAATTCAAACATTTTAGTAAAAAAAGGAAAATATTTAATAATTGTTATATTGATTAGTTATTGAAATGATAATATTTTGAATATATATCGTATTAAAATTAATTTCACCTGTTTCTTTTTTTAACATGACTTTTTTTTCTTTTTCTTTTTCTTTTTTGAGACAGGGTCTCACTCTGTCACCCAGGCTAGAATGCAGTGGCATGATCACAGCTCACTGCAGCCTTGAACTCCTGGACTCAAGTGATCCTCCCACCTCAGCCTCCCAGGTTGCTGAGACTACAGGCGTTTGCCATCATGCCCAGCTAATTTTTGTATTTTTTGCAGAGACAGGGTCTCACTATGTTGCCCAGGCTGGTCTTGAACTCCTCACCTCAATTGATCCTCCCACCTTGGCCTCCCAAGATTCTGGGATTATGGGCATGAGCCACCATGCCCAGCCTGGTTTTCTTTAATGCTAAAAAGTTTGTAAATACATAGATGACTTCAATTTTATTTCTATTGGACAACACAGTCTAACGAGAGTAACAAGATTTCATTACTCTAGAATGTATAGCATGTCTATAAAAATCCAGTTGAGAAAAATATGTAAATCCTCAATCATGTCCTTATTCCAAGGATGTGATCTTGATCAACATAAAATAGTTTTTCTATATCACCAATATTCATCATGCTTCATATTGATATATGGATGTTATAGGTTGAATTGTCTCCTCCCAAAATTTAGATGGTGAAGTCCTAACCTCCACTAACTCAGAGTGTGACCCTATTTGGAAATAAGGTCTTTTCAGGTATAATTAATTAAGATAAGGTCATACTGGAGTATGGTGGGCCCCTAACCTAATATGGCTAGAGTTCTTGTAAAATGGAGAAATTTGGACACAGACATGAAAATGGGGAGAACACCACGTGAAGATGAAGGCAGAGATCAGGGTGATGCTGAAGAAGCCAAGTGGTGCCAAAGACTGCCAGCAAATCATCAGAAACTAGGGAAGAGGCATGGACAGATTCTCCTTTACAATCCACCAGAGGAACCAATCCTGCTGACACCTTGCACGTCAAGCCTCCAGAACTGTGAGACAATAAAATTCTATTAAGACACCAGTTTGTGGTACTTTGATACAGCAGCCCCAGCAAACTAACACATGGGGAATGAATATGCAGAGAAATGTTATGTAAAAGCTCTTTAAATATTTGAAGGCAGATATGTATGGAGCTAAGAATCATATGGTTTTAAAATCGTCTAATATTAATACTTGGTGGAGTCTGAATTACTACAATGTATAACATTCAATGTTCTGATCTATAATGGTTTCCATTTCATTAATATATAAAGAATCATTTTACTTTGGTCATCATTGGCAATTCCGTTCAATCAACATTTATATGTGGGCCTCTCCTCCCCAGGTGGTTAGAATATGAATTAAATGCAAGGTACAAAGCTTTGGGAAACTTAATCTAACGGAGAAAGGCAGGGGACAATGCAAGGACAGACAGAGGACAGTTTGTTGATGCTTTTAAAACTTGACAAATAAGTGACATACAAGTAGAAGGAATGGCTCCTACAATTGCATTGATCTCAGAAGAAGTTGTCTTATAGTAGTTGGAAACTTTATCACTTGGTCTCAGAAGTGTCCGGAGAGTCTTTTCTGTGCTTCCTGCTTCTTTTAAGACAATATCTTCTGGCTTTATGAGGAGAGTTTGTTCAGGTTCTTCAACATTAGCCTCAGTAGGGTTTACACAATCTGGTTTTCTACCTTTAAGGAAAATAAATGAAAGAAAAAATGCAGGAATACATTACTACTTAGTGCTTGCTGCTCTGTAACAGGATAAGTTTTCCCATCTAGTCTCTTCTTGCTAATGGAAACAGCTGGCATGACCCCTCCACTGACCCAACACCCAACTGTGGAAGAGTAAGTTCAGGCCAATGTCATATGCCAGGAAATCTGAACATGGCCTAATGTTTTCTTCTGCTACTCCACTCACTTTATTCTAGAATAAAGCTTTGAAATATGAGAGACCAAATGTAAACACAGAATCCATTCATTTCTTTTCTTAAAAAAAAAAAAAAAAAATAGAGCGGCCAGGCACGGTGGCTCACGCCTGTAATCCCAGCACTTTGGGAGGCTGAGGTGGACAGATCACCTGAGGTCAGGAGTTCGAGACCAGCCTGGCCAACATGATGAAACCCCGTCTCTATTAAAAATATAAAAGTTAGTCAGGCATGGTGGCAGGCGCCTGTAACCCCAGCTACTCAGGAGGCTGAGACAGGAGAATCACTTGAATCAGGGAGGCAATGGTTGCAGTGAGCCGAGATCGCGCCATTGCACTCCAGCCTGGAGGAAAACAGTGAGACTTCGTCTCAAAAAAAAAAAAAAAGCGTATTTTAATATTTAACTTGAACTACAGAGTTTTTCCTAGCACTATGCACTAGGGAGAAATAAGACAAGACATGCTTGTAGTGGAAAATTCCACATCTACTTGACTGGGGGGAGCATGCACTACAACATCAAGAGAGATGATAAGAACTCACTGTGAGCTCAAGAACTGTTTCTACAACTAACTCCTGACAAGTCAGTGTACAAAAGAAAACCCTGAGATAGAACTGAAGTTGTAAGACTGTCCTCTTTTGCAGATTGCTTTGCTGAGCCAATTCTGAAATTTAGGAATAAATTCCTGCAATCTTTTTCAGATCTGGTTACTACATATATACCACTAGAGAGCGCTGTGGTGTTCCCATCTTTAGAAAAATTCTAAAGGTTCTGGGGGAGCCCAAGTAAGGGTTGCAAAGGCAAGTGACCTGCTGGTATTAGAGAAGGGTGGATACCGTGGCAAACTAGAAAAGACTTACGTCTCTGAAGAACGCATTCCTCCCCGCAACCCCACCTCTCCCCACACTCAGTTCCTGCCAATTGCTGCTCTGAAAATTCTCAGGCCCACTGTTCCAGATCCTCTAACCCTCCACCTCACCAAAAGTAGAAATCTGGACAAAGTTTGAAAAAGAATTTCTCAAAAAATTGGAAGATTACTTACCCACTTTTCTCCAAAAGTCAACAGTAAGATAGAATTTGGTATCAGAAAAATTTTGGCAGAACATTCCTGGGCCCCCTCTAGACCTACTGACTACAAACTTGACAGTTTCTACCCTAAAATCATAGAAGATGAAAATCCTTAAAAACTCCATTTAAAATGGCTGAAGAAATCAGCATCCAAAAACCAGAAACAATTTGAAGAATTATCTGGTCTGAAATAAGCTTTTGCTTTCTACCACTACTTCATGAGTTGTGCCAAGAAGGAAGCTCTGTCACCCCTGTTTATGAAAGGGTTGGAGTAGAGCTGTTTTCTATAAAAAGCTTCATTAGGTAGGGAAGATTCTGATGCTTTCCTAGTGGATAGAATAGAAAGGCTAACCCATAAGGGCTCGCATCATCAAGAGAGACCAAAATTTGGTTTTGACTTCACAGAAAGGCATGACCCAAGAATAAAAGTGAAAATAGTAGTATCTCCACTTTTTAGAAGAGAGACATCCCGAGAGAAAATAAAAATGTAAATATCTTTTTAAAAAGCTGAACCTCTAATAATTAAGATACAAAAATTAAGGTAGGCTGGATGCAGTGGCTCATGCCTGTAATCCCAGCATATTGGGAGTCTGAGGAGGGAGGATCCCTCAAGCCAGGAGTTCACAACCAGCCTGGGCAACACAGCCACTCAAGAGGCTGAGGCAGGTGAATCACTTGAGCCCAGGAGTTCAAGGCTGCAATGAGCTATGATTGCACCACTGCACTCCAGCCTGGGCAAACAGAGTGAGACACTGTCTCAAAAAAAAAAAAAAAAAAAAAAAAAAAGCAAGGCAAATGAGGTATTATTATAAACCAACTAAAGTACAACAATGTAAGAATTTTTGTTTGAAATAACACTCAATGGTAGTGAGATTGGAGTAAAACCTCACAGACTTAGCTGATAAAATTGCAAATCAGTAAAATCATTTAGAAAAGCAAAATGAAAATAGAGTTACTTCTGAGACAATAATAACATTCATAAGAAATGAGAAATAAAAAGCTTTTTGAGATATGATCATTATAGCATTGTGCATATTACTTTTAAAATATCTAGAAACAGCCTAAATTTCATAGAGTGAAGAAATGGTTTAGTAAATCATAATATATCAGCATGAGGGAACTGAAATGTAGTTCATAGAAACCAAAAAAGCATTTCTTCATTCCTTAGAAATATGAAAGCTGGCTGGGCATGTTGGCTCTTGTCGGTCATCCTAGCACTTTGGGAGGCCAAGACAGGAGGATCACTTGAGGCCAGGAGTTCGAGACCAGCCTGGGCAACATGGTGAAACCCTGTCTCTGCTAAAAATACAAAAAATTAGCCAGGCATGGTGGCACACACCTGCCATAATCCCAGCTACTCTGGAGGCTGAGGCACGAGAATCACTTGAACCCGGCAGGTAGAGATTGCAGTGAGCCAAGATCACACCACTGCACTCCAGCCTGGGCAACAGAGCAAGACCCTATCAAAAAAAAAAAAAAAAAAAGGAAGAAGAGAAATGCGAAAGTTAAATTTTAAAAAGCCTTATATAGTATGTTCAGTGTTATTTTAGACATGCTTAAAATATATACATATACACATATGTATATATGTATATCTATATATGTAATGATACAGAAAGATAAAATGTAGGCCAGAGGTATCCAACCATTTGGCTTCCCTGGACCTCACTGGAAGAAGACTTATCTTGGGCCACACATAAAGTACACTAACACTAAGGACAGCTGATGAGCTTAAAAACAAAATGTCGCAAAAAAATCTCATAGCGTTTTAAGAAAGTTTACAAATTTGTGTTGGGCAGCATTCAAAGCTGTCTTGAACCAAGGGTTGGACAAGCTTGATGTAAACATTATAACATTTGAATCAAAAGTAAAGATTATGCTGTTTTTCCTTTTTATACAAAATTTTTAAAATCTAATTTTATGTCAAATTGTGTGTTTCCTGGGAAAGGGAATTAACTACTCAGATAATCGTTTTTAAACAGGTTTCTGAGAAACTGTCTTTTATATTTTGAGCTTCAGTGTAAGTTTTGTGCTTTTAATTTTTTTGAATAAATAATACATGGTTCCAAACTCAAAAGATACAAAAATATAGATTAAAAAGTGAATCTCATTGCCACCCTGTCCCTCAGCCATCCAACTGCCTCTTCCTGGAAATAATAAATATTATTGATTCTTTCCTACACTACTACAGATATTCCATGCATAAACAAGCAAATAAAAACCATGTATAAATGTATATTTTTATTTTTCATATAATATTAAAGTTGAATATAGCTGAGCTCTTAGAAAAATTAAAATACAGAAGTCCATTTAAGAATTCAGCAAATGGCTAAGCATGCTGGCTCACACCAATAATCCCAGCACTTTGGGAGGCCAAAGCAAGAGAATCCCTTGAACCCAGGAGTTCAAGGGCAAGTAGGACCAGCCTGGGCAACATAGTGAGACCTCGTCTGTATTAAAAATAATAATAATAAATTTTAAAATTTAAAAAAATAATAATTCATCAAACCTTCAAAAATTAAATACCTTTAATAATGACCCTCTCTTCATACTCTTTAAGAAGCATTTTGTCTTTCCAGTTAAGAAAATTTGCGAATTCCAGATAGTTAATGAAGCCATCATTATCCACATCACAGTAGTCAAATAGCTGGTCCAGGAGCTTGTCATCTAAACTCAAGTTGGCCTGGTCACAAGCTTCCTGCAGCTCGTCTTTATCTATCATCCCATCTCCCTTCTGTTATACAGGAAGCAAAAGAACATAAAATGGGAGTTGTCTTCAAGAGCAGAGTAGGCAACATTATTTAGTTTAAGAAAAAAGAAATAGCTTCATCACATAAATTCAAATTTGTCTCAATTTTCACAGAAGAGGAGTCAAATACGCTGGTTAGACCGTGGTAGAGCATTATTACCATGATATGGGCTTGACATTTCATATGACCAATAGGTGTGTACTTTTGACAGCTCTCTACAATTTTTATCCTTACAAAGTTTTTAATACCTTCTGTGTTTTAACCTGGCAATAAATGGCCCTTCATTTCATTGCCTGTTATTAAGGAGAAATTGGGGAGATAGTTGCAGGACAAGTTCACGGAGGTGGGTTCAAAGACAGTGGTCTGGTTTTCATAACACTCCTATGGGCAAGAGGGAAATGCTACCAATCTGATGGTCAGCCCCATTGAAACAAGTAACACTAAGATTCATCCTGGTAAGTAGGGGGAGGAGGGTGGAGGGAAAAAGTCTCACCTCCTTTCAGACAGCAGTTAAAGACAGAAGTACCTACACTGAGTATGAACAGAGGGAAATGTATAAGGGCTCTCAGCAGAAACTGGCTGATTCACTTGGGAGATGAAGGGGCAGAGCACACAATGTTCGTTAAGGAAGAATGTCAACAGCTGGGACATCTTAGCACTCAGTCCCTCCTGCAGTCTATCAAGCCAACCTTAAATCCATTCAGAGATGATGGCAAAGGTCCCAGTTTTCTTGTTTGTTTCTGCAGTGAATTCTTCCTGCTATAAGGGAGCTTTGGCCCCCTCAGAGAGACTTCCCTGAGAGGAAATAACTCCCAAGAGGAATCATAAATGAGTCACTGCGTAGTATTTAAGCTCTTACTGCCCAGGACTGGATTTACAATGCTGATGGAGGCAATCCCCTGGAGAACGAGAAACTGACTCGATGAATTATAAATTCTTGCAGTCAGACCCACAGCCCTGGAAAACTTCCCTACTTAACCCTTGTATTCAAACAGAATGAGAACTTAAAATATATGATCTTGACAATACAGCTGCAAATGCCCTGGATTAAAGCAGACTCCTTTATAAAAGTCTCTACTACAGGCCAGGCACGGTGGCTCATGCCTGTAATCCCAGCACTTTGGGAGCCTGACCAACACGGAGAAATCCCGTCTCTACTGAAAATACAAAATTAGCCAGCGTGGTGGCACATGCCTGTAATCCCAGCTACTCGGGAGGCTGAGGCAGGAGAATCGCTTGAATCCAGGAGGCCGAGGTTGCAGTGAGCCGAGACTGCGCCATTGCACTCCAGACTGGGCAACAAGAGTGAAATTCCATCTCAAAAACAAACAAAAGTCTCTACTACAACCAAAAATGCAAACCCACACTCATCCTAGCTGAAAAGCAATGCGGGATGTGGCTGTTGAATCAAGAGAGCCCCAAAACTGAAACAGATGCTGTCAACGATAAATTACCGCCTAATATGCAGGGCTTTGTGTGCACTGAAAACACTGGTGGTTTGTTTCATGGAGCTACCATGCCACCACCATGCCACTCAAAATCAAAGTAAATATTTCTTACTTACTAGTGCAAAGCCATTCTCTCCCTCTGCACCCTTAATCCCTCCCTCCCCCAAGCCCTGATCTCATCCGCTTTAGGGAGAAAGATGATTAGAAGTAGGACCAAGGGCTCCAGGTCTTCAAGAGGGATGCATCTGTTCAGTGGGGTGAGATTCTCACATTTTTATGGTTTGGATACAGTTCCCAAAGTCATCATCATAGTCAGTCCTGGGAGAGGATGGTAGGGAAGGATGTCCGAATTCAGTTAATGGGGTTTGGGCACAGTTTGCAGAGAAGAATTAAAGATAACCATGTATTATTGCTACGGCTTCCAAGCCTGAATATTTAATTGGTATTGATGCTTTCCATGTCTGTAGAGTGAATGTTCATATGTGACAGAGGGGATTATCCTGATCAAGAAGAGCCATGTATAGACAATTGTTATTACCTTTGGGACCCCATAACCCTAATGACTCCTTTGAGTTACAAGTCTATAACTGGTGGTTTTGCCAATTAGAGCCTCTGGAAAAGAAAGGCAACCTTCACTTGGAGGTGCACCGTGAAGTTTAGGACTTATTGCCTCCCTAACATAATTACCAGGTAGACCTCTTTTGAAAAGCAGCTATTAGCCTGTCACTGAGCTCTTCTGGAAACTGAACACTGGACCCATGGAGGCCTTCTGACTCTCCAGCCAATAATCATTTTGAGGCCGGCCAACTTGGACTAAATGACTAACAAAATGAAAAAGGAGCAAACAAGCCTCATATGTCAAATGGAAATGGCATATTCAAGAATGCAGCCAGCCCAACCCCAGTAACATCTCAGCTTTACGTGTAAAAGAGTAGCAATATTTTTGTTGTTGTTATTGCTGCTGCTGCTGAGACAGGCTATCAATCAGTTGTGCAGGCTGGAATGCAGTGGCACAATCATAGTTCACTGCAGCCTCAAACTCCTGGGCTCAGGTGATCCTCCTGCCTCAGCCTACTGAGTAGCTGGCACTACCACTCCTGGCTAACTATTTGTGTTTACTTGTAGAGATGGAGTCTCACTATGTTACCCAGGCTGGTTTCAAACTCCCAGCCTCAAACTATCCTCCTGCCTCAGCCTCCCAAAATGCTAGAATTGTAGGTGTGAGCCACCACACTCAGCTGAGAAGTGATCCTTTAGAAAAAAAAAATTATTCACCACTCTGTCACCTGAAGCAAAGCCACTGGCTCAAGAGGACCCTCAATTCACAGAACCTCCTCTAAATGCCTGGGCCTGTTTCACTTATAGTCTGGCTGAGCTGAAACCTGGTGGTCTTCACTGAGCTAAACTAAAGGCCATTCTCATGGCTCTGGCAAATACTCCCCTTGATAAACCTGTTATATTTTTACTGACTCTTGGGCTGTTGACTGTGGCCTACCTATTTGGTTGGCCACTTGGAAAACAATAAAATAGCAGATTAAAGACACCCCTTTAAGGGACTGCAAACTATAGGACAAAAATTATGGCTACTGATTGAACTATCTGGGTAGTTCATGTAGATACTCACCATAAGCATGGGAATGATTGGAATCAAGCTGCTGATCAAGCCTGAACCATCCAGATTGCCAACATTGCTGCCTGTACATACATGGCAACACACCCCCATTACACACAGAGCACAAGGTAAAGAACTCCATGTTTCTAATGCAGAAGCCACCACTACATGCCAAACTTGTGACTGCCAGAAGTTGACTCATTTGTCTTACGGTGAGAGAGGACACATCACACATAGGGATCTCCCTCATGCTCCTGACAGACTGACTACAGTGAACCTCTGACCCCTCCCTCCTCAGAGCTATTGGTGGTGCCACACCAATATTGACACTTATTCAAGTTATGGAATTGCCATTCCAGTCCAATCATATGGGTCTAGTCCCAACAGTAGGGCCCATAAAGTTAAGTTAATCTGGGTTGTGCGTTTTGCTTTCTGGAACATTTTCAGTCTGTCAATGGGGTGCACCCTATAGCACAAAAGCTATTCAGCAATGAGCTATTAGTCAAGGTATTCAATGAAGCTTTCTTACTCCCTACCGTCCATTGTCATATGGTATTATTGTGCATTGGAATGGCCTTCTCAAAAACTGTCTACTTCTCTCACCAGCTCCTGGTGCCCACATCTTAGTAAAGCTGTTTGGTCACTCAATGCAGCTGTCCCCAGAAAGGACTCATTCTATCTCAGCTGCTTCCTGAATAATAATCAGAATAAAAGGGGCAGGGGTTATAAAGACTTATTTTGAAAATTGGTGTTACTTCCATGACCATTCCTGGACATGGTGCAACAGCACCATGCAACAGCAATCCCGGGCCAGTAGGGTTGGTCCGCCCTTTTGGTAGCAACCAGGCATAAAAAGGATTCTAGGAGGTTCAAATTTAATTCTATTTCAGCCTCCTGATTTTCTTGTTGGGTTTACATAATCCTTGATCATAAGGATAATAACCACTTGGTTGAGTATACTTCTCAAAAATCAGTGTGAGAGCTGGGAGCAGTAGCTCACATCTGTAATCCCAGCAACATGGGAGGCTGAGGCAGGAGGATCACTTGAGGCTCAGAGTTCAAGCCTGCAGTGAGCTATGATGGTGCCACTGCACTCCAACCTGGGCAACAGAGTGAGAATCTCATCTCTAAAATAAAATAAAATAAAATAAAATAAAATAATATAAAATCAGTATGTTCCATCCCAGTAGCTATAACTTCACCTTTTTCCCAATCATATTCTCTATTTTCTTTTTTTTTTTTTAGATGGAGTCTCGCTTTGTTGCCCAGGCTAGAGCGCAGTGGTGTGATCTCAGCTCACTGCAACCTCTGCCTCCCAAGTTCAAGCAATCTCCTGCCTCAGCTTCCCGAGTAGCTAGGATTACAGGCATGTGCCACCATACCTGGCTAATTTTTGTATTTTTAGTAGAGATGGAGTTTCGCCATGTTGGTCAGGCTGGTCTCGAACTCATGACCTCAGGTGATTGGCCTCCCAAAGTGTTCGGATTACAGGCATGAGCCACCATGCCCAGCCCATATTCTCTATTTTCGCCTAGACCTTTTGTTAGGAAAGGTCAGATATAAGAGGGACCAGGGATTTCTTAGAAAAGTTCCAGAGATCTGTTTTATTCTCTTTTATGCCTGACCTTTCCAGACAAAAGTTCTAGGTGAAAATAGGAGGTAAATGGGAAAAAGGTGAAGTTATAGCTACTGGAATGGGATACCCTGATTTTGTGGCAATAGGGGGAGCGCAGCAACCGAGCTCTTGGAGAGAGAACACTTTAGACCCAGGATGTTCAGGGGAGTGACAGACATCATGATATTTTGTTTTTCAGCCCACTCCTGAAGACTGCATCATAAAGAAAAATGCCTTAGTGCAGTTCTCTCAAACTGTTGGTGACACCTTAGTTTTAACTGACTGCCAGGCAGTTCTGACCACAATTTGAATGACATCCACCTCAACTTTACCAAGAAATCTATTGGAAACAGCAGAGAATGACCCTAGTTACTGCACCTCCACATTGAACACCTTTGGGTATCTTCCCCAGCCCCATTTGCAGTCATTCCACAAGGTGAGCAAATACCATCAGCTGGTGGCATGGACAGACAGGAGGTTGGACTTACTGACCTTATGCAGCCCCTCCAAAAACAAGGACTATACACAATTATTGAACCTAACTGAGAATCCTATAGCCTAGCAGCAAAATTTATTTTAGGAAACTATTCTAGTTTTAAGTTAACAATGTTTACATATTGACAACAAATGTGCTGTTTAAGTGAGCACAAATCTATACATCCTTAATTAGACAATTAATTAAAAGAGAAAATCATCAGCTGACTTGCATTGCTAAGAACATCTGTCATGAATTACATAGTCTATGATAGCTAGGAGCAAAAATCCCTGATTGCAACTCTGAGTTTATCATAGTACTTGGGCCTCACTCTACTTCAGTGTTGTGTTACATATGTTCAACAACTGACTTTTTGGCAGTGTGGTGGAAAAAAGCCCTGATTTGTAGCAGGTGCTGCTTTCCATGGTGTTCATACTCTCATCATGGTAATTTCTAGCTACCATTGTGATGTCAACTGGCTTGTAAGCTTGCTGCAAATTTAACAGTATGCTCTCTCAAGCCAACTCTAGCACACTACTGCTACCCAATGTGTAACTCTCCCTCTAGATTTTCCATTCCCTAAATGGAATGTCTACACATTATCTGGAATAATGCTTGATGTATTATGATTACTCAATAAATAGCAGAATTAATTTCATAAGCCAAGAAGATTCATTTAGAAAATCATAGTTTATTTGCTCTGTTGTGTTTGTGTTTTGTTTTTCCATTAAATTAAATGTGGCATCCAATAATATAAGATTTAAATAATCAAAAATTAACCTACAGCTGTACTAGACCCACATCTTATTACCCTCTCAGAAAAAAAGCTCCTTACGGTGACTGAATGCTACATTGTGCATATTGAGTTAACTATTAAAAGGTATATCAAGGCCAGGCGCGGTGGTTCATACCTGTAATCCCAACACTGGGAGGCCGAGGCAGGTGGATGACCTGAGGTCAGGAGTTCAAGACCAGCCTGGCCAACATGGTGAAACCCCGTCTCTACTAAAAATACGAAAATTAGGGTGTGGTGGCAGGTGCCTGTAATCCCAGCTACTTGGGAGGCTGAGGCAGGAGAATCGCTTGAACCTAGGAGGCGGAGGTTGCAGTGAGCCAAGATCACGCCATTGCACTCCAGCCTGGGGGACAAGAGCAAGACTTTGTCTCAAAAAATATATATATGTATATATAAAAATATATAGTTTTTATATATAAATGTTTATATCTATATATTATAAATAATATATAAATATATACATAATTTATATTTATATATCAACATATATTTATATATAAGCATATATGTATATGTAAGGCATATCAGCATTAAATAATTCTCAGTAATTTCCTCCCTGCTTAATTTATCATAAGGAATATGCTTGGGCCAGGCGCGGTGGCTCAAGCCCGTAATCCCAGCACTTTGGGAGGCCGAGGCGGGTGGGTCACGAGGTCAGGAGATCGAGACCATCCTGGCTAACACGGTGAAACCCCGTCTGTACTAAAAGTACAAAAAAATTAGTCGGGCCTGGTGGCGGGCACCTGTAGTCCCACTACTCGGGAGGCTGAGGCAGGAGAATGGCGTGAACCCGGGAGGCGGAGCTTGCAGTGAGCCGAGATGGCGCCACTGCACTCCAGCCTGGGCGACAGAGCGAGACTCGGTCTCAAAAAAAAAAAAAAGGAATATGCCTGGTGGTTTACTTAGATAATCAACAGCTATTAAGATGATCATCTTTCCTTTAATTACATTTAAAATGAAGAATTCTTAAAAGCAGGGCACTACGTATTATGGCAGGTTCTCTTATTCATGTCACTACCATTATTTATTGAGTTGGCTCCAAGCTTCCTGGTAACCAAAGTAAAAAGGTGTGCATAATCAATACAAAATACATGCTATCCATGAGATAAAAACCAGTCATCAGATACTTAGATGAAGTGCAATTATTTCCTTTGTCAAGACTGAGTTTCTTATAAGGAAGATGCATCTGACAAAAATAAAAGCCTCATGGGCATACTAACAAAAAATATGCCACGTTTCAATGGCAGTTTCTTATAGTGCTCCTCAGCATAAGCTAAAGGCAGTGCAGCTCGGTAAAAGCAATTCTGTGATGGCCTAAAATGAAGCAAGGCAATTATGTAGCCCTAGATTGATCTGATTTTATTCAAAGAATAAAATTTAGAGTAGCTTGAACATTGAATGATCTTACACTCTCAAAACTAAAACCACACCCTGCTCCCCAGGGAAAAGACATTCTAAGCTTGACTTGGACCTAGAATGCAGGTACTCTGTGTACATATTCAGATTTAGGTGTAGATTGTCAAGTCTTCCCCAGGGATCCCCAGTGCTACCCATTGCCCCTTGCTCCCAGCACACTGCAGTTTAATAATCCATAACAGTGGTTCTCAAACTTGAATGTGCATCAGAATCACTAGAGCACTTGCAAAAATTGCTGGGTCCCACCCCAGAGTTCCTGACTCAGTATTTTCTGAAATGGGCCTTGTAATGTGCATTTCTAACAAGTTCCCAAGTGATAGTGATGGTGGTAGTGGAACCACACTTTGACAACCAATAATCTACAAAAGGGGTCAGCAAATGTCTTCTGTTAAGGGGCAAATAGTAAATATTTTAGGTTTTGAAGGCCATACAGTTTTTGTTGCTACTACCTAACTCTGTATTCATACTGCAAAAGCAGCCACAGACAATACTGAAAACAACACAGGCGTGATTGTGTTCCAGTAAAACTTTACTGACACAAACAAACAGTGGGCTGGATTTGGCCCACAGGCTATAGTTTGCTGACCCCTGATCTACACCAAACTGCTGGGATCTGTAAGCCCATGCATTACCAAAAAGCTCTCCCCCATTACTGGCCTTGTCATAGTGCCTGAAGGCTGCCAGCAAAGTGTCAAACTTTTGGTAATTAACTTTCTTCAGGTGATGCCGAACTGCTGCAATCAGGGCTCGCTGTCTATCCTTGCCTCGAAGATATTCATCCGGAAGTCTATTATGGATGAGATCACCAACTCCTATTGAAGAGAGAAAAAACTTTTTACATAAATTTAAAGTCTTTCTATATTATTTCTATCTTTTAAAAAAAGTGAGAGATCTAGCAACCTCTGTGAATGAAAGAAACATCTAACTCTGACATGATTATGCAGCATGTCAGAAAATCCTTATGTACTCTAAAGTACATAAATTAATTGATAAAAATTAATATTCCTGGTTTATGTTACCTCTCTGCTCAAGAAGAAAATCTAAAAGAATGAATTTTGTGTGGACATCACCAACCGCACTCAACTGTCAAGTCTTTTCCCTGGACAGTGAAGTTCTTGCTTGACTACCTCTTGGCCATTTGTCTACAGTGCTGAGGATCTGAAAGCTAGGGCTGATTCCAGGTGGGGACCACTCAGTGTGCCTTGGAACTGACTAAACTGGGAGAGCCTTGTAAAAATTAAATTATCTACCCTCTCCTATGTGAGTTTCCAGTTGGCCGTCAGTCTGCATACCAACTTCCCATTTCTCAGCCTTGCTTCCACTCATGCCACCACCAGCACTAGAGGCCTGCCTCCCTTCACGGCTCCATTAACTAAGAGTCCTGACCCACACCCCAACTAGAGTTGACCATGCTGCTCCAGATGTGGCGGCTCGGTGGATATCGCCAGAGGAGACCTCCTGCCTCTCTTCATTTTCCCTGGCGTACACACATCTCCCATCTTTCTGCCAGGACTCTCAGCTTTCTCTTCCTTTTTTAATTCATCAATTCATGCTATAAATATTGATGAAAGATGTCCTATGTGCTGGACCCTGAGGATCCAACAGACAGCAAGACAGAGCACCCACCAGCATGAAGCTTGCCCTCAAACAGGCAGAATTTACCATGATTACCTACTTCTTTTTCAAGCTAATTGATGGTTTCCTAATCATCCCTTACCCTCTTCAAAAGATATTAAAGCCTCTAAGATGGATAGGCATCCATCAAACATTAGTAGTTTGTGTAAAAACAGAACCCAAATACAATTTCCTAATGTAGTAATTAATGATGCTCCAAACCACTGTCTTGCATAAGCTCAATAAATATTTATTCTACCTGTCAATGAGTTGACTTTAGCCAAAACATTTTTCATAGTGGTTCTTAAACGTTAGTGTATATAAGAACCTACTGAATCAGAATATCTAGGGCATGGGTCCCAGGAAGGTGCAGATTTAATAAACTCCCTGGATGATTTTAATGCAGGTAGTCTGCAGCCCATGTTTTGAAAACCACTGATATACAGCCCAATCCTGATAAGCTGTAGCATATTTTTCCCTTTGGATATCTGCTGTTTAGATTGGCTAGAAATAAAGACAAAATCCAAGTAAGTTTCTTCTGCTACTTTATGTATTGATTGATTGATCAACTTACTGGCTAGCTGGCTGGCTGGTAGGAAAAGAGTGGTTCTTAATTATGTGGTTGTAGAGTACAGTGCTTTCTCATATTTGAATGTGCTTAAAATTCACCTGGAAATATAGTTAAAATGCAGTTTCTGATTCAATAGTTCTGGGATGGGGCCTGAGATTCTGCATTTCTAAGGAGCTCCCAGGGGATGCCAATACTGGCAGTCTGCAGACCACACTTTGAGACGTTAGGACTAGGACAATATCCAAATTAATTAAAAAGCTGCCCCACTTCACTTTGGCTTGTTTAATATAGGCCATATTTATTTTTCCTAAATAAAATTCAAAGCCTTAACTACACTTACAGTACTTATTACAAGGGCTTCCAACTGTACCTATTTCAAACATAATATGAAAAAAAATTTACTTCTGTGTTATACACTTTTCTCATTAATGTTAATGCAACATTTTAAGTCTTTAAAATTAGAAGCTTTGAAATAAGGAGATGGTGAGCTTAACTGCATAACTTTGTGGGGATTTTGTTGCTGTTTGTTTGGGGTTTTTTACGGAGAAAGTGTGTATATTTACCATATTCCTCAGGACGGAGACAAGCTCCAAATGTGCAGTCTGGGGGAACATTCATTGTTTCTGCAATGCTATCAAAGAAAACAAATCCTTAGTTAAAATACCCACCACATGGCATCTCTGGAATTTAAAATATGTTTGCCATATGTTCTTAGTAGCCCATATTTTATCTCATAACCAAACTATGAAGATCAAACAAAAGTTCTCCAATAGATCTTTTGTCTGATCTTCCACTTGCATTAACAATGACTGAATGTTTTCACCCTCTTTCAGGAGCCCAGAATTACAAAGAAAAGCAGAACACACAGAACACATTCAAAGCAAAATTACCAAAGTATAAATAGAGAGCAAGACAGACAGACAGGAAAGACAAAGAAAAATATAAACACAGTAAGTTAAATCTCTGATATCCCAGAAATAATGCTTTATGCAAAATTATCCCTCTCTCTTCTCCAGTGCCTTCTGCATTTTGGAGAACTCACTGCTTTCCTGGAATCCCAAATTCTATAGATATTAACAGATTAACTGATTAACAATAAAATAATGATTTTCTTATTTAATAGATAGAATCTAATAGGCACACCAACAGTTACCACAAGAGTATTTTTTAAATTCTATGCAAAGAAACTATCAATTTGAAGTTAATCATTAACTTACGGATCTAAAACTCTTCCAAGTTTATGTTGAAACTTTTCTTTGAAATCATCTGCTCTTTTGGATACAAACTTAGCTCCTCTTTTCCTGCAAAATTAGAACATTATCAGGTATCTCTATTACCTAAAGTATTCTTGGCTGCCAAATATACATAAGGCGAAGAATACCATAGTATCATTAGGCCTTCCAGGAACAAATGTAGTTTCAAAAGAAACTCTCTGCTAAAAAGAAAGTTTTATGTGTTCATTTTTCTTTCATTTACACTAAAATAAAATAAACCTTGATTAATGAATAAGGTAAGCAAACAATATTTTTAATAAATAAAACAAGGTGTTAATATCACTATTGTAAGTGTAGCTCCTGGCCGGGCACAGTGGCTCACTGCTGTAATCCCAACACTTTGGGAGGCTGAGGTGGGCAGATGGCTTGAGCTCAGGAGTTTGAGACTAGCCTGGGCAACATGGCAAAACCCTGTCTCTTAAAAAAATACAAAAACTAGCTGGGCGTGGTGGCATGTACCTGTAGTCCCAGCTACTCGAGAGGCTGAGCTAGGAAGATCGCTTGAGACTGGGAGGCTGAGGTTGCAGTGAGCTGAGATGACGTCACTGTACTCCAGCCTGGGTGACAGAGTGAGACCCTGTCTCAAAAAAATAAAATAAAGTAAGTGTAACTCGTAAAATTGCTAGAAGAAAATTAAGCATCAGGCCAGGCACAGTGGTTCATGCCTGTAATCTCAATACTTTAGGAAGCTAAAGCTGGAGGATCAATCGAGGCTAGGAATTTGAGACGAGCCTGGGTAACATAGTGAGATCCCATCTCTACAAAAAATGAAAATAAAAATAAAAAAATTTAGCATCAAATAAATAAATAGCCAAAGGATATAAACAAATAACTCACATCTAGTAAGCAAATACATGGAGAATTTATAATACTCTCTAGTAATAAAATAAATGTAAAATAAAAGAATAACAAAGTGCCACTTCTAACCTAGTAAACAAGCAAATATATATAAGCATATGGAGAGAGAAAGAATATCTAACTTTGGCAAAAAAATATGGTAAAACACTTACAGATTGCTAGTGCAAATTCCTACAGTTCTTTTGAAAATAATTGGGCAATATGAATCAAAAAGCATAAAAACACTCATGCCCTTTTATCCACATCTGGGAACCAATAATAATGATATAATCCAGATAGCAATTAAAAATGTAGAAAAGAGCCTGGGCACGGTGGCTCATACCTGTAATCCCACCACTTTGGGAGGCTAAAGTGGGCAGATCACTTGAGGTCAGGAGTTCAAGACCAGCCTGACCAACATGGTGAAACCCCATCTCTACTAAAACTACAAAAATTAGCCAGGTGTGGTGGAACACGCCTGTAATCCCAGGTACTTGGGAGGCTGAGGCAGGACAGTCACTTGAACCTGGGAGTCAGAGGCTGCAGTAAGCCAAGATCATGCCACGGCACCCCAGCCTGGGCAACAAAGTGAGCCTGTCTCAAAAAAAAAAAAAATGTAGAAAAGTTATATGTATAAAAAATGTTTGTAGCCTCATTGATGACAGTGGAATAAAGAAAAGAATCAAAATGTTCAGTTGTGGAGGGTAATTAAATTCTGTCACATCAATAAGAATACACTGCATGCATTTTCAATGCTGGCATATACAGCAATATATAATTATTTTATGTTAGGTGGAAAACAGGATATAAAATGGGATTGCACTCTGGTAAAAACTATGCAAAAATCTACATAGGGAGCCACACTAGGAAAAAATACATTAAAATGATAATAATGGCTGAATTAAAGTGAACAGGATTATGAGCGATTTTATTTTGCCAGTTTTCTGTAAAATAATTTTGTTACTTCTACTGTTGTGATTAAATGAATAAAATTTCTTTTGAAACGTGTAAAATTACAACACTACTATTTAATAACATTAAAATTAATAAATTCTCTATTGTTTTGCTAAGACTAAAGACAATGAACATTACATTCTTAAAACTCCATTTGCTTTTCAAAGTATCTCCTGTACTATTGAACTACTGAGCTGAATAAATTTCTGGAGAAGAGTGACACTCTGTGGAGGAACAAAAGAAGAAACATAAGTAATTCATCTCGTTTCTTCATTTCCTTCCCATTTGTTGGCGGGGGGGAAGAATGTAGGTGGAGTCAGAATAAATCAATGCAGTTTAGGGCTATAACTTGAACAAACAGAGTTAACAATCTAAAAATCAGCTCCAGGCCAGGCGCAGCGGCTCACACCTGTAATCCCAGCACTTTGGGAGGTCGAAGCAGGTGGATCACCCTGAGGTCAGGAGTTCGAGATCAGCCTGGCCCACATGGCAAAACCCCATCTCTACTAAAAATACAAAAATTAGCCAGGCCTGGTGATGGGCACCTGTAATCCCAGCTACTTGGGAGGCTGAGGCAGGAGAATCGCTTGAACCCAGGAGGCAGAGGTTGCAGTGAGCCAAGATCACACCACTGCACTCCAGCCTGGGCAACAGAGTGAAACTCTGTCTCAAAAAAAAAAAAAAATCAGCTCCAAGGTACATAATTAGGAACATGCAGAGATGATAAGAAAAAGAACTGTCAGGCACAGAGCCAACTCTTTTTAGTCAAGAACTGCCTGGAGTATGCTTCTGCAACAATCAGGAAGTATCTGTGGGCAACCATGTATGTCAGAATATCAATAACTGCAACATCATTACACAACAATCTTGAGTTGCATTCACGAACCAACTCAGATAAAGCTCTTTGTGTGCCAGTGAATTCATTCGTTCACACATGCGCACAAACACATGCACTCGCACAGGCATGCCTACATCTGATGACTCAAACCAAAGTTTGATTTGACTTTGGTTTGATTATTCAAACCAAAGGTCACAGGCAAAATATAGATAGAGATCGTTTTTGTTTGTTTGTTTGTTTTTGTTTTTGTTTTTTGAGACAGAGTCTTGCTCTGTCACCCAGGCTGGAGTGCAATGGCGCCATCTCAGCTCACTTAAACCTCCACCTCCCGGGTTCAAGCGATTCTCCTGCCTCAGCCTCCCAAGTAGCTGGGACTACAGGTGCGTGCCACCACACTCAGCTAATTTTTGTATTTTTAGTAGAGACAGGGCTTCACTATGTGGCCAGGCTGGTCTCGAACTCCTGACCTTGTGATCTGCCTGCCTCAGCCTCCCAAAGTGCTGGGATTACAGGCATGAGCCACCATGCCCAGCCAATAGAGATCCTCTTTTACAGGGGAAATATATCCCATAAAAGTTGAGAGTAAACCAAATTTACATTAAATCGTGCATATAAAATTAGATGCCTCAAAATGTAGACTAACACTCTTGACTCCACGTTTGTAACAGAAATCAAACTGAATGAAGTAGTGAGCTCTTTTTAAACTGCAACCAAAAGAATAAAGAATTTCTCTACTGCTAGCAATAACATTCCAATTAAGTTTCAAAATACAAAAAGGGCTGGGCACAGTGGCTCACGCCTGTAATCCCAGCACTTTGGGAGGCTGAGGCGGGCGGATCACCTGAGGTCATGAGTTCAAGACCAGCCTGACGATCATGGTGAAACCCCATCTCTACTAAAAATACAAAAATTAGCCAGGCATGGTGGCACACACCTGTAATTCCTGCTACTCGGGAGGCTGAGGCACGAGAATTGCTTGAACCCAGAAGGCAAAGGTTGCAGTGAGCCGAGATCATGCCACTGCAATCTAGTCTGGGTGACAGAGGGAGACTCCATCTCAAAAAAAAAAAAAATACAAAATGTATGATCAAATAAAACACTGTTCCATAAACAGTGTCCTCTTGGGAGTAGAGACAAGTTGGAGGGAAGCATGCACTGCACACTGTTTGCCCTTATAAACTTTGTGTCTTTTTCTATGGCAACACTAAATCATTGATATTTGCTCTGCTCTTAGGATGTTCTTGAGGACCACATTGTTGTTAATGTGTTTACCTCATATGTTTTACAAACTGATAGCAAGTTTATATTTCTAACCCATTGAAAATGGATAAACCATATTTGTCTCCTTTTAAGTATCAATTTATTTATTATATTTAATTATAAATATCTGTAGTCCTTAAATATTTAAATAATATCTTCATACTTTACACATAGTTTAACCATTTTAATAATAATAATTAAGAAATATTTATTATGTAAATGCTTCATCCATATCCTAAATAAAAACTATCTCATACAGGGTTACTATGATACTGTAAAAATTTATTTTATGTGTGTGTTTTACCATCCTTATTTTGAATAATTCGAGTATCAGAAACTCATGTAATAAAGGAGTGAAAGAGGAATGGAAATCATTTTTGAAGCCCATAAAGAGGTGATCAAGAATAAAGTGCCTATAGATCTGGTGCAGTGGTTAGGGCTGCCTCTAGAGCCAATACTGCCTGGGTTTCATTCTTACCCCTGATACGTCTGAGCTGCATGATCTTAGGCAAATGATTTAACCCCTCTGTACCTCAGCTTTTTCACCTGTAAAATGGGAAGAATAAAAGTTATAATACACCTATCCTGTGGAGTTCTTAGTAGAATTAAACTAATAATATATAAAGTGCTCAGAATTTTGCCTCTATAACTGAGAGCTGTTATTGTCACAGAGACAAAATAGGCAAGAGTGAGGCAGGTTGGATACCTGCAGTAATGCTAAGTTTGTGTGCATGTTGGGCCTACGGAAACCTAGAGGGCCATTGTCTCCTTTAAAGAGGGCAGAGGTCAGAACAAATCTACCCCTATCATTGACAAATATGAATGCGAGGCCCATGCATTAGTTTCATGTGGTTGCTATAAGAAATTACCAAAAACTGATGGCGTAAAAAAATGTATTCTCTCACAGTCCTAGAAGCCAGAAGTCTGAAATCAAAGTGTCAGTAAGGCCACATTTCCTCTAACAGCTCTAGGGGAGAATTCATTTCTTGCTTTTTTTGTTGTTTTCCCTAGAGATGGTGTCTTGCTATGTTGCCCAGGCTGGCCTCAAGCTCCTGGGCTCAAGCCATTCTCCCACCTCAGCCTCCCAAAGCACTGGGACTACAGGCATATGCCACCACACCCAGCCCATTCTTTCCTTCTTCCAAAGTCTGATGGCTGTTGGCATTACTTCGCATTCCTTGGTTATAGGCACATCACACCAATGTCTATCTCCATCTTCACATACCTTCCCTTCTGCATGTCTTTTCCTCTTGTGTATCAAATTTTCTTCTTCCCCTCTATGGATACTGATCATTGGATTTAACATCCGCTCAGATAATCCAGAATGATCTCTTCATCCCAAGATCCTTAATTATATCTACAAAGACCCTTTTTCCACACAAAGTAACATTCATAGGTTCTGGCCATCAGGACATAGACATATCTTTTTGTGGAGGGCGGGGCGGCACCAGTATTTACAACGTTCAAACCATGGTACCAGTATCCACAATCTTCTGATTTTTTTAAGCATAACAAGATATCTAGACTTTTATGAGCAATCTTCCAAAGTTTATGTGTTGGCTCGGATATAAAATATAACGCAGGAAATGAAAAACTAATGACCCAATTTTGTTTTCTAAGGAAGTAGTCTTTACAGAATGAAGAGATAAAAAGGTCACAATTTGAAAAAGTTGAGTGATGCTCAGGTGCCCAAATAACTATTCAACAAAGCTGAATAACAAATATCAGGTCAAGACAGGATGGTTATTCATGCCTTTATTCCCAGCTATTCAGAAGGCTGAGGTGGATAGCTTGAGTCCAGGAGTTCAAGGTTGCAGTGAGCTATGAAGGCCCTACTGTACTCCAGCCTGAGCAATAGAGCAAGATGCTGTCTCAATAAATAAATAAATAAATTTCAAGTCAATTACAATTGTCTTGGTAGAGTTTTGAAAGTCCATTATATTTAAGAAACACAAATAAAGTTGATCCCAGAGAATTAAAACATGCATATATGTCTTTATGTTTGCTTGCAACTTCAGAATAAAGATAGAAAAAAAAAAGTATCATTTTTACCTCTGTAGGAACTAGATAGGATGGGTGTCAGAAGTGAAATACATTACACTGTTTTTTCTATTTTTTTCTAGTCATCTTGTTTGAACCATATCATTTTATTACCTCTTCAAAAAATAAAGTTTAAAAATCAACTTTTCTTTAAGTCCAAATGTCTAACACTTGTTCCTGGGCACAGTATAATTAAACTTACATTTGTAGTTCATGGAGCCAATATAGAGATTTTGCCATGGCTCGTCCATCATTAAAATGTGGTGTTGGTACTCCATACACACTACACCTATGGAAACTTGATGGGTTATACTTTCGGTTCTTTGCCTCTCCTGTGGAAAAAGAAAGGAAGACTTATGACTTAAGCAACACGAATAACCTTATCATGCAAGATGCACACTATGTTCTCATTGACATTGAAAATGAGAATGGAACAAAAAATGAAATTGTAACAGTGCAGAAACTGCACAGATTTAGCTACAGATGACAGAAGCATTCCCCCATGTGAGCTGGGAGACTGGTGGGATGCTACACACAACAATACGTTGTGTTAATATTTGAAAAGACATATGTAAAAAACTCCAAAGACTCCATCAAAAAACTGTTAGAACTAATGAATTTGGCTGGGCACAGTAGCTCATGCCTGTAATCCCAGCACTTTGTGAGGCCGAGACTGGTGGATCACTTGAGGCCAGGAGTTCGAGACCAGTTCACCAGTCTGGCCAACATGGTGAAACCGTGTCTTCTCTAAAAATTCAAAAATTAGCTGGTCATGATGGCATGCACCTGTAATCCCAGCTACTTCGGAGGCTGAGGCACGAGAATCGCTTGAACCCAGGAGGCGGAGGTTGTGGTAAGCCAAGATCGTGCCACTGCACTCCAGCCTGGGCAACAGAGTGAGGCTCTTTCTCAAAAAACAAAAGAACTAATAAGTGAATTAAGTAAAGTCAAAGAATACAAAATCAACACATAAAAGTCCATGGCATTTCTATAAAAAATAACAACCTAGACAAAAAAGAAATCAAGAAAATAATTCAATTTATGATAGCATAAAAAAATACTTAGGAATAAACTTAACCAAGGGGGTAAAAGACCTGTACACTGAAAACTATAAAACAATGATGAAAGAAATTGAAGAGGACACAAATAAAATGAAGATATTCATTCCATGCTCATTGATCAGAATAATTAATTTTCTTAAAATGTTCATACTACCCAAAGCAAAATGCAGATTCAATGTGATCCCTATCAAAATTCCAATAGCATTCTTCACAGAAATAGAAAAAAAAAAATCTTAAAAATTTATATAGAACCACAAAAGGCTCTGAATAGCCAAAGTAATTATTAGGAAAAAGAAAAAAGTTAGAGGCATCACACATCCTAAATTTAAATTATATTACAGAGCTGTAGTAATTAGAACAGTATGGTACTGGCATAAAAACAGACATACAGGCTAGTGGAACAGAATGGAGAGCCCAGAAATAAATCCAAACATATACAATACACTAATTTTCAACAAGGGCAGCAAGAAGAAATGACGACACAAGGATAGTCTCTTCAATAAATGGTCCTGGGAAACCTGATTTCCACATGCAACACCATACACAAAAATCAACTAAAAATAGATTAAAAAAAAAAAACTAAACGTTAAGACCTGAAACCATAAAACTCATAGAAGAAAAAATAGAGGAAAAACTTATTGACATTGGCCTTGGCAATGATGTCTTAGATACAAAAGCTCAGACTACAAAAGCAAAAATAAATAAATGAGACTACATCAAATTAAAAACCTTCTGCATAGCAAAGGAAACAATCACCAAAATGAAAAGGCAACCTATGAGTTGGGAAAAAAATATTTGCAAACTATGTATCTGATAGAGGGTTAATATTCAAAATTTATAGAAAATATGTAGCTCAATTCTTAAAATGGGTGAAGAACTTTAATATTTAGAAAGTAAGTAAGGACATTGTATGGGAAAAAGAGATATCAATGATGAAAAACTGCAGGGTCTCCACCATTGTTATGGAAATCCTGAAGATCAAGGGAGGTATGGCAATGATTTAGGTCTCTGGCAGCACTTTCCACTATGCTAAGATTTGAGAGGTTTGGTGTTTTGCACTTGTTCTCACTGAGATTTGGTGCGATCATCAGAACATTGCGACCCTCATATTTCATTTACCTCATATTAGAAACATTCAAAGGGTGATTGAGAGCTGAGAAACCAACAGAGGAGTCTTTTTATTTAAAACTGAATACTGTGCTTTTTTCTTTTCAAGTCTTGATGTGGTATTAGTTTTCTATTTCGAGATAAGAAAGTAGGACTGAAACTAGAGAACAACCAAGAGGGTAAGAAATGTTGGAGTAAAGATATTCAGCCTCACTAGTAACTCAAATAATGTAAATAAAAACAGTAAATGTCTTGTTATTGAAGTAACAAGAAATTATAATTGTCTCTTAGTTAAGCAAAAATAAAGAAGATTGGCTGAGCTCATTATTGGGAAGGGTGTGGAGAAATGGATATTCTCATACTCTGGGTCTAAGGGCAAATTGGGCAGTAATTTGAGCTGACAGTTTGGCTCTAAAAGTAAAAATTTCTCAGAAATCTAGGAATGTAACTTAAGGAAATAGCCAATCACATTTACAAAGGTATATCAACAATATGTTTTTGTAATAGTGAAAATATAATGTAGATACTGACATGAAAAGACATTCCAAAATATTTCATAAGACAAAAAAAGCAAAAGGAAAAATGTATATATGATGTGGAACAAAATGAACATACATACTGATATATACAAAAGTGCAAAGAAAAACATCTATGAACATATTATCGGCTGGGCGCAGTGGCTCACGCCTGTAATCCTAGCACTTTAGGAGGCCAAGGCAGATGGATCGCCTGAGATTAGAAGTTCGAGACCAGCCTGACCAACACGGTGAAACCCAGTCTCTACTAAAAATACAGAAATTAGCCAGGCATGGTGGCGGGCGCCTGTAATCCCAGCTACTTGGGAGGCTGAGGCAGGAGAATTGCTTGAACCCAGGAGGCAGAGGTTGCAGTGAGCCGAGATCAGGCCACTTCACTCCAGCCTGGACGAAAGAGCAAAACTCCGTCTCAAAAAAAGAAAGAAAGAGAGAAAGAGAGAAAGAGAGAGAGAGAGAGAGAGAGAGAGAGAGAGAGAGAGAAAGAAAGAAAGAAAGAAAGAAAGAAAGAAAGAAAGAAAGAAAGAAAGAAAGAAAAAGAAAGTTCTGTGTGAGATAGAGAATTGTGGGAATTTTTTGTATATTGTATATTTCTGTATAGCTTTCATTTTATAAAAGTATCTATCACTTTAGTAATGATTAAAATTAAGTTATTTTAAAGTATTAAGTGTATTTTAAATGTTGTAGGTCCATATTTATTGCTATCTACATATTATTTAAGTAAAAAATTTAAAATATATAGAGCAGGCTCCCTAAAAGCATGGAGAGTATTATCCCATTTATTTAATGATTAATGATTTAATGGCTGAATGGATGGGGGTTAGAAAAAATGTTCAGAGAGAGGAAGTGGAGCAAGACGGCAGAATAGAAAGCTCCACTGATCATGTCCCAGTCCCGTGTCCCAGACCCACACCCGCCCCCCACCCCCTACAAGGACCAAGTTGACAACTATCTACACAGATATGAGTGCCCATCTCAAAAATCAGGTGGGCAACTCATAGTACTTGATTTTAACTTCATAGCACTGAAAAAAAAAAGGCACTCAAGAGATAGAAAAAATAGTTTTGAATCACAGACACCACCCCTCCCCAACCCCGGCAGCAGCAGAGTGATGGGCAGAGCTTCTCCTGGCACCAGGGCAGGGAGAACACAGCAATTGTGAGGTATCAAACTCAGTGCTTTCCTGTTAGAGCAGAATGGAAAACTGAACCAAACTCAGCTGATGCCCGTCCCCAGAGGCAGCATTTAAATCAGCCCCACCAGAAAAGGAATTGCCAATCCCAGTAGTCCAAACTTGAGTGCCTGCAAACCTCGCCACCAAGGGCTACAGCACTCTGTGTCTCCAAGTAACCTTGAAAGGCAGTCTAGGCCATAAGGACTGGAACTCTTAGGCGACTCCCAGAGCAGAACCAGGCCCAGAGACAGTGGACTGGGGGTGGGGTAGGTGGTGGGATACATGTCATACTGGGACACCAGCTGGGGCAGCCAAGGGAATGCTGGCATCACCCCTCCCTTAACCCCAGGCTGCACAGCTCCGCTCATGGCTCCAAAAGGGACCCCTTCCTTCCGCTTGAGGAGAGGAGAGGGAAGAGCAGGGAAGACTTCACCTTGCATCTAGGACACCACCTCAGCCACAGCAAGATAGGGCACTGTGGGACTCAGGAGGCCGCCATTCCAGGCCCTGGTTTGCAGATGACGTTTCTAGACACATCCGGGGCCAAAAGGATGTGTCTTTCCTTCACTGCCTTGAAGGAAAGAACCCAATCCTGGCAGCATTCATCACCTGCTAACCGAAGAGCTCTTGGGCCCTGAATAACCAGCTGCAGTTATTCAGGGCCCAGGTAGTATATCAAGGGCCTTGGGTAAGCCTCTGAGACTTCCTGGCTTCAGAAGAGACTTAGCACATTACCAGCTGTGGTAGCTACAGAGCAAAACTCCTTCTGCTTGAGAAAAGTAGAGGGAAAAGTAAGGGGAACTTTGTCCTACACCTTGGGTACCAGCATGGCCACAGGGGAGCAGAGCACGAAGCAGGCTCTTAGGGTTCCTGATTCCAGGACTTGGCTCTTGAATAGCATTTCTAGACCTGCTCTGGGCCATAGAGGAATCCACTTCCCTGAAGGGTAAGTCCCAGGCCATTAACTTCAAGCTGACTTAAGAGACCTTGGGCCTTAAGAGAACATTGGTGGTAGTCTGGCAGTATTCCTCATGGCCTGGGGTGGCGGTGGCTACCCAGTGAGGTTCCTCTGTCTTTGGGAGGGGGAGGGAAGAGTGGGAAAGACTGTATCTTGTGGTTTGAGTGCCAGCTCAGCTGCAATACAGTAGAATACCTGGTAGACGTCTAAAATTTTTGACTCTAGTCCTTGACTCCCAGACAGTACTTCTGTACCCACCCAGGGCCTGGGGGACCTCACCACCCTGAAGGGAAGGACACAGGCCTGGCTGGCTTTACCACCTGTTAATTGTAGAGCCCCAGGACCTTGAGTGAACGTAGGCTGCAGCCAGAGGTTGAGTACAGCAGGACTTGGGTGAGACCAAATGCTACACTAGCTTCAAGTCTGATCCAATACAGTCAGCAGTGGTGGCCACAGGGGTACTTGTGTCACTCAACCCCCAGCTTTAGGTGGCTCAGAACCGAGAGAAAGACTGTATGTTTAGGAGAAAGTAAAGGAAAAGAACATGAGCCTCTGCCTTGTAACCCAGGGAATTCTCCCAGATCTTGTCCAAGTCCATCAAGGCAGTACCTCTACAAGTTTGCAAAAACCAGTGTTACTGGGCTTGGGGTGCCCCCTAAAGCAGATACAGCTTAGATCACAACACACAAGTCCTTTCAAATATCTGGAAAGCATTTCCAAGATGAATGGGTACAAATAAGCACAGACAGTGAGGACTACAATAAATACCTAACTGTTCAATGCCAGACACCAAGGAACATCTACAAGCATCAGCACCATCTAGGAAAATATGACCTCACTAAATAAACTAAATAAGACACCAAGGAACAATCATGGAGCAACAGAGCTATATGTCCTTTCAGATAGAGAATTCAAAATAGCTGTGTTGAGGAAACTCAAATAAATTTAAGATAACACAGAGAAGGAATTCAAAATTCTATCAGGTAAATTTAAGAAAGAGACTGAAATAATTAAAAAGAATCAAGCAAAGGCCAGGCGTGGTAGCTCACACCTGTAATCTGAGCACTTTGGGAGGCCAAGGTGGGTAGATCACTTAAGGCCAGGAGTTCAAGACCAGCCTGGCCAACATGGTGAAACCCCATCTCTACTAAAAATATAAAAATTAGCCAGGCGTGATGGTGCCTGTAATCCCTGCTACTGAGGAGGCTGAGACAGGAGAATCACTTGAACCTGGGAGGCAGAGGTTGCAGTGAGCCAAGAGCACACCACTGGACTCCAGCCTGAGCAACAGAGTGAGACTCCATTTCAAAAAACAAAAACAAAACAACAACAACAAACAAAAACAAAAAGAATCAAGCAGAAATTCTGGAACTGAAAAATTCAATTGACAAACTGAAAAGTACATCAGTCTCTCAACAGCAGAATTGATCAAGCAGAAGAAAGAGTTAATGAGCTTGCAGAGAGGCTATTTGAAAATACAATCAGAGAAGACAAAAGAAAAAAAATTTAAAGAATGAAGTACAACTAAAAGATACAGAAAAATAGTCTAAAAGGGGCAAATCTAAGAGTTATTGGCCTTGCCAAGCATGGTGGCTCACATTTGTAATCCCAGTACTTTGGGAGGCCAAGGTGCAAAGATCACTTGAGCCCAGGAATTCGAGACTAGCCTGAGCAACATAGTGAGACTAAATTTATTATTATTTTTTATTTTTTAATTTTATTTTATTTTTAAAGTTATTGCCCTTAAGGAGAAAATAGAGAAAGAGATAGGAGTAGAAAGTTTATTCAAAGGGATAACAGAGAACTTCCCAAACCTAGAGAAAGATATCAATATCCAAGTACAAGAAGGTTATAGAACACCAAGCAGATTTAACCCAAAGAAGACTACCTCAAGACATTGAATAATCCAACTCCCAAAGGTCAAGGATGAAGAAAGGAATCTAAAAGCAGTGAGAGAAAAGAAACAACATACAATGGAGCTTCAATAAATCTGGCAGTAGACTTTTCAGTGGAAACTTTACAGTCCAGGAGAGAGTGCCATGACATATTTAAAGTGCTGAAGAGAAGAAACTTTTATTCTAGAATAGTATATCTTATCTGCTGAAAATATCCTTCACACATGATGAAGAAATAAAGACTCTCACAGGCCAAAAAAAAAGCAGAGGGATTTCATAAATACCAGACCTGTCCTACAAGAAATGCTTAAGGGAGTACTTCAATTTCAATCAGAAAGAAAAATAATAATAATAAGCAATGAATAATCACCTGAAGGTGCAAAACTCACTGATAATAGTAAGCACACAGAAACACACAGAGTAGTATAACACCGTAACTGTGGTATCCAAACTACTCTTATCCCGAGTAGATAGACTAAACAATCAACCAATCAAAAATAGTAACTACAACAACTTTTCAAGACATAGAGATTATAATAAGATATAAATAGAAACAACAGGGTTAAAAAGTTAAGGGGAGAAAGTTAAGGCATAGAGTTTTTATTTTATTTTTCTTTGTTGTTTGTTTATGCAAATAGTGTTAAGTTGTTATCAGGTTAAAATAATGGGTTTAAGATAATATTTGCAAGTCTCATGGGATTTATCTCTGGGACCCAAGTATTTTTCAGCATATGCAAATCAATCAATGGGATATATCATATCAACAGAATGAAGAGTAAAAAACCATATGATCATTTCAATTTATGCTGAAAAAGCATCTGATAAAATTCAACATCCCTTCAACATTAGCAGTGGCTAATGCCTGTAATAATAATAGTAGCAATTCAACATTAGCAGTGGCTAATGCCTGTAATAATAAAAACCCTCAACACACTGGATATAGAAGGAACACACCTCAACATAATAAAAGCCGTATACAACAGAACCCCAGCTAGTATGATACTGAATGGGGAAAGACTGAAAGTTCTTCCTTCATACTGGAAGTCCAAGCTAGAGCAACCAGACAAGAGAAAGATATGAAGGGCATGCAAATTGGAAAGAAAGAGGCCAAATTACCCTTATTTGCAGATGATATGATCTTATATTTAGAAAAACCTAAAGACTCCACAAGAAAACTATTAGAACTGATAAATTCAGTAAAGTTACAAGATACAAAATAAACATACAAAAATCAGTAGCATTTCTATATACCAACAGTGAATGATGTGAAAAAGAAATTTAAAAAGTAATCCCATGTATTAAACACAATAGCCACACATAAAATTAAATATCTAGGAATTAACTTAATCAAAGATTTCTATAATGAAAACTATAAAACACTGATGAAAGAAATTGAGCAGGACACCAAAAAATCAAAAACTATTTTATGTTCATGGATTGGAAGAATCAATATTGTTAAAATGTCCATACTACCAAAAGCAATCTACAGATTCAATGCAAACCCTACCAAATTACCAATGACATCCTTCACACAAATATTTTAAAAAATCCTAAAGTGTATATGAAACCACAAAATACCCAGAATAGCCAAAGTAAAAAGATCAAAACTAGAGTAATCACATTACTTGACTTCAAATTATACTATAGAGCTATAGTAACCAAAACAGCATGGTACTAGCAGAAAAACAGACACATAGACCAATGGAACAGAATAAAGAATCCAAACAAATCCATACACCTAGAGTGAACTCATTTTTGGCAAAGGTGCCAAGAACATACACTGAGGAAAAGAGAGTCTCTTCAATAAATGGTGCTGGGAAAACTGGATATTCATCTGCCCAAGCCTAGAGTGCAGTAGTGCAATCGTGGCTCACTGCAACCTGGAACTACTGGGCTCAAACAATCCTCCCATCTCAGCCTCCCAAGTAGCTGGAACTACAGACACGCACCACCATGCCTGACTAATTTTTTAATTTATTTTTTGTAGATAGAGATTCTCACTATGTTGCCCAGGCTGGTCTCAAACTCCTGGGCTCAAGTGATCCGGCGCTGAGATTACAAGAGTGAGCCACCGCACCCAGACCAAAGTTCTTTTAAAACAATTAAAGAGCATTGGATTAGACTGTGCAATAGACATGAAATTTTTCAAACGTGAATAAAATATTTTCACAAGACTGAGTTTATAAACCATGCACAATCCATAGGGCTTTCTCAGGACGTGTATCAGTCTACTTCTCAATCCTTTATTATGTCAAGACTTTACTTAGCATCAACATACTGGCAATTGAGTTTTATTTTATAGCACTATAAACATCTAATGCCTTTTTAATTGTGCTATGGAATAATTCTAGTAATACGCTACTAGACATGAAACTTTAAGACAAGATCGCTAATAATAATAATAATAATAGCTAATAATTATCAGCACTTAACTCTGTTCCAGGTGCTATGTTAAGCATCTGACATCTACTCAATCCTCACTATATTACTATACCCATTTAAGAGATAAGAATATATAATGATCAAATAAGTAAATTGCCCAAATTTTAAAAGATAGTAAATGGATGAGCTAGGATTTGAACCTGATCTGATTCAAAAATTTGTGAACTTGACCATCACCCAATATTCTTAATATAAAATTAAGCATTTAGAATAAGTCTTGAGCTGAGTGCAGTGGTGCATGCCTGTAATCCCAGCACTTTCGGAGGCCAAGGTGGGAGGATCGCTTGAGCTCAGGAGTTTCAGAACAGCGTGGACAACATAGGAAGACCTCATATCTATTTAAAAACTCAAAAAATTAGCCAGGCGTGGTGGTGCACACCTGTAGTCTCAGCTGTTCAGGAGGCTAAGGTGGAAGGATTGCTTGAGCCTAGGAGGTGGAGACTGCAATGAACCATGATCATACCACTGCACTCCAACATGGGCAACAGAGACCCCTGTCTAAAAAAAAAAATTTAAATAAAATTTTTTTAAAAACCGTAAGTATATGCAGTACAGGTTTTCCCAGCTATCATGGTTTATGACCTTATGAATAATATTGTATTAGTTACCTATTACATGGCAGGCATTTAACTTTATGTACCAATTTCCTTTATTCCTCTTCACAAATCCGAGAGTCCCATATCCTCAGGCCCATTTTGCATCGGAGGACACTTACCTGCATAATAATCATTGTGAGAAACAACATACAAATCATGTCCTTCATTTCCTTCTTTAAATACTTCTTCATAGGATTTTGGTGGATTCACCACATCTTTAGCAGAGTATTCTGAAGGAAGAATTAATAAAATCAGTTCCAAGTCACTTTTTAACCTATTTATAATACGTTTATATTGACTAGAACAAATGAGAAATTAGGTATGCTGGATGCAAGGCTACATAGACATCCCGAGAGATCACAAAGCCAACATAAATGATTTATCAAGAAAGGGAAGCCCACTTGACCTGGCTCATCCCCTATAAGTCAGAGCATATTAGAACTCTATTATCACTGGCTGGGAGCAATGGCTCACGTGTGTAATCTCAGCACTTTGGGAGGCCAAGGAGGGTGGATCACCTGAAGTCAGGAGTTCGAGATCAGCCTGGCCAACATGGTGAAACCCCATTTCTACTAAAAAAAAAAAAAAAATCCAGCCTGGACAACATGGTGAAACGCCATCTCTACTGAAAATACAAAAATTAGCCAGGTGTGGAAGCACGTGCCTGTGGTCCCAGCTACTTTACTCAGGAGGCTGAGGCAGAAGAATTACTTGAATCCGGGAGGTGGAGGTTGCAGTGAGCCGAGATGGCACCACTGTACTCCAGCCTGGGCAACAGAGCGAAACTTTCATCTCAAAAAAAAACTATATTATCAGTTAACTGTTTAGTTGTGGTAAGCCATACTCCAAGCACAGTTAAATTCCTGATCCTGAGAATCTCTGTACAATTTTTATTTTAGTTTGCTGCAGACTTCTCAAGATGATCTAAACAAATCTGAACCACAAATTAGAACCCCTAATGCCCTGTGGGGTAGCCATGGTGTAAATTTTGGCAGTTTTAGATGGAAGCATACACCCTGTGTCTGTTTTGATCTGAATCTGTATTCCCAGGCTGGGCTCAGTGGCTCAGGCCTGTAATCCCAGCACTTTGGGAGGCTGAGGTGGGTGGATCATCTGGGGTCGGGAGTTCAAGACCAGCCTGAGCAACATGGTGAAACCCTGTCTCTACTAAAAATACAAAAATTAGACAGGCGTGGTGGCACACGCCTGTAATCCCAGCTACTCGGGGGGCTGAGGCAGGAGAATCGCTTGAACCTGGGAGGCAGAGGTTGCAGGGAGCCAAGATCACGACACTGCACTCCAGCCTGGGCAACAGAGTGAGACTCCGTCTCAAAAAAAAAATTAATTCATTAATTAATTAATTTAAAAAATGAATCTGTATCCTCAATGTAGCCAGAGGTACCAGGGAAATCACTGGAATCAGGGAGAAATTCTTCTACTGGTCCTAAATCTGGAAAAGATGTTTGTTTAATAGCTGCATTCCCATGACTAGTGGTACCCAGTTTTGTGTACAGTGAATAATTTTGTTTTTACTGTTTTAGATAATAATTTGTAAATGTAACTCCATTTACAATTTCACTCTTCCCTTTCGACCTAACAACATAGATTAAGAAATTTCCTTTCTTTTGGCCTTTCTGCTAAGAATTGAGTTATATAAACGAATAGTTAAGAATACCAGAAGATGATTCCAATCAAAATAATCCTGTAAAGCAGAACTTCTTTTTGATATATGAACATTACACTTAATAATACAGATATATACATTTTTTGAAACATTGTTTCTTTTATATATTTAAATGAGGAACACTTAGAGAATACTTTCCACATTAAATAAACTAATCCTAAAATAATGCCATGTCTAACAGTTCATATACATCGGATTTCTTAAACCTATCGAAAAGAAGAGGCAGGGAATAGTCACTCACACCTGTAATCCCAGCAGTCTGGGAGGCCAAGGTGGGAGAATCATTTGAGTCCAGGAGCTTGAGACCAGCCTGGAAACATGGTGAGACCCCAGCCTCTATATAAATATAAATATATATAGTTTATAAATATAAATATATATGTTTCATATATATAGAAACATAAAAAGGAAAGGATATTTAATCTACTGTAAAATACATTTTTCATGTGTCATATTTTTTAAAACTTCAGATATGATGCAATAAGGTACAACTCCAGATTTTACATTCCAAAGTATAATCTATCTTCAGAGTAGATGTCACTACCTTAAGGAAAATAATCTAATGAGCCTTTCGGTGAACAAAGCTAAGGTTCCTGGAAGAGAGCCTCAATGGGTATGGAAAGACAAAGAGAGAATTTCTCCACAAAATAAAGAAAGATGGAATTTGAGATCTCCTATGGTAAGACTCCTAGAGGGAGGGGATAACCTGAAAAAGAGTAGAGGAGAGAAATCTGAGAAAGGTGTAAAGAAAGGTACCCAACAACATGGCAGGAACCTGGGTCTTCAGAGGGAAGAATGGCCTGTGATCAACTCTAATGAGTTATTTGTTGAATGATGGTACTCTACTCCCTCTCAAAATCAGAGTGGAAGTCAACTATGCACTCTGCTCTGTATTTGGTTAGTACGCAGGTAGACCTCACGGATCTGCATGAATGGAGTGCAGTATACAGCATTTACCATACTTATCTGTGCCATGAACTCTGTTGCATAAAGAGTTCGGAGTCATGAACACATGTGAAGCACTGATGGAAATGAAACACACAAATGGATGTCCAAGGCAAAGGGATTGTAGTTCTCTAGCTAGCCCCAGAGCCAATTTTTGTTGAGTTCTTTCCTGTCTTTACACCATGCCTACTATGCTCACTATATCTGGACTCCAATACCTGAATTTTTCCTGCCTCTGCATACATACACGTCAAGGATTTTGGTTCTGAGAGTAACTTTCTTGCAACAATCCCATCTTTCCTTCTTGAGTCATCGTTTACACCATCACCAAACATCATACAAATAAGATATTTAATCAAATTTTCCAAAGAGACTTATTTTACCAGCCCCTTCCCACCCCTTATTTTTTTTTTTACTACCTTTGATGACTGCTGTCCCAAATGTCGTATTGGTTGTGTCCATGCCTTTTGGTAATCCTGGTGCTTGATCGTGAGATTTTCCTAATGGTGCTCGTCGATTGCTAAGATATATAGATTCTTTTTTATCTTTAATTTTCTGTTGAAATGTGGTAATAGGCTGTGGGTTTATCAATGTGTTTGCCTAAAGAAATCATACAATGCACAAATATATCAACAAAAAAAGTATAAATCTGAAAATAGAAACCCTAATCAATAGCTGGGGAGAGGAGACTGTACGATTGTGGGAAAACATTTCATTATCATTATTGGCTTTGCTCACCTTCAAATGAACTGTCAGAATTGGCTATGAAGTTTAAACACGCCTACAAGAACTTTCTAATGAGTTAAAAGGTTTCAGTGATACTAAAAGGTTTACAATGATAGCTTCCAGGTTACTTGACTCAAATATTTAAGAAAAGTGGTGCCAGGTGTAGTGGCTGACGCCTGTAATCACAGCACTTTGGGAGGCTGAGGCGGGCAGATCACCTGAGGTCTGGAGTTTGAGACCAGCCTGGCCAACATGGTGAAACCCCATAACTACTAAAAAAAAAAAAAAAAAATTAGCCGGGTGTGCTGGCACACGCCTGTAGTCCCAGCTACTCAGGAGTCTGAGGCAGGAGAATGGCTTGAGCCCGGTAAGTGGAGGTTATAGTGAGCCAAGACCACACCACTGCACTCCAGCCTGGGCGACAGAGTGAGACTCAGTCTCAAAAAAAAAAAAAAAAAAAGAAGAAAAGTGAAAATGAAAAGCACAAGAACCACTTGACTTCCAAAAGTTCTCTTCAGATATAGAGATCAGGTCTTCTGAATCTAGACTGTGCATTCAATCAATAGCAGATAACCAACATTTTGACTCCACCTCTACTCAATGTCCATATAAGTATTCTATAGTGCCTCTAGGCAAGTCACCAAGACAGTCTTTTTTTGTTTGTTTGTTTGTTTTTGAGATGGAGTTTCGGTCTGTTGCCCAGGCTGGATTGCAGTGGCATGATCTCAGCTCACTGCAATCTTCACCTCCCGGGTTCAAGTGATTCTCCTGCCTCAGCCTCCCGAGTAGCTGGGATTACAGGCGCCTGCTACCATGCCCCAGCTGCTTTTTTTTTTTTTTTTACTTTTAGTAGAGACAGGATTTCGCCATGTTGGCCAGGCTGGTCTCAAACTCCTGATCTTAGCGGATCCCCCTGCCTCAGCCTCCCAAAGTGCTGGGATTACAGGCATGAGCCACCATGCCCTGCCAAAACAGTCCTCTTTATTGTCTAACACAACCTGACAGTATTTCTCTTTATTGTGAGAAAATGGAATGCAACTAGGCTTTTATCATTTGAGAGAACAATAGATAGTTTGTGGCTTAAACTATTAATTTCTTCACACTGTCTTGGCTGCTGCTGCTTGGCTTTTTTTTACTGCTCAAGATAAATGCTTTTGGAAGACAGATTGAGAAAAGCCTAGTAAAAATATGGGTGGGAAGGAGATTGGAACTGATGAATTTCACTAATACCTGATTTGTGCATTTTCACCTTGGTAAATTAATAATGTACAAGGAAAAAAAGAAAATAACTTACCAGTACTGAAATTTTAGATCTAATTCCATGTGTCAAATAAGGTGCAATCTGGGGATCATTTGCTCTTCCGTAAAATACTCTTTCTACTCCAGCAGGTGGATATCTGAAGTTGAAATACTTTTTTGCTTCAGGTGGAGTAATTAGCTACAAAGAGTGAGGCAAGAAAATAGTATTAAGTACAGTTTCTAAAAATATTAACAGGACTGATCTATACCAATCAACCAACAACCTTAAGTGCATGTATGTAGTAAATGCATTTGGAACTACAGCCCCAAATAATGAACATCCCCCTAAAATGTATTTATTTATTAATGAAAGTAAAAAACATTTTTTTCCATGACACAGATCCTGAGAACATGTGTCCTAAACAACATATTTTAAATGTTGTATTTAGAAAACAACCAGGAAGTATCCAGGTTACAAAGCATACCGTTATTCCCACTGAAATAAATTGAATCCCCTGTAATTGAATCCCTGTAGAGCTAGAAATTGTAAGCCTGGGATTTTCACTTTCTTGGACAAAATCAATAGAAGGCCTCAAAATACAGCAAAGAATCCAAATTGACCACATTAAGTTTATACCACTTTCATAAGGAACGTTGAGTTGCCTATTCCTTAATGTTCACATAGAAGGTAAAAATAGAAATATAAAGGTATATTGAAAGTGCTCACCCTGGGAAGTTTTTCAGTCAAGCAGGTTGCAACTCTGTAACCAACTGGAATAACTTTTCCTGCCTTTGGGGGAAAAAAATGGGTTGATCATTGCCAGGGTGGAAGAGGAGCATTTTGAAGAATGAAATTTATTTCAAACTTGTCCTATGCCTCTGAGGCTACAAAGTTACTTTTGACTAACATAAAAAAGGAAGAACAAATAGTAAATGTAAAGCAATCTTCATACGTAACAAACATTAAATGCTATGTATATATTATAAACATTTATAAAATTGTAAGCATATATTTTTACAGCACTAACATTGTTAGTGATTCATCCAGTTACAGGAATTCTGTGACATGTTGAGGAATTCAACCTTCAGAACAATCTTCTCATAGATCACAGGTTAATTATTCATTGTTCTATATAACAGTGAAATAGAAGTATGATCTTTGGGAGGCCAAGAAGGGAGGGTTTCTCATGGCCAGGAGTTCGAGGCTACAGTGAGCTGTGATCACATCACTGTACTCCATCCTGGGCAATGGAGCAAGACCTTGCCTCCGAAAATAAATAAATAAATAAAATTTAAAACTGAGAGAAAGAAACTAACTTCCCATAGTGTTCTGGGTCTCTGGAAAGAGTAGAGAGCGACAGAGAAAGAAAGAGAACAAACAGACAAAAGCAGAGAAATTGAGAATGGAGTGGAGTGGATGGATGAATGAGTAGATGTGGGTGAACATATGAATGAATACATACGGGTAGGTGAAAGTTTATTATTATGTTAAGTGTTGAGTGTGGAATTCCTTTTAGTGAGAGAGTCTTTAGGGTTTAAGAGACTGTCTTGCTGACATCTCTAGGTATAAAAGAGGAAGCCCACAGACATAGCCAGGCAGAAAACTGAATTGCTTTGTTAAAAAAAAAATGGGAGAAAATATGATCTTTGTAGTGTCTAATGTTTTAATATGAATTATTAGACTCCAGTTTGAAAGGGAGGGGCAAAACAACTTCTGATTAGATACATGAAGAAGGAAAAATCAAGGAGATGACAAATAAATTGAGAAAGTGTGTGGAGTCCAAGGTCTAGCAACAGGGTGAGAGGCTGGGGGGGCCAAGATGGGAAATAAGACAGTAAGAAGCAGCCCAGTCTTAATGCTGTATCTTCAGTAAATTCTACCCACACAATTACATTGTGTGAGAAGAACTTTGTGTAAAAAAAGAAAGGAGCTGTGTTCTGTGTTCTAACCTGGGCAAAAGCAAGACTGAGAAGATGGAGAAGAGATATAGTGAGATTTTTTTTAATTCAGTTGTAAGTTATAAGAAATCTCACTAATACCAGGGAATATTGTCTCTCTCTATACTTAGGATACGAACTCAAGTCATTTTTAAAAATACGAAGGCTGCCAGGCAAGGTGGCTCACACCTGTAATCCCAGCACTTTGGGAGGTCAAGGTAGGTGGACCATTTGAGGTCAGGAGTTCAAGACCAGCCTGGCCAACATGGTGAAACCCCGTCCCTTCTAAAAATACAAAAATTAGGCAGGCATGGTGGTGCGTGCCTGTAATCCCAGCTACTCGGGAAGCTGAGGCAGGAGAATTGCTTGAACCCAGGAGGCAGAGGTTGCAGTGAGCCGAGGCCATGCCATTGCACTCCAGCCTGGGCAACAAGAGCAAAACTCCATCTCAAAAAAAGAAAAATAAAATTATGAAGGGAATCAGAATATGCTGTCCAAAAATATGCCACTTTTGCATATGGATTATTCTGAGCTGAAGGCAGTTAAGAATCAGCAGATACAGGAAGAGTTCAACACTTGGAAGAAGGTGTGGTAAAGCTTGGATATGAAAATAGAAAGATTGGTTGAAAGTGTGTATTCAGGGCAATTGTATCCCCAGTTCTTCTTCATCCTATGTTATCCTTGTCTTCACACAAACTCTCAACCCCTCTTGCCAAACTGTGGATGTGTTTTTGCAAAGGGGTTTTGTAGCCAGAAACATCAAACCCAAGGTAAGGTAGCGGGGCATTAATAGGAGCATTAATAAGTAAAAGTATACTTTCTGTAATGCATTTCCTCTAGCTTCCTCTCCCACTGGGCCCTGGAAAGCCAGCAGCCAGGAGTTAAGCCAGCCCTCTAGCCAGTGGGCAGTGTATAGGAAAGGCAGTAGCGCATCATGAATATAAATAGAGATTTGGAAGCCAGCTTTCTTGGGTTCAAATATCTGCCAATAAATAAGCTGTGTCACCCTGTTACTCAGCCTCAATTTGCTCACAATGGAGATGGTGATAACAGTACCAACCTCATAGAGATCGTTGAGAATTAAATGAGTTAATACATATAAAACGCTTAGAACAGTGTCCACACATGCTATGTGCTATATAAGTTTCAACTATTATTACATTACTATTCTCTGGAAAATCTGAATAACCTAGAAGAAAAAAATTAATATTCGGGACTCTCCCAAAATAAAGGCTGCCTCATCTCTTCATCACCCTATAACAATGCCCCAGCCAGATGCAGTGGCTCACACCTGTAACCCCCAGCACTTTGGGAGGCAAAGGCGGGCGGATCACAAGGTCAGGAGTTCAAGACCAGTCTGACCAACATGATGAAACCCCGTTGCTACAAAAAAATATAAAAATTAGCCAGGCATGGTGGCGCATGCCTGTAGTCCCAGCTACTTGGGAGGCCCAGGCAGGAGAATCACTGGAACCCAGGAGGCGGAGGTTGCAGTGAGCCGAGATTGCGCCACTGCACTCCAGCCTGGGCAAAAAGAGTGAAACTCTGTCTCAAAAGGAAAAAAAAAAAAAGCCCCAAGGTAAACAAGCCATGCAACACACACACAGCTAATAATTTTCTTTGTAGTACCTAATGTTTCATTTGTTTTGTTTTGTTTTTGAGACAGGGTCTGATTCCGTCTTCTAGGTCAGACTGCAGTGGTGCAGATGTCAGCTCACTGCAACCTCTGCCTTTCAACCTCAGCTCACTGCAACCTCTACCATCCTCCCACCTCAGCCTCCCTAGTGACTGGGACTACAAGTGTGGGCCACCATGCCTAGCTAATTTTTGTATTTTTTTTGTAGAGACGAGTTTTTGACATGTTGCACAGGCTGGTCTTGAACTTCTGAGCTCAAGTGATCTGCCTGCCTTGGCCTCCCAAAGGGGTGGGATTACAGGCATGAGCCACCACGCCCAGCCTGCCTAATGTTTTAATATGAATTATTAGACTCCAGTTTGAAAGGGAGGGGCAAAACAAGCTAATAAAAAACATACACAAACATAGAGGGAATAGGAAAATGTAAATAAACAAAAGAGATTACCTGAGAGATATAAGATGTTGCATTTATTGCATTTATAAAACTATATTAGAAATTCTAAAAGACAACCTGAGAAGAAATAACTCTTTAGAATTTAAATATGATAATCTAAATAAAATTTCTACTTTTCACCTATTGTTTTAATATGTACTGATGAGCTGGGCATGGTGGCCCATGCCTATCATCCCAGCACTTTGGGAGGCTGAGGCAGGAGGACTGCTGGAGCCCAGGGTTCAAGACCAGCCTGGGCAACAAAGTGAGACCCTTATCTCTTTAAAAAAATAATAATAACTAGTGATGATTCTTTCCTAAATCATTATTCCTATGATGGTTGCCAAATGAGGACTTTCTAATTTTAGCATTCTTTCTATATTTATTAATTGCATTATACTGCAAGGAAGTTTTCTTTTCTCTCTCTCTCTCTTTTTTTTTTTTTTTGAGACAGAGTCGTCCTCTGTTGCCCAGGCTGGAGTGCAGTTGTGTGATCTTGACTCACTATAACCTCCGCCTCCCAGGTTCAAGTGATTCTCCTGCCTCAGCCTCCCGAGTAGCTGGGAATACAGGCACATGCCACCACGCCCGGCTAATTTTTGTATTTTCAGTAGAGACGGGGTTTCCCTATGTCGGCCAGGCTGGTCTCAAACTCCTGACCTCGTGATCCTCCCTCCTCAGCCTCCCAAAGTGCTGGGATTACAGGCATGAGCCACTGCGCCAGGCCTTTTCTCACTATTTATTCACACATTTATGTATTTACATCCCTATGTACTCGTGGATTTCTATTTTATTCAATGGTAATTTTATTCAATACTCAATGTACACCAGTTTGGTCTAGGGGAAGACTCATCAACCTTGTTTCTTCAAGTTTGTTTTATATCTGCATGATTCTTTAGGATTCTTCTCATTTTTTTGCTCATGAGGATGTTCCATGTTCATATTGTACTTGCCTGTGCAAGTCCTAGAGTCAGCCATTTCTCCAAGGAGCTTAATTTCTTTTCAAAGAGAATAGTACATGGCACATGTATACATATGTAACTAACCTGCACATTGTGAACATATACCCTAAAACTTAAAGTATAATAATAAAAAAAAAGAAATAAAGATCTGGATTTTGGTGTGCTCTTTGCTACTAGAGAAATACCGCTTCTAAGCTCTCTTAAATAGAGTTAGGATGGCCGGGCGCAGTGGCTCACACCTGTAATCCCAGCACTTTGGGAAGCCGAGGTGGGCGGATCACGAGGTCAGGAGATCAAGACCATCCTGGCTTAAACGGTGAAACATCTCTACTAAAAATACAAAAAATTAGCCGGGCATGCTGGCCGGCACCTGTAATCCCAGCTACCCGGGAGGCTGAGGCAGGAGAATGGCGTGAACCAGGGAGACGGAGCTTGCAGTGAGCCGAGATCCGGCCACTGCACTCCAGCCTGGGCGACAGAGCTAGACTCCTTCTCAAAAAAAAAAAAAAAAAAATAGAGTTAGGAAATGTATGAATAGACAAACACCCCCGCACACTTGCATGTATATTGATCCTATAATATTCTGTCTAGTTAAATGTGTGTAGTTAGAATCCATGGTCATAGATATATAGATATATCATAAATGTATATGAATACCTCTAATCACAATCCAACACAACAGGATTCATTCTATTCTCCTTTCCATATTTATAACACTTTTCTCTGTCAGTGAGAAAAGGGTTATTGTCCTAAATAACCCTGGCATTATTGTCCTAAATATATTTACTTATCTGCTTAGGCTTTCTGTCTGTAACCCAACTCCAAACTGCACCAACCATCTCCTTGCTCAGCTGCCTCTTTGCTCGGTCCCTAACAACACCGGAGACACCTTGCTTGGCCACCTCCTCACTCAACCCCCAGTGTTACAGGCTTTAATGGCCAAGTACCTCTTTCATTTATCATACAAGTGAGTCCCAAGATTCAAGTCAACTCAGGAAGGTTGATATAAGACCATTTTCAGCTGCTCAAGACCCACAGACCCATAATCATCACACCACCTTCCACTCTTCAAACTCAATGTGGGTTAGCTTAATGGTTACAGCTCTCCCACTTGCCCTTGGTCAAGATCCCTCTGTTTTACTCAGAGAGATCCCCAATTCTAAACATCTCAGAGAGCATTAGGAGTGATGGTACCCATTCCCTTTCTGCCCAGAAGACACTGAATCCATTATGCAAATAAAAACATCCAATTCCCAGAATTCTGCAGAGATTAGCTTTGGAAATTCATACAAAATAAATCTTTTTACCTGGTATTTTCTCCAATACCAGGGCCTGCATAACTAGGAAGGTCCCACAAGATTTATTAACAGGTGGCACCTTTCCCTCCACCTATTCCCAAAATAGCTGTCAGGTTCTACTAGTATAGAACAGGAAAAAGCAAGGCACCCCTTTGCATGACATTTGTCATATCATAAAGTCATTTGTCTATTGGTCTCCAGTCTCTAAGTTCCTTGAATGCAGGTAGTATGTAATTTTTCATCTATGTGGCCCCAGCGTTTATTTGTGTATGGGTTTTTTGGTTTTTTTGGGGTTTTTTTTGTTTTTTGGGGTTTTTAAAATTTATTTATTTATTTTGAGACGGAGTCTCGCTCTGTCGCCGAGGCTGGAGTGCAGTGGCGCAATCTCGGCTCACTGCAAGCTCCACCTCCCAGGTTCACGCCATTCTCCTGCCTCAGCCTCCCGAGTAGCTGGGACTACAGGCGCCTGCCACCACACCTGGCTAATTTTTTGTATTTTTAGTAGAGACGGGGCTTCACTGTGTTAGCCGGGATGGTCTCGATCTCCTGACTTCGTGATCCCGTCTCGGCCTCCCAAAGTGCTGGGATTACAGGCTTGAGCCACCACGCCCAGCCTGCTTTTTTATTTTTATTTTTGAGACAGTTTCACTCTTTTGCCCAGGCTGGAGTGCAATGGCATGATCTCAGCTCACAGCAACCTCCGCCTCCCGGGCTCAAGTGATTCACCCACCTCAGCCTCCTGAGTAGCTGGGATTACAGGCGCCTGTCACCACACCCGGCTAATTTTGTATTTTTAGTAGAGACGGGGTTTCTCTATGTTGGTCAGGCTGGTCTCGAACTCCCAACCTCAGGTGATCCACCCGCCTCGGCCTCCCAAAGTGCTGGGATTACAGGCATGAGCCACCCCGCCCGGACTTGTTTTTGTTTTTTAAATAGGATCTCACTCTGTCAACCAGGCTGGAGTGAAGTGATACCATCAGAGTTCATTGCAGCCTCAACCTCCCATAGCCCTATGTTATCATGGACACTATAATTTTTGTAAACTTCCCCTTGAAGCTTTCCTTCCTTCTTCGTCTTTCTATTCCAGGGCTCAATATCATTTACCAATGCACTTTGTATGCTTCAGATGTTTTGTCTTAATAACTCCAGGTTTCTGCCTTAGTCAGTGCATTGATGGAAATCAAGGGACAGTCTCGGGATAGCTTAGAAAATAACCATTGTAGAGATTTTGATCTCTGACAGTGTTTTTCAAAAGTCAAGTGCCCTTTCAAGGGCTACCAGGCCTCCACACAGAGGACCTCCTTTCACAAGAATCTTTTTGATTGTTTAAGAACACACCAGAAATCTCTCCTTAGGCCAGTATTTCTTGGAAACTTTTCCTTCCTGCACTGGTTCCACATCCATGACTGTTTTACTAGAAGAACTTGCCTGATGGGTCTCATAAATCCAACAGAGCAAACCTTCACCCGCAACTAAACACCAACTTTGGGCAGCAACTTCAAACCATAGGATGAGTATTCCTGAAATAAGGTGTATCTGCTCTTCCTCGCTCAAAACTGGAAAGATCTCTCATTAAAGTAAGTTCTTCCAGTTCCCTGAATGCACCCTGATGCAAAGTGATTATCCTCAAGCATTGATCTTGCAGGTTATTCACAATGGGGATTTTCATCTAAACTCTCCTCACAGCCATGCTTGACACTGGGTTTCAACCTCACCCAAATGCACTTCCTTCCTACTCTGAGACTCAGGGGCATCAAATACTTTACCATCCCATCCCCTGGTCAGGATGTTAGGGATTGCCTTCTCTTCCTTTTTCAGCTGTTTGAGTTTAACCAAGCTTACAAGAAGTAAATAATACTATAAATACTGTAGTATATATAAACAAATACTATAGTATATATATAGTATATACTATATATATAGTAAATAATATAGTAGCTAATACTATACATAACATATAAAGAAAGCATAAAGACAGTTGGAAAGCTGGGAAGCTTCTCAATTCTTTTTATATACTAGCGTTACCCTAATACCAAGCACAAAAAGAAAAACTACTGTCTAAATTTACAGAGAACCACAAATACAAAAATCCTAGTGAAACACTGGCAAGTCAAATCCAGGGATATATTATGAACATAATATATCACAAGGAGGGCTTAGGCCAAAAATATGAAGATGGTTTACCCTTAGAAAATGAACTATTTTAATTCAGAAAAAATATATATTTCAATAAATGTGGGAAAAGCTTTTCACAGATTGTTTAGTCCTGATTTTTAAACTTTCTTAGCAAACTGGAAATGGATACAAGTGTTCTTAACTTTAAATATCAGAAATCTCCCACAAAATCACATGTAATAGTGAAACATTATAATCATTCCCATCAAAATCAGAAAAGAGACCTTGTTGTTGTTTTGTTTGTTTGTTTGAGGCGGAGTCTCGCTCTGTCGCCCAGGACAGTGGTGCGATCTTGGCTCACTGCAACCTCCGCCACCCAGGCTCAAGTGATTCTCCTGCCTCAGCCTCCAGAGTAGCTGGGATTACAGGTGCCTGCCACCACACCCAGCTAATTTTTTAGTTTTTAGTAGAGACGGAGTTTTGCCATATTGGCCAGGCTGGTCTCAAACTCCTGACCTCAGGTGATCTGTCTGCCTTGGCCTCCCAAAGCACTGGGATTTCAGGGGTGAGCCACCGTGCCCGTCCAAAAGACATTGTTTTTAATATTGTATTTTTTTTCTTATCATAGCCAATGCAGTGAGGTAGGAAATAGAGATAGATGAAAGGTATAGATACTAAAGAGAAAAGGACAAAAGTGTCAATATGATTGTCAACCTAAAATATCCATACACAAGCAAAATAGTCATTAAAAAAGGAAATAATGATAAGCAATTATGACTAATAAGAGTTCAGCAAGGTGACCACACACAAGGATTAAAAAAAAATAAAAACAAACATATGGAGCAATTTTCAATCTAATTATAAGTTAAAGAAACATAAATTAAAATAATGCCTAACAAATTATTATGATTTTTAAAATTTATTGCTACAATCTTTTAGGAAGAGATTTGGCAATAGAAACTAGAAAAAGATCCATGCTTTTGGCTTCTGCTGAAACTCTATCCTTAAGCAAATATTCCAATACATATAAAAAGACTTTTTTTTTAACTTTTTTTTTTTTTAAGAGACAAGGTCTCACTATGTTGCCCAGGTTGATCTCAAACTCCTGGGCTCAAGCAGTCCTCCCACTTCAGCCTCACAAAATGCTGGGATTATAGGCATGAGCCACCATGCCTGGCTGACAAACTATTTTATAGAAAATTCTGGAAGAATAAAAAATGAATACCCAACAATAGAGGGAAAGAGTTAACTAAAGAATTGGCTTGGCCAGGTGTGGTGGCTCACGCCTGTAATCCCTGCACTTTGGGAGGCTGAGGTGGGTGTATCACGAGGTCAGGAGTTCAAGACCAGCCTGGCCAATATGATGAAACCCTGTCCATCTCTACTAAAAATACAAAAAATTAGCCGGGTGTGGGGGCAGGCACCTGTAATTCCAGCCACTCAGGAGGCTGAGGCAGGAGAATTGCTTGAACCCAGGAGGCGGAGATTGCAGCGAGCCGAGATGGTGCCACTGCACTCCAGCCTGGGCGAGAGCGTGAGACTCCATCTCAAAAAAAAAAAAAAAAAAAAAGAATTGGCTTAAATATTTTTTATCATTAAAAGATCTTTTTGAAGTCTTTGTAGTAATAGTTAAATCTTATAAATAACAAATGAAAAATCAAAACAAATTTTGCACTCGATAATAACAACTACATAAAAGTGCATTTGGATAAAAGTGTCATAAAAAGTATAGAGTAACTAACAACTCAGGCTCTCAAATAGGAATTTGAGATTTCAAATCCCACCACTTTTTAGCTATATGACTTTAGCCGAATTACCTAAATTTGCTTCCATTTCTTTACCTGTAAAATAGGATTTAGTAATAGTAGATGACTCACAGGTTGCAATAAGGGCAAACGAATTAATACCTGCAAAGGTCTATGAATAGCCATATTAATATAGTAAGCCACCAATAAATATTAATAATCGTGAAACAGTAAAGTGCTAATAGGCATTGTGTTAAGGTGATAAGATTCTAGGCATTTTCATCCCTGTTTTCTAAATTTTCTATAATGTTATTATTCTTGTGTTATAATCAAAATAAATATTTTAACATCTTAAAAATTATTTTTAAATGAAGCCTTGTTTCTAACAAAGTTAGAATCCCTCCTCTTGCCTATAATCCTAATTCCATTCCCTTCCACTCATCTAGAATCTGGTTCCACCCATTCTCTTCCTTTGTGTTATCTCAAACTCCTCCACTGATTCACTAAATAATAAGATTTCTAAGTGGAATATTTACTCTTTCTCTTCACTGTCATACTTCTTAAGAGAAAAAAATTTCATGATAGCTTTCTCCGATTCTAATAACCCATTCGCTCTTCAGTATATTATAATCTGAATTCTTTTTCTATTATGTCGTTCTAACAATGTTGGTAATTTCTTAATGTCCAAAGTTAATTAATCTTATTTTTACTTTATTTTTAGAGACAGGATCTCATTTTGTCACCCAGACTGGAATGCAGTGGTGTGATCATAGCTCACTGGAACCTTGAACTCCCAGGCTCAAATGATCTTCGCACCTCTCCCAAGTAGCTAGGACTACAGGCACATACTACCACACCTGGCTAATTTTTCTTTTTTGTATAGGCAGAGTCTTGCTATGTTGCCCAGGCTGATGACAAACTCCTGGCCTCGAGAAATCCTGCTGCCTGCTGGGCGTGGTGGCTCATGCCTGTAATCCCAGCACTTTGGGAGGCCAAGGTGGGCCGAACACTTGAGGTCAGGAGTAGGGGACCAGCCTGGCCAACATGGCGAAACCCCTTCTCTATTAAAAATACAAAAATTAAATTTAGAAAAAAAAGAAGGAAAAAAAATTAGCCGGGTGTGGTGGCATGCTCCTAGAATTCCAGCTACTGGGAGGCTGAGGCACAAGAATCGCTTAAGCCTGGGAGGCCGAGTTTGCAGCAAGCTGAGATTGCACCCCTGCACTCCAGCCTGGGTGATGGAGTGAGACTCTGTCTCAAAAAACAAAACAAAACAAAAAAACCCTCCTGCCTCAGCCTCCCAAAGTGCTGGGATTACAGCTAGTGCCACTGCACAAGGCCTATCAGAGATGATTTAACACTGCTGGTCACTCTCTCCTTGACACTCTCTTTCTTGTCCTATCACATTTAGAAAGGAAGGTATGCGAAGTGGGAGGAAGCAGAGGTTTTAGAATTGCCTGTGCTGGAAACTGGAAGCTGGTGTCTGCATGTGTGTGAGATCAGATCAGATCAGAAGCTGTAAATTGCAGAACCAATCCAGAAATGGGAACCGGTGTGGTCAAGTAAAGTGGCTGGGAAAACCCAAAGAGGAAACCAGAAAGCAGTGTGAGACAAAGAAGAAAAGAACATTCTGAGTCTGAAGGGGAAAAGTCTTCAAACCCAGACAAAATTCTGTGGAAGCCCTGTGACCTCTTCAGCTGAGTTTTATTTTCAAATTTCAGTGTGTGGAATCTCTTACTCACATTATAACTTAAGGACACTTTCTTATGTTTCTCAATACCAATGTCTCAGACTTACTTTTTTCTTCTCCGACTGGTCTTTCTCCCATTTAATCATCCGGGTTTCCTTCTATTTATCAAACATGTATTTATTGAATGACCACCATAAGCCAGGTATTGTGGTATGACATGAAGGTAAACAATGAACAAGATATAGTCCTTGCCCTCAAGAACTCACCTTATTGACATCTTTTTCACTGACCACCTCATGTCAATGTTTCCCAAGATTCTTGCCTTGACTTTCTTCTCCCATTCACACCCATGGGGCATCAATTGTCTCATATTACCAAGTGTTTCCCTGGCTTCTTTACCTGTCATCTCATATTGAAGATAGCCAACACTGGACATTCATTTGCCACCAAACCCAAAGAGATCATTATCAACACAGAAACTCCTGAGTCATCCACCAACTTCCCTTACTCACCACGTAGATCCACAACTGAGTGGCAATTTTTTAAAATGTCATCTAAAAACCTCTCAAAAGTGCAGTCTCCTTTCTATTCTTTCTAACTCTACATTAATTCCAGTCCATCAGAACTTTGGAATGTTGTTCTAACTACCTACTTGTCATTCAGTATCTCCCCCTTCCAGTCCATCATAACTACTGATATCAGAATTATCTTTCTAAAAGGCAAATTTTATTTATTTTTACCCTTATTAAGATCCACCATTGATACTGTATCCATATGTTTTATCCCTATATTCTGGGCCTTTAGATGTCTTCTACATATTTCTTCTTCATCTTCATCTCTCAACACCCTGCTGGCTGAATACAACTGTTTATGCCTCTCGAACATAGGAAGCTTTGGTTGTGCTCTATACCTTTTTATGCCCAAAATGCTCTAACCTCATTCTTTCTTCAGACAAATACTGACACCTTTCGATGTTAGCTCAAATATTACTTTCCCTATTAAGCTTTTCCCATCTCTTCTAAACAGAATTGTGCAATCTTTACACTGAGCTCTGTATTCAGAGTGTACTTCTATGAAGGAAGAATCATGTGTGTTTTTATAAATTTAGATAACTGTATACTATTCCTTTAGTTATCTGTCTCCATTACTGGAGTGAGCCTAAACCTAGAGGTAGGGACCATGTACTTTTCAATTTAGTTTGTCCTGTACCTGGCACAATGGCTACCACAAGTCTTTGCTGAAAGAACAAATAACTCACAGACTAAACAATGAATGGAAAAAGAAACACTTTTCTTTTCCATTCATAGTATGAATATTAGGGCACAGCATGTATCTTCATGTATTTCAATATGTGAGAGGCTTGAGGAAAATGAAATGAAGGTTAAAGGAGAAAAGAGAAATCAGAACAAACCACCGGTGTGCAGAGAAAACAAAGCTGACATCTAGGAAGGGAGGCAGAGAATCAGAAATCTAAGTAACATCTGCAAAGATTCCAGTGGGGCAAGAAATATAGGAATCTCATAAAATCCTTGTGATTTGTCTCTTCAAACCAAAACAAATTTTATCACTTTATCATCTCAATAAAGACATGGCTATACACAGTTTAGTTCCTATGGAAAGTGGAAAAAAACTTACACTTGGCCAGCAAGGGGTCCGATCAAAAAACTTCCCAGAGTATATGGGTCTGATGCGATCTGGAGGTTCCACTCCTGATTCAATGTTTCCAGCCTCCTTTCTCTGTTCATGTTGTTGGGCAAACTGGCATTGGGGAGGTTCTATCACCAAGCCCATTTGGGGCTCTGTATTCTTAGTCTCATCTGGCCCCTCGGCTTGGGTTAGTCCAATGTCCACCTCCACAGGAAGCTTAATCTCTGTGTTGGGTTTCATTAAAACACAGGTAGACTCTTTTTCCATTTCCTGTCTTGGTTCCATAACGAAAGCAGGCTTTCCCACTAATTCCTCTACCCCTTCAGGGCCACTAGCCAAAGGAGCTCTCCTGCTCCCTGCAGCCTGTGAACTTCCACACACCCTGCCCAAAGGAGGCTGTATTATCCGTTCATGGGTATATCCTGCAAGAAGACTCTCATTTTCTAACCCCATTCTTCCTGGCAACAGAGAAGGTTTTGTTCCCTGTGAAGCTGAGACACTGTCGACTCCTAAACTACCCCTCTGCATGACAGTCCTAGAAATATTCTGTCTTTCTAATCCCATTTCAAGCCCCTTGCTCAATGGAAATTTTGTTTCTGGTGGTGCCATCCTTCCCTCACACTTATTACTAACCACAGGGCTCTCCCCGCATCGGGAATCTTCTTTTCCTAATCCTACTCTGATCCCCAACTCCATGGGAAATTTTGTTCCCATGATGACCCTCTTGTCTCCTAAATCATCCTTTCCTTCGTGGGGATGTCCAATCTCCATGTTCATGGACGATTTCTCCCCATTCTCATTTCTCCAAGAGCGCTCATCTCTAAGGGGAAAGCTGTACCTGGCTACAAAGACGCCTCCAATCCCTTGCGGAACCCCTCTCTCAGGAAAGAGCACAACCTCACTCGGACTCCCTGTCCATTGCTTCCTGCCTGCCTCTTAACACCTAGCCGAGTTCACAGAGGAAAAGATGGAGTCTGTTTATCAGGTTACCTGGGAAACAGGGGCGGGGCTTGGCGCTCAAGTCCTGCTTGGACAGATCCCTGCCCATCTCTCATTCTTCTCTCTCTCTCTCTCAATCTCTCTCTCTCTCCCCTCTTCTCTCTCCTCTGTCTCTCTCTCTCCCCTCTTCTCTCTCCTCTGTTTCTCTCTGCCCCCCCTTCTCTCTCCTCTCTCTCCCTCTCCTCTCCTTTGCCCTCTCCCTCTCTCTCCCTCTCTGTGTGTCTCTCTCTCTTGCCTTTCCTCTCTCCTTTCTCCCTCTCTCCCCTCCCTCCCCCTCTTCCCCTCTATCCCTGCTTCCTCTCTCTTTTTCTTTGCTAGATTTGGAGGGCGAGAAAATTTGAGTGATGTGGCTTTCGGCGCATCAAATGTTCACCAACTTCTCTGGTTTCCCAAGCAACACAGTCGTTTTAGAATGGTTTCAACAATTGGCTTCTTCCTGGCCATTGGCCTCTTAATGTTGGTGATGATGAACAAATAAACTTTCTGGTGATGAACACTTTTTTTAGGTCCTTCCTTGTCCAAGTACCTCCGCCCTGCATGTAGTTATTTTAGTGCTAAAAAATGACTTTAAATTCTAGAAATATTATATTTGACAACTGTGGCATAAAGACATCTTAAAGTCCTTGAGAACACTTACACTTTAACAACTAGGCTTTAAATCACATTTAAAGTAATTTTTTTTTTTTTTGAGATGGAGTCTCCCTTTGTCGCCCAGGCTGGAGTGCAGTGGCACAATCTGGGCTCACTGCAAACTCCGCCTCCTGGGTCCAAGCGATTCTCCTGCCTCAGCCTTCCGGGTAGCTGGGATTACAGGCATGCGCCACCATGCTAGGCTAATTTTTGTATCTTGAGTAGAAACGGGGTTTCACCATGTTGGCCAGGCTGGTCTCAAACACCTGACCTCAAGTGATCCACCGCCTCGGCCTTCCAAAGTGTCGGATTACAGGCGTGAGCCACTGCTCCTGGCCTAAACTAAATATTTTAAAGTTTGAGATATGCTACACAATAAGGCATATTGTATTTTAAAGATAATGTGGCAAACTAAAACTTCATTGTTTTTAAGTAGGAGATTTTTTTTTAAATTGAGGTTTCACCTTTCAGATTTTAATGAAAGTATATTTGGTAAATATTTGTCATGTTCTACACATATAGGATATGAAACCCCTAGCTTGGAATTTGAACTGAATTAGGCTGGGCACAGTGGCTCACACCTTTAATCCCAGCACTTTGGGAGGCCGAGGCAGGCAGATCACTTGAGGTCAGGAGTTTGAGACCAGCCTGGCCAACATCGCGAAACCCTGTCTCTACTAAAAATATAAAAATTAGCTGGGCATGGTGTCCAGCGCCTGTAATCCCAGCTACTCAGGAGGCTGAGGCAAGAGAATCATTTAAACCCGGAGGCAGAGGTTGCAGTGAGCCTTGATGGTGCCACGACACTCAAGCCTGAACAACAGAGTGAGATTCCATTTAAAAATAAAAAACCAAAAATGGCCGGGCGCAGTGGCTCATGCCTGTAATCCCGGCACTTTGGGAGGTAGAGGCGGGTGGATCACGAGGTCAGGAGTTCGAGACCATCCTGGCCAACATGGTGAAACCCCGTTTCTACTTAAAATACAAAAATTAGCTGGGCCTGATGGCAGGCGCCTGTAGTCCCAGCTACTTGGGAGGCTGAGGTAGAAGAATCGCTTGAACCTGGGAGGCGGAGGTTGCAGTAAGCCGAGATCACACCACTGCACTCCAGCCTGGCGACAGAGTGAGACTCCATCTCAAAAAAAAAAAAAAAAAAAAAGCAAAACAGAATTTGAAAAGAATTTACAGGATTCCAGAACTCTACAAAAACCCCTTAAAATCCAAAAATATTTTTTTAAAAGTGTGTAGGGGTCTGGACATAGTCACTCACCTGTAATCTCAACACTTCGGGAAGCCAAGGCAGAAGAATTGCTTAACGCCAAGAATTCAATTAGCCCAGCGTGGTGGCTCACATCTGTAGTCTCAGCTATCTGAGAGGCTGAAGTGGGAGGATCACTTGAGCCCAGGAGGTCTATGCGGCAGTGAGCCATCATTGCACCATTGCATGCCAGCCTGGGCGACAGACTGAAAAAAAAAAAAGTCCAGGAGTTCAAGACATGCATGGGTAACACAGTGAGACCTATCCCTACAAAAAATTTCAAAAATCAGCCAGGTGTAGTGGTACATGCCTATAGTCCTAGCTACTCAGGAGGCTGAGGTGGGAGGATCACTTGAGCCCAGGAATTGAAGGCTGTAGTGAGATATGATCATGCCACTACACTCTAGCCTGGGTGATACAGTGAGATCCTGTCTCAAAAAATAAAAATAAAAAATAAGGCCAGGCGCAGTGGCTCATACCTGTAATCCCAGCACTGTGGGAGGCCTAGGCGGGTGGATCATTTGAGGTCAGGAGTTCGAGACCAGCCTGACCAACATGGTGAAACCCTCTTTCTACTAAAAATACAAAAATGAGCTGGACATGGTGGCCAGCACTTGTAATCCCAGCTACTAGGGAGGCTGAGGAAGGAGAATCGCTTGAACCCAGGAGGTGGAGGTTGCAGTGAGCCAAGATTGCGCCATTGCACTCCAGCCTGGATGACAAGAGCCAAACTCCATCTCAAAATAATAAATAAATAAATAAATAAATAAATAAATAAATAAATAAAAAGTGAGAAGGATATACTAGGGAGGCTGAGGCAGGAGGATCACTTGAGTTCGAGACCAGCCTGGCCAACATGACGAAACCCCATCTCTACTAAAAATACAAAAATTAACTGGGCATTGTGATGCTCACTTGTAATCTCAGCTACTCGGGAGGCTGAGGCAGGAGAATCACTTGAACCGGGGAGGCAGAGGTTGCAGTGAGCCGAGATCGCACCACTGCACTCCAGCCTGGATAACAGAATAAGACTGTCTCAAAAAAAAACACAAAAAACTATTTTCTACAACTTTCTAGAAGGTTAATATAAATATTCTTCTCCTTAGTTCTTTTTTTATGGTGCCAAATTTAAATAGTTTTATTTAAGACATTGCATTTTCCATTTGCAATACAGTGTTTATAAAGTGCAATGTTATTTCCTTCCACATGCACATGTTCCATACTCAAGTATTGAGAATGCCCAAGAATTTACTATAGCAGCTCAATTTTTAAACTGCTACAGACAGTCATATTGTGACCATGAAGAAGTATTCTGAAGACAAAGCTAACACACACAAAATAGGAGAGCACCGAGATCATCAGGACCAAAGCTCTGATCAAACTGTACCTAAAACTCACATAACTCTAGACTTACCAGTCACATGGGCCAATGTCCCTGCTTGACTCACATTTTCTGTTATCTGTAACTGAAACATCTTTATGTCTACCACACTTAACAGTCAACATCCCTTAAGACTTTACCTCCAGAAAACTTTTCATGGCTGGTAAATACTCTTCTCTCTTTTCCTTTGAGCTCCTCCAGTACCAAGAGTCTGAGTCACTCACCTTATCACTTCTCTCTCTCAGACATACACACATACAACAAACGCTTGTGGCATATTTGTGGTATTTTACCTAACTTTCTGCCCTTCCCTTGGTTATAGCCCTGACCCTGGTACAAGATAACATTCAACATTTGTTACACTAAATTGTGACTGTCAGTGCTTCTGTCTCCTCCTCCCCTGAAGACTGTTAGCTCCTGCGGCCTGACAGTCCCTTGACTCAACTCCTCTCTACTTCAATGTTTTATGCTTTGACCCAAAAAGACGGGGCTTAGTAGTGAGAGAGGTGGAAGACTGAAGGGCATCCATCCGAACTTGTTTACTAACATTTATGTGTTCTTCCCTAGTTACCTGCCTCCATGCCTTTGCTGGAGAGGGAGCCACCTAGGTTCCCTTCACCTGGAATGTCTATTTTCACACATTCCAAACTCAAGGCCAACTCTGAAAGGAGAAAGGGCTGTGATTGACTGGGAAAGGACATGTGGCAACTTTCTGAGATTACGGTAGTGTTCCGTATCTCAATAGGGATGTGGATTACACAGGTATATACATTTGTCAAAACATGAAATTATACTCTTAAGACGCTTGCATTTACTTCATTTTATGGATATTTGAACTTTAAAAAGGTTCACATATTGAACTCTAGTAAATGGCATGCATGATGAAATGTTTAAAGGAATGTGTACACATGCTCATAATTTTGAAATGCATAAAGTGTTGATACATGGCTGGACATATGTGATAAAGCCAAGTGTAGTAAAATGCTAATTGTAGAATCTGGGTGGTAGATATATGGGTGTTCACAGTACAATTACTTTGATTTTCTGAATGTTTGAAAATGTTCATCATAAAATGTTAGGAAAAAAATAAGAGATGTGGGTCAACATCTCTGGTATCTTCACAGTCACAGACTTGATTTAGACCTCATTACATCTTAACTGGAATCTTGCAATCACCTTTACACTGGCCTTCATGTTAGCCCACTGCAGTCTCTCCTCACCCCAAGGATCGCCAGAGAGAACCTTCAGAAGCAAAAATTGGACCTCCGTGATCCAGTCTCTGCCAACCTCTTCAGCTTTATCCCTGACGCTTGCCACCTTACTGCGGCCTGTACTACAGCTCAACCCAGGGCGTGTAGTTCCACTCGCACACTGGGCTATTTTATGACTTTCTGGTTTGCTTTTGTTTTGTTTTTGAGAAGGAGTCTCACTCTGTCACCCAGGCTGCAGTGCAGTGGCACAATCTTGGCTCACTGCAACCTCTGTCTCCAGGGCTCAAGCGATTCTCCTGCCTCAGCCTCCCTTGTAGCTGAAACTACAGGCACCCGCCACCATGCCCAGCTAATTTTTGTACTTTCAGTAGAGACAGGGTTTCACCATGTTGGTCAGGCTGGTCTCAAACTCCTGACCTCAGGTGATCCACCTGCCTTGGCCTCCCAAAGTGCTGGATTACATGCACGAGTCAACATGCCCAGCCTACTTTATGACTTTCTGCTTTTGCCCCTGTTGTCCCCCTTGCTTGGAATGCTTTATTCCAACTCATCCTCTGCCCTCCTTGCCTGGTAAATGCTCTTCAAGACTCAACCCAGGGATTACTTCTTCCCAGTAGCACGTCTTGCCACTCAAACTGGGTTGGGTCTCCTTTTTTTTTTTTTTTTTTTTTTTTTTTTTTGGGATGGAGTCTCACTCTGTCGCGCCCAGGCTGGAGTGCAGTGGCGCGATCTTGGCTCACTGCAAGCTCCGCCTCCCGGGTTCACGCCATTCTCCCGCCTCAGCCTCTAGAGTAGCTGGGACTACAGGCGCCCGCCACCACACCCGGCTAATTTTTTGTATTTTTAGTAGCGATGGGGTTTCACCGTGTTAGCCAGGATGGTCTCTATCTCCTGACCTCGTGATCCGCCCGCCTCGACCTCCCAGAGTGCTGGGATTACAGGCGTGAACCACCGCACCCGCCCATGGGTCTCCCTCTTTCATGCTCCCATAGCACCTCAAACTTATTTGTAACAGTATTTATCCTACTATGATCTATGTGGGTTTCCATGTCTGTGTACTAAACTAGATGCTCCTTGAAGAGCAAGCCTTCTAATAGAATGCACAGGGTCTGATCTAAAAAAGGCTTTGATAAACCACTGTAAAACCGAACAATTGATATTGAACTGGCATGGATGACACTCTGGCACCCTCCAACAACTTAGTGTTATAGATTTGATTGTATCTCCTCTACAGGAGTTTAAGGCCCACTGCCCCTATTGACTCAGCCATCTTCCGACATCTCTCAAACACCACCTTCCTCATGAAGACTACTCAATTTCCTGCCCCAGTTTGGAATGATCTGTCCAATTCCTTTAAAGGCTTACTTTCTATGTACTTCTTTTTTTATGAGATTACAGGCCTTTTTAGGCAAATTTTGACTGGGAAAAATTAAACTACATTGACTGATCAAAAAAGAAAAAAAACTGCCACAGAATTTGCTACATATTTGGGTCCTTCAGTGTTTTAAGTGTGTGGAACAATGCTACATCTGTACTTGGGCTGGCTTATTCAGTGTTGGGCCCTGAGAAAGCACCATCAGAGGGAGGAGATCCACCAACAGTGAATCCCCTAGGCATTCCTCCTGCACTCTGCTAGAGCTTTGTAATGATGGGATTGCAGACTCTCTCCAGCTCTTTCTGCTGATGTTCAAATTCTTCCTTCTCAACAGCCTGATTCTTATCTATCCAGTTAATAATTTCATTACGCCTGACAAGAATCTTCTGTTTGTCTTCATCGTGAATCTTGCCTTGAAGTTTCTCATCTTCAACAGTTGCTTCCATGTTGAATTCATAGGATTCAAGGGAATTCTTTGATGACACCTGTCTCTGCTTCTCATCTTCAGCTTTGTACTATTCAGCCTCCTGGACCACACATTTAATGTCTTTCTTGCTAAAATGGCCCTTGTCATTAGTGACAGTAATCTTGTTCTTTTTCCTGTACTCTTGTGCACAGCAGAGACACTGAAGATGCCATTGGCATCAATATCAAATGTGACTTCAATGTGAGGAACACCTTGGAGTGCCAAAGGTATGCCTGTGAGTTGAAACTTGCCAAGCAGGTTGCTATCCTTGGTCATGACATGCTCACCTTCATAAACCTGAATAAGCACATCAGGCTGCCTGTCAGAGTAGGTAGTGAAGGTCTGTCTGCTTGGAAGGAATGGTAGTATTATGCTTAATGAGAACAGTCATGACTACACCATCGGTTTCAATACCATGGGAAGGAAGAATGACATACAAGAGCAACAAATCTTGAGCATTTTCAGATTTGTTGCCAGACAGAATGGCTGCTTGGACAGCTGCACCATAAGCAACAGCTTCATTAGGGCTGATGCTCTTATTCAGTTCTTTTCCATTGAAAAAGTCTTGGAGAAGCTTCTGAATCCTGGGGATAAAAGTAGAACCACCATCCAGGAAAATATCATGAATCTGTGACTTGTCTAGTTTGGTGTCTTGAAGGGCTTTCTCTATAGGGTCCAGGTGTCACAGAACAGGTCAGCATTCAGTTCTTCAAATAGGGCATGTGTAAGAGGTATAGACATTGATTCATTCATAGAGAAAATGGATCTCAATACTAGCCTGGCTGCTCAAGAAAGAGTGTACTTAGCATGTTCACAAGCAGTATGGGGATGTCAGACAGCTCTCTTATTCTCACTGATGTCCTTTGTATGCTTGTACTTGAACTCAGCAATAAAATGGTGGACCACTTGGTTGTCAGTGTTTTCCACCTAAGTGGGTGTCTCCTGCTGTAGATTTCACCTCAAAGATTCCATCCTCAACAGTGAGGACTGACACATTAAAAGTGCCACTTCCAGGTCAAGCGCAATGGCTCACGCCTGTAATCCTAGCACTTTGGGAGGCTGAGGCAGGCGGATCACCTGAGGTCAAGAGTTCAAGACCAGCCTGGCCAACATGGAAAAACCCCGTCTCTACTAAAAATACGAAAATTAGCTGGGCATGGTGGTGCATGCCTGTAATCCCAGCTACTCGGGAGGCTGAGGCACAAGAATCGCTTGAACCCGGGAGGCAGAGGTTGCAGTGAGCCAAGATTGCGCCACTGCACTCCAGCATGAGCAACAAGAGTGAGACTCCATCAAAAAAAAAAAAAAAAGGCCAGGAACAGTGGCTCACACCTGTAATCCCAGCACTTTGGGAGGCTGAGGGGGGGCAGATCACCTGAAGTCAGGTGTTTGAGACCAGCCTGGCCAACATGGTGAAACCACGTCTCTACTAAAAATACAAAAAAAATTACCCAGGCGTGGTGGTGGGCACCTGTAATCCTAACTACTCAGGAGGCTGAGGCAGGAGAATCACTTGAACCTGGGAGGCAGAGATTGCAGTGAGCCGAGATCGCACCACTCCAGCCTGGGTGACAGAGCGAGAATCCATCTCAAGAAAATAAATAAATAAAAATTTAAAAGTACCACTTCTAAGGTCAAAGATCAGCACATTTCATTGAGCTCCAACCTTTTGCCTAAGGCATAAGCAATAGAAGCAGCAGTTAGCTCATTGATAATTCTCAGTACATTGAGATAAGCAATAGTTCCAGCATCTTTGGTAGCTTTGATGCTGAGAATCATTAAACCAAGCTGATATTGTGACCACAGCATTGGTAACACTCTTTCCAAGGTAGGCTTCTGCCATTTCCTTCATCTTTGTCAGAATAACAGAGCAGCTGTCCCCAACCTTTTTGGCACCAGGGACCAGTTTCATGGAAGACAATTTTTCCACAGACCAAGTTGCAGGGGGTAGGATCGGGGGAAGATAGTTTTAGGACAATTCAAGCACATTACATTTATTGTGCACTTTATATTATTATTACATTGTAATATATAATGAAATAATTATATAACTCACCATAATGTACAATCAGTAGGAGCCCTGAACTTGTTTTCCTGCCACTAGACGGTCCCATCTGGAGGTGATGGAAGAGAGTGACAGATCATCAGGCATTAGATTGTCATAAGAAGTGCTAGATCCCTTGTGTGTGCAATTCACAATAGAGTTCACACTCCTATGAGAATCTAATGCTGCCACTGATCTGACAGGAGGGGGAGCTCAGGTGGTAATGTGAATGATGGGGAGCAGCTGTAAATACAGATGAAGCTTCACTGACTTGCTGCCACTCACCTCCTGCTGGGCAGCCAGTTCCTAACAGGCCACAGTCCAGTACCAGTCCATGGCCCTAGAGGACACCTTTCTGGACAGAAGTTTTTTTTATCTCTCCCTTGTATTCTACTTGGACCTTGGGCCTGCCAACATTATTCACTACCATGAAGGGCCAATGCTTCATATCAGACTGGACAACAGCATAATCAAGTCTGTGTCCAATCAGCAATCAGATTTGGCATCAAAAACTGTGTTCATGGGGTTCATTGCAACTTGATTCTTTGTGGCATCACTGAGCAATTGTTCAGTATCAGTAAAGGTGACATAGCTTGGAGTGATTCAATTTCCCTGATCATTGGCAATTACCTCTATTTTTACATGCTGGAAAACACCCACACAAGAGTAGATGGTGCCAAGATGAATACCAACTGCAGGTCCTTTAAACAGGGTTGTTTGCATGTAGGCCGGATTGGATTCTGAAGAAAGACATAGGAACCCCAAAAGTGGCCACAGCATTCAATAAATCCCCATAAATTCTTCAAATGACTTTGCAGTATGTAAATCCAGGTAAGGGCTCATTCAATTCATTCATTCATTCTACAAACAGGTATTGAGTCCCTCCCTATTTTGTGTCAGTGTTGGGAATACAGTTAGCCCTCTGTATTCCATCGAAAGTATTTGAGTTAAAAAATGAAAAAAACACAAAATAATACAAATTAAAAAAATACAACTATTTACATATCATTTACATTGTATTACTTATTGTAAGTAATCTGAAGATGATTTAAAGCATACAGAATAGCCTACATGCAAATACTACACCATTTTACATGAGACTAGAGCATCTGCAAATTTTGGTACCCATATGGTGGGGGAATAAGGGAGTGTCCAAGAACCAATCACAAGCAGATGGACTGACTGTATAACCCAACCCCTATCTCATGGAGCTTATATTCTAGTAGGGATAGATAACCATTAAGTGGAACGATGCGTAATATCATATCAAATGGTGCTAAGTGTTATGAAGACAATGCATAATATCATATCAAACAGTGCTGTTATGAAGACAACAGACTACTTCGATATGTAACAAAGCATTTAGAATTAGTGGGCTTAGAAGTCCCTTAGGTAGATGACATTTGAGCTGAAGCCTGAATGATGCCCTCCAAAGACACAAGCTTTTGAAACATGACTAGCTTAAGTTTTCACAGCCTTTTATTCACTGACTTGCTACTACGCCAATGTTAGAGTTACCGTTGGTTTGTCTCCAGGAAAAATTTTGAATTGTCTCCAGACAGTTCCAGTTAAAAGTAAATGTAACCATTCATTATCATCTATGCAAAGATTCATTCTTTAGCTACACAAGGGAGGACAGATTTCCTGGAAGAGAAGGAAAAGGTTATGGGATCCTGTGAATGGTAGAGAGACACCTGCCACTGGGAATTTGTTATTGAGTATTTAGAGATTTGAGGGCAGTATAAGCATCAAAGACAGTGTTTAAGTCTTCATGATTATTTATCCATTTTGTACCTTCCTTAACAAGTTCTATCAACTGGTAGGACTCCACATTTGACACTAAAATATATACAATTATCAGTCCTCCTCAGTTATCTGGGGCTATGAAAAAGAAAACATAGGCATATTGCAAGTGGCAATAAAACAACAGAGCTTTACTGTGTCATTTCAATTTCTCTAAAACTACTACCGGATCTTTAGAAATGCCAGCCACCAGGGCAGCACTCTTCCAGGCAAACATTATGACTAAACTGTAAAATATTGTGAAAAGTATTCATGAAGGAGGTGAAGACAAAATCACTAAACAGGAACGAGTGAAGAAGCAACATACTGGAACGATGAAATAGGGAGTTTTTTGCAATTTATAAATTTCAGCATCAAATGTTTTTCATTGTGAGGTCTTCTTAATGTTCGTGATTCTAAATGTAATTAAGTTCACCAATACTTTGGGGGTCCCTATTATAGCAGTCAAGGGTCTTCTGTGAAGAACTGAAATGATGAATAACTGATGGTCACAGCCCTTAAAAACCTTATAATTCAATGAAAGGCTAAGGAGAAAAGTCCAGGTGCTCATTAGCTATTAAAATAAGGCAGATTTTAAGACAGCCATTATACAGAGTAAGGCAAAGTATTGTGAAATTACAGAAAAAATAATAATTGAATCCAGTAGAAGTATCTGCAGATGCGGTCCAAAGGAACTGGTGTCCTGGCTAAGACGGAGCCAGCAGTTATGGGCAATGATAGTGTTCCATGTGGAGAAAATAAAGTGATCAGATACCAAGATGGCAACACACAGGCAATATTCAGGGAACACAGACCAGATACGTGTGATCAGGGAACAAATAAAGAGTATGGGGAGAGGAATTCTATAGAAATAGAATGAAAGAAACTTGGGTTGGGACTAGAGTTAAAGAACTTTAGACTGTCAAGTAATGACATAGCATTGAACATTTTTTAGTAGAGTGGCTAAAATGTAAAGAATGGACAGAAAGAACAGCAGTATGCATTAATTTCAGTTTATATAAACACTACCATGGACCAGGTGTTGGGATTAGACTTCAAATTTGGGGATTAGATAATTTGTTGATAGAATGGACAATGGTTTGTGAGGAGAAGAAAGAGGTGAAGCTGATTCTGCAGTTCCAAGTCTGGGTGACTGGGAGGATGTTAATGCCAGTCTCTAAGCAGAAGCAGGTTTGGAGTGGAATAGGTTTCGTTTTGGGCATACTGTTGACATGACAAAACTGATGTCACATATCCTATTTCCTGACTCCTCCTGGGATTGTCCCAGAGCTATTACCATGATTAATAGTTCATATTGAACAACTCCTTGAGAATAAAATGCCACAGGTATCATTTACGTATGACACATTACGTTCTTCTGGCAACTAGGTAGTTGATCTGAAAGACGGGCTGTTCAAAGTTCAAATCATCTTAATTGCACAATGCCGCCGACTGTACGCCCATAAGATACCTTAACCCGGTACACTTCAAAGACAATATTCTCGCCCTTACAACAGAGCTATACATTGTAAACTGCAAACTGAAAAGTAGCCTTTATTCTGAAGGAAAATCAATTTAATATTCTTCCACTAAATTATCAAAACAATTTTTTTGGCGGAGGCTGGGGAGGGGGTGGTGGCTGAAGCCTCGCCAGAGACTGAATGTGGTGTGGGATTCAACTAAAGCAGCACATCTTCAGTAGGTCCCCCGTGGAGGGTAACGAACATCTTGGGTTGTCTTTCACCAGAATTGTGTTCAACAACTCACGTTCTGGAGCCAACCCGCCGCAGATCAGAATCCAGCTTCTGCACCACACAGCCGTGATCTCGGACAAGTTACTCAATCTCTTGTGTCTCAAATTCTTTACCTATAAAACATCTACAACTAGAACTGAAGACTTGGCTGCCAGGCACTGGGCTAGACATAGATTTACAGCGGTGAGGACCACCAAGGGGAGCTAAAATTCGAATGTAGGGAACAGACGATTAACAAGTTAGTTTCAGAATGAAAGACTCGAGTGTAAGAATTCAATGGGATAATTCCTGTAAAGCGTTTAGTACAGTAAAGAGCGAAGGGAAATTCTGAATAAAAGGCAGACACTATTTTAGGATTTGGCCTTCCCCGCCCCCTACCAAAACCACGTAAACTCTTAACAGAAGCGACTTCTTATTGTCAGGCGCCTAAAGGCGGCTTTTGGGATAGGGAGGGTCCTTTCTTCCTCCTTGGGGTAAATGCGATTTAGCAGCCTTTACCGACCTACCCAACCCCAGGGCCATTTTGTGGGAGGAGGTTCTCTCGTGCTAGACAAGTTCCCTCTAATAAAGCCCCTTAGCCGAGATGCCAGGATTGGGGTTAGGGAACCTCGCCGCTCCCACAAGGGCTGGGCACAAAAAACAAACAAAAAAACACAAGTTATTTTGATCTTCCCCCAAAGAATAGTAAAGGAATTTCCCCCGACCCCGGCCGCCAGGAGCCCAGAGACCCCCCAGCCTAAATAACAATGGCGCTGGAGAGGGCGTGGCCGCGCGTACCTGGGGTGGGGGAAGGGGAGAAAGGCGGCCAGTTCGGATCTGAGCCACTCGCAGGGTCACGTGACATCCTGCCTCGCCCCGCCCCGCGAACAAACCTAGGCGGGGAGGGATTCGGGAAGGGGCGAGGAAGCGGAAGGAGCAGGCGGACTGGCGATGATGGGAAGTGACGAAGTGGCGCAGTTCGCTGCGTGCAGCGACGTGGCGGCGGGGCCGGCACCGGGCAGCGGAAGTGGCTCCGGCGGTGGGACTTGAGTGTTTGTGTTTTGGTTCGTGAAGGAGCCGGCGGCTGGCCTTAGGGGAGGAGGCAGAGGGAGGAGGAGGAGGAAGAATTAGTCGGAACTCCAGCGCCGGCGGCGGCGGCGGCGGCGGAGGAGGAGAAAGGAAAGAGGAAGGGGGAGCGGCGAGAGGCGGAGACGGAGCCCGACAGGGGCGGCACCACGGCACGAGCCCCGCACAGTCCAGTGTGAGGGGAGCGGCGCTAAGAGCAGGCGACGCCGCCGCCGCCACCACCACCGCCATAGATACACTCTCATCCTACGGGCCACGCCTGGGCCTTGCTGCCAGGAAGCTTCGGCCCCGCAGCTCGGCTTGCTGCGGTCTCAGGTAACCGAACCGCCCCTCCTCCTGCGCAGCGGGGGCCTGGACCCCAGGTTATCCGCGGTCCCCAGCCTGTCCGCGGCCCTGCCGGTACTGAGACCCCCCACCCCTTCTCCCTCACGCGCAGCAGTGCCCTGGACCAGAGAACTATCGAACCCGGCGTCTTGTTCTGCCAGCCCTGGTGACTCATCCTCCAGGGGCTCTGGAGACCGGGATTTGGGGACTGACTGAGGGAGCGACGGGTGTCACCCTTTCCCTTCTCAAGATGGCGCCGTGGAAAGTGTACTGGAGGCCGCGGTTCCGCCTGGTCTCCGTCCTGGCAGTCCTGGGGGTCTCGGTCAAAGCAAGGCAGGTTCGGGGGAGGAGGTTGGAAAGGCCAAGGGACCTGGCGAGTGCTGCTTATCCAGGCGATCTGTAGTTGGCTATTAGCTACTCAGGTGCTCTCCAAGCAGGAACCTGGGCCTACTGCAGGTGTCAATGTGGGGAGCTCCGCCTATCTTCAACTTCCAAAGATGAGTAGTGTCGGTGGGTGGGAGGCTCGTCAAAATAGGCTGTCTAGAGACTTGTTTTCTGTTTGGAAGGTAGTGAACTACAGCGTTAAATAAATTCAAGATAACAGGACCGCTGAACTCCTTCACTGGGTAGAGACCATGGAACTTGCTCTGGCGTTATCTTCCCTGGAAGCTGCTTACCTCTGAGACTTTCAAACTTGTTAAGTTCTGAACGTCATAGTTCACATACTTGGTTTTTGTCTTGCTTAAATGGAATCAAAGCGTTCAATCAGTTGCCTTTCACATAATAAGAAAAAAACACTTGTACACCTCTGGGAATACTCAAGACTGCTCATAAACTTTATTCCTAAAGTAAAATGGAAGTGATAACTCAGCATTTGTATAAACAAAGTAAATGGAACAGTGCCTGGCACAAAATAAGTGCCCAGTCAATTTTTTGATCAAAGAACCCTTAGAAGGATTTTAACTATAGAATGAATAACAGTTATTTTCAAAAGATTACAAATGTATATTATGCAAAATTCTTGTTTTGCAAAACAGAAGTTTCAGTAAGCAGTGAATACAAATGAATGCACGTAATTTTTAACCTTAGTGTTATGCTAAGTGTATATTTACCATTAACTTTAGTTATTTCCTGTTTGAGATCCTTAGGGGGAGTAGCCACAATTAAGTAGCTTTAAACCTTAAAAGTCAAAGTGAAATCAGAATCTTGTTTGATTTTTTTTTTTAATGGGAGTCTGATATTTTCCCTAAAATTTTGGAAGTGCCGTAGAAATTTGGAGCATATTGTCCTTGATAAGTAATTTCTTGTTTTCTTAAATAAAAAGACAAATGGAAAATGTTTTGATTGTGTGTAATATCTGAAGATGTATTGGTGCATTTTCAGTATATATGATGTTCTATTGATATTTTATCATTTTCTTATCAAAGGAGCACATTATTGGCAATTTCAATCCCTACTATGTATATTAGAGATTGTTTACATGTATTGTTTTATTTAATTGTCACATCAGCTATGCAAGTTAGATATTATGGGAATAGAAACTTGGAAATTAAAGAGTTTGCCCAGACGGAAATTGGTATAGCCAGGATTACACCCCTAAATCTGGTATGTTTGTGGAGGAGGGGGCATTTTTATTTATACCTTGTTATTTGGAAGCAACTCAGATATTACGTCAATAAATCTGTAAATATTTCAGTATGTAATGGTAAAAGATAAGGACTCTAAAAAGCTGGTGTTTAGTTAAGGCAAGGAGGTAGTTTCATTGCCTTAAGAACTAAGATCTCGTGGACATGTTAGGGAATTCATTATGAAGAGCGTATTATAAGCTCATTTTATGGGAAAGGCATATTTCTTTCTTTTGTTTTTAATATAGAGACAGGGTCTCACTGTGTTGCCCAGGCTGGTCTCAGAGTCCTCCTGCCTCACCCCCAAAGTGTTGGGATTTACCGGTATAAGCCACTCTGTCCAGTGTGAAAGACGTATTTCTTATATGAGGTAGCTAAATGAAATATAGCAGGGTTTTTAGAGAGGGAATCATCAGGTTTAATATATTAGCATGTATTCGGATTTTGATTAAAGATAGAAGGAAACTGTTAAGATTGGTTTGTGAGTGGATTGAAAAAGGTTCTTCAAATATTCACTAATTCCTTAGAGATTAAAAATTAGCATAGAAGTCGCCATTCAGGCTAGATTTCTTTAATGTGTTGTTTAAATAAAAAATAATGGCCTGCAGGCTGGGCGTGGTGGCTCACACCTGTAATCCCAGCACTTTGCGAGGCTGAGGCAGGAGGATTGCTTGAGCCCGAGAGTTCAGGATCATCCTGGGCAACATAGCAGTTAAGTGTCTCTACCAAAAAATTAGCCTGGCATGGTTCTGAGCGCCTGTAGTCTCAGCTACTCAGGAGGTTGAGGCAGGAGGATTGCTTGAGCCCAGGAGGTCTAGGTTGCAGTGAGCTGTGACCACGCCACTGCACTCCAGCCTGGGTGAGAGAGCAAAACCCTTTCTCCAAAAAAATTTTTTTAAAAATGGCATGTATATTGTTCGTCTAAAGACTACAAAAAAGTTACAATTATTGTAAGTAAATAAGTCAGTAATAATCACCACATGGAGAACAACTGTTAGCATTTCTGTGTATGGTGTGCTTGAGCAGATGAGGAAACAGTTTTAAGTCTGCCGTTAGGCACACAAACCTGGGAGACTGAAAATATTTGTTGTCCAAAATTACCATTAATTAAATGAAAAATGCATCGTTTAACAGAAAACTTCAAATAATACTAAATTTTAGGATCTGTTCTAAAAGTTTCCCATTTATTAATAACATAATTTTTCTCAAAACAATGTTAATCCAAGTAGCCTGGCTACAGAACTTGAACTCGAGTCATCTCTCAGGTTGCCTGGGTTTGAAACTCGGCTCTGTCACTTCTGTGACAATAACTGTGTGACCTCAATTAAGCTTCTTAACATCTCTGTGCTTGTTTCCTCATTTATAAGGATTGTAATAATATCTCATTTTATAGGATTGTTGAGAAGTTAAGTACTTAAAGCACTGCCTGGCACAAACTTGAAGCTTTGAGGTTAGCCTTTAAAAAAAAAAGTAATTTTGGACTCACATCCTATACCTTTGAATTTCCTTTAAAAGATAGTGACATAATCTAAAGGGCATTGAAGGTCTAGTAGAGTTTAAGATAATCATGCTATAGGCAATATTTAAAGTGATTAATAGTAAATTTGCTTTACTGATTTGTATATTTAATTCATAATTGTTTCTTTACAGGTTTCTTTACCTCCAGAAAGAAGAATATTGGCCCCTTGAATTCTGGAAGTTCATTGAAGAGTCTGAAATTAGGGACTTATTTCAAATTTGGACATGGCTAGTCGAGGCGCAACAAGACCCAACGGGCCAAATACGGGAAATAAAATATGCCAGTTCAAACTAGTACTTCTGGGAGAGTCCGCTGTTGGCAAATCAAGCCTAGTGCTTCGTTTTGTGAAAGGCCAATTTCATGAATTTCAAGAGAGTACCATTGGGGGTGAGATTTTCTTTTTTCCCTGCTTCATTTAATCGAATCATACATTGACAGAAAATATTTTGATGTTCCAATTGTGTGATTATGAATAGCTAAATAAGTCATAGAGTGAAGAAAAGAGCTGTTCAGCTTACCTTAGCTTTAAAACTTGCCTTTATCTTTGTTAAAATGATGTGTTTTTATATTTGATTGTTTGGTTAATCCCTTGTGGTTATATTGTAGCTAAAATACAGATAAAAAACATGAGTAGAATCAGTGTCTCAAGTAATAACATTTGACCTGATACCTATTTCTAGCTAACAACTAGAAGCTTCTTCAAATTAATACAGTACATGTTTGTGCTCAATTATATTGGTTTAAAATGAATAGTAAAAAAGGTAACCTTAAATTCTGATCTATATAACTGAAGTATTTGCAAATAATTATACTTACTTGTAAAATTAAATGTAATTAAATACTGCTAGATGTACTTTTTTTTGGTATTTAAGAGATGGGATCTTGCTGTCGCCTAGGCTGGAGTGCAGTGTCCGGATCATAGCTCACTGCAGACTGCAGCCTGAAACTCTAGGCTCAAATGATCTTCTTGCCTTAGCCTCCCACCAAGTAGTTGGACCTAAGGGTGCATGCCACCATGCCAGGCAAGTTTTTTTTTTTTTTTTTTAAGAGTCAGAGTCTCGCTGTGTTTCCAGGTTGGTCTTGAACTCCTGGCCTCAAGTGAGCCTCCAGCCTCAACCTCCCAGGTAGCTGTGATTACAGGTGCTCCCTGCTGAGATGCATATGTAAGAATGCTCCTAAGCTGAGGGAAGAGAAAAAGTGATTAATGGAAAGGGACATAACAGGAAAATGGAACCTGAAGAAAAAGATGAAAGAAGAAGGGAAAGAGTAGGCACTGACAAGGGTGGTTATGGTGGGACAGAGATGAGGGGAAGGTAAGATGCAGGGTGAAAAGGAGACAACAAACAGTACAGTATTGTCAAGAGAGGACGTGAAATGGGAAAATTGAATTTTAGCTGGACATGGTGGTGCATTCCTGTAGTCCCAGGTATTTGGAGGCTGAGGCAGGATTATTTTAGCTTGGGAGTTCAAGTCTAGCCTGGGCAACATAATGAGAACCCATCTCTTAAAAAAAATTGACTTTAATCAAAGAAACCTATAATTATATAGCAGTGGGACAAGATAGCCTCTTTTGGGCCTCTGTTTCATCTGTGAAATGATGCTTTTCAATTAGATGATGTGTGGCAAGAGCCACACGGTTTGAGATTCACAATATTTTGCAAGTGATATATAATTAAGCAATGCTGTTTTCTAAGGTATTCATGTATATATTTTAACCCCATCCTGTAAAATTAAAGTCAAACTTTGGAAATAAGACAGGTAGATACCAACTGGCATGTGGCAACTTCTTGGAATCTGTCTTTCAGAAGCAAAACTTTATACTGTGCATTTAGTGAATGCTCTTCTGCAAATATACTTGAGAATGTTATTCATAATCTTAGACCCATTCTAGTAAGATAAGTTACAGAAGTCTACTACCTCCTGGCCTTTGTATATCTTGTTAAAATGTTATATTAGAATGTTTTATGTTTTTTCTAATGGCTGAGCATCAGAAAGCATCATGGAGCTTTTATTTTGAGTCAGAAGTCTTGGCATTTTAAAAAATGTTAATACACAATATATTAGACATCTTTGTGATTTTTTTTTTCCCTGAAAGTACATCCACGTGTGATTTTGTTGTTGTTGTTGTTATTGTTAATACATTATATCCAGTTTAATAATGAAATACTACTTCTCAAGAAGGCTTTGCTTCCTCCAGAAGTGATTTGGTCAAAGCTAACTGTCCCATCTAGTAGGAAAAGTTTAAAGACTGCTAGATCATGTCCACCCACTTATTTCACTGTTAATGGAAGCATTTCCCAAAGTATATGTGCATTCTGGGTTAAATAACCTGGGCCACGTAGGTTTGGGACTTACTATATGCTACTCTTCTCCTCTCTCTTTATTATTTTATTAAAACAATAAAAACTCTGAAGTACTGTAGTATAGGACTTAATTCCTGGGGAGCTTTGCAAGAGCTTAAGATTAGAATTTTTATCTTGTTTTGGATAATGCACTTCTAAGTTTATTTTTTCCTAATGATAGCTCAAGAAGGATGTTTAAAAGAAAAATGTAACCCCATATCCTGTGTATCATAAATATATCTCTGATATGTGTGTATCTCTATATAATCTCCATGTAACACCAGTTAGATTGTCTAGATTTCATTAATGAATTTTTCATAAAGATTTTCATTTCTATGTGTAGAGCTTCCTGTTTAAAAACAAAAAGGAATTTGCATCCAAATTTCTGTTAATCCTTTTTTTTTTTTTTTTTGGAGACAAGGTCTCTGTCGCCCAGGCTGGAGTGCAGTGGTGTAGCCCTGGCTCACTGCAACCTCCGCTTCCCAGGATCAAGCAATTCTCATGCCTCAGCCCCCCAAGTAGCTGGGACTACAGGCGCAAGCCACCACTCCTGGCCAATTTTTGTATTTTTAGTAGAGATGGGGTTTCACCATGTCGGTCGGGTTGGTCTTGAACTCCTGGCCTCAAGTGATCTGCCTACCTCGGGCTCTCCAAGTGCTGGGATTACAGGCATGAGCCACTGCCCCTGGCCCAACTTTCTGTTAATCTTTATTGGATACTTTTTCACTGTGCTGACCCCATGTGAATACTATTCAGGAGGTATGACAGTACCATTATGGTTATAGCTGTGGACACTATTCTTTTATGCTCTGTACTCATAGCTCTTCACCTTTAGGAACTAGAGTAGATGTAAAGCATTTAAGAATTTTAAGGTTTGAGCTATTTCATGATCAACCTGAAAGGGCCATAACTTGTAGGTAATACGTATTTTTGTTTTGACTGTCATGTGGTAGAAGTTACCTGAAAAATGAAGCCAACCAACTCTTTTGCATTTCAACTGTTGGTTTATTTTTTTTGAGACGGAATTTCACTACGTGGCCCAGGTTGGAGTGCAGTGGTGTGATCTAGGTTGACTGCAACCTCTACTTCCCAGGTTCAGGCAGTTCTCCTGCCTCAGCCTCCTGAGTAGCTGGGATTACAGGCCCACACCACCAATCCCAGTGAACTTTTGTATTTTTAGTAGAGACAGGGTTTTGCCATCTTGGCCAGGCTGGTCTCAGACTCCTGACCTCAAGTGATCCACCTGCCTCGGCCTCCCAAAGTGCTGGAATTATAGGCGTGAACCTCCACGCCTGGCCTCAACTGTTTAATTTTTCACTTTACTGTTTATATCTCCTAACATGAGTTATTGTTCTGAAGCACTCAAAATTTTAATCTCTATTTGATTGTGTTCGAAGGTGGATATCATATGTTACACTCTTGATTTGTGGATTCTGGATTCATTAAGAATATCAAGATTTCTTCTGTAATTTGTGTGGTTCTTCCTAAATACAATAACTTGATTTACGAATTCCTGTTGCGCTGTGTGCGGTGGCTTGCATCTGTAATCCCAGCACTTTGGGAAGCTGAGGTGGGCAGATCGCTTGAGTCCAGGAGTTTGAGACCAGCCTGGCCAACATAGCAAAACCCCGTCTTTACAAAAAATACGAAAATTAACCGGGCATGGTGGCACACACCTGTAGTCCCAGCTACTGAGAAGGCTGAAATGGGAGAATTGCTTGAACTGAAGAGGCGGAGGTTACAGTGAGCCGAGACTGCACCACCACACTCCAGCCTGGGTGACAGTGAGAACCCTGTCTCAAAAACAAAACAAAACAAAGAATCCCTGTTGCCTCACCATACTTCATGCATCCTACCCCTATAGCACTTCTGATGAAATTGCGTGCCGTAGATTTAGCAATTTAGAGAATTCTAGCTTGTTTGTATGGGTTTAAAGTTTGCATGACATTTATGTTTCTATTGTTGGTCTAAAGTTAGCCCAGAGATTAGCAGGGAGCAGTAGGCTCAGAGAGTTGTCTTCCTTCTTTACTTGGTACTGCATCTCTAGGCTTGGTAGCTCTTCAGTAAATACTCTCAAAAAATACTTATTTTTAAGAAGACATTTATGTGATATTTATAAACAAATTAATCCTCAGTGGTTAGAATATGCAGTGAAATAGCAAGCAGACAATCCTTTTTTTCTCTTCTGAGAAAAGTGCTTCATACCACAGTTACAATTTTGTATGCACTAATCAAAAAATGTGTTATAAACTCTAAAGTTTAGATGATGGAACTGTACATGAAAATAACATTCCTCTTGCTGGTTCTGTGATTTTTGTACATTAGCTTAGAACAGTGGTCCTCAAAGAGCGTTCCCACTTCCAGAAGTAGCTGCATTAACTAGGAACTTGTTAAAATGTAGAATCCCGTGTTGAATCAAAACATTTGGGTGGGACCAACAATCTAGGTTTTAATAAGTTTTCCAGATGATTCTAATGGCATGTTACGTTTGAGTAGTTGATTTTACATTGGTACTAACATTGATTCACCCATACATGGAATAATTGGGGGGTTTTTTTGAGGTGTGGTGTTTGTCAGATTTTTAAAAACATTGTTGACTGGGCGCGGTAGCTCATACCTGTAATCCCAACACTTTGGGAGGCTGAGGCGGGCGGATCACGAGGTCAGGAGTTCGAGACCAGCTTGCCAATGTGATGAAACCCTGTCTCTGCTAAAAATACAAAAATTAGCCAGGCATGGTGGCGTGCGCCTGTAGTCCCAGCTACTTGGGAGGCTGAGGCAGGAGATTCGCTTGAACCCAGGAGGCGGAGGAGGTTGTTGCAATGAGCCGAGATCATGCCATTGCACTCCAGCCTGGGTGTCTCAGCGAGACTCCGTCTTAAAAAAAAAATTGTTCATGCAACTAACCTAGTTTGAGAATTACATGTATTATGTACTGCTCACATTACATGTTATCTGTATCTCTTTATAGGAGAATGCCTTCCTGTTAGCCACCTGCCAGACATCTTTAGGAAAGTATGATCCCTCTGTCCAATCAAGAGTATTCTGCTTTTTCTCTACTTAGGGAGTACCCATAGTTTTCAGTCATCTGTACCACTGCTGCTCTCCTTTCTTGTCACAAATGATCAAGGCCTGATAATACACAAAATTAATTAAGAAATTTAGTGTAGGCCGGGCGCAGTGGCTCATGCCTGTAATCCCAGCACTTTGGGAGGGTGCCAGCACACTGGCAGATCACGAGGTCAGGAGTTCGAGACCAGCCTGGCCAACATGGTAAAAATACCAGAATTAGCTAGGCGTGGTGGTGGGTGCCTATAACCCCAGCTACTCAGGATGCTGAGGCAGGAGAAACATTTGAACCCAGGAAGCGGAGGTTGCAGTGAGCCGAGATCGCGCCATTGCACTCCAGCCTGGGCGACAGGGCGAGACTCCGTCTCAAAAAAAAGGAAATTTAGTGCAATTATTAACTCTTAAGTGAAGTGCTGTTTCTACTTACATATTTAACATCCATCTAAATTGGTTAGCATGGCCAACTAGTTGTTTTTAGTCTAAAACAACCTGTAACAGGAATAAAAGTTACTGTTAAAATGAAGAAAAACAAGGCTTATTTCAAAGTTATTATTAACATACTATTTTACCTAACAATTTATGGCCAAGTCATTCTAAAGAATAAACTATTGTGGTTAAGAGAGACTGTATCCAGATTGAAGTTTTTACCACAATGCCTGGCACAGTAAAAGGTTTATTAAATTATAGCTATTACAGTTACCATCACCACTGTTAACTTTTGGCTGAATCGTTTTGTCATTGTTGATATTTTTGTTGTTTGGTCATGACATACTATTATCTTGAGATGGTAGCTGTTACACCTAGTGCATAGCGTTTGATTTAGAAAATTTGAAGATTTGAAAAATTTTGTGTTTTTTTTCCTTTTTTTTTTTTTTTTTAAACAGCCTGCTCTGTTGCCCAGGCTGGTGTACAGTGGTGGCATCAAAGCTCACTGCAGCCTTGACGTGGCCTCAAGTGGTCCTCCCAGGTAGCTGGGACTGACTATAGGCATGCACCCCACACTTGGCTAATTTTTTATTTTTTTGTAGGGACAGATCTCACTGTTGGTGCCTAAGCTGGTCTCAAACTCCTGGGCTACAGCAGTCCTCCCACCTCAGCCTCCCAAGGTGCTGGGATGAAAGGTGTAAGCCACTGTGCCCAGCCCAACTGTGTTATTTGTGGAAGTTTCTCAGAGGGAGAAATTACAGGGCTAAAGTACTACACGTGTGCATATATTAAAGTTTTTTCCAGTAACTACTTAATAATGTGTACTTGAAAACTGCTAAATTCTTAAATGTCCTCACCATTAAAAAATAGTAAGTGCCGGGTGCATGGCTCATGCCTGTAATCCCAACACTTTGGGAGGCCAAAGTGGTCAGATCGCTTGAGACCAGCCTGGCCAACATGGCCAAACCCCATCCTTACTAAAAAAAAAAAAAAAAGCAAACATTAGCTGGGCGTGGTCGCGCATGCCTGTAATTCCAGCTACTCGGGAGGCTGAGGCATGAGTATTGCTTGAACCTGGGAGGCAGAGGTTGCAGTGAGCCCAGATAGCGCCACTGCATTCCAGCCTGAGCAACAGAGTGAGACTCTGTCGCGGAGGTTGCAGTGAGCTGAGATAGCACCACTGCACTCCAGCCTGAGCAACAGAGTGAGACTCTGTCTCAAAAAAAAAAAAAAAGGTAAGTAGGCGAGGTGATCAATATTGAATTACCTTGATTTAGTCACCTCACAATGTGTACATGTATCAAAACATCATGTTAATATACATATGTATATATTGTAAATACATAACGATTTTTATTTTTCAACAATACCTTAATAAAGCTGGGGGGAATAAAGTTACTTCCTAAACAGAAAAGCTAGCCAGAAAATTTAAATCCAAATAACTCATGTTTTTCCAGTAGTAGAAAGCTTTCTACAATTGCCCTTCACTTGTTAGCCTTCAGAATGACTTCTTTGTATAATTATAATCTGTGCATTTATTTAATGTGCTTTTACCTTTTTGCATGTGCACATTGTTAAAAGTGCTTTTGAGAAAGGATAGAAGACCTAGAGACCAAACCACCAGCATGTGGTTTTTGATTCGTGAGAAAAATTGTGTGTTTGAAGTATTCATTCTACTTTCTGATACATTGATAGTTAAAATTTGTGGAAGTTAATCATTTGGTTTCAAGCAAAATAATAATATCTTTGTTCATCATATTTTCTCCTAAAAAGTACATATTCAGAATTTGAGAGGTTGTTACCCAGAGAAGTTGGTAGAGATTTGATATTTCAAATTTATATCACAACCTAAAAAAATCTTTCGGTAGTCTTAATTATTCCCCAATTTCTTAGGTTAAAATATTATCATATGTGGCTACTTAAACATTCCCGTGAGCTGGGAGTCAGTATGCATGGTTCTAATCCTCACATGCTTTCATAAGCATTTATGTGAACTCTGTTTACACATTTGTAACACGAGAGTATTGAACTCTAGGTAAGGATTCTTGTAGGCCAGGTGTGGTGGCTCACGCCTGTAATCCCAACACTTTGGAAGGCCGAGGCAGGCATATCACCTGAGGTCAGGAGTTCGAAACCAGCCTGACCAACATGGCAAAACACTGTCTCTACTAAAAATACAAAAACTAGTGGGGCGTGGTGTCATGTGCCTGTAATCCCAGCTATTGAGGCATTAGAATTGCTTCAACCTGGGAGGCAGAGGTTGCAGTGAGCTGAGATCACACCACTGCACTTCAACCTGGGTGACAGGGCGCTGAGGTAGGGGAGACTGAGACATGAGAATTGCTTCAACCTGGGAGGCGGAGGTTGCAGTGAGCTGAGATCGCACCACTGCACTTCAACCTGGGTGACAGAGCGAGACTCTGTCTCAAAAAAAGAAAAAAGGATTCTTGTAGAGCAGATGTTCTTATAAACTGTGTACTCTTCTCATTAAACAATACAGTCAATACAATTTAACTTTTGTTTTCTTAAAATGTATTTCAAGATTTGGAATCATTATGAGCATCAGTTTTTGCCTTGCCGTGCTTAATGTGTTGATGTCCTCTGGTGCTTTGGAAGTATTCAAGCTGTTTGGTAGAATGATTTTGCCAAATAGCTCTTAGTGAACTGCTACTGATTCACTAATTTACTGCTTTTATTTGTTATATATGGGAAATATTAGGTTGTCTAAAGCAAATCAAAATAAAACCAGAAATCATCTCTGATGATTCTAAAACTAGAAATCAGGGACAACTTCTTGGTATAGTTTGAGAGACAGATTGAGTGAACATTGTAATCTGGTGCTATATATTAAAGGTTTTTAAAAGTGATATTATATGCCACTTTTTAAAAATTAAGCCTAAATCTCCAACTGATCTTCTTGTTATGTACTAATTTATATATATATATATGTATGTATATATAAATCAATCTCCAAAAGAAGATATACATAGAAAGTGGTCTCAGTTACATTCCGAGGAAATCTGTAAATTTGCATAACCTTTAGTGCATGGACTTTGTGAGATTTATTCTGGCTGCATTTACTCTTCTTTTGCTAGCTTTCTGGTTGTGTTCTGATTTTTTTTTTTTTTTTTTTTGAGGCAGGGTCTTGCTCTGTTGCCCAGGGTGAAGTGCAATGATGTGATCATGGCTCTCTGCAGCCTCAGCCTCTTGGGTCAAGCAGTCGTCTCACCTCAGCCTCCCAAGTAGCTGGGACTACAGGTGTGCACCACCATGCCTGGCTAATTTTGAAATTTTTGTAGAGGCGACGTCTTGCTGTGTTGCCCAAGCAGGTCTTAAAACTCCTGACCTCAAGTGATCTCCTGGCTTGGCCTCCCAAAGTGCTGAGATATAGCCATGAGCCACCGCGCTAGGCTGTGTTCTGAATATATAAGGTTTCCAGATAATTGATCTTTTTGGAGACACACTCAGAGGCACATGAAAGACACTTGGTTTTGAATAATAATTGGTGGAGGCTGTGGGATGGGAAGTGTTTTAAAATTTTGCTTTTAGAATAGAATAAGAATTCTTACTTGATAGAAACATGGGAAATTTTGGCAAACTGTTTCTCCCTTTTTTAGGTCATATACCATAATAACCTGACATTGCATATACATAATCTTGTTTATGAAGTATGCTGAGTAAATTTATGATAGGATAGTATCATTTGGAGTTACATCAAAAGCCTTTTCAGCAAACCTCTTTGTGAAGGAGAATAAAGATGTGTGAGAGTAAGAAAAGCAATAAGAGTACTTCTAAAGGTTTTTGTTTTTGAGATGGGGTCTCGCTCTGTGCTAGACTGGAGTGCAGTGGCATGATCATGGCTCACTGCAGCCTCAACTTCTGGGCTCCAGCCATCTTCCCACCTCAGCCTCCTGAGTAGCTGAGACCACAGGCATGTGTGCCCCTGCCCCCGGCTAATTTTGTATTTTTGGTAGAGATGGCTATTCTCCATGTTTCCCAGGCTGGTCGCGAACTCCTGAGCTCAAGCAATCAACCTGCCTTAGCCTCCCAAAGTGCTGGGAATACAGGCGTAAGCCACTTTTTCAGGCATCATTTTTTGTCTTTTAATTCATTGGCTACCTTGATGTATATGTAAACTTTAGTTACCTAGTTGCTAAATTCCTCAAGATGAAAGTTAAGTGTTACTGAAGTCATATGTTGGACTTTGAAAATAAGAATGCTCTACAAATCAGAATATCTGAAGTAAGTGTTGCTAAACAGCATTCATCCTCCGTTTGAGGAAAGGTAGAAGCAGGATGAAGAACCGGTTAGTTATTCATGGTTTTTTAAGCCTTAAGTGTTCGCAGTAGTAGTTGTTGGATATTCTTTGGGCCCCAAAGAAGAAGTGGGTAATCTTGATACATGACTAGTCACTGCATAATTATCAGACACCTTCAGCTTTTCTCAGTCAAAAAACTGTTCTTTATCTTTGCATAAAACTAGAGCCAGAATATATTCCACCTAGTTACTATCGTTTTTATTTGAGGTATAACATGAATAGAATTTTCTCCTCTATTGCATTCATAAGTAATTTGTAAATTTTAGAAAAATGTGACTTCTAGGAAATAAAGGATAATTTAAAGATAGGACACTTATAATAATTACTTGTTATGTGATACATTCCTAGAACTTAAACAGGATTTTCAGAAGTTTCATCTGTACCTTACCATGGCTATATGGGAAGGTACTAATTTTATAGACAAGGAAACTGAAGCAATAAAGGTTAAGTATATGCTTGAAGTTTTGCAACTAGGTGACAGCTGGGATTAAAGACATCTTTCTGAAATGCCATTCATGTTCTGGAATGTACTGTGTATGTGTGTATTTCTCCTTGCAAGAACCTATCAGACTAGAAAATTTGGCTCATAGTTAGAGTACACATGACAAGTGTTCTGTTAAATAATATGTAGTATTTGACAGGTAGGGGCCTTCTTGCTATGTATCACTTAAGGAAAATAATGTGAAAGTATTTTGAGAACAAAAGAATATAAGACGATTATTTAAATTGTCCATATTCCTAAATTATCACCACCATTTTCATTTTTATGCCATCATCATGTGTCACACGCTATATTTTAACTGCCTTTAATCAAATGCATTAATTTGTTCATGTGAGTCAAAATTCAAGAAGTTTATAAGGTTTACAGTGAAAAATCTCCCCCTCATCTTCTATCTAGCCCACTCAGTTCTTTTTCCCAAAGATGATGTTACTTTGTTATATATCCTTGCAAAGTTACTACTATACTCAAATCTATATATTCTTGTCTCCCTTTTTACAAAATTTGAAATATGTCAGATGTACTGTAATACACTTTTTATTTTTCACTTTAATGCTGTTCTAGTTATCTATTGCTGAGACACAAATGACTCCTCCAAAATGTAGAGACTTAAAATTATTTTGTCATCTCCATGGTTCTGGTGAGTGGGCTTAGTAGGTGGTTCTCACTCTGATCTTTTCCTTGCTCTTGCAGTTCATTACGGGGCAAGAATCATCTCAACACATCCGGCAGTTGGTGCTGGCTATTGGTTGGGACCTCAGATGGGGCTGTTAGCTAGAACACACCTACATGTAGTAGCCTTTTATGACTTTGCTCCAGAAGTCACATAGATAGATAGCATCTGTTCTATTCTAGTCACAGGCCTGTACAGATTCAAGGGAAGAGTGTCAACATCACACTGTAAGAAGAATGTGGTGTAGAATGTCTTGTTGCAGCTGCCTTAGAAAATACAATCTACAGGCTGGGCGTGGTGGCTCACACCTGTAATCCCAGCACTTTGGGAGACTGAGGTGGGCAGATCACGAGGACAGGAGTTCGAGACCAGCCTGACTAACATAGTGAAACCCCTTCTCTACTAAAAATACAAAAATTAACCGGGCATGGTGGCGCGTGCCTGTAGTCCCAGTTACTCGGGAAGGCTGAGGCAAGAGAATGGCTTGAACCTGGGAGGTGGAGGTTGTGGTAAGCTGAGATTGCACCACTGCATTTCAGCCTGGGCAACAGAGCGAGAGTCCATCTCAAAAAAAAAAAGTACTGTCTGCCGTAAGACCTATCTATATCAAAAGAACGTCCGCATTTTTCTTGGCTGTAACAGTATTCCCTTGCATGGGTCATATTAGTAATATCAGTTCTCTAGTTTTAGATATGCACATTGTTGTATCTTTGGCTATAATAGTACTGTACTAAATAACAGCAGTAATTTCTCACATATTCTGAGTATATCTGCAGTATATATTTTTAGAGCCCAGTGTGTTTGGTTTCTCTTTTCTTTTTTGATTTTTTTTTGAATCGGGGTGTCACTTGCCCAGGCTGGTGTGCAGTGACGCTGTCATAGCTCACTGCAGCCTTGAACTCCTGGGCTCAAATGATATTTCCACTTCAGCCTCCCAAATAGCTGGGACTACAGGTATGCACCAACACACTTGGCTGATTTTTAAATTTTTGTAGAGAAGGGTTCTCATGTTGCCCAGGGTAGTCTCAAACTCCTGGCCTCAAGCCATCCTCCTACCTTGACCTCCCAAAGTGTTGGGATTAAAGGCATGAGCCACCATGCCCAGCCTGTGTTTAGTTTTTCTGTGAACTATTCATAACCTCATGTTACTTCTATGTAGATTTCTTTATAATAGTCACACTACTGTGTTCCATTTGATTTATTAATGGTAATATTTCTCAGTACATCTATATTGTCATATTTTAGTATCTGGCAATCTTCTCTTTTTATTATTTTTTAACTGTTCCATTGTTGGGCATTTAATGTTTGCTTTTTTGTTTGCTGTTTTAGGTAATCACCTAATAGGGGATATCTTAGAATTTCACCCCCCCCCCCCCCGACTTATTTTCGTAAGATCAATTTCTAGAGGTGATTACTGAACCCAAAGGAATTTTATCCTAATAAAATTGTTTTGTAGGATCAAAAGAATTCTAATCTTCATCCTTTTTCATCCCTTAGAGATACATCCAGTTTCTTTGGGGGTTGGCATAGATAATTATATCCTAGGATTACAGGTTTCCTCTAACTGTTAATAGGAGTTTAAAGTTTTCCCTCTCTGTTTAGTCTTCTTTTCTATTATGTTGTAAAATTCTCAGATATCAGAACTTTTGTTTTTGTTTTGAGAGACAAGGTCTTCCTCTGTCACCCAGGCTGAAGAGCAGTGGCATGATTATGGCTCACTGCAGCCTCCACCCCCTGGGCTCAAATGATCCTCCCACCTCACCCTCCCAAGTAGATGGTACTACGTGTGCATGTGCCACCATGCCTGGCTAATTTATTTTTAAGATGGAGTCTTGCTATGTTGCCCAGGCTGGTTTTGAGCTCCTGGCCTCAAGCAATCTTCCTGAGACAGGAATCCCAAAGTGCTGGGATTACAGGTGTGAGCCACTGTGCCCAGCCAAATATTAGAACTTTTAAATTCATTTAGTATGTAAGCTTACTGCCAAGCATGAAAGAATCACTTTGAAGGCCAGTAATGTTTTAAAGGTCTGGAAGATTCTCTTGAGGGCTAGGAAGCATTATGTGCTAGGTTCTTGAACCAGGAGAAAAGGGGTATCACTAAGAAGAAGGGAAGGAATCCTGGTATGCAAAATAGCTTGGGCGCTATCCTTGCACATTTGACAAGTTTAGTGAAGTACTATTGAACTGTTCAGTAAAGTATCTGTTGCCTATAGATAAAATGTCTTTTGTAGATACTTATATATCTACCTACCTATAGATATCTATATATCTGTATCTATATATCCCTTAAAGCTAAGCTAATTTCCTTAACCTTTTCTCTGTTGATATTTGTTTGGTAGCCTTTATCTGATTCTAGTTAATAACTCGTACCCTGTCATTTTTTTAAAAATACCCTTTGTTTTTGTAATGTGTTCTTTCATTCTTCTTCCCAATTCAGTTTTGGTACGTTCCTGTTACGTAAATCTAATCTGGTGAGCAGAGACTTTCTTAGGATTATGCCACTTGGTGAGGCAATCACAGGGTCTTAGCCCTGAAGGCGCCCATACTGACTTTATCAGTTTATTCTAGGGAGATCAGGTTTGGGGCACTAACTTAATACTAACAAACTCCTAAGATTAATTTAATTTTATTTATTTGTTTGAGACGGAGTCACCCAGGGTGGAGTGCAGTGGCGTGATCTTGGCTCACTGCAACCTCTGCCTCCCTGGTTCAAACGATTCTTGTGCCTCAGCCTCCTGAGGCTGGGACTACAGGCGCATGTCACCACGTCTGGCTTATTTTTGTAGTTTTAGTAGAGACAAGGTTTCACCATGTTGGCCGGGCTGGTCTTGAACTACCTCAGGTCCCACCTTGGCCTCCTAAAATGCTAGAATTACACAGACGGGAGCTACCATGCCTAGCCAAAACTCCTAAGATTTACTTACTTACTTACTTTATTTATTTATTTGAGACGGAGTCTCGCTCTGTCCCCTAGGCTGGAATGCAGTGGTGTAATCTCAGCTCACTGCAACATCTGCCTCCTGGGTTCACCTGTCTCTGCCTCTCAGATAGCTGGGATTGCAGGTGCATGCCACCATGCCCGACTAATTTTTGTATTTTTAGTAGAGATGGGGTTTCACCATGTTGGCCAGGCTGGTCTCGCACTCCTGACCTCAAGTGATCCACCCGCCTCGGCCCCCCAGAATGCTGGGATTACAGGTGTGAGCCACTGTGCCCGGCCCTAAGATTAATTTTCAAACAATGTGCATCAGTATGTTAGAAATACCTAGTGTTAGCCGGGTGTGGTTGTGTGTGCCTATAGTCCCAACTACTCTGGAGGCTGACTTGGGAGGATTGCTTGAGGCCAGGAGTTCAAGGGCGCAGTGAACTATGATTACACCACTGCCCCAACCTGGGTGACAGTGGGAGACCCTGTCTTAAAAAAAAAAAAAAAAACTTAGGGCGACGATGTTCAGCTGGTGACATGTGGCTGACTGTCTTATGTACTGGTTAGTGAATTCCCTTAGAGTTGGGTGTCCCGTAAGGGTTGCTGTCAAGCTGTGATAGTAAAAAGCATTGACTTCTCAATATCCTTTATCCTAGACAGTGTTGGAGAAATGCTAATTTTTATTCTTTACCTCACTCTTGACTTCATGCAGGATCTTCCCTGTGTATCATTAATATTCTTCAGGATTTTAAATTGTTTCACAACTATTACCTTTAGATGTTGCTCATAGATTTTTATATTTGTTTCCTTCCTTCCTTTATTTTTTGGGGCAGGGGTTGGGATGGGGACGGGATGACAGGGTCTCACTGCCACCCAGGCTCAGGTGATCCTCCTGCCTGAGCCACAAACCTCTCCCACCAACCCCCCGCCCAGTAGCTGGGACTACAGGTGCACGCCACCACACCTGTTTTGTATTTTTGTTAGTAGAAACGATTTCTCCATGTTGCCCGGGCTGGTCTCGAACTCCCGGGCTCAAGCAGCATACCCGCCTGGGCCTCCCAAAGTGCTGGGACTGCAGGTGTGAACCACTGCGCCTTACCCAGATTTCTTTTTAAAATTGCGGTAAAATATCCGTAACACAAAATTTACCATTTTAACCATTTTTGAATATACAGTTGAGTGGTATTAGGTACTTTTAACATTGTTGTGTAACTATCCAAAACTTTATCTTCCCTAGCTGAAACTCTGCACCCACTAAACAATAACTACCCCTTCTTCCCGTGTCTGGCAACTACCATTCACCTTTTTCTCTCTGACTCTGACTACTCTAGCTACCTCACATAAATAGAATTGTACAGTATTTGTACTTTTGTGGTTTCCTTATTTCATTTAGCATAATGTCCTCAACGTTCCATCCATGTTGTAAAGCAAGTGCCAGAATTTTCCTTCCTAAAACTTTTTAGGCTGGATAATATTCCATTGTATGTATATACTTCATCTTGCTTGTCCATCATTGGACACTTAGGTTGCTTTCATCTTTAGCTGTTATGAATAATGTTGCTGTGAACATTGGTGTACAAAGAGTGTTTTAAGTTCCTGCTTTCACTACTTTTGGATGTATGCCCGTAAGAGGAATTGCTGGATCATATGGTGATTCTATCTTTAATATATTTGAGAAATCTCTATACAGTTTTCCATACCAGCTGCAAAGCAGTTCCAGTTTCTCCACATGATCACCCACACTTTACCTTTTTCTCTTGGTTTGATCATAGCCATTCTAGTGGCAGTGAAGTGGTAATTTGTGGTTTTGATTTGCATATCCCTAATGATTGGTGATATTGAACATCTTTCCATGTGCTTATTGGATTTATTTATTTATTTGTTTCGGTTTTTTTGAAATAGGGTCTCACTCTGTCACCCAGACTGGAGTGCAGTAGCATGATCACAGCACACTGCAGCCTGACCTCCTGAGCTCAAGTGATTCTTCTGCCTGTACCTCCCAAGTAGTCCAGCGCATACCCCCATGCCTGGCTATGTAAATTTTTTATAGAGACAGAGTCTCACTATATTGCTCATGCAGATCTTGAACGCCTGCTTAAGCAGTTCTATTGCCTTGGCCTTCCAAAGTCCTGGGATTACAGTTGTGAACCACTGTGCCCAGCTCTTATTGGTCATTTGTGTATATCCGTTGGATCAATGTTTATTCAAGTCCTTTGTCCATTTTTTTTTTTTTTTGAGATGGAGTTTCAGTCTGCCGCCCAGGCTGGAGTGCCATGGCACCATCTTGGCTTGCTGCAACCTCCATCTCCTGGGTACAAGCAATTCTTCTGCCTCAGCCTCCAGAGTAGCTGGGATTACAGGCAACCGCCACCACGTCCAGCTGATTTTTGTGTTTTTAATAGAGACAGGGTTTCGTCATTTTGGCCAGGCTGATCTTGAACTCCTGACCTCGGGTGATCCACCCACTTCAGTCTCCCAAAGTGCTGGGATTATAGGCATGAGCCATTGCGCTCGGCCCTTTGTCCATTTTCTAATCAGGTTTTTTGTTGTTGCTGAGTTGTAGGAGTTCCTTACATTAATATGTTCTAGCTTTCAGTCCCTTATCAGATGCTCATTGATTTTTAAGAGTGAATTGTAGATAAACTAGTATAGATCACCTCTTAAGATGGATTAATTTGGGGAAGATTGCTGTCTTTCTGTATGCTATCTACATAATAATTTTTTATTTTCTTGTTAGGCTTTTGGAATATTCTCTTTTTGGGTTTACTCACAGTGTGTATGCTTTACTGTGCCTTATTTTTTCTTTTTTCCCTCCTGGGTGCTGAGTAATACTTAGCCCTATTCTACTTTTATTTCTTACTCTTCCTCACATTAATTGCAATGTAACTCTTCCCTAACTACACTCACGACTGTCGCTTCTGCAGTCCATTCACTGGGTGCTTCCTGTATACACACACTTTCATAGGAAATAAAAATGGCCTCAGTTTTTATTTTTCCTGTTTTCGGCTATGTATGATTCTTCTCTGTGTGTAATTTTATCATCTGAAGTTAGTGCTTATCTGTCTGAGAAAATCTGTTATGTCGGATTACTGCTGTTAGTACTCATTTTCCCAGTGAACCAATTTCTGTCTTCACTGATAACTTTAGTACCTGATTCTAACAATCTCTAACTTGAATTTTTTTTTATCACAAAGCCTCATTCTATTTCTGAAATTTTGAACAAGACCCTTTCTCCCCTCTCTAGTCACTGCATGCATCCTTTCCTTTTAGTTTTAATTTAATTGCTACTTAATACTTAGTTACTAGTATTTTTTTTCACTTACACATTGGGATTGTTTTTTTAAAGGTACTCAAATATGACAGTCTATATTATTGTTTCTCTATACACATTTATTTACTACCGAAAATTGAAAAAAATAGCACATCGAAATTTCCTTTTACTGCAATTCAAATTTTTGAAAACCAGAAAATCTGATTTATTATACTCTAGCCAAACTACCCAGTGTTTTCTTTACATTCTTTCCCCACAAGTTACTTTACTTCTGATTCTTTCTTTTGAGACAGTCTGTCACCCAGACTGGAATGCAGTGGCATAATCTCAGCTCACTGCAACCTCCGCCTCCAGGATTTAAGGTATTCTTATGCCTCAGCCTCCTGAGTAGGTGGTACTACAGGCACGTGCCACCATGCCCAGCTAATTTTTGTATTTTTAATAGAGAGCCAGGGTTTCACCATTTTGGCCAGGCTGGTCTCAAACTCTGGGCCTCAAGTGATCCTCCTGCCTCAGCCTCCCACAGTGTGCTGGGATTACAGGCATGAGCCACTGTGCCCGGCCTTACTTCCAATTCTTGATGATGGATTTCATTTCACTAACAAGGTTGTTTTTAATTATTAAATAGTTTTAAATTCTTTGAGCATAAAAGTTTGTTCTACCTACTCTCCTGCCCTCACACTATCTTTTGGAATTTTAGTGAGATTATTAGGTTAAAAAGTATTAGCATTTTCTTGCCTTTGCTACATGTTGCCAAAATCCTTTCCAACGGAGTTGTACGAAATCACCAGCTGTGCTTGGGTTTTTTGCAAATTGGTGTTTTTTGGTTTTGGTTTTTTTTTTTTGGTTTTTTTTTTTTTTTTGAGATGGAGTCTCACTCTTGTTGCCCAGACTGGGGTGCAAAGGCACGATCTTGGCTCACTGCAACCTCCGCCTCCTGGGTTCAAGCGGTTTTCCTGCCTCAGCCTCCCAAGTAGCTGGGATTACAGGCGCCCACATCCACGTCCGGCTAATTTTTGTATTTTTTAATAGAGACAGGGTTTCACCATGTTCCTGGCTGGTCTTGAACTCCTGAACTCAAGTGATCCACCTGCCTCGGCCTCCTAAAGTGCTGGGATTACAGGCGTGAGCCACCATGCCTGCTGTATTTTTATTTTTTCATTATGCTAATTTAGGAGATAAAAATTGTTTTGACTATGTGGATGATTTCATTGACTACTGGTCTCCTTTTCTGTTCTTTTGTGAATTGTCTTTACACATTTATCCCTGAGGTTCTAAAGTTTTTCTAAACATTTATAATAGCTTTCTACACATTGAAAATACTAATCACTTAGCATCCATTGTAGAAATTTTTCTCATTAGGTTTGCCCCTTTGTTATGGATGTTATGACACAAGTTTTGCAAACCTGAAGTTTCATATTTTTGTGTAATCAAATCTGTAGTCTTATATAGAATTTTGGTCAATTTTAATAAAGCAATTCTTTCCTGTCAATTTTGATAAATAATAAGTTTGGGCTTGAAGTTGTATGGTTTCTCAGTTTTTGTATTTTTCCCCTTTCTGTTTAATTCATGTAGAATCATTTTAGTTATGGGGTGGCGGTTACTTTGTTTTTCTTTTTTTTCTTGAGACGGAGTCTCACTCTGTCACCCAGGCTGGAGTGCAGTGGCACAATCTCGGCTCTGCAACCTCTGCCTCCCGGGTTCAAGTGATTCTTCTGCCTCAGTCTCCTGAGTAGCTGGGATTACAGGCTCATGCCACCATGCCCGGCTAATTTGTATTTTTAGTAGAGACGGGTTTTCACCATGTTGGTCAGGCTGGCCTTGAATTCCAGACCTTGTGATCCACCCACCTCGGCCACCATGCCCGGCTAATTTGTATTTTTAGTAGAGACGGGTTTTCACCATGTTGGTCAGGCTGGCCTTGAATTCCAGACCTTGTGATCCACCCACCTCGGCCTCCCAAAGTGCTGGGATTACAGGCGTGAGCCACTATGCCCAGCCACTTTGTTTTTTAATTATTAATCTTTGGTTTAATGCCATCAATTTGAATATCCTTTCCCTTGCCCAGTGTGTTACAGTGTCTTCCCCTGGCTTACTGTTTAAGTCTTGCATATTATAATAGGCCTTTGGTATTTGCAGATTTGACATTTAAAGCTTCAGCTATTCTCACCTGATTCCAGGGTCTGTGGTAAAGTAATTTGTAGTTTTGCTGAGGCTGAAATGTTACTTGCTTGCTGCCAGGCTTGCAAATAGGAGCTGATCACGTAGCTCAGAGGGAGCCTATCAGACAGGCCAGCACCCACATCTCAACGCAGCTTTGTTTTTCTCTACTTGTCATCGCGTACACAGTAACTCTCGAAGTGATAAAAGCTGTTTCTTTGTGAAATATGGGCCCGAAAAGAAAACCAACTGCTAGTGCTGGTGATGGAAGTGAAGAGAAAATGAAGCGGTCTAAGAGTGATGGTTCTTAGCCAGAAAATAGACGTTTTGGATAAATTAAAGTGGTTTTACAGATTCAGGTAAGTTTGTGGTTGGTTAATGTTGCTACAGTATTGATGTAGTAGTTTTATCTTTTCAGTGGCAGAATTTGTTTACGTAACTTTATAAATTACTAGTAATGTATTTTTAGGAGCACTGAGGATTTGAAGATGTCACCTAAATGTCAGTTACACTTCACCGAGTTTTATAGGGGAAATTAAACACTGTAGTGGAATTTGGCCAGGTGTGGTGGCTCATGCCTGTAATCCCAGCACTTTGGGAGGCCAAGGCGGATGGATCACCAGAGGTCAGGGGTTCAAGACCAGTCTGGCCAACATGGTGAAACCCCATCTCTACTAAAAATACAAAAATTAGCCAGACGTGGTGGTGGCCACCTGTAATCCCAGCTACTCGGGAGGCTGAGGCAGGAGAATCACTCGAACCCAGGAAGCGGAGGTTTCAGTGAGCCGAGATCGCGCCATTGCACTCCAGCCTGGGCAACAAGAGCTAAACTCCATCTCAAAAAAAAAAAAAAAAAACACTATAGTAGTATTTTAAAACTTTAGGACTTTGAGAAATCATGAACGTCTTAGGGTGTATTATGTATATCAAGAGTTTATTATAGTGGGCTACACTATTCCAGTAATATTTCTGTTCATTTAGTACTGTAGCACTTTTCATTTTTTAAAGTATATTATAAAACTGATTTTCCCTGGCCTCTAATGTTGGTCTTTTCTCCCCCAAAATTATGCTTTATCATACCACATGAACAGTAGTACGGTGGTGGTGGTGGTGGTGGTGGTTGTTGTTTTGAGACAGAGTTACACTCTTGTTGCCCAGGCTGGAGAGCAATGGCACAATCTCAGCTCACTGCAACCTCTGCCTCCCGAGTTCAAGTGATTCTCCTGCCTCAGCCTTCCGAGTAGCTGGGGTTACAGGCATGCACCACCATGCCTGGCTAATTGTTTTTGTATTTTTAGTAGAGACGAGGTTTCGCCATACCGGTCAGGCTGGTCTCAAACTCCTGACCTCAGGTGATCCACCTGCCTCGGCCTCCCAAAGTGCTGGGATTACAGGTGGAAGCCACCGCACCTGGCCCAGTACAGTGTTATCAGGTGAAAAATATCTTGATGTTGTTTTTGAGGTTGTGTTACAACTTGAGTAGATACCTTGTGAAATATCTATTTTTTCACATTTGGGAGCTGCCTCTCTCTACATTCAAATGTTATCTGAAGTAGCCTCTAAATGGTTCCATGTATCTTTTTGAACTTCCTTCTTTTAGTAGACATTTTTGAACATCTGTATGAACAAGGATTTATATTAAATGTTGGTACAGAGAGGAGCTACTACAAGTTGAGCATCCCTAATCTGAAGTCTGAAATGCTCCCAAATTCTTCGAGCATCAATATGATGTCACAAGTGAACAATTTCCACACTTAACACCTTTGCTTTCTGATGAGTCAGTGTACATAAACTTGGTTTAATGCACAAAATTATTTTAGCTTCAGGCTATGTGTACAAGCTTTATGTGAAACAAACGAATTTCATGTTTTGACTTGGATCCCTTCCCAAAAATATCTCATTATGCAAATATTACAAAATCTTTAAAAATCCAAAACATTCCTGGTTCCAAGCATTTCAGATAAGGGATACTTAACCTGTGGTCATTGCTCAAGTAACTCCCAATCAAGGAGAAGAAAAAGATATAAACCAATGATTATAAAAGGTGTGAAACGTTATTACACAGAGAACTCTGGGAGCACAGATGTAGGAGATATTAACTAGGGTGGAATGAAGGAAGGTTTCTAAGCAGAGTTGAGGAATGAATTGATTATCTTCTTTGTTAATCTGAATGGGATCCATTCCTGTTCAGCATGATTTCCCTTGGTTTTGTTCCTAGATTTAGGAATGATGCCCTGTTTTGCCATAAGGAAGAATCTCGTGTGTTTATTAGGAATGGATATTGACTCAAATGCCTTTTTGTAATTTGTTTAAATAAAATGGATTTTTCTTCATTAGCCTGTTAATGTAATAGTTTTGTATTTCTGAAAGAATGTACTTGGTAATGGGCATTTGTTTGTCTTAATGTATTTGTTGCAATTTCTTTGTATTTGGCATTTTTGTACATGTATGGTGTACATGTATGGTGGCCTCTTGTGTCTTTAACTGGCTTGAGAATTGGATCATATTTTCTTTAAGGCAACATCTCTAATACAGTTGGCCCTCTGAATCTGTGAGTTCCACATTTATAAATGCAACCAACTGCAAGTTGAAAATATTAAGGGGGAAAAAATTAACTTAGCTCCAAAAAGCAAAAATTAAATTTGCCACACACTTAATACTATGTTGAATCTATGTGGATGACGTGAGGTGCAGGCATTGTATTAGATATTATAAGTAATCTAGAGATGCTTTAAAGTATACAGGAGGATGTGCTTAGGTTATATACACATACTTTGCAATTTTATATCGGGGACTTGAGCATCCTCAGATTTTGTTATCCATTGGGGATTCTAGAACCAGTCCTTCATGATATATGGGGAGGTCCTGGAAACAGTCCTCCACAGATACTGAGGGATGACTATAGTTATTTCCCTGAGCCTGAAGTTTACTTATGGACGTATAAGTGAATGTTTTTAGTACTAGTAGACTTTGTGATCATAGTATGTCTGAAAAATGAAACAGTCTGTGCACATTTTAATTCCTTTTTTTTTTTTTGCAAGTCTGCATCAAACTATACTTGAAAAAAGGCTTATGTATTGTGACTTATTTTCCTCTTTTCCTTTTTGGTAAGAGTACTGTCTTAGGGACTTAATTTTAGTTTAAAATTTTAGTTTAAAAACATTTTTTGATCCTACAGGAGAACCTCTCGTGACCTTCAAAAAGTGACATAGTGCTGTCTGGATATCCTTTACCATAAATACAATATTTTAGAAAATGGACAATTCTGCTAATTGTTGGTTAAAAAAAAGTTTGAACTGGATTAGAATATATTTACAATGTGATTAATGAGAATTCATAAAACTATTAATTAGAATCTAGGTCCAAATGAAGATGTTTACAGTATTGTTTGCAAAATTCAGAAGATTTTAGTTGTTGATACTAAAGCCAGCAACCAGTTAACCTAAAAGAGCGTGAAAAATAAATGTTGTGTCTAACGTAAAAGAGATATATCTCATTAGACTTTGTTTCTTTAGCACATTTGATACTGGTTAGTACATCTCTATCAACGTCACTAGATAAACGGCTGTAATTTAGAGAAATATATCATAATTCTTTTGCATAATATGACAGTTTTAGAAAATGGTAATTCAAGTGCATACCAATTTGGAAATAGGGCTTGAATATCACACCTTGAGCTAAATGTAGAAGGAAGGGAGGAGCATACCAATTTACAGTGAATGATAGAGCAGCAGCAGAGGGCGGTCTAATGGCTGTGTGTAGGTCTTTTAATTTTAACAATATTGTATCATTTTATAATGCTACTTTTTTTTTTTTTTTGAGACAGAGTCTCTGTTGCCAGGATGGAGTGCAGTGGTGCGATCTCAGCTCACTGCAACCTCTGCCTCATGGGTTCAAACGACTCTCCTGCCTCAGCCTCCCGAGTAACCGGAACCACAGGCAAGCGCCACCATGTCGAGCTAATTTTTGTATTTTTAGTAGAGACAGGGTTTCACCATGTTGGCCAGGATGGTCTTGATCTCCTGACCTCGTGATTTGCCTTCCTCAGCCTCCCAGAGTGCTGGGATTACAGGCATGAGCCACCACGCCTGGCCTATAATGCTACTTTCCTAGTGTTAAAATTAGAATCAGGGAAAGTACAGATCCAAAAAATTCTTATGGCAGGGAATGAAAGGTAGGAGCAAATATTGAATCAACTGAACAAATTAAATCTAGGTTAAGGTAATAATGACTACCACAATTAAAGTGTCACAATGTTTTAAAAAATAATATAGCAAGAGGCCTGGTACGGTGGCTCACGCCTATAATCTCAGCACTTTTGGGAGGCACTCCAGCCTGGGAGATAGAGCAAGACTGTGTCTCAGAAAAAGAAAAAAAAAGATAATATAACAAGAAATACTAATTTGGTGGTAACTGACTGGGACTAAATTGCCAGTGTGCGCCAATAAAAACTAGTAAAATGGAACAGGACATGGTGTCAGCAGTATAGATGGTACTTTTAGGCACACTGGGTTTCCCCCAACTTCATTTTTTAAGACTATCAGTGCATTTCTTTAATTGTAGAGCAATTTTGAAATGCAGTCTTCGCTGGGCTTGGTGGCTTACGCCTGTCATCCCAGCACTTTGGGAGGCCAAGGTGGGCGGATCACCTGAGATCAGGAGTTCGAGACCAGCCTGGCCAACATGGTGAAACCCCATCTCTACTAAAACTACAAAAATTAGCCACGTGTGGTGGTGCATGCCTGTAGTCCCAGCTACTCAGGAGGCTGAGGCAGGAGAATTGCTTGAACCCGGGAGGCGGAGGTTGCAGTGAGCTGAGATCACGCCCCTGCACTCTAGTCTGAGACTCTTGTATCAAAAAAAAAAAAAAAAAGAAGAAGGAAAAGAAATGTAGTCTTAAGTTTATTTAGTATTATAACAAGCTTTTTTAAGATGCAGAAGTTTTTCAATCTGTGATTTCACTACAAAGGCCCTATATGTAAGCATATATGTAAATAGCTTAGAAGCACAGGTTTGCCAGTATTTAAAGCTATTATCAGCTGTGGGTATGCAATCTGTCAAGTTTCTAGGTGTTTTCTTTTTTTTTCCCCCCTCATTTATTACTTTTAACTGACACATAATAGTTGTACATACTTACGGGGTACAGTGTGACATTTTGATAGATGTATACAAGCAGGTGTTTTCTATATTATGAAAACATTTGGAGAAAAATGATTGACTTATTGTAGTCCTTTTCTTTCAGCTGCTTTTCTAACCCAAACTGTATGTCTTGATGACACTACAGTAAAGTTTGAAATATGGGATACAGCTGGTCAAGAACGATACCATAGCCTAGCACCAATGTACTACAGAGGAGCACAAGCAGCCATAGTTGTATATGATATCACAAATGAGGTAAGTATGGATGCATTCCACAGTAAAACTAATTTGAGTACCCACTTTTGGTGTTCAGAATTTTGATTAAATGTTTTGGAAAATCTTTTTCTGATAGTCATGACCTTTCTGCTGAAGCTTTTGTGAATTAGAAAATCTGGTTTTAAAAAAAAACGAAAATGTCTCATAATACAATAGTCCTAATAATTTCTTTCCCACAGTCACTTGGGACAGTCTTTTAAAGCCTTGTATCACAAAGATGCTTGGTAACCATTTTTTGAGCCTGTGCTCAATGGCTGTTTCTTTGTTTAACAGGAGTCCTTTGCAAGAGCAAAAAATTGGGTTAAAGAACTTCAGAGGCAAGCAAGTCCTAACATTGTAATAGCTTTATCGGGAAACAAGGCCGACCTAGCAAATAAAAGAGCAGTAGATTTCCAGGTATGTTAAATTTAACTCTCATTTGAAAGGCACTTTTTTCCTGTATGTTTTTCTTTCATGTCAACACTTGAATTAGTTATAATGTCAAAACCATGCAAGTAATAGAAAATACTGATTTTTAAAACAAATATAAAGTACTACATATAATAAAATGTTTCTGATAAACCTAAATTTTTAAATAGATTATTGTAATATATAAACTGACCCAAAGATTTTGTAGACTTAAACAATAAAGGCCGGGTTCAGTGGCTCACGCCTGTAATCCCAGCACTTTGGGAGGCCGAGGTGGGTGGATCACCTGAGGTTGGGAGTTCAAGACCAACCTAACCAACTTGGAGAAACCCTGTCTCTACTAAAAATACAAAATTAGCTGGAGATGGTAGTGCATGCCTGTAATCCCAGCTACTTGGGAGGCTGAGGCAGGAGAATCTCTTGAACCCAGGAGGCGGAGGTTGTGGTGAGCCAAGATCACACTATTGCACTCCAGCCTGGGCAACAAGAGCAAAACTCCGTCTCAAAATAAAAAAGAAAAACAGTAAAAGTAGTCATTGTTCACAGTGCAGAAAGTGATTGTATCCTGCCCTAATTCCTCCATCCCACACATACTTTATGTCCTAACCCTCTTCTACTCATGTGCAAATATGTATCAGCACATGTGTGTACCCCACATATGTACATACGCAAACACTTATGTGGTTGTTCTTAAAGGGGCATTCAAACATAAAGGTTCTGCCAATCTGTATCCAGAGTTGGAAAATAATAAGCTAAAAACTAATAATTAAAAAAAATTTTTTTAAGGCTGAGAAAATCCAGTTTTGTATTACGATTGCTAATTCAGAATGTTTGCTGCTGCAAAATAGGCAAGTGCAATCACTTAAAAACAAAGCAAGTCCTCTATTTAGACTTTTTTTTTTTTTTTTAAGATGGAGTCTTGCTCAGTTGCCCAGGCTGGAGTGCAGTGGCGCAATCTCAAGCTCACTGCAAGCTCCACCTCCTGGGCTTACGCCATTCTGCTGCCTCAGCCTCCCAAGTAGCTGGGACTACAGGCGCCCACCACCACTCCTGGCTAATTTTTTGTGTGTTTTCAGTAGAGACAGGGTTTCACTGTGTTAGCCAGGGTGGTCTCGATCTCCTGACCTTGTGATCCACCCGCCTCCGCCTCCAAAAGTGCTAGGATTACAGGCGTGAGCCACCACGCCCGGCATACTTAGACCTTTTAAAACTGTGCCTGTTCTCTTGCTCTTTGGCTTCTCTACTAGAAGGGCGGTTGTGGCTGTTCTGTATATATCAGTGATGAAATAGTTTTCTTTTTTGATGACGTAGATGGAATCCATGTATTCTTGCATCATTAGGTATTAAGTTGGGCATGTTACATTTGTAATTTTATTTAATTCTTAGGACAACGATGTGAGATGTAGTATCCATTACTCTTTCCAAAATTGTTGCCTTCCCAGCACAAGAGTGGCAGAGAAAACACTTAAATTACAGTCAGAAGTGGCCCTGTCACATAACAGTTCAGAGGAACCTCAGTTGTTTCTTTGTCCAATGGGAAAGATCATTGGTTACCCCTCACAACAGCTATGAGGATCAAAAGTAATAATATATGTAAACTGTAAAAGCATGACAAAAATGTAGGGCAGTGATGTAATTTTCAAAGGAATGATTTATGATATATTCAAGATTATAATATTGCTGTAGAAGTCATTGAAAATTAAATATGAGGTTGTCATTTAGTGTTTGAAGCCAGTGTTAGATATTTGGTTTCCCTTTGTCTTCATTGCAGACAGTAAGTGCAAATAAAAATTGCCGTTGAGATCAAAGAGAGTTTTATTTAGAATAAGATAATTCTCCCCCATCTCTGGAACTCAGTATTTGAAAGCAGATTTAATGTAAGAAAAGATTAATCAAGGTGGGATAATGCAAGAATTTCAGACAAAAAAGGAAATAGTCCATTATAAAATTATCTTGCACAGTGCTCTTACCTCTGTTGTAGCTTATTATATAGTTGTTGATTATAGATGATTATAGGAATCAGGTTGTAGTAATAAGAAAGTCTCCTTTTCTATAACAAGTTTAAAGCAGGTGTAGTGTATTTCCAAGAGATATATCTCATATATCTCATTTTTTGTTCTGTAAACAGGAAGCACAGTCCTATGCAGATGACAATAGTTTATTATTCATGGAGACATCCGCTAAAACATCAATGAATGTAAATGAAATATTCATGGCAATAGGTAAGATTAATATCTCTTTTTAAATGATCAATATAAGCAAAACAAGTGTGAAGCATATTTGGTTTGACTGTCTCTTTTTTAAAAAATTTTTGGGGGTGGGTTTGTGTGTATGTTTATGTGTGTGTGTGAGAGAGAGAGAGAGATTATACCACTTTTCTAAGTCCCTTCCACAAAACAATATTTTGTTGGTAATATTGTTAAATTTGAAAGATGATTACCTATTAGGTTGTAATACTGTCAGTTTAGGCAGCTTCTTCCAGGTGAGTTAAGCCTTAACCTCTTAACCTGATAGTTCAGACAGACAGATTTTGCAAAGGTTTCGCTGGGAAATTTGGATAAATATTTTTTTTATTAGATTATACTTTTTAAAAATCAAATTATTGGTAAATATAACTCAGAAGAACATGACACATAAGTATACAGATTGACAAATTATTTTAATGTAAACATTATAAGGAAGATGATTTCAAAGCATAGAGGCGTAAGGAGAAAAAAGGAAAACAAAACAACATCCATACTTTATATTACCTCAGATGGTCATTTGATCTTACACAATGTTCTTGCTGTTGCTTTAAGGTACTTTTTTTTTTTTTGAGACAGTCTCGCTCTGTCGCCCAGGCTGGAGTGCAATGGTACGATCTCAGCTCACTGCAACCTCCACTTCCCGGATTCAAGCGGTTCTCCTGCTTCTGCCTCCTGAATTGCTGGGATTACAGGTGCACACCACCACGCCCAGCTAATTTTTGTATTTATAGTAGAGACAGGGTTTCACCATGTTGGTCAGGCTGGTCTCGAACTCCTGATCTCGTGATCTGCCCACCTCGGCCTCCCAAAGTGCTGGGATTACAGGCGTGAGCCACTACACCCAGCCTAAGGTACTTTCTTTTTTTTTTTTTTTGAAATGGAGTCCTGCTCTGTCACCCAGGTTGGAGTGCAGTGGGACGATCTCGGCTCACTGCAAGCTCCGCCTCCTGGATTCACGCCATTCTCCTGCCTCAGCCTCTCCTGTAGCTGGGACTACAGGCACCCACCACCATGCCCGACTAATTTTTTTTGTATTTTTAGTAGAGACGGGGTTTCACCATGTTAGCCAGGATGGTCTCAATCTCCTGACCTTGTGATCCGCCCACGTCAGCCTCCCAAAGTGCTGGGATTACAGGCGCGAGCCACTGCCCCTGGCCCTAAGGTACTTTTAACTGATGGTAATTGCTGTTTCAGTTATAAGTAATGAAGTTGGAGTAGTAATAAGCCTCCTTTTTTCTATAACAAAAATAAAGGTTGGTTTTGTTTTTTGGTTTTGGATTTTTTTTTTAACCCTTTCCTCTTTCCAGTGGTTTTAATGTATAGATTCTACCTGAAGGGTCTGTTTTGGTGGTTCTCAAAGTTTGCCGTCTGTGGTTTTCATGTGCCCAGCACTCTTCTCATCCCATAACACCTTTTATTTTACAGCACTGATTCTTAACTGGGGTGTTCACAGTCCTAACCCCAAGTAAGAAATATTCTTAAATTGAACTCATAAATAGTTAATAGCTGAATCAGAGAATAATGAAAACCCAGTAAAAGTTGCAAGTATTTTTATTATTTTTCACTAGGTGACAGAGTTTAATGGTACTTCATTCGAAATGGGAAAGAACTTGCCTTTTCTCATGTAAACTGTTTTCCTGAAAAACTCAAGTTTGCAGTTTGCTAGGGAAGTGCTGGCACAGTTGCGAAGGATTGTGTGATAATATACTCATTTTACAAATGTGACAGATGACACCCAGAATCACATCTGAAAAGTTAGAGGAAACAATGAGTTAATAGGCCTCTCAAATCAGCCTGCACTGTAAACCTTTCTCACAATATTTAAACTCTACCAGATGGGCTTTAGTTTGTACCTTTTTATTCAAACATGCTAATAAAGTCATTTTTCGAGTTAGAAAGCAGCCTACATATTTTAGTTTTTTGTTTTTTTCTGAAATCAGAATGTTGCACTTCTTAAAAGAAAATCTATGTTGTAAATGGAATTGTGGCCTTTCCATTTCCTTCACTAGGTTAGTAAATTTTTTTTTCTTTTTTTTTTTGTTATGAAGGAACACTTTGATAGATTAGTAACTTAAATCACACAGTGCACTCATAACAACTCTAATCAATGCAAGGACTAAAAAGTTACTCGTTCTAGTTTACCTCCTTCATCCTCTTAATCTCACTCACCTCTGATTTAAACACTTAGGGAACATGCTAAAGGGATACATGATTGATTACTCAATCTGGAACCTAAGTTGTTATTATATACAATATATAGTGCTATTTTGTGTCCCAGGTACCAGTGTTCAACATTTCTGGGGCTTTGCTTGTAAATACATTTGACTGGAGATTTACCATTATAATGCTATTTATGCTACCAGCCCAGAGCCAGTCCCAGAGAAGTGGCCCAATTGAAGGCTTTCTTTCCAAACTTCAGTGCTCCTGGCTCCCAAATCCATTGCCCAACCCAGCATCTAGGATTCTAAAAATGATTGATGCTGATGTAGAATGGAATGTGTAGAACAAATAAAGGATAAAAGGTTCACAATGCAACTAGGCAATCCGATCTCAAAGCAGAGTGTATTCAATTTCTGAGTAACCTGAGTCAAAGCTATGGTAAAGTTAGAGTCTTACCATAGTGGTCTGTCCCCAAGATTGATAGAGATCAGTGTGTGCAGCCACTCTTAAAATCAGTACTCTTAGTCATCTTTAATATTCTGCCTCCCCTCAAAAAATGAATTTAGCACATCAAGGATCTTATGTATTAAAACAAACTACAGCAATCTCCAACTTTACAGTGGTTTGACTTACGATTTTATAACTCGATGGGGTGAAAGTGATATGCATTTAGTACATTCTTAACTTACTACGGGATTACATACAGAAACCCATCATAAATTAAAAATATCATAAATCAGGCTGGGCGCAGTGGCTCACTACCTGTAATCCCAGCACTTTGGGAGGCCAAGGCGGGCTATCACCTGAGGTCAGGAGTTGGTCAGGAAACAAGCCGGGCCAACATGTCGAAACCCCGTCTCTACTAAAAATAGAAAAATTAGCTGGGTGTGGTGGTATGTGCCTGTAGTCCCAGCTACTTGGGAGGCTGAGGCAGGGGAATTGCTTGAACCCAGGAGGCAGAGGTTGTAGCGAGCTGAGATCGTGCCACTGCACTCCAGCCTGGGTGACAGAGCGAGACTCCGCCTCAAAAAAAAAAAAATCATAAATCAAAAACATACAACTTAGGATGGATATATCAGGATGTAGCCCCATTGTAAGTCAAGGAGCATCTGTATATCCAGCAGGTAAGTTTTTTTAATCAGTGGGAAGCACACTCCAGAGAACAGCCACTAGCTGTATAGAGCTTGGCAGAGGTAAAGCCGTAACTGCTGGTTGAGAGTGTTGTCTGAATTTGACAAGCCACACTCATCGGACTCAAATAAAATTAAGAAATAGTTTTTGGAGATGAGGTCTTCAGGATAATTCTATCTGGATTAGGTACAGCTACTGGTCAGTCAGATTAGGATTCATCAGCCCATAAAAGGAGAAAATGAGGTTGGTTGAGGTGGCTCACTCCTATAATCCCAATACTTTGAGAGGCCACGGTGGGATGATCTTCAAGGCCAGGAGTTCTAGACCAGCCTGGGCAACAGAGCAAGACCCTATCTCTACCAAAAAAAAAAAGCCAGGCATGGTGGTGCACACCCTGTAGTCTCAGCTACTTGGAAAGCTGAGGTGGGAGGATCTTTTGAGCCCAGGAGTTCAAGGCTGCAGTGAGCTATGATTGATGCACCACACTCTAACTTGGGCTACAGAGGGAGACCTTGTCTCCAAAATGAAAAGAAGTATGGCTGCAGGCTACATTCAAACTAAGATCACAACGAAGTGTTGAGTATGTATAAATGTATGTGGATATGTTTGTGTCTAAGTGTATTTCCACTAGCATGCTAAGGTATGTTTGTGTGTGAGTATGTTTCCTCCAGTATGCTAAGTTTTGACACATGCAGGCATCTAACTTGGGTGTTATCTGTCCTTCCTTTGCCCAAAGCATAGATTATAATTGTTCATTCTCAAAAATGCAACTCTTATCTATTTCCCCTTTATTTGAAGGCAGCTGATGGTTACTCTGCAAGGTGTAAGTTTCTCTTTTAAAAACTAAGCGGTCGAGCATGGTGGCTCATGCTTGCAGTCCCAGCACGTGGGAGTCTGAGGCGGAAGAGTTGCTTGAGCCCAAGAGTTCAAGACCAGCCTAGGCAACAAAGTGAGACCCCATCTCACTTTGGAACTCAGGACTGCAGTAAGCCATGATCATACCACTGCACTTAATCCTGGGTGACAGAGTGAGACCTTGTCTCTTAAAAAAAAAAAAAAAGAGAGCATGTATATAGATGTTTTAAGGCCAAAGGCTGTGGAAGCCAGGAAGGAAATAGTAGATATGATCTATCACAATTCGGGGTGATAATTAGTTGCACAGTAGAGGACAAGTTTTGTTGGGGTGATGATTGCAAAGGTATTTGTATCCTGACTTGTTCTAAAAAATGTTTGTGGCAGTCTAGAGAACGCTGATATGAGCTGAGCTTCTTTATAAACTTACTGGCTGGCCATCATCTTTATTGACTTAGATTTTATTTAATAGAAGTAATAATGAGGCCAGGTGCCATGGCTCACGCCTATAATCCCAACACTTTGGGAGGCTGAAGCAGGTGGATCACCTGAGGTCAGGAGTTCAAGATCAGCCTGGGCAACATGGTGAAACCCCGTCTCTACTAAAAAACAAAAATTAGCTGGGTGTGGTGGGGCATGCCTGTAATTCCAGCTACTCGAGAGGCCAAGGCACGAGAATCACTTGAACCCAGGAGGTGGAGGTTGCAGTGAACTGAGATCACGCCATTGCACTCCAGCCTAGGTGAGCCTGGGTGACAGAGTGAGACTACATCTCAAAAAAAAAAAAAAAAAAGAAGTAATAATGAGTATAAAATAAAATAGAACTTTTCTGGTATTATTGAGTGAATCGGTATAGAGAATTACATAAAGCACTAGTTAGGCTTAAGTTTTAATTGTATCTACAACCAGTCCCCATCTACCGTTCCCCCAACACAATTACCCCAGAAATCAAACTCCCTAAGACAGCAACCAATATTTTGGCATTCAATACTCAGTAAACATTTGAAAAGAATGAACATATGGTTATATGATACTTTGGGGGTAACCTAACTGGAAAGAAAAATTATAGATAAGCAGGTGAAACTGATATTAATATGAGTATTCAAATATTCTATTTATTTGATCATTTTCTTTCAGCTAAAAAATTGCCAAAGAATGAACCACAAAATCCAGGAGCAAATTCTGCCAGAGGAAGAGGAGTAGACCTTACCGAACCCACACAACCAACCAGGAATCAGTGTTGTAGTAACTAAACCTCTAGTTTGAACTAGCTGGAATAGTCTTCTGCTTCCTAAATGTTAATAACAATGGAATTGGAGCATTTAACCAGCCCAGTATGACTTCCAAAAGAAGAGACTTATGATAGAGTCAAGTTTCTAATACAGAATTATTTTAAGTGTTTTGAACTTAATTTTTAATAACATGCATGGGTCCCTCTCACTAATGTTTCAACAATAGGGAAAAATGAGAACTATGTGGACACTTGTTTCATTGGAAGGTTAGGGGGAATAATTTCTCATCACTAGGAATATAGACAAATGACTGTCTGGGCCCACACAGTTAACCAGCCCATTTCTCCACACTGGTACAGTAGTCACCTGTGAAAAAAAAATTGGAACTTACTAATTTGGGCTTTTCAAAAACATTCTTTGTTTAGAAGGAGATTCTAAAGTTATTTATGATGCTTAGCCATAGTATTCAGGCAAATGTTCATTTCTCCTGGTACCTGTATTTAAAATGTACATTCCACATTTTAATAAATTAACCACAAGAAAATAATCCCACATATACAAGGTCAGGGGTGGGGAAGAGTATTAATGGTATCTTAATTATACCCAGTCTGGTTTTTTTTTTTTAAATGGGGTAAAAATCAAATGCAACCCCATCTTGTTTTAGGAATTTTGAGAACTAATAAATGCACCTTAATGGTCAGTGTTCCTTTCAAACATGTGAGTTCTTTAACAAAAATGAAATAAACCAGGTGTCTGTGATTTCTAATTAATCACCGCTGGCCATTACACAGGTTTTGTTGTTTGGGGTGGGGAGGGGGCTTTTGTTCCCTTTTGACATAATATAGTCAATGCACTAACAATTATGTATATTCAAACTTGATTATTTTAAATTCGATCTTCAGCTGTACTGTAAATAGGGTACTGCATTGTAGTCTCCATATCTGTATTACTTTTCTGTAATATTTAAGAGTTGCTTAAAAGCATACAAAATGTACTGTTACTAAAACAGCTAATTATTTCTCTCTCCCCCTTTGACAGGAAGGGGCTTCAGTTGTTCCTCCATGGCTAGAACCATAATAAACAATGTACCCGTAATTTGTAACATAAAGTATTGCAATATGTTAGTAACAATCTTGCAGCCTTCCTTTCCAAAGTTCATTTTATTTTGATCAGTTCAGTATATTGCACTAATTATTTTAGGTATTTTCATTATATGAAAGCTACCATGTGTCAGAGATGATTTAATCTATTTAAGTGTTGGACTGCTAGGAGAACTTGTACATTTATGATAATGCAGAATTAGGAAAACGGTTCACCAGTGTTTAGTTTTATATTGAGGTGCTCAGGTTGGAATAAAGTGGTATAAAAAGCAAGTATCGGCTTTTCTCTTTTCCTTTTTTTTGGCATAAAACAGTGAATATATATAAATGATACTATATGACCTAGTATCCGCTTTTATATTTTCTTTACTATGTTCATAAAATTATTTGCATGGTATTGATGAATCATCCTAATAGCTGGATCATTGAAGAATCACTTTATATTTTGGTGCTCTGGATAATTGGAACTTTATTTTTTTATGTCAGAAGCTGATATTCACTTCCATTGAGAAATATTACCATAACTGTAATGTTGTCTCTGGAGCCAGCCAGTAAAGCAGCATTTACAAGTTCATGGCTAACATACTCAGCTGCGCCTTCATAGAAACTCTTAGTGTCTGATTCTTTTTCATTTGTTGCCACATCATTTACACTAGTTGGTCTGTCAGTTACTTTTTCACTGCAAGGTTTACGATGAGTCGTTTCTGCTGGAAATGTTTCTACATTCTCAGGGTTATAAATACAGTATTTAGAATAGTTTGAATCGGATAAATTTTCTTTGGAATTTGTAGTTGACACACGTACTTCAGATACAGATTTATACTGAAACAATACGTGGATATTACTCTGTGATTTAGTAAGGTTTGGTTCACTGGTTGAAAAAAGCAGAGGCCCTTTGGATGGTGATTTGTTAGGTATGATAGGACAGTATGTTTCTTTATACATGTGAAATGTTGTCATTGCCAGGGCAGTAACTTCCTCTTTATCCAAAACTTCCCAAAGTCCATTAGTAGCTACAATAAGGAATTGACATAGGTCATCTATAGGGACAGAAATAGTTTGAGGTGCTGGGATAATGGATTTTTTCAGCTTGAGATTTCCATGAAATCCAAGTCCTCGTGTAGTTTTTACTTGCCCCTCTACAAGCCCGTATGGTTCATTTGAACTAATGACTGCTCCATTCTGAAGTATTCTTCTTCTTTCATTTGTGTTTCGTGTAGTATGTTCTTTGGTTAGGCAAAAACCTTTCCCATTTCTGCATAAGACTGCTTGCACATTACCTAAAAGATTATTTTTTAAAAGAAGAAATTTTTATCCTAGAGATAACCAATTGTATCAAAATCTACTGCTAACTTTAGTAAATTCTGTGTTTCAATGCTAAACAGAAAGCAGGCTATGTAAAAGTACGTTTAAATATGTGTAATATATCACTACTGAATGATTTACAGTAAATACAGATTTCAAACAGGTCAATTTATCCCTCATTGTTAAGCAGCTTTTAGTGTTTAAAACTATTACATTTAGTATTAACATTACAGATAATGCAAAGTAACTTCTAAATTTTGAAATGAAATGACTTAATATTACTCACATTGCAGAGTCATGAGTTGAACTTTTTTATAGCCAACATATATTCCATCTAGGAGATTTTTAAATGTTTTTAAGATAAATGCTTTTTCAATTTAAAACACAAACTTTGATTTTTTAAAAAGAATGACAGTTGTGTAACCAGTACAAGTTAAAACTTGAATATACTTAGGTCATGGGTGATGAAAAAATTAGAATGTCACTATTAATGTTAGTCTTAACTAGGTTGCTATAATGTGTAGATTCTAAAATTTAAGTCAATCCGCCAGGTGTGGTGGCTCAAGCCTTTAATCCCAGCACTTTGGGAGGCCGAGGTGGGCGGATCACCTGAGGTCAGGCGTTCGAGACCAGCCTGACCAACATGGAGAAACCCCATCTCTACTAAAAATACAAAAAATTAGCCGGACGTGGTGGCCATGTTCCTGTAATCTCAGCTACTTGGGAGGCTGAGGCAGGAGAATTGCTTGAACCCGGGAGGTGGAGGTTGTGGTGAGCTGAGATGATGCCATTGCACTCCAGCCTGGGCAACAAGAGCAAAAATCTGCCTCAAAAAAAAAAAAAAAAATCATTCCTGTGGAGAAATATGTTGTTAATGTATTACATGAATAATAGGCAGCCAACATTAAACCCTTTGGTTGGAAACTGAAATCTTAAAAGTTGATTGTAGTTTGTCCGTGGTTCAAATGAATCTGTGATGGTGTGCTTCATTGAAATCTTACAGTTTAAACATGATCTGAACAGATTGCAGGGTGGTTATATATTACTGTAACTTTTTTTGGTGTATTTTTTAAGAACCACTGAATTTTTTTAGTTTGTTAGGAAAAATTGATTTTCCCCAAGTTTTTAGGAATATAATTACGTATTTTTTAAATTACATATAATTACATATTGTTTTTCTTGATATTAAATCATTTATGATTTATAGAAAGTTATTAAACTTCTGAGATGGGGTTAATGATATTTGAATATTATAACATCTTTGAGATTTAAAATTCCTGGAATAGGAAGCCAAATTTACATAGAATATTCTGGTTTTAAATATGATATTGTACCTGGGATCATTTAGTTGCTTGCAGGAGGAGTTCAATTCTAGGCCCACAGTTTTTTACGTATTTAGGCTTAGAAGGTTGAGGTCCAAGGCCAGGTATGGTGGCTTACACCTGTAATCGCCACTCTTTGGGAGGCTGAGGCAGGCAAATCACTTGAAGCCAGAAGTTTGAGACCAGCTGGGGCAATATGGCAAAGCCCCATCTCTACTAAAAACACAAAAAAATTAGTCGGGCGTTGTTGCGGGAAGTCAGGGACCCTGAACAGAGGGACTGGCTGAAGCCATGGCAGAAGAACATAAATTGTGAAGATTTAATGGACATTTATTAGTTCCCCAAGTTAATACTTCTATAATTTCTTACGCATGTCTTTACTGCAATCTCTGAACATAAATTGTGAAGATTTCATGGACATTTATCACTTCCCCAGTCAGTACTCATAATTTCTTATGTCTGTCTTTAATCTCTTAATCCTGTCATCTTCGTAAGCTGGGGTTGTATGTCGCTTCAGGACCCTGTGATGATTGCGTTAACTGCACAAATTGTTCATAAACCATGTGTGTTTAAACAATATGAAATCTGGACACCTTGAAAAAAGAGCAGGATAACAGCGATGTTCAGGGAACAAGGGAGATAACCATCAGGTATCACTGCCTGAGAGCTAGGCGGAACAGAGCCATATTTCTCTTCTTACAAAAGCAAATAGGAGAAATACCGCTCAATTCTTTTTCTCAGCAAGGAACAGCCCTGAGAAAGAGAATGCATTCCTAGGGGGAGGTCTCTGAAATGGCCTCTCTGGGAATGTCTCTTGTACGGTTGCACATAAGGGATGAAATAAGCCCCAGTCTCCTGTAGCACCCCCAGGCCTTTTAGGATGAGGAAATTCCCGCCTAGTAAATTTTAGACCTGTTGTCTGCTCTCAAACCCTGTCTCCTGATAAGATGTTATCAATGACAATGCATGCCCAAAACTTCATTAGCAATTTTAATTTCACCCAGGTCCTGTGATCTCGTTCTGCCCCCATTTGCCTTGTGATATTTTATTGCCTTGTGAAGCATGTGATCTCTGTGACCCACACCTTATTCGTACACTCCCTCCCGTTTGAAAATCACTAATAAAAACTTGCTGGTTTTGTGGCTTGAGGGGGCATCACGGAACCTGCTGACGTGTGATGTCTCCCCCGGACACCCAGCTTTAAAATTTCTGTCTTTACTGTACTCTTTCCCTTTATTTCTGAGACCGACGGACACTTAGGGAAATAGGAAAGAACCTACATGAAATATTGGGGGTGGTTCCCCCGATAGGGCATGGTGGCACATGCACACCTGTAATCCCAGTTACTTGGGAGGCTGAGGCACAAGAACTGCCTCTACACAGGAGGTGGAGGTTGCAGTAATACGAAGTCACGCCACTACACTCCAGCCTGGGTGACAAAGCAAGACTCTCTCAAAAAAAAACAAAAAAGGTTGAGGTCCATGCAACTAGTATAGTGGTATAATTGGAAAGCCTAAATTGGTGGCCAGTGTGGTGGCTCATGCCTGTAATTGCAGCACTCTGGGAGGCTGAGGCAGGAGGATCACTTGAGGCCAGGAGTTTGAGACCAGCCTGGCCAACATGGCGAAACTCTGTCTCTACTAAATACAAAAATTAGCCGGGCGTGATGGTGCACACCTGTAATCCCAGCTACTCAGGAGGCTGAGGCACAAGAATTGTTTGAACCCGGGAGGCAGAGGTTGCAGTGAGTCGAGATCGCATCACTGCACTTCAGTCTGCGCGACAGAGTGAGACTCAAAAAAAGCCTAAATTGGTAAAGCATTAGTGTCAGATATAGACAGAAACTGTTGTCTCATTTATATAATAGGAATTTTTAATAGCTGAGCTACTGGATTGGGACTAAAAGATGGTGTTTGTGAAAAACATTTTGGAAACTACATACATAGTTCTAAAGGCTATATGGCCCCTCATTTCTTTATAGTTTGGTTATTAATATTGTGTGTTAACTTGTCTTACTGTTGATTATTCGACTTAGATTTTGCAGAACATAAGTCAGTAAAATCTTGACTTTTGCTGGATTATAAATTATTACTGAATCAGCAAGACAACATGAAGTGGCACTTAATGTGACAACTGAGTAAATGGAATTGTTAGTACATATGGTTCAGTACCTCTTAAATGAGAAAAATTTTTACGTGTGTGCATACATACGAATTGTACGGCCATAGCTCTGAAAACGAAAGGGACATAGTTTGGCTCACAATAGTCAAATCTATTGACTTTGTAAATGTTCATTTGCATGTGGCAAGTCAAAGGCCATTTAGCAAAAAGAAAAAGCATTATTTTCCTAGTATGTGATTTGAAAAGAATTTAATAGAAATATGTACTTACAATGGAAGGATGGTAAACAGGTTATTTTTATTTTAGTTACCTCTGCAGAGAGCTTGACAAGTGTAGCGTTATGCACTATTTGCCTTTTTTTTTTCCTGTGCTACAGAGTAGGACATACCATGTTGGCCCATTTTATTACTTGTGAACATCCTTTGGATTCAGCACAATAAAATATTCTAGGAGAAAGGACATTAAATCCTGGTTGCAGTTCTTCCTCTACCTGTTAAAAAGGGAGATAATGCGAGACAGGGTTTCACTCTGTCACCCAGGCTGGAGTGCAGTGGCATGATCACGGCTTACTGCAGCCTTGACCTCCCTGGGCTCAGGTGATCCTCCCACCTCAGCCTCCCGAGAGCTGGGACTAAAGGCATGTTCCACCACACCTGGCTAATTTCTGCATTTTTTTGTAGAGACAGGCTTTCGCTATGTTGCCCGGGCTGGTCTCAAACTCCTGGGCTCAATCGATCCTCCCAAAATGCTTGGTTTCCCAAAATGCTGGGATTACAAGTGCCAGTCACTGCACCCAGCAGCACATTGTTTACCTGTATGAATGGTGCATGAAGGAAAGAAAAAGTGAAGGAGAAGTAGCCAGCGTTTCTTAACTATTTGTGTATCTAACCCAGGAAGCAGAGGGTGAGATTCATCAGGAAGACTACTAATGGAACGAACTAAAAAACTAGATGTGCAGAGTCAATAGTTTCATTTTGTAACAATGAGTGGCATATGCTGTCAGCTACAAACAGGGTGTTTGAAGTCAAGTGCTATATTAAACTGAAAGCTTGAACAGAATAATGAACAAAAGGTTTCCATGAAGATGGGAAATTAGAGGAAGATTTTTTTTTTTTTTTTTGCGGAGTCTTGCTCTGTTGCCCAGGCTGGAGTGCAGTGGCGCGATCTCGGCTCACTGCAAGTAGAGGAAGATTATTAAATATCACTGTTATGTCCACATAGTCTGGAGAAGTGGAGAGGAACCAGCCTTCAATAGTTTAAGAGAAAGGACAATTTGACTTTTGAAAAAGTTTATTGGTAACACCTGTTTGGAGGAAATGCGAACAGCTAACCAAGCAATGAACTGTGTTGAAGACCACTACACAATTTTAATCTAAGCATAAATGAATTCCTAGACAAAGGTAACAGCTTTCAGTATTTGGAGAGATTGCGCTCTTCAGAAAATGTTATCAGAACAAAAATGGAACAGGATTACTGGAAGAGCAACGTGTTTAGGAACAATAATCTTGGGGATTAAAAAGAGCCGCTTGGAGATGATGCTCAAGCCTTTTTAAAGTGGCATAGTCAGGTACAGTGTTTCTTATGCAGAGGGTAATGATGTGGCTGCCTCCTGCAATTACTGGGTTATCACCAACTTTTGTGAAAAGGAAAAGTCCAGTAAACTTACAGAGTGAACTCTGGAATCCCAACCAGGGACTTCTAGAGCTGAGTAGGCAATATCAACATTTTTCTCAGATAAAGCCAGAAAGGTGACTTAGTGTTGATTAAAACAAGAGAGTTTAAAGAAAGAATGAGAGAAGAGGAAAAGAAACTTTATGTGGTGGTCAGAAAAAGACATACCTATATACGTGATGGGTGAAGCAGGAAAAATAAAAACACACCTAGGATGCACAACGTTGCCAGGGGTAATAAGGACAGTTTGGTGTAGAAAAACAGTATGGGGAGTGGAAGGATTTAGGAGCCTGACAGTCAGACTTTAACCCCAAACTTTTGTCTATGTGGCCTTCATTAGGTCACTTTATTTCACTAAGTAACAGGTTTTCACCTGCAGTGTTGTCAAAGTTATTGTGAGACTCAATAAGCTAATTTAAGAGGTAGACACTTGGAACACTTATTTAGTGTTCCAAGAAGAGAAAAGCAGGTAGAGAGGCTATTCAAAAGAAATTGAGGGGAAATGAAAAATGTTTCATTTCAGACCCATTTATAAAAGAATTATAAGAAAATGCGAAGTAGAATTACAGGCTTAAGATAGTAGGCAGTGGTAACTTGGAACTTAGGGAAAATTGAAATAGTTACTGGGGAAAGGAAAAATTACAATTGTAAAGGAGCATAGGTAAATTAGGATTGCATGTAAATAAGGTTAGGGGAAACAGTCTGTATCCAGTTTTTCTTCAGTGCTGTAGTTTCAGCAAAAGAGGCTGAATTTGTTTAATTTTATGCATGGACAGGAGCTTTGTGACTTCCTAAGAATGGTTAGCATAAGAGTCTTATTCATGTTGAACTAGCTTTCATTGGATGTTCAAAATGTCCTTTTGTTTTATAGATGTGTGATCATGAAATTCATGTCCATTGTTCATTGCTCACCATTGTACCCCTAAAGCCTAACTATATTACGCACAAGTCTCAACTATGTGTGAAATATTTGTTGAATGTGTTCTCAGAATCAGGTTTGTAAGCATGTGAGAGTTCCTCAGCACCACCATCAAAAAAAACGGAGAAGGGGAAGGGAAGGTATATAAAATGTCAGTGTTAAGAATTTGGCTTTTTTCCTGCACAAAATTGAAGGAGATTCTGGAGTTGAATTAGACTTTAGGGGAAAACGGTAGGGATGGGGATAATTTTAAAAGCAACTTATTAAACTAGTCCAAATGAACACATTTTCACACCCATGGAAACAATCACATCTAGAGAAGAAAGACAACTTAGGTCTGCAAATACCGCATTAGTGATGAATGAAGACAGAAAGGTCCACATAAAAATGAAGATATCCTAAAAACAGGAGAAAGCTAGTACTGTTCATTTGAAGTAACCAGACTTCAAGCCTGAAAGACTGGAGTCCTGGCTCACTCACTGGTTATATAACCTTGTATAATGCTTTGATGAGCTTTAGTCTTCTGATATATTAAAAATGTGATTATCCTTTCCTCACAGATTTTGAAGATTAGATGAAAGGAGTGACGTGGCAATCTTGAGAAGGGAAGGGGGCTTCAGGTGGCCACCAATTTAAAAATTGTGATAGCCAGCTGTGGTGGCGCAGGCTGAAGGCCTAGCTACTTGGGAGGCTGAGGCAGGAGGACCGCTTGAGGCTAGGGGTTCCAGGCTGCAGTATCCTCTGAGTGAGCCTAAGAATAACCACTGCACTCCTGGCTACATAGCAAAACCTCATCTCAAAAGAAAAAGAAAAAGAGTAATAGAGAAATAGTGGGTAAAGTTGTGAAATGGTGGGTAAAGTTGTGCCTGGTCTCTGAATCTACTGTGAGCTTATGAGACAGAAAGCTAGGACACTAGAAATAAAAGTAGTTTACAGGGCCTCATTAAAAAGAATTATTAACAAATGTACAATCTAGACATAAAGATATTGGAATAACAGATACACTAAAGCACTCAAAAAGGAGCAGTAATGGGGCAGTCTGGATCTTAGATTGACCCTTCCACTGAGAACAAGTAAATATCCTGGATAATATAGCAGAAAGTGCAAAATACTCAAGACGAATAATGACTAAATTCAGGTATACCAAGAGCAGAAACCAGCTTTTACCTGAGACCATGTATTGAGCCGAATCCACGTTAAATTTTCACAAGGTGGCCAGGTGCAGTGGCTCATACCTATAATCCCAGCACTTTGGGAGGCCAAAGCAGGTGGATCACTTAAGGTCAGGAGTTTGAGACCAGCCTGGCCAACATGGTGAAACCCCGTCTTTACATAAAACAAAATTAGCTGGGCATGGTGGCACATGCCAGTAATCTTAGCTCCTTGGGAGGCTGAGGCAGGAGAATCGCTTGGACCCTGAATCCGGGAGGTGGAGGTTGCAGTGAGCCAAGATCGAGCCACTCTACTCCAGTGTGGATAACAGAGCAAGACTGTTTGTTTGTTTGTTTGTTTGTTTTGAGACGGAGTCTCGCTCTGTCGCCCAGGCTGGAGTGCAGTAGTGCGATCTCAGCTCACTGCAACCTCTACCTCCCAGGTTCAAGCAATTCTCTGCCTCAGCCTCCCAAGTAGCTGGGATTACAGGTGCCCACCCCCGGCTAATTTTTGTATTTTTTAGTAGAGATTGGGTTTCACCATGTTGGCCAGGCTGGTCTTGAACTCCTGACCTTGTGATCCACCCACCTCGGCCTCCCAAAGTTCTGGGATTACAGGAGTGAGCCACTGCACCAGGCCCAATTCTGTCTTAAAAAAAAAAAAATCACAGGTTTATGAAACAGGAGACAAAACCTAGGGATTGTCCAAGATGGGGAAGACTAAATGGCTCACCACAACAAAGCTAGGACCCCAGAGGATGATGGCCTCACTGAAACAGTGAACCAAAAATAAACCTATGCCTGTTGCCACCACACAGACTACAGAAAAAATGACTATTTCAAATTAGGCCAAAGAGAGAAAGAGGGAAGAAAGGAAGCTACAAAGAACTTGGAACTGGCTTGACATTGTAGCTCACATCTGTAATCCTGTGAGGAAAGGATAATCACATGTTTAATACATTAGAAGATTAAAGCTCATCAAAGCATCAGAGCACTTTGGGAGGCCAAATGGGAGGATCACTTGAGTCCAAGAGTTCGAGACCAGCCTGGGCAATATAACAACACCCCATCTCTGCAAAACAAAGAATGTGAAACCACCAACCTTCATGTATTTGTAGTCTGAAAGCCTCAAATGGATCACTTAGTACATATTGATAGTGTCAACAGGCAGACACCAGGCAGGAGCAAATGCAGTACTCTGGATGACACATCTCTCAAATAATTCCCCTAAACATATATTATATGGAATTTCTTATCTTTCTGGTCAAGATACAATAACAGTGACTGGATTTACACTTTCATCTGTTTTGAAGAGACAGAGCCAAGAGTCCAGGGAAACCAATGCAGCTAGAGCTTGCTGAGGACAGAATACCAGAGAGAAAAGAGAGGCACAGAGTATTCCAGATATCTTTCGAGGGTCTTTCTCAAGTGAGTCTTTCTCAAGTGTTTAGATGGGTACTGGTGAATACATGTGTGTGAGGAAACTCCACAACACTGGGAAAAGAAACATTTGAAAAGGATTAGAGGGAGCATTGCTGAGGACTCATAGGGCTGGAGAATAATTCCTGTTCCAACCAGCCAGACTGAAAAGATATTAATTCGTGAATCATTAGGTAGCATGCTTAGGAATGTTTTGCCTCAGTAGTAGAGAATAATTGGACCAAACTCAACACTGCCCTGGACTTGCCTAATAAATTACAAAAACAGGATCTAAAAGGATCAAACTATTTCCAAGTAATTTCATCCCAAAACAAAGCTGAAAACCATATATCCAAAAACACAAATTTACTCCTAACACCCACAACCTGTCAATGTGTTCTTATTGGCAAAAAAAAAAGTTTTTGCGGTTGTAGTTAAGGATTTCAAAATGATACCATTCTGGATTATCCAGGCGGGCCCAAATTCCAATGAGAAATGTCTTTGTAAGAGATACACAGAGTAGAGACACATGGGTGGAACAGTAAAATGCCATGTGAAAGTCAAGGCAGAGACTGGAATTATACAGCTGTGGGTGAGGGAATGCCTGGAGCCACCATAAGCTGGAAGACCCAAGGAAGGATTTCTACCCTAGAAGAGGCATGGCCCTGTGAACACCTTGACTTCAGGCATCTGGCCTCCTGAAGCATGAGAGAATAAATGTTTGCTGTTTTAAGCCACCAAGTTCGTGGTAACTTGTTACAGCAGCCTTAGGAAACTAGTACACCAGGCATGCCAATAAGAAGGAAAATAACACCCACGATAAGTGAAAAGTCAATCAATTGAAACCAACTCCAAAATGGCACAGATGTTGCAATTAGCAGGCATGGATATAAGTTATTATAACTGTATGCCATTTGTTCAAAAGTTAGAGACATATATGATTTTTTAAAAGTAGTATCTTTTCATACCACAATGGAATAGAACTAGTAATCAATAGCAAGAGGAACATTGGAAATTGTACAAATACATGGAAATTAAACAACATGCTCCTCAACAATCATAGGGTCAGTGAAGAAATTATAAAGGAAATCAAAAACTTCTTGAAACAAATGAAAATCAAAATATAACATACCAAAACCTATGGGATGCAGCAAAAGTGATACTAATAGGGAAATTTATAGTAATAAACTCCAAATAAACAACGTAACAATGCACTGCAAGAAACTAGGAAATCCAGGACAAACTAAACTCAAAATTAATAGAAGCAAAAAAAATAAAGATCAGAGCAGAATTAACCAAGGTAGACACTAAAAAATACACATAGGAGCAATAAAACAAAAGGTTGTTTTTATGAAAAGATTTTAAAAGTCAATAAACCATTAGCTAGCCTAAACAAGAAAAAAGAGAGAAAATCCCAAAAAAATCAGAAATGAAAAAGGAGACATTACAACAGATGCCACTAAAAAACAAAAGATCATTAGAGACTATTTGAACAACTATACCCTAACAAATTAGAAAACCTAGAGGAAATGGATAAACACGTGGACACTTACAACCCTACCAAGATTGGACTAGGAGGAAATAGAAAACCTGAACAGACAAATAACAAGTAGCAGGATTGAGTCAGTAATAAAAAGTCCCCCAAATGAAAAGCCCGGGACCAGATGGCTTCACTGCTGAATTCTACCAAACTTATAAAAAAGAATTAACACCAATTCTTCTCAAACTTTCAGAAAATTGAAGAGGAAGGAATTCTTTTTAACTCATTCCATGAGCCCAGCATTACCTGGATACCAAAATCAGAAAACACACAACAACAAAGAAGAAAACTATAGGCCAATATCCCTGATGAATGTAGATGTGAAAATCCTCAACAAAATACTAGCAAGCTGAATCAAACAACATATTTTTTTTTTTAAAAAAAGCACCATGATCAAGTGGGATTTATTCCAGGGATGCAAGGATGGTTCACACAGAAATCAATAAATGTGAAGCTTTGTGCAGAGGCAGTATCATAGCCAGTGAGGTTTAGCCACGTTGTGATTATTGCTAATTGAAAACTTTTCCCCATAGCTCACCGTGACGACTTGTAATACAGCAAGCATTAAAAATAAAATAAATATGACACATTACCAACAGAATGAAGGAGAAATACCATATGATAACCTCAATAGATGGCCAAAAATTTTTTTGATAAATTTAACATCTCTTCATGATAAAACTTCTCAACAAATTAGGCATAGAAGAAACATATCTCAACAGAAGAAAGGCCCTGCTATGGTATGTATTTTTGTTTACCCCAAACATCATGTTGAAATTTTATCAACAATGCTGGAGATGGGTTCTGATAGATGTTTGAGTCATGGGGAGCAGATCCCACTACTGAGTATGATAAATAGCCCACCGTGACGACTTGTAATACAGCAAGCATTAAAAATAAAATAAATATGACACATTACCAACAGAATGAAGGAGAAATACCATATGATTATCTCAATAAATGCCCCCCAAATTTTTCTGATAAAATTCAACATCTCTTCATGATAAAAATTCTCAACAAATTAGGCATAGAAGAAACATGTCTCAACATAATAAAGGCCCTGCTATGGTATGTATTTTTGTTCCCCCCAAACATCATGTTGAAATTTTATCAACAATGTTGGAGATGGGTTCTGATAGATGTTTGAGTCATGGGGAGCAGATCCCACTACTGAGTATGTAGCCAATGGATATCAAGGAGATACCTGCACCCCCACGTTTTATGCAGCACTATTCACAATAGTAAAGATACAGGGTCAACTTAATGTCCATCAGTAGATGAATGGGTAAAGAAAATGTAGTATAAGTACACAACGGAATACTATGAAGCCATGAAAAAGAAGGAAATTCTGTCATTTGTAGCAACATGGATGGAACTGAGGGCATTATGTTAAGTGAAATAAGCCAGACCAGAAAGACAAACATTACATGTTCTCTCTCATATGTGGGTCCTAAAAATTGTTGATCTCAATGAGGTAAAGCAGAATGATGGTTACCAAAGATTGGGAAAGGTTGGGGACGGGGCAGGACGAGATAAAGTAAGGTTGGTTAATAAGTACAAACAGTCCAGGCACAGTGGCTCACCCCTGTAATCCCAGCACTTTTGGGAGGCTGAGATGAGCAGATCACAAGGTCAGGAGTTCGAGACCAGGCTGACCAACATGTTGAAACTCTGTCTCTACTAAAAATACAAAAATAGGCTGGGCACGGTGGCTCACGTCTGTAATACTAGCACTTTGGGAGGCAGAGGAGGGTGGGTCACCTGAGGCCAGGAGTTTGGGACCAGCCTGACCAGCATGGTGAAACCCTGTCTCTACTAAAAATACAAAAATTGTCCAGCCGTGGTGGCATGCACCTGTTATCCCAGCTACTCAGAAGGCTGAGGCAGGAGAATGGCTTAAACCCGGGAGGCGGAGATTGCAGTGAGCCAAGATCGCGCCACTGCACTCCAGCCTAGGCAACAGAGTGAGACTCCGTCTCAAAAAAAAAAAAAGGTGCAAACATACAGTTAGAGACAAGGAATAAGTTCTAGTGTTTGATAGCACATTAGGGTGACTATAGTTAACAATAATTCACTGTATATCTTAAAATAGCTAGAAGAGTTGAAGTGTTCCCAACACAAAGAAATAATACACATTTCAGGTGATGAATATCTTAAATACTCTGATTTGATCATTACATATTATATGCATATATCAAAATGCCACAGGTACCCCATGAATATTTATAATTATTATGTATCAATAAAATAGATAAACATTTTTAAAAAGAATGTGAGTTTGGCAGTACCTTTTTCTACATGCACAAATTCAACCTGTATTCAATGGCTTCATCATTGAACTAATATGTCATTATAAGGTAATAATTTTTTTTAAATTCTAGAGTCATGATGACATTGATATATTATGAATTTTAAACAGGGAAACCTAATTCCCTTGCTATAATTAATCCTGTTCTATAAAATACAAAATAATTCTTGAAAAATTTGTGTAAAATTATTTTCTTATGGCTGAAAGTCATTTAAAGTTCTTTCTTACAGAAGTACTTTTGTAGCTAAATCATGACCTCAGGTTCTCTCTTTTACAATTTGAATTTTTTTCACCCATGTGTCTTTCTATGAAAATGCAACATGCCTAGATGCAAACAGTTTAACACCATTGTATAGGCCTGGAAATTAAATCCAACTGTTTGACCTGGAGATTAGAACCAACCAATCAGCAGTGTGTCTAGACTTTTTTTTTTTTTTTTTGAGACAGAGTCCTGCTCTGTTACCAGGCTGGAGTGCAGTGGCATGATCTCAGCTCACTGCAACCTCCGCCTCCTGGGTTCACACCATTCTCCTGCCACAGCCTCCTGAGTAGCTGGGATTACAGGCATGCACCACCACTCCCAGCTAATTTTTGTATTTTTAGGAAAGACAGGGTTTCACCAGGTTGGCCAGGATGGTCTCGATCTCCTGACCTCGTGATCCACCCGCCTTGGCCTCCCAAAATGCTGGTTACAGGCGTCAGCCACCGCGCCCAGCCATTTTTTTATTTTTTATTTTTTTGGAGACGGAGTCTCTCTTTGTTGCCCAGTCTGGAGTGCAGTGGTGTGATCTCAGCTCACTGCAACCTCCGCCTCTCAGGCTCAAGCGATTCTCCTGCCTCAGCCTCCTGAGTAGCTGGGATTACAGGCACCTGCCACGCCTGGCTAATTTTTTTTTTTTTTTGTATTTTTAGTAAAGACGGGGTTTCACTATGTTGGCCAGGCTGGTCTCAAACTCCTGACCTGAGGTGATCCACCCACCTCGGCCTCCCAAAGTGCTGGAATTACAGGCGTGAGCCACCACCCACAGCTGTGTCTAGACATTTAATGACAGTATCCACTTATTGAATATGTCATAATTTGTCATATTAATTTTACAAAGACTTTTATAATTAATGATATCTTCCATAGGGGTCCCAATTCCAAGAATATGGGTCAGTTCACAGATTGGCCTTAAATCTGTAATGATTATGTCTATGAAGTATTTGGAACCTCAGCATAGAGCCTGAGAAACGACAAAGACTGTGAGGCAGTGGACATGCACTTAGCTTTCTTGGTATTGTTTAGTCTGGAGCCCTTGACATTTCAGGCTCAGAACCAGGTTGGATCAGAAACAGGCTGACTTTCTGGCACCTTGACATTTGTTGTAGTATTCTTTGTGATTATCTGGCCTTGCAACACTGTCTCTGCCACAAAGTCCCACTCGCGGAGGCCCAGCCTCCTCAGGCTTTGGAAACAATCCCCTTAAGAGGTAACATGATATGGTAGGACTGATTTCCAACTCCAATTCCTATTACTTCTGAGACCTTGAACAAATTATCTCACATTTTTTAGCTTTAATTTCTCATCTGAAACATTGGGTTAACAATACTTAGATATCACTAGATATCAAAGTTATTGTAAGACTAGACGAGGAAATTACTCTGTATTCAATATTCAGTAAGTGGACACTATCATTAATGATAATTCTATCTATGAAAAGGGTAGTAGAACTGTAGTTAAGTATCTCATGGAACTCAGTGTGGAACTCATGTCAATTTTGCTAAAAAGTTTTACCTCTGAGCTTTCCATTTTGGCAAGTTCCTAAACTCCCTGAAATAACCTTTAAACAATACAGGTAACTTCTTAAAGAAGAGAATACACGCTCATAAAACTGAGGCATGAACTATTATTCTCTCTGAGATGAAATAGATGCTACTTGGCCAGTGAGCATGAGAATGACCTATTGCAAATACAGTTATCAGAGTAACTGACCAATTTAAACAACTACACTAACAATGAGCAAACAACTTTCCATTTTTCTGAAAAAAGGAAGTGTACAAAATGTTTTTAATTTTGTTCAGATTTAAGCATATGTAGTAACTTTGCTTTTCATCCTTATCAACAACTGTGTTGCTACCCCTTTGGGAAACTTTAACGTATTTGTCACATTATATCATATCTGTGCCTCTTTAAAAAATAATTACAATTATTTTTGTGCCTGCAATCTGCATTTAAATTGTGGTTATTTGTTGTTTCTTATATTGATCAATGCAATTTCTAGGTACTAAGTCACTAAATAATAGACAATAAAAAATTGTGGAAGCATGAGGGGTTTTGCTGCAAGGAACCAAAAACATAAAGGTGTTATTTGGTGCTATTCAATGTACATACCAGTGTTTGCAACATGTAATATTCCAGAAATTATTTTTGGCATCTCCTGGGAAGGGGAGCTCTCTGCCAACCCATCATGGGTATTTTTTCTTTTCCAATTCTTATGAGCATAAGGACTTTTAGGTTTGCCTTCCAATATACAAGTAACTGCAGAGCAGCCACTCCATTGAACCCTGGACACTTCTTTTCTTCCAAGACCTAAAAGCCTATCCATTCTCCAAAATGCTTTTGCAAAGGCTTTGTGTGTGTCCTCATACTCACACCTCACTGCTTCTGTTTTGTTTATGGCAGAAAAGAGGTCTTCTATTGCTGCGTATTCTTCTCTAAACACAGTGTAAAAGGAATTGATTATTTGTTGCTCATCAGTTGTCATTTGGTAAGAAGGATCAAATTTGGAAAGCTGATGGAGAAGTAAAACTGGGAGTTCCATTGATGTCAACTCTGCCGCTGAGGCACCGTGATGTCCATCAAACAAACCAAAAAAACACACATTAGGTTTGTTACCAAAATTACTCACTACAGTGAATTTATCATTCATGTCAGCTTTCCATGTAGAATTCCTGTCTTCACAAATGCCCACTCCTTTAATTAACAGATGACATATTTTTTGAGAATATATGACACTCCTGTCAATGTTATCAAAAATCTTATAGTATGCTGGTATTTGTTTTTTCCAAAGCAGCTCAAAAGCATTATTAATGCTCTGTAGGGTTTTTTCAGTGAACATAAAAGATGACAATAGTTTAGAAATCATGAACTGTCTCTGAACAGCAATCACTGAGGGCTGTGGTTTCTTTCTACCCATCCATTGGAAACCCAGCGTGGCCAGAGCTACATGTTGCTTCTTATGGAGAAAAATACCAGTTAGGTCAATTTCGTGCTTGCATATGGAACAGGGTAATGTGGTCCCTTGCTCATAGACCTGCTCCTCTTCATGGCGTTTGGTGTGTCTCACTGGTCTTGACTTTTTCTTTCTAAAACGTTTTCTTTTGGGTAAAAGTAGAATATCCTCATCTGAATCAAATGTTGATGTTTTCATATTCCATTCTCTTGATTTCCAAAACACTCTGCAAACAGGATGAAAGATATTTACATGCCAGGATGATGCAGCGAAAATCTCTTCAAGCAGGCTGTTATCATTGCAATTTGATTTGGCTCCTCACAATCTTATATAAGCCTAGGATTAAATATTCTGAGTCATATTTCTCAAAAAACATGTAAGTACTCAATTAACTGGTGATTGACCTGTGTCTCCCTGAAATAAATTAGGCAAAAATTCCAAAAAGTCAGCTAGACATCTAAGCAAATGCTCAGATAAATCAGCACAGTATTTTACCTTAGACATGCGAAAGTATGTATTTGAGACCTGAGATTCTGATTTCTAATATGGACATACAGTCATGTATTGCATAATGATGTTTCAGGCAATGATGGACCATATGCAACGGTGGTACCAAAAGATTATAATGGAGCCAAAAAATTCCTACTGCCTAGTGACATCATTGTTGTCTCAATGTCATAAAGTGCAACATGTCACTTATGTTTTTGTGATGCTGGTGTCAACAAACCTACTGTGCTGCCAGTCAAATAAAAGTATAGCAAATAGAAGGCCAGGCACGGTGGCTCACGCCTGTAATCCCAACACTTTGGGAGGCCGAAGTGGGCGGATCACTTGAGGTCAGGAGTTCAAGACCAGCCTGGCCAACATGGTGTAACCCTGTCTCTACTAAAAATACAAAAACTAGTTCGGGCGCGGTGGCTCACACCTGTAATCCCAGCACTTTAGGAGGCTGAGGCGGGCTGATCACGGGGTCAGGAGTTCAAGACCAGCCTGGCCAACATGGTGAAACCCCATCTCTACTGAAAATACAAAAAATTAGCTGGGCATGGTGGCAGGTGCCTGTAATCCCAGTTACTCAGGAGGCTGAGGCAGGAGAATTGCTTGAACCTGGGAGACGGAGGTTGCAGTGAGCCGAGATGGTGCCACTGCACTCCAGCCTGGGTGACAGAGCAAGACTCCATCTCAAAAAGAAAAAAAAAAAGTATAGCAAATACAAGTATGTACAGAACGTAATACCTGATAATGATAAATTACTATGTGGCTGGCTTATGTGTTTATGATAGTATACTTTTTATTGTTATTTTAGAGTGAACTCCTTATATTAAAAAAAAAATTAACTGTAAAACAACCTCAGACAGGCCCTCCAGGAGGTATTCCAGAAGAAGGCATTGTTAACATAGATGACAACTCCGTGTGTTATTGCTCCTGAAGACCTTCCAGTGGGACAAGATGTGGAGATGAAAGACAGTCACAATCCCAACTCTGTGTAGGCCAAGGTGTGTATTTTAGTTTTGTTTTTTTTTTTAAAAAAAAGGTTAAAAAGTTTTAAAATTTAAAAATAATTTTAATTTTTTAATAAAAATAAAATTTAGCTGGGCGCGATGGCTCACACCTGTAATCCCAACACTTTGGGAGGCCGAGGCGGGTGGATCACCTGAGGTCAGGAGTTCGAGACCAGCCTGGCCAACATGGTGAAACCCCGTTTCTACTAAAAATACAAAAAATTAGCTGAGCGTGGTGGCTTATGCCTATAATCCCAGCTACTTGGGAGGCTGAGGCGGGAGAATTGCTTGAACCCAGGAGACAGGAGGCGGAGGCTGCAGTGAGCAGAGATGGCGCCACTGCACTCCAGCCTGGGTGACAGAGTGAGACTCCATCTCAAAAGATAAATAAATAAATAATTTAAAATTTTAGTTAAAATTTTAATCAAAAAATTAAAAACAGAAAAAAGCCCCTAGAATAAGGATATGAAGCAAGTACTTTTTGTACAGCTGTACAATGTTTTTGTCTTTTAAGCCAAATGTTACAAAAGAATCAAAAAGTTGTAAAAATTTAAACGTTTACAAAGTAAAAAGTTACTGTAAGCTAAGATCAATTTATTATTGAAGAAAAAATAGTTTATAAGGTTAGTGTAACCTAAGTGTATTGGGTTTATAACATCTGCAGTAGTGTGCAATAATGTGCTAGACCTTCACACTCATCACTCACTGACACCCAGAGGGACTTCCAGTCCTGCAAGCTTTATTCATGGTAAGTCCCCTATTTTAAAATGTTGCATTTTTTATTCTTTGTACAATGTCTTATTGTACCTCTTCTGTGTTTAGGTACACAAATACTTACCATGTGTTACAATTGCCTACAGTATTCACTACAGTAACGCACTGTACAGGTTTGTAGCCCAGGAGCAATAGGCTATAGCATATAGCCCAGGTGTTAGTAGGCTGCACCATCTAGGTTTGTGTAAGTACACTCTATGACGTTCACACAACAGCGACATTGCCTAACAATGCACTTCTCAGAAAGTATCCCCATCGTTAAATGATGCATGATTGTAATTACTTTTGTACTGCATTTCGTCTGCCTTAAAACACTTGTGTTCTAATTAGAGAGTTCACAAGAAAATGAATGGATTATGCCAAAACCCAGCAGAATAAGAAAAAGAATTGATAGTAAGGACAGAATTTTTTTAAAAACTACAACAAAGAGGTACAGGGCGAGGATAGGAAAGAAAAGATGTAGAGCTGGATGATATATTTCTGGAAAGCAGGCATCATTTTATACGCCTTCCTATCAGAAACATCTAGTACTGTACTCGGCACCTGGGGCCATTTTTATCCATTTCATGTACAATTTCTAGGGCATGAGATATTTTCAAGGGCCTATGAAAAGTTAGAGACCAGAAAAAAAAATACTTTGGTTACAAAATATTTTAAAACTTGATAAAAATCAAAGTTAGCTGGGTGCAGTGGCTCATACCTATAATCCCAGCACTTTGGGAGGCCAAGGCAGGGAGATCACTTGAGGCCAGGAGTTTGAGACCAGCCTGGGCAACATAGTGAGGCCTCGTCTCTATTAACAATTAAAAAAAGAAAATCAGGTGTGATGGTATGCATGCCTGTAGTCCGAGCTACTCAGGAGGCTGAGGTGGGAGGATTTCTTGAGCCTGGGAGGTGGAAGCTGCAGTGAGCCATGATTGCACCACGACACTCCAGCGTGGGCTACAGATCGAGACCCTGTCTCAAAAATAAATAAATAAATAACTTTATATATACATTTTTTTTTTTAAATTTATTTTTTTTGAGACGGAGTTTCGCTCTTGTTGCCCAGCCTGGAGTACAAGGGCGCAATCTCGGCTCACCGCAACCTCCACCTCCTGGGTTCAAGCGTTTCTCCTGCCTCAGCCTCCCAAGTAGCTGGGATTACAGGCATGCACCACCACACCTGGCTAATTTTGTATTTTTAGTAGAGACAGTGTTTCTCCATGTTGGTTAGGCTCGTCTTGAACTCCCGACCTCAGGTGACCTACCTGCCTCAGCCTCCCAAAGTGCTGGGATTACAGGCATTAGCCACTGTGCCCAGCCATAAATATTTATGAAATGTGACATTACAAAAACTAGTCAACTTCAACTCAGTTCATATATAAATTGTATTTGAGATGGGTACCTTTTAATGTGTTAGAGTAATGAGGGATGGAGCCTACGACACTAAGAATACTTGGAGCCTCTAAGTACTTAAAACATCTCAGACACATAATAGATATTCAACAGTTGAGTATCTATTGATATTCTATAGATAGTTGGTAGTTAGATAAGAAATTAACCCACTTAATTATAATGACAATATGATAATAATAATGAAATATATTTTATTATAAAAGGTATGCATCGTCATGTTCTTAAGTTCAATGCAGAAGGATACAAAGTAGAAAACAAAAGAATGTTTTTGTCTTCCCACCCCACTTGAACCCGGGAGGTGGAGGTTGCGGTGAGCTGAGATCAAGCCATTGTACTCCAGCCTGGGCAACAAACCCCAGCCCCAATAGTAATTATGTTATCTATCTTTCCAAATATAAATTTGAATATAAGATCTTTTCTGGCCCTGTGCAGTGGCTCACGCATAATCCCAGCACTTTGGGAGGCCAAGGCAGGTGGGTCACTTGAGGTCAGGAGTTTGGGACTAGCCCAGCCAACATGGTGGAACCCTGTCTCTACTAATAGTACCCCAAAAATTAGATGGGCGTGATGGCACACCTGTAATCTCAGCTACTCGGGAGGCTGAGGCAGGAGAATTGAATGAACCTGGGAAGTGGAGGTTGCAGTGAGCCAAGATCAAGCCACTGCACTCCAGCCTGGGCGACAGAGCGAGACACTGTTCAAAAACAAAAACAAACAAATAAACAAATACATTTTCTGAAGGCAAGTAGGGACCCATTTTGCATACCATCCTAAAATCTGATGTTTTCAGTAAATGCTAGGTCATGCACAGGAAGTTTGAATATGGAAAAACAAAACAATATACATCGTCCCTAGGTATCTGTGGGGCTTGGTTCCAAGACCACCCTCTCCATGCATGGATACAAAAATCTAAGGATGCTTAGGTCCCTGATATAAATGGCGTAGTATTTGCATCTTCCTTGTATGTTGCCTCACTGTGTCACCCAGGAGTGCAGTGGCCTAGAACTCCTGGGCTCAAGCCATCCTCCCACCTCTGCCTCCATAGTAGCTGTAACTACAGGCGTGCACCACCACGCCTGGCTAATTTTTTCATTTTTAGTAGAGATGAGTTTTTGCCATGTTGGCCAAGCTGGTCTTGAACTCCTGGCCTCATGTGATCCACCCGCCCTGCCTCAGCCTCCCAAAGCGCTAGGATTACAGGTGTGAGCTACTGCATCGGCCCTCCCGTATACTTGTTTATTTATTTATTTGAGACGGAGTCTTGCTCTGTCGCCCAGGCTGGAGTGCAGTTGTGTGATCTGGGCTCACTGCAACCTCTGCCTCCTGTGTTCAAGCAATTCTCTCGCCTCAGCCTCCCAAGTAGCTGGGATTACAGATGCCCGCCTAAAATATATATACGTATGTGTGTATATATATATACATATATATACACACATATATATGTATACACACACACACACGTATACACACACACACACACACACACACGTATATATATTGTATTTTTAGTAGAGATGAGTTTTCACCATGTTGGCCCAGGCTCGTCTTGAACTCCTGACTCAAGTGATCCGCCCAGCTCTGCCTCCCAAAGTCCTAGGATTACAGGCGTAAGCCACCGCACCCGGGCCCTCCTGTATACTTTAAATCATCTCTTGATAGAATATACATAATCAATGTAAATGCTATGTAAATAGTTCTTATACTGTATTTTTATTTGTATTATTTTATTGTTGTATTGGTTTATTAGTATTATTATTTTAGGAGGTATTTTGGGAATATTTTCTATCCAAAGTTGGTTGAATTCACAGATGCAGAACCTTCAGATATGGAGGACTGACTCTGTTGTGAAAAATGTAGACTTAGGATTTTTTTTTCAGGGGAGGAAAAAGCATGTAACTTTACGTAACTGACTGAAAAATACATTCAAGAAATAGTAAATAGAGGCCAGGTGCGGTGGCTCACGCCTGTGATCCCAGCACTTAGGGAGGCCGAGGCTGTCGGATCACCTGAGGTCAGAAGTTCGAGACCAGCCTGGCCAACATGGAGAAACTCCGTCTCTGCTAAAAATACAAAATTAGCCAAGCGTGGTGGCGTATGCCTGTAATTCCAGCTACTTGGGAGGCTGAGGCAGGAGAATCGCTTGAACCCGGGAGGCGGAGGTGGTGGTGAGCCGAGATCATGCCATTGCACTCCAGCCTGGGCAACAAGAGCAAAAATCCGTCTCAAAAAAAAAAAAAAAAAAGAGAGAGAGAGAATAAAAGAAATAGGAAATAGAATATAATACGACCTCATGAACCCTGAAGGAGTGGGAGTAATCGTTATGTCCGAATAATCTCCTAGTTGTAACTTCTGTGACTGCAGGGGTCATGGAATCACCAGTCCCCTTTCTGCCAGATGTGGCGCTGCCAATCTCCTTAACTCGATAGCCAGATCTTTTAATATCTGTAAAAACCTATAAAATTGAAATGTGTGCCCTTCTTTCTAGCCTCTGGATAGACTTATTTTACTAAGCTCAGTTCTTTCAAGGTTGCATCTATCCAAGTGTAGGTCGCCAGCACGCTGGACGGTATGTTTCATCCGGAGAACTCGACCATTCGGTGGCGGCGGCTGTTACTGGCGGCAGCGGGCCTGTCTGCTTGTGAGGATCAGCTTCTGAAGCTCCTTCTTAATTTCCTTCTGGGTAATGTGCGACTCCACAGCCATCTTTCTCCTACGGTCTCAGACTTTGAATAAAAACAAAAACAAGTTGGTCGCGGTGGCTCACGCCTGTAATTCCAGCACTTTGGGAGGCCGAGGAGGGCGGATCACGAGGTCGGGAGTTTGAGACCAGCCTGACCAACATGGTGAAATCCGTCTCTACTAAAAATACAAAATTACCTAGGAGTGGTGGCTCATGTCTGTAATCCGAGCTACTCGGGAGGCTGAGGCAGGAGAATCGTGTGAACCCGGGAGGTGGAGGTTGCAGGGAGCCGAGATCACGCCATTGCACTCCAGCCCGGGCAACAAGAGTGAAACTCTGTCTCAAAACAAACAAGACAACCAAACAAAAAAACTGTCCCTGGGCGGGCGCTGTAGCTCACACCTGTAATCTCAGCTACTCAGGATGCTGACACTGGAGGATGCTTGAGCCCAGGAGGTTGAGGCTGCAGTGAGCTGTGATCACGCCACTGTACTCCACCTAGGTTACAGAGGGAGACCAGGTCTCTTAAACAAAAAAAATTCATTTACTAACTGTATAACCTCAATCAAGTCATTTAATCTCTCTGAGCATCTGCTTTCTTATCTGTAAAATGCACAAGGTTGCTTTTAGCCTCAAATGAGGTAAACGGTGAAAGAGTTGGTGGTACCTAGGGGACACTGAAAAAAAAGCCTGCTCATTCTGCCCTAAGTGAAAAGGACACTGAGAACTATGCCAAATAAAAATACATTACATAAAGGCATGAAATTACAATGCTTAGGGAGAAATGTGTTCTATGTAAAATTAATTAAGAAACAATCAGATCGATGGGAGAGGATTGTTTTAACGACCTGTATTTGAGAACTGTGTAATGCATATTTACTAAGATGTTGTGGTAAGTTGTTTATATCATCACTTAGTTACAGCTATGTTACATGGTTTAAGAGAAAATGAACTTGGCCAGGTGCAGTGGCTCACACCTGTAGTCTCAACACTTTGGGAGGCTGAGGTAAGAGGGCTGCTTGAGGCCAGGAGTTGGGGACCAGCCTGGGCAACATAGTGAAACCCCTTCTCTACAAAAAACTTAAAAATTAACTGGGCATAGTGGTGCACACCTGTAGTCCCAGCTACTTGGAGAATGAGCGGGGAGAATTGCTTGAGCCCAGGATTTTGAGGTTTCAGTGAGCTATGACAGTGCCACAATACTCTAGCCTGGGTGACAGACTGAGACCCTGTCTCAAAAAAATACAAAAAGTATATTAAATTAAAAATAAAATGTGAGCTGTATAAATAAAACAATTAGAAGAAATACATGTAAATTAAAAATGAATGGAAAATAATGTAATGTCCATAGAAAACAGGGTAAATATCTTTAAGATGCTAGCCAGTAGAATTTGAATCCTGTAAATTATGCAAAAATCACTTCTAGGAAGGAAAGCCTTCTATGATAAACGATAAATAATAGTGCACTATGTGATAGGCAAAAGGGCTTTAGCAACCTTCATACATGATTTACACGTGGCAATATAAATAAAAATTAAAGAAGCAAGCAAAACTGATAAATTTGAAATGTTTTGCCACTTTATTTGTATTTAATTCCATGAAGCGTACAACTGTATTGGATACAGCTACTTATCCCTGTAGTAAAATTTTATTTACAAATGTCCACGTTATAAATACTTTTAGAACTATTTGAATTTTGGGAAGCCTTCATGGCTTTCCCTCACCAACGATTTTTTTTTCCTTTTTTAATGGAAAATTTAAAAATTACACCAAAAT